>NC_000014.9:89611713-90861713 GCF_000001405.40 Homo sapiens | reverse complement strand
GTTGGCCAGGATGGTCTAGATCTCCTGACCTCGTGATCTGCCCACCTCAGCCTCCCAAAGTGCTGGGATTACAGGTATTCCCCCTTCTTCCTTTTATGTTATTGTTGTCATGTATTTTACTTCTACATTCTATGTATGTTTTATCTCTATATATGTGTTTTAGACTTCATAAGACATTATTTTTTTTTTTTTGAGACAGAGTCTCGCTCTGTCGCCCAGGCTGGAGTGCAGTGGCGGGATCTCGGCTCACTGCAAGCTCCGCCTCCCGGGTTCATGCCATTCTCCTGCCTCAGCCTCCCAAGTAGCTGGGGCTACAGGCGCCTGCCACTACGCCCGGCTAATTTTTTGTATTTTTAGTAGAGATGGGGTTTCACCGTTTTAGCCGGGATGGTCTCGATCTCCTGACCTCGTGATCCGCCCGCCTCGGCCTCCCAAAGTGCTGGGATTACAGGCGTGAGCCACCGCGCCCGGCCGACATTATTTTTATTAGTAGTACTACTACTATATATTTTAAAGACTCTGGCTGGGCACTGTGGCTCACGCCTGTAATCCCAGCACTTTGCGAGGCCAAGGCAGGTGGATCACCTGAGGTCAGGAGTTCGAGACCAGCCTGGCTAACATGGTGAAACCCCGTTTCTACTAAAAATACAAAAAATGAGCCAGGAGTGGTAGTGCATGCCTGTAATCCTAGCTACTTGGGAGGCTGAGGCAGGAGAAACGCTTGAACCCGGAAGAGGGAGGTTGCAGTGAGCCAAGGTCGCACCATTGCACTCCAGATTGGGCAACAAGAGCGAAACTCCATCTCAAAAAAAAAAAAAAAAAAATAGACTCTATATTGTTTGTTTGCTCACATATTTATGTTTTCTGGTGTTTTTCTTTCCATCCTGCCTTTTTTACTTCCATCTGGGATTACTTTTCTTCATCTGGAGAATTCTCTTTAGTATTTATTTTAGTGCCAGTCTTCTGACAATGAATTCTCTCAGCTTTTGTTTTTTGAAACCTTCTTTCTTTTGCCTTTATTTTTCTGTATTTTTATTTTTTTAAGATAAAATTCATGTATCATGTAATATACCCATCTAATCATTCCATTCAGATACAATTCAATGTTACCTTTATTTTTGAAGGATATTTTTGCCTTGTATGAAATACTAGGTTCACCATTTTATTTTATTTTATTTTTGAGACCAAGTCTCACTCTGTCACCCAGGCTGGAGTGCAGTGGCACAATCTTGGCTCACTGCAACCTCCACCTCCTAGGTTCAAGTGATTCTTGTGTCTCAGCCTCCCAGGTAGCTGGGATTACAGGCATGCACCACCACGCCTGGCTAATTTTTGTGTTTTTAGTAGAGATGGGGCTTCACCACATTAGCGAGGCTGGTCTCAAACTCCTGACCTCAAGTGATCTGCCCACCTCGGCCTCCCAAAGTGCTGGGATTACAGGTGTGAGCTACTGGCGCCCAGCCTAGGTTCACCATTTTCAAGATATCATTCCAATCCTTAAGTTCTGTGGAAAAAGCCATTAGTTATATTTCCTTTGAAGGTAATGTGTCTTTTTTCTGTGGTCACTTTTAAGATTTTCTCTTCGTCTTTGTTTTTATTTTTTATTATACTTTTAAGTTCTGGGTTACATGTGCAGAACGTGCAGGTTTGTTACATAGGTATACACGTGCCCTGGTGGTTTGCTGCACCCATCAACCTGTCACCAAATTAGGTATTTCTCCTAATGTTATCCCTCCCCTAGCCCCCAACCCCCCGACAGGCCCCAGCGTGTGATGTTCCCCTCCCTGTTTCCATGTGTTCTCATTGTTCAACTCCCACTTATGAGTGAGAACATGCGGTGTTTAGTTTTCTGATCTTTTGATAGTTTGCTGAGAATGATGGTTTCCAGCTTCATCCATCCTAAGATTGGTAAACTTCCTGAATCTGTTGGTTGATGTCCTTCCTTATTAGAATTCTTAACCAGTCATTCTTCAAATAGTTTTTTCCAATCCGTTTTCTCTCTCCCGTTTTCTAGGATTGTGTGTTATACTATGTTCCATATGTCTGTTATAGTCCTTTGTTTGCCATCTTAATTTCTCCCTGTACTTCAATCTGTATAGTTTTTACTGACCTAATTAACTTATCCTGTTCTGCTGAGCCTAATCAATTTTAAATTTAGTTGTATATCTTATATTTTGGATTCTAAAATATCCATGACACTTTTTTGTAGGTGCCAAGTCTCTGATCATATCTTGTCTTTTCCTCTATATTCTTGAACACATTAATCAAAGTAATTTTAAAACTCTTGTCTGAGAAATCCAGTGTCTGATTACTACTACTAGTTGTTTGTTTCCATTGTCTGTTGTCAGTCATTTGGTGCTGTTTTTTAGCATGCCTTATAAGTTTGGTGAAATGTCATACATTGTGTGTTAAATACTGTAGGGGCTTTGAACGATGTTATCTTCCTCTAAGATGGTTATGTTTTCTTCTTGCAGTCTGATAAAATACAGGCATATCACTGTAATCCTATTGAAGGTTGGTTTTAGACTTTGTTGGGCTTGTACATTTCAGTTTTGCTCTTACTCCTAGCATATGGCCTCTTTGGGCTCTCATCTGAAAATCTAGGGTGTTTATCAGGGCCACTTCACCTCGGTGACCTTGAATTCCAACCTTTCCCTCCTCAGTACTAAGAGCTGCTCAGCTCGTTAGCCTCTCATCTGCTGCTTTTTGCTGGATTTCTTGAAGTCTCACCTTGTTGCACAGGAGTCTGCAATTGGCAGACACCTCAAGGAGATACTGTACCAGTATTTCAGGCTCACTTCCCTGAGGTTTCTTCGCTCTGGGATTTTGCCCCTTAAGTCCTAGCTACTTTCCCAAGCTCCAACTTTTGTCTCTTCAACCAAGTGGGATTACTGCTTGCTGCTAGGTATTTATTTCCCTGTGTTGTGAATTTGCAGTGCCTTGAAGAAGTAATCAAAATGAACACAGAGCTCACCAAAGTGTGCTTCCCTTTTTTCCCTCCTTTCAGCTATTTTATTGCAGCTCGTCAAGTTCTCCCTGCATTGGTTTGCTCCCTGTTGCCTATAAAAGATGTTCTACTTAACCCTTTTCCTGTTTGCCCCAAGAATACTTGCCAGCAGCACTTGCTGCTGCAGTATTTACCCCAAGATAACTTTGCCACGAACTCTCGCTTTTATTATTACTTTCGTTTAGCTCTAGTATATTGACTTCAGAAAAAAAGGACATCGTTCTCTTTATAGCATTCTGTTCTTAGTAGTGGTATTTCCATTTACAAAGTATAATAATTCTCGATCGCTGAAAATGTCGAATCCTAGAAAATGTAGCATTCCTACACGTGATGTTAACATCATTCTCGAACAGTTCTTGGACAGAGATTTATTTAATGAATTCGATTTTTCTGAAATAGATGATTTTGATGATTCAGATGCTTCTGATACTAGATCTGTTTAGAAATAACATCAAGAACAGTTTTTATATTTTATTTTCACATTGAAAATCAGTCAGATTTGCTTTAGCCTCAAAGAATGTGTTTACGTAAAATTAAATGAATGCTGGCAGTGAGCTGTACTTTTTTTTTCTAAACCGGAAAAGGGTTAATATAGCTTTCATCGTTGTTTTCAGTAGGAGGGCTAGTCCAATCACAAGCTACTCTATTGTGGCCAAAAGCAAAAATCTGGTGGTAATCATTTTTAATCGCCATTGTTGATTTCTCCGCAGTGGCTTCTGGCATTGATAACTTGGTTGTCACATGGTCATATGTGAAGGCACCCGGTTTATTCATTTGTTCCTTTGTCCATTAAATAGTTTTTGAGCACTTCTTTCAGGCCAGGTATTACTCTAGACACAAGCAATATAACAATATTTAAGATAAGATCTGTGTCACTTTGGCACTTGCAGCCTGTTTTTATAGAAAGGCTACTAAATGGTTGCCGAGTCGGACTTGTGGTAATTAAAATAGACTTTTCTTGTGTGGGGGTTGGGAGTGAGAAAAAAGAGACTGGAATCTTTTAGATGATTACATCTTCTTTATATAAATATTTTTAGCCTTTTGAAAAAACTCTGTAGAGCTTAATGCAGTTCACAGTTCACCCACACTACATCAATATTTGGCCTACCTTTTGCAAGCCCAATTCCCTAACTATGAGTTTCTGTGTTACATAAAAATCTCACCGGGAGCACAATTATTTGACAATTTGAGTTGAAACTCCAGGAACTGATTTATGGAGAACAAACTTAGCTCTGAAATTATGTCTCTTTATGAATATCGACATGAAATCTGATGAAGAATCATCCTACTGTGGTTTCCCATTTTAACTTCTGTTTTTGAAAAACATTTCAGATGCAACTAAGCACTTATTAAATGCTTCGTGATACCAAAAAATGGCTTGGTGGTCTTTGTCTTCCAGAATAGCATAAATTTCAGTGTTACCAAGATAAAAATATAATCTGGGCACATGTCACTGTTAAAATATTATAGTCAGATCAAGGATTCTATTCCTGTCTTTGTTATTCTTTCCCACTTTTGAAACTTTATCCAGTGGATTTTTTTTTATTACAAAGACGTATTCCAGAGATAACAGTTTGTACTTCTGATTATGATCCATGTTCATGTGATCAAAAGGCAGCAATAATAGGACACTGTCATATATGGTAGCTCCATAGAAACTAGGCTGCACTGGGAGGACAGATTCGCCATCTTGAGCACCTGTGGCTTGGTATTCTCGAAATTGTAGCCCCTTTGGAATGGCTGAAGAACTACCAGTTAAAGGTAAAGAAACCAGACACACAAGGCCACGTATTGTATGATTCCACTTACATGAAATGTCCAGAATGGGCAAATCCATAGAGACAGAAAGATTAGTGTTTTTCAGGGGCTGGTGGGAGGGGGAAATAGGGAGTGACAATGTATACAGGTGATGGGGTTTTGGGGTGATCAAAATGTTCTGGAATTAGGTAGTGGTAATGGTTGCAAGACATTGTAAATGTAGTAAAAAACAATGAATGGTACACTTAAAATGAATTTTATCTTATATTTTAAAAAATCACACACAGGCCGTGCACAGTGGCTCACGCCTGTGATCCCAGCACTTTGGGAGGCCGAGACGGGTGGATCACCTGAGGTCAGGAGTTGGAGAACAGCCTGACCAAAAGGGAGAAACTCCATCTCTAATAAAATACAAAAATTAGCCGGGCGTGGTAGCGCATGCCTGTAATCCCAGCTACTTGAGAGGCTGAGGCAGGAGAATCACTTTAACCCGGGAGGCAGAGGTTGCAGTGAGCCTAGATCGCACCATTGCACTCCAGCCTGGGCAACAAGAGTGAAACTCCGTCTCAAAAAAAAAAAAAAAAAAAATCACGCATAGCTAGAAAGGCTGTAGCTAGTTTGAGGAAGTCAGTACTAACACCTGGCTATTCAGAGAATGCCATCCTGCCCCCCTTTCTTTGGCATCAACTCTGAAGCATAGTTATGTTATGGTTGGAAAATCTTTTCTAACTAGAGATTAAGCTCTTGGGGACAAAGTAAACTTGCCTCTTACAGGAAACACCAAAGTTCCAGCTTAACAGAGAAAGGGAACCTCCTTGGGAATCATACTTTTCCCATTATTGGGTAGTGCTCGGACAGATGTCAAAGTGCTGTATGTTTCCATGGTGATCATATCCAGCTTATCATTACTTGTATCTTTGCCCTAAAGTTTAATTTCTTACTTTGGGACTCATTATAATAATGGGAGCACCGGCCTTTTGGGAGGCCAAGGCGGGTGGATCACGTGAGGTCAGGAGTTTGAGAGCAGCCTGGCCAACATGGCGAAACGCTGTCTCTACTCACGCCTGTAATCCCAGCACTTTGGGAGGCTGAGGCGGGCGGATCACGAGGTCAGGAGATCGAGACCATCCTGGCTAACACGGTGAAACCCCGTCTTTACTAAAAATACAAAAAATTAGCCGGGCGTGGTGGCGGATGACTGTAGTCCCAGCTGCTCGGGAGGCTGAGGCAGAAGAATGGCGTGAACCTAGGAGGCAGAGCTTGCAGTGAGCCGAGATCGCGCCACTGCACTCCAGCCTGGGCAACAGAGCAAGACTCTGTCTCAAAAAAAAAAAAATACAAAAATTAGCTGGGCGTGGTGGTGGGTGCCTGTGGGCCCAGCTACTTGGGAGGCTGAGGCAGGATACTCTCTTGAACCCAGGAAGCAGAGGTTGCAGTGAGCCGAGATCACGCCATTGCACTCCAGCCTAAGCGACAGAGTGAAACTCCGTCTCAAAAAAATAAAAAATAAAAAATAATGTAAGTACCAGGCCTTTGTTTGAGTTCAGTTTTTCTTTGGTGAGCACTTTTCTAAAATCTCTCTCATCTTACCTATGTTAACTTTGTCTCAGAAGCAGGCTCATTTGTGCAGTTAGCTGAAATATTTATTCAGAAAGTCATTTATAGCAGTTGTCTTTTCATCAAACATAATACCTTTAAAATAGCAGAAAATTAATGCCATTCATGATTTTGCCATTTTACTAAGTAGTCAGAAGCTATGTCTCCCTTAGCCCCATCATATACATTTGAAATATCTTTATCCTAGATAATCTGTATTCATTTGAATGCAAAAGTTTTATCAATATGAGTGAACTTATACATCTTTTTATTCGCTGATGGAGATATCACTTGAAACTTTGTTCCTGGCAAAGCAAAGAGATGAAATGTATTGAAAAAAATCGATTAGACTTTTAAAACTTCAAAATACTTTTATAGAAAATGTAAATAAGATTGTTTCTAACTGCAGAGTGTTTTACATAAAATCTTTATGTGAAGAATTTATATTGCAGTACAATAAAGTCAGTGCTTTTTATATGTTTTGAATGGTAAACATTTTGAAGGTATTTTTTGAAGTAACTAGGTATTGACATTTTTTAATAATATATTTTGAATAAAGCACACCTAAAATGCATGAACTTGTGTAAGTATTTGGCATCATTAGTCTAGTTGTACATATTTTTAAAAATAAGAATGGGCTTAGAAGATAATGTATTTGTAGTAAGTATAGTATATTTTTTACTGAGTGAGTCTGATACGTCTTTTAGATATTTGAGTAAAGTCTACTGTTAAAGTATTCCAGATTTTTAAATTCCAGTGTCCTTGCTGTGGAATCTAGTGTTGGCTTTCTGATGTCAGAATAATCAAACCCTGCTCATATACACATCCAGAAAACTTTTTCTAATGATGATACATTTAGCAAAATCGCAAGTCTTTAAAAATTCTAGTTAAATAGACTTACTTGAGACAAGTGTACATTGTGAAATCTAAAATAAAAATTTGTGACTATATAATACATAATCTTCATTATGTAGGCTATTTCTAAAAACTTAGTTTCTGTGCTGATTTCATGTTAAGTTTTTCAAACGTTAGCAGATTATAATGGCTACAGTAAGTTTTGTTCTAAATCTGGTAGCCATTTATTATTAAATGATTAATGATTAAACATTAATCATTTAATAATTACTTAGGAATTATAAATTACAATGTCAAATCTTCATACATCAGGCTCCTTGCACTATAATTACTTAAAATTAGTTTGCATCAATAGTCTATATAAACAGATATCTTAGTTTAGAGGAAAAAATATTCTATTTTCTAGGTACTTTAATAGTTTGGTCTTGTGAAAATTACATAGGTGTGTGTTTATGTATGTGTATACACACATGTATTGGGGGCTTACAATACCAAATTAATAAGACTGCCCCTCACTCCTTAAATCGACTATCTGCCCTGCCAGTAATCCCCCACCTGTACTGGTATATACAGAGTTTTCTCTGGTACAAATGATTAATCAAGAAAAAGGGTGTGAAATATTTGTGTTCGTTTCTTTTTAAATGAATAATGGGATACACATAAACTAGTAACACCACATTGATTTCCTAAAGACCTAATACAGCTTTAAGAGGGAATAACATTCCAGAGCTCCAGGATTATTTTAATTTAGCTTTCAAGATGGTTACGATTTTGATTTAATATAGAGACTTCATAGTGTTAAATTTTAGGGTTTTTTTTTTTTTTTTTGTATTTTTAGTAGAGATGGGGTTTCACCATGTTGGTCAGGCTGGTCTCGAACTCCTGCCCTGATGATCTGCCTGCCTCGGCCTCCCAAAGTGCTGGGATTACAGGCGTGAGCCACTGTGCCCAACCTAAATTTTAGGTATTTAAAACATCCATTGATGCTTTGTTTTGTTTTTGGGTTTTTTTTTTATTGTTGTTACTTAAGGGATGCATCTTATTTATTTGGTTGACTTTTATCTAGACATCATAAATGTGATGCTTACTTTTTTATTAGCCACTTCATTGTTGATGTCTTAATGGGAGATCTTAGTTTGATGAATCTACTCTTTGAAATTTTAGTTTGATTAGTCATTTGTTTCTGCTAGGTTTTGGCTTTTGTTTTGTTTTTTGAGTGATAACCTAAGAAGTTTCTACAGTGGAAAATATCATTATGACATCTTCATCCCTTATAAAGTTGTTTCATTTAGAGGAATTTTTCAAAGCCTATGTTGAGAAATGGGCAAATTAAGTAAAGCATCATAACAATTTTTTTTATAGTGAACTCATTTTATTTATAGAACGGCAAACACATTCACTCTTTTTGCTAACATCCGGGGCTTTTTTCATTGTGACTGCTTTGCACACTTAAAAATGTTTCTCCCAGGCCGGGCACGGTGGTTCATGCCTGTAATCCCAGCACTTTGGGAGGCCGAGGCGGGCGGATCACAAGGTCAGGAGATTGAGACCATCCTGGCTAACATGGTGAAACCCTGTCTCTACTAAAAATACAACAAAAATTAGCCGGGCGTGGTGGCAGGCGCCTGTAGTCCCAGCTACTGGGGAGGCTGAGACAGGAGAATGGCATGAACCCGGGAGGCGGAGCTTGTAGTGAGCCGAGATCGCGCCACTGCACTCCAGCCTGGGCGACAGAGCAAGACTCTGTCTCAAAAAAAAAAAAAAAAAAAAAGTTTCTCCCAGCAAAGGCTAACTGGAATTTATTTTTGTTTAAAGACAAATACTTTTAATGTGGATAAAATAAAAGTTGGAAGTATGCCTTTCATGTGGCAAACTGGAAATTAGTGGTTAGTACTCCATTGCAGCATTAAATACCAATTCTTTACAATAGGGTGCACATATCAGATGCTGTTTTTCCCTTAACCTTTGCACTTTTCATTGAAAATGTTTTCAAATCAAATCTTGTTTTATTGGGTTTCACATGATTGGACTAATACTTACATATATGCTTCTTTTTAAGGTATTTAGACATTGACAATTAGTTATTTCCTTATGAGCCATAGCTTTGAAAAACCATTTTAGAAGAAATTTCCATTTTTTAAACAAAAGTGTTGGGAGGCCGAGGCGGGCAGATCACGAGGTCGAGACCATCCTGGCTAACATGGTGAAACCCCGTCTCTAATAAAAATACAAAAAATTAGCCAGGCATGGTGGTGGGCACCTGTAGTCCCAGGTACTTGGGAGGCTGAGGCAGGAGAATGGCGTGAACCCGGGAAGCAGAACTTGCAGTGAGCCAAGATCGCACCACACCACTGCACTCCAGCCTGGGCGACAGAGCGAGACTCCGTCTTAAAAAAAAAAAAAAAAAAAAAAAAGTGATTTTTTAAAGAAAAGATACCGATAATTTGTCTTTGCTGTAGATGAATGCCACGTTTTTATATACTAGGACTATTACTGAATAATACTGTTTATTTCTTTAGATCAACGAATATATTAAATTCTGTCTTTTTTGTTCAAATAAACGCTGTGAGATGATTGGGAAGGCTGTGTGTTGAAGTTAGATGCAAAGTTGGACCTTGTACAGTGAGCCTCTTGTGAGAACTGAGCCATGAAAGATAAAGCCTGTCATTCATGTCTGCCTTGGCCTGTGCCCAGCTTTATTAGTAAAAACCATTCAGTTTTTACTAATGATATCTACCAGTATCTAAAGAGAAATACCTTCATCCTCTAGAAGAAAACAAGGTTACCCAAAGAGCTCACTTAATTCCTTCCTTTTTCCCTGAACCCTTGGTTTTAAGTGAAGAGTAAAATGTACTAGATATGACACTCTCTCTGAGTATTACTGAGGATTTTGTGGAAAAGGCAGTTTGGTACTTTATTTCCAGCTTAGCTGCAGACTTGGTGACCCTGAGCAAATCACTCAGCCTCCCTTTGCCTCCATTTCTTCATCTGTAAAATGGGGTTAACCTGTGCCTCCCTGTCTCACCAGCATACTGAGGGATCGATTAAAGAGGATTAAAAAAATCCATAAGGTACACTGATTCCAAAGATGGGTAGAATGATATTTAATAATGAAGACTTTCTGTTATATAGCAATTTAATTTTAAAAGTATCTTTACCAGGCCAGGTGCGGTGGCTCACTCCTGTAATCCCAGCACTTTGGGAGGCTGAGGAGGGTGGATCACGAGGTCAGGAGATCAAGACCATCCTGGCTAACACGGTGAAACCCCGTCTCTACTAAAAGTACAAAAAAATTAGCCAGGCATGGTGATGAGCGCCTGTAGTCCCAGCTACTCACGAGGCTGAGGCAGGAGAATGGCATGAACCCGGGAGGCGGAGCTTGCAGTGAGCCGAGATCACGCCACTGCACTCCAGCCTGGGGGGCAGAGTGAGACTCTGTCTCAAAAAAAAAATAAAATAAAAGTATCTTTACCCACTTCTCTGTAGTGAATATTGACTAGCATTTTGAAGTAGGAACTAACAAAGTATAAAATTAAGTAGATTTTTTATATTTATGGGTATTGTTCTAGTACAAATTTATGGTGTACACTGTCGGTCTGAGTGTGGGTTTAAAATATATCATTGTGCTTGGCTAATTTGTAGAATGTCTTATTTGAATTGACTTCATTTATTTCAGAGGAATGCATAGATGATCAGATCAAACTGTCGTCATAGCAGTGTTTTCAGCACATACGAGAATCTTAGAGTTTAGGAGCCTTAGAGCTCACCCAGTGCAATTTCCTGCCGGAAGCAGATTCCTTCCTGGTGACCTCACCAACAGGTGCTTGTGCAGCCTTTTCCTGAAAACTTTTTGGGAAAGTGGGGGCTGCTACCTCACTACTTTGATGTGTACCTTTTGTTCAAGAACTTTCTAAAACTTGGAGCTAATCATGGGTTATTTCAGAAGATGTAAGCATTTTAAGTTTTTTATTGAATTCCATCCTTATTTAAAAGGCCTGGTTATGTAATATTTTCTGTTTTTTTTTTTTTTTTTTGTATGGTTTCCCACATTGATTAGGTTGTTTTCTTCATTTTCTTAATAGATTAAAAATACTTTCTTCTCTTTCTATTTGTGTCTTCTTCCATTTAGTATTTATGGGAGGGAGCAAGAAGGGAAAGGATGTCTATTTTTAAAATTGACTACAATCATGACTGTTCTTCTTGTCATTCTGTAGCAGCTGGATTTATTACCATCTCTTATTTAAAGGTCCTTCAGAACACGTTGAAGCAGTTCATTTCAGGTCAATGGCTGGTAAGCAATGTCAGGACCTCTGGGGAAGGAGAAGCTGACGGGATCCCAGAGGAAAGAATTGAGGTTGTTTGCTCCCTTGTAGAAAGCCCACAGATCCCTTCCCAGACTAGAAAAAAAGTGCCAGAGTGTCCTGAAACTTTCCTTCTAAGGCACATACTTCAAAGAGACTGGGGATTCCTTTGTTTTAAATATAGGTGGGGTCTCACAGTGTTGCCCAGGCTGGGCTCAAGCGATCCTGCCACCTGGGCCTCCCAAAGTGATGGGATTACAGGCATGAGCCACCATGCACGGCCATGGAGATTCTAATGTGGTGCCAGCTGCCAGGTAAGAAAGCTGTGAGACAATGTGTTGATTTTCCTTTACTACGTCAGGTTTGAGGACATCATCTAGCATCAACGGGTAACGTCACCCTTTGTTCCATCTTTGGGAAATAATAGTAGTAGCTTGTTACTGTTAGCTGACCCCTACATTAGCATCAATAAAGTAAATCCCTTTAACTTTCCTTTTGGCCTTTCCTTTCTCTCTCTCTGCCTCCCCACCAGCCCCGACTCTCTCCTGTGTGCGTACACATCCACACACACCTCCATGGTATTCCTTCTTTCTCCCACCTAAGGGAAGCTGTGCCCGATCTTGCTGCAGTCCAGGTCACCGTACTGAGATGAGTCAGCCACAGACTCTAAACACTAGCAGCGATTAGCCGTATGTAGCCACCAAGTGCACTGTTTTAGACAGGTTTACACAGCTCTTTGCTGTCCACTCATATCAGCTGTGTAGTAGCCCAAGGCAGCCTGTCAGGCAGAAGAATTACCAACCAAAGTGGATCTATTCATAAGATAAAAGATCCGGAGTCCGTGCCCTCTTAAAAAACTTTTGTCTTCAGACATATGGGTGCGTGTTCATCTCTGGCCAAAACTTTGTTTCCAGTTTCAAAGGGCTGGTTGCGAAGGTGGCCTTGTAACCTTTCTGTTGCCGGCTCTGTTAGTTGCCTGATAAGCAGTAGCTAATTCATCCTCCTCAGAATTTGAGAGTGGCATCTATTAGATTCAGACCACCAAGGTGCCTGCGCGGGCTCTCCTGGTTACGACTGAGTCCCCTTTTCTCATCTGTGGGGTGAACGCTTCTATTTGCAGAAATTTGCTTGCATCTTTTTCCTTTTATTTATTATTACTTTTTAGAGATGCGGCCTTGCTCTGTTGCCCAGGCTGGAGTGCGGTGGACTCTTTTCTTTTGTTGATCTTTGCCATCCTCTGCCTGGCTTAATGAGGTTCTTTCCCTGCGTATTTATGTCCCAGGAGCTCACCTTCCCCCTAGGTTTTTAAGAAGGAAGCAGAAAATGTTACAAAGTATAAGGGATTCTATGAAGTCCATAGATAGGATTTGCTTTGGGAGTAGATGATTTCTTCTTATTTTGGTGTAAACATCAATTTGGATGGCAATTAGAATGTCTTTAGCCTCTTTAAAAAGCCCTTCTGGGGCAAACCTTTGCAAGTCACTCAGCTGGCATGTAATGAGATTTTTATTTGCATGGCTTTTTTTTTCTAAGTCTCTCTAGAAGAACATAAGGACATTCTGAACATGCAAGGAATACAGTTATTCTCACATCAAGGATCAATTTTATTTTGTATCTTCATTTTATGTCATTTTCCTTTATTTTATTCACATTAATCTAGCATTAATTCCCCCCAGAGGGAATGATATTTTTGGTTGCTGCCACCTGTGTTATTAAGTGACAGCTTTTCTTTATCTGCTTTTCTGAATTTCATATTTATATACTTTATTGTAGTTTTTTAAAATCTATTCTAGCTGGGCTAGAATCTTCCAAGTATTAATTCATAATGAACTTCCCTCTTCTGGAATTGTTTAGGAGGGCTAATGTTCCATGTTCCCTTCGTTGCTATAGATATGAAGTTATTTCGATGTTCTTTGAGTGCTTTATTATAGCGATAACTGGTACTGCCTTTGATTAAAGGTGAGCTATATGGAGTTAAGCATTTTTATACTAGTAACTATTTATTGAGAATTTTCAGAATTCTATAGCTACTTGTCTTTAACAGTTATAAGAGGCATGTATTTTTTTTTCCTTCATGGTCTGGAAGTTAGTTTTCTCTTTGTTTGGGTAGATCGGAATGAGTTGTTGAGCTGTGTTGAAAACACACATGAATCAAAAAAGCAGATGTATTGTAGAAATGTGATGTTTTCATGTTTCGGGAATTTGACCGGAAAGCTTTATGTATGGGTTTTATTTTTAACAAAGCAGTAAGGGCTTACTTTTTACCAACTTGTGTGTGTGTAAAGATGTATTTGTTCAAGCTTTAAGAATAAACCTGTCAATGTACAAATGCCTGATATCTGACTTGGACTTGTGGTTTGTTTGTTTGTTTGTTTGTTTGCTTTTCGGGGCGTGGGGGTAGGTATGTTGGATCTTGGAAATAAGTGAGAGTGTTAAAGAAGCACAACAATCTGTATCAGTGAATTTACATCTTAGAAGACTCACATTAACTTATGCTTGAATGAAAACCGTGTGTGGATAACTGAATGCAGCGTTTTCTGAACTGCCCTGAAGGACGGCTTAAAAGGAGAAGGAAGCCACTCGCCCATTTAGTGTTCTGAAAGGTCTTTTCCCCTAGGACCCATTCATGCCTCCCTTCATCAAGCCCCCATCCTTCGAGGGTTCCAGAAAATGAGCCCCGGAGCAGATGATTGAGGGAGGGCACGCCTAGGTCTCCATTCCCACGGTTCTTGGTAGCTGATTCCTCAGTCCCCTTGGCTGCCACCCACCCAGTCTTCTGGGGCCCAGTCATTCCTCAGCCCACCCTCCTGCCCCCACTCCCTGAGCCACTTGTCCTTCACTCTTTATCCTCAGAAACTCTCCCACCTTCTATCCCTCCACGTCAGCTTCTCCCAGCCTTCCAAAGACATCATGACCTAACTTGATCGTTTTGGAGGTGGCATCTGTTGGCAGAATAAGCACAGACTCAGATGCTATATTACCTATCTATTGCTGCACAACAGATAACCCCCAAAATAGTGGCTTAAAACCATAACCATTCAGTATTTCACAGTTCTGGTAGGTCATGAATTCGGAAGCAGCCTAGCTGGATGGTTCTGGCTCAGAGGCTCTCATGGGTTGCAGTCAAGGTGAGGATGTTGGCCAAGGTTGCCATCACTGGAAGGCTTGACTGGGGCTGGCAGATCCGCTTCCAACTTGGCTCACATGGCAGGAAGCTTGCAAGGTGGGCTTCTCCACAGGGCTGTGTGAGTGCCCTTGCAATAGGGCACTCGGCTCCCCCAGGCTGATGATCTGAGAGAGAAGACAAGGAGGGAGCTACAGTTCCTTTGATGTCTTACTCTCAGATGCCACAGGCCGTCATCTCTGCCAGATTCTGCACTCATCTCTACATTCTCTAGAAGCCAACGACCAGTTACAACCACCCTTGGGAGCAGGAGAATGAGGCTTGGTCTGTGGAAGGGTGGAGCACCAAAAAATCTGTGGACATGTTTTTAAACCACCACAGATCCTTACTCATCCATTTTTTCTGACCACATGAGGTAGGCGAGTCACACTCCTAACCCTTGGATTCTTCTTCTCTAAAATGAGAACAATACTGTCTTCTTGAAGAGTACTTACGTGGCTTCAAGACAGTGTTGGAAACCTTCTAGCCCAACCATATCTGGCACACAGTAGGTGTTCATAAATAGGAGTTATTGTTATCCAGGCTCGGGGAGACCCAAAGCAAGAGTCTCTGCTGACAGCATGGGTGAAGGTGGAACTCCAACAGGGTGGTGAGGGGGTTTTGGGGAGAGGCAGTCCCACAGGACAGGAAACATCCTGTGCTGCTCCTGGCTGGGTCCGCGGATGAGCCAAGATGGGAATTAGACTCATCTGCCTCTCAGCTGGAGGCTACCACTTTGTTTCTCTCCTACTTTCCACCAGAATAATGGTCCCCCTCAAAGACATCCATGTCCTAATCCCCAGAACCTGTGGCTATGTTAGCTTACGTGGCGAAAGGAACCTTGCAGATGGGATTAAGGTAAGGATCTGGAGTTGGGGAGATGACCCTGGCCAATCTGGATGGGCCCAATGTCATCACAAAGGTCTTTCTAAGAGGGAAGCGGGAGCTCAGAGAGGAGAGGAGATGCCACACCACTGGCCATGAGGGTGCAGGAAGGAGCCATGAATCTAGGACATAGCTGGTCTGTGGAAGCTGGAAAGGACAAGGAAATGGATTCTCCCCAAGCCCTTCCAAGAAGAGCCAGCCCTGCTGACGCCTTGACTTTGACCAATGAGACTGATTTTTGGACTTCTGACCTCCAGCGCAGCAAGACAGAAACTCCACTCCAGAACGGAGCAGCCAAGGGCGCAGGGCTCTGTCTTCCCCAGCACCCAGTGGGAGGGCTGCCTTCCCAAGAGAAGCAGCATGCCAGCATTTCTCCTCCTGCCCCCAGTTCCTGTTGCTGAGGCTAAGTTCTGGGCAGGGACAGGCGAGAGTTGGGGGCTCCCTTCATCCTCCTGCCCCCTCGTGGGATGGAGGCCCTACCCGGGCCCCATCCTGGGATGTGAATACTGGCACCCTGATGGCCTGTCCTGGCTCCTGAGGCAGAGTTTCCGTGCTGGGAGAGGCAAACCAGGGAGACCAGAGGCTACTGTGGACCCTTGCACCAAGCACTCAGTCCTAAAGCTGAGGCGTCACTCAGGGAAACATGCCGTTGTTCCCAGGCCAAGACAGAAACTAGATTCATGGTTGTCTAGGACTGGGAAGTTTGGGAGACTATGGGAGGATAGCTAAAGGACACAGGGTTTCTTCTGGAGGTGATGAAAATACAGTTGTCTCTCAGGATCCATGGGCTCCAGCACACCAAGATCTGAGGACACCAAAATCCGAGGATGCTCAAGTCCCTGACATAAAATGACACAGTAGGCCGGGTGTGGTGGCTCACACCTGTAATCCTGGCACTTTGGAAGGCTGAGGCGGGTGGATAACTTGAGCTCAGGAGTTCGAGACCAGCCTGGCCAACAAGGTGAAACCCCTTCTCTACTAAAAATACAAAAATTAGCTGGGCGTGGTGGTGCACACCTGTAATCCCAGCTACTCGGGAGGCTGAGACAGGAGAATCACTTGAACCCAGGAGTCGGAGGTTGCCATGAGCCGAGATCATGGGTCTCATTTTGTCACCCAAGCTGGAGTACAGTGGCACAATCATGGCTCACCGCAGCCTTGAACTCCTGGGCTCAAGCGATCTCTTGCCTTAGCTTCCTGAGTAACTGGGACCATAGGCGTGTGCCACCACACCTGGCTAATTTTTTTTATTTTTTATTTTTTTGTAGCGACAAGGTCTCACCATGTTTTCTAGGCTGATCTCAAACTCCTGGGCTCAAGTGATCCTTCTGCCTCAGCCTCCCAAATTGCTGGGAATACAGGTGAGCCACTTCGTCTGGCCCATTTTGTGTTTCTTTAACTTTGGTCACCTATGCTGTGTTGTGTCCTGTGCTGAGCTTAAACTCAGGTGGGTGTAATGCTGACATCTCAGAGTCAGCCCCACGGATTACCAGCTAACCAGGGCAAATGTTTGGCTATTTATAAGACAGAGAAGAAGTAATCCCCAGGGTAAAACCAGAGGCCATCAAATGCAGTGGACTAAGCTACCGTGTAGAGGTGTGGGGGGAGGGGCTAGCCTTGGACCACTGATCACCACAGGGATAGCTCTGGCTGGCTGCTACCCCATCTGCATGTGGACTTTCTCTGCAGGATGTGGCAAAGGATGGTGAGCCACATACTCAGATTGAGTCAAGAATCTCATTTTTGTAAAAATAATGTATATAAAGCACCCCTGGGTGTTTTAGTAAATATCAGTGTTGATTCTATCCGACTTGTATTATCATTCCAGATGGTACAGCTGAGCCAAACCACCAGTCAGTCCTTCCCAGTTTGTGTCTTTGTGGCTGTTTGAGGCTCTAACTGGTGCTGATGAGTGCATCAAGAGCTCACAAGTGGCTGGGTGTGGTGGCACACACCTGTAATCCCAGCTACTCGGGAGGCTGAATGTGGAGGATCTGTTGAATCCAGGAGGTTGAGACTGCAGTGAGCTATGATCACACCACTGCACTCCAGCCCAGGTGACAGAGAGAGACCCCATCTCTTAAAAAAAAAATCAAAAATTAGACCAGGTGCAGTGGCTCATGCCTGTAATCCCAGCACTTTGGGAGGCCAAGATGGGCAGATCACTTGAGGTCAGGAGCTCGAAACCAGCCTGACCAATATGGTGAAACCCCGTCTCTACTAAAAATACAAAAATTAGCCAGGTGTTGTGGCGGGTACCTGTAATCCCAGCTGCTCAGGAGGCTGAGGCAGGAGATTCGCTTGAACCCGGGAGGTGGAGGTTGCAGTGAGCTGAGAACACGTGACTGCACTCCAGCCTGGGCGACAAAGTGAGACCCTGTCTCAAAAAAAAAAAATTAAGGTCAGGCGCGGTGGCTCACACCTGTAACCCCAGCACTTTAGGAGGCCAAGGCGAGCGGATCGCCTGAGGTCAGGAATTTGAGACCAGCCTGGCCAACATAGTGAAACCCCGTCTCTATTAAAAATACAAAAATTAGCCGGGTGTGGTGGTGGACACCTGTAATCCCACCTACTCAGGAGGCTGAGGCAGGAGACTTGCTTCAACCTGGGAGGCGGAGGTTGCAGTGAGCTGAGATCATGCCACTGCACTCCAGCCTACGTAATAGATCAAGACTCCGTCTCAAAAAAAAAAAAATTAAAATTAGAAAAACTCACAGGAAACAGATTAAGGTCACCCTGGGTCCCTCCATTGGTTCAAGTACAAGTGGCTAAAAAACAACCAAAATAGTAGATAGACCAGCCTGGCCAGAAGCCAGAAGCAGCCTGTGGTGGAAGGAAGACCCAGGGGAAGCCTCTGCCTCAAAGTCCCACCTGCTCAGCAGGTCTGCTCCCACCTCTCAGTGCTGCCTGAGTGCCAATCATTAGAGCATCAGACCTCTCTGGTCCTCAGTGTCCTTATCTGTAAAACAGGGGTAATGTTATCCTTCAGTCAGTTTTTCTCTGTAACAGTTCCTAAGGCTGCAGAAGACTGGAACATTCTCTGGGGTAATTCTTTATACTGTAGAGTCTAAAGAAAGTGTCTATAGAGTTGGGATGCTCCAAAAGCATAGTAGTTATTAATAGGCTGCCAAGACTGTGGGAGGGTGTAAAGCCAGTTGTACGCAACAAAGCTTTGAAAGGCAGCCTAGAACAGGAAGCGTCAGCATGTGCTGCAGACGTCAGGCATGGTGGCCCTGCATGAGATGTGGGCAGAGGGGAAGGCGCAGGCCTGGGCAGTACTTCACAATTTGGGCCTCAAGAGCTCCCCCCACCTCTACAGTGTGGTTATTATTAGGACGAGAAGGAGGTGCAGTAGACTGAAAAAATCCTCAGCTCAATGTACAAGGCTTCCCACGTTGCTGCAGGTGACCTATTTTGGATGCAGAAAAGCATGGTGATGCTGGGTGCGGTGGCTCACGCCTGTAATCCCAGCACTTTGGGAGGCCGAGATGGGTGGATCACGAGGTCAGGAGATCAAGACTATCCTGGCTAACATGGTGAAACCCCGTCTCTACTAAAAATACAAAAAAATTAGCCGGGTGTGGTGGCGGGCACCTGTAGTCCCAGCTACTCGGGAGGCTGAGGCAGGAGAATGGCGTGAAGCCAGGAGGTGGAGTTTGCAGTGAGCCAAGACCACGCCACTGCTCTCCAGCCTGGGCAACAGAGCGAGACTCTGTCTCAAAAAAAAAAATTAAATTAAATTAAATTTAAAAAAAGCATGGTGATAGGGATAGTAATTGCTAGCAATTTGAAAAACCTAGCAACTCTCCGGTGTCTTATCTGATCAGACATGGAAGCCATGTATAATCTTGGCCCACCTTGAATTGCTGTTGACCCTAAGCATATGAGCAAGTTCTGCAAAGCTCCAGTTAACAGTGTGAGGCTCTTTAAACAGGGATTCACACAGGAGCGCCAACTGCATTTCTTTTCTTTTCTTTTTTTTTTTGAGACGCAGTCTCACTCTGTTGCCCAGGCTGGAGTGCAGTGGTGCCATCTCAGCTCACTGCAACCTCCGCCTCCTGGTTTCAAGCGATTCTCCTGCCTCAGCCTCCCAAGCAGGTGGGATTACACATGTGTGCCACCATGCCCAGCTAATTTTTCTATTTTTAGTAGAGATGGGGTTTCACCATGTTGGCCACGCTGGTCTCGAACTCCTGACCTTGTGATCCGCCCATCTCAGCCTCCCAAAGTGCTGGGATTACAGGCGTGAGCCCCCGTGCCCGGCCCACCAACTGCATTTCTAATGCTTGATTTGTTCAGCATAGTGGTAGCATGCAGGTGTTCATGATAGTATCCTTATGCCCTTTGCATGTATGAAATATTTCATAATGATTTTTTAAAGGACAGCATAGGCTGGGTGTGGTGGCTCATGCCTGTAATCCCAGCACTTTGGGAGGCCAAGGCGGGTGGACCACTTGAGCTCAGGAGTTTGAGACCAGCCTGGCCAACATGGTGAAACCCCGTCTCTACTAAAAATACAAAAATCAGCCTGGCACGGTGGCACGCAGCTATAATCCCAGATCCTCGGGAGGCTGAGGCAGGGGAATCGCTTGAACCTGGGAGGCAGAGGTTGCAGTGAGCCAAGTTCGCGCCACAGCACTCCAGCCTGGGTGACAGAGCGAGACCCTGTCTCTCAAAAAAAGTGCAACCTAAGTACAAGCCTAGTCCCACCAGCAAATAGCAGCCCATCCTTGGTTGCATAACCTGGAGGAGAGGAGCAGAGCCACAGTCAGAGCCTCACACCGCAGATTCGCCTGCCGTGATTCCACTCAGGCTAGAAACATTCCCTAAACAACTCATAAGGGAGACAGTGCACTCTAAGCACACTGAAGGGTGAGAGGAGGCTGCCCAAGGATTAAAATTTTAACCCAGATGGCCGGGCACGGTGGCTCATGCCTGTAATCCCAGTACTTTGGGAGGCCGAGGCAGGTGGATCACCAGGTCAGGAGTTCAAGACCAGACTGGCCAAGATGGTGAAACCCAGTCTCTACTAAAAATACAAAAAAAATTAGCCAGGTGTGGTGGCGGGTGCTTGTAATCCCAGCTACTCAGGAGGCTGAGGCAGAGAATTGCTTGAACCCAGGAGGCAGAGTTTGCAGTGAGCCGAGATCGAGCCACTGCACTCCAGCCTGAGCAACAGAGCAAGACTCTGTCTCAAAAAAAGAAAAAAGAAAATTTAATCCAGATGATCTGCGGGGTGAGAGGGCAGGTTGTACAAAGTTCAGTTTGAGGGGCTGTGTGTGCTCACTCCTGCCATCCATCAGGCCTTTGGGGCACGTGGGCCTGGCAGAATGAGTGACCTGTGAAACTGAATTTGTCCACAGGCCTACCCTGAGCAGTGAGTTATTAAACATCAGTGAAGAGCAAGGAAGGGTATGTTAGTCCATTTTGTGTTTCTATAAAGGAATACTGAAGCTGGGTAATTTATATAGAAAAGAGGTTTATTTGGCTCACAGTTGTGCAAGCTATACATGAAGTATGCTCAGCTTCTGATGAGGATCTCAGGAAGCTTATAATCACAGCAGAGGCTGGGCACTGTGGCTCATGCCTGTAATACCAGCACTTTGGGAGGCCAAGGTGGGTGGATAACCTGAGGTCAGGAGTTTGAGACCAGCCTGGGCAATATGGTGAAACTCCAACTGTAATAAAATTACAAAAATTCTCCTGGCATGGTGGTGGGTGCCTGTAATCCCAGCTACTCGGGAGGCTGAGGCACGAGAATCACTTGAACCCGGGAGGTGGAGGTTGCAGTGAGCCGAGATCACACCATTGCTCTTCAGCCTGGGCGACAGAGTGAGACTCTGTCTCAAAAAAAAAAAAAAAAAATCGCAGCAGAAGATGAAGGGGGAGTAGGTGTGTCACATGGAGAGGGGGGCAGAGGAGAAAGAGGGAGAGGAGGTGCCAGGCTCTTTTAAACAACCAGCTGTCACATGAACTAACAGAGTGAGACTCGCTCATCACCAAGGGGTGGCACCAAGCCATTCATGAGGGATCCTCCCCATGAGCTACACATCTCCCTCTAGGCCCCCACCTCCCACACTGGGGGTCACATTTCAACGTGAGGTTTGGAGGGGACAAACATCCAAACCATTTCAAAGAGATATTAAAGCCTGAGCAACATGGCCAAACTCCGTCTCTACAAAAAACACAAAAATTAGCCAGGTGTGGTGGCACACACTTACAGGCTCAGCTTCTTGGGAGGCTAAAGTGGGAGGATAACTTGAGCCCAGGAGGTTGAGGCTGCAGTGAGCCATGATCACACCACTGCACTCCAGCCTAAGTAACAAAGCAAGACCCTGGAAAGAAAAAAAAAAAGGAGATATTAAGATCTCTGTTCATCCAACCAAGAAAACAAAGATAGGTTTCTGTGCTCTGCACAGTGGGAGCAGTACTGCTTCTGTTCTCTGTGCTCTCCGCCCCAGGGCCAGCATTTCTCCGCCTGGGTCTGGGCTCTGGACAGTTCTCTTAGTCTCCCAAATCTTTTCCAACTCCAATTGTTATAAAAATCATTTACCAGATGTCTCCCTCAGGTTCTTTGTTCAAAAGCAACAAAAACTAACTTAAGTAACTTAAGCAAAAAGTTAACTGAGTAACTTAAGCAAAAAGGGAATGGACAACAGGAAGTGGGAGAGGCAAATGACCGAAGGCACAAAGCCCAGACTTGGAAGGGGCAGGGCCTGGGTGGCCCTTGGGGCCTGGGAAAGGAAAGTAAATGGATGTTTCATCTGGTCCTCAGTACTGAACACATCTAATCCGGCGTGAGTGGGCAGGGAATCGTGTGAGTGACTGTGTTTAAGTTTGAGTTTCTTTTTCCTTCATCCCTAGGTCTCTCCAGGCTAGACTGAAATATCAGGGAGGAAGGGTTCTAACTGCCTGGCTGGGTCACATGCTCAGCCTTGACTAGAGGAAGGCAGTGCATCCTCCTCCTTGACGGGTACTTATCATGTGCTAGTTTGAGGTCATTTCTCCAAAGCAAAGTGGGAGCAGAAGCCGAGGGCAGGAGACTGGACGCTGGGCAGAAGCAAAATCAGTGGCCGCTCCCCCAGGGCTTCTGGTCTGCCTGTTCCTTGTCTGCCTTTTTTTTTTTTTTTTTTTTGAGATGAGTTTCACTCTCGTCACCCAGGCTGGAGTGCAATGGCATATTCTCGGTTCACTGCAACCTCTGCCTCCCGGGTTCAAGAGATTCTCGTGCCTCAGGCTCCCAAGTAGCTGGGATTACAGGCACCCGCCACCACGACCGGCTAATTTTTATTTTTATTTTATTTTTATTTTTAGTAGAGATGGGGTTTCACCATGTTGGCCAGATTGGTCTCAAACTCCTGACCTCAGGTGATCCACCCACCTCGGCCTCCCAAAGTGTTGGGATTACAGGTGTGAGCCACCGTGCCCAGCCCCTTGTCTGGCTTTTTAACAAGACATTTGTCTTCCAGCAGATCCCAAACTCCAGGACAGGGACATTTTCCTCCACTTTTGTTTCCTTTGGTGGTGGACAGGGGAGGTCAGCGCCATCCCAAACATTTGGTAGCTGCATAATAAATGCTTATGGAATTGAGTTTGATCAAATCCGAGAGACAAAAAATGGAAGCGCAGAGCTTTCCAAAATACTGAAAGCATTCAGAACATCTTGGTGCTCTAGGGTAAAGTGGAAAGAGTTAAATATTTCAGACTGGCTTTGTGTTTCTGACCCCTCCTTCACCCACCCTGTGCTGGGTGTTGCTCTGTGGTGATGCAGGGTAAAGGAATAATTGGCCATATTCTGTTAAGGCATGGCATCTAAAAGTGAAGGTTTTCTTCTGAGATAAAGTTTGAAAAGGGGCTCAGTAGAGGCCAGGTATTAATTTCCATCCTGGAGGAAGAAAGGCATGGAAACTGCAGCAAGTTTGTGTTGACTTCATTAGTCTGTTGATGCTGGAGCACACGGCCTGTCCCCTTCACAACTGGAAAGAACACAAGTCCCCGCCTCAATCAAAGCCTGTGTGTTGTCTCCCAATCAATGGTGCACCTTACCTTCTATTTATTTATTTGAGACGGAGTCTCGCTCTGTCACCCAGCACCCAGGCTGGAGTGCAGTGGTGCGATCTTGGCTCACTGCAGCCTCTTCCTCCCGGGTTGAAGCAGTTCTTCTGCCTCAGCCTCCTGAGTAGCTGGGATTACAGGCGTGCGCCACCACACCTGGCTACTTTTTGTATTTTTAGTAGAGATGGGGTTTTGCCATGTTGGCCAGGCTGGTCTCGAACTCTTGATCTCAGGTGATCCGCCTGCCTCGGCCTCACAAAGTGCTGGGGTTACCACCGGCCCAGTGCACTTTACTTTCAAGCGATGACGTGCCCACTATAATTAGGGGCCATATATGTTCTCTGAGAAGTCTTCCATCAGGGCAAGCCAGTCTACATCTCGCAGTCCGCATGTGAAGTAACAAGCGTTTCTCTTTCATCTGTGAAATCAAAACCTCTGTTCGAACAGATAAACATATCGTGCTGCTTCTGTGTTGAATAACTAAAGACCAAACTTGAACTACTTTCAGGAGTCGGGAAGAATAATTGGCCAACTCATGCATCATGATACCATAGTTTTCATTCCAAAGGTACTTGAAGAACAACTTCAACCACACAAAACTCTGTTCGCTGATGACTGCCCTTTAGAAGGTGGATGTTTCCTGGGGACATTGCACAGTTGGCTGCTGCCGGAGATGGGGTGCCGCCAGGGAACATGGGGTGTCCAGGCACTCTTACACTGAGATATTTTCTGGTTGAAAAATATTTTGCAAGCAAGAAAACTGAGGCTCAGAACTGTAGAGTGACTTACTTGTATTCTGCAGAAAAGACCCTCAGAGATGGCTCAACCCTGGACATATTGTGGTATTTGGCTTTCTTTTTTAATTTAGAAATTTTTCTTAGAGAAAGACAGAGACGTCATTCCTAGCCTTGCACACAGACACCCCAAATAAACAGGCCCCACAGGAGGAGTATGGTGATCTAGAACCCAGCTTCTTGACGGAGGAGTGGGTGTCTCAGCTGATTCTGTCTGCTCAGCAGCACCCCTCACACTGTGCAAATGCTAATCATGAAGGTGAAGTTGCCCGCACTGGGCACCCCTCTGCCCTCACAGGTGGGCACCCCTCCGCCCTCACAGGTGGGCACCCCTCCGCCCTCACAGCTGGGCACCCCTCCACCCTCACAGCTGGGCACCCCTCCACCCTCACAGCTGGGCACTTCTCCACCCTCACAGGGCACCCCTCCACCCTCATAGCTGGGCACCCCTCCGCCCTCACAGGGCACCCCTCCACCCTCACAGCTGGGCACACCTTCGCCCTCGCAGCTGGGCACAACTTCACCCTCGCAGCTGGGCCCTGCTGACCAAGCTCTCCTCCCTTGTCAGAAGGTGGCTCTGTAGCTTCCTGAGATTTTGGAGAGGAAGAGAGAAGGCTTGTGGGAAAACTTCCCCTTCCCAGGCACAAGTTCAGAGCCCGTCAGCCCAGAAATGCCCCCGTGTGCCCTGGCATCCAGGGTCTCCATCTCAGAGAGGGCCTAAGGGCCAGCCCAGGGTGCCTCTGGGAGCCAAGGAAACTCCCCTGCTGCTAAGTAAATGGAAGTAGCTTGGGCTGTGGTTTCTACACGGGGGCCCCTGATCTGACCGCAGAGGAGAACAACAAACCACCCCAAAGGCGCTCCTGGGCCTGGGTTCCCAGAGTGGGGGCCAGGGCTTCTGCGTTAGACCGTGATCAGGGATTTTAGAGGTTGGATCACCTCAATGACCATCTAAAAATTTAAATCTGAAAAATAAATAAAAATTCCAATCTGATCATTCCCACTGCAACCCCCTGTGTGGTGCCCCAGTGCTGGGAGGATAAAGCCTCAGGGCCTCTCCCGGCCCTCCCCACTTTTCACCTCAGGAAGGAGTCTCGCTCTGTCACCCAGGCTGGAGTGCAGTGGCGCGATCTCAGCTCACTGCAAACTCCGCCTCCTGGGTTCACCCCATTCTCCTGCCTCAGCCTCCTGAGTAGTTGGGACTACAGGCACCCGCCACCACATCCGGCTAATTTTTTTGTATTTTTCTTAGTAGAGACGGGGTTTCACCATGTTAGCCAGGATGGTCTTGATCTCCTGACCTCATGATCCACCTGCCTCGGCCTCCCAAAGTGCTGGGATTACAGATGTGAGCCACCGCACCCGGCCAAGACTTCATAGTCTTAAAATGGCAGTACTCCTCAAATGGATCTACAGATTCAAACACAAGCCCAATCAAAATCCCTGCTCTTTTCGCAGACATTGACAGATCTGAATTTTAATATGGAAATAAAAGGGAGCCCCCCCCAATCAAAACAATCTTATAAAAGAAGAACAAAACTAAGACCTCACATTTTCCAATTCTGAAAGTTACTGCAAAACTACAATAATCAAGACAGTGTGATACTGACATAAGGATAGCCATATAAGTCAATGGAATAAAATTCAGGTTCAGAAATAAACCCATACAGTTATGGTAAATTGGTTTTTGACAAGAGCACCAACATTATTCAATAAGGGAAAGAATTGTCTTTTCAATAAATCGTGCTGGAACAACCAGATATCCACATGTAAAAGAGTAAATTTGGGCCAGGTGCAGTGGCTCACGCCTGTAAGCCAGTAGAAACCCCGTTTTTAGTAGAAACCCCGTCTCTACTAAAAAAATACAAAAAAAAATTAGCCGGGTGTGGTGGCGGGCACCTGTAGTCCCAGCTACTGGGGAGGCTGAGGCAGGAGAATGGCATGAACCCGGGAGGCGGAGCTCGCAGTGAGCTGAGATTGTGCCACTGCACTCCAGCCTGGGCAACAGAGCGAGACTCCATCTCAAAAAAAAGAGTAAATTTGGACCCCCACCTAATACCATATACAAAAAATTAATTCAAAACGGATCACAGACCTCATCCGAAGAGCTAGAGCTGCAAAATTATTAGAATAAGACATAGCTATAAATCTTCACGACCTCAGATTACGCAATGGTTTCTTAAGTACACCACCCAAAACACAGGTGACAAAAGAACAAATTAGATAAATTGAACTTCATCAAAAACATTTGCAGCCAGGCGTGGTAGCTCATGCCTGTAATCCCAGCACTTTGGGAGGCCGAAGCGGGAGGATCATTTGAGGTCAGGAGTTCAAGACTAGCCTGGCCAAAATGGTGAAAAACCCCATCTCTACTAATAATACAAAAATTAGCTGGACATGGTGGCAGGTGCCTGTAATCCCAGCTACTCAGGAGGCTGAGGCGGGAGAATTGCTTGAACCCGGGAGGCGGTGGCTGCAGTGAGTCAAAATCGTGCCATGGCACTTTAGCCTGGGCAACAGGGCGAGATTCCATCTCAAAAAAAAAAAGAAAAAAATTTGCACCTCAAGGAACACTGTCAATACAGTGAAAATGCACAGAATGGAAGAAATACTTGCAAATTATATATCTGATAAGATACGTGTATCTAGAATGTATAAATAACTTTTTTGTTTGTTTGTTTTGAGATGGAGTCTTGCTCTGTCACACCCAGGCTGGAGTGAGGTGGCGCAATCTCGGCTCACTGCAACCTCTGCCTCCTGGGTTCAAGCGATTCTCCTGCCTCAGCCTTCTGAGTAGCTGGGAGTACAGGCGCCTGCCATCACGTCTGGCTAATTTTTTGTATTTTTAGTAGAGATGGGTTTTCACCATGTTGACCAGGCTGGTCTCGATCTCCTGACCTCAGGTGATCCGCCCACCTCAGCCTCCCAAAGTGCTGGGATTACAGGTGTGAGCCACCGCGCCCAGCCATAAATAATTCTTACAACTCAATAATGAAAGAAAAAAAAAAAAAAACCCAAGTAACCCAATTTAAAAATGAGCAAAGAATCAGAATTCTTCAAAGATGGACAAATGGCCAATAAGCACCTGAAAAGTTGCTCAACATCATTAGTTATCAAAGAAATGCAAATCAAAACCACAGTGTAATGCCACTTCGCATACACTGGGATGGCTAGCCTCAAAATGACAGATATGAAAAAGAAACAAAAGGGAGATGTGGAGGATGGGGAGAAATGGAAACCTCATACATTGGTGGTGAGACGTAAAATGATGCACATTTTGTTTGTTTGTTTGTTTTTGAGATGGAGTCTCGCTCTGTCGCCCGGGCCAGAGTGCAATGGCGCTATCTCGGCTCACTGCAAGCTCCGCCTCCCGGGTTCACGCCATTCTCCTGCCTCAGCCTCCCGAGTAGCTGGGACTACAAGCGCCCGCCACCACACCCGGCTAATTTTTTGTGTTTTTAGTAGAGACGGGGTTTCACCGTGTTAGCCAGGATAGTCTCGATCTCCTGACCTCGTGATCCACCTGCCTCGGCCTCCCAAAGTGCTGGGATTACAGGCGGGATTACACCGCGCCCGGCCGATGCAGCTGTTTTAGAAAACGGTTTACTAGTTCTTCCAAAGGTTAAACATAGAGTTACCAGCATGACCTAGCAATTCTACTCCTACTTCTACACCTAAGTGAAATGGAAATGTACGTCTACACAAAAACTTGTACAAAAATGCACATAGCAGCATCACAATAGCCAAAGAGTGGAATCAGGCTGATGCCCATCTACTGATGAGTGGATGAGTGGATGTGGCACCCACGCAATGGAATATTAGTGGCCATAAAGTTGGATGAAGTGCTGGTACAGGCTACCACATGGAGGAACCTTGAAAACATTGTGTTAAGTCAAAGAAGTCAGTTATAAAAGACCTCATGTTGTATGAGTCCATGTATGTGAAATGGCGGGAACAGGTAAATCCATGGAGACAGAAAATCCTAGGGCCGGCCGGTAGGGGATGTTTTGGAAAAACTCAAACCTGTATTTCTTTTGTTTTCATGCCACAACAATCAACACAGACTTCTGTGACCAAGGGGGGCGGTTTCCCTACCAACAAGCAGTAGGCACCAGCTGGGTCTGATACTACCTGTGTGGAGCTAGGGTCAGTTCCCACAGGTAGAGGGCTCAGTCCCTAAGACTGCCTCTTCCTGCAGACACCAGTCACAAGTCCAGGCCTCTGGAACTTCTGACCAACCAGCTTTAAGCTGGGGGGTCTCACAACCCCCTCTTTGGGTTGAATTAATTTGCTAGAGCTGCTCACAGAACTCGAGGGAAAACTTAAGTTTACCAGTTGATTATAAAAGATATTGTAAAGATACAGATGAAGAGATGCATAGGGTGAGGCACGTGGGAAGGGGTATGGAGCTTCCATGCCCCCCGCAGGTGCACCTGCCTCCAGAAACCTCCTTGTGGTCAGCTGTCTAGAGCTCTCCAGCCCAATCCTCTTGGGGTTCTTTTTTCTTTTTTTTGAGACAGAATCTCGCTCTGTCGCCCAGGCTGGAGTGCAGTGGCGTGATCTTGGCTCATTGCAAGCTCTGCCTCCCGGGTTCACGCCATTCTCCTGCCTCAGCCTCCCGAGTAGCTGGGACTACAGGCGCCCGCCACCACGCCGGGCTAATTTTTTTTGTATGTTTTAGTAGAGACGGGGTTTCACTGTGTTAGCCAGGCTGGTTTTGATCTCCTGACCTCCTGATCCGCCTGCCTTGGCCTCCCAAAGTGCTGGGATTACAGGTGTGAGCCACTGCACCTGGCCATCTGTTCCAATTCTTTTTTCCCTTTCTGTGTAGCATTCTTTTCTCCAAGGTATGAGGCAGGACCCTCTGTAGCAGGTAAAAGGAGGGTAGGAGAAGGTCAAAGAGGGCTTTGGGAGTTATGAATCAGGAACTGTGGATGAATATATATATATATGTATAATGTGTGTGTGTGTGTGTGTGTGTATATATATATATATATATTATCATGAGGGGAAATAGGGAGTGATTGTTAATGGGCATGGAGTCTCTTTTTTGGGAGCATTTAGAAAAAAGTGCTCCTAAGTGGACTGTAGTGATGGTTGCACATGTCTGTAAATATACTACTAACTTCCGAATTCTGTGCTTTAAATTGGGAACCGCATGCTATGGGATCTATCTCTCAGACAACTTTTTTTAAAATCACACATTCCAACACACACATACTTCCCGAGTGTCGTAGGGGTGGGCGGCCTCTCAGCATGACAGCTCCACTCTATGACTGCGCCTTCATTCAAAAACCATGTGGCCCGCCAACGACGCGCCAGATGATGTGGGAGATGGTGACATGGTCAGGACCCAGGCCTGGCCTTTCTGAGACTCCTAGTCTGTTTGGAGAAGCAAATGAATACCCAAATACCTCTGCCAGAAGAGGAACTGTGGGTGCTCATGACAGGAATGGCACAAAGTGTAAGACAAAATGATGAAAGGAAAAGCTGGAAACCCCAACCAGTCCTTCCTCCTGGGGAGGAGGTGAGCCTGGGGCAGAGGGTGGTGGCGTTCGGCAGGGATGTTTCTTCTCCCTCCTTTGGGGGGTCACTGAATGGACAGGTGAACTGACGGGTGCCTGTTGAGGGCCTGCTGAGGCCCAGCCCATGGGTGATGGGCGCCCTGGGGGATGCAACGAGCGCCGAGGCACAAACTGTGGCACCTGGGACTCTAAGCCCACCAGGAAGGGATCAGGGAGAAGCTGACGCCCAGAGTGAATGGTCCGCAAAGGCAGCAGGGGCGGGGCGCTGGGTTGTGCACCCAGAATGGCAAGTGCTGTCGGAGAGCTATGTCCTCGTCAGCTTCTGTCCAGATTGTGCTGTGAAAGCCCGCTGTGCTGGCAGATGCCTGCTGGGCACGTCCTCGTGGACATGCACGCAGCGCTGTGCGGCATTCATGGTTTGAGCCTGGGGTAGGGAGGAGATGTTGGGCCTGCAGCTCAGTCCCTGAGAGCTGGCTTCCTCCTTTCTTGGGGGTCCATCTGAGGCAGGTCTGTGGAAGTCTGAGGTTTAGAGAGCTCTTACTGCCCCATGGGGGAACGGCGACAGCCCAGGGCGTCTGGCACCTTTGCTGGGGAGGAGGCCTGAGAAGAGGGGTGGGAAGCGCCGGTCCGGGATGCCAGCCCCTGCCCGCCTTCTGGAGGCTTTCCCTACCTCACCTCCATCCCCAGGCTCCTGAGCCCTCCTTGCTCTCTCAAACTCTGCTCCAAAGAAGGCAGCTCATCCCCAGGCCCCCAGCACCACCAGAGTTTCCCCACCTGGGAAAGGGTGGCTCAGGGAATAGCGTCCTCCCAACACCCATGTCAATGAACACAGAGCGGCAAAGGGCCAGCCCCACTGGAGTGAGTTCGCCCATCAAAGGTGGAAATGCAAGGGCTGCGTTAGGGCTGGGGAAAGGGGCATTTTAAGCCTCATCTTTCATTCTAAAAAGAAAGTCTTCACCCCAAGTTAAAATTGTACTTCAGGTGAAGGACTTACCTATTGGGGAGCACACTGAGGCTTCCTAATAAAATCAGAGAAGCCCGCCTAGTAAAAGGCTACCAGGAGCCTGATCTCCTCTCTTAAACCTAACCTCCCTTCCCACTGGGGAAGAAAAGCCCAAGTTTCTTGAGTAAAAGGCTCAGATCCCAGCACTTTGGGAGGCTGAGGCGGGCGGATCGTCTGAGGTCAGGAGTTTGAGACCAGCCTGCCCAACATGGGGAAACTCTGTCTCTAAAAATATAAAAATTAGTCAGGCGTGGTGGCAGGCACCTGTAATCCCAGCTACTCAGGAGGCTGAGGCAGGAGAATCGCTTGAACCTAGGAGGCTGAGGTTGCAGTGAGCTGAGATCTCGGCATTGCACTCTAGCCTGGGTGATAAGAGCAAGACTCTGTCTGAAGAAAAAAAAAGAAGGAAGGAAGGAAGGCTCAAAGGGGAAAAAGCAGACCTGCAGGAAACCCCTCCAGCCCAATCATGACTCCTAGGACCCTTTATAACTCCTGTGAGAGGCTGGAGGATACCCGACCCAGCAATGTGACTTGCTTCCTTCCACACAATTCTGAAACTTGTGACTTGGTCTGAAGGAAGATGGTACCACGATGCCTCTCCGTCCTCCGTCTCCTCCCCACCCTTAGCCTGGTGCCATTTTTTCTACCTGGGCGCCCATCCTTTCTTGCCTAGCCAGTGCCTGTCCCTCCTACAGGAAGCCTCCTCCAGCAGTCCAGTTCTCTGCTAGAAACCACAGAAACCAGCTCTGGCTGATTTAGGTAGAAGTGGAATTCATCACATCAGGTGCACACATTCTGGGAGGAAGGGACCCAGGCTGGGAGGCTGGACATCCTCCGCAGGACTGGTCTGGCAGGGAGGAAAAGTGCTGCCACCACTGCTGGGCACAGATACCCAAGTGCACCCCAGCCCCACTCACATGGCCTGCCAGAGCAGTTGCCACCTGGGATGCCTCCGAATCAGGCTGAGGCTGCCCACGCTCCTGCACCTGCTTTCTGAGTGGCGTCTGCCTGGCAGGGTTGAGGTCCCCCACCCCTCACTGTAGAAACAAGGGGGTCTGGCACAGTGAGTGCCTGGCATTTTCAGTGTCTCTGGTGGGGGATTCCTCAAATACAGGAAAGGAGATAAAGATCCCAGATGACAGATGGCATCCTCCCACGAGTGAGGCCATCTAACTCTGCTCTTTCCTCTTTCTTTCTTTCTTTCTTTCTTTCTTTCTTTCTTTTTCTTTCTTTCTTTCTTTCTTTCTTTCTTTCTTTTTCTTTCTTTCTTTCTCTTTGTCTCTCTCTCTCTCGCTCTCTTTCTTTCTTTCTAAATAAAAATAGAGACAGGGTTTTGCCATGTTGCCCAGGCTAGTCTTGAACTCCTGAGCTCAAGTGATCTGCCCACCTCGGCCTCCCAGAGTGCTGGGATTACAGGTGTGAGCCACCGCGCCCGGCCTGCCCGCACTCTCTCTGCTGCCTGCCTTCCCTGGCCCACACAATCTCTGAGTCTGATAACAGGCATTCAGGCTGTATCAGTCATTCAACGCATATTTGAGGGCCCAGGCCAAGTGCCAGGGTCTCATCCTTAGAAGAGTGTCCTGTACACATCACTTAAAACTCCGCTTCTCTCTGGGCAAAGGGTCAGCGCCCTTAGACTGCAACAAAACAGAGGCATTATGCAAGTTCCTAGATACCTCTTAAAAAGGAAGGCCTGGTGGGCTGAGGACCAGCGTAATAGCTGCCAGGCTCCTTCAGCATCAGGGACATTCCAACCGTCCCTCACACTGTAGTTCATTCGAAAATAACTTCCTAGAATAGACAGTGCTGTCAGCATCTTTCTGCTGACCATAGACTACTCTGGGCGGTATTTTGAAAATGAAACTGATGTATCAAAAGCTTGCAACAGGAAGCAGCAAGGTTGACTTGACTGCCTTTCCTTGTGGGGAGCCCTGGGCTGTGGGGAGCCCTGGGCTGTGACCCAGGGTCATGAGAGTGGGTCCCCTGGGCAGGCAGCAGGGACCAAAAGCTTAGTTCTCTGTTCCCCCACTGTCCCACTGAATGGCCACATAACCCTGGGCAAGTCGCCTGGGTCTGTTTCCACGTCTGTGGAACAAAGCTGGTGTTCGGTGCTCCCAACACAGCGGGTTAGAGGACCACAGTGGGCAAATAAAAGGCTACCAAGGGACATTCTCTCAGCGTTGCTAAATGGTTAGAGTTAATAGTGCGTTTGGCCTGGATTGAAACAAAACTAAACAACCCTCCACTTTTACTAAAGAAAATGAGGGCTCACCCAAAATAAGTAAACCCAGTCTCTGGAGTGAGTAAAAGCCCTTTTTTCTGGGTATTTTCACTGCTCTCTTAAGAAGGGCCTGACCCATCGCGCTCAGGGGAAATAAGCGCTGGGAGGAAATAAGGAAAATCGAACCGCGGTTTTAGGTCCGGGCTCTGGCAGGCACCGCCTCCGCCCCGCCTCGCCCCGCCTCGCTCCGCCCTGCGGCCCCCGCCGCGGCCCCGCGAAGGATCCGCCAATGAAGCGCCCAGGAACTGCATGACCTCATCAGGAGGCTCCCTCATTGGCTGCCGCCGCCGCGCCTGGTCGCCTCGTTCCGTTCGATTCCAGAAAGCCGCGCCGGCCCCAGTCCCCATGGGCTGAAGGCAGGTTGAGTTCTTCCCCAGGTCTGCGAGCCTCGAAGGCTTCTTTCAGACAGCAGACCCCTTAGAAGCGCAAGGCTGCTTTCTGACAAAGAATCAAGTGTTCCTTTCAACCAGCCAAGGGACTGGTTTTCTCGCTGACCCTTTGACAGGTATGTTCCCGGGATTTTGCTGGGACCTTCATCTTCCCCTCCCTACGTCCGTGACACATCTGGCTTCCCACTCGTTTCAGTCGTGTATTCCGTGGAGTTTTCTCTTGCTTCGCAGTAGATGGACTTCTGAAGCCCCACCTTACTGTTAAATGCCAGTGATCATCTCCCCCCACAGCTAACTCGGGAATTAGTCCACTGACACCCCCAGAGAGGGGACACGCCTTTCACAAGGTCACACGGCAGGTCAGTTACAGAGATGAAAATCAAATCCAGGTTTCCTAACTTCAAGAGTTTTTTCAGATGCCTTATTATTATTATTCGTTTTATTTTTATTTTTCATTTTTTATTTTTTTGAGATGGAGTCTCACTCTGTCACCCAGGGTGGAGTGCAGTGGAGTGATCTTGGTTCACTGCAATCTCTGCTTCCCGGGTTTAAGCGATTCTTCTGCCTCAGCCTCCCGAGTAGCTGGGATTACAAGTGCCCACCACCACACCCGGCTAATTTTTGTATTTTTAATAGAGACGGGTTTCATCATGTTGGCCAGGCTGGTCTCGAACTCCTGACCTCAGGTGATCCACCCGCCTCGGCCTCCCAAAGTGCTTGGGACTACAGCTGTGAGCCATCTCACCTGGTAATTATTATTATTTTTTTTTTAATTTGCTTCCTGAGAGCTCAGAAAGGAACCTCAGCTGTATGGGAGCACCCATATACCAATCCCATTCCAGCCACTCTCACTTTGACAGGACAGAATCAACGACCAGAGCCCAGGACCTCCTTGACTAGCACTCTCCTCTTACAAATAAGGAAACTGAAGGGTACCTGATCATGAACAAGCTGATGGGCAGCACTTGACCCAGACCTTTTACTTCTTACCCCTCCACCCCAGTTTGGACTCCCAAATGTGGGGAGGAATGGAATGCCCTACCAGTCCCCAGGGAATGGTTCATGCAGTCAGCATGGTTTTAGTACCTTTAGCATTTGATTTGGGAGAAAGATAATAACCAGAAGTGTCTGTATGCCTCACCAGCTGTCCAGCAGATCCCATAAACCTTCACCCCCAACCCTTCTGACCACCAAGTGCTTTGCTGCAGGAAAGGAGACCAGATTGTTGGGTTTTTCTCATCTGATGGTCGGGGGTGATCTGGGACTGCATATGTCTGAATACTGGGACCCTATTTTGAGTGCAAGAGTTTTGAAAACCCAGGACCACTTTGTTAGATGGTGAGGGTTGGTGAGCAGACTGGACCTGAGATCCTTTTTCAAGGCTTGGCTTGGGGGCAACATTCTCCAGGAAGACTTACTGGAGCACCCACCACAGTTAATTCCTGGCGTTCCTCTGGGTCCGGCTGCAGAGCTGTTGCTCACTTCTTTCCCCCACTAGACTGTGAGTTCCTTGAGGGATGGGACCATACCCTACACAATATTGTATCACTAAGGCCTAACACTGTGTCCGGCACATAGTAGGTACTCAATAAACGTTTGTTGAATTGAACTGTGGAAACCTTGCACCCTATTGGCCTTGTGCAGGGGAAGATCACTCACAATTCCTCACTGAAGCAGATCCTGTGTCTATCAGGCTCCTTCACACAAAATGAGAATTAGTTTCTTTTTTTCACAGTAACGTGTCCGAAGTGCAAACTTCAAACCTGTTTGCTGATACAACTCCCCAGGAACAACCAGGTCCCTTGTGCCCACCTAGTTCGTGATTTCTCTTTAAAACTCCTGATGTCAGCTGGGCGTGGTGGCTCACACCTGTAATCCCAGCACTTTGGGAGGCTGAGGTGGACAGACCACTTGAGGTCGGGAGTTCGAGACCAGACTGGCCAACATGGTGAAATCCCGTCTCTACTAAAAATACAAAAATTAGGCAGGCGTGGTGGCATATGCCAGTAATCTCAGCTACTTGGGAAGGTAAGGGAGGAGGATCACTTGAACCCCAGAGGCAGAAGTTGCAGTGAGCCAAGATTGTGCCACTGCATTCCAGCCTGGGTGACAGAGCAAGACTTTAATCTCAAAAAACAAACAAACAAACAAACTCCTGATATGTGAATCAACAACATCATTTAAATCAAACCATTCTGCCAGGCGCAGTGGCTCACACCTGTAATCCCAGCACTTCGGGAGGCCGAGGTGGGCAGATCACCTGAGGTCAGGAGTTCAAGACCAGCCTAGCCAACATGGTGAAACCCTGTCTCTACTAAAAAATGCAAACATTAGCTGGGCATGGTGGCAGATTCCTGTAATCCCAGCTACTTGGGAGGCTGAGGCAGGGAGAATTGCTGGAACCCAGGAGGCGGAGGTTGCAGTGAGCTGAGATCAAGCCACTGCACTCCAACCTGGGTGACAGAGTGAGACTCCATCTAAAAAAAAAAAAAAATTAAATAAATAAAACCATTCCACGTGTTTTCTTCTGTGCCTGGTCTGCTAGGAAGCTCAGAAATCAGTCTAGCCTTATGCTGAGGAACAGTCAGTCTCCTCCCTGTTGGCAGATACACCTTTCTCCCCCGTATCTGAATAGTTTCCCATCTTTACTTTGATGTTCATTTACAGATATAGGTGGGTATTTTATCACAAACCCAGTCTATGCCTTTTTTGGAGAAGATAGGACAGGTGGGGTACAGGGTAACACGGAAGTGTCCCCAGAACTCTGAGTGTGAGGAAAACACTCCTGAAGATTCCTATTACAGGCAGGGCATCACAGCTCATGCCTGTACTGCCAGCACTTTGGGAGGCCAAGGTGGGTGGATCACTCAAGCTTAGGAGCTCAAACCAGCCTAGGCCACAAAGCAAGACCCCCATCTCTACAAAATTAAAAAAAGTTAGCTGGACATGGCGGCGCTACTTGGGAGATTGAAGCAGGAGGATTGGTTGAGCCCAGGAGTTCAAGGCTGCAGTGAGCTATGATGGTGCCACTGCATGCCAGCCCAAGAGACACAAAGCAAGACCCTGTCTCTAAAAAAAACAAAGAAAGAAAGAAAGAAAAAGGGCAGACACGGTGGCTCATGCCTGTAATCCCAGCACTTTGGGAGGCCGAGGCGGGCGGATCACGAGGTCTGGAGTTCGAGATCATCCTGGCCAACATGGTGAAACCCTGTCTCTACTAAAAATACAATAAATGGCCGGGCATCTTGGCTCACGCCTGTAATCCTAGCACTTTGGGAAGCCAAGGTGGGCGGATCACGAGGTCAGGAGATCGAGACGATCCTGGCTAACACGGTGAAACCCCATCTCTATTAAAAATACAAAAAATCAGCTGGGCGTGGTGGCGGGCACCTGTAGTCCCAGCTACTCAGGAGGCTGAGGCGGGAGAATGGTGTGAACCCGGGAGGTGGAGCTTGCAGTGAGCCGAGATCGCACCACTGCATGCCAGCCTGGGCAACAGAGCGAGACTCCGTCTCAAAAAAAAAAAAGCTGGGCATGGTGGCTCATGCCTGTAATCCCAGCACTCTGGAAGGCTGAGGTGGGAGGTTGCTTGAGGTCAGGAGTTCAAGACTACCCTGGTCAACATAGTGAGACCCTGTCTCTAAAGTAAAAAACAGAACAACAACAACAAAAAACCCTCCTGTTACACAAAAGTTACTATTTTACAGGCTTAAACCAAAATCAGCTTAATTGTTATGGTGTCTACAGCCTGTGCAAGGTTGGAATGTATGGAGATAAGAAGTAAAAATTCACAGAGCTGGTCCAGCCTCATTCTGGGCAGGGGGAGATAGGCTTTGGACATGTGGATATTCTCAACTGTGGAGAAATGGGTTCAACAGCGGGACTGATATTGGGGGAACCAGCCCCCAATATTTCAACGTACATTCTTTCTATTTTCCCTAAGTGTCGGCAGGTCTGAGAAATAAAGAGAAAGTGTACAAAGAGAGGAATTTTACAGCTGGGCCTCCGGGGGTGACGTCACCTATCGGTAGGTCTGTGATGTCCGCCTGAGCCGCAAAACCAGCAGGTTTTTATTAAGGACTTTAAAAGGGGAGGGGGTGTATGAACAGGGAGTAGGTCACAAAGATCATATGCTTTAAAAGGCAATGAAGATCACAAGGCAAAGGGCGAAGCAAAGATCACAAGGCAAAGGGCAAAATTAGAATTACTGATGAGGCTCTATGTTCAGCTGTGCACATATTGTCTTGATAAACATCTTAAAACAACAGAAAACAGTGTTCAAGAGCAGAGAACCGGTCTGACCACAAATTTACCAGGGTGGGATCTTTTCCCCACCCTAATAAGCCTGAGGGTACTGTACTGCAGGAGACCAGGGCATATTTCAGTCCTTATCTCAACCATGTAAGACAGACACTCCCAGAGTGGCCGTTTATAGACCTCCCCCCAGGAATGCATTCCTTCCCCAGGGTATTAATTATTAATATTCCTTGCTGGCAAAAGAATTCAGCGATATCTCTCCTACTTGCACATCTGTTTATAGGCTCTCTGCAAGAAGAAAAATATGGCTGTATTTTGCCCGACCCCACAGGCAGTCAGACCTTATGGTTGTCTTCCCTTGTTCCCTGAAAATCGCTGTTATTCTGTTCTTTTTCAAGGTGCACTGATTTCATATTGTTTAAACACACATGTTTTACAATCAGTTTATACAATAGTGGTCCTGAGGTGACGTACATTCTCAGCTTACAAATATAACAGGATTAAGAGATTAAAGTAAAGACAGGCATAAGAAATTATAAGAATATTATTTGGGAACTGATAAATGTCCATGAAATCTTCATAATTTGTGGTCAGAGATTGCAGTTAAGACAGGCATAAGAAATTATAAAAGTATTAACTCTGGGAACTGATAAATGTCCATGAAATCTTCACAATTTATGTTCCTCTGCCGCAGCTCCAGCCGGTCCCTCCATTCGAGGTCCCTGACTTCCTGCAACAGACTGAGATGGCCTTCTGAGCTTTTCCAGGGCTGACGACCACCTTCTTGATACCTTCCCCTCTCTCGTTCTGAATCCGTGCCCACCAGGTAAGTTAAGGATGATTTTAGCTTTGCATGCTTCCTGACACTAAGAGTGGGGTCTCCTGATTATGAGATACTGGGGGTTGGCTTCTACTGCAAATGAGAGTTGGCATGGGATTGAAACAGTGGTCTCTGGTGGGCTTCATTAGTGGGACTAGGCAGAGCACCCTGGAACACTGACATATTTCTAGACTTGCAAAGCTGAAACTTTAGACCATGGTTTCTACACCTGACTCATGCTACCCAGGGCCCTCCCTGAGCGGCCAACTAGCCTTCTCCATCTGGCTGTCCCTCTCAGATGGCAACAGATGGTAAATTAGAAGCACCAGCTTTGGTGCCTATAGTGGAGTTGCCGAGCAAGTTTCCCACTGCTTTGTCCCTACAATGGGAATCATAGTTCCAGGCAGCTGGAAGTGGCTCTTTGGAAGAAAGTTAGGGGACCCTCAGGGAACTCCAAGGGGGAGGGGCACAGAGCCATCCTGAATCCATCCTCAGAAACCCCGCTCAAGACAATGATGGCACTGATGCAGCTTTTTTTTTTTTTTTTTAAGACGGACTCTGGCTCTTGTTGCCCAGACTGGGGTGCAATGGCGCAATCTTGGCTCACCATAACCTCCGCCTCCTGGGTTCAAGCGATTCTCCTGCGTCAGCCTCCCAAGTAGGTGGGATTACAGGCATGCGCCACCTCGCCTGGCTAATTTTGTATTTTTAGTAGAGACCGGGTTTCTCCACGTTCATCAGGCTGGTCTCAAATTCCTTCACCTCCCAAAGTGCTGGGATTACAGGTGTGAGCCACTGTGCACAGCCTAATGCAGATTTTATAAACAATAACCTTGTCCATTAAAGCAAACCTGCAGACTCGAGGTCTGATAAACCTGGAGGTTGGATAATTCAAGTGTAGCACAGTCATGCCATGGAATATTACACACCAGAGAAAAGAAGACACGACGCCATTTTTAGAAAGCTCAAAACAAGTGAAACCAAACGATATCGTGTATAGCAGGGGTCCTCAACCCCTGGACCACAGACTGGTACTGGCTAGTGGCCCATTAGGAACCAGGCCGCACAGCAGGAGGTGAGTCGTGGGTGAGCAAGCGAAACTTCACCTGTATTTACAACTGCTCCCCATGGCTCACAGTACTGCCTGAGCTCCGCCTCCTGTCAGATCAGCGGCAGCATTAGAGTCTCATAGGAGCACAAACCCTGCTGTGAACTATGCATGTGAGGGATCTAGGTTGCACACTCCTTATGAGAATCTAATGCCTGTCTCTTATCACCCCCAGATGGGGCCGTCTAGTTGCAGGAAAACAAGCTCAGGGCTCCCACTGATTCTACATGATGGTGAGTTTCATAATTATTTCATTATATATTATAAGGCAATAAGAATAGAAATAAAGTGCACAATAAATGTAATGCGCTTGAATCAGCCCAAAACCATCCCCCCACCTCCCCCTACCCATGGAAAAATTGTCTTCCATGAAACTGGTCCTTGGTGCCAAAAAGCTTGGAGACCTCTGGTGTATAGGGTTACATGTTGTACTCACCTTATAAGAAGTGGCAGAAAGCAAGTTTAGTGATAAAACTAGCTAAAAAACAAAGCAAGGGTATAACAAACACAAAAATCACAATGTAGTTAACTCTGGGATAGCCAATAGTTTCCCTGGTGTTCATCTTATTATTTTATTATGTAGGTGCCCCTTGATTCTGGGTATTTTTGTATGTATCAAATATTACATAATTAAAAGCCAGCCAAAGCCAGCTATCATGACTGCACTCTCATTACTCACGCCCCGGGCCTGCAAGCTGTGGTGTGGTTTCCAGGTTCCCCGTGAGCATCGCCGCAGCGACCGCCCACAGCACCAGCTGCTGATGGCTCACACCTCCTGGGGCTGCAAGGCCTGTCCCTGGCTCTGGCAGCGAGATGACAGGGCTGTTGCCCCGGCAGGGTGAGGCCAAAGGTTAGAGGTGATCATTCTTTCTGCTGGCACACTGAGGCCCCTTGTGGATCCCCGTTTCTGGGTTTCTGTCTCCCCCTTCAACCTGCCCATCGGCTTCAGACAGTGGATCTCCACTTCCCTGTGGGGCTGTTCACCAGGATGCTCACCTGCCCAATCCCAGCCCCTCCACCTTCCTTCAGCTCATTCATTCATTCAACCTGTATTGACTGAGTACTCACCATGCATCAGGCACCGTTCTCAGTGCTGGGAAATGCTGTTGTGAACAGAACCACACACAAATCCCTGCCCTCCTGGGGCTTTTGCTCTAGTGAGGGGAGGCAGATAATACACACTCAGTTAATAACCATAGATCAGGTGGGACAAGAAGAAAACTACAGCAGGGTGAGGGGGTAAGGGTGAAGGGAATGAGGGGGAGCAAAGGTGGACAGAGTGGTCGGGGAAGGTCTCTGTGAGGATGTGACCTCCCTCACTGCCTTCAGAAGGAAGGTAGAGAGGGACCACATGGGTTTCTGGGGAAGAACCTTCCAGGCCAGGTGAGGGAGGAGAAAGGGCAAAGTTATGACCCCTCCTCCCACCAGTGTCTCCTTCCCCTAAGCTCTCTCCATCCTACCCTGGCCACAATCCCTCTCTCATTCTCTCTCTCTGTTTTCTCTCTCACGCCCGCTCCCTTGCTGCTCACCTCTTCCCTTATTCTGATTGCACAGGGAATCCAGGCTTTCGGAGATGAGGACTGGGAGGTCTCCAGACCACACAAGCCCCCTATTTGCACTGGCCTTTGGAATGAGCCTACAGCCTGCCTCCACTCCTCCTGGTACCCCAGCTGTTCTCAAGGAATTGGCCAGAAGTCAGACTCCTTTCCCAGCTGTCCTCCACTTCTTTCCTGCCAGGCACCCTAGGCCCCATGGTGGGATTGGGCCTATAGGCTGTGATTTTCCACATCCTTGTCAAACCTGTACTACCTGAATGCCTAGAGGAAAAGATACTGCCTTAATTACTATTATGAGCACGAATGCCTTCTTACTCTTGAATTTAGCTGAGTGCTGCCTGCAGGTAAAGTCACCTGGAGAACCATCCAGGGACTTTGTCCTCATAGGATCACTTGTACCTCTCTAGGGTTGCTGTGGCAGCTGCCAGAGTGGCCCGGGCCATGGATGAGGGCCAGGATATGGAAAGCAGAGGCAGAAATGAGCCCAGAGGCCACAGGGCCCAGCTCTCAGGCTCCCACGGTGAAGCCCAGAGGGTTCCTTCTCTCTCCTGCTTCAGGCTGACAATGTTTGTCAGCCTCTGCTCCCAACCCCTATACCCAGCAACCTCTGCGCCCAAGCACATGGTCTGAAGAATATTCTGGTGTTGGGCCCCTGTAGGTGGCCTGCCGTGACGGTGGAAGCCTGGAACGTAGTGACATGGATTCATCATTGGGATGTTTCATCCTAAGGAAACGCACTCGCAGGTGGCTGTAGACCTTGGGGACTCCAGCCTCGTTCATTTAAGCTCCCACAATGTTCCAGGCCCTATGCGGCTTGCAAGGGGCAGAGAGACACAGAATGACAGCCGACATGGCACTCTATTGGTGCACTGGCACTGTTTTTTTTTTTGAGATGGAGTCTTGCTCTGTCACCCAGGCTGGAGTGCAGTGGCATGATGGAGATGCAACCTCTACCTCATGGGTTCAAGCGATTCTCCTGCCTCAGCCTCCCGAGTAGCTGGGACTACAGGTGCCCACCACCATGCCCGGCTAATTTTTTTGTATTTTTAGTAGAGACAGGGTTTCACCATGTTAGCCAGAAAGGTCTCGATCTTCTGACCTCGTGATCCACCCAAACTGCTGGGATTACAGGCGTGAGCCACAGAGCCTGGCATGCTGGCACTGTTCTCTGTGCCCTACCTGTATTTCCTCATTTCCTCCTCAACGAGCTCCAGGGGGAGGTATCACAGCCAAGAAATGGAGGCCTGGGGATGTTAAATGCCATGGCCCAGGCAGCATCCGTCCTCATGAAGCCACCTTATCAGGTAGGGAGGCAGACAGGTGGCCCTCATCATTTACCTTCCAGTGTGGCAACTGAGGCAGTGTATGCGTTAGTCATGATTAAGACCCTGCCCCTTCCCAGAGGGAGATGGCAAGTGCTGTCACACAAGGTCTGTCAGATGTTGAGCAAGGCTGCCCAGTAACCTTTGGCCCGTGTCTGAAAGAAGGCACAGGAATCTGTCTCCTGGTCCAGATGGAGAACATTCCCAGCAAATCTGGAGAGGCAGACTGGAGTTGGGAGAACAGGAGGGTGTCAGGAGAGAGGAAACATCTCCTGTGGAGATTTCTTCTCCTTCCCTTCCTGCTCCCTCTTGGTGGGAGCTAAGGGCCAGGGCACTAAAGGGTCCCCTGTTGAAACTCTAACGTTCTAGTTCCCCTTTCCCTGGGCTGTTCACAGTGTCCAGGGCCTGTCAGCTCAACTTCCATCACCTTGGCAGTCCCTGAGGCACCTGAAAGTGATACTGGTCACATCAGAACACATCTCCTTATCTTTCCTCCTCACCTCTCTTAAATGTCTGTGATTCAGCCTCCTCATTGGTAAACTGAGGTCCACAGTGTGTGTTCTTCATCAACTCCGGTGGTGGGGGAGTTGTGGTGGGGATAAGAACCTGCGTGTGACTGCTCTTGGAAAGTTGGAGTAAGGGCACCCAGAAGGAATGACGACGACCCCTCAGTGCCTCCTTGTGACTGCGGGCGGGCTACGGAACCTTCCAGACTGACCGCTTCACTCTCAAATGCAGGACCCAGAATCCAACACTGCCACCACCACAGCTATTTCCCTGGCAGTATTCTCAACACTGCAGTCACAGTGATAGTCCAAAGTGTAGGTCTGATCATGCCACTCTTCCGTGAAAAGCCCTGCAGGGCTGCTCCATGTCACCAGAGTAAAAGTCAAAGTTTTTTTTTTTTTTTTTGAGACGGAGTCTCTCTCTGTTGCCCAGGCTGGAGTGCAGTGCTGCCATCTCAGCTCACTGCAAACTCCGCCTCCCGGGTTCACACCATTCTCCTGCCTCAGCCTCCCCAGCAGCTGGGACTACAGGCGCCTGCCACCACGCCCGGCTAATTTTTAAAAATATTTTTAGTAGAGACGGGTTTCACCATGTTAGCTAGGACGGTCTCGATCTTCTGACCTCGTGATCCGCCCACCTCGGCCTCCCAAAGTGCTGGGATTACAGGCGTGAGCCACCGTGCCCAGCCAAAAGCCAAGGTCTTATAATGGCCCACCAGGCACTACACAGAACTCCCCCCAACCTCTCAGAGTTCATCTCCTGCCTCGGCCCCTCTCCTTCGCTCCACCCAGCCCCTCTGGCCTCTGCCATTTCTCCATCCCACCCAGTGTGCTCTAACCCCAGAGCCTTCGCACTTGTGGTGTTCTCTGCCTGGGATACTCCTCCCCCAGAGATATCCTCATGGCTCCCCCTTAGTTTCTTCAAGTCTAATGCCACCTCCGTGAGGCCATCCCTGACTGCTCCATTTTAAATGGCAACACTTGCTCAGGCTGAAGTGCGTTCACTGCTCACTGCAGCCTCCACCTTCTGGGCTCAAGCAATCATCCTGCCTCAGCCTCCTGAGTAGCTGGGATTACAGGCATGAGCCACCCGCCTGTCCCAACTCTTTATGTTCCTCACTGAACCCTTCCCTGTTTCTTCAAATAGCCATTTTTACAGTCTAGTTTACTATTTTATTTTGCTTATTTTTCCCCCAAACTGGAATGTAAGCTCTCTCAAGCCAGGAATTTTGTTTTTTTAGCTCACAATTCTATCTCTGGCACCTAAAGCAGCGCCCAGCACATAGTAGGTGATCACTAGACAGTTGATTCACTGAGAGAACACAGAGGGACACCTCCCTAGGTCTCAGTCTAGGTGGCCAAGACAGGAGGCCCCACCAGTGACTGTGCCTTCCCCTCAGGGGGTCCGAGAGCTGGCGTGTGAGAGTGGCAGCCCCTGCCTGGCTCCGCTCAGCCATCTAGGGCACCCCTGGCAGGTGCTGTGCCTTGCCTGGGATGGAGGAGTCTCCGTCCACCTCTGGCTGGGTAGGGGCTAAGGCTGCGGGGCAGAGGGGCATCTGCTAAGGGGCACAGGCCAACCGGGCCCCAGGGAACCGCTGGCCACCTGAGATGGCAGGACAAACTCGGGCAGGCCTCCCCCCACCCCTCACACCTGGCTCACTGGTCCCACCGGGCGGTGACCTTCCCCAGGGTCACTGCCCTTTCTTGGCCCTACTCCTGGGGATCCAACCCGCTCCCAGGCTGTCGCTAGCTCCCTCCCGATCCTCTCCCTCCCCTTCATCCTGCCCAGACCCCTACCCCACCAGACCCCTCACCCGCCCTTGGTCAGATCTCTCTCCTACCCCGCTCCCCCACCCCCATCCCCACTTCCCCTCGGTCTTCACCCCGCCCCAGACACCCCCAGTCCCTCTCCCTGTCCTCCATGCCCACCCCGCCTTTCCTCCCTCGGGCCCCTGTCTCCCGCCCTAGCCCCCGCCCCTGCCCCAGCCCTGGCTCCGGCCCCGGTCAGTGCTGCGGCTCCGGCCCTGGCCGGCAGGGGCCGCTCCTCGCGGCGCCCGGGGCCCCGCCGCGCCCGCCGCCGCCGCCCGCCTCCCCGCCCCTTCCCCAGCCGGCGCTCCCGTTACGCCGCGGAGCCGGGAGCCGGAGCCCGAGCCCGCGGCGGCGGCGGGAGGCGGCGAGGGGGCGCCGCGGCGGCGGCGGTGGGGCCTGCGGGGCGGGCGGCCGGGCCCGGCCAGGCCGCGATGGCGACCAAGAAGGCAGGCTCGCGGCTGGAGACGGAGATCGAGCGCTGCCGCTCCGAGTGCCAGTGGGAGCGGATCCCTGAGCTCGTCAAGCAGCTGTCGGCCAAGCTCATCGCCAACGGTACGCTCCGGGCGCGCCGGCCTGGGCTGCGGGGGGCGCCGCGGCCTCCGCGGGAACGGGCCCCCGAGGCGCGGCCGGGCGCGGGGCGCGGGCAGGGGCGCGGCCGGGCCGCGAGGGAGCTGCGGCCCAGGGGATGTGCGCGGGACCGGGGCCTGGGGGAGCCCGGGTGCCCCGGAGTCACGCGGTGTGGGGGCCCGGGGGGGCGCCAGGGGCTGTCCCGGCGCCTGGGGTTCAAGCGTGCAGGGCGGGCTTCTGCGGAGTCTGGGGTGTCCGGGGGTCTCAGCGAGTCCGCTGCTCCACTGGGACCACAGGAGGTCAGGGGCCGGCCTGGGGCTTCCAAGAAGTTGGAGGTGATGGGGTGAGGGGGTCCCTCAGGACATGGGTGAAGTCCACAGTGTGTGTATGGTGTGCTCAGGGAATCAGGATGTGTTTATGGGGTCTTGAGAATGGGGTGTTGTACATAGACCCCTGGGGAATCTGGTTTGTAAACATATGGTGTTTAAGGGGTTCTGGGTGGAAGCGCAGACTCGAGGTGTGTGGGGTGGTGGTAGAAAGCAGGCTGGGATGTGCGTCCTGGCGTTCGGAGAAGTAGCATCAAGGCTGCCGACCTAGAGAGGTCAGGGTTGGGAATAGAGGAGAAATAGAGTCAGGGGGACCTGGAGGGAGAATATTGTGGAGCGAGATGGGAATGTGGTTGAAGAATGTCGGGAGATGGAGTTGGGTGGGTGAGGGGTTGGTGCCTGGGCCAGAAGGGGGTCTGAGGCAGCCTCTGAGTAGGAGCCTGGTGCCTGGAGTTGGTTCATGACCCCTTTAACTGGATTGGTTCTTGTACCCAATCAAATAAAATTGCATCCAGAATCCCATTCCAGTGCACAGCTCCACGTGGCCTTATTTGTTTTGGAAGCGAGTATCTTTAATATTTGCTTGTCTTTTAGTACCCGCCTAAAGCGCAGGCACCAGCACACCGTGGCCAGAGGGCAGAGGGTTTGTCTCATTTCATCCTGGGCTTCCCCAGGCCCAGTGAGCACATGTTGGCTGAACAAATGAATGAAAGAGTGAATGAATGGATGGCGGGGCTGCTCTAAGAAAGGACATCTGCACTATTTTCAACCTTCTCACTTCAGACTACCCAGAAAGGAGAGGGATGTCAGGTGTCCTCCTGGAGGGTGGTTTATGTTTGTGTCCTATGGTATTAGTGCCTGGAAATTAGAACTTGGTTTTGCGCACTCTCAATGATGGATGCATGCTGTGGGCAGGTACCTTCTGGGTGAACGCAGGTGCCATGGTGTGTCAGGGGCATGGAGATAGCACCGACCCTACACGGGCTCCACTTGGTGGAAAATGTGGACCCTTCTCAGTTATGTCAGCCTTTGAGGAGATGGTGTTCAGTGCCCTGGGCCCCAGAGGCAGCTTGCCTTTGCCCTCCGTGTCGGGCTCACCTGCTTCTCCGCTTACCTGCAGCATTTTCTCTTTTCCTCTCGGAGTTGCACAGTCCTGGGTCTACTTTGTGGCTTCCCAGCGGTGTAGGCATAATGACACCTTCTGTGCAGGTTGATTTTAGGATTAAATGGGTTTATTTGTGAGCCTCCTGGTCTTTTTTCTTCTGAATCCACTTGTTTCCTGCTGTCTTTGCTTATTCATTCACCCAATATTTGCGTGCCCACCTGTGCCAGTCACAGAACAGTGGTGAACAGCACTGACCAAGCCCCTGCCCTTATGCCCTCACCCTGCTCTCAGGAGGCAGGTGATAAGCAAATATGGAAATAAATAAACAGCACAGCTTCAGATAGTGAGAAGTGATTGAAACAAAACAGATGAGTTAATGTGATTGAGAATGACAGGCAGATGAAGGGGGACTCAAGCTATGATGGTCCCTGGAATGAGAGGGTAGATGGGTTTTTGGTGGCCTGGGCCCTTCCTATTCACCTTCATGGCCCCCGAAAGGCTTAGCTCTCTTCCCAGGGGCTGCTCCCAATGTCCTAAGATGCAGTCATGAGTGGGGCTTGGGGATCGGGGTTTGCGGGGGCACTGTGGTCCATGGGTCTGTGTGCAAGTTCAGTTTGGGGAAACTCATGGGACATAGATTTTTGTCCTAGAGACTCACATGGTGAGTGGTAGCCATTGATGGCAAAAAGTTACCCGGACTTGAAAAGATCAGACAGAGTGAGTGCTCAGGAAAATAAAACGATGAAGCCAAGAAAAAGATGAAACTAAACTAGAATGATTGTGGCTCTCCTTTGGTGTTTGCAAGAGGGGCCTTCCCTCCGTTTGACTGGTGAGGCCTTCCCACTCTCGGGCTGGTAGAGGGACTTCTTCCTGGCTTTTGGGGGCACCGGCTCCCCCATAGATTCTCGGGTGCATGAGCACAAGTTCTGGGCAGATTTTGCAAAATCCTGAAGTTAAAGCATCTTCTGCTTAGAATAAGGAAAGCAAGTGAATGTCACGTTTGTCACACTAAGACAGTTACCATGAAAACAACCACAGGCGAAAAAAAAAAAAAAAGAATACAGTGTTTGGAGCCAGCCAGATGGGGGACTGATTCTTGTGACCTTGGCCACTTCTTGACTTTGTGACATTGGCCAAATCACTTAACCACTCTGAGCCTCAGTTTTCTCATTTTAGAACGGGATTTAAATGACTTACCTTGCAGGGGTTGTTATGAGGGTTAAAGTAGCTAATGTCTCTCAGGGCCAGCCACTCATTCCTTCCTTCCTTCCACAAAGATTGAGTACCTGCTCTGTGCTAGCCACTGTTTTAGGCACTGGAAATACACTGGTAAACAAAACAGACAAAAATGGCAAAAATCTCAGCCCTTATGAAACTCACATCCCAGTAGGAAAGGGGCAGGGAGACAGATAATCAATATAATCATTAGGTAAAGTTTACAGGGTGTCAGATGGTGGTCAGTGCTATCAAAGAGAAAAAGGGGAAGGTGAATAGGTGCTTTGGAGTGGGCTGGGAGTGGGGGTTGCAGGAACTACTAGTTTAAATAGGGTGGCCCTGAAAGGTGTCCCCAAGAAGGCAACATCTGAGATGAGACCTAAGGAGGTGGAGAAGCATGTTCTAGGGAGGGAACTTCATGGGTAGAAAGTGGCGGGGCCTGATAGGCCGAGGGTAAGGCTTTGGCTTTCCTGTGAGTGAGACAGGGCTATGGGAGAGTTCTGAGCAGAGGAATCCCTCCTTCCCAAAGCTCCCACTTGTAGTGGGCTTCCCCACCCAGCAGCATTAGCTCCTTACGGGAAGGAAGCGTGGCAGCCCCTCCCCGTTAAGGACTCTAAATAGTGGACACTTTCAGAGTGTACTGCCCCAGCCTGGCTCCTTTGAGATGAATTGGTTTAGATGTTTTGCCAAGAGGTGGATAAGGAAGAAAAGGACAAATGCCAAGTTGAAAAGTGAACCCAGAGGTCTGTCTTCTTCCTCGTACCCTACCGTAGTCACCATTTTCATTGCACCATCTCAAAAAACCCAAATGTGGTGGAACCTAGCTGTGCACCAGACCCGGGTGAGTCCCACTGAGAGAATGGTCACCTAAGTTAAGGGTGGGGGTGGGAGACAGTCCCCCGGAAGCCTAGGCCCTCGTGGGCTGAAGTGTGGCCTGGGGATGAGTGGCAGGGGCACCACCGGGAACCTGTGAGAAATGCGGATTCTTGGGCCGGCTTCAGACGTGCAGGGTTAGAATCCACATCTCAGCAAGGTGTCCAGGGGTTTGGGGGACTCAGAGAAGCCTGAGGTGCCCTGGCTTGGAGCTGAGGCAGCAGCCTGAGCGCTCAGGGATAAAGACAGAGCTGCACATCAGCTTCATGTGGGCTCACAGGTCGGTCCTGGTCTCTGGGAGGACAGGCCCAGCTGTCCTCTCTCTACAGAATGTCACCCTCCAGCCTCCCAATGATGAGGTCACCACTGTGTGTGAAAGTGCAGTGACCTGGCACCGGGTCTAAAATTTGGACCTTACCTGTAGTGGCTAGGTGATCTCCAGCCAGGTTCTTAGCCTCTCGGAGCCTGCCTTTCCTCCCTGCTCAGCCAGCTCAGAATGCCCACTCTCAGGGCACGTGTGAGGATTCAGTGGGATGGTACCTGTCAGCCAGGGCACATGGTCATAATGGGGTTGGTTCCCTGCAGCTGACCCCTTGTGACCCTGGGCAAGGTAGGCCAGGTCCCAGCTGTCAGCCTGGCAGGGAAAAAAGAGAGTGGGGGACCAAGAAATGACACAGTTGAGCTAGTGCCCGGTCAAGACTCCCACCTATTGCAATGACAAACAGGCACATTGGAGGTCTGCGACTGTCCTGACGGACGGCTGCTCCCTTTTCTGAGGCAGTGTGGCTTCCCGCCTTCCCCAGCCTGTTAATCTTCTTAGGCAAGCTCGGCGACTGAGTTCACTTAGAAAGATTAGGCCCCAAATGGTAGCTTCTCCCTTAGGAGATCATTGCCTGTCGGATCCTATAAGATTTTGAGACATTTTAATTACCTCGTGGTGACGGGTAGGTAGGGAAATGGTGCCTGAAACAAAGAGTATTTCTGGGGCATAGTTTGGTAAGCAAATGTTTTCAGGCCATGAAGAAGAGGATGTGGAGATCTGTGTTGTTTTAAGCACGGGCATCCACAGTGATGTGGCTTCCCCTTGGTGGAGGGTGCAGGGTCCTGGGCTCCTAGACGACACCTGGTCATGCACACCCTCCTGTGAAGAAGAGGAGTCGGGGTGGACTATGGTCCTCCCTGGCTGGCCTGAGGGTCTTCTCTGGAAACAGGACTGAGGTTTAACTGAGAGTCACTGCTGTGGGGTGAGGCAGCCCCTGTTGTTTAGAGGTGGCTTCTTTGGACATACCTGGGGCATCACAGACTCCTGGGAGCCCAACTCCTCCCAGAATGTGGGGAAGGACACCAGTGAGATCTCTGGTGACCCACTATTATGGCCTTTCTGGGCCAGTCTTCCTGCTTTCAAACACTCTGTCCTCTTGTCATCAGAAGACCACACCTTTGTGGCAGACCATATGTCCTGATTTTTGGATTCAGAAGACTCATTTATTTGACAGTGACTGATTGATGGCACTGAGCTGGGATTGGGGCTCGTGGCCATGGTAGTCAGGGCAGAAGGATTTGGATTTCTTGTGGCTGTGCACAGTGGGGCTGGGGCTGTGCAGCTCGTCCTCAGCCTCATCCATCTGCTTGGTCTGGCCAACCTTTCCAGCATGTCCTTATGTCACCTGCTGCACTGCCTTCATTCCCCCGACTTCCCTCGGCTACTTTGGCCTCCTGGACCCTCCCACACACCTTGCTTATTGTCTGTGCACCTTTGCTCACGCTATTTGACTCTGGAATCCTCTCTGCAGATCAAAAGCCTACCCATCTGTCAAGGTCTGGTTCAAGTTTCTCCCAGCTGTCCTTTCATCACAGAAAAGGCTGTTTGCCTTACAGAAGACAATCATACAATGTTAGAACCAGAGAAGACCTTACAGATTATGCTGTGTAGCAGTTTTCAAACTGTGCTGTCAAGGAACCCCTCTGGGAACATGCTTTAGGGCTCTGGTGGTTGGGTGAGCAGGCCTCACTCGCTGGAGCAGTTACACTTTTCCTTAAGGTTTCCTTTGAAGGAAGGGCTAATACACTTTTAAAACAAAGAAGCTTGAAACCCATTGATGTAGTCCAACCTCTTATAGATGACAAAACAGTGCCAGAGAGGGAGATGTCTTCCTTAAAGCCACCAACCAGCAAGTGGCAGAAGCAAGCACAGTGGGTAAGAGCCCTGGCTTGGAGTTGGGTTGCTTGATTTCAAAGCATGGCTCACCTGCTTCCTATGGGGGGTAACCTTCAACTTGCAAAGCCCCCTTTGGTGACACAACATCCAAAACCCTTTTTCGGAAGCCCTTGGGGCCAGATGTATTTCAGAATGCAGAATTTTTTGAAACATGTTATGTTTACTGGGCATTATGTGACATTCCCAATGGGGTCTGGGGCGGCATTTTGTAATAAAATGGGTCAGTATTTCTGCATCAAAGCATATGAGCAGTCACTGCAAAAGGGAGAAATAGACTATAAATAGCCTCACATGGGTTCAGTTGAGGTTTCTGCCATCCCATAAATGATTAACAACAAAAAACAACTTTTGGTTTTTAGAGAGTCCTGGATTTCAGAAACTGTAGGTAAGGTATTATGAACCTGTAATAATAGTGCCAAACTTATAGGGAGGTTGTAAGGATCAAATGAAGAAAAAACCAAAATACCTAAAAGTGCTTCTTAGTGCCTGCATAGAGTGAGCCTTCACTAGCTACCAGCTGTTTTCTGTTGCTGGTGGTGGTGGGTGTTATCCACTCCCATCTCCCAGCTCAGGGCTGTTTCCCTCCCCTACTCCACCGATTTTGGCATGTGCCTTGTCTTCTTACCAAATGGTCAGCTTCTAGAGGGCCAATTCTACCTTTCTGGCCCCATGACATGGAGTTGGGCTCACAGCACATGCTGTGTTGAATTGGCTCGGCTTTCATGAGCAGTTGGAACAGGTGTAAGTAAGGAAGTCAGGCCGAGGGTTTTCCAAAATGGAAGCGAGGGCCAAGTTACATCAATATTACGTGATGACTCTGGCCCTGAGAAATGGCGTCCTGCAAGGACAAGTGTTTGCCCTTGGGGTTGGTGGGGTCTTGTGAGTCAGGGCCAGCCAGAGGTTCCCTGGTTGTCAATCCAGCATTCTCCACCGCTGTCTTCCAGCTCGGACTCCCACCCATTTTCCTCCTTGATTGGGCCCAGTTTTGTTCAGCTGTCAGCAGTGGTGCTGTGTGCTTCACTGTAGGGGCCCTGGCCCCAGTAGATACACTCCCTTGCTTGTGATTGGCTGAAGTGCAAGCATGTGAATTAGTTCTGACCAATGAGACGTCAGGGAACATTTGCTCAGTGGAGGGGCTTCTGGGAAAGATTTCCTTTTGCTTAAGGGTGACATCCATGCTTAAAAGGGAAGAAGTAGTCTCTCTTTTTCCCCTGGAAATCGTTCATATCTTTGAGGCCTGGAGCTGTGGCCATCTTATGGCCATGAGGGCACCTGACCCAGGAGTAAGGCAGACCCAAGGAGGGTGGCGGTGCAGAGAGACAAGAAGAATCTCACTCGATTATATCACCAGGCTGCTGATGGCAATTGGGCCTGGAGCAGCCCTTCTCTGGACTTCCTGTTATGTGAGAGAATAAATTCCTTCTTGTTGAAGCCACACTGAGTCAGGCGTTTGGTCGTTACTGGCTGCTGAAGGCGTTCTAACTGGTACACCTCTTACTTACCCAGAGCATCCCTGCACCCCAGCTGCCCGGCCAGCTGTGCCCTGGGCACGCAGGAATGGCCTTTGGTTCTTATTCACGTTGGCCACACGTGGGTGGATTCCTGCCCCTCTGAATGACCTCATGCTTGGTAGATGGTGGCGGGTTGCAGGCCTTTGACATGCGTGAAAGCCAGTGTCTCCCACCTGGGAAGCCCAGGAAGAGGGATGAGGTTTTCTGAGACCTCAAAAGCATTCCCATCAGCCACCAAGACAAGGATGAGCGGATGTCTGACCCAGAGATAGGTCAAATGGGTGCCATATAAAATATGAAAGACGGCCACAGCCACAGGAAAGCTAATGGAGTGGCTGCAGCCCTTCCACCCATGGGATTTGTCTGTCCCTGCTCATCAAGTGTGGCTAGTGGTGGCAGCACCAGAACCATGTAGAGCAGATCTGGTCTGGTCCTTTTAGAGGCCACCAGGCCTGGAGTCAGAATCTTCTGCATTTGCCCTCCAAGCCACCTTGTACACATCACATGATCATCTGAAACTGTAGCTGTCCTGACTTGATGAGTGTTAAAATAGTGCTAGCAGGGAAGAAGAATGAACTGCATTTCTTGGGTCTCTCTCTGTCTTTCTCTCTCTCTCTCTTCATTTTTTCTGTAGAGACGGGTTTCCCTATGTTGCCCACTCTGGTCTCGAACTCCTGGGCTCAAGTGATCTTCTTCCCTCGGCCTCCCAAAGTGCTGGGATTACAGGCGTGAGCCACTGTGCCCAGCCTCTTGCGTCTCTCTTGTGTGCCAGATTCTGGCTATGAACTTTTACACAGATCTCAGTTAATCATCACAACAAGCGAATGATGTCAGGGGTAATTCTCATTCAGGGCTTGAGTAGACTGAGGCTAGAGCCGTTAATTGAACTGGATTCTAGCCCACTTCCAACTAGTTTCACTGTTCTTCTATTACACTAATGTTTTTCTAAACTGATTGGATCAAAGAATCACTTCTAGACAGCTTGTTAGAATCCAGATTGCAAAGCCCCACTCCCAGAGATACTGATATAGTAGGTCTAGGGTGGAGCTGGGGTTCTGCATTCTTAAGCTCCCAGTGTTGCAGGTATGCAGCATGCTTTGAGCCAAATACTAAACTAAGTGTAGTTTATAGATTACCAGACATCTTGGCTGAGGGTGGTGATTCTCTCGGCCCAAGGTAGAAGCTGGAAATCTACATTTGTAAACAGCCTCAGTTAGTTTGAGTAGGCAAGTGTGGGAGCCTTTGCTCTGAACCACAATGGTTAGCATTTAATGTGCACCTACTATGTGTGGGCACAGCACCAGGTATCAGAGGGGCATCAGAAGAAATAGAGTGAGCAGGTCACCAGGCAGGGAAACTTACAGTTCAGGATTGTCGCTCAACCTCTGGGCAGCAGGGTCCCCTGGGGGCTAGTTAGCAACTCAGATGGGCAGGCTGGGCCTGAGCTTCTGCTTCAGGAGGTCTTAGTGGTTTAGGGACTCAGGAAGCAGGATCCCAGGGCCCCAAGTGATTATGGTGCCCGGAGTTCTAGGACCAGACTTTAGACGTGGTTGTCCGAGTGGGAGACAGAATGTGACCCTGTAGCCTGAGGACAGCAATGACAGCATTGCTTACAAGCACAGAGGGTGCAGCTGGGAGCCTGGAGAGGTCAGACTCAGTGGCAGTGAGTGGGTAAGCAGGGCCTGGCAGGGCACCAGGAGGAGGATCTTGGGCAGGGTGGTGGCGTGAGGGTGACCAACTCGTCCTGGTTGGCCTGAGACTTTTCTGGTTGTAGCATCCAAAGTCCTGAGTCCCAGAAGCTCCCTCAGTCCTGGGCAAGTGGAACGGTAGTCTTTCAGGTAGATAGAGGTATTTTAGCAAAGGGGAAAGGAACCCCGGGCAGGAGAAAGCAGTGGGCTTTGCCCTGTTAGACCTGGGTTCAGATCTCGGTTCTGTCACTTCCTGCTTGTCTGGCCTCAAGTGAGTGAGTGACTTAACTTCTCTGAGCCTCACTCTTTTTGTTTTTGAGATAGGGTGTCACTCTGTCGCTCAGGCTGGAGTGCAGTGGTGTGATCACGGCTCAGTGCAGCCTCAACCTCGCAGGCTCAAGCAATCCTCCCACCGCAGCCTCCCGAGTAGCTGGGATTACAGGCAAGCACCACTATGCCCAGCTGATTTTTGTATTTTTTGTAGAGATGAGGTTTCACCATGTTACCCAGGCTGGTCTCGAACTCCTGGGCTCAAGTGATCTGCCCACTTTGGCCTCCCAAAGTGCTGGGATTACAGGTTTGAGTCACTGTGCCTGGCCTAAGCCTCACCTTTATCTGCAAGGTTATTTTGTGGAGTAAATGAGACAGTGCAGTTTCCGGCACCAGCATTATTTGAAAGCAGCCTGACTGAGTCAGGAGTCTTGTGTGTGGAAGTAGGATGGAAAGGTTCAGATGCTCGGTTTCTTTGCAAAGGGTGCAGGGGGCAGGTGGGCTGATAACAGCAGCAGTGATAGTGGATGTAGCAAGCCCTGCAGCGGGGAGGTGGGGTTCTGGTTGTACTGATTGTGACTCAGGCCCAAAGCTGAAGCAGCGCGGTGTTGGCTGGGTCACAGAACGAGGCAGTGCAGAACACGGGCTTCAGCCCACGGCTGCCAGACTCCACAGTCCTCCTCCTCCAGCCGTTCATTCAGTGCTTTGGCGAGCCCAGCACAGAATGTGGGGGTGCTGTATGTGTAGCGGGGATGCAGACAGGAATGTGACCACTAGACTCTCAGCCCCGGGAGGGCGAGGCTTTTTGCTGGTTTTGTTCATTGCTGTATCCCAACCACCAGTAACAGTGTCTGGCATACAGTTGGTGCTCAATTAATTATTCAATGAAACGGAATTGTTGACTTTTTTTTGTGTTCGTGTCAAGTACTTCCAGGAACAGAGAAGAAACTCTTAAGTTTTTTCTTTCTCATCTGATCAAATCTTTGCATGTCAGCTGCTTATCCTGCATGGGAGGAACCAGGAGGAAGGGCAGTCCCTTCCAGAGGCAAAGGCCACAGCCCCACCTTCCCCGGGGGATCAAGGAGGCCAAGTGCCCCTGGGCATTGAGCTGTGCCCGCCGCAGGGCTCACAGGAGTGACTCTGATGAGCTGAGGCAGGGCACGGACCCCCTGCAGGGCGGCTAATTCCCCATATCTCTTTGATGAGAGTCTCACTAGTGGTCTCTATTCGGCTTCAGGCTTTATCTCTGTATACAAGTCGTTGGGAGCTGGTTATTGCAGCCTCACTTAAACCCCAAATAATGCCCGAGGGAAAAGCGAAGCCAGCTCTGGGTACCCTTGAATCCCTCCTTACCCCTGTTCCAACCTTGCAGATAGAGGTGAGGTTTAGGCCGGGCGCGGTGGCTCATGCCTGCAATCCCAGCAGTTTGGGAGGCCACGGTGGGTAGATCCCCTGAGGTGAGGATTTCGAGACCAGCCCGGCCAACATGGTGAAACTCTGTCTCTACTAAAAGTACAAAAAAATTAGCCGGGCATTGTGGTACACGCCTGTAATCGCAGCTACGCGGGAGGCTGAGGCAGGAGAACAGGAGAATTGCCTGAACCCGGGAGGTAGAGGTTGCAGTGAGCCGAGATCGCGCCACTGCACACTACCCTGGGTGACAGAACAAGACACCTTGGCCTCTGCCCTTGAGGAGTTTACTTAGATTCATTACTCATCGAGCTCTTACTGAACACCTACTGTGTGCCAGCCACTGGCCCGAGGCCCTGGACTGATGTCTGAGATGCACCTGTAACTCTTAGCAGACCTGGGCACGTGCTCAGGACTGGGAGTGGCTGTGGGCGTCCACCCGAGACCTGGTCCCACGCCGAAGACTGTTGGTGTCATCTCCAGGGTGGCTGTGTAGCCCTGCCTGCCTGGGGCTCCGGGTGAGTCCTGGCTTGCTGGCGGGGCTGACGGAATGCCCATGACCTTCCCTCCCTGTGGCTTTTGTGGACCTGCATGGTGGACACTTGCTGAGCAGCCTTCCCCAGAGAGGGGTTCAGGTCCCCTCCACCGCCCCTCTGTGGTCCTCATCTCTCCGCAAATGCAGATGGGCTCAGCCCTTTTGCTGTGAGGCCTGGTTCCCTTGAGGAACTACCCCCCTGGCCCTTGCAGGCCCGAAGCCTAACAGGAAGCAGTGTTTTCTCTGAAGTGAGCTAGCCCCAGCGAGTGTCCAGTCGACCAGGTGCCAAGCCCTGGGACCCGCAGTAAATGCTGCCTACCAGGCCAAGGGAGGTGACTCGCCACTGAGTCTCAGGCCCTGAGGCCTGGGGAGGTGGTCTCTGAGACCCTTTGCAGCTGGCTTGCAGCCTGTGGCATCCCTTCCTAGCCTCTGCTCCACCGCACTCACAACCGTGCTGAGCCTCCTTTCCGCCTGGAATCACACCTGGGAAACTCCTGCCACACTTGGAGAAGTCCCTCAGGCCCGGCCCAGATCTCATTTGCTCTGGACACTCCTCTCAGCGTCCTGGGGGCCTCTCCACACCACCAGGCCAGGACTCAGTGCCACTTGTCCACCCACAGACCTGCAGCCTCGAGGCTTCAGCTCTTTCTTTTCTTTTCTTTTCTTTTTTTTTTTTTGAGACGGAGTCTCGCTGTGTCACCCAGGCTGGAGTGCAGTGGTGATCTTGGCTCACTGCAAGCTCCGCCTCCCGGGTTCACGCCATTCTCCTGCCTCAGCCTCCCGAGTAGCTGGGACTACAGGCGCCCCCACCACGCCCGGCTAATTTTTTGTATTTTTAGTAGAGACGGGGTTTCACCGTGTTAGCCAGGATGGTCTCGATCTCCTGACCTCGTGATCTGCCTGCTTCGGCCTTCCAAAGTGCTGGGATTACAGGCGTGAGCCACAACGCCCGGCCACAGCTCTTTCTTTTGGCTCTCTGCGAGTGTGTTGAACTTGCCTGTGTGGAGCTGGCTTCCTGAGAGGCCATTTCCAAGCCCTCTGGGCCGGCCTGATAACATCCCCCTGCCTGGTAGAGTCACTTCCTGCCCTGCTGGGCTCCGGGGACAGGCCAAACCAGCTCTACGCTAGTGACTTTCAGGTTACCTTTTCTTGTATCAGGCTTCTCTAGGAATTGTGTGTGTGTGTGTGTGTGTGTGTGACCAGCGTACTCATCTCTTCTGCCAGTGTAGCGGAAGGATTGTCTTCTCTTCCCACACTTTACTCTCCCATCCTGTTCTTCTAGCCTCTGCGCTGTGTGTGTAGATGTGGGGGGAGGCTTGGCATGAAGCCTGGTCTCTGACTACCAAGATTTTCCCAGAATATTGTTTCTGCCAACTTCTTCTGGGCCCCTTCATCTTTGCCTTTTGCCATCTTTGCTTTTCAGTCAAGAGTTCCAACTAGCCAGGCCCTCTGAACTGGGCCACAGTTTAAACCAGGAGAGTTATGGGAGTCGGGAGGAACCAGCAGGAGCCCTGCAGTGGGAATGGGAAGGTCCGAATTCTGGCCCACAGTCATGGCCAGACTGTGTCCCAGGCACCCCAGGGGAGCTGAGTCTCCTGAGGCCAGCCTGCTTGGTTGGGCTCCATCTGTGAAGGGGAGATATATTGATTGGTTGATTCCAGAAATATTTATGGAGCCCCTCCTATGGCCCAAGCACTGCAGCTAGAACATAAGTATGAGGGGATAGATGGAGGTAGTGGCTAGGTGGTAAGTTACAAGGATTTTGGCCTTCACTTGGGGGGAGAGTGGAACCACTGGAGGGTTTAGAGGGGAGGGGTGACCTGGTATGGCTTACATGGGGTCAACTCATTCATATTTTTTTTTTTTGCATCGGAGTCTCGCTCTGTCACCCAGGCTGGAGTGCAGTGGTGTGATCTCAGCTCACTGCAACCTCTGCCTCCCGGTTTCAAGCGATTCTCCTGCCTCAGCCTCCCCAGTAGCTGGGATTACAGGTGTGTGCCACCACATCCAGCTAATTTTTTGTATTTTTTTTTTTTTTTAGCAGAGATGGGGTTTCACCATGTTGGTCTCGAACTTCTGACCTTAGGTGATCCGCCTGCTTCGGCCTCCCAAAGTGCTGGGATTACAGGCGTGAGCCACCGTGCCCGGCCTTATCCATGTTTTCTAGGAGAGGTGTGTGCCCTTCTCTTCTAACCCCGCTGCTTGACAGTGTCCCTGCCCTGTTACACCCGGCTCTCTGCCTCTCCACGCCTGCACCTGCGCAGCAGCGTCCCTGGGGAGTACCCGTCAACCCTGTTGACTACTTGCAAATGGTGACCAAAGACCGGGAGGAGCACCGCCGCTCTTCAGTAGGTCGGATTCCCATGCTCCAAAGTGTCTGTTCCATGTGCTCCTCCCTCCCTTCCTTTGAAAGCCACCCTCTCATGCCTAGCTCATGACCTTGCCTCATACTTTACTGAGGAAATAAAAGCAATTAGGAAACTCCCTTGTTTCATGCCACTAACTCGACCAGCTTTCCCCTCTGTCACTGCTGGCGCCCTCTGTCACTGCTTGGAGCCCTCACTCCCTTCAGAGGCCAGCGGCTCCTTCACCTGTGCTCAGAATCCCTTCCGTTCTCACCCTCTCAGGACCGGGCTGCCACAGCCTTCACTTCTCTCCTGACCCTTCCCTTCTGCAGGCACGGGCACAGGCACCCTAGACTTCCCTGCTAAAGGCTCCCTGAACCCCCATCGCTGTCTAAGGACTGGCCCAGCCCCCTGCAAACCCTTCCCTAGCAAACCCTCAGTCCAGTGAGTTAGGCTTGTACCCCGCAGTCCCCTGAGATGCCTCACGTCGAGGCTGCCCTCTGATGTGGCCCGTGTGCTGCCAGGTCTAATGGCTAGTCTGTGATCTTACACTTGATGTTCCAGCTGCTTTCTTTCTTTCTTTTTTTTTTTTTTCCTTCCTGAGATGGAGTTTTCGCTCTTGTTGTCCAGGCTGGAGTACAATGGCACGATCTTGGCTCACTGCAACCTCCACCTCCAGGGTTCAAGCGATTCTCCTGCCTCAGCCTCCTGAGTAGCTGGGATTACAGGCACCCACCACCATACCTGGCTAATTTTTGTACTTTTAGTAGAGATGGGGTTTCACCATGTTGGCCAGGCTGGTCTCGAACTCCTGACCTCAGGTGATCCACCCCCTTCCCCTTGGCCTCCCAAAGTGCTGGGATTACAGGCGTGAGCCACCGTGCCCGGCGCTCCAGCAGCTTTCAATGCACTCAAATACCCCTCTTTCCAGAAACCCTTCCTAATCTTGGTTTTGGTAGCAGACATGGTCGTGGTTTCTCTTCCCAGGTCCTTCCCGCTCAGTCCTCCAGCTTTGATCTGGACTTAATTTCTGTACTTGGATATTGAATGCTGTCTCACATTTCACTTGGCCCAAACAGAGCTCTTGGTTTTATTCCTCCTCACCTCAGTAAATGGTAAAATGGCTCCACTCTCCGCTCCATTGTGCTATCTCAAATCGAGGGTTTATCTTCAACCCTCTCCTTTCCTCATCCTGTGTGCTCATTTCCTGTGGCTGCTGTAACAAATTATCGCTCATTTGCCAGCTTCAGACAATACAGATGTCTTCTCTTAGCGTTCTGGAGGTCAGAGTCAGAAATGGGTCTCACTGGGCGAAGTTCAAGTGTCAGTGGTTTCGCGTTCCTTCCGGGGACTCTTGGGGAGGACCTGTGTTTGTGCCTTTTCCAGCTTCTAGAGGCTGCCGGCACTGCATAGTGCCATCTTTTTTTTTTTTTTTTTTTTTGATAGGGTCTTGCTCTGTCTCCCAAGCTGGAGTGCAGTGGTGTGATCATGGCTCACTACAGCCTCGACCTCCCGGGCTCAAGCGATCCTCTTGCCTCAGCCTCCCCTGTAGCTTGGACTACAGGCGTCCACCACAAAGCCTAGCTAATTTTAAAAATTTGTATAGAGACAAGGTCTCACTATGCGTGCACCATAACTCAGTTAACAGGTCTCCTCTCAAGGACCGTATAGCCTGGTCTCAAACTCCTGGGCACAAGCAATCCTCCTGCCTCAGCCTCCCAAAGTTCTGGGATTATAGGTGTGAGCCATCGTGCCTGGCTGCCTTCCTCCTTCTTTAAAGCCAGAGGTTTAGTGTCCTCTATTCATTCTCCCTACTTCTGTCCTAACATCTCCTTGGACTCTGACCTTTTTTTGAGACGGAGTCTTGCTCTGTCATCCAGGCTGGAGTGCAGTGGCGCAATCTTGGCTCACTGCAAGCTCCGCCTCCCAGGTTCACACCATTCTCCTGCCTCAGCCTCCCGAGTAGCTGGGACTACAGGCGTCCGCCACTGTGCCCGGCTAATTTTTTGTATTTTTAGTAGAGACAGGGTTTCACTGTGTTAGCCAGGATGGTCTCGATCTCCTGACCTCATGATCCGCCTGCCTCGGCCTCCCAAAGTGCTGGGATTACAGGTGTGAGCCACCTCGCCTGGCCGGACTCTGACCTTCTAACTTCCCTCTTCTAAGGACCCAGTGGGCCCACCCAAATAATCCAGGATAATTCTCCTATCTCAAGATCCTTAATTACATCTGCAAAGTTCCTTTTGCCATGTAAAACAACATGTCCACAGGTTTCAGAGATGAGGATGTGGACATGTCTGGGGGCCATTATTCTGTCTGCCACACCTCCAGTTTAATCTTTCACCTTCAAATGATGTCCCCACTCAGTCTATTTCTCTCTTTCTGCATATTTCTCACCTCGTCCTGCCCAAGTCACCATCACGTCTCACCTGACTACTACTACCTCCTAACCATTTGTAGCCTTGCCTCCAGCCCCACCCTGGGTCCATTCTCCACAGGGCTGACAGAGGCATCTTTTAAAAACTTAGATCAGGCCGGGCGTGGTGGCTCACGCCTGTAATCCCAGCATTTTGGGAGGACAAGGCGGGTGGATCACGAGGTCAGGAGATCGAGACCATCCTGGCTAACACGGTGAAACCCTGACTCTACTAAAAATACCAAAAATTAGCTGGGCGTGGTGGCGGGCGCCTGTAGTAGTCCCAGCTACTCGGGAGGCTGAGGCAGGAGAATGGCATGACCCCAGGAGGCGGAGGTTGCAGTGAGCCGAGATCGTGCCACTGCACTCCAGCCTGGGCGACAGAGCGAGACTCCGTCTCAAAAAAAAACAAACAAAAAAAACTTAAATCAGAGCATTTCATCTCCCTGCTTAAAAACCTTCAGACTCCCAATTGCACTTCACATGAATGCCAGACCCCTTGCCACAGTCTGTGCTTACCTGCCCCGCTGTCTATCTCCACCCCAACGCCCTTCCCTCCACCCAGCCACACGGGCTTTCCTGCTGTTCCTGGAACACACCAGCTCTGTTCACACCTCGGGGCCTTTCCAGGAGCTGCTCCCTCTCCTGGAATGCTCTTCGCTCAGATCTGGGCATGACTGACTCCATCTCCTCATTGAAGTCTTGGATGCCCTGCCCTTGAGTCTTTCCCTGATCTGACCACCTAGTCCACAGTAGCCCCAGTCACCCTCTTTTCTCTGCACAGCTCTTACCACTGTCTGGCCCTTTTCTGGTTTATCTCTTTGTCTTCCCTGTCTAGAGTGTAAGGTCCTTGAGGGTAGAGACCCACTAGGTCCTGTTCATAGCTGTAAGTCCTTGGTGCTGGCAGGTGCTGAATGAATGGGGGTGATGTGCAAAGTGCCACCAGGACCCTGATGGCCCAGGCCGAGGGAGCAAGGGAAGCTGCTCCAAGCTGACCTGAAATGTGTCTTAAAGGATGCCTGGGATATTGGCAGGAGAAGGGAGGGAGGCATGACATGTCCAAGCACCCTTGGGTGAGTCAGATGGCCGTGGCCTTGGAAAGATGCTGAGGACCTGGAGCACGGGTGCGTGAGGCTGGAGGCCCAGGGAGAGTGGGAGATGGGCTCTCGGTAGTGATCGCAGATGTAAAACTCCTTCCTTGGCTCTGAGATGATGGACTGAGCCACGGGAACCCCTCTGGGGTGGCCAGAATAGCCACTCTAGACCAAGAGCACACAGTGACATGGGTCATCTTTCTTCTTTTTAAATTATCTGGTTCATGTTTTTTGTAGGTAATGAATGTACATGGTAGTAAAAATCGAATTATAGGGTATATGGTGAAAAACAGCCTCCTACATCGTGTCCATGTCCTCTTGCTCCCTTCCATAGGAACAGCCACTCTTTAGACTTTCCAGGGGCTCCTTTAGGAATTATTCTGAATATCTGCACATTTATAAGAAAACATGTTATTGCGTGTTTTTTTTTTTTTTTTTTTTTTTGAGATGGAGTCTCACTCTGTCGCCCAGACTGGAGTGTAGTGGCACGATCTCAGCTCATTGCAACCTCTGCCTCCCAGGTTCAAGCAATTCTCCTGCCTCAGCCTCCCCAGTAGCTGGGATTACAGGCACCTGCCACCATACCAGCTAACTTTTGTATTTTTAGTAGAAACGGGGTTTTGCCATGTTGGCCAGGCTGGTCTCGAACTCTTGACCTCAGGCGAGTGTTGGGATTACAGGTGTGAGCCACCTAGTCCGGCCTATTGTTTTTTACACACAATAGTGACTATATACCCTCTTTTGTGTCTTGCTTTTTTCAGCTATCTTTGTGATTGTCAGCTATTACTGCATAACAAACCATCCCAAAGCTTAGTGCCTTAAAGCAATCACCTTTTATTATTTCTCATGATTCTGGGCTTGCCAGGGCTCGCTCATCCATCAGTGGCCTGCTATGGGTCAGCCCGGTGACTTTGCTGCTCTTGGCTGGGCTCTCTTACGCTTATGGAGTCTTGCCTAGACAGCTCAGCTCTGCGCCACGTGGCCTTTTATCGTTCAGCAGGTTGGCCTGGGCTAGGTATGGGCTGGCCTAGGCACGTTCTCGTGGCGGTCACAGAGAAGCAAGAGGGAAAAAGTGCGTAAGCCCTTTTCTAAGCCTCTGCGTGCATTAACATTTCCACTGTTCCATCAGTCAGAGCAAGCCCTGGGGTCAAGCCCAGGGACAGTGCAAGAGGCCACAGAGCATGGGATTCAGGAAACGTGAAGACATGGCCTTTCGTACAGCCAGGCCACCACAGAGTCGTATGGAGATCTGCTCCATGTGTTTATGGGTGCACGGTCCTGCTGCATGGGGTGCACCATAACTCAGTTAACAGGTATCCTGTCAAGGACCTTATAGGTTGTCTCGTATCTTTTGCTATGACCAGTAGGGCTGTATGTAGTAAACATCCCTATCTGTACATCTTTGTGCTGAAGATTGCATATATCTGTGGGATAACCACTTAAAACTGGAATTTCTGGGTCAGCTGGTATGGGAGTATGTCAGTTGCTTTGTAGAAATTGCTACATTGCCCCCTGGAGACACTCATGCTAATTTATACCCCCACCAGCATGACACAGCAGTGTCTGTTTTCCTGTTAGCACTCTGGAGGCAGGGGGATCACAAATACTGCAAATGCTGGGTTACCCGGGATTACAGGAAGCCCAGTAAACGAGGAGCTGGAGTTCACTCTGGTCATTCTGAGGCTTTTTTTTTCTTTAGACTAAGTCTCACTCTGTTGCCCAGGCTGGAGTACAGTGGAGACATCTCGGCTCACTGTAACCTCTGCCTCCCAGGTTCAAGTGATTCTCCTGCCTTAGCCTCCCGAGTAGCTGGGATTAACAGGTGTGTGCCACCATACCCAGATAATTTTTGTATTTTTTTTTAGTAGAGATGGGGTTTTACCATATTGGCCAGGCTGGTCTTGAACTCCTGACCTCATGATCCACCCACCTTGGCCCCCCAAAGTGCTGGGATTACAGGTGTGAGCCACTGCACCTGGCCTTCTGAGCCTTAAGAAATGGAGAACCTGGGTCAGGCAAGTTGGCTTGTGCCTGTAATCCCAGCACTTTGGGAGGCCAAGGCGGGCAGATCACTTGACACCAGGAGTTCCAGACCAGCTTGGCCAACATGGGAAAACATTGTCTCTACTAAAATACAAAAATTAGCCTGGTGTGGTGGTGCGCGCCTGTAATCCCAGCTACTCGGGAGGCTGAGGCAGGAGAATTGCTTGAGCCTGGGAGTCAGGTTGCAACGGGCTGAGATTGTGCCACTGCACTCCAGCCTGGGTGACAGAGCGAGACTGTCTCAAAAAAAAAAAGAAAAAAAGAAAAAGAAATGGAGAACCTGGCTGTGTTTTGGGGCAACAAAGGGGACACTGAGGAGCCAACTCCTCCCTGAATAGCGGTGTGTTTCTTCCTCCTGGATGCCAGCTGCAGCAGGAATGGTTTGAATAGATCTAAATACTTCTCTATTGACATAGAAACTGAGTTGTTGAGAATTTTTTGTGTTGGTGTCAAGTACTCCCAGGAATAGAGAAGAGTCTTTTTTTCTTCCTCATCTGATCACATCTCTGCATGTCAGCTGCTTATCCAGCAAAGGAGGAACTAGGAGGAAGGGCAGTCCCTTCCAGAGGCAAAGGCCACAGCCCCACCTTCCCCGGGTGGGGGGGATCAAGGAGGCCAAGTGCCTGTGGGCATTGAACTGTGCCAGCCACAGGGCTCAGGGGACTGGCTCTGTTGTGCTGAGCCAGGGCACGGACCCCCCTGCAGGGTGGCTCATTCCCCATATCTCCTTGGTGAGGGTCTCACTAGTGGTCTCTCTTTGGCTTCAGGCTTTATCCCTATATAAGCCATTGGGGAGCTAGTTACTGCAGCCTCACTTAACCCCCAAATAATGCCCAAGAGAAAAGCGAAGCCAGCCCTGGGTACCCTTGAGTCCCTCTTTACCCCTGTCCCCTGAGAATCCTAGCAAGTGAAGGAGAGGGACTTCAAAACCATCCATCCAGCCTCTGCCCCAGAGGGGTTAAGTGGGCCGGGGTCACCCAGCTGGTTGGGAGGGAAGCTGGGCCCCTTCTGGAGGCTGATGGTATAGTTTGTGCATGGCGTGCCGGAGAGAGTGTAGGGAGACTGCCTGCGTTCAAACGCAGCTCCAGGATGAACCAGCTCTGTGGCCTTAGGGATGCTGCTCCCCTCTCCTGCCTGGTTCCCTGTTTGTGAGATGGAGATGATAATAGCATCCTAGTATTGTTTCCAGGACTATCAGGATCGGGTAAACTGCTCACCATACTGCATGGCACTTCGTATGAGCTCAGCATGGCTGGGCTATTAATGACTCACACAGCATTCATATCCTCCTGCTACATTGCAGGCCTGTTGAACACGGAGCTTGTGTCTCCTAGAGCTTTCTGGCCCCACAAGATCCAACATAACTATTCTGGGAAATAGTCAATCCTAAATGGATGGTAATAACAGTAGCTAATGTTTATTCACCACTTACTTCAGACTATGTGCGTTACATATTATCTCTAATCCTCATGATACCCAAGTGAGAAAACTAAGGCTCAGAGAGGTTAAGTGTCTTGCCCAGTGCCACACGGCTAGCGAGCAAGGGAGGTGGGATTTAAGCCCAGGGCTGCCAGAGGCCAAAGCTCTTTCCCCTGCATTGCACTAGCTGTGGCCTCTCCTTTCTGTAAACTGCACTTCTGGCCCCACTTTGCAGTCCGGCTGCTCCACGACCAGCTGTGTGCCACACTCTGCCTGGTGAGTGCATAGGCACATGGGGGATTTAAGCCTTTCCTGCGCACAATTCGAGTGTAAGGTCCCCGCTTCTGTGTTGCACCTGGAAGCTCTCAAGGCCGTAGTGGGCTCACCTTGTTTGTTACCCAGCTCTCACGGGTCACTGTTCTTTGTTGCCTGATGCCCAATGTCTTGAAAACATTTTTTTTTTGTCTTGTTTTTGTGGTAGTCTCAGATAGGAGAGTAAATTTGGTCCCTATTACTCTTTCTTGGCTGGAAGTAAAAGTCTAGCTTTAATGTTTTGATCTTGTTTTATATTTAATTCTTTAATCTATCTGGAATTAATTTTCTCGTATGCCCTGGAGTGCCTTTTTTCCCTCTTGTCACACTGTTCTACCTTGCAGCTGGACACGTTATTAGGTAATAAATGCTGGTTAGGTGATGTCTTTTCTTGCTAGTGGGTTCTGAATTGGGAGCCCACGAGGTCCCTGACAAGGGCAGGCAGTGCTCATGGAGTGTTGGTCACACCACCCAGTGCCCCTCTATCATTTAGGACTGAACTATGCAGCCTCTGGATGATTTCTTTGGCCTGACTCTTGATGTTTTTAATATCTCTGCCCTCCTGATTGGGAGAGTGAGTGGCAGGGAATTCACCTTTTTTGAGGGAAGCAAAGAAAACATAATTTGTTGGGAGATTAACTTAGCGCCTGGACTTTTGAAAAATTTCGGAAATTGTTTTGCAGCCACCATGCTCAATTTCAAATGAGATTGTAACTTCCCTGCTCAGAGCAGGCAGCTCCTTTTGGAACTGAGGAGCCGATACCTACCTGCCTAGCAGGAAACTCCCCTGACGGTTCCCCCTTTCTCTCTGTATTAGTCCATTCTCACACTGCTATAAAGAAATACCCAGCCAGGGCTGGGTGCGGTGGCTCATGCCTATAATCCCAGCACTTTGGGAGGCCGAGACAGGTGGATCACGAGGTGAAGAGATTGAGACCATCCTGGCCAACATGGTGAAACGCCATCTCTACTGAAAATACAAAAAATTAGCCGGGTGTGGTGGCAGGCGCCTGTAGTCCCAGCTACTCGGGAGGCTGAGGTAGGAGAATCACTTGAACCCGGGAGGTGGAGGTTGCAGTGAGCCGAGATTGCGCCACTGCACTCCAGCACTCCGGCCTGGTGACAGAGCGAGACTCCGTCTCAAAAAAAAAAAAAAAAAAAAAAAAAAGAAATACCCAGCCAGGTGCAGTGGCTCACACTTGTAATCCCAGCACTTTGGGAGGCCAAGGTGGGTGGATCACTTGAGGCCAGGAGTTTGAGACCAGCCTGGCCAACATGGTGAAACCCTGTCTCTACTAAAAATACAAAAACTAGCCAGGTATGGTGGCGCGTGCCTGTAATCCCAGCTACTCAGGAGGCTGAGGCATGAGACTTGCTTGAACCTGGGAGGCGGAGGCTGTAGTGAGCCGAGGTGGTGCCACTGCACTCCAGCCTGGGTGATAGAATGAGACTGTTTCGAAGAAAACAAACAAGGCCGGGCGCGGTGGCTCACGCCTATAATCCCAGCACTTTGGGAGGCCGAGGCGGGCGGATCACCTGAGGTTGGGAGTTCGAGACCAGCCTGACCAACATGGAGAAACCCTGTCTCTACTAAAAATACAAAATTAGCTGGGCATAGTGGTGCATGCCTGTAATCCCAGCTACTCGGGAGGCTGAGGCAGGAGAATTGCTTGAACCCAGGAGGTGGAGGTTGCGGTGAGCAGAAGACGTGCCATTGCACTCCAGCCTGGGCAACAAGAGCAAAACTCCATCTCAAAAAAAAAAAAGAAAAAAAGAAAAAAACAAACAAACAAACAAAAGAAATACCTGAGACTGGGTAATTTATAAAGGAAAGAGATTCTTTTTTTTTTTTTTTGAGACAGAGTCTTGCTCTTTCGCCAAGGCTGGAGTGCAATGGCACAATCTCAGCTCACTATAACCTCCGCCTCTTGGGTTCAAGCGATTCTTCCTGCCTCAGCCTCCTGAGTAGCTGGGATTACAGGCACCTGCCACCACGCCTGGCTAATTTTTGTATTTTTAGTAGAGACGGGGTTTTGCCATGTTGGCCAAGCTGGTCTCGAACTCCTGACCTCAGGTGATCCGCCCACCTTGGCCTCCCAAAGTGCTGGGATTACAGGCATGAGCCACTGTGCCTGGCCAGGAAAGAGGTTTAATTGACTCACAGTTCCACATGGCTGGGGAGGTCTCAGGAAACTCACAGTCATGGTGGAAGGTAAATGGGAAGCAAGGACTTTCTTCAGAAGGCGGCAAACAAGAGAGAGAGAAAAAGCACAGGGGAAATCACCACTTATAAAACCATCAGGTCTCGTGAGAACACAGTCTCATGAGAACAGCATGGGGGAACTGCCTCATGATCCAATCACCTCCTACCAGGTCCCTCCTTTGACAGGTGGGGATTACAATTTGAGATGAGATTTAGGTGGGGACACAGAGCCAAACCATATCACTCTCCCAGCACTTCATGGTTTGGTTCTAACAAACGACTTGTAATTCCCCAAACGAGTAGGGCATGCCATACCTTTGCATATTCTATTCCTTCTGTCTGCAATTCTTTTCCCCACATTTTCCATCTTGCAAATGTGTAGCATCACATTCTTGGTGCAAGCTTTGTCTCCTCTCCCACCCCCATCCAATACTGTACACATCTTCATTAGAGCCTGTATTGTGTTGAATGGTCTTGAGAGACTGGGGTGTCGTGAGGGAAGGGACTGTGTCTCCTAATTCTGAGGAAAAACTTTTTTCTCCGTTGATCATTTTCCTGCACCGTGCTCTCCCAGTTGCTGCTTTTGTTGTTGTTGTTGTTGAGACAGAGTCTTGCTCTGCTGCCCAGGCTGGAGTGCAGTGGCACAATCTCAGCTCACTGCAACCTCTGCTTCCCAGTTTCAAGTGATTCTCCTGCCTCAGCCTCCAGAGTAGCTGGGATTACAGGCGTGCACCACCATGCCTGGCTAATTTTTGTATTTTTAGTAGGGACAGGGTTTCTGCATATTGGCCAAGCTGGTCTTGAACTCCTGACCTCAAGCGATCCACCTGCCTCGGCCTCCCAAAGTGCTGAGATTACAGGCGTGAGCCACCGCACCCTGCCCCCAGTTGCTGCTGATGGAACTGAGCGCTCTCCACATCTTGGCATCACGACTCTGGCGCATTCCCCCAGCATCAGGAGATCAGAGAAACACAAAGGCCCTGAATCCGCATAGCACTTGGGTAGCAGTTTTTACACCTCTCTGCAACTATGAAACCCATTGTTTAAATAAAAATTTGGCAAGCCTGGGATGTAAAACCAAAGCAGCAGGAGAAGTGCAGGGTCTGCGGATTCTGCAAAGGCCCTCAGTTGGGTTCTGGGAATTCTGTTTGGAGACCGGTAAACTTGAGGACTTGAGGTTGATGGGGTGTTTCCAGATAGGAGTTCTCAGCCTGAAGCTGGTTTCTTGTTTGGGAGATCTGGTTAAGATTCCAGTTTGGCCCCTGTAACAAAGATCACAGTGACTTAGAAAGTAGATCAGGATAGAAGTTCATGTTTCACTCTCACATAAGCAGTCGGGGGCTCGGTGGCAGCTCCTGGTGTTGGGGATCTAGCAAGCCTTGTGTGGCGCTGCTCTGCTCTGCTCATCCTCAATAGGTGGCTTCCAGCTTGTGGTCTCAGATGGGCGTGCCATTTTCCATCAGCACTGCCAAGGTCCAGCCTATGGGGGAGGGTGAACAGGGACTGGCGGGCAAGCCTATTCCCTCTAAAGGCCAAGCCCAGAAGCTGCGTGCAACACCTCTGCTCCCATCCCATCGTCATAACGTAGTCACGGGGCAGCATGTCGCCATCAGGGAGCCTGGGATGTGTAGTCTTTAACTGGGCAGCCGCGTGCTCTGATAAAACATGGGAATTTTAATACTAAAGGAAGAAAGGGAGAGTGAATATTCTGGGACAACAAGCAGACTCTGCCACAGGCAATGACCGCCCTAACCCTGGGGAAGATGCAGATGCCTTCCCTATCATCTAATTAATTCACCATTTATTGAGCATGGACTCTGTGCCAGATATTGTGCACAACACACAGGTTCTTCCTTTAGGCCTCCTCCTTACAGTCTAGAAGGGGCAGACAGACTGATGAACACCCAGGGTGCTCAGGGTTCCTGGGGCTGCTCGAGGTGGTTTGGGATGAGGCACCTGGAGGAGAGGTCTGCAGCGCTTGGAATATTCGTAGGTGTTCACTAAGTAGCGGTGAATGGTGTCCTCAGGATGCCAGAACATTCCAAAGGGGTGGCACATGTGACACTTGGCCAGGACCTGTTTTCCATTGCTGAGGGCTTTGGATGTCTCCCTGTGGTGGGGGTGCTGAGTCGGGAGGTCAGGAGCGGGAAGCATTGACATCTGGGCATTCTGATCCCAGCTTGATTCTCCAGCTTTCTATCCACATCCTATTCCCCTGCCACTTGGTTCTCTCCGCTTTCCTGGGCTCTGTGCTGTGGCTTTGGTTGTGCTGTTCCTTCAGCCTGGTTTGCCCTTCCCTCTGCTTTTTGCCAGCCCAGGTCCTACTCATCCTCTGAGGCCCAGCTGGGAGGTGTGTTCACTCTGGGCCATAGAGTTTTCCCACTGAGAACTCAGTAGCTCTAGCCCACAGTCTGTAAATGGAATTGTGGCTCTGAGAGGGTAAGTCATGTGCCCCCACAGCTAGAATAGGTAGCAGGGGTCCTGATCTCCCGTTGTTTCTGCTCCCTGGCTTGGAGATTCTGCCCAGAGGAGCCATTTTCAGATGCAGGGTCCCTGTGGCAGGGAGGCGAGGAGGGGTGAGGTCGTGAGGAGGGGTGGGGAGAGAGGAGTCCTCCGCTCAGGCCGAAAGAGGTGCTTTCTTGGAATTGCTTCCCAGAATCAATGAAGTTAAATCATTGGGCCAAAGTCACCGAGTGACAAATTTGGGTTTAAATCTAGGACTCTGAATCCCAAGTTCTATTTTATTTTGTTTTTTGGAATTTAAAAATATACAGAAAAGAAGTTCTACATAGATGGATAGTCTTACCACTCAGAAGTAACCACTATTAATATCCTGGTATATATACTTCCAGTTTTTAAAGAAGAGTTACTTTTTTTTTTTTCTAAAAGTGATATAAAAGAATTTTGCTCAATGTAAATAATTTAAACCACAAAGATGAGAATTTAAAAATTATCCCAAATCTTATCATTCAGAAATTCCTATTGTTTACACTAAGTGATGATCATTTTAGACATCTTTGTAGGGACACAGACAGATATAAAGGTAGATATTTAGACAGACTTCTATAAACAGTGATCATATTGCTGTCCAATATGATATCCCCTAGCTACATGTAGCTATTGACCACTTGAAATGTACAGGTTAGAGCTGACATGTGCTGTGAGTGTAAAATACACACAAGATTTGGAAAACTTAATATGAAAAAAGAATGTAAGGTCTCATTAATATTTTAAAAATATGATTGCATGTTGACCTGATAGTATTTTTTTTTTTTTTTTTTGAGACAGAGTCTCGCTCTGTTGCCCAGGCTGCAGTGCAGTGGCGCGATCTCCGCTTACTGCAAGCTCCACCCCCCAGGTTCACGCCATTCTCCTGCCTCAGCCTCCCGACTAGCTGGGACTACACACACCCACCACCACGCCCGGCTAATTTTTTGTATTTTTAGTAGAGACGGGGTTTCACCGTGTTAGCCAGGATGGTCTTGATCTCCTGACCTCATGATCCACCTGCCCTGGCCTCCTAAAAGTGCTGGGATTACAGCTGTGAGCCACGCGCCCGGCTGACCTGATAGTATTTTGGTTATATTTAGTTAAATAAAATGTTATTTAAATTAATTCCACTTTTTTTTTCTTGCGATGTTGTCCAGGCTGGTCTCAAACTCTCGGGCTCAAGTGATCCACCTGTCTAGGCCTCCTAAAGTGTTGAGATTATAGGCATGAGCCACCGAGCCCTGCCTTCTTTTCCTTTTTTAACATGGCTATTAAAATTTATAAATTAAGGCCGGGTATAGTGGCTCATGCCTGTAATCCCAGCACTTGGGGAGGCCAAGTCAGGCGGATCACCTGAGGTCAGGAGTTCAAGACCAGCCTGGCCAACATGGCGAAACTCCGTCTCTACTAAAAATACAAAATTAGCTGGGCATGGTGGTGGGTGCCTGTAATCCCAGCTACTCTGGAGGCTGAGGCAGGAGAATTGCTTGAACCCAGGCGAAGGTTGCAGTGAGCTGAGATTGTGCCATTGCACTCCAGCCTGGGCGACAAGAGCGAAACTCTGTCTCAAGAAAAACAAAACAAAACAAAATTTTTAAATTATGTATGTGGCTTGCATATATTTCTATTGAACAGCACTGGTCTATTATTATAGTATTAATAAGTTTATTCATAAATATTAAAAGGAAAAAATGAAAATGAATTTAGAGGAATTTTTTTTTTTTTGAGATGGAGTCTCACTCTGTTGCCAAGCTGGAGTGCAGTGGCATGATCTTGGCTCACTGCAACCTCTGCCTCCTGGGTTCAAGCGATTCTCCTGCCTCAGCCTGCCAAGTAGCTGGGATTACAGGTGCACACCACCATGCACAGCTAATTTTTGTATTTTTAGTAGAGACAGAGTTTCACCATGTTTGCCAGGTTGATCTCAATCTCTTGACCTCGTGATCTGCCCACCTTGGCCTCCCAAAGTGCTGGGATTACAGGTGTGAGCCACTGCGCCCTGCCTAAAGGAATTTTTGAGCTCTAAATAAATGGTTCTTCATTATTTCCTGAGAGTTCACTAAAATTTAAACAAATTTTTGAAAAATAGTAAAAGATTAGATTGATTTTTTTTTTTAAGAGCACATGGTACAGTGTTTTGAAAGATAAAGGCATGACACTCCGAAGCTCCTCCCAATTTCGGATATATGATTGTTTTTGCAACGTATTGCTTTCTGACATTCATATTTGTTCTGTGGCTCTAATTCTTGTGGGCATTTAGTATTCTGTAAGAAACACTCAGGCCTTTGCCTACATGTCCTTCGTTCCTGAGTCCTGGGTTTCTTTATGAGCTGGGTTTCATTTCTTGAGAAGGGCTTGTGTGTCTGGGAGGAAGCTGCTTGTTGCCTTGGTGCCTGGCTGGTGTCTGGACCGGCCCCACGCACTGGAGTCGCACTTTGTACCCCAGTGTACTCTGTATGCGCCACTTCATTGTCTTCTGGCATTGGATGCTGCTGTGGCCTTGCCTGATTTCCTCTTTTTTTTGAGTCAGAGTCCCACTCTGTCGCCCAGGCTGGGGTACAGTGATGCAATATCGGCTCACTGCAACTTCCACTCCTGGGTTCAAGTGATTCTCTTGCCTCAGCCTCCCTAGTAGCTGGGATTACAGGTGCACACCACCATGCCTGGCTAGTTTTCCTGTATTTTTAGTAGATACCGGGTTTCACCACATTGGCCAGGCTGGTCTCAAACTCCTGACCTCAGGTGATTCCCCTGCCTCAGCCTCCCAAAGTGTTGGGATTACAGGCATAAACCACCATGGCTGGCCAGACTTGCTTTTTCTTCTTGCATGTCTAATGAGTTCTTGAGTTCAGTACCTGAACTCAGCCCTGTTTTCGTGTTAATTGGCTCCTCCCAGAACTCTAGGTCTCATCTCTAAAAGGTTATTTTAGGCTTCCCAGTACATAGATAGAGCATGCTAAGACCTATAGATTCAGCAGTTTTGGGCCAACTTCTCAGAACATGTGGAAAAGGCTTTTGTTTTAGCTCTTGGCCTTTGGTGGACTTACCACCCAGAATCTTAGGGGGGTCCTCGCTGATGACTTTTTGAATTAATTTTAGATTGCATATATAATAGGTAAATCTAGTCTTCTTTTTAGGACCAGGATGTTAAAGACAAAGCTAAAGTCCATTTTTGCCACCAACCCCAGTTGAGGTCCCCTCCCCAGCACCCCAGCTGTAACTACTATCATGGCCTTAAGATATGTCCTTCCAGACCTTTTAAAACTGATTTTATATTTTAATACAATTATGTTCTGTCCCATCCCAGAAAAATAGACCATGCTTAGGCTGGTGTATGAGTTGTTCTGGGTTTATTCAGAAGAGTCTGGGGGGTGGTGTGGATTACAAAGAGCTGCTCCTGGAGTGAACTTTTCATTTGAATTAAGCCAATATAGACATCAACAAGTTATAACCGTAAGTAGTAGTATGCTCTCGGGAGTAAAAGCTTCATGCAAGCATTCCCAGATATCTGTATAGTTATGACTTTTAGACAGAAACAGACGAACACTCTGTTACTCTGCAAGAATACAGACTTGCGTTCAGGTCATTTTGACACAGACTCATCTTAAGATCTGGCTGTACAGACATTCCACCAGCTGCATAGAATACAGCACCAGAGCTGGGGATTTCATCGCGCCACTCTTGAAAATACGTAACACTGGGGTTTGTGTGTGTTTTATAAAGATCATAATGAACACATCATAAGCCACCTTTGTTTTTTTCCTACTGAACTTGAACTCTCTCCACGTTAATGTGTATCTACCGGCAGCCAGGCGCAGTGGCTCATGCCTGTAATCCCAGCACTTTTGGAGGTCGAGGTGGGCGGATCACCTGAGGTCAGGAGTTTGAGACCAGCCTGGCTAACATGGTGAAACCCTGTTTTTACTAAAAACACAAAAAAGTAGTCGGGCGTGATGGCAGGTGCCTGTAATCCCAGCTACTCGGGAAGCTGAGGCAGGAGAATCGCTTGAACCCGGGAGGTGGAGGTTGCGGTGAGCCGAGATCGTGCTATTGCACTCCAGCCTGAGCAACAAGAGCGAAACTCCATCTCAAAAAAAAAAAGTATCTACTGGCAAAGAAATGATGGAGTGTTTGAGCCAACACCTATTTGAGTACATGCTACTGGAACATTCTTTAAATGAACTGAATTCACTATGAGGTGGTGCCCACTTAGACCCTATGAAGGCTATGAAGTTCCAGAAGGACCTTGCTGGGGGCCTGGAGCCTCGGAGGGTGGTGGTTCTGGGGTCCCTTGAGTGAGGGGGTCCTACATGCAGGCCATTCCTTGCTCCCACTTTGTTCTCACTTTGTTTTTGTAGATGACATGGCAGAGCTTCTCCTCGGGGAGTCGAAGCTGGAGCAGTACCTGAAGGAACACCCCCTGAGGCAGGGGGCCAGTCCCCGAGGCCCCAAGCCCCAGCTGACTGAGGTCCGCAAGCATCTGACCGCCGCCCTGGACCGAGGGAACCTTAAGGTACCATGGGCCTCTGGGCTGAGGCGACACTTCCTTTGGACAGTGTGGGGTTGAGAAGGGTGCCCAGGGTTGAGCCGGGTGACGTTTGGAGCTCACCTGCACACTGCCAGGGCTTGTCTTCTTAGAAGCGGGCCAGCTCCCAGTTGGGTGGATGTGCCAATCTCTAGGCTGGCTGACCACTGTGGGGGCTTCTGGGCCAATAGGGTCTCTCTGATGAGAGTCTTCAATGACACGTCATCTGCACAATGCCACTTATCTCTCAGACGCTTGAACTAAAGCTATCCGATATAACCCAGAGCTTAACCTGACATGTTACGCAGTTCTAGAAAAGAGAGAAGTTAATCAGAAGGATGCTCAGCGCACAGCTTCCTGCTCATCAATGTAAGAAGCCACTGTGGCCCAGAGCTGTGGGAGGTTCCATACTGGTGCCAGCAGGCCTGGCGTCACAGTTGGGAGGGGGCCAGGAACTTCCCCACGTCTCAGCAAGAACCCTCACCCTCAGGCACAAGGAATCTTAGGTGCTGCCCCCTATCTGTCCATTCTGTTTTCCGGTCTCATTACACCCAGGTTTCCATTCCCTCTCACGTGGCTTTCCTTCCTTTCTTCTTGGACTCCTCATCAGTTCCTTTTGCTTTTCATGGGGGTCATCTCCTCTTCCCGCCCTGCCCTTCTGCCTCCCAGGTGGCTCACACTCCCCTGGCTCTAGATGCTTCCCCTAGTTCAGATGGCTGTCTGTGGCCCGCTCCATGCTGCCTGTCTTCCCCAGGATGTATTTCCCACTGAGGACAGTCTTTGGTGAACTTCTGGAGCTCTGACTTCCGTTTCCTTTTAACTTTGATGACTTCTTTCTCATTTTTCTTCTCTTCCTGTCTCGGAATCCTCTGAGACTCCATTTTTGGTCTTTATTCTTGTTTGTGTGTGCACGCTTCCCCCCGGGAAGCCATGCTTTCTTTGGCTTTACATTTCATATCTGTACTGCAAACTCCAGCCTGCTCCCGACTTGCTGTGTGACCCCGGGGAGGTTACTCGCCTCTCTGCAGCTCAGTTTCTTTAGGTTTGAATGGGGTGGGCTCTTAAAGGGGTGAGCTTGGACCTTCCCGGCTCCTGCATGTTCTAAGCCTGTGAGCTTTCAATTTGAGCTGTTCCTCCTCTTGGTCATCTGGCCACCTCCTTGGCCCTGCTGCAATGGAGGGCCTGGGCAACCTTTGAGTAAGTTAGTATTGGTGTTGGTCAGTTGTGCAGCAACAGGCTTCTGGAAACCCTGATAGAGAGCTGCTTTCAAAATTGTCTCTGTGTATGTTGTATGCACGGGACACAGCTCCAGGCCGCTAGGAGGTGGCTGGAGAGCGTCATCTCAACACAGGGATCTTGCCCCAGGCCCCTAGGGGGTGGCTGGAGAGGTCAGCTCAGCATAGGGATCCCAGGTACTTAAAGACTCCCTGCTGCATTTGGGCTTCAAAAACCAGGTCTTCTCTTTCCCCATTCAGTTTCTCTGTAAGGGCCATGCCACACTTTGGTGTGTGGCAGATCACTTGAGGCCAGGAGTTCAATACCAGCCTGGCCAACATGGCGAAACCCCATCTCCATCTCATCCATCTCATATGTTTTTTTTTTTTCGAGATGGAGTCTGGCTCTGTCACCCAGGCTAGAGTGCAGTGGCGTGATCTTCGCTCACTGCAAGCTCTGCCTCCCGCGCTCATGCCATTCTCCTGCCTCAGCCTCCTGACTAGCTGGGACTACAGGCACCCGCCACCACGCCCGGCTAATTTTTTGTATTTTTAGTAGAGACAGGGTTTCACCGTGTTAGCCAGGATGGTCTCAATCTCCTCACCTCGTGATCCGCCCACCTCAGCCTCCCAAAGTGCTGGGATTACAGGCGTGAGCCACCGCTCCCGGCCTCATCTCATATGTTCTTAACCGATGACATGATGACACAGGTGGACACAGGGGTAGGTCTTGATCTGGGGACACAGGTGGTAGGTCTTGATCAGCAGGAGAGAGTGAAGGGACAGCAGGCACATGGGCCACAGCTCACAGTGATGGCCAGCCAGACTCAAGTGTCCTGCTGGGAGGTGTGAGGGGAGAGATCTGGCTTGTTTCTTTCCCCCGTCTACCCGCCCCCCAACTTCATCTTGAAAAATTCACTTTTCATTTCACCAGGTGCTGATAGGTTTTGCTTTCCATCCTCTACAATGCAGTGTGGTAGTAAGCCCATTGAATTTATTTTATTTTTTATTTATTTATTTATTTTGAGACAGAGTGTTGTTCTGTCATCCAGACACCATCTTGGCTCACTGCAACCTCCACCTCCCAGGTTCAAGCAATTCTTATGCCTCAGCCTCCTGAGTAGCTGTGACTACAGCCGCATGCCACCACACCTGGCTAATTTTTGTATTTTTAATAGAGACGTGGTTTTACCATGTTGGCCAGGCTGGTCTCGAACTGCTGACCTCAGGTGATCTGCCTGCGTCGGCCTCCGAAAGTGCTGGGATTACAGGCCTGAGCCACTGCACCCAGCTGTTGAATTTAATTCAAGTTAAAATGCTTGAGTCTGAGTCCAGTTCTGGATTTATAAGCTGTGTGATCTTGGGACGTTACTTAACCTCTCTGAGCTTCATGTTTCTCAGCTGCAGGCCTACTTAACCCAGGATTGTTTTGAGGCTCAAATGGAGAAATTCTTTCAAAGCTGTATAGCACTAGATACACATCATTTCTTGCTATGTTATTAGTTCTACCTAGAGAATTTTTTTCTCCCATTGCTCTTTTTCACCTTCCTCCATCTTATAAAGAATGTTCCAAAGCCGTACATCTTTTGCATGGGTGTGCTGTCCTACTCACACCAACTAATGTGAAACTTTCTCTTTCCTTGAGCTTAAGTCCAGCTTGTCTTAAGTGAATTGAGGCTGGGAAGACCAGAGCCAGCCAGGCATGTAGTGGGATGGAAAGAGTCCTGGACTAGGAGTCAGGACATCTGGCTTGTGATTCAAGGCAAGAAAATGGTCCTTATTGTGAGCAAGGTGGCCCCTGACACTGTGTTGGGGCTGTTCTCCCACTGCCCAGGCAGCCGAGGCGCCCTGGCCAAGCTGTTTCCTGTACTTGGGTGGAGACTGGACTCGCCCAGGGAGGCTCTCCCAGTGTGTCCAAGCTGTGCCTCTAGGCTTGCAATTTTCTTCAAGCGTTTTCTCCACCTGGCTCTCCAGTTTGCTTTTGTTAACCTTTTTTTTTTTCCCTTTTGGTAAAATATACATAACTTACAACCTAACATTATAGCTCTTTGTAAGTGTACAGTGTAGTGGCGTTAAGTATATTACCATTGTCACTCAGCCGTCACCACCCTCCATCTCCAGGACTCTTTGCATCTTCCCAGAGCGAACCTCTTGTGATGTGTCCATTAATGCTAACTCCTCATTCCCCCTCCTCTTTCAATTCGCCTTTAATCCAACGGTTCTTAGAGGCTAGAAGCTTGGGGAAGGAGGGTAGACTTCCCAGAATGTCCTAGGAAATGTTTTCAAAATACCCAAGCCTGGCCTGTCCCCTACCTGGGTGGAGAACCCCTGTGGTGGATGCTTTTTTTTGAGACAGAGTCTCGCTCTGTCATCCAGGCTGGAGTGCAATGGCGTGATCTTGGCTCACTGCAACCTCCGCCTCCTGGGTTCAAGTGATTCTTGTGCCTTAGCCTCCTGAGTAGCTGGGATTACAGGTGTGCACCACCATGCCCCACTAATTTTTGTATTTTTAGTAGAGATGGGGTTTCACCATGTTGGCCAGGCTGGTCACGAACTTCTGGCGTCAAGTGATCTGCCTGCCTCGGCCTCCCAAAGTGCTGGGATTATAGGTGTGAGCCACCGCACTCGGCCTGGATGCTTTTTTTCTCTTTTCTGAGTCTGCTTTGATTTCTCTGTCTCCAGATGTAATTCTAATTCCTCTGGTGCCTCTCCCTTGGGCCACCCATAAACACTTTTGCTCCCATCAGTCCTGCTTGTCCACTGCACCATCCTTTCCAATGCTGCCTGATGTCCCTCCCTCTTCCAAGAAATGCCTGGAAGCCGACCACGCTGGCTGAGATAGCTGCTGTAACACGCTGTACCTGGCTACCTGGCCGTGTTGTCCACTCATCAAAGCTCTAGGTTACAGTATAAATAGTGCGGTTTCATGGTGTGCTTCTGTAAGCAAAAACCTCAGCTTTGAACCGCTTGGGCTCTGAGGAGAAGGTCTGGCCACAGAAGATAAATCTGTTTCCTTATATAGGTGGCAGGGTGGCCTGTTCTTTCCCTAGGTGCCGGAGGACGGGTCAGGGAGGAAGGCAATGATGAGGCTTTGGGGAGAGGGGGACTGGCCAGGCCAGCCTTGCTGACTGGGAGGAAGGGGGGCCCACAGAGAACTTCCAGCCCTTAGCCTCTAGGGAGGGTACCAGGTCACCTCAGTTTAGAAACTTCAATGGCTCAGTGAGAAACTTCGCCCTGGAAAGCAAGCAAGTCCTGATCTTCACATCCATTTGGGAAGGCTCTCCTTGGTTATTTGGGTTACAGGGTTGTGGTGCATCTCCAGTGCCATGGCCAGACCCACCAGGATGTCTGGCCGCTTCCTTTTCTGAGACAGGTGCTTGTATGTTTAACTTATGAAGCATTCCTTCCTTCCCAGCCGGCCCAGCCCAGCCACAGGCCTGATGAAGGGAGCCGCAGGGTTTTGTTTTGGTTTGGTTTTTGCAACAGCTTTATTGAAGTGTGATTCACATACCATACAACTCACCCATTCAGAGTGTCCACTTCAGTGATTTTTAGTATATTCATGAAGTTGTGCAACCATCACCACAATGAATTCTAGAACATTTTCATCACCTCCCAAAGAAACCCCATTATCACCAGCAGCCACCTCCCATTCCTAGCCAAGACTAATCTGTTTTCTAACTCTAGACTTGACTATCCTGGACATTTCATACACGTGGAAGCATACAATATGTGGCCTTTTGTGACTGGATTTTTCACTTGGCATCATGTTTTTAGGGTTCGTCTATGTTGTAGCATAACAGTACTTCATTCTTTACTACAACTGAGCAATATTCCATTTTATGGCTAGCCCACATTTTGGTGGACATTTGGGTTGTTTCCACTGTTTGGCTATTGTGGATAACACTGCTCAGAACATTCACGTCCAAGCTCTTGTGCGGGGAGCTGTGGGGTTTTACGGCAGCAGCTGGCCAGACTCTGAGGGAGCATCATGCCTGATATTGTAGGAAAATGCTTTTCTTTCTCTCCTTTTGCTTCTAGTCAGAATTCCTACAAGAATCCAATCTGATCATGGCCAAGTTGAATTATGTGGAAGGTGATTATAAAGAAGCTCTGAACATTTACGCCCGGGTGGGCCTGGACGATCTGCCACTGACAGCTGTCCCGCCCTACAGGCTGCGGGTGATCGCAGAAGCCTACGCTACCAAAGGTGAGGCCCGTGCCTTCTAACACAGTGTCCCGTGACCTGGAGCCAGCAGCGCCTCTTCGGAGCTGCCTATTTGACCCTTGGCCCTTGGCTGGTGATGAACCTGGCAGTTCCCAGCAAGGCTGCTGGGGCCGCCCTGCAGCACATGCTGGGTCATGCTAAGCCCAGCAGGGATTTGTCCCTCCAAGCCAGTGGCCATCAGCTGTCACTGAAGGGGATGAAGGAAAAACATTTCAGCAAAGTTTCTTTCCTTTCTTTCTTTCTTTCTTTTTCTTTCTTTCTTTCTTTTCTTTCCTTCTCTCTCTCTCTCTTTCTTTCTTTCTTTCTTTCTCTGTTTCTTTCTCTCTTTCTTTTTTTTTGAGATGGAGTTTTGCTCTTGTTGCCCAGGCTGGAGTGCAATGGTGTGATCTTGGCTTACCGCAACCTCCGCCTCCCAGGTTTAAGTGATTCTCCTGCCTCAACCTCCCGAGTAGCTGGGATTACAGGCATGCGCCACCACACCCAGCTAATTTTGTATTTTTAGTAGAGAGGGGGTTTCTCCATGTTGGTCAGGCTGGTCTCGAACTCCTGACATCAGGTGATCCGCCCACCTCAGCCTCCCAAAGTGCTGGGATTACAGGCATGAGCCACCGCGCCCAGCTTCAGCAAAGTTTCTTGATAAGTAGTATGCAACTTCAGCAGGGGCCTTTCTTGGTAATTAAAATCCTGCACAGCATGTAGGGATTCATATCATATGGTCAGTTGGCCACATGGCTGATGATGTTTTTATTCATTAATGCCACCTCTGGGTTCATTAAGGCTAATCAGTTGACACACAGCAATCACTAGCAATCAGTCCTCTCTTAGTTAACTGTGTACCTATTCAGGGACAAGAAGAACGTGTAAATATCTCACTGCCATGAAGCAGTTTGCACTCTAGTGTGAGATAATGCAATCTCATGGGAAGAAAAAGTCTGGAAGCACAGGACACACAGATGATCGGACCGTTCCAAGCTGCTGCTTCCTCAATCTGTAATGGGCATAATCACACCCACTTCATGGGGCTCTTAGGAGGATTAAGTCAAATAATGTATGTAAAGCATTGATTGTGGTACCTGGCACATTCTAAATGCTGCATAAATGATATTTTAAAATCTCGACCAGGTGCGGTAGCTCACGCCTGTAATCCCAGCACTTTGGAGGCCAAGGCGGGCAGATCACCTGAGGTCAGGAGTTCGAGACCAGCCTGGCCAACATGGTGAAACCCTGTCTCTACTAAAAGTACAAAAATTAGCCGGGTGTGGTGGCAGGTGCCTGTAATCCCAGCTACTCAGGAAGCTGAGGCAGGAGAATTGCTGGAAACCCGGGAGGCAGAGGTTGCAGTGAGCTGAGATCGCGCCATTGCACTCCAGCCTGTGCGACAAGAGCGAGACTCCATCTCAAAAAAATTAAAAAAATAAAAAATAAAATCTCAACCCCAAACATGGCAGCAAATAGTAAAAGCTAGGGATGGGTAATACGGAGAGGTCACTTCAGGCCAGCAGGGCCAGGAAGGCTTCCTAGAGGAAGAGGGACACTTTGAATGGGACTTCTTAAGGCCATGGCAAGAAGTGGACTATCTGGAGTGGCTCCTGTCCTTCTGGCCATCTGCTGTTCAAACCACGTTCCGTGACTGACTGTGGCTGGCAGAGACCAGGGCCCTGGGTGGCGCGTCCCTCCAGCACAGTCATGAGCTGGCCATTGAGTGCTGCCAGCACTTTCTGGCTGAGATGAGGGGGCTACAGGTGGTCCAGCCTGTCTGACTTAGTTGTCTTCTGCAGTGTTGAACAAAGACCCAGCCCGGGGCACACTTGTTAAGAGCTTTGTGAAGGGGGTGATATATTCACCCAGTTCCCTGGGGACCCTTGAGTACTGCCAGGCTCCTCTAATTAATCTTCTAAACGTCCCCATGGGCTAGGAAAAAATGCCCTTGCTCTCGACAGGGCACTCTGGCAGTTTAATGGGCACGCCCCTTTGAGGCTGCCTCTGGGGTCCTGACAGCATTCGGCTTTGTTTGCATCTGTCTGAGCTACGGGGAGTGCTGGGGTCTGTGCCACACAGCCACGCTCTTTCCTCCCTGGTGTTCACCCAGCTACCTCACGTGCCTCAGCAGCTGTGTGTGTGTGTGTGTGGCCAGCAACAGCATTCTGGAAGCACAGCAAAGCATCATCTGGCAATTTCCACCTGCCCAACTGCCCTGGGGCTGGTGAGTTGTACCAGGAGTTGGCTTCCTATTTGGGGGTGGGAGGTGGCTTTGGGGCCTGCCCAGTACCCAGAGCCCACGTCCTAGGATTGGTTCTGAGATAGTTTAATGGAGGCAGGCTGTCTACAGGTGTCACTGCCAGCTCAGTCTTTTGGCTGCCATGAAAGGTGGGCAAGGAGGACAGGCAACTTGGGCCCCGAGCCTGGCCCTGGGTGATATGTGGTCACCCCGCCCATGAGGTTGTGGCATTGGCTCTTGGGACACCTGCTGGCTCACGGGAGACCTGGCTCTGGCTAGTTTCTGACTTCTGTGAGTGCAGGTAGAGTCACATGTATACTGGGAGAGGGAAGGGTCACTTCTGCCTAGAGGAAGTGGCCAGCAGCCTGGGGGCTCCAGGCCCTGGAGAGCCTGGTGGGCCAGGTGAGAGACAGTGTAGAGGGACGGTTATGAGCATCGGCCCTGACCATCTGCCTGGGTCCTACTCAGTGTGTCACATGCTGGCTCTGGGGCCTTGTGCAAGTTCCTTAGCCTCTCTCTGCCCCTGTTTCCCCGCCCATCAAGCTCTCATTGGCTTGTCACGAGGACTGCATGAGATAGCACACATAAAATGCTTCTACAGTGCCGACACATAGTGAGCGCAACGTAAATGTCAGCTGAAGCTGAGTGTTGGGTGGGCCCTGAGGGACTAGAAGTGACTTGTACTAACAGGGCAATTGCGGGCCCAATTCATGGAGATGCCCAGAGACAGGCCTGCTCTCTGAGGAGTTCAAGAGGCCCTCAGTCCTAGCTCTGTGTAGGAATATTCTTGGCCCTTCTTTCTTCACCAAGGTCCCTCAGGATTTTTAAGGGGAGGCTGCTGTCAGGGGGTTCTCTGAATGTTGGTCCCTCCCCTAGGCTATGTGCACACTGCTCTAGGCAGTGCAATTGACCTGCACACTTTGTCACCTCAACTTTTCCCTGGTGACCTGAGGTCTGAGTTGGCCAGGGTTTTCAGATAGAGTCCCTTCCCCTGGCCAGCCAACGTTAGCCTTTGCTGATTGGGAATCGGAAGCCTGCATGGTTCAGCTCCCAGAACCTCCTATGGGCCAGCACTATGTTAGGGGATTTCCTGTCTCTTTAACTCTCCAAACCCCAAATTTACAGAAGAGAGAAATGAGAGGAGGTGAGGTTATGCAGAAGCGTAGCAGTGGCCACGGTGTACTGAGAGATTCCTGCGTGCCAGGTGTGATGCCCTTTATCCCAGTATCTCATTCACTCTTTTAAAAAAAAATAAAAATAAAAAAACGGAGTCTCGCTCTATTGCCCAGGCTGGAGTGCAATGGCACAATCTCGGCCCACTGCAACCTCCGCTTCCCAGGTTCAAGTGATTCTTCTGCCTCAGCCTCACAAGTAGTTGGGATTACAGGTGTGCACTATCACACCTGGCTAATTTTTGTATTTTTTTTTAGTAGAGACAGGGTTTCACCATGTTGGCCAGGCTGGTCTCGAACTCCTGATCTCAGGTGATCCACCCACCTCGGCCTCCCAAAGTATTGGGATTAAAGGCATGAGCCACCATGCCCAGCCTTCATTCAGTCTTTGCCACCACCTATGAGGTAAACACCATTATTCTTTCCATTTTACAGAAAAGAAACCTGGGGCACAGGGAGGTTAGGTAAACTTGCCCAGGGTCCTACAGCTAGGAAGTGGTTGAGCCAGGACTTGACCTCAGAGACTGGCTCTAGGGCCCTTGTTCTCTCCTCTGAGTGGCAGAATGGGGTCTCAGTCTGACACCCATGTTCCTAATTGCTCTCTTCTACTGGCACATGGACTGGAACTCACTTGGGCTGGGTAAGGTTTCTTCAGGGAGAAAACATTCAGGTCACTCGAGAATACCCTAGATTTGTACTCCTGCCCTTGGTTCCTCTACCTTAATGCCTCACCTTTGCCGGGTTTCCTCCTGTAAGTTCTGTCCTTCCAGCTCATATTGCTGTCTTCTCTGAAGCCCCCTGGGAAGAGTCAATGATATTTGATGTTGTCGTAGCACAGTACATTAGAATTATGTAAGAAATGACTGGAGTTGTACGCATGCTCACTTAAGGCGTCCTTCCCTTGCCAATCTAGCATTCCTAGAAGAAGGTCATCTACCAGTTACACTCCGCCATTTTGCCCCTTAGTGCGCATGCTTGAGCCCCTCGCCCAACTCCTGAGAACTAGTTGGGAAGCTGCTGATCACCAATTTCGAGTTTCTTCTATCTGCTGGGAGGCTGCTTTTTCCTGATGCAGGCTGCTACCAATTATTATTTTAGAGAAACAGTTAACAACTGCCTGACCATCACCTGATGGTCACCTGACATTCCTGGCGTGTGTGTGTGTGTGTGTGTGTGTGTGTGTGTGTGTCACGGGGGGCCCTCTCCTGCCCTGCTCATGCCTGACTAACTGCCTACTATAACAGGGCTACTTGCCTTCCTCAGCATTTTCTGTGGCCTTCTTTTCTGCATACACAGAGGAAAGTAAGCACCTATCTCTGCTTTATAAACAGAAACATAATTAATAAAAGAGACAAAATGAACAGTTCCCTTTTTAGTAAAATAAAATTTTTAAACCGGAAATTTTAAAATTTAAAATTTTTAAACCGGAAATTTTAAAAATGGGGCCTGGAAACAGCAGGGGAATTAACTTCTTTTCCAGATTGCATGGCACCAAAGCAGAGGACTGGCTCTGAAGAGCAAATGGGGCCAGCACGGTCATCTCCCACCAGCACAGTCATCTCCCATGCAGACATTTTATTTCCCAGTAGGGGAGACTGTGCCAGAGAGGAGAAGGGACTTGCCCTATGTCACACAATCCAGGACCAAGATGTGGGGATGTTTCTTGGCAGGAAATTTTTCCGTCAAGCTGAGTAACCTCTGTGCCCAGGTGGAGGAGCTGGGCTCCTCCTGTGCCCAGGAGGAGGTGCCCAGGTGTAAAGCACCATGTCGGGCGGTTTACAGAGCTCCTTTACCTTCTCCATTCCTCCCTGCTGCTGGGGTGGAAATTGCTCTTCCATGCAGTGGTTAAGGGCATGAAGCTTGGGGTCAGGCTGTCCAGGTTTGACCTCTGGCTTTGTCACTTACTAGCTAAAGGGTCTTGGGCAAATTATTTTCACCCCACTGGGTCTGTTTTCTCATCTGTAAATGGAGATAATAATAATATCTACCTTACAGGGTTGTGCAGGGAATGGGTGAATACATGTAAAGCACTTAGCACAATGCCCGGCAGATCAACAAATGTGTTATTTTTATTCTTATGTATCCCTTGGGTTTGACCACAAATGATTGGCCTCTTCAGATGCCCCAGGTAACAACATCTGGTTATGGGGAGAGGGGAGAGGCCGGCTTTTTTCCATGAATACATTGGTGCCTTAGTGGATCTGCTTTGTCAGGCAGAGGGTTTGACCATCAGGAAGTGGGACCTGGGATCCCTACATTTACGGGGAGAATTTTTTTTTTTTTTTTGAGACAGAATTTCACTCTTGTTGCCCAGGCTGGAGTGCAGTGGCGCAATCTCGGCTCACTGTAACTTCTGCCTCCCGCGTTCAAGTGATTCTCCTGCCTCAGCCTCCCAAGCAGCTGGGATTACAGGTGCGTGCAACCACGCCTGGCTAATTGTTTTTATATTCTTAGTAGAGACAGGGTTTCACCATGTTGGCTAGGCTGGTCTCAAACTCTTGACCTCAGATGATCCACCCGCCTCGGCCTCCCAAAGTGCTGGGATTACAGGCGTGAGCCACCGCGCCCAGCCTAGCGGGGGACTCTTTAGGGGAAGATCACATGAAGATCAGAGGCCTGGAGTGCGGCTTAGGGAAGGGAAAGTTGTTGCTGATGTTGGAGGATGGGGAGTACCTAGAAGTCAGGGGCAGCTGGAGAAGCTACCCACATCATCCCTTCTGCCCAGCTCCAGCCAGATGCTTGGCAGGCAGATGGAGTGAGCAGGTGTGCTCTGTTCACAGAGGGGGTGGAGGGGGCAGTGCAAATCCAAGTCAGCCTCGACAACTCCATCCCACAGGGCTTTCTGAGGGCAGGGCCTAAGCTCCTGCCTTAGGCATATGCAGAGGGGTAAACGGTGTATGCAGCGCTGACCGCCCAAGCCATGCTGCAGATCCATTTTCTAGTTTCTGCCAAAATCTGTGCATTAGGGCCTTTTCAGCTGTAGGTGAAAGAAAACCCAGTTTAAACTGACTTCAGTGGCAGCTGGCTTCAGGGCTCAAAGACATGGATTCTTCCTCTCTGTTTCCCCTCCCCTCTTGTTGCTTTCCATCTCAGGCCCCAGGTGAGCGGAGCGGCTACAGACTGTCATTGTCCTGGGTGTGATCCTCAGACATCTCGGTCGGGTTCTTGTTGTGTCTTATTGGCCCCAACTGGATCACATTCTCATCCTTGATCCAGTGACCATGGTGAAGAGGGGCTGGTCCCATTAGGGGGATCAGAGGTAGGGCAGTGTCCAGTGTCCATGACAGATGTCCACAGCAGTGGCTCCTCTGAATAGAAGCCTTTCATCATATAGGTCCAGGGCTCTTTATTTTTTTCTTTGAGGTGGCCCCTGCAGGGAAGAAGAGAAGGGAAAATCAGGGAGCAGCCAGGTGACTGCTCTGTGAGAGGGTCACTGTGGACTAGAGGTGACCTTGGGACCAGACCGTGTGAGGCCGATCAACACTGAAGGAATGGGGCTTTTTGGGGGAAGAGCAGCCTCCAGGGGTGGAGGAGCAGGCCTCACCTGTGTGGAGGGCTCTTGGAGGAAGAAAGACTCGGTCTGTTTTGGCCTCAGGGACAGGACCAGAGCCGGGCACTGGAAACTGCATGAAGTTCAGTGTTAGTCCCATTTACAGAAGCCAATTTCTAACCTCACAGCTGCCAGAGAGCTCAGCTGCATGGAGAGGCAGGGGTTCCCTGTGCCTGAGCATTTATTGAGCGCTGATGGAGAGTCTGGCATGGTGCGTGGTGATTTACCTGCGTGATTGTGCTTATCCTGAGAACAATCCCGGACCCTAGTATTATCGTTCCCTGCGGAGGGGTTAAGAGGCTGCTTTTCAGAGTTGAGATGGGATTCAAAGCAAGGCCTGTGGACTCCAGCATCCATACTCTTTCCACTTTACTGAGCTGCCTGTCAGTGGGAGCATAATCACTCATTGTGAGTGAGGATATGGTTGATGCGATTCTGGTGTGAGATAACCTGCTTAGCCTTGATTGTGTTCTGTGATTTGTGAGTGATTTAAGTCTGACTTTTCTTATCTGCAAAACAGAGCTAATAATACTCTCACAAGAGTACTGAGAAGACTAAATAAGACAAAATGGGAAGATGCTTTGAATTTATAAATCCAAGGTCAGTGGAAGGGGATTTGAATAGTCAGATCTCATGGACAGCTGAGGCTGGGAGCAGCAGGTGGCTGTGATGGCCTTGCCCCTCCTGTCCCTGAAGGCCCTGCCTGCCACGCTCCTTAGCTGAGCTAGCCAGCAATACTTCTAGCTGTCCCTAGTATTGATCTCTTGTTTCATCCCCCACAATTTTATTTTATTGTTCTTTTAAAAAATTTATTATTTATTTACTTTTTTGAAACAGGGTCACGCTCCGTTGCCAGGCTGGTGTGATCTCGGCTCACTGCAACCTCTGTCTCCCAGGCTCAAGCGATCTTCCCACCTCAGCTGGGACTACAGGCATGCACCATCCTGCCTAGCTAATTTTTGGTATTTTTTCTAGAGATGAGGTTTTGCCATGTTGCCCAGGCTGGTCCCGAACTCCTGAACTCAAGAGATCCTCCTGCCTTGGCCTCCCAAAGTGCTGGGATTACAGGCATGAGCCACTGCACCCGGCTTTATTGTTCTTAATATAGACAAAATACATGTGTTTTATATAAAATTCAGAAATGATGACTAATCAAAAGAACATAAAGATATCCATTACCCATCTACTCAAGGCAGTTGCTGTTAACACTACAGTGCATTTCCTTCCAGATCTTCTCTACACCTCCTGTATGTGTGAATTTTTTTATATAAAAGTGGGATTATACCACATATACTGCTTTGTGACCTGCTTTTTCTACTTCACTATAGATCGTAAACACTTTCCATGACAGTATATAACTTTCTGCAACATTTAAGCAGCTGTATAACATTTCATAGTATGGATGAAGTATAATCTATTTAACTAAAGCCTCTATTTTTGGACATGTAGGTTGTTTTCAGCTTTTCACTGTTATACACGAGGCTGTGATGAGTACCCTGTCAGCCTGGTCTCTGTGCCTGTTCTTAATGATTTCCCTAGGAGAGGTTTCCTGAAATTGAGTTTCTGGGTTGAAGGGAGGTATTTCCAGATTGCCCTGCAGAACGGTGGTACCTGTATGCTTTCCTTCCTGTAGTGTGAGGAACCAGCCTCCTCCCATTCCAGCCAACACTGAATGCAATCCCTTCGATTTAAAAATGAGCATTTATTCTTTAGCTGTGTATTGAGTGTAGGCTGTTTGGAAAATAAAGAAATATATATATATTTCTTTATTTATAATATATATATTATAAATATATACATAAATTATATATATAATTATATATTTATATAAAATTTATACATATAAATATATATTTATATATAAAATAAAGAAATATATACATATATATGTATATACTTAATATTTATTTTTAAATATTTATAAATAAAGTCAGGTACCATACTGTTACTTGAGCTGGTTAACCACTGTTACACACACACACGTGCACACACACGCATTATATGTATTTACTATTTTTATATACAATTGAGATTATGCTTTATATACTATTTTATATTCTTTTTTCATTCTGTGTGTGTGTATGTGTGTACAATTATTTTTCCACGTCATTAAATATTTTTGAAAACTTAGTTTGTAAAGGCTGCACGGTGGTGTGCCTTATGGATTTTTTTCTTTTTTTGAGACGGGGTCTTGCTTTGTCGCCCAGGTTGGAGTGCAGTGGCGCAATCTCAGCTCACTGCAACCTCCATCCCCTGCACCAGGCTCAAGAGATCCTCCTGCCTCAGCCCCCACAAGTAGCTGAGGCTACAGGCATGTGCCACCACACCTGGTTAATTTTTGTATTTTTTGTAGAGATGGGGTTTGGACGTTGCCCAGGCTGGTCTTGAACTCCTGGGCTTAAGCGAGCCTCCCGCCTTGACCTCTCAAAGTGCTGGGATTACAGACGTGAGCCACGGTGCCGGGCCTATGAATATTTTTGTAATAGCTGCCCATGAAACATCTAGGTCATTTCAGTTTTTATATTATAAATATACTCTATAGCTTTTCTCCCCAGTTTATTTTATTTTGGTAAAACACGTATAACAAAATTTCCCATCTTCATTATTTTTAAGTGCACAGTTCAGTGAGATTAAATGTATTCTTCACATTGCTGTGCAACTGTCACCACCATCCGTCTCCAGAACTCTTTCCCTTTTAAAAACTCATGAAACAATAACTCCCCATTCCCCTCCCACCCCCAGCCACTGGAAGACACCATTCTACTTTCTGTCTGTCTGATTTTGCCTACTCTAGGTAGCTCATATAAGTGGAGTCATGTGGTATTTGCCTTTTTGTGATTGGCTTACGTTTCACTTAACATAATGTCCTCAAGGTTCATCCATGTTGTAACATGTGTCAGAATTTTCTTTCGTCTGCATGCAAAATAATACTCTATTGTGTGCATGTACCACGTTTTGACTCAATTTGTGACCTAACACATGGTCTGTCCTGGAAAATGTCCCATGCATACTTGAGAAGAAAATTGGGTAGAGTGACTGTTTATGTCTCTTAGGTCTAGTTGGTTTATTGTGTTTTAAGTCCTCTATGTCCTTACTTCTGTCTGGTTGTTCTTTTTTTTTTTTTTTGAGATGGAGTTTCACTCTTGTTGCCCAGGCTGGAGTGCAATGGCGTGATCTCGGCTCACCGCAACCTCTGCCTCCTGGGTTCAAGCGATTCTCCTGCCTCAGCCTCCCAAGTTGGGATTACAGGCATGCGCCACCACGCCCAGCTAATTTTGTATTTTTAGTAGGGACGGGGTTTCTCCATGTTGGTCAGGCTGGTCTTGAACTCCCGACCTCAGGTGATCTGCCCGCCTCAGCCTCCTAAAGTGATGGGATTACAGGCGTGAGCCACCGCGCCTGGCCTGGTTGTTCTATTCATTCTTAAGAGAGGGTTATTGAAGTTTCCAACTACTATTATAGAATTCTCTGTTTCTCCCTTCAATTCAATGTGTGAATTTTTTGCTTCATGTATTTTGATGGTCTGTAATTACATGTGTAAATGTTTATAACTGTTGTATCTTCTTACTGTATTGACTCTTTATTAATATATAACATCCTTCTTTGTCTCTTATTTGTTTACTTATTTTCAGAGATGGAGTCTCATTCTGTCGCCCAGGCTGGATTGCAGTGGTGCTATCATAGCTCACTGTAACTTTGAACTCCTGGGCTCAAGAGATCTCCTGCTTCAGCCTCCCGAGTAGCTGGAACTACAGATGTGTACCATCATACCCCTACTAATTTTTTTATTTTTTGTAGAGATGGGGTCTCACTATGTTGCCCAGGATGGTCTCAAACTCCTCGTATCAAATGACTCTCCTGCCTCAGCCCCCTGGATAGCTGAGATTACAGAAGCATGCCACCACACTCAACGCCTTTTTTAATTTAAAGTCTATTTTGTTGGATATCAGTATAGCCATCCCTGCTCTCTTGGTTACTATTTGCATGAATATCTTTTTGTTTGTTTGTTTTGAGACAGAGTCTCGCTGTGTCATCCAGGCTGCAGCACAGTGGTGTGATTACAGCTCACTGCAGCCTCAACCTCCTGAGTTCAAGTGATCCTCTTGCCTCAGCCTCCCGAGTAGCTGGGACTAAAGGCTCATGCCACCATGTCTGGCTAATTTTTAAATTTTATTTTGTAGAGATGAAGTCTTACTGTGTTGCTCAGGCTGGTCTTGAATTCCTGGGCTTAAGCAATCCTCCCACCTCAGCCTCCCTGAGTGCTAGGATCTGAAATGTGAGCCACTTTGTCCAGTCGGAATATCTTTTTCCATTCTTTCACTTTCAACGTATTTATGTCTGTGGATCTAGAGTTTCTTGTAGACGGCATATAGTTGGATCATGTTTTTTAAATCCATTCTGTCAATCTCCATCTTTTGATTGGAGAGTTTAATCCATTTCCATTTAAAGTAGGTACTGATAAGGGACTTACTTCTGTAATTTGCTATATTTTCTACATGCCTTATAGCTTTTTTATCCCTTGCTTTCTGCATTATTGTCTTCTTTTGTTAGTTGATTTTTTTTGTAGCGAAATATTTAAATTTCTCATTTCCTTTTGTGTATATTTGCTAGCTATTTTCTTTGTGGTTACCATGAAGATTCCATTTGATATCTTAAAGTTTAACACTCTAACTTAAATGTATACCAGCTTGACTAACATACAAAGACTCCATTCCTGTAAAGCTCTATCCCCACCCCTTTCTGTTACCGATGTCACAAAATTATATCTTTACCCATTGTATACCCCAAAACATAAGCTAATAATTCTTTTAAGTGCATTGTCTCTTAAATTATATAGGAAACAAAGCATGGAATTACAAGCCAAAGTTATAATAATACTAGTTTTTGAGTAATAATTTTAAAAATATATTAGTCTCTTAAGTCATGCAGATAATAAAAAGTGGAGTTACAAACTATTGTTACAATAATACTAGTTTTATAATTGCTAATGTATTCACTTTTATTGAGATCCTTAGTTCTTTATATAGCTTAGAGTTATTGCTTAGTGTCCTTTCATTTCACCTTGTGTGGCTTCTGTGAGCATTTCTTGCAGGGCAGTTCTAGTGGTAAAAAAACTCCTCAGCTTTTGTGTTTACTTGGGAATTTCTTAATTTATCTCTCACTTTTGAAGGATAGCTTTGGCAGATATGGGATTCTTGGTTGATATGGTTTGCTCTGTGTCCCCATTCAGATCTCATTTTAAATTGTAATACCCATGTGTTGAGGGAGGGATCTGTATTCCCCATGTATCAAGGGAGGGAGGTGATTTGTTCATGGGTACGGTTTTCCCCATGCTGTTCTCCTGAAAGTGAGTGAGTTATCATGTGATCTGATGGTTTTGTAAGTGTTTGGAAGTTTCTCCTTCACTCTCTCTCTCTCTCTCCCCCACTGCCTTGTAAAGAAGGTGGCTGCATCCCCTTCCACCATGATTGTAAGTCTCCTGAGGTCTCCCCAGCTATGTGGAACTGTGAGTCAATTAATCCTCTTTCCTTTATAAATTACACAGGCTCAAGGAAGTTCTTTATAGCAGTGTGAAAATGGACTAATACATTGGTTAAGAGTCTGTTTCTTTCAGCACTTTGAATATATCAGCCTATTGCAATCTGGCCTCTTATGTTTCTGATGAGAAATCTGCTGATAATTTTATTGAGGATCCCTTGTATGTGACAAGTTGCTTCTTGTTGCTTTTAAGATTCTCCCTTTGTCCTTCAAAAGTTTTACTATAATGTGCCTTGGTATGGGTCTTTCTCAGTTCCTTTTATTTGGAGTTTGTTAAGCTTCTTGGATGTTTATATTCTGGAGCTGAAAAAGTACAATAAATGATAATTGTACTTTTCACTTAATATCTTTCACCAAATTTCAAAAGTTTTCAGTCACTATTTCTTCAAATATCCTCTCTGCTCCTTTCTCTCCCTCTTTTCCTTCTATAATTCCCACAATACATATGTTAGTTCTCTTGATGGTGTTCCACATGTTTCTTAGGCTCTGTTCACTTTTCTTCAATCTTTTTTTCTGTTTGTTCTTCAGTGTCTTAGTTATTTTTGTGCTGCTGTCATATAACACAAGAAACTGGGTAGCTTATAAAGAAAAGAATTTATTTCTCACATTCCTGGAGGCTAGGAAGGCCAATATGAAGGTTCTAGCATCTGGCAAGTGTCTTCTTGCCTTATCTTCCCATGGTGGAAGGTGAGAGGGTGAGAGAAAGAAGGAAAAGGGGGCTGGACTTCCTCTCTTATAATGAATCTACTCCCAAGATAATGGCATTAATCACTCACTCTGTCTTCATGGTATGGTCACCTCTCATTAGGCCCTACCTCCCAACACTGTTGCAATGGGGATTAAGTCTTGAGTACATCCTTTTAATGGGACACATTCAAACCATAGCACTTATTCTCAATAATTTCTATTGTCCTGTCTTCAAGGTTACTGCCTGCTCAAGTTTGCCTTTGAAGCCCTCTAGTGAATTTTTCATTTCACTTATTGTACTTTTTCAGCTCTAGAATTTCACTTCTATTTTTTATTGAGACACGGTCTTGCTCTGTCACCCAGGATTGAACGCTGTGGCACTATCACAGCTCACTGTAACCTTGAGCTCCTGGGCTCAAGCGATGCTCCTGCCTCAGCCTCCCAAAGTGCTGCAGTTACAGGTGTGAGCTACTGCACCCAGCCCAGAATTTCTTTTCTTCCTTTCTTTCTTTTTTTTTTTTTTTTTGGTATATAAACTATTTATTAACAGACAAGGCCTACAGACTTATTTCTTCTTGGACACACCCACAGTGCGGCCATGGCGGCCAGTGGTCTTGGTGTGCTGACTTTGGACATGAAGGCCCCAGGAGTGGCACAGCCCTCTATGGGCCCGAATCTTCTTCAGTCGCTCCAGGTCTTCATGGAGCTTGTTGTCCAGACCATTGGCTAGGACCTGGCTATATTTTCCATCCTTTACATCCTTCTGTGTGTTCAAGAACCAGTCTGGGATCTTGTACTGGCATGGATTCTGCATAATGGTGATCACACGTTCCACCTCATCCTCAGTGAGTTCTCCCGCCCTCTTGGTGCAGTCAATGTCTGCTTTCCTCAACACCACATGAACATATCTTTGGCCCACACCCTTAATGGCAGGGATGGTAAAGGCTGTTTTCCACTGCCCATCGATGATGGTGTTGAGTACTCACAAAATATGCTGGAACTTTTCAGGGATCACTAGAGACATGGCGGCAGTACAAGAGGTGGCACGTAGGCCTCCTGTCCAGAATTTCTTATTGGCTTCTTTTTAGGTTTTCTATGTCCTTTTTGACATTTCAATTTTGTTCATACATCATTTTCTTGACTTTCACCACATCTTCCTTTAGTCTCTTGAGCATCTTTAAAATGGGTGTTTCTTTGTCTGGTAGATCTGCCATCAGGTCTTTTTCAAGGACAGTTTCAGTTGATATATACTTTTCCTCTGAATAGGCTGCTCTTTCCATTTTTGTGTGTGTGCCTTCTGATTTTTTTTTGATGTTGTTGAAAAATAGACATTTGAATCTAATAATGTGGTAACTCTGGAAATAGGATTCTCCCCATTCTCAGGGTTTGCTGTTTTTGTTTATTAAAAAAAAAAAAAAACGTTGTAGGCTGTCTTTGTGCCAAGGATCAGCCTGGGGTATATATTTGAGGTCTTCTTAGGTCTTCTCTGAGTCTGTGCCTTTCCATGGGCATGCATGGTCAACCATCTAATTTTCCCCATGTATGTAGTTGCCTTTGAATGCTCTAGTCTTGAATGTCTGGCCCTCAAAAGGGAGAAAGAGAAAAATGAGGCTGGGGGAAAGGGCACTGGCCCTTTAAATCCTCTGGATGTCACTTCTGTTGGTGTATGTGGGGTGGCTTGCAATAATGAAGGGAGGTGCAGCAACAATGGCTACTGCCTCTTTTCTGCACCCCTGTGATCAGAAGCAGCAGTCAGTGATCAGAACACAGATACCCAATATTTGGAGGACAGGGTGCTCTTTGCCCACCCTAGCTCCTGCAAGCTTTATATTTGCTTCTCTAGGAATGTGTTCACAGCTTCTACTATGCTAAAAGCTGAAATTAACTGCAATTTACCATCAAGCTTTCCCCTGGAAATTGTAAGCCTTCAAGAGACCCTGGAGTTCCAAAATAGTTATATTGAACAGATTGTGCCAGTACAATAGTTGTCTATGTGGGAAGATAGATTCCTGGTGCTTCATAGTCCACCATCTTCCCGGAATTCTGTTTATAGCTTTTTAAATAACAGATTTATTGATATATAACTCATATACCATACAATTCAACCCTTTAAAGTGTACAATTCAGTGGGTTTTAGTATATTCAGAGTTGTGCAACCATCACCACAATCAATTTCAGAAAATTTTTATTACTCCAAAAAAGAAACCTTTACCCATTAGCAGTCACTTCCCATTTCCTGAACCCCCACCCCAACTCTATAGCCCTAGTCAACCACTAATCTATACCCTGTCTCTATAGATTTGCCTAGTCTAGAAATTTTGTATAAATGAAATCATGCACTTGACTTTTTGTATCTGGCTTCTTTTCATTTAGCATAAAGTTTTAAAGGTCCTTATATGTTGCTGCATGTGTCATTTCTTTTTGTGACTGAATATTACATTGTATGGATATACCATTTTGCATATTTTGTTAATCCATTCATCAGTTGGTGGACAGCAGGTTATTTCTATTATTTGACTATTATTAATAATGCTGCTATGAACATTTGTGTACAGGTTTTTTGGTGAACATAATCCCATCCAAAACATTTTGGGTTTTCATTTATCTTGGATGTATACTTAGGGGTGGGATTATTGGATTACATGGTAACTCTGAGTGTAAGTTTTTGAGGAACTGCAAGCTGTTTTCCAAAGCAGCTCACCTGCATGAAGGTTCTAATTTCTTCACATCCTCATCAACACTTGTTGTTATCTGTCTTTTTGATTATAGCCATCCTAGAGTGTATGAAATGGTATCTCATTGTGGTTTTTATTTGCATTTCCCTAATGATAAGTGGTATTAAGCAATTTTTCATGTGCTTATTGGCCATTTGTATATCTTCTTTGGAGAAATATCTATTCAGATTCTTTGCCCATTTTTAATTGGGTTATTTGTCTTTCCATTATTGAGTTGTAGTAGTTCTTTATATATCCTAAATATAATTTCTTTTACAGATATATGGTTTGTAAATATTTTCTACAATTTTGTGGGTTGTCTTTCACTTTCTAAGTGATGTCCTTTGAAATGCAAACATTTTTCATTTTGATTAAGTCCAGTTCATTTTTTTTTCTTTTATTATTTTTGTTGTTTTGGTTTTGTATCTAAGAAACCATTGCCTAGTCAAGTTTATGAAGATTTACTCTTGTGATTTCTTCTATGAGTTTTATAGTTTTTACTCTTAAATTTAGGTGTCTGATCCATTTTGAGTTAATTTTTGTATATTTTTGTGAGGTCAGCATCCAACTTCATTCTTTTTGTATGTGGATCTTCAGTTGTTTCAGCCCAATTTTTTGAAAATACTGTTCTTTCTCCATTGAATTGTCTTGGCATCCTTGTTGAAAATTAGTTGAGCATATATGTAAGTGTTTATTTCTGGACTCTCTGTCTGTACCACTGGTCTGTATGTCTGTGCTTATGCCAGTACCACACTGTCTTTATTACTGTAGCTTTGTAGTAAGTTTTGAGTTTGGGGAGTGTGTTTTCTAACTTTGTTCTTCTTTTACAAGATTTTTTTGGCTTACATTTCATATAAATTTTAGGGTCAGGTTGTAAATTAGTGTAAGAAATAATTCTTGGTAGGGATTGTGTTGAATCTGTAGATTGATTTGGGAAGTATTGCTTTCTTAACAATATCAGGTCTTCCAATCCATGAACATGGGATATCTTCTTTAATTTCTTTCAAAAATGTTTTGTAGATTTTTTTGGCATTCAAGTCTTACATTCCTTTTGTTAAATTTATTCTAAGAGTTCTTTTTTATGTTATTATAAGTGAAACTATTTTTTAAATTTCAGATTGCTCATTACTAAGGTATAGAAATACAGCTCATTTTTGTTTATTAATCTTGTATCCTTTAACCCTGCTGAGCTCATTTATTAGCTATTATATTGTTTTTGTGGATTCTTTAGGGCTTTAAAATATGTAAGATCATGGCATTTGCAAATAAAGATAATTTTACATTTTCCTTTCCAATCTGGATGACTTTGTTGCTTTGTATTGCCTAATTGTGCTGGATAGTATCTCCAGTACAATGTTGATTAGAAATGACCAGAGTGGACATCCTTATTTTAGGGGGAAAGCTTTCAGTTTTTCACCACTAAGATGTTAGCAGTGGCGTTTTCATAGATAGCCTTTATCAACTTGAAGAAGCTCTTTTCTATTTCTAGTTTGTTGAGTGTTTTTATCATTATAGGGTTTAGACACTGTCTAATTTTTTTATTGCATTGTTCGTGTAATTTTTGTGCTTTATTTTTTAAATATTGCATTTTACGTTGAATGATTTTCATATATTAAACCAACCTTGCATTCCTGAATTAAATCCCATTTGGTCATGGTATATGATTTTTTAATGCATTGCTAGGTTCCATATGCTAATATTTTGTAGGGGATTTTAATACCTATATTCATAATAGATATTGGTGGTATTCTTGTGATGCCTTTGGTTTTAGTGTCAATGTTACGCTGGTGTCATAGGATGAGTTGTGAAGTGTTCCCTCCTTTTCTGCTTTTTGGAGGAGTTTGTGAAGAATTGGTGGTAGTTCTTTAAGTATTTGGTACAGTTCACCAAGGAAGCCATCTGACCCTGGGCTTTTCTTTGTAGACATTGTTTGATTGCTAATTCAATCTCTAGTTACCCTGTTGTTTTAATAGATTTTAATAGCCTTTACTTGCTCTCCCTGTTCTTTTGTATGGTATGTTTTCATTGGAGCCCTTAGCCTCTTGGTCATGGCAAACAGCCCTGATCCAAAAGTAGTTATCTTTAGTTATTTCCCAGTTTCAGGCGTGATGGCTTTGAGGAGTAGTCTCTATTCTGTTCTACAGCAATACTTTGAATAGGAGCCCATCTCATATTATAGAGCAAACCCGATACATGTCATAGTCAAGGGAAGCAATACTTCCTATATTTGCAATTGATTGACAAAATCAGCCTGGTGGATAAGTCCTATTTTTTTCTGCCAGGAAACTGCCAGCCCCTGACAAGTTTTAAGCAGGAGGAATGACTTAATTAAGTTTTTAAGCAAGAAAGATCTTTCTGGCACAGAGTGGAGAATAGATTAGAAAGAATTAAAGATTCTAGCGAAGGAGACTGGTTAAGGGGGTTAGTTGGATTTGGGCCCTTTCTCTGTTCTGTATTTCAGTGGGCTGAATTCTGCAGGCTTTTTCCCAGGTGCCCAAGTCAGTGGTTTCTGCCTGGGTTTGGTCAAGCAGAGGCACTGGTAGGAAATTGGAAGAGACAGATAAGCCAGGGTATTTCTCTCTGCCTCAGGCAGCACCTTTGCCAGCAATGGTGTCTCTTCAGTTGTCCTAGCTCCTGTCAGATGAAACCTTTCTCTGTAGTTTTAGTGCCCATTAGGGAGCTTCCTCTGGGTTTTGGCTCTCTATGGCCCCAGCTTCTGGGCTCTTAACTCTGCCTCCTCCCCATGTTCTTTCCAGTCCTAGGGATGTTAGTGGCTTCCTGCTATTTCAGAATTCTGGGGTACAAAACCATCCTGTTTGGCCTCTTATCTCTTTCATCTCCTATGCAGACAATTCCATACATTCAATTCCCTTTATTTGAAAGAACTAGAATGTTTTCATTATCCTAACTGTATCCTGACAGATATCAGAGGTATTGCAAAAGCCTAGATTCCAAGTACAAAGGGCTGAACCAAGGCAGGGGCAGGCAAGTGAGAATCCAGAGTCATTTGAAAGAGAAGCAGTAGGCCAGAGAGATAGGCTGTGTGTGTTGGGAGTTGGTATGGGAAGGTGGTTGAGGGAGGAATCCAGATGACAGTGAAATTTTTAGCTTAGCTCACTGGGCAGGTAATGATGTTGTCAAACCAAGTGAAGACTGCAGGAGTGTAATCGCCCATTGCATTCTTCCTGCCCACTGCACAGACAAAACCAACTCACTGAGACCAGGGCATTGCAATAAAGAGTTTAACTGACATGAGGCTAGCTGTGCCACATGGGTGATGGAGTTATTAATCAAATCAATCTCTGAAAATTCGGAGGCTAGAGTTTTTCAAGGATAGTGTGGCAGGCAAGGGAATGGGTGCTGCTGATTTGTTGGGGATGCAATCATAGGGGTGTGGAAAATGGTCTTCATGTGCTGAGTCTGCTTCTGGGTGGGGCCACAAGGCATGGCCCTGTGGTGGATCTGGTGGGGGTGATGGTTGTCAGAAATGTGAAAACCTGAAGAGATACCTCAAAAGGCCAATCTTAGGTTCTACAGTAGTGATGTTATCTGCAGGAGTAATTCGGGAAGTTGCAAATCTTGTGACCTTTGGAACAATGGCTGGTAATCACTTATGCCTTAGCAGAATTCAGGCTTCTCTCATCCTCCTAACCTGGTGGTCCTTCATTGGCAGTTGAGTTTTGGGGAAGTGTTATTATCATTTAAACTATAAACTAAATATCTCCTAAAGTTAGCTTGACCTAAGCCCAGGAATACCATAGTTTGGGGGTTAATGGCAAGATAGGGGTTGGTTAGATCAGATTTCTTTCACTGTCATAATTTTCTCACTGTTACAATTTTTGCAAAGGCGATTTCAGGAGAAGGAGCCCATTTTCCTTGGAGGGTAGAGGGAAGATACTGGATTGGTTGAACATGGTGGAATCTCTTTGTCCACAAGAGGGTGCTATCCTGGGGAAACATTGGAATTCTTGGCTAGTGCTCAGCATATAGGTTTCCAGGCTATTGGCTTGTTGGTCAGGATTCAGGAATAGGTCTGCGTATAGGTGCAGGACTTGGTTAAAACCCAGGAGTGGCTGAAGCTCATTTGGAGGGCATGGCTAGAGGCTGGGCCCTGCAAGGCCCCAGCAAGTAACAAGACAGCTCCACCTATAAGCACAATGCCCCCCAGGGCTCTGGGCTAGTGAAGGGGTGGAGGGATGCCGATGACACAGAGCTTTCCCCTGGGGTTTACAATGCCTGAAATACATGAGCATTTGGACATTTGTGCCGGATTTACATTCTCAGTTAAGGTGATGTTAAAATGTGGTGAAGAGTGTAAATAGTGGCCTGAGTGTCAGGACAAGCCAGTGTGAGGTTTAAATGTATCATGTTGAGATAATCAGGAGCTAATTATCTCGAAAAAAGAGTCATCCTCTCCCTTATTGCTTGAATCTCGAGTTCAAGTCCTCCTGCTAACCCTGGCAGGTCTAGGTATGGCATGCACCTCTGCAGACTGTGGAGGATATGTCCTAGTCTTGGCAGGCTGGCTGCATGTCCTGCTGTGTCCCACCCATCCTCTGCTCCAGGCTGCCTGCCTCCTTGCCCACCTGCCCTCACCCCTGCCAGGCCAACCCCCCACCTCTGTTTATCTTCTCCATCCATCTGGGAGTCATCTCTTCCCTGTGCTGAGTCCGCCCTTGGTGACACCCGTTGTTGCATACAGACCTCTCCAGCCCCGTTTGTCCACACCAATCTCTCCATCCTCTGATTCCACCTCTATTTATAGCTAGTACCATCTAATTTGGCATTCAGATTTTAATTATTTCACATCTGCCATTTGCCTCTCTCAAACTAGACTGTATAATTAATTAATTCATTAAATCAGCAAATATGTGAGTGCTTATTCTGGGTTGGGTGTTGAGGCTGTGTCATATCTAAGCTGCCTGCTTTATCTCCCTGCATGTGCGCCAGGGACAACAGTGCCTGCTGCACAGGGGTGCCTGTGACGGGGCCATTCTTTAACATTTTGCCCTGGCATCCAGGGGCACACTATTGAAGATAAACTCTAGCTGAATAACACACAAGGTGCCTAAGCAAAAGGGCAAACTTCTCAGTATATTCTGAGATCCACTCCATTTCAGAATAGGTTTTGGTTTGGGCCTGATATAAAAACAAATACTCTTGTGTCTAATGCCTCTTCTGCCTACACTCACCGACGAGCTGGTTCATCTCAATTTGTCAACTTTCAAGCTGTTTGGCTCTCAAGGGACTGCCTCCCACTGCTCATTTCCTCTGACAGCAGGTGACTCTCTGGGCCTCCTTAATGCAGTTTTCGCCTCTGCAATGTGTGGTGGTGGCCGCTGTAGTTTTTATTCTTAGGGTTTGGGTGCTTACTTCTAGGATCTCTTTGGGGCCTAGACTGCTACAAAGCTAGTAAGGTTGTAAGACATCACCTAGGCCAGACTCGTGTTTTATATTTTAAAACTCCTAGTACGGTGCTTGTTCCGTCACCACCCATCCCTTGGCTTCCATCGTTTCCAAACCATGTCTGGTGTTCATTTTCTTCTCCCAAATGTTCGTGATGCTTTGGGAATGCAAAAAGCATCCATATTTGGAAAGCTCAGAACTCTCTCGGGGGCGGGAGCAGAACACAGATTGTTCTGTGGAGAAGGAGAGAGTCATGTGCGGCTCAGAGCGTGGCTCTCCGGAGTGGGTCGGAGTGGGACAGAAGAGCAGGAAGGAAGCTGGGGCCGGCCTGGCTGGGCCTTCCTCGAACCAGGCAGAGGCAGGCAGCTGCCCTGCAGGGCCCACCGCAGTCTCTCAAGACAGACAGAGGAACGGTTTGTTGAGTGCCTACTGTGTGCCAGGTTCTGGAATTGTAAAAATATAATACATTATTAATAATGACTACAGCATTAAAATAATTCCTTCTAGACACTGTTCTAAGCACTTGTCCCTTACCTCCCTTTATCCTCACAACAACTCCAGAGCTAGAGACAGGAATAGAGCCCCCATTTGAGAAGGGGAGTGAGGGGTGCCTGCTTCCTGGACTGCGGCTAGCAGGTCATTTGGGGAGGGGCTCCCAGGTGCAGATTCCGCCGAGTCCGGACTGAAGGAGGACACGTCGATCCTGGTGTGCTGGGAGGTGCCTTAGTTTGCGTTTAGCGGCCTGTGAACGAGTCTTGGGACCTCTAAAAGCTGACTCAGGGCCACATCAGCTAGGACTCGCTGCTAGCTGCCGCCCAAGGTCGTCCCGCAGCCCCTCGGCAGCCGCCGCCAGGGGTCGCGGGAGCCGCGTTCTAGCGCAGTCGCGCGCCACAGTTGCGCATGCGCGGAGCTGCTCCGGGCGTCCTCGGCCGGGTCGGCCTTGGGACCGTGCCCCCCCTGCCCCGCCCCGCCCATCTCCCCTCCCCTCGCGTTTCGCCCCGCCCCGCTCACTGCTGTCCCCGACCCCGCCCCGCCCCACTCTCTTGCCCCGTCTCGCCCCGCCCCTCCTTGCGCTCTCGCCCCGCCGCGCCCCGCCCCGCCCCGCCCCGCCGTCCTGGAGCCAGTGCCCTGCATCTCGCGCAGGTGCCGCCGCAGGACTGCAGGACTGGTTCCTGCCGCGGCCACCGGGACAGTGGTGCCCCAAGGCCGGCTGACCATTTGAAGCCCCTGTACTTGGGTTGATTCCGCGATTCAACTCGAGTTCAGGGATGGAGAAGAAAGGCAAACTTGCCAACTCTCTTGATTAACCTCGCATTAGTGAGCCTTCTTAGGGACTCACCAAGCCGAGCTCTCTGGGAGGCGTTCACACTCACAGGCCCTGGCTGTTCGCAGGCAGCAGCTGAGCCTTCACCGATGTGCCCCTTTATTGTTTTCTGAGACCATATTTATAGAGACTCTCGTAGAAGCTGACAGCATTTAATACGTTAAACATTCAATGCGTGGGTATTTACAAAGAGAAAGGATGTAAAGGTGCGTTTCCTGCTTTAGCAGGAATTGAAGTACGTCATATTTTTCGTGGACCGAAAATTCCTGGTCATAAGGACTATAAAAGCCCAAAGAGGATTTTCCTGGAGTGTTCCTTGAGAGATTCATGTCTTCAAGTGAGATCTAATCCCAGTCTTTATGAATTGGATATTTGCTAATGACCATGATCTTCTAGGTGTCATCCTAGAGCCGTAGGACAGACAAGTGACCACTGACATTGCCTTTTCCCCGGCAGAAAAAGTCTCCAGTCTGTTGGGAGCTGTGTGGCAACTGCTGTGGACCTGCTGTGGTAGTAAGCTCATTGGATCAGGATTTGCCCATGTGACCTTGGGCAAATCATCTCTGAGCTTGAATCTCCTCATTTGCAAAGAGAGGACAGGAGAGAAGATAGAGCTCGATCTTTTTTCCTTGAGAATCTGCTTTTCTTTTCTTTCTTTCTTTTTTTAGAGACAGGGTCCTGCCCTGTCACCCAGGCTGGAGTGCAGTAGTGCGATCATAGCTCCCTGCAGCCCCAAACTCCTGGGCTCAAATGATACTCCTACCTTGTCCTCCCAAAGTGCTGGGAATACAGATGTGAGCCACCGCGCCAGGACTGCTTTTCATTTTTGGAAACATTGAGATCACTTCGGGTGCAGTGAAACAAGTAGTTTTATAGAAAAGTCCATGAGTGGAGGGAACGGGGTGGTTCAGGGGAGCTTTCCGGGGTGCTTTCTTTTGCCTATGTAGGAAACCCAGAGATGTGGTAGTAGGGGTTGTGAGGGGGCGCTGTGGGGCCATGCCTGGTGGAGATCCACCACGTTAAGCCTTCTGCTAACTGTTTGTCTCTGACTCCATGATCTCTTCTGCCTCTTCCCATTCTGGATTCTGCTCATGGTGGGCGGCTAGATGGGTGTATTGCATGTGGCCGCTCATCTCAGGTTGCTGGTCAAAGCTTCCTGTTTATATTTAGAGAGTGTAAGAAGAGTAAGAACCCTTTTATTGCCACTGACCCATATTCATATTTAATGTTGCTTGTGTTAGTCGGCTCCTCATTGGTTCTCTTTTTGGAAGCAAGCAGGGACTTAGAGAGTCCAGAGGAAGCTCAGAGGGCTGGAGCTTTAGTTCAGGTTGGCTGAGGTGCTTGTTCTTAATTCTTCTGTGACACCATGTCTGTCTCAGTCACTGCATTTTTAACATTGTTTTGAAAACATTTCTCGGCCAGGCGCGGTGGCTCACACCTGTAATCCCAGCACTTTGGGAGGCCGAGGCAGGCAGATCACCTGAGGTCAGGAGTTTGAGACCAGCCTGGCTAACATGGTGAAACCCCGTTTCTACTAAAAATACAAAAAATTAGCTGGGTGTGGTGGCGCACGCCTGTAGTCCCAGCTACTCGGGAGGCTGAGGCAGGAGAATCGCTTGAACCCAGAAGGCGGAAGTTGCAGTGAGCCGAGATCGCGCCATTGCACTCCAGCCTAGGTGACAAGACTGAAACTGTCTCAAAAAAACAAAAAAACAAAAAAAAAAAACAAAAAAAAAAAGAAGAAAATAAAATAAAACATCTTTCTCTTCCACTAGAGGTGAAATTTCTCAAGGACAAAGAGATTTCTTAAGGGCAGAGTCCTGTTCTGTGAAGCCCACCCCTAGCCCAGAGTGCTGCCCGCAGTTGGTGCCTAGTGAGAATTTGTGGAATGGAGCAAGCACAGGACTCCTGTTCACTGGCTGCTCTCACTCCTTGCTATAGTTGGGGACCTCAGAGGCTACACTTACTCATCACACCAGTGATGAGTCCCCTCTTCTTAGGAAGGAAACTAGAACCAAGACCAAAATTACAAGGCATCATGTGTTAGTAAGGTTGTGGCTCTGTGCCAAAATGTGAACTGTGTTTGATTTTGAACGGTGGGAATATGGGTGGTTGTTATTGTCTTCTTGATGCTTTTCTGCATTTTTCAGCTACCCCTCAAAACAAATTGAGGAGGATTATCATTGTCCCAGGAAAGACATATAATGAGAAGAGTACTTATTGAGTATTTACTGCATGCCAGGCACTGGGCCGAGCCTTCTAACAGTCAGTTGAAACAAGTGCTATTTTGCTCATTCGCTTGATGAGGAACAGAGTCTGTGTGATGTTAAGCAGCTTGCTGCAAATCACAGAGCTGGTAAATGGAGAAGCAAGGGTTTGCATCCAGGTCTGTCAGAAGCCCAGACATTTTCTTGTTTTTTTTTTTTGTTTGTTTGTTTTTTTGTTTTTTTTAGTGACAGGGTCTTGCCCTTTTGCCCAGGCTGGAGTGCAGTGGCGTGATCATGGCTCACTGTAATCTTGAACTCCTGGGCTCAAGTGATCCTCCCATCTCAGCCTCTTGAGTAGCTGGGACTACATGTGTGCACTACCATGCACAGCTAATACAAACAAAAAATTATTATTTCTTTTAAAGATGAGGTCTCACTATGTTGCCCAGGCTGGTCTCAAACTCCTGGCCCCAAGTAATCCTCTTGCCTTGACCTCCCAGAACACTAGGGTTACAGGCATGAGCCACTGTGCCCAGCTCTGCATTGTCACTCTTAATATTTGACCCAGCAGTTCAGCAGTTACATAGTAGAGGTGATTTTTAGAAGAAAGATGAAAAATAATATAACAAGACAGGTTACCACGTGGTCCACCCTAGGTATATGTCTAATTCCGTCCCTAGGTGTATATCTAAGAGAAGTGGAAATGTGTGCCCACACAAGAGCCAATACCTCAATGCTCATAGCAGCATTCTTCATACATCCCCAAAGTGGAGACAGCCCCATTGTTCATCAGCTGATGAATGCGTAAATAGAAAGTGGTGTATCCGTATAATGGAATATTATTCGGCAATAGAAAGGAAGGAAGGTTTTGAGTTAGACAGAGGGCATGGTTGTGTAATAACTGTGAATGTGCTAAATGCTACTGAAGTGATCAGTTTAAAATGATTAATTTTATGTTATGTGAATTTCACCTCAATTGAAAAAAAAGGATGAAGTTCTGATATTTGTTATAACAGCTATGAATCTTGAAAACATTATGCTAAGTCAAAGAAGCCACATATGAAAGATCACATACCTTACAATTTCATTTCTGTGAACCATCCAGAAGAGGCAAATACAGACAGACAGAAAGCAGATTGGCGGTTCCCGGGGGCTGGGAGAAGGGTAGAATAGGGAGGAACTGCTGATAGAGATGGGGCTTTTCAAGGGGTGATGAAAATGTTCTGGAATTAGCTAGTGGCGACTATGTGAACATACTAAAACCACCGAACTGTACACTTTTAATGGGTGAATTTTATGGTATGTGAATAATATCTCAATCAAGCTGTTATTTAATATATACAAAAGTAATATAATAAACAAATACAATTCTTCTACTTGGAGACTTTCCAGCCTACTGTTGCCTAAATCTAATAGTGAGGTAATAAATAATAATAATCAGAGTTACTGTTTTCTGTGTGTCTGCTATATGCCAGGCACTGTTCTAAACACTTAGCATTTTTGCATATAAAATCAGCTGTGGATTAGAAAGCAAGGAGTCTGGCTTCAGATCCCACAGTCTTAGCTACTCTGCTGTACTGCTTTACGTATAAAGACAGATACATCATAGAGACGAGAGTGTGAGGTAGAGGCTGAGAACGAGAACTCAGGAGTTAGGCTGTCTGGGTTGGAATCCTAGCTCTGCCACTTACTTACCAGTTGTACACTCTTGGGTGAGTTACTTGACAGACTAGAGCCCTAGTTTCCTTATCTCCAATGTGGAGATTTTAGTAAATCCCCCCTCGTAGGGTTTTCACACAGGGTTCCCTCATAGCATTTATAGATGAATTATCACAAACTCTGAGAACAGTATCTGACATGTAACTAGCACCCAATACATGTTATCTTTATTACTATTATAGGGTTACTAAATAGAGACTGAAAGAGCATAAATTCAAGTTGCAAACTCTCAGTTAGTGAGCATTTCAGGTTGAGCTAGCATCTCATTTGCTCACAGAATTGTGGAGCTGGAAGGGACATTGAAAGACCATCTGCTCTAGCAGGGGAATGTCTAATCCAAGGCTGGCATCCTCTTCTTTTATGAGGGATGTGTGTGTGTTTGTGTGTGTACCTGTGAGCACACCTCCTAAGAAGGATATGCTGTCTCTGGCAGGAAAACAGCAATTCAGGAAAGCACTCAGAAGGGACCAACTGTGGCTCCCAGCCAAGAGACTTTCCTAAATCATAGATGCTCTGGATTGACAGGGACCTCACAGGGGATCCAGGCCGGCGTCCCTGTCCCTCTGCTTCCCCCCAGCACTTGGTGGTTTCCATTGGCATCTTCTCCTCCCCTCTACACCCCTGCACAGGGCCTTGTCCTCCTATTGAGCTAAGTCTATCTGACACCTGTGGGAGCCCAGCCTTTATAGAGGCAAGAACACAAGACCAGCCATCGGGGCTGCCCTTGCCAAGGCTTTGCTTTGTGTCTCTTGAATCTCTTTTCTTGAGTCTCTTTTCAGCCTTGGAAATTGAGACCCTTGGACGTTGTCTTATCACCTTTGAAGGCTATACCATGGGGCTGGGTTGTCAGAAACTTACCATTATAATAAAGGCTTTCTGGTACTTTCAGTTATAAACACCCCTGTGGGTCATGTTATGGCAAAGCATCAGGGTGTACCTGTCCCAGGCCTGGCTTCCAGAGATGTGGTTGAGATAAATGAGGAAGCAGTGCTTAGAGTTATAGTACATAGTTCATGTCATTATATTTTATAGTCTTTTCTTGCATTACATAGCTTTATAAGAAATTAATTTCCTGTCCATTTCAATGCAGTTCAAAAAAATCAAAATATTTGTTTTAGCTGTTAGTCTCTTAGACTTGTACAGCTCAAGGCAGTATCTCAGTAGTTCAACTCTTCATGACACAGACAAAGAATAGGAGGCCCAGCGATCTGGGGAATTGCCTAGGGTGATGCAGTTCTTGGTAGGAAAGAAAATCAGCACCCTAAAGTTCTAGACTTTGATTTCTTGCCTTTTCAATTTGAAATTCATTTTTGTTGTCATTGCTGTTATTGAACACTGAATAGGCTGCTGTCAACAGCTCAGTGAGACAGGAGATTGTGAGCAACACTTTGTAGTCAGATAGACCAGGGGTCGGAACCTGGCTTTATCATTTACTAGCTGTGGAGCCCTTAATTCAGTCTTATCTATAAGGTGGTGTTAACACCTTCCTCTCAGGGTGGCTGTGGGAATTAGAAATAGTGCCTGTCATATCCCAGGCATAGTGCTGGGTGCTGAGTAGGGCTTTGATAAATCAACCTTTATTATTATTGAAACTGAAGTCTTACATACCCAGATAAGGCTCCTAGCTGAGGGATCTCAAATCTAGACAGACCTGAAAGAATTTGGGGTGCTAACCCCTCAGTGATCACTGAATTTTCAGGCAATGAGATGTGTAGCTTTCTCCACGTCCTCAGCCAAACTTCCAGAGAATCTACAGGCCTTGGGGAGAGAAAATAGCTCCCTGTCAGAGGTATTGAGCCTGAATCTTTCTTTTTTTAAATTAAATTTTTTGTAGAGATGGGGTCTCACTATGTTAGGCAGGCTGGTCTCGAACTCTTGGGCTCAAGCAATGCTCCCACCTTGGCCTCCCAAAGTGCTAAGATTACAGGCATGAGCCACTGCACCTGACCCTTAATCTTGATGTGAAAGGAAGCAAGGAGTGGAGAGTCCGGTTTGTTATACTATATTCTGTTAGTTACATCTACATAGAACAGTTCAGAGGCTGGGCATGTTTGAGCTTTTAAAAGTATAGAGGGTCCTCAGCCTGCTACTCAGCTAGCTGCCCAGCACCCCTCCCCGTGTGATGTCCCATTGGTCTGCTGGCTTCTGTCTAGCACCTTTGCTTTCCACACTCCACCCTGTGCACTCAGCAGTCCTTGTTGCCCCTCTAGGACATTACCCAGAGCAGATGCATTGGCCCCAGCTAATGGGCTCCCTTATAAGGGGCTTCCACTTCTGACTCCTGCATGGACCTTGGGCAAGTCACTTAACTTTTCTGAGACTCTTATTCTTTTCCCACGAGATAGAGAGGAGAATAGTACCTATTGAACAGGACCAAACAGGCACATGGAAGGGGTTTGAAAGCAAGTGTAATTATAATTTTATCATCATTAATTTATTTAAAATGTGTTACCTAGGCTGGGGCCAGTGGCTCATGTCTATAATCCCAACACTTTGGGAGGCCAAGGCAGGAGCATCTCTTGAGGTCAGGAGTTTGAGACCAGCTTGGACAACACAGTGAGACACTGTCTCTACAAAAAATAAAAATAAAAAATAAAAAATAAAAAAATAAATAAAAAGAAATTAGCAAGGTGTGGTGGCATGCACCTGTAGTCCCAGCTACTCAGGAGGCTGAGGCGGGAGGATTGCTTTGAGCCCAGGAATTCAAGGCTGCAGTGAGCTGTGATTATGCCACTGTACTGCAGCCTGGTAGACAGAGTAAAACCCTATCTCTTAAAAATAAAGTAAAAGGTGTTACTCTTCTTAGAAAGGGCATTTCAGAAGTGAGTTTATCTGTGGGAGCGCTCTTGTGTGGCAGGGAGATAAATTTTGGGTTGCGTGGCAATTCATTGTTCTTTAAATCACACAACTCAGTCAGCCACTTTTAGCACTCATGCTTTACAGCTGGTCATGGTTGGTGAGAAAGCACTGAATTTCCACCCTTTTTGTACATCACTTTAACTTTGGAGATGTAGATCTTATTGAGATGTTTACTAGGCATTGCTGTCATACCACTGTTTTTCAAGTCTGCTTTTCACTTATTTTTGTCAGGCATGTCTCTGGAAAAAAGAAAATAAGTAAAAACATTATTGATGATAGCTTCCCAAATTGACAGTACATCATCTGACATTTTAATGGGGACCAATTTTGTCCATGACCTCAGGACTCTGCTTCTCAGACAGTGTTGATATGATCCTGGACACTCGAAAATTTATAGACCAGTCCAGAGGGCCTGTAAATAGCTTCTGACAGAGAGCTAAATTTTCTGGAACTGAGCTGCATAGGCACAAACTCACTGTGATAAATCAAGACTCTGCCATTGCTCTGAGATGTGTCCATGGAATAAATGTGTACATGGAATAAATGCCATAGCATGTGGGAGAGGGAAAGGAACAATACTTAATTAATTTAATACCTTAAAGGGCCTTCTGCTCAAGAATGGACTTATTGCTAGGAATCAATTTGCCAGCTGAGACTTTGAGTGTCCACATACCTGCCTAATTAGAACATGAACCCACAGGAAACACTAGTTTCTCCTCACTGTGGAGGATTAAGTTGTGTAGCTGGTTTGAATCTTCTTACTGACCATACATGACTGTGGATTGCTGCCCTAGATGATTGGTTTTCAAGTATTTTAAGAACATGATAAAATATAGATGATAGTAAAATTATGTTGAACTGGATTTGGCCTTTCTTTGATTCACTGGCTTGGCAGGTCTCTGAGAGCCTTGGTCATTTTCATGAGCATTAGTGGTCAGAGTCCAGCCTGAAGCAGTACAAAATGCCTAAAAGTACACTCAATTTTTCCTGACCCTTTGACATACTCTGGGGAATTAGTTTTTTAAATATTAAATCCCTGATATCAACTTGCACAGTATTCTTGCTTTTCATATAAGCAGAAGGCAGACTATGAAATGATCTATCTCTTTGTGTTGTTTTTGGTGGTTTTAATTTTGCGCAAGTGAGCACTTAAAGCATATTTGGGAAGGTAATGCTTCCAAATCTGCGATTTGCTTTTGAGTAGCTTTGGAACTATTCTGGCAAATGGTGAATTTGTTCATTTTATTTATATTCTCTTCCAATGAAAATGTCAAGAGGTTATAACAGTTCACACTAGAGAGAGGCTACTTATTGATTATTTTCAATTGCATAAACAACATTGGTGCTAACTGGAAAGAAAATGAATATTGAGAACCTAGGCTGGAGGGCCATTGAAAGTTATTAGAACCGTATTCCTTATTTCAGAAAGTTTAGTAAAGACGTGGATGGTAAAAATAGACCTACATCAAATTTCTAGAGATGAAAACTACCATGTCTGATATGAAAAGTACACTGGATGTGATTAATGGCAGATTAGACATTGCAAAAGAAAAGATTAGTGAACTTGAAGACATAGCAATAGAAATTATCCAAAATGAAAGAAAGAAAAATTATTATTATTGGCCAGGTGCGGTGGCTCATGCCTGTAATCCCAGCACTTTGGGAGGCCGAGGCAGGTGGATTGCCTGAGGTCAGGAGTTCGAGACCAGCCTGACCAACATGGAGAAACCCCATCTCTGCTAAAAATACAAAATTAGCCAGGCGTGGTGGTGCATGCCTGCAATCCCAGCTACTCGGGAGGCTGAAGCAGGAGAATCACTTGAACCTGGGAGGTGGAGGTTGCAGTGAGCTGAGATTGCGCCATTGCACTTCAGCCTGGGCAACAAGAGCGAAACTCTGTCTCAAAAAAAAAAAAAAAAAAAAGAAAAATTATTATATTTTAAGTGGAAAGACCATAAGTGATCTGTAGGACAACTTCACATGGCCTAATATGTGCGTAAAGTCCCCTAAGGAAGGAGGAGGGTGACATAAACATTTTTGAAGATAAAATGGCTGGATGTTTTTCAAATTTTATGGAAACTATAAACCATCAGTTCCAGGAAGCTCAACAAAGCCCAAGCACTTCATAATCTAAATTACTCACAACCAGTGATAAAGATAAAATCTTAAAAGCAGCCAGGAAAAAAGACATATTATATACAAATGAACAAACGTAAGGGTGATAGCAGAATTATTGTCAGAAACCATGCAAGTGAGAATACGGTGAAGCAGCACCTTTGAGAGTAATGGAGGGGGAAAAAAGCAAACTGTTAACCTGAATTCCATACTCCATGAAATTTCTCTCTAAAATTAGAGCTAAATTAAGTATTTTCAAGGCAGATAGTAGCTGAAAGAAATCAGCAGGAGCAGAACTACCCTACAAGAAATGTTGATACCAGGAGGAAATATGAATTTACACAAGAGAACAAAGAGAGCTGGAAATTATAATTTGGTGAATATACAAGAATTTTTCCTTATGATCTAAATGTTAAAAAAATGACTAAACAAAAATAATAACCACATAGGGTAAGGTTTTTAACCTGTGTAAAAGTAAAATGTACATAAGATAATAAAGGCTGGGAGGGGAGAAATGGAAGTATGTAATTGTAAAGGTCTTATACTATATATATGTGAAGTAGTATAATATCATTTAAAGTAGGAGCTGGGCATGGTGGCTCAAGCCTGTAATCCCAGCACTTTGGGAGGCCAACATGGGCAGATCACTTGAGGTCAGGAGTTCGAGACCAGACTGGCCAACATTGTGAAACCCTGTCTCTACTAAAAAAAAAAAATTAGCCATGTGTGGTGGTGTGCACCTGTAGTCCCAGCTACTGGGAGGCTGAGGCACGAGAATCGCTTGAACCCAGGAGGTGGAGGTTGCAGTGAGCCAAGATCGCGCCACTGTACTCCAGCCTGGGCAACAGAGTGAGACTCTGTCCCAAACAAACAAAACAAAGTAGACTATGCCAAATTAAACCTTGAAGCAATCACTGATATGGAAAATAAAAATTTTAGTGACTAAGCCAATAAGTAAAATAAAATGTAAAAATACTCAAATAGATGACAGAAAAAAAGGAGAAAAAGGAAAAATAGAACAGATGGGACAAATAAAAAACAAACAGCAAAGTGGTAGATTTAAACCTATCTGTTTAAAAAATTACATTAAATATAAATGATTTAAATACCCTATTTAAAAGTTAGAGATTGTCAGATTGGAAAAAATAAGCAAAACTCAACTCTGTTGTCTACAAGAAATACACTTTAAATACCAAGACACAATAGATTAAAAGTATAGATTAAAAGTAAAGGGATGATTAAAAGTAAAGATTAAAAGTAAAGGGATGAAAAAATTTAAATGCTAACACTAATCAATTCAAGGCTGTAGTATCTATATTAATATCAGACGAAGCAGGTTTTAGAGCAATGATGTCAATCCATCAAAAGAATATAACAATTCCAAAGGTTTATGATCTTAATAACAGAGTTCTAAAATACATGAAACAAAAACTGATAGCACTTCAAGGAGAAATAGGCAAATGCACAGTTATGCTTGGGGATTGCAATATCCATGTTTCAATAAATGATAAAACAAGTGGACAGATGATTGGTAAGGATATAGATGCCTTGGGACAACACAATATACCAACTTGACCTAATCGACATTTATATGACATTCCACCCAACAACAACAGAGTCACATTCTTTTCAAATGTAACATTTACCAAGATTGACCATATACAGGGTCAGAAACAAGTTTTAACAAAATTAGGAGACTTCGGGTGTGTTCTCTGGACTGTGTCAGAGGTCCTGAAGACTACCATCAGGCATTGATATACTGGAAAGACTCCCATAGCTTAGAAAAGCTGTTATACTCATGGTTACAGTTTATTACAGCAAATGGATACAGATTACAATCAGTAAAAGCAAAAAGGCACATAGGGCAGAATTCAGGAGAGACCAGGCTCAAGCTTCTGGTTTTCTTCTCCCAGTCGAGTCCTATAGACAGTGCTTAATTCTCCCTGCAACGGAGTGTGACAGTACTTTTGAAATATTGCCAATCAAGGAAGATTACCTGAGCTACCTTGGTGCCTAGGGATTTTGTTAGGGGTCAGTCACATAGGCATGGAGCACCCATGTTACTGACCTTAGTCAGTCTCCAGCCCCTGCAGAGATCAGACTGATATAGCATGGCCCTAGTCCTCTGCCATTAATAACATTGTTAGCATAAACTATCTGGTATGGCTCAAGGCTCCAAATAAACAAAGACACTTGTCAGGTAGGATATTCTGAGGGCTTAAGAGTTTTTCTCCCAGGAACTGGTAAGGGCCAGTCCTTCCTTTGGAATGTACAGGGTTTGAACATCCCAAGGCTCTAAGTCAGCCCTTTACTGCACAGATCATGATGGAATTAACTTGGAAATCAGTAAAAGAAAGACCTTTGGAAAACTCCCAAATATTTGGAAACTAAATAATACACTTCTAAAGAAGAAAGCAAAAGTTAAATTAGAAAATATTGTGAACTGAATATCAAAATTTGTAGGATGCTGCTAAAGCAGACCTTACGGAGAAATTGCTGACACTAAATACCTATATTAGTAAATAAAAAGGTCCAAAATTAATAATTTCCACCTCAAGAAACTAGAATAGGAAGTGCAAATAAAGCCCAATGTATTCAGAAGAAAGGACATAATAAAGATCAGAGTGGAAATAAATGAAATCGAAAACAGAAGAAGGATAGAGAAAAATCAATGAAACCAAAGTCAATGAAATCAAGGAATCTTTACTGAGAATTTCAGTAAAATTGATAAACCTCTGATATCAGGAAGAAAAGATAGAAATTGCCAATTATCAGGAATGAGAGAGGTGCCATCTACTAAAGATTCTACAGGTACTAAAGGATTATAGAATATTATGGACAGCTCTATACCAATAAATTTGACAACTCAAAAGAAATGGACAAACTATTTGGAAGATATAAACTACTAAAGCTTACTCAAGAAGAAAGAGACAATCTGAATGACCCTATATCGAAGAAATAGAATTTGTAATTGAAAAGCTGCTCATAAAGAAAACTCCAGGTCCAGATGGCTTTACTGGTGAATTCTATCAAACATTTAAGGACAAAATAATATCAACTCTACACAAACACTCTCAGAAAATCGAAAGAGAGGGAATATTTCTCATTTTATGAGGTTGGTATTTACCTAATATCAAAACCAGATATGGAGGCATTTGAAGGAAACTTTAGGCAAATATTCCTCAGAAACATAAATGACAAAATTTGAGGCCAGGCACAGTGGCTCACACCTGTAATCCCGGCACTTTGGGAGGCTGAGTCGGGCAGATCACCTGAGGTCAGGAGTTCGAGACCAGACTGGCCAACATGGTGAAACCCCATCTCTACTAAAAAAAAAAATTGGCCAGGTGTGGTGGAATGCGCCCGTAGTCCCAGCTACCTGGGAGGCTGAGACAGAAGAATCTCTTGAACTCAGGAGGTGGACATTGCAGTGAGCCGAGGTCGCACTGCTGCACTCCAGCCTGGGTGACAGAGCGAGACTACATCTCCAAAAAAAAAAAAAAGAAAAACAAAAATTGAAGGCAAATTTTAACAAATCAAATCCAAAAATATAAAAAAGGATAATTCATCTGGCCAAGTGGTATTTTTGCTGGGAAAGGAAGGTTGGTTTAACATTTGATGATCAGTCGATGTAACCACATTTAAAAACTAAAAGCAAAAAAGCTATATGATTATCTCAATGAACATGGAGAAAGGATTTGAGCAAATCCAACATTGATTCTTAATAGAAACTCTCAGCAAAACTGGTGTAGAAGGCACCTTCTTCAACCTGGTAAAGGGCGTCTAAGAAAAACTTATAATCTCAAACTTAATGCTTTCTGACTGAATGCTTTCTCCCTAATATCAGGAATAAGATAGGGATATTTATTCTCACCACTTCTTCTTCTTCTTCTTCTTTTTTTTTTTTTTTTTTGGGAGACAGGGTCTCCATCTATTGCCCAGGCTGGAGTGCAGTGGTGCAGTCATGGCTCACTGCAGTCTCAAACTCCTGGGCTCAAGTGATCCTCCTACCTCAGCCTCCCAAGTAGCTGGGATCACAGGTAGGTGCCACCACAGCTGGCGGTTGCTGTCACCCCTTCTATTCAGCATGGTACTGGAGATTCCTGCCAGTGCAATAAGGCAATCAATAGAAATAAAAAGCATCCAGATTGAAAAGGAGGAAGTAAACTGTCTATTTGCAAACAACATGATATTCTACAGCCATCTTCTGGCCCTCTAGAGCAATATTTAAAAATGAAGCCTTATGAAAAAAAATTCACTCAGTTTTTGTGTCTGATATTTTTTTAAGGACTTTGTTTGGAGAAGCTGCCTATTTCTTCTTCTACCAGTAATCTCCATGTGGACCGGGAACAGGATGTCATCACCTGTTATGAGAAAGCAGGGGACATCGCACTCCTGTATCTCCAAGAGATAGAAAGGGTAAGTGAGGACCACGTGTTTGTTCCTGATAACTTTTTCCCTCAAATCAGATAGTGGACAACTGAGATTAATCTCTAGGAAGCTTTCAACTTGTCTGTCTCTGTGTGCAAAGCTTTACTTGTACTCCTTAAAGCTAAGGAGAGTGTGGTAGTGATTGCTGTAGCTTATGAAAAATAGATGGTTGGGCCAGCGTGGTGGCTCACACCTGTAATCCTAGCACTTTGGGAGGCTGAGGCAGGTGGATCTTCTGAGGTCAGGAGTTTGAGACCAGCCTGGCCAACATGGTGAAACCCCATCTCTACTTAAAATACAAAAATTAGCTGGGCATGGTGGCGGGCATCTATAATCAGCTACTTGGGAGGTTGAGGCAGAATTGCTTGAACCCAGGAGATGGAGGTTGCAGTGAGCCAAGATTGCACCACTTCACTCTAGCCTGGGCCATTGAGCAAAACTCCATCTCATAAAAAAAAGAAAGAAAGAAAGAAAGAAAAATAGATGGTTCAGTGTTTGTGAAGCATTTTAGCATCCTCTGAGCAGAAATGACAGTGTGCATCTGTTCATACCTTCAGCACCCTGAAGCTGGCCAGCCACCCCTGTCTTCCTAATAAAATGGGTTGAGCTTCATTTGTACTTGTATGGACTCTGTGCCAAGACCTGTTCATCTGGGGCTTGGGAGGCCTTACCTTGACAGATATGGCAAAGGTGCTGGGGACGTGGACCGAAGTAGACCGAGCTGAGTACATCGGGTATCCCCGGAGACCATCAGGGATGGTCTCAGCCTTCAGTGCTTCGCCTGTGGTGTGGGTGATGGAAACGAGCAGCTGACAAGAGGGCCTCTGAGCAGAGAACGAGTGAGCTCGGGGTTCTAAGCTCGCAGCCTCAGACAGAGGAGGTTGGAGGCTGGAGGCTGGATGGGGCCAGGGAGGTGGAGGCAACATGCCTGTTTCAGATTCTCATCTTTGGGTTCTACTCTTTACTAAGTTTCTTCACCTCTCAGCCTCGATTTTTTCCGTCCATAAAAAGAACATAATCATAGTTCCTACTTCATGAAGCTTTTGTGAGGATTACATAAGGTCTTGTGAATAAAGGCACTTAGCCCAGATTCGTGAACATATTGGATTCTTGGTAAATGTCACTTATTTTTATTAATAACAATAGCTCCTAGCAGTTGCTGTTGCTGGCAGTGTTTCCTGGAGTTCTCACCAAGGACACTGCTATTGACCCCTTCAGACCCAGAGATGTACCCTACAAGAGTGTTTGAAATGATTAGAAATCCTATGAGACTTTGAAAATGATTGGAGGTCTTGTTTTCCAGCAATTTTCTGGGCTCCTTGTTTTTGTAAAGATTAGAATAGAGAGAGACTGCCAAAGTCTCCCTAGCTTTTGTTACTTTATAAATGAACAGACAGGAAGTAACTTTTTTTCATAAATCATATTGTCATGTGTTGGTGCATATGATATGCATCAGAATTGCCTTTTTAGGAGGCAGGGAGATTAGAGTGAGAATCACAGCAGGAGAGGTGGAGAGAGTGATGGGAATAACATTTGACCTGGCCTCAACCAGAATGGATTATAAGCCATGGTTTAAGATATCTGGGAATTCAGGAAGATACATGTCTGTCTTGCCAGAATTATGTTCTATCAGAAGGTTGCTATGAGAAGAGAATTTGTTGTTGTTATTCAGAATTTACGATATGATCTTTAAAGGAATGATCATCCAGGCTCCTTTAAAAACCTCCATTATTTCCACTGTCTGCCTCCTTGATGGACCGTGCTTGGCAGTCGAGAAGTCTGCTTATCCCATCTGAGTTGTTCCAGCTGACTACACAGCCCTGGCCACTTAGGGCCCTATCTTGCTGCTTACTCTCCACTGTTGTCCAGCCCTGTCACTTTGGAGCCGTCTTCTCCCGGCTGGGAGAAAGGAGGCTCATGTGTTACATGTGTCTGTAGTGATGTAGGAATTGGTAGATCTGAATACACTTCTGTTATGTTCACTCACAACACCCCATTCAGTGCTGGGTTCTTCAGCAGGAACATCAAGGAGGCTTGTATAGTCGTAGGATTTAAAAGAAATCCTTTTCTTTGATTTTGGGGAAATGGTGATCATAAGATGTTGGATTTTGAGAAGAAACTTGAGGTCTAGAAAGGGAGAGCCCAGGCACACAGAAAGTTAGGCCAAAACTAGTTTTAGAACTCCACTCACACGACACCTAGCTTAGTGCTGGCTCACTTTATTCTCCCAGGCTGCTGCAAACAAAGAAAAAGCATGACATTTCTCCACACTCTTACTTAGAGAAAGTGCTCAATAAGGCTGGGTGTGATGGCTCATGCCTGTAATCCCAGCACTTTGAGAGGCCGAGACAGGAGGATCACCTGAGGCCAGAAGTTTAAGATCAGCCTGGTCAACAGAGTGAGACCTTGTCTCTACAAATGAAGAAAGAAAGGAAGAGAGAAAGAGAGAGAGAGAGAAAGAGAAAGAGAAAGGAGGGAGGGAGGAAGGGAGGGAAGGAGAGAGAGAGAAACAAAAGAAAAAAAAGAAAGAAAGGAAGAAAGAAAGAAGCGAACGAAACGAAATGAAACGAAACTAGCTAGGCATGGTGGCAAGTGCCTGTAGTCCCAGCTACTTGGGAGGCTTAGGTGGGAGGATTGCTTGAGCCCAGAAGTTCGAGGTTGCAGTGAGCTATGATTGTACCACTGCACTTAAAAAAAAAAGTCAATAAATATGTTTTATTTGACCAAGTAAGCTTTAGCTTTTGGTAGCATTTGGGAAGCAGCTTCTTTAGCCTAAGGTTAAATCTCAGCGTAGGTACACGATTTTCAAATTTCTGGCTCTGATTTTCAAATTTCTGGCTCTGGCGTTTTCTTTTTTGGAAAACCAGTTTGGACCTCCCCAGATTTCAGCAAGCTGAGATATTAGCAATGAGAGAGATTGAATGAACCCAACATCTGTTTTGACTGTAGTAAGTACTCAAGAAACTAACTGTTGATTAAGCAGAAGGCTAGCGAGGAGAATAACCTTCCTTAGGTGACCAATGGGCTTGGTGGAAAGTTTGCAGGTTTTTATGTGGCAAGATAGTTGTGTGTTATGCAAGAGATACTTGATTGGCCTTTTTCTTTTTTTAAATGTTGAACTTAATTGACTTAATTTTGAACTCAGTAAGAATTATGTTGAATTGAAAACAGAAAAGGGGATGGAATCTGATCAAAGCCTTGAGCAATCCAAGGCAAATAGGGCTTTATTTTGGGATCAGCCCTGCCAGGTAGGAAATCACACACGCTGTTCCTGTTTGCTCCGCTGGGCAGAGGTGGCCTCTCCATGGTGCCCTGTCACTTCCCCGCCATTCTGTAGTGAAGAAACTTCTGCTCGCTGGGGCCTGTGGGCCTTTTATTTATTAGTCCTGGCGTTTAACTTTATTCACTAGCAAGAGTAAAATTTGGGGAGGGTTTTTGGAGACAGTTAGGAGTGTCGTGACCAGTGACTTTTCATAATTGTGCTTCTGAGGGAGTGCCGTTCTCTGAGTTTCTCTAGTAGTGGGGATGTTCAGTGATGTTCTGGGATGTTCTGAGTTGTTGGGTTCCTGAAGGGCAGTGACACTTCAGAACGAGGACTGACCTGGCTTCCCCTCGAGGGAGCTGACAGAAGCTGTGGGAGGCTGCAGAGCACTGCGGGTGAGTGACTGCCAGTGTTGGGACCCTGGCCTTGCCCCCTTTAGCTGTGGGACTTTGGGCAGTTGCTCAGCCTCTCTGTATCTCAGGATCCTCGTCTGTAAAACCGCAGTCCTAGTTGCCATGAGGCTGCTGTGAGGTGAGGTGGGTTAACTCATGTGCCTCCCAGCACATTGTCAGCATGCAGTAAATGTCAGCTCTCTTGCCCTTATCTGTTCCTGTGTCACCTGGCTGTGGAATCTTTCCTAACCTCGGACAATTTCAGATATTTAGGTTAAAATCTGGAATATTATAAACATACTGTTTCATTAAAAATGTTAAAGAGGCCGGGTGTGGTGGCTCACACCTGTAATCCCAGCATTTTGGGAGGATGAGGTGGGCGGATCACCTGATGTCAGGAGTTCGAGACCAGCCTGGCCAACAAGGTGAAACCCCGTCTCCACTGAAAATACAAAAATTAGCCAGGCATGGTGGCAGGAGCCTGTAATACCAGCTACTCGGGAGACTGAGGCAGGAGAATCGCATGAACCTGGGAGGTGGACGTTGCAGTGAGCCGAGATCGCACCACTGCACTCTAGCCTGGGGAACAGAGTGAGACTCCATCTCAAAAAAAAAAAAAAAAAAAAAAAAAGTCAAAGAATTTCAGGGGAATGTTTATGCAGTAACTTTTTCGGGAGAATTTGCTTTTCCCTTTCTTGTGCTGAAGCCAGTGGAACAACGTTTTGCCTGGTGTCCCCGTGTCTGGACTTCTCTGTTCACTCCTGGTCGTTTGACCTTGGTTTGTTTCTGTGTGCTTCCGGGGCGGTGCTCATTCTGCCTGACTTGCCTGGTTTTCTGGGGCTAGAGAAGTGGCCCTTGCTGAGAGCAGCAGCATGTGCCAGGCAGTACCTAGGAGCTTTCCAGGTGTTCCTCTGCCCTCTAGTTCCAGACCCAGAGGCGGGGCCAAGAAAATGGGAATAAATGAAAGCTATGTGCATCAAATATTTGTTTAATGTTGTCCTTGTTATATCAGAGTCACAGGGACACCTACGAATAGTCTCTGATAGTTTGTTTTCCGAAGGGGAATAACAGATAAACTACCCCTAAAATTGAGCATATAAAATAATTTAACCAAATAAATTACATTAGAGCAGATAGAAATGGCATAGGATGGCCTTGATTAGTTTATCTTCAGATGACGGCATTGTGCCAACAGTAAATAAAGTTATCCGCCCTGCAAGGAGCTTCTAGTGGTGCAGTGATGGGAATAAAGATGACTTCACCCTTGGATACCATAATATGAGCCCTGCTGTTGGCAGATGAAATAATCCTGTCTCTGTCCTTTGCATGCATCAGCCAACCAGCTGGTTATGGCTCTCTTGAGCAGGAGTAGAGCCAGGGTGGAACTTGACCTTCTGCTGACAGTTCATTTCTCTACACCCTATTTTAGAAAAGAAGTTAATGCTAAGTTATGGGGTACCCATGACATTTTATTGGCTGTTTTAGTGCTAAAGTTTCTAGAAGAAACACCAGGTCCCCAAATATTACAGTGCCCCACCTAGACTTCCCGTGTTCATGAAGGGGCTGTTCACTGGCAGCCTGGCCATGCCTTGAGTGGATTATGTTCTCCCGGCAGGAGGGATTTGCAGTGATGTCGCTGAGGTGTTGGATTCCAAACTGGATTAGATGCAGGTTACTGCCGGTCTTGAACTGGAACCAGGTGTCCTAGGAAAAGCACTCAGTGCTGCTGCTGAGAAAGGTGGGGCTGTGGCTCCAGAGGGCCAGGTGATTGTGCTTCTGACTTTAAAATGTGAGACAATAAAGAAAAGGCCAATTCCTCCTTTCCTTCCCGTTTCAGGCCTACCTTTTCACTCAGGCCAAAGCCAGAAGGGGACAGTTCATAGCTTGATGTAATATTTCCTTAAGAGATGTCCAGAAACTGACTGGCTAGGCAGGTGCTTCTGCTCTAGGCACTTCTGACTTTGAGCCCTTTATCTGGGAGCCTGGAGTAGGAGGTTACAACGCAGTGAAAACTGAGTTGGGAGAGTCTGGATACCAGGCAAGAGCAAGTGCTTATTTTAATTTTTGTATATTTCCTGTCTGTGTTTTTTTGTTGTGTTTTGAGGCAGGGTTTTGCTCTGTCGCCCAGGCTGGAGTGCAGTGGTGCAATCTTGGCTCACTGCAGCTTTAACCTCGCAGGCCGAAGCGATCCTCTTACCTCAGCCTCCCAAGTAGCTGGGACCACAGGCACGCACCACCATGCCCAACTAATTTTTTTATTTTTGTAGAAACAAGGTCTCTCTGTGTTGCCCAGGCTGGTATCACGTGTGTGGCCTCTGCGATACGATGAACGTATTGTTGTGTATAAGCTGTTGTAAATAATGCTTCCACGCCAACTTCCTTTGGGTTACTTTTTCTCTTGCTTCACATTATTTCCTAAGGACAAATTCTCAGAAGTGAGGATATTTTTACTATTCTTGTTACTCTGTATTGTGTCCAGTTGCTTTCTACAAGTTATACTAACCTCTTTTTTTTTTTTGAGCCAGAGTTTTGCTCTTGTCTCCCAGACTTGAGTGCAATGGCGCAGTCTTGGCACACTGCAACCTCCGCCTCCCGGGTTCAAGTGATTCTCCTGCCTAAGCCTCGAGTAGCTGGGATTACAGGTGCCTGCTACCACACCTGGCTAATTTTTGTATTTTTAGTAGAGACAGGGTTTCATCATGTTGGCTAGGCTGGTCTTGAACTCCTGACCTCAGGTGATTCGAGAGCTTGGCCTCCGAAAATGCTGGGATTATAGGCATGAGCCACCGTGCCCGGCCTCTACTAACTTTCTCTACCTATGGCTGTATGGGAGAGTAGTGGTTTCTTTGCAACCTTGACAGGGCTGCTATTGTTTAAAAGTTATTTTGCCGAAATTGCTAGATGAAAATGGTACCTTGCAAGTTTAGTTCACATTTTTTGGATTACCAGTGAGGTTGAAATTTTTTTAATACTAGTTATTACTAGTAGTATATACTAGTTATATTTCTATTTTCTTTTCTCAAAAATAGCATTACTGTTACCATACAATTCACCCATTTAAATTGTACAGTGGTTTTTAACATATTTCCAGAGTTCAGTAACCATCACCAATATTTAATTCTAGATTTTCATCACCTCAGAAAGAAACCTTGCACTCAGCAGTCAATCCCCATTTTATGGCCAGCCTCCCCAGCCCTAGGAAACTATTAATCTGCTGTCTGTCTCTGTAGATTTGCATATTCTGGACATTTCATAGAAATAGAATCATACATTGGGTGCAGTGGCTCACGCCTATAATCCTAGCACTTTGGGAGGCCGAGGTGGGTGGATCACAAAGTCAGGAGTTCAAGACCAGCCTGGCCAATATGGTGAAACCCCGTCTCTACTAAAAATACAAAAATTGGTCGGGCGTGGTGGTGTGCACCTGCAGTCCCAGCTACTTGGGAGGCTGAGGCTGAGGCAGGAAAATTGCTTGAACTGGCAGGTGGAGGTTGCAGTGAGCTGAGATTGTGCCACTGCACTCCAGCCTGGGTGACAGAGCGAGACTCCATCTCAAAAAAAAAAAAAAAAAAAAAAAAACAGAATCATACAATATATGATCTTTTATGGCTGGCTTCTTTGGCATAGCATCACGTTCTGAAAATTCATTCATGTAGTAGCATATATCAGTACTTTGTTTCTTTACATTGTTAAATAATTGTGCCATTGTGTGGATATGTGCTACATGGTATTTATCCATTCACCAATTGATATGCATTTGGGTTGCTTTTACTTTTTGGCTATTGTGAATGATGCTGCTATAAATATTTGTATGCAGGTTCCTGTGTAGACATATGTTTTCAGTTTTCTTGAGTATATTTACCAGTGGAATTTCTGGGTCATGTGGTAACTTTATGTTTAACCCTTTTTTGTCTGCTTATCCTTTTTGTCTAATTTTTGGAAGTGTTGTTTTCTTACAGTTTGAATAAACTATGTCATAAGTATGTTAACTCTTTATCATATTTGCTCTGAATATTTTCCTAACCAGTAATTTTCCATGTTTAAGTTGCTCATAAATTTTGAATCTGTATATAGTTGAATCTGATTATCTTTTTAATTATATTTTATTTTACTGTTTTTAAAGCTTGAATGTTGGAATAAACTTCCCTAGGATTTGATAACTTTCAACCATTTTCCATATATATGTATGTGTGTATATACGTATATATACTTTTTTTTTTTTTTTTTTTTTTAAGAGACATGGTCTTGCTCTGTTGCTCAGGCTGGAGTGTAGTGGGGTGATCATAGCTCGTTGCACCCTCAAACTCCTGGGCTCAAGAGATCCTCCTGTCCCTCCTGCCCCAGCCTCCCAGTTAGCTGGGACTACAGCCGCATGCCACTATGCCCGGCCTATTTTTAAATTTTTTGTAGACAGGTTCTCACTTTGTTGCCCAGGCTGGTCTTGAACTCCTGGCTTCAAGCAATCCTCCTGCCTTAGTCTCCCAAAGTACTGTGATTACATGCATAAGCCACCAAGCCTGGCCTCATTTCCTACCCACCCCCCCTTTTTTTTCTGAGACGGAGTCTCACTCTGTTGCCAGGGCTGGAGTGCAGTGGAGTGATCTTGGCTCACGGCTACCTCCGCCTCCTGGGTTCAAGTGATTCTCCTGCCTTAGCCTCCTAAGTAGCTGGGATTACAGGTGCCCACCACTACGCCCAGTTATTTTTTTGTATTTTTAGTAGAGACGGAGTTTCACCATGTTGGCCAGGCTGTTCTCGAACTCCTGACCACGTGATTCACCTGCCTTGGCCTCCCAAAGTGCTGTGATTACAGGCACTGCACCCGACCTCCTCCCCTTTTTTTAAAAAAACAGAAAACAAAAATTTTTTCACTATGTACAGAGAAACCTTTAAAAACAAACAAAAACAAACATACAAAAAACTTTTAATTTCCAAATGTAGTTGGGGTTCATTGTGGTATATATATATATATATAGCTCTAAATTAATTTTTCTCAATTAAAATTTCCCAAATTTCCAAATTTCAGTGCTACTTTAAGATGATCTTTCCTTTTCATATTTTCTGTCATATATTTTTAGTCATTCAATAAAATTCTGGCTTTTTAATTGTGTTGTACCAACATGACACTGTTTAATAGGCACTTCTTTATGATAGGTTTTAACATTTAAATGATTAGTAACTACTCATTACTTTTATTTTTCAGGTTATCCTTTGTTCTTATCTCATTCTAATACTTTCAGGTAAATTTTAGAATAATTTTGTTGAGTTCAAGAAAAATCCTTTTGGGATTTGGTTGAATTTTTAATTCCATACATTAATTTGGAGAATTATATTTAGTCTCCTGTCATCTATGACCCTCTTCCTATTTTGTCAAGATTTTTTTGTTCTATAGACTTTAGTAGGTTTTTTAAAAAAAAAAAATATTTAAAAAAAGTGATGAGGTTTCGCTGTGTTGCCCAGGCTGGTCTCGAACTCCTGACCTCAAGCGATCCACCCACCTTGGCCTTCCAAAGTGCTGAGATTACAGGCGTGAGCCACTGCACCTGGCCAGTAGGTGGTTTTATTCTCAGATCTTTTCTATTTTTATTGCTTTATGAATAGGATCTTTTTTTTTTTTTTGAGACAAGGTCTCACTCTGTCACCCAGGCTGGAGTGCAGTGGTGTGATCATAGCTCACTGCAACCTCAAGCTCTTGGACTTAAGCAATCCTTCCGCCTCAGCATCCCCAGTAGTTTGGACTACAGGTACACACCACCACACCTGGCTAATTTTTAACATTTTCGTAGAGACCAGGGTCTCACCATGTTGCCCAGACTGGTCTCAAACTCCTGGTCTCAAGCATTCCACCTTTCTTGGCCTCTCAAAGTGTTGGGATTACAGGCGTGAGCCACCGTGCCTGGCCTAGATCATTTTTGAAATTATATTTTAACATATAAATGTGCCTGTGATGTTTTAATTCACTTGCACAATCATGTATTGAGTGCCTTCCATGTTCTGGATACTGTTTGACTGCAGGGGCACTAGAATGGGTATGTCACAGAGCCTGCCCTTAAGTGGTTCACACCTGTAATCCTAGCACTTTGGGAGGCCGAGGCAGGTGGATCACCTGAGGTCAGGAGTTCAAGACTAGCCTGGCCAACATGGTGAAATCTTGTCTATACTAAAAATTTAAAAATTAGCTGGGCGTGGTGGCGCATGCCTGTAATCCCAGCTACTCAGGAGGCTGAGGCAGGAGAATCACTTGAACCTGGGAGGCAGAGGTTGCAGTGAGCCGAGATCGTGCCACTGTACTCTAGCCTGGGCGACAGAAACTCCGTCTCCAAAATAAATAAATAAATAAATAATAAAATAAATAAAAATTTAAAAAGAAGCTCATGAGGACACAGGTCCTTAGCCAGGAGGAGTGCTGTGGTGGGAATTCTCAGAGAACTCTGAGAGCTCCAGAAAAGGCCTTGGGCCAGTGTGGGAGTTCAGGGATGTCTCCTGGAAGAGATGATGCCTGAGCAGCATCTTGAAGGCTGACAAGGATAGCAGTGTCGAGGATGGCAAGGATGGTGTTTATTGTCCATAATACTGAAGTCTTCTATAGAAACAGAGTTGATGCTTTTCAAAGCATGATAGTGATCATAGCTCATTGCAGCCTATAGATCTATGAGGTGGAATGATTTTTGTCGTTGTTTCCTCCTTTCTTTTTTTTTTTTTTTGGGAGACAGAGTCTCACTCTGTCACTCAGGCTGGTGTGCAGTGGCGCAATCTTGGCTCACTGCATTCTCCGCCTCCCAGGTTCAAGCAATTCTCATGCCTCAGCCTACTGAGTAGCTGGGTCTACAGGCACGTGCCACCACACCTGGCTAAGTTTTTGTATTTTTAGTAGAGACGGGGTTTTGCCATGTTGGCCAGGCTGGTCTTGAACTCCTGAGCTCGAGGAATCCACCCACCTCAGCCTCCCATAATGCTGTGATTACAAGCATGAGCCACCACGCCTGGCCTGTTTCCTCCTTTCGAATATTTTCCATCTTATATGTCTCATGCCTTATTGCCATAATTTATAAAACGATGTTAAGAAATAAAGATTTTTATTTTGTTTCTACTTAAAGGTAACTCTTTAATATAGCTCCATTAAGGATTATACTATTTGTACAATAATGTATAATATTTGTTCATGCAGTTAATATAACTCCATTAAGGATTATAATATTTGTATAATAATGTATGGTATTTGCTCATGAAGTGAAGTTTCTCATTTGCAATTCAAACCAACCTTGTGAGGTAGGTATTATTATCCCCATTGTATAGATGAGGGCAGTGAAGGTCTGTGAGGTCAGAGGTGTTGTCCTAAGTCCGCGAATGGTGGGTGAGCAGTGTCAGAACCAGACCTCGCGCCTCGGTCTTTTGACTAAAATCTTCAGCCCCTTCCCCGTGCTTCCTCAGTCATTGGGTACTTGCTTCTGCCAGAGCCAGCTGCGCTTGTTAAGGACGCTTGTTGGCAGTCTCCTCGCTGGAAGTGTTTATCCACAGAACAAGTGGTGGCTTCAGCACTGCCAAACAATGCTTCTGCCCAGGCCCATGTGTTGGAGGCTCTTTGTGAGGAAGGGATTAAGTTCAAGATGCTTAGACTTCAGGGTAAGCCCTGAGCTATGCTAGTCCCTCCAAGGCTTCTCTTGCGTCTTTCCCATTCTCCCATTTATAACCTTAAGCCACCTCCTGGCTGCCCTTGTGTTTTGGACTTTGCTCTGCAAGCAGACACAGATGAAGGAGAAGGAGCCGGGCTGTGGAGTCAGGGGGATCTGGGTTTCTGCACCAGCTCCACCGCTCTCAAGCCACATGATTCGGGCACCTCACTTGGTGGAGCAGTCTCCGCTTCCCCTCTGGTAAAGAGAGGACAATGGTGTGTATCTCGGTGGGTTTTTGTGGAGGAATACATGAGATAGCGATGTACCCACATGGTGCCTAAGACACAGTGGGTTACTTTCCTGTTGCCTTTTCTCTGCATTTATGATTGGCCTTGAAAGTTTATTCATTTACTATGTATATTGAATGCTTATCCTGCACTAGACACTGGGTAAGTAAAATAGGCGTGGCCTCTGACTTTGTGGAATTTGTAGCACAGTGGAGAGAGACAGCCAGAAATCAAGTGAAGAAATAACAATGGCAAATGTAATGAAGGAATAGGAAAGGATGCTGTGGGCAGGCGAATAGGGCAGACTTCCTTAATGCCGATTGTTAGAAAAGGCCCTTCGGAGGAAGCAAGAAGCAGAAGCAAGCTGATATCTGAGAGATGAGAAAGAGGAAAAGGAGCTTAAGAGCAACATAATCCAGATTGGATTATGAAAAATTATTCAGGAGCTGGGCGCAGTGGCTCATGATCCAGACTGGATTATGAAAAATTATTCAGGAGCCGGGCGCAGTGGCTCATGATCCAGACTGGATTATGAAAAATTTTTCAGGAGCCAGGCGCAGTGGCTCATGCCTGTAATCTCAGCACTTTGGCAGGCCGAGGCAGTTGGATTTCTTGAGCTCAGGAGTTCAAGACCAGCCTGGGCAGCATGGTGAAACCTCATCTCTACAAAAAATACAAGAATTAGCCGAGTATGGTGGCACACACCTGTAGTCCCAGCTACTTGGGAGGCTGAGGTGGGAGGATCGTTTGAGCCTGCGAGGTTGAGGCTGCAGGGAGCCATGGTCATGCCACTGCCCTCCAGCTTGGGTGACAGAAATTATTCAGGCTGCTTATAGAGAGTGAGGGAAATAGGGAAGCAAGAGAGGACGTGGAGACTCCATTCAGGAGGCTGTTGTAGAAATCTAACAGGAAGTCCTGGCAGCTCGGATGATGTAATGGTAGTAGAAATGGATAGTCACAGACATAGTTGAGAAATAATTAGGAGGGACAAACTTTCTAAAGTGTAACTTTGGTTACACTTTAGTTCCTTCTGTTAAATTTAACTAAATTAAATATAATGATTTAAATTTAAAACTAGCATATATAACATGATCTCATTTTTTTGTAAAATGATTTTTATCTTTCTCTGCTTGATACATGTGTCCACAAAGATATCTGGATTGTCGTTCAATAAATGTTAACTGTGGTTATTTTTGTGTGATGGAATTGTGAGGTGATTTTTTTATTTTCTTTTTTGTGCTGTACTGAATTTTTTACTTTAAAATAATCATGGCATGTCAAAATTAAAACTATGCTGAAAAGCAAATGAAGGATGATTTTTAAAAGTTTCCGTGTTGGACCTCCAAGTGCAGCAGTTGGATATGTGAGTTGGAAATTCACAGAGAAAGTCTTGACTACAGCTATAAACTTGGGCGTTGGCAGCATACTGATGATTTTGAAGCTCTTAGGGATGGATGCGGTCATCTCAAGAGACCTAAGAGAGAAAGGAGTGTGGCTCCGATGGTGCCGCGTGCATCTCTGGCACTTGACGGATGAGTGGAGGAGGAGCCTGTAGTGGGTGGAAATGAGGTTCCCAGAGAGGAGGAACTCCCGGAGAGTCAGGGGTGCAGAGCTGAGGGCTAAGTCAGGACGGAGCTGGGCAATTTCTATAAGATGCTGGGATCCGGTTCACATGCAAGGGTTGCCCACCTGGGTTTCATTCCTCGATGTCTCGTTTATCATGTACCTTCTACCTTTCTTTTCCCCAAAGCTTGTGGGTTAGGGAACTAATAATTACTTCCACTCTGTTTGGAGACTAAGGTTTCAAGACCTCTAGGATGTTTGGGGTTTGGCAAACAACTGGGTCTTTTGAAGAGCTGCTGACTTTCAGCAAATGTGGACGGCATGTTTGGAGAACATTGGTTTTTATGTGAGCCACAAGTAGGCTTTCCTCTGAGAAATGCTTTGACTTGTGAGTTTAAAGAGAGTAGCAGCAGGCCGGGCGCAGGGGCTCACGCCTGTAATCCCAGCACTTTGGGAGGCCAAGGCAGGCAGATCACAAGGTCAGGAGATCGAGACCATCCTGGCTAACGTGGTGAAACCCCCGTCTCTACTAAAAATACAAAAAAAAAAATTAGCTAAGTGTGGTGGTGGGCACCTGTAGTCCCAGCTACTTGGGAGGCTGAGGCAGGAGAATGGCGTGAACCCGGGAGGCGGAGCGTGCAGTGAGCTGAGATTGTGCCACTGCACTCCAGCCTGGGCGACAGAGCGAGACTCTGTCTCAGAAAAAAGAGTAGCAGCTACATGTTTACACTTCAGTATACCCAACCCAACTTGCAAGTCTTCCTCCTGATTAGTTGGCAGTCTTTTGTGCAGGGCTAAAAAATTAAACCTTTAAAAACCCCATTATCTGTTGATAAGCTAAGAAGTCAAGTTTGGGGAGAGAGGGTGTTTTGCTCAGCTCTCCCTTTGAGAATAGAGGACTGCCACGCAGCCCAACCTCACCAGGTTGCAAAGCTGCAATGTCCCTCAGCTCTGGAGCCTGGTGAGTCTGCCTTTTTCTGGTTGATTCCAGGGCTAGTGCAGATCACAGCACTCATCAGCTCATCTTGGAGCTCATCAAGCTCATGCAGGGCTGCAGCTGCAGTCTGCCTGTGAGTGACCTCGGCCATTGGTGGATCACAACTATTTCCGCCCTTTGCTAGGACCCGCTTCCGTGTCCCCAGCCTTCCTGTCAGTATCCTGGCATTCAGCAGGGCCTCTCCGCCTCTAGTGCTTCTTACAGCACCACCTGCTCATCAGCACCCCCGACTCCTCAGCTTTCGGTACCAGGAGGGCCCTGTGTGCCCCTGGGTTGCTTGTTGCTTCCTGTCTAGTAGAACCATTCTCTCTGCTTTTCTAATGCTTGCACTTCTACACCTGTGCCTCTGCACTGATATTTGCCTGAGGAAGTTGGTTTTTTAGGTCGAGCAGTACATTTAGAGATAGGGTTTGAAGGAAGTAGGCTTGGATGTGCATCTGATTAGTTTTCCAATTTTCTCCCCTTCTAGGTAATACTTTCTAATATTCAAAACAGAAGCCCTAAGCCTGGCCCTGCTCCCCACGATCAAGAACTAGGTTTTTTCCTAGAAACAGGACTTCAGAGAGCCCATGTCCTCTATTTCAAAAATGGGTAAGCCATCTTCATTTTTTTAAATCCACTTCCTAAAGAAGGAAAGTAGAAAGCCTTACAATGCTGTCTCCAGTTTAGTTATTATAATAAAGGAATTTTAAATATGAACTACCATTGGAACTTTTTTTTTCTTTTAAAGAATGAACATTGGCTGTTTTTGTCTCTTCTCTACCTGGCTCTCTTGCTTTCCCATGAGATGTGAAGGTGGGAGAAGGGAGGGAGGGAACCCAAGTCAAAAGTACACAGCCTCAAGACCAGTGGGGTGGGCCTGATGGGAGCCATGCCTTCCCATGCCCTCCCTCCATGAATGGCTCTGCATCGGCCTCCCCATTTGTTAAGGAAAAAGTTAATGAATTGGAAATCCTGGCACACAGGAGCATCGCCCTTTCAGTGGCTGATCATTCAGGGAATTGGATTTGCCAAATCTCAGCCAGTTTTTATGAAAGTGAGTGTGGCTTTGAAAAGGCTTTTAAGAAAGGTTGAAGGACATGAACGGGAGGGACAGCTCTCGAGTGCATTTGATGTTTGTTTTCCTTTTTGTGTTGCTCTTGTGAGAAATGTGCTGATTCTGTTCCAAATCTCTTCAGTTATCCCTTGTTTTGACATTGTGCTGCAGGATAGATGTGCATGAAGACCAACAGTAGGTATCTGGTTCCTCTGTAGCACCCCCGTAGGCTTTGCATGGGAGGCCCCTAGAGGCCCGTTCCCCTCCTCTAGAGTAGTCCAGTAGTGCTTTGAATGGCAGAGGGGACCCAAGCCCCAGCCTCTGGAAAAATGAACAATGGAGTTGCTCCCTCTTCATTTTTAAGAGCTTCAAACCTTGGGGCATGGCTCTTGAAATTGGGATTTCATCTGCCTGGTGGCCCAGAGCCGCATGCGTCCATTTCCCATTAGTTGAAAATAAATGCCTATTTTTCAAGTCCTATTAAACTGCTTGTGAGAGAAGGCCTGCTTTGGTCCAGAGGCCTCTGGCTGAGGTCCACATGGCCTACAAAAGGCTGTGACACACACCCCAAGGTTTGCAGCAGCTCAATGGCCTTGGCACAAAGATGCTCTTGCATTCGATCTCATCTGCCACTGATTGAGATCATTTGAGCAACGGTGCACGTCCCCTAAGCTAAGATGAAGTTCTGTTTTCTTTGTTGTTATAAATAGAAGGAGAAGAGAGGGAACATGGAATATTTTTCTAGTGATGTTTCTTTTCCCTTTTCACGATAAATGGTGGTCATCACGGAGGAGCTCCCGGCCCTTGCCCTCCTTCTCTCTGACCTGTGTCTGTATGTGTTAATATGGAGGTCCGGACCCGGGAATTAATCCCCCTGGAGGTCCCAGGGGTACCATACCCATACGTTCAGTTGAAAATGTTTTGTGTGAGATTAATAAGAGTGGGTTGGGTAATTTATTTGCATCTTTGAAGCCTGTTCTTTGGGGAGAAAGGAAGACTACTGGGCCCTGAGACACTGGCTGCCCACTGGAATCCAACTAAAAAATAATAATGAGAGGTTTGCACTAGGTGATGGATTACATGCCATGGATTGCTTACTGACTCATTTCTCATTTTATTTTACTTTATTCGAGTTCAAGGAAATGCCTGTTGATGTAGCCTTAAGGGACTGCTTAACTTTGAAGCTTTTTCTCTTCTCTTGTCCTCTTGCTCTTCTCTCTGGGCTCTAAAGACCAGTGATGGGATTGGGCCAGGTACTCTCATTCTTTTTTTTTTTTTTTTTTTTTTTTTTTGCGGGGGGGACGAGGTCTTGCTATGTTGCCCAGGCTGGTCTTGAACTCCTGAGCTCAAGGGATCTGCCTGCCTTGGCCTCCCTAAGTGTTAGGATTACCGGCATGAGCCACCACTCCCAGCCCTGGGCCAGGTACTCTCAAAGGTCCCTGTTAGCTGCAGTCCCTGCTGGTGCAACTAGCTCAAGGCTGGGACGGTGCAACAGTAGTGAGGAATTACTTTTAGGAGGTGGAGGTGAGGGCCAGTTTGGGGGCCACAGAATATACCCCAAGGAGAAAAACCGTTGGGAGGTTTTGAACATGCCAAGTGCTGTCAGGGCTGCTTGACCCATACCAGTGGGCTACGCAGGGCCTGAGGGCCACAGCCAGGGCTCATTTGTCACTGGATGCCTACAGCAAGCGGGGACAGAATGGAGGTAACTGCTGTCCCTAAGCACCAGCAGCTTCCCACGCTTCCTTGTGAGGTACTTGCTCCCAGTTGTCTCACTCCTTTTGCTCTTCTGCAGTTTTCTTCTGTGTATCTGAAAGGATATAATGGACAGGATTGACTGATTTTCAGTAGTAGGAAAATACACTAGAGTTTGGCAATAAGAGATGGAATTGATGAAACACAATGTTTTTCTTTAGAAATATACTTAAATGTATACTCAGCTTTTTAGCTGTCATTCCTGAGGACTCACTGAATTATAGTCTTGAATCTGATTCTTCTAGAACTCTCCCATCTTTTCCAGAAGTCACTGCGGAACTGGTGGACTTGGGCATCTCTTTCAGAAAACCTGATGCCAGGACCAGTTCCTAAGCCCCTTCTGATGTGTTAGATCCAAGGGCTGCTTTTAAGTTTGGCTTAAACACTTGTCCTTCATGGTCACTGGTCCTCACAGCGTTGCCGCTCCACCATGTGCAGTGGGCAATGTGAGCAGTATTGCCCCTATTGTTTAGAAAAATTTAGACTCACAGGGGATGTGCCTTGCTGCAGTCACACAGTTCCTTGGGCTCCAGTCCTTTCACCACTGTGCCACTGTGTGGGAAGCGCTGTGGCTCGGTGTGGATGGAGTCGATGGGAGGGATTGACTGTCCATCACCCTCCCTCTGTGAGGGAGCACTTGACCCCGGACAGGACATCGCCCACAGACAGTTCCCAGCCTCTGTTGGTTGGGTGATTTCTCCTAAGGCTTTCCCCCGTGTCTCATCTACAGCGCGTCACAAAGCATCTCTTTCTCCTCGCCCTCCTCTCCCGGCCTCCCTTTCTGGCTCGTCCTCTTCCCTCTCCCACCCCTCTTTTTCTTCTCCTTCACATCTTTTCCTTCCCTTCCTTCCTAGTTCCTCCCTTCCTGGGCTCCCTCTTTCCTTATGAGGCAGGAGAGAACAGCTAGTTGTCATCCAGGCCGGTAACTTCCTCCACCTCCCAGTCCCGAGTCTCTGGGCGCGGTCTGACTTGGAATGTACCCAGATCCATTTCACATCTATTTCTCTTATCCCTCTGGGTGGCAGCAACAAGCCTGTTAAGGCTGAAAAAACATCTTGTTGAGGCTCCGCAGAGGGTGAAAGCAGAACAGTAGCCTCAGAGGGCCAGGATTGCCGCCTCTGAGGGCTCCAAGTCGCCTCGCCAAAGCAAGCGCTTGTGTGAGGGCAGCTCAGGTGCTGGGTTTGGAACCAGCCCTTTCTTCCTCTGAGTCTCAGGTTCTTTATCTGTGTAGTAGGGTGAATATCAGTCACCTCGGAGAGCAGTAGTGAGGAGCAAATAAAAATATGCACATGGAAGCACCTGGTGGGGTGTCAGGCAAACAGCAGGAGGTAAATTGTGACTTCCAATGGTGACGACGCCTGGCTGACTTACCAGCTGAAAGTGGGACCAGATTCAGGTCACGTCCTGGTTGCAGTGGGAGCTTGTGGAGAAGTAGATGACCGAGCCGGACATTGCCAGGGCTTGGAGGCAGGGCATTTCTTTACAGTGGCGCTGGCTTAAGGCAATGCTGCTCAAGGTGCATAACCATGGGCTTGGATAACATTCTAATCACTTTCAGAGAAAATAGGTGGGACTGACTGGTCTGACCGCGGTGGCACTGGGTATTCATTTCACAGCCCAGCTAGCAGCAGAGAAACGGCCTCACCCTCGGGTTCCCCTCGGCCTTCTGAGAAGATAATGTTACTCCCTACTTGAGTCATTGCCGCCAGAATTGCCAGAGAAGCTTGATTTGGGCATGTCAATCAATTTTGGATTTTTACCTCTTTGTAGAGTCAAGGTCTTATTCTATGGCCCAGGCTGGAATGCAGTGGTACGATCCTAGCTCACTGCAGCCTCGAACTCCTGGGCTCAAGTGATCCTCCTGCCTTGGCCTCCCAAAGTGTTGGGATTATAGGCATGTGCCACTGTGCCCAGCTGGGATGCCAATTAGTTACTGCAGGTTGCTTTAGGAATATTTACCCATCTTTTGTAAACAAAGGGTAGCAAAGCACATTTAAAGTAACCTTGCTTCTTGTTAGCTGTGTCAGGTGTCCTGGGTAGGCAAAACGGATTGTAGTGTGTTTTCACTGGCTTTGAATTGATTTTAATTCAGGTGGGGTGGAGATAAATTGATGCAAAAGGCAAATGACTGTCAGCCGGGAGATGCACCCATGGGGTTGTACCATTTTCTAGGTTACATCACCGAGTGCTGCATGGGAGGCCTTGACTCAGAAAGCAGGAAGTCAGGCAGGGATGGTTCAGACCTTGGGCTCCCCTCAGGTACTTGCAGCCAAGCCAGGGAATAAAGTGGTATGGAAGGGCTTTTGGACCTCTGTTTTTATAATCAAACAAATAGACCACTCATCACCACTATGCATCTACTTTAAAAAGCTTTCAATCTTCCCATATAATCTCTTTGCAATTGTTTAGCCCTGCTCAGTGTAACCTAGACTTAGAAGGCAGGAAAAGGAGTCCAAGAGGCCCTTCTGTATCCTATGGGCTGCTGAGGAGGGTGCTTCCTGGGCTTATGTCTCAGATACAACAGCAGCAGCAGCAGACAGGCTCCCACATCCCATGTGATTGTGGGGAGGTGATCATGGTGAGGGCGCCCGCCAGGACGTGAGCATGCTTTGCTGGATGCAGTTGTCTCTCTTGGTGCTTGAGCAACTTAGCCTTTGCATTCTGGCCTTCTGGAGGTCATCTTCCCTCTTGCAGTGGTAGCAAGTGTTCACGTTTAAAACTGCACACTACTTTTGACAGTAGGAGTCCACTGCAGTGAACATAAGAGAATTCACACACGTTTCCTGTAAGCATTTAATAACCACCACTTTTTTGTATGCAACCCTCTTCAAGAGATACGGAGATGAAAAGGAAATGGGCCTTGTCATCTGGCAGATGGTAGAGAAAAGAAAAAAGATGAAGACATAAACATTAGTACCTTTAAAGGTTATGACATGGTTCTGTAAAAGCATAAACAATGAAAGAACACCAGATCACTTTAAATGAGCTGAAGATTCCAGGCCCATTTATTCATGCATTCGAGTAGGGTCATTTGTTCATTCAGTTAATGAGGATTCATTGTGTACCATCCGTGCCAGGGCTGTGTTAGCCCGTTCTCTCATTGCTATAAAGAAATACCTGAGACCGGGTATTTTATAAAGAAAAGAGGTTTAATTGGCTTACAGTTCCACAGGCTCTACAGGAAGCATGATGCTGACATCTGCTTGGCTTATGGGGAGGCCCCAAGAAATTTGCAATCATGATGGAAGGCAAAGGGGGAGCAGGGCCATCACATGGCCAGAGCAGGAGCAAGAGAGTGAGGGCGAGGCAGGGTGCCACATACTTTTAAACGAACAGTTCGCATGAGAACTCACTCGTTATCATGAGGAGTACCAAGGGTGATGGTGCTAAACCATTCATGAGAAATTCACCCCTACGGTCCAGTCACCCCCTACCAGGCCCCATTTCCGACATTGGGGATTACATTTCAATATGAGATTTGGGTAGAGACACACATCCAAACCATATCACAGGGCCTACATTAGGTTGTGGGGACGAGTGGTGAAGAGAAGAGACAAAGTCCCTGCCCTCCTAGAATTCATGGAGAACTGAGTCTCATGGAGAATTAGGAATTAAAATAAGCCATTTCAGGATAGTTGTATGTGTTATCACTGGGGAAGTCAAGGTTGCCATAGAAGCAAACAGGAGCACTGCTCTGCTGGAAGGGCCATGTGATTTGGAAAGGGGAGTGAAGATTTGGAAAAGTGGGCTTGAGATGGTGTAGATGCCTACAGATGGGGAAGCACCAGAGGGACGTTCCAGTGGTTGGTAGAGTGTGGAGTTAGAACTGTACTCGGTATTGTGTGTATTCTACAGGATATGAGACCAGTCTGGCTGGAGTGATGGTTTCTGTAGACATCTGGGGATGTTCCTATAAAGCTTTCAGCATGGGACCTGGCATGCAGTGGGTTTGGTCAGTTATTCAACGAGTATTTGTTGAGTTCTGCTAAGTACCAAGTACTGTGCTCAGTACTAGTATATGTTGGCCAATATAAGAGACATAGTCCAGGCTCTCAGGGAGGAGACAGTCTAGTGAGGGAGACAGATAATATGTAAGTACTGGTCATATATAATTACAAATTGGAATAGGTGCTAGGAAGTGAATGGGTGCAGTGAAAGCAAATAACAGAAGGCCCCTGCTTAGATAGGGTGGCCTGGCCAGGTCTCCGGAGGAGGTGACATTGAGATGAGACCAAGACTTGCAGGGTGAGAAGGAACTAACCAGGTCAAGCACAGGGGAAAGAGAGCTCCAAGGAGTGGGTGCAAAATGTGCAGAGGTCTTGACCCGGGAAAGAGCTTGGAGTGTTCAAGAATCAGAAAGGAGTCCAATGTAGTAGAAGCATTGGAAGGAGGAGGGTCACAAACTGTCTCAGTCTGGCTTACCCAGAAGAAGGAAGGTCCACTGTGCAGCATATAGTGGGAGAGTGATGGTTGTCCAAAGAAAAGTCCCTGAGTCACCAGGACAAAGGGTAGGTGATACTAGGTGGTGAAGACATTAGATGTGTATCTTAGAGATAACAAAGGGTATAGAGACCAAGAGAAGTGGATGCATTTGAGATGTCTGTTAGAACTACTAGAGTTAGGACTGCTGGTGGATTGGATTTGGGGGACAGAGGGTAAGGGAAATGGAGGAACCAGAGATGACTCCCCAGTTTCAGCCTTGAACCATTGGTTAGATGCGTGGAGACAAGGAGAGGATCAGATCTGGAAAAGGAGAAATCAAGAATTTGCCTTTGGCATGTTAGGTTTAAGATGCCTGTGAGATGTCTAAGTGGAAGTGTCAACATGACCAGAAGACGGGTTTGACTTGAGTTATAAATGGGGAATTTCAGCATATTGATTATATTTAAGGCCACAGGATTGAATGAGATCAGTGAAGGGGCAGAGAGTAAAGAGAGAAGACAGCCCAGGACTTGGCCTGAAGACCTGCAAGAGTTGGAAGTTGAGTAAAGGAGGAGGATCCTGTGAAGGAACTGCCAGAGGTGGAAGGGAAATCGTGAGGGTGTGTCCTTGTGAAAGCCAAAACGGGAACCTGTGCTAGGAAAGAGGAAGTGGTCACCTGTGCTGAATGCTGCTTAGATGTTAATAAAGAAGACCAAATTGTGACCCCTGGATCAGATACCATGGAAGACATCTGTGACCCTGAACAAACTTGGTGGAGTGGTAAGAGCAGAAGCTGGACAGGGGAAGTTGAGGAGCAGATGATACAGGATGAATTGCAGCTCTGTATACAGGCCACTTCCTAGAAATGTTCTTCCCCTTCCATTTTCTTTTCTAAGGTGGAGTTCATGCTGGAAGGACCGATGGCAGAATGATGGTGGAAGATTAAACAGCAGGCTAAGGAATAGGGAATTCATTCTCTAGGTGTGGAGAAGCCATTGGATCTGGAAGGTGGGGTTTTGGGAAGGGTCAAGAACAGGGTAGTTCATTTGGCCACCAGGAATCTAGTGCCACCAGAGCCACGTCCCCCATTTTAGTAGGATCAGGTTCATTTTACTTGGTTTTTGGCCACAGGCTACATTTTAACCTCAGCAGGAACCATACTAGGAAGGTGGGGATGATGGAGGGAGGGATAGAGCCGGGAGGGACAGAGCCAGGAGGGAGTCTGTGTGAGAGCTGCTTTAACAGCTTCAGAATGGAAGTTGATGGAGTAGCGTGAGATATAGGGCGCCTTCCTGCAGCCTGGCCAGCTAAGGCCAACTTGGGGATGCCACATGTCGCCTGGGCACTCACATGTCTGGAAGACTTGACTCACCTAGATCGCTGTTCCACGCTCTTCATATGAGTCATTTCACTTTGAAGGGAGATCTTCGTAATAGTTGAACTGATGGTGCAGTTTCTATTCGGAAAATCCGGAAGCTCCAACAGCTGTTAGAGAGCATTTGTTTCCATCACTTCTCTTGATACATGAGATTCAGAGAAATCCTGTTCACTAATTATTCAACAAACATTGATGGAGACCCTTACTAGGTTACTTACTAGTGCCAAATACTGTTCTAAGTGAATGAGTCAGACCCAGTCGCTGGCTTTATGGAGTTTATGTATCATTGGGGAAACAGTTGATTAGCAAGGTAATATGATTTTCTTCAGGGTCACACAACTGACTAGGGCAGAGCTGGGACCTGTCCTCTTGCTCCTGTCTTCCAGTTCAGTCCTCTCATCAGTTGGGCCATACTGACCATGCCCTGTCAGTACCTTCTTGAAAATGGAGTCAGGAGCAGCATAGCAATATATTACACTTGAAAATTAAGGACCTTAAAAAGCTAGTCTATCGTCTTCTAATTGGTCTCACGTAATTAAAAAAATAAAGATAAAGCAAGTCTAGACGTAATTATGTATGAATAAAAAGCATCAGCCCGATCTTATCTGTTCTGTTTAAATGTGGGCTAGGTCTTGCTCATCCCTTAATGCCATCAAAACCTTAGTGTGGAAACAAAAGAATCTCTAACGATTTTAATTATGAAATTCCGAAACCCCTCTTTTCAGTGATGAATTGTGGAGACAGGTAATTACTTTCAGTGTACTTCACAAGTGCTAGCACTTAGTGAGGGTTAGAGATCTGATGCCGTCAGAAAGCTTCCTCAGCATTCAGCAAGATGGGTGCGTTTGTGTTGATCTCTCCTTGGTTTCAGCAGAAAAATGGGGTGGGTCATTCTAAGCTTCCAAAGTCGGGGAGGAGGTTAGTGATTGGCATTTAATTGTATCTCCCAAAGGCCCCTCCCTGCATGGTTTACCGGTGATATGCTGCCTCTTGGAAGGCAGGCTACAGTTCCTTTAATCACCACCAAGAAACTGGAATTCCTTGACAGATGAACTGGTTAGCATTTGTCTTGGGTAGTGGTTTTCAGTTTTAATGGGAGCAGGAGTGGAGGAATAGATTCCGTGCTTGTTTGTTTATCCATTCACATATTTATTCATCTGTCAAATATTTACGTGTCAGGAACTAGGGTCGAGACAGCAAATGGTCCCTGTGGAATTTCTAGTCCAGCAGGAGAAGAAAAAACAAGTAAATTACCAGTGGGCTATGCCTTTAGGAAAGGGGAAGATAATACTATTTTCTTTTCTTACCTTAGCTTTTCACCTGCAGCTTTTCTTTTAGAAAGATGGTTATATAATTTCGTGTCTAAAAGTCAGAGTTAATTTTTGTAGCATCTCCTGGTACCTCTTGACATAACGGGAGATTCATGCCCTGGGAATTGCTGATATAAGACCTTATCAGACGGCAGTATTTTCAGAGCAGCTCTTGCTCATGCTCTGGATGGGAGTATCGTGAATGAACACACTGCAGGAACACACCATGTGGTCTGAGGGATACTGCCCTCCGCTGTTGGTTTCAGATGATGTGTTACGGCATTCACTTGTTCTACCAGTGTTTATCAGCTTCCACTCTGAGCCAGGCATTCTTTGGGTGCTGGGGATAAAATGGTGAGCAGCCAGACAGGCTTTTGCTGTCAGAGAGAAATCAGATCGTTATACTCTTGGATGTATAACTATAGCCTAAGATAGTTACAGCATTGAGGAGGAAAGGTACCCATTTCTGAGAGTCCATTTTAAAATGAAATTAACCTACAATTGGTGGTCATGGGGGGTTTTCCTGAGGAAGTGACTGAGCAGAAACCTGAAGATGAATTGGAAAGTAGGAGCTAACTGGCAAAGGTGAGGTGGGGTGAAGGGAGTGGTGATCTTATTGTTTAGTCAGGGGCGTCCAGTCTTTTGGCTTCCCTGGGCCACATTGGAAGAAGAATTGTCTTGGGCCACACGTAAAATACACTAACATGAATGTAAGCTGATGAGCTTAAAAAAAAAAAAAAGGTCTGTGCATAAATCTCATAATGTTTCAAGAAAGTTTGTGAATTTGTGTTGGGCAGCATTCAAAGTCATCCTGGGTCGCATGTGGGCCACAGGTTGAACAAGCTTGGTTTAGACCCAAAAGAATCCTCAAAGGCATCTTGTCCAGCCAACTCATCCTTTATTCTCTGCTTTATTTTACTCCTTAGCATTTAACTGGCATCAAATACACTATAAGCCAGGGAATTTGTTAGGTTTAGTGAAAGATTCCAACTCACAAGAATTTCATAGGCTGCCCTTGACACCCATCTACTTAGATAGATATAGGACAGAACCACAAATTGCCAGCAGGGAAAGGTCAGGGGCTTCTTTCCACATGAGTTCTCCCAGCAGTCCCTACAGCCACCCAGGAGCTGCTCTGTTTGTTCCTTTTCACCTCAAGTGACAGCTCAGGTGCTAGGGAATGAGACTCACATTGGGTAGGTTTGCCATCTGCCCTGGCTTAACATCTCAGGCCCCACGTCTTCAGGGTCTTCCAAGGGATATGCTCAGTTGTAAGAATCAGCACACTCAGGGAAGCCCAAAGACACAGTGTTCCTATCAGGTATTTACAGTTCCTCCCAGTCTGGCTGCAAGTTATCAATCAGGGGCCATTTTTATCATAGGAAGTGTTGCCTAGTAACATAATTGACATTTTATCTTTTTAGGCTTTCTAGGGAAACAAAACTGGAAAGTTAACCTCAGGTTATTTTTGTTGTTTTTGTTTGTTTTTTTGAGGCAGGGTCTTGCTTTGTCACCCAAGCTGGAGTGCAGTGGTGCAGTCACGGCCCACTGCAGCCTTGACCTCCCAGGGCTAAGCAATCCTCCCATGTCAACCTCAAATAGCTGGGACTGCAGGTGCGTGCCACCAGGCCCAGCTAATTTTTGTTTTTTTGTTTGTTTGTTTGTTTGTAGCGACGGGGTTTCACCACATTGCCCAGGCTGGTCTCGAACTCCTGGGCTCAAGTGATCTGCCCACCTGGACCTCCCAAAGTGCTGGGATTACAGGCGCAAGCCACTGTGCCCGGCCAACCTGAGGTTAAATTCTCAAAAGAAGAGGGAAGGAATTTAACCCTTTGCCCCCATTTGTATTTTGTCTTATTTAATTTGTTTACAGTTGTCTCCCATCAGTAGAACCTAAGTTCCACTTGGGCAGGAATTTTGGTCAATTTTGCGTGGGAACAGATCTGTACCTGTATGCCCCAGTGTCTGGTGTATAGTTGTGCATCCATGAATGAATGAATAAATGGATGTACTTTTCATTTTCAGCTGAGACGGCTGTGGCTCATAGATGTCTATCTGAGAGTTGCATATTGTCTGTAAAAGTAGTTGATGTAACACCTGTGCACGTTGTGCTAGGTGCTGGGGATCTAAGGCCGAATAGGACAGCCCAGACCGGCTTCATGGAACTTACGGCTCCTATTCTTGTTTCTTTGTGGTAAAGCGGGAGATACACTACGACCACCTAGGTCTTCCTGGATATGATCTCATTCTGTTAAAGGAGAATGGTGAGTGCCAGGCATCAAACAATTTCCTTGACCTTAGCAAGAAATAACACATTTTCTGGAAAGATCATAGAGACCTCTGCTTTCTACCCTGTCTTTGTGGTTGGAGGGAAATACAATAACGGTGGCTTTATTAAGTGCCTCAAGCTGGCTCTGAAAGAGTCTTTTCTGGGAAGATCCTAGCCCAGTGGAAGTTTGGTCTTGTAGGCCTCCTTCCGAGGAGGGTGCCTAACCCACACATCTGGATGGGATTCCAGAGTTCCCGCAGCAGGAAAGGGAGCTATCATCTTCCCTGGTTTAGTTGTTGAGAACATTTGCTCCCACAGCCTCCCAGACTTGAACTTTTTTAAGACTTCAAATATGTAGCTCTTCAAGTTGAAACCTCATGGGGTGCAGCTGGACAGAGAAGCCCACAAGAGAGTTTAAGTGTGGCCTCTGCAGGCCGCCCCTCAAGGGCAGACCATTGAAATAACACATGAGTGTGGGGAAGAAGGAATTCATATCCTGTCTGGTCAAGAAGGAAGCCAAGTTTCACCCTCTCTGAGCCTGTCAGACTGTGGGGAGCTGTCTTGGTAATTTAGTGACATCTGCATCACAGAGGGGGTCCAGATGTATCTGTTGGGGAAGCAGGGTGGATGGGAAGGAGAGGAGGGGGAAGCATGCACCCCTGTTCTGGCTCTGGCCCAGAGCAAAAGCTCAATCACCTACCTGCCTTTTCCCTTCCCGGGTTTAGGTGTCAAATGCATTAGTATTTTACACGAAGGTGGGCTGGGGGTGGGGACCTAGCTCTTTTCAAGGGATATTTCCTACCTGTTTTTAAAAAATCATCCTTTTCCTCTCTATTCTTTTTTTGCAGTGATATTTTTAGTCAACTGTTAGAGAAAATTGCAGAGAGATTGAGCTAAAGCCCAGAAAATGACTGAGACATCTTGGGATAATTTATGACTTTTCTTAGGATACACTAGAGCCTTCTATTGAAAATGAGAGGGGATATAAATTTTTCTAAAAGTACCCACCTTTATATTTGTATGGCAATGTCTGCCATAGACCTGCCCACCAATAAAGAAATCTGTAATATGATTGTATGTTCTCATAGCAAATTCCTGCATTAAATTACAGGGTTTAGAAAAGTCACGGATTATTTCTTTTCTTTTTTTTTTTTTTTGAGATGGAGTCCCTCTCTGTTGCCCAGGCTGGGGTGCAGGGGTGCGATCTCAGCTCACTGCAAGCTCCGCCTCCCGGGTTCACGCCATTCTCCTGCCTCAGCCTCCTGAGTAGCTGGAACTACAGGCGCCCGCCACCATGCCCGGCTAATTTTTTGTATTTTTAGTAGAGACAGGGTTTCACCATGTTAGCCAGGATGGTCTCGATCACCTGACCTCGTGATCTGCCTGCCTCGGCCTCCCAAAGTGCTGGGATTACAGGCGTGAGTCACCACGCCTGGCTGGATTATTTCTTAATTGACATTTGTTTTTTCCACCTTCCTCTGTATTTTGGGTTTGAATTTTTACTTTTTATTTGTGAATGCCTTCTGGTGATGGTTCTCCAGGTCTGGTGTGGACACGCTGTATCTTTTTTTCTGCTAGCTCTTCCTCCTTCTGCCTCCCCCTGGCATAATTTGCGTCTTCTGTCTCTCTGTTCTGGCTGACTGATGGTTGTGGTAGCTGGTTCTCCTCTGAATCTCCCTGGCAAATTAGCAACAGAAGCAGTGATCCCTGCATCCTGGAAATAAGCAGTTAAAATACCAGGAAGAATCTAAAGCTATATTTTTTCTGAAGAATACCCAGAAAAACTCATTAGCCAGGCTTAGTAAAACCTGAATTACAGATCTTTTTAAAAGATGCAATTATACTGCTTTCAAGTACATTTTGAGCTAGTAAATTAAACACACATACACACACACAAAAACAAACAAAAAACTGTTGCCTACTCAATTCCATGAATGTTTATTGAGAGCCTGCTGGGTAAGCTCTGGGGATATAAGATGAACAGAAGCATTCTCTGAGCTATGGGAAAGACAAGGATGTCAATGGACAAAGATTCCTTGCTTGGCCAAACTTTAGCCACACTTCGAAATCTTCTGCTAGGCCCATCTGTACACTTCCATGTAAAATCCAGTTTTAGCAAAAGAATCTGTGAAGTCATTTTAGCCAGAATCCCCCATTCTCTAATACCTGATCATCCTCAGTGTCTGATTGGGTTCCTCAGCCACTACCATCCCCCAGTTGCTATCTGATCACCCTGGCCCGTCTTCAGCAAGAATCCTGTTAGATCGGTTTAGCCAGAATCTTTCCTACTCCTCATGTTTCCTCTTAGTGATTTTCCACCCACTGACCCCCACCCTCCTTCTTGGCTGTAAAGCTTCACCTGTTTAGGCTGTACTTGGAGTCTAGCCACTCCTTCCCTCCCACTGCAAGACCCAGTTGCAGTGGTCCCTCTGCCTATCGTGACGGACCTGAACAAAGTCCTTACTCTGCCTTAACAAGTATCATTGAATAATTTTTTCTTTAACACAACAAATAATTATATCACCCTGTGAAAGGCAGTATAATGAAGGTCTGTACTGGGGGAGAAGGAGAAAGGAGAGGAGGAAGGCGGAAGTATTGTAGTTAACTACTTGGGTGAATTCATTAGGTTTCTTAGAAGAATTAACATTTGGACTTGGTCTTTGAAGGAGGGATAAAACATACCATCTGACAGGGGTCTTGGGAGAAGTGGGTGGGGTGGTGGTCATGGTTGAGTGCTGAATCTACAAGGCCAGATACACTTTACGTGCTCGTGAGAGGCAGAGTTGTGCAGCACTGACTCTGGATCCTGCTCCTGGGTTCACATGCTTGGTCTCCTGTTGACCAGCAGTGTGACCTTGGCAAGTCCCTTCACTTTCTCTCTGTTTCAGTTTCTTCATCTGTAACTGGGGATAATAATAGGACCTGCTTCATAGGATTATTAGGCTGATTTAGAGAGTAATTTTAATGTGCTTTGAACACATTATCATTACACATAGCAAGTACTATGTAAGGGTTTGATAAATAAATAAATCAAACCCTACAGAGTAGAGGGTTTCCAGCTCCCATAGAGGGAAAGGCAAGAATTTGCAGCTAAGAAATCTGAGAAGGTGGCAGCACCAGTGGCAGCGTAGTTCTGGGTCTTCTCCTATATCCACGTAAAAAAAGACACAGCGACTAGAGAGCAGACCCAAAAGCTCAGGAACAACATTTAGAGCTAGACTAGGTGGCAGAGTATCCTCATGAGCCCCAACATACCAGCTGATGGGGACACACTACCAACAGCTTCACAGCTGGCATATTATTTGCATTTGTGTGCAACAGGGCATCGGATGGGTCTGGGAACAGGAGACCCTAAAATAGCCATCAACTATTTACTGGGAAGCTTGTCTGGCCAATTTGAGATAAGCAGCTGAAAATGAGAGGATTTTTGCCCAGCAAGGTCTAAGGGGCCAGAGCAGTCAGGCCCTTCTGATGACTTGAAACTGACTCACTAGGGCTCTGTTCTGGGACTGGGCCCTGCTACAAGAGAAACTGCTGAGAGCAGAGTGAAAATTGATCAAGAAGTGATGTAAGAGGTGAAAGAATGAGAAAATAGAGATGAAAATTGGGGAGGGGGAGATAGCCAGGAATTGTCATAGAGGAAGCTGCTATATTTTTAAAAGCAGCTTTGTGTATAATTCACATATTTAAAAACCCTATAATAATTATACAATTTGGTTGTTTTTAATAAATGTATATAGGCGGGGCATGGTGGCTCACGCCTATAATCTCAGCACTTTGGGAGGCCGAGGTGGGTGGATCACCTGATGTCAGGAGTTCAAGACCAGCCTGGCCAGCATGGTGAAACCCCATCTCTACTAAAAATACAAAAATTAGCCAGGCTTGGTGACAGCCGCCTGTAATCCCAAGTACTCGAGAGGCTGAGGCAGGAGAATCTCTTGAACCCGGGAGGTAGAGGTTGCAGTGAGCCAAGATTGCGCCATTGCACTCCAGCCTGAGCGACAAGAGTGAGACTATCTCTAAAAAAAAAAAAAAAAATTTATACAGCTGTGCAATCATCTTCACAATTCAGTTTCAGAACATTCCCTTTAGCTCGAAAAGTTCCTTGTGCCTGTTCGTCAATTCCTTCTGCCACCCCCTGCCCCAGGCAACCACTTATTTGCTCTGTGGCTCTGTGTCTATAGATTCGCCTTTTCTAGAAATTTTGCATAAATGTAATCATAGAATACGTAGTTGATTGTGTCTCACTTTTTTTTTCTTTTTTTGAGACAGAGTTTCGCTCTTGTTGCCCAGGCTGGAGTGTGATGACGTGATCTCGGCTCACTGCAAACTCCGCCTCCTGGATTCAAGTGATTCTCCTGCTTCAGCCTCCCAAGTAGCTGGGATTATAGGCATGTGCCACCACGCTCAGCTAATTTTTTTGTGTTTTTAATAGAGACAAAGTTTCTCCATGTTAGTCAGGCTGGTCTCGAACTCCCGACCTCAGGTGATCTGCCTGCCTCCACCTCCCAAAGTGCTGGGATTACAGGCGTGAGCCACCGCACCCGGCCTGTGTCTCACTTCTTTCACTTGGCATACTGTTGTTGAGGTTCACTCCCATCGTAGCATGTATCAGCAGGTCATTCCTTTTTATTGTGGAGCTGTCATTATTATTACATTGTATGGATATACTACATTTTTGTTTATTTATTTACCAACTGATGGACATTTGGATTGTTCTTGCTTTTTGACTATTATGAATGAAGCTGCTGTGAACATTCATGGGCTGATCTTTTTGTAAACATGTGTTTTCACTTCCCTTGGGTAGATTCATAGGAGTGGGATTGATGGGTCATATGGTAAGTTTGTGTTTCACTTTTTAGGAAACCATCCCATGGTACCATTTTACGTTCCTGCCGGCAATGTATGAGAGCTCCAGCTTTTTTTCTCTTTAGCTCTTGGCATTGTCAGTTTTTTGAATTAGAGCCATTCTAGTAAGTTTGTAGTAGTATCAGTAGTATCCCATTGTGATTTTAATTAATTTACATTTTTCTAATGATTAACAAAGTTCAGCAAATTTTCATGTGCTTCTGAGCATTCTTGCTGGGCGCAGTGGCTCATGCCTGTAATCCCTGAACTTTGGGAAGCTGAGGTGAGCGGATCACCTGAGGTCAGGAGTTTAAGACCAGCCTGGCCAAAATGGTGAAACCCTGTCTCTACTAAAAATACAAAAATTAGTGGGGCATGGTGGTGTGCACTTGTAGTCTCAGCTACTTGGGAGGCTGAGGCACAAGAATTGCTTGAACCTGGGAGGTGGAGGATGCAGTGAGCCGAGATTGCTCTACTGTACTCCAGCCCGGGTGACAGAATGAGTCTCCGTCTCAAAAAAAAGGTATTCTTAGTATTCCTCTGTGGTGAAATGTCTGTTCAAAACTTTTGCCCTGTTTTCAATTGGATTGTTGTCTTCTCATTTAGTTGTTGAAAAGTCTGTTCTTTTCACGTTGGATTGCATTGACACGTTAGTAAAAAAAAATAATTTAACATAAACATAAAGGTTTGTTTCTGGAGTCTCTATTTTGTTTCATTGATCTGTATGTCTGTCTTTAAGCCAATACCACACTGTCTTGAATATAGTAGCTTTATAGTAAGTTTTGAAATTAGGTAGTATAAGTCCTCCAACTTAGTTCTTTTTAAAAATTATTTTGGCTATTTTCAGGCTTTGACATTCCCCCATAAAATTTAGAATCAGCTTGCCAATTTCTGTCAAAAAAGAAAAAAAAAAGCCTGCCAGCGTTTTGATAAAGGTGGTACTGAATCTTTAGATCAATTTGGGCAGAATTGCCAGATTCACAGTAGCAAATATTCTAATCCAACCTCTCTCCATTTATTTAGATCTTCTTTGATTTCTCTCAAAAATGTTTTGTAGTTTTCAGCTTTTGTATTTTCTGTTAAATCCATTCCTAAGTATTTCATTCACTTCATGTGATTGTGAATTGCTTTCTTAATTTCATTTTCAAATTATTTTTTGTTATTGAAAACTTTTGATTTTTATATATGGATGTTGTATCCTGCAAACTGACTAATCTCTTGAATTAATTTTTATAATTTTGTAATAGATTGCTTAGGATTTTTACATATAGGATCATGTCATCTGTGAATATAAACAATTTTACTTTTTTCTGTTCAATCTCGATCCCTTTTATTTCTATTTATTGCCTTATTGCATTGTCGAGAATCTCCAGTACAATGTTGAATAAAAGTGGCAAGAGCAGACATCCTTATTGTATTCCTGATCTTAGAAAGCATTCAGTCTTTCACCATTAAGTATGATGTTAGCTGTAGGTTTTTGATAGATGCCTCTTGTCTCTAGTAATATTCTTTGATTTAAAGTCTGTCTTACCAGGTATTAATATAGCCACACTACTTCTCTTATGGTTACTGTTTACATAATATATTTTTTTGTCCTTTTATTTTCAACCTATTTGTGTCTTTGAATTAAAGTGTCTCTATCTCTTATACATAGCATATGGGTGGATCTTGGTTTTTTAATCTAGTATAAACCTTTTTGCCTTTTGAATGGATTGTATACATACACATTTAATGTAACTATTGATATGATTGGATTTACACCTACTATTTTTGCCCTTTGTTTCTGTATGTCTTATGTCTTTTTTGATTCTTCATTCCTCCTTTCTACCCTTTTTAATGGTTGTTAAAAAATAGTTTTTTAGTATACCATTTAAATTCCTCTGTTGATTTTTAACTGCATTTTTTTGGAAAAAATTTTCTGTTTTCAGCTGGGCACAGTGGCTCACGCCTGTAATCCCAGCACTTTGGGGGGCAAAGGCGGGTGGATCACCTGAGGCCAGAAGTTTGAGACCAGCCTGGCCAACATGGCAAAACCCCGTCTTCACTAAGAATACAAAAGTTATCTGGGCATGGTGGTGGGCACCTGTAATCCCAGCTACTTGGGGGGCTGAGGCATGAGAATTGCTTGAACCAGCGAGGCAGAGGTTGCAGTGAGCTGATATTGCACCAGTGCACTCCAGCCTGGGCAACAGAGCGAGACTCCATCGGGAGAAAAAATAATTCTGTTTTCTCTATGGATTATAATATATATCTTTAAACTATCACAGTCAACTTCAAGTTAGTATTGACTTAATTTCAGTACTAGCAACTTTGCTCCAATATAGCTTCATTTCCCCCGTCTTCTTTGTGTTATAAAAACAATGTAATATATTAATTTTCCCTTTACACAATGTTATTTTTTAAAGATATTAAAAGAAGAAAAGATAAAACAATATTTATACAGTCTTTTATATTTACCCACATATTTACATCTCTGGTGCTTTTATTAGTTTATTCCTATATATTCCTATGACCCTCTGATATCATTTGCTTGTCATCTGAAGGCTTCCCTAAAATTTTGTATTGGGCAGGTCTACTAACAATGAATTCTCTCACTTTTTGCTTAGGTGGGAATGTTTTTATTTTTTCCTCATTTTTGAAGGATAGTTTTACTGGATATAGAATTCTTGATTGACAAGGTGTTGTTGTTTTTGTTTTTTCTTCAGAAGTTTGAATACCTACCTCAGAGATATTGTAGGTTTGGTTTCAGACCATACAATAATGTCAATAAAACAAGTCACATGAATTTTTTGGTTTCCCAGCACATATAAAAGTTATATTTACACTATACTGTATTCTGTTAAGTATGCAATAACATTATGTCCAGAAAAGAGTACATACCTTAGTTAAAAAATACTTTATTGCTAAAAAATGCTCAGTCGTCTGAGCGTTCAGCAAGTCATATCTTTTTGCTGGTAGAGGGTTTTGCTTTGATGTTAATACCTGCTGACTGATGGGGTGGTGGTTGCTGAAGTTTGGGGTGGCTGTGGCAATTTCTTAAAATAAGACAACAATGAAGTGTACCACATTGATGGACTCTTCCTTTCATAAAAGATTTCTCTGTAGCATGCAATGCTGTTTCATAGCATTTTACCCACAGTAGAACTTTTTCAAAATTGGAATCAATCCTCTCAAACCCTACTGCTGTCTTATCAACTAAGTTGATATACTATTCTGAATCCTTTGTTGTTATTACCACAGTGTTCACAGAATCTTCACCAGGAGTAGATTCCATTTCAAGAAACTTATTTCTTTGTATATCTGTAAGAGCAATTCCTCATCCATTCAAGTTTCATCATGAGATTGCCACAGTTCAGTCACATCTTCAGGCCCCACTTCTAATTCTAGTTCTCTTGCTATTATCACCATGCCTGCAGTTACTTCCTCCACTGAAGATTTGAAGCCCTCAAAGTCATTCATGAGAGCTAGAAACAATTTATTCCAAGCTCCAGTTCTTCTTGATATTTGGATGTCCTCCCATGAATCACAAGTGTTCTTAGTGGTATCTAGAATGGTGAATCCTTTCCAGAGGTTTTCTTTTTTTTTTTTTTTCAAGTAGAAAAGTTTATCCAAAATATTGACAGTTAGCAGCCTGAAAATACAATTTCTTTTCTTTTTTTTTTTTTTCTGGCACATAAGGTTTTTTTTTTTTTAACGAAAGAGAAACTATAAAAATGCACATGAAATTGCACTCATTAGAAGAGATTTAATTTTTACATAAACTTGGATTTGCCACTGGTTAGATTTGAGCCCTCAAACATAAATTATATATAAATAAGGGTTGATGTCAATTAATATTATGCTAGACTTATGCCATGACAAAAGCATTATAAAATAATACCACTCTTTAAGATACAAATTATGTAATTGCTCATAAATATTCTTTTTTTTCAGGTTGAGAAATTATTATTATTATTTTATTATTATACTTTATGTTTTAGGGTACATGTGCACAATGTGCAGGTTTGTTACATATGTATACTTGTGCCATGTTGGTGTGCTGCACCCATTAACTCGTCATTTAGCATTAGGTATATCTCCTAATGCTATCCCTCCCCCCTCCCCCCACCCCACAACAGTCCCCGGTGTGTGATGTTCCCCTTCCTGTGTCCATGTGTTCTCATTGTTCAATTCCCACCTATGAGTGAGAACGTGTGGTGTTTGGTTTTTTGTCCTTGTGATAGTTTGCTGAGAATGATGGTTTCCAGCTTCATCCATGTCCCTACAAAGGACATGAACTCATCATTTTTTATGGCTGCATAGTATTCCATGGTGTATATGTGCCACATTTTCTGAATCCAGTCTATCATTGTTGGACATTTGGGTTGGTTCCAAGTCTTTGCTATTGTGAATAGTGCCGCAATAAACATACGTGTGCATGTGTCTTTATAGCAGCATGATTTATAATCCTTTGGGTATATACCCGGTAATGGGATGGCTGGGTCAAATGGTATTTCTAGTTCTAGATCCCTGAGGAATCACCACACCAACTTCCACAATGGTTGAACTAGTTTACAGTCCCACCAACAGTGTAAAAGTGTTCCTATTTCTCCACATCCTCTCCAGCACCTGTTGTTTCCTGACTTTTTAATGATCGCCATTCTAACTGGTGTGAGATGGTATCTCATTGTGGTTTTGATTTGCATTTCTCTGATGGCCAGTGATGGTGAGCATTTTTTCATGTGTTTTTTGGCTGCATAAATGTCTTCTTTTGAGAAGTGTCTGTTCATATCCTTCACCCACTTTTTGATGGGGTTGTTTGTTTTTTTCTTGTAAATTTGTTTGAGTTCATTGTAGATTCCTTTCCAGAGGTTTTCAATTTGCTTTTCCCAGATCCATCAGAGGAATCACTATCTATGGTAAACAGTAAGTCAGAATTACTCCTTGACCCTTGGGCTACAGAATGGATGTTGTGTTAGCAGGCATGAAAACAACTTTTATCTCCTTATACATCTCCATCAGAGCTCTTGGGTGACCAGGTACATTGTCAATGAGCAGTAATATCTGGAAAGGAATCCTTTCTTTTGAGTGCATCTGAACAGTGGGCTTCAAATATTCAGTGAACCATGCTGTAAACAGATGTGCTTTCATCCAGGCTTTATTGTTCCATTTACAGAGCACAGGCAGAGTCAATTTAGCATAATTCTTAAGGGCCCTAGGATTTTCAAAATGGTAAATGAGCATTGGTTTCAACTCAAAGTCACCAGTTGCATTAGCTCCTGCAAGAGAGTCAGCCTGTCCTTTGAAGCTTTGTAGCCAGGCGTTGACTTCTCTGTAGCTACGAAAGTCGTAGATAACATTTTCTTCCAATAGAAGGCTGTTTCATCTACATTGAAAATCTGTTGTTTACTATAGGCACCTTCATTAATGACCTCAGCTAGAACTTCTGGATAACTTTCTGTAGCTTCTATATCAACACTTGCTGCTTCACCTTGCACTTTTTTTTTTTTTTTTTTTTTTTTTGAGATGGAGTCTCGCACTGTCGCCTGGGCTGGAGTGCAGTGGTGTGACCTTGGCTCACTGCAACCTCCACCTCCTGGGTTCTAGCTGTTCTCCTGCCTCAGCCTCTGGAGTAGCTGGGATTACAGGCACCCATCACCACGCCTGGCTAATTTTTTGTATTTTTAGTAGATGTGGGGTTTCACTATGTTGGCCAGGCTGGTCTCGAGCTCCTAACCTCGTGATCCGCCCGCCTCGGCCTCCCAAAGTGCTGGGATTACAGGCGTGAGCCACCACACCTTTCCACCTTGCACTTTTATATCATAGAAACAGCTTCTTTCCTTCAACCTCATAAACCAGCCTCTGCCAGGTTCAAACTTTTCCTCTGCATCTTCTTCACCTCTCTCAGCCTTCAAAGAATTGAAGAGAATTAGGGCCTTGCTCTAGATTAGGCTTTGGTTTAAGGGAATGTTGAGGCTGCTTTAATCTTCTATCCAGACCATGCAGACTTTTTCCCTATCAGCAATAAGGCTCTTTTGCTTTTTTTAAAAAATTATTTTTATCATTTGTGTGTTGACTGGAGTAGGCACTTTTAATTTTCTTCAAGCAGTCTTCCTTTGCATTTTCAACTTGACTAAGTGTTTGGTACAAAAGGCCCCACTTTCAGCCCATCTTGGCTTTTGGCAGACCTTCCTCACTAATCTTAATTATTTCCAGCTTTTGATTTAAAGTAAGAGATGTGCAATTCTTCCTTTCACTTGAACTTTAAAGGCCATTGTAGGGTTGTTAATTGGCCTCATTTCAATATTATGTCTCAGGGAATAGGGAAGACCAAGGAAAGGGAGAGAGATGGGGAAATGGCTGGTCAGTGGGGCACATATACAACATTTATTGATCAAGTTTGCCATCTTAGGTGGGCATGGTTTGTGGCACCCCCAAACAATTATGGTATTATCAAAGATCACTGATAACAGATGATGAAAATAATTGATGGTGGTATTATTAGTATTATTCTGAAACTTCTCATATAACACGGAATAAAGCAACTGAGTAGTTATGGAATGTTCTAATTCCATCATCCCCTGTGTCCTTGAGAATGAATATTCTTGCTATGGAAGAAAGGAAAAAGCAGATTTAAGATAGAAGTAGTCTAGGAAAAACTGTAGTCCTGAATTTGAATAATCAAATTGGAAATATCAGTATGAAATCTGAGGTATTTGTGTCTATGTATGTGTGTGTATGTATATGCATGTGCATATACACACATATGTACATGTATGTGTGTATGTGTTTATATGTGAGAGAGAGAGTTCTCGCTAAGGTGACCGAACCATTAGCAGTGAACATCCCTAGCTCCTAGATTTGATCTTGAAGTATCAGCTTTCAATAAAAGAAACCTCATGCCAGTTCTGGGGCAGGAAATGTATAAGATGAGCCTGGAACACCTTTACCTACATCCGTATAGCGAAGAAGCTATCAAAGATTCCTAGGTCATTTTAAAAGGACTCGGGTCAAATATAGGATAGTTTGAATTTCAAGAAGGGTAAAAATTGCAATAGACTAATCAAATGAGCTTAAGTTCATGAGTTCTAATTCAGTATTTTGAAAACTAAGCAAATAAATGGAAAACATAAAACATTTTACTATGTGTACTAAGCCACTGGAAAGCCAAATATTAGATGAAACATCTTATAAAAATTATTCCAGGGCTGGGTGTGGTGGCTCACCCCTGTAATCCCAGCACTTTGGGAGGCTGAGGCGGGTGGATCATGAGGTCAGGAGATCGAGACCATCCTGGTTAACACAGTGAAACCCCATCTCTACTAAAAATACAAAAAAATTAGCCAGGTGTGGTGGCAGGTGCCTGTAGTCCCAGCTACTCAGGAGGCTGAGGCAGGAGAATGGTGTGAACCCGGGAGGTGGAGCTTGCAGTGAGCCGAGATTGCGCCACTGCACCCAGCCTGGGCAACAGAGCGAGACTCCATCTCAAAAAAAAAAAAAAAAAAAATTATTCCAGCTAATAAATGAAAATGCAGTGGGAGAATTAGAATGTCACCACTTAGTAACTCCCGGGAGATTGATGCTGAAAGTGTTGAATACCAAGGGCTGCTAATGTCAGAACAAGAGCACAACACTGCTGAAGTCTTGCCAAAGGGATCGACCCTGAATTGATCAAGCCTGCGGATCTAGCTGCCAAATTGCAGGAAATACAGAGAACAGAGGCATGTATTGAACTGTAGCATGAATGTGCAGTTTTCTAGCCAGTGGGAAACTCTATAGGCTGAACAGTTCAGGTTTTCTCTAGCAGATAAGTTGTAAGAAAAAGAGGTAGTGGGGAAGGTGTAAAGTAGGAGCGATTTTGAAGAATCGTCAAGTGAAAAAAAGTGGACAAGGCTATAGGGTAGGGATGCCTACGTGAGGAACAAAGCAATTAACCAGAAAAGTCAGGGTAGTTGTTACTTTTAGTTGGAGGGGGCTGTTCATTGGCATGTGGTGAATGGCGGTGTCTTTATTTTTTTTGGTGGTGGTTACATGGTGTGTGCCTTCTAATAGTCCCTTACGCCATACAATTGTTTTATATGGCTTTCGGTATCTATATTTTATCGAATAAAATATTAAGAAAGAATTGAGGGGGTCAATGAAATATGGGCTAGAACAGTACCCAGCAGAGGGCAGGGGAGGGAATCCCTGCCCTGGGAACCCAGAGGCCGGGTGGGAATCAGGTCCTGGCTCAGCCCCTCCTAGAGCTGTTGGGCCAGACTCCCTTCTTCTCTCTCTGGGACTCAGTTTCCCTCCTTATCAGTTGCGAGTAACGAATTCCTGCCTGTGTCACTAGGTTGGCTGGCAGATCATCTGGAATAATGAGTTGGGGAATGGCATGGAACCAGTTAGTGGTATCTCAGAAGAAGATGATGGCTGACCTTTCCTGGGCAGTGACTGTGACCTTTCATCCTCACAACAGCTACATGAGTAGGTGTGCAGCTGGATCATACTCCATCCTAGTGGGAGGGACCCAGTCTCTGTCCTGAAGAAGCCCAGTCTCTTGTGGGGACTTTCTTGATGAGAGAGTGAAATAATTTTAATTACCATGTCAGTGGTTTGTTAGTAAATGGCAGCTCCTCTGGATGGCTTAGAGGGGCTTGAAATAGCTTATTCCCCTGAGCAAATTAAATATTCTCCTCACAGATCATGTTTGCTCTGCTGATGTGCTTAGCAAAGCTTTTTCTTTTCTGTAGATAGAGCCAAGGTAAACCTGAGCTTCGCGTCGGAGTGAGTGAGTGTGAACTCTGACTGGGAAAGCCAAATAAATGAGGTGCTGTGCGATGAAAGAACTGACTTCAGAGGGTTGACTTCTGGTCAGAGCGTCTTCTGTGTTGTCGCCATCTTATCAATGTTAGTCTTTTTCCCCGACACCATCTTTCTTCTGAGTCCTGTTTCTGCTGTGAAGCTCAGACGCCTCAGCATAAATTCTCTGCTACCCCTTTGTCACCCACTCCCAGTGGGATCCCATCCCGTTCTTTGCAGCCAGATGTGTCTAGGTTCAGAGACTTCAGCTGGCCTGTGCCGCTGGGAGCCTTCCCAGGCTGCTCTCCTGTCCCTGGGATGCCTTTGTTTTGCGTCATAGGAGGTAGTCACATTTTCCAGTTTGACTGCAGGCTTCTGCACGACAGGGATCATCTTCACCTTCCCTTAGCACTGGCATCAGATAGGGCCTGAGTTCAAATCCCAGCTCTTCTGCTGTGGGCTGTGTGATCATGGGCATGTTCCCTGTTATTTCTAAGCCTGTGTTTCCTCATGTATAAAGCTACAATTGAGAAGAAGAGTTTGGTGTAGTACATCGTAGAAACCGGTTCAGATTCTGCACTGTTTTCTATTAAACCAAAGGTTCACAATCACACCAGTGGCTGCTTTTGGCTTTTAGCCAGTAAATGTTTGTATGTGGAATGAAGGGCCGGATGGTGGGACGTAGCAGCTGGTTGGGGAAAGGCGGAGGATTCACGTGTTTTTGAGCATGGAGTCAGAAGCTTTCCAGGTGCCATCTCATTGCATATGGCAAGTAGGTGTTAGTCCTATTTTGCAGATGAGGAAGAGACAAGGTGAAGCCCGTTGGCCAGTCCTTCCCCATCTCAGTGCATGCCTGGCATCTGGTACTTGTTCCCCTTGCCATGTTCCCAGATGGCTCACATTCCATGCTCACTTCCAGTCCTTCTTCTCATGAGCCTCCTCAACCTTTGCCCTTTTTGTCTTCTCTCCCCAGCAGATTTGCCTTTCCCAGGCCCAAGCGGGTTATCTGGTCCCACTCCTGAGAATGTGTGACAATCCCATCGGCACTGTGCTGCCTCAAACTGAGCAGCACTGCTTTGTTTCCCCAAGAAAAATATCAGAGGCTTTTATTTACCAATTTAATGGCAAAGAGCCTCCCTTCCCTGTTGAGTTTCTATGTTATGGTTTTGAACTGGAGGCCTGTAGGCTTGCGACGCCTGTCGTCCCACAGTCTGTCTTCACCCACCTCTGCTACCTGCTTGGCTTCTGCAGCCATTTGGACTGCTGACCCCTGCACATGTAATGGTCTTTTTTTTTCCCTTTCTTTCAAATGATCCCCTTGGATTTTTTTCTCACTGTTCTAGCTTTGAAATGTGGTCGCCAGAGTTGTGTTGGAAATGCAGTTCTCCTGTCAATTGAATGGAAGTGAACGTTGCACTCTTATCCTCACACTCGAACTTCCAGCTCAAGTGCTTGTGGTGCGTTTGGAGGGACTTTCCTCCCCTTGACATCCTTTCTGCCTTTTTTTCCTCTCCATAGCCCAGTCGAGGGGATGGACAGGGTGGCCAGAAGTTCTTTTCCTATGTGACTTTGCCACTCAGAATTGATGAATGAAGTCATTTTGTTAGCAGGACATTTTTACCTTCCAGATTGTCTTTTTTCTGCACTTTTCTGGACTATTAAAAACGAATATTGTTGGCCTGTGCCCATCAGTGTTCTGTGCAGCTAATTGAGCCCCGTCTTATGAAGCAGGCTGACGGGGACCCCGCCCTCATGCTTGTCTTCCAGCTCTGGCCAGGTCTGGAGCAGACACTTCCCCAGTGGAAGTGGCGAGCTTTCCTCTCCAGCTTTGTGTTATGGGCTCATAAAGCTTTAGTGGTTCACTTTTGAGTTCAAATTTTTTAGTGTGATCTGGCCCTTCTTGATGAACTCAGAACAGTCTCCACACGCTCACTGTGCTAAGTGTGATGGAGCAGTCAGGATTCACACCTGCCAGACACGCGGTCATCTGTCCGTGCCCCACCCCAAAGCCGTGGCTGGAGACTGTTCCCCTGCCCCCGTCAGGGGCACCAGCACTCTTAGGAGATGTCACATCATTTCCCAGGAGGGTGACCACAAGGCCCCAGAGAAAGTTTTTTACTGTTCTTACCTGACATGGGTTGTCTTTTGTCATTGTGAGCCAGACCTGGGAATTACATAGGGAGTTCCTGGGACATGGTAGACTTTCAGTAAATAGCAAAGAGGATCAATGAATCAAACTGGGGAATATCTTTTTTCCTTCAAAATTAAATGACTTCAAAGAAGTAAAGCAGATTTTCATATGCTATAAATTGACTGGAAAACAGATTCCAGAATTCCAAAAGTTTTTTTTTTTTAAAACAATGATAGAGTTTTGAGGCTAACAGAAGTAATAATGGCAAATACTTAAAAAGCACTTCCTACATTTACTGACTAGTTTAATTCTTACAACAAATCAATGAGGTGGATACAGTTGTTACTGACTAGTTTAATTCTTACGACAGTGAGGTGGGTACAGTTACTCAATGAGGTGGGTACAGTTGTTACTGACTAGTTTAATTCTTACAACAGTGAGGTGGGTACAGTTACCCAATGAGGGCAATACAGTTGTTACTGACTAGTTTAATTCTTACAGCAGTGAGGTGGGTATGGTTAAATGAGGTGGGTACAGTTGTTATTTCCATTTTATAAGGAAACTGTGGCACAGGCACTTGCCCAAGGTCAACAATTAATAAATGGCAAAGCTTGGACTTGAACTCATGCTGTCCGGCTCCAGGGTCTGTAACCATGACTCTATTTTGTCTCTTTACATTCGGGTATATAGATAAACATATGGATTCCCGGGTGAAGGACAATCCTTATATGATAGATAAGTTCGGATTGGTTTGTTTTAAGTATTATTAGGTTGAGGAGTCCAAGTGTGTTTGGATACCATTAGGGTTAAACTGAACATCATTAAAATACAAGTTCATGAGGACTCACGTCTGCTGACTGGCTTACCATTGCGTTCACTGTGCCTCACTTCTTAGTGCATAGTAGGTATGAGTGTTCTCTCTCTCTCTTTCCATATATATATATATATATATATATACACACACACACACATATACATATATACACATATATACACACACACACAGATATATATGGAGAGAGAAATATATATTTGTGTGTGTGTATATATATATATATATATACGTTTCTTTTGGAATGAGTACTGATATTCTTTGACTCATTCCCAGAGGTTGAAAGGAAGGATGTGAGATGGGGCAAGGCTTTCTACACTTCCTGTTTCTCAGAGACTCGGAGCTTAGGGGAGTGGAGGGGACAGGTGAAGGGCAGGCGAGTTGCTCTTCTGGCTGGGCTGTCAGAGCAGTCTGGCCACTTTTCATTCTTAGGCCTTGTGCACGCCTGTTGGAAGGACTTGTTTATGTGTTCCTGTCCTGGCCCCTGAAGTATGAACTCCAAGAAGCCACTCTCTGTGACTTCTTTGACTTTATGTGTCTGGTGCCACTTACACTGCCTGGGCCGTAGTCCCTACTCCCTGTACTGTGTGCTGCCTGGCCGGCTGACCAAATGTATAATTGACTCTGCTTTTGTCACGAGGAAGCCTCAATTGCTGAGGTAGTCCAAAAAATGTTGTTAAGCCCAGTACAGCTCTCATAAGGTTTGAGGTGAGACATCCGGAAGCCTCGCCTGCTTGTTCTCATCTCGGCGTGGATGGCTGTCACACCCTCCGTCACTATATCCAGGCTGCAGCTGGCTTGCTCCATGGGTAAGAGAGAGCCCTTCGCTAACGAGGCCAAGGTTGTGGGTTTGATCCCTGGCCCCTGACTGCAGCAAGCCATCTGTCTTCACAAATGCGTGTCATTGGATATGAGGAGGAGAGTATGTACAGAGGGGGAAGCTGGACTCCATTCTGGGAAAAACAGCTCCCTGACAGCCGGCCACAGTGTCCTTTTGGACTGTGAAGGGTATCTGTTCTTCTCCCACTTTCCAGATCTGGGTATCTGGTTTTGATTTCAGCCTTTTTCAAGATAGATGATACTAAGGGTTACGTAAATTCTCAAGCCTGAGAACTAAAAGTGATGGACCTAGAAGATACATGGTATGTATCTGCTTTTCCGGAGTTGTAAGTGTTGACAATATCCAGAATGACATTGTCTTTGTCAACACTTACAACTCTGGAAAAGCAGATACATACCATAAGGGTATACGTATATGATGATGGGATGTATCTCATGGTATACCAAGTACCTGCTTTAGTTGTTCCCTTTGTAACTGAGATAACTCTTTTCAGCAAGGAGATGGGGAAAGGGGTCTGGGAATATAAGATGGTGCTCACTCTTTTCTTTCTTTTGGGGGTGCCCAGCTTGTTAAACGTCACTGGTACTGGCTGGCCCTGTAAGGCAGTTGAGACAAGGAGTGGTGGGTACACAGGGGGCCTTTGCCTTCACAATGATTGCAGTTTGGTTGGTGAACAGATATAAACTCAAATGAAAATCAGTATGGAAAGGTATAAAGTGCTATCTAGGCTGGCCTCAGCCCTGGGTCTTGACCCTGCAGACAGAGGAGCAAGTGTGAAGGCACAAGGGCAGGAAAGTTTCCCTGAAATGCCTGGAACTTTTCTTTAAAAAACCTCAAAATCTCCATTATCCACGTAGCTCTCTAGAAACTGCTAGGCTGGGCATGCCACTGGTGTAGGAGTACTGCTCCCCCAGGTCTCCACGCTATAAGCAAAGCCCCCGAGGGCATACTAGGCTGTTCTAGTTAAGAGAGTGCAGTGCTTTGCTGCCTGCTGAACTGTGTTCAGTGAGAAAGAAGGAGAAAAGAAACGGGTAGGAAATGTATCCCCTCATTGTCTTGGTTCATTCGGCTCATGATGGTTCTTTTTCATTCAACAAATATTAATTGGGTGCTTCCTGTATGCCAGGCTCCGTTTCAGAGGCTTGGGTTATGTCAGTGAATAAAGCCAAGGCCTCTGTCTTGGAGGCACTTACATTTTTGTGGGGATGTGAAGCCATCTAAGCTCCCTGAGGCAGGGACGGTGTCCCCTGCTCAACAGTGTGTCCTCAGGGACCAACCTGGCCTTGGCTGAGAAACATTGCTCAGTCATTGTGGAAGTAACCTAGTGCTTCAGCATTTCAGGAGTGCTGGTTGGTGAGAAGAAAACATGGAGAAAGGCAGACGGTTTCTTTGCTCTTTGAGATCTACTGGGTTGACTTATTGTGTTTGATCTTTAGTTATAAGATTCTCAGCCACATAAGAGAAAAAAATATTGAATAGACTCTAGCAGGCCTCCTTTTCCTCATTACCCAGGAAATTGACCCAGTCTTTTATTCACACTACTACTTTGAGTTTCCACGACAATGACAGGTGATATTGAATTTAAGTGTATTGGTGCCTAGGTCAGATTTTGAGGTCTGAAGATAATTTGGAAGGACAAGTTAAAGGGAAGAATTGTCTTTTCCCACCCTACTCCCAAGAAATAAAAGGAGAAATAACAACACAACAAAAATGTATTGAGCTTATTATTGAAGTAGCCACTCATTACAAGCTGAAATGATTCTCATGTCCCCAAATTTCTCTAGCCTTGGTTTTCCATTTTGATTTTGGAGCTCTGGCCTTCTTCCCATTTACATTTCCTCCTTGGTTTGATCACAGAGGGACAGATGGCAATATTAAAGAGCCGAGAATGTGGTTCAGAGTCATAGAACAGGACGAAACCAGGTGCGGTAAGCTTGTACGTTAGAATGTACATTTCAGAGCCTGGAAAGGTGCTGCCATGGGGCCCAAGGGGGAACTGGAACCTATCGCCAGGACAGAGGGTCGAGAGGGAGGGTTGAATGCTGGCGAATCAGCAGACAAGCCCTGGAAGGAGGTTCAGCAGGAGGAGGATAAAACCAGATAGAAAAGATAGGAGAGAAGAAAAGATGGAAGTAGGTCAAGGGAAGAGTAGACTATGTCCCCATGAAAAGTGGTAGGCTTTCCTGCCAGTGGAAAAACAAGGATTTGAATGAGAGCAAGGCTGTGGGACTCTGGCCTGAGCTCTCCATAATGGGCTGAGGACAGTGATGTTGGTGAGCGGAAGCAGAGCTTTGCCTGTCAGGCGGAACGAGCAGCTGGTGCTCCGGGGACCTGCAGGCCCTTTCCTCCTTGGTCCCAGCCGAGCTGTTGGGAACGATTCCAAGTGGAAGGAAATGCACCCAGCTCAGGAAGCTTGTGAAGTAAAGTGCAGGAGATGAACCCCAAGTTCTGACAGCTTGCCAGAGTGCCCGCTGAGTGAATGCTGGCAGGAACATTTGTTTTGAGAATAGTTTACCATAATGAATTCTGACATCATTGCACTCTCTCAGGCAAGGGTGTTGAAATGGAATAAATGACCTAATGTCAGGGATTTGTGGAAACCCTCAAAACAGGGAGATTGGGAGATTCCTTGGCTCTCTTATCTTCATTTTGAGTGGAGTTTTAAGCAACAGTTCCTTCTTAGATGTTTAATTGATCTCAACATTTTAAGAATTAACTAACAGTTTGAAGATATGAAAGCAATCGTGTGGGTTTTGTTTGCCTCTCTCAAATTGGGTTATCTCATAGCATTTGGAATAGAATTCTTGCAAGTTAACTTCCTCTTTTTTTTGTTCTGATTATCCGTGTACTTGAACATTTTTCCTTTTCTGCTCTCATGGCAACAGTGGAAGCGATTAGTTGAATAAAATTATGATTATGTGATTTAAACATGTTTGGAAGACAGGATTTCCTGGGAATCATGCTTTTACATTTGGGCACTTTAAGATGTGCCTGTTTCACCTCTTCTTGCTGTCCGATTGATCTGTGGTGGGGCGGGCACCCTTCTGGGTGCCGCATTCATTGCAATGGGTTGTAGCTTCAGGCCTTCTCAGCTCTGTGGTTACTGTGGCTTCTTTGTTTACAAGCAGATGCTTCCCAGATTGAGGAAGAATTTGCTTCTGAATCTTAAACTCTCTCCAGGAATAAACTGGAAACAGTTTGAGAAAAACTTGTATTTGCTTCAAAGGCTTAATTGGGAATACGCACCCAGTGGCTGGTGTTGCCTCATCCTGCCTGGCCTCCTTCGGGGCGGAGACTTCCTCCGTTCCTCCACCAGAGGGCCTCGGTCCTGCATGGGAGAAACCGTCTTGCACCTTAACGGGGGAATTGAATTTCTCTACCCGTCATTGATCTCTTTCGGCAGCCCAGGGCATTACCCGCATTCACTGGACTTCTTCACCTGGGCCAACGGATTTTCTTTCCAGTTTTGGACCAGTAATGAGTATCTTATTAGCTGTCATCACTGGGACACACAGAATTTATGTTATAAATATATGAAGTAATTTGCATATTAATGATGCAAAACATAGACCTGAACTCTTGGATTCATATTTTGTTCCTTCCTCTAGAGTTACACTTCTGTTTTAGAGCTTATGTGTACCCAGGAAGGTAACAGAGTACGGTAGAAAGCTCCCAGCTCACTCTCTCACTGGGCCTGTGAGCTTGAGCAGGCCCTTCACTTCTGTGTCATAACGGACCAGATTCTGTTGGATCATTTATAGCTGGAAAATTCTGTGCTTCTGTAACTGTCTAAGTAGCTTACTCTGTTTCCTAGGACACTGGAAACATTCTGAATGACCAGTTCCTATTTGTAGGCTTCCCTGGGTTACAATATTTAGGTTTGATCCTGCTTATTCCAGGCCTGATTTCTACCTGGTAAATCAGCCCCTTCAACCAGGGTCTCCACTTATGTTGCCTCAGTCACAGCTTATTTCATACAATTCAAAGTACCATCCCTTCTGTACCCAGTAGGAGTTTAATCCGTGATTCTGGAACAAAGTTAGACTACCATATCCATTCCCATCCTTTGTTTAGCTGTAGCTATTTCCTTCCCGCCGTGTTACTTAAGAGAACTGAGCTTCAGTCCAAAGCAAATGTACTTTGTTGCCTGTGAACATGGATCCCATAAAAACAAATGAAGGAGAAAGCAGAGTAGATTGCATGTCCCAGGGCCTGTTACCTAATCTTTATTCACGTCTCTGTTAGGTTTCCTTTAGTGCTGCTTGGCATCCTGAGCACAGCTTCTCTTTTTATGCCACCATCAAGCTTCTGATCTGATATCATCTGATATGTGTGGGTGAGAGGACTATGGGAGTATTTATGTACCTATGCCAATAAATCATTATCTTAAAGTTCTGGGGCCATTCTTGTGCATGAGAGCCCTGGGATGTCATGTAGGTATAAGATGCGAATTAATAGCCCTCATGAGTGCTTGTAACTTACAGAACCCACATTCAGTTTGATTTAATATCTTTGCATGATTCAAAATGTCGTCCAAGAAGAGAGCCAAATACCTAGAGCATCTGCCACGGCCTGCAGAGGCTGGCTGACACGTTTGCACTGGCTGACCCACACTGTGGCTTTTTGGAAAGATGAGATATGTTCTAATGAGCAGGTTATAAATATCGCCGAGTTATGTCATAGGTGGTGGCCGTGCTTAATGTAAAGGGACCAGCTGGGGAGCGTTCCCAGCTCAGCAGGCTGGATGCAGCTTTCAGAGAGGACAAGTGGGGCTTGAAAATATTGACCAGGATGTTACAAAATAATTATTTGTCTCTTAATGAAACATGTCACCAAATGTGTCCCTGTGGGGTGTGAGTGGCAGCGAGATGAGGTGTGCTCTGCTCACACTCAGGGAGCTCGGGTTCCAGTTGTCACATGCTCGCTCTCAGAAGGGGCCTCTGACCCTTTGCTTCTTTTTCGTCAGTGTGGGGTTTGGAGGAGGGTTGGTTTGATGAATTTACTGGGTTTGATAAGTTTATGTTCTCAAAGATGCAGAGTGGTTGCTTGGTGGAGTTCCTGTTTTTTTGTGCCTTCCATCTTCATATTTTATCCTTACCCATGTTGCACACGGTGCTTGCTCATATTCCTGTGCCCTGTTGCCCAGTGTTGTCTCCCACCTTTTAAATGAAAATATAGATTTCAGTCCCACTCTATAGAGCCATTGAGAGTTTGAACACAGACTCTTCTAAGGTATCTTGCTTTTTAATTTGTTGGCTTCAACTGATTTTCAAATTTTTATTTTTTAGAGAAAATGTGCTAGGGGTTAGAAAACACAAAAGGCCATCAATCTTAGGTCAAATGTTTCATTTAACCAAAGATGGCTAGGCATGTGCAGAGTAATCGTTTGCTTAAAATCTAGCCAACAGCTTTTATGCAGACAAAATGCATTGAAACGTGCATATAAAATATTTAATATTAATACATGCCAGATGAAAACCGTCAAATTCTGTGTCCACACAGGAACTTGACAAGAGGAGTCGGAAGATTTAGAGAGCTTCTCAGAGCAGTTGAAACAAGAACGACTCAAAACCTGCGAATGGTAAGTGTGAACAGTGACTTGATTGAGGCCAGCAGGGCACTTGTCTCATAGGTATTTACATTCATATTTTTTTACATTTATGTATTATAAATATATGTGACATATATGTGTTATAAATATATGTGACATATATGCATTATACATATATTTATAATAAATATATGTGACATATATGTGTTATAAATATATGTGACATATATTTATGTACATATATGTCACATATATTGTATGTGTGACATATATATGTATATAAAATATACATGTTTTATAATAAAATGTATATAAAATATACATGTTTTATACTAAAATGTATATAAAATATACATATTTTATATGTATATTTATTTATTTTATATAAAATAAAATGTATATAAAATATACCTATTTTATAATAAAATAAAATATATTTTATAATAAAATAAAATATATTTTATAATAAAATAAAATATATTTTATAATAAAATAAAAAATATACATATATTTATAATAAATATATGTGGCATATGTGTTATAAATATATGTGACATATATTATACATATATTTATAATAAATATATGTGACATATTATACATATATTTATAATAAATATATGTGACATATATGTGTTATAAATATATGTGACATATATTTATGTACATATATGTCACATATATTGTATGTGTGACATATATATGTATATAAAATATACATGTTTTATAATAAAATGTATATAAAATATACATATTTTATATGTATATTTATTTATTTTATATAAAATAAAATGTATATAAAATATACCTATTTTATAATAAAATAAAATATATTTTATAATAAAATAAAAATATACATATATTTATAATAAATATATGTGACATATGTGTTATAAATATATGTGACATATATTATACATATATTTATAATATATGTGACATATATGTATTATACATATATGTCACTGGGCTTGTGAACTTGCGCAAGCCCTTTCACTTCTGTGTCATAATGGATATTTACGTGACATATATTTATAATATATAAATAGCAGTTTACTCATTTAAAGTTTTTAGCATATTCACAGAATTGTCCAGCTATCACTAATATTTAATTTCAGGACATCTTAATCACCCCCAAAAGAAACTCTATACTCGTTAGTAGTCAATCCCCATTTTCCCCTCCCCCTAGTCCCTGGCAACCACTAATTTACTTTCTGTTTCTATGGATTTGCCTATTTGGGGCATTTGCTATAACTGGAATGATACCATTCGTGGTTTTGTTTTTTTGTTTTGAGATAGAGTCTCGCTCTGTTGCCCAGGTTGGAGTGCAATCGCACAATCTTGGCTCATTGCCTCCTGCCCCAGCCTCCGAGTAGCTGGGACTACAGGTGCGCATCACCACACCTGACTAATTTGTAGTCTTTTTGTGATTGGCTTTCTTCACTTAGCATAATGCTTTCAAGCTTCCTCTGGGTCACAGCATGATCAGTATTTCTTTCCTTTTTATTGCCAAATAATATTCCATTGTGTGGATATATCACATTTTATTTGTCCATTCATCAGCTGATGGACATTGGGTTGTTTCTACTTTTGGGCAAGTACAAGTAATGCTGCTACGAACATTCATGTACAAGTTTTTGTGTGGACTTATGTGTTCTTTCTCTTGGCTGTATACTTAGAAGTGGAATTGCTGGGTCATATGGTAACTGTGTTTAACAATTTGAGGTGCTGCCAGACTGTTTTCCAAAGCAGCTGTACCATATTACATTCCCACCAGCAGTTATGAGGGTTCCAATTTCTCCACACCCTCAACAACAGTTGTTATTATCTTTTTAGGTGTAACCATCCTGGTGGGAGTGTGGTGATATTCCATTGTGGTTTGATTGGCACTTCCTTGATGGCTAATGATTTTGAGCATCCTTTCCTGTGTTGTTGGCAGCGTTCTCTGCTGAAACCTGAGAATTGCACCTGTTAAGGCAGGCAGAATGTAGGCCCTCGTGGCTGCCAGGGTGTTGAGGGGTTGGTGTATGCTTATGATTCATACCAAACCCAGACAGAATAAGGCAGATTGGATCCCGAGGGCTGCTAGTTGTTTGGCTAATTATATTGACTATAAAACTTGGAAGAAAAATATACAACATAGTTAAATTAACTGGTTGGTTAGCAATTTGACTCTCCTGTTGACTTGAATTCTTTCTTTTCTTTTTTTAATCCTTTCACTTTCCTATCTAGGGACGTTCATTAGGTAGACCTCTATAACTTGCCCTACACAGCCATAGCCAGTGGGTGCTTGAGTGGAGGACTGGTGCTTATTAAAACTAAGCAAATGCCACATGTCACAGTTGATGTAACAACCTCATGTAAGATTGCAATTTATCTTTTATTGCCCATACTTTTGTCCTTTCTTTATCATGAATCCTTTAAATGCTGTAGGAGATTATTCAGTTGGGCATGGCTAAGAGATTCATGTCATAGGAAATGACTTCATTGTGGTGTCTGCAGAGTTTTAAGAGGTGGACGTACAACTCATGGGGCCAGATGGCCAAGCTGGGCTTTCCTAGAATTATGGGGGTGAGACAGGATGGACAACTTCACACACACACACACACACCCTGCCATCACCACCACCAAGAGCTCAGTTGGCCTTCAAAATTTACTTAAATATCAATGTGATTTATAGGTGCCTTAAGAAGTTCAAACAAAATATTTCCATTTTTAGGATTCTTCAAGGCAAAAGAACCTACAAGAATATGGATAAAAGTTGTTGCCAGCTGTCTTTTCTCTCAAATTTACCTCTTCTCAGTATTCATAAAACTTCCCAACTGGTCAATATGAACAGCTTCTTCCAAGATTTGGAAGCACAATGAAAGTAACTGACTGAATTGGCAAGTGTTTTCGTAATTGTTTTAAAAGCGCATTTAAAAAGTCAGTTTTTCAAAATTGCTTAAGTATGGAGCATTTGTTCATATTGTTGACTCTCACTGGTATCTTGATTTACATTGGACGTTAGAAAGTTTCTCCATCTAATGACATTCATAAGCAGTGTTTCCATCAGCCTTAAAAACTATGATTTTTTAAGATTAGCTGATAATTGCAAATTTATAATATTCTTATGAGATGGAAAAGTTGCTTTGTAAACTCTATCTGGTGTGAGATCATAGCAGAGAAGGATTTGAAAGTATATTTTCAACAGTTCCACTCTTAGGTATATACTCCAAATAATTAAAAACAGGTGTTCTGCAGTGAGCTATGTGTGATTGCACCACTGCACTCCAGCCTGGGTGACAGAGTGAGACCCTGTTTCAAAACAAACAAAAAAAACCACAGATGTTCAAACAAAAACTTGTACATGGATGTTCGTAGCAGCACTATTTATGATAGCCAAAAGTTGGAAGCAATACACATGTCTAGAACTGAAGAATGGATAAGCAGCATGTGGTTTATCGATGCAATGGAATATCATTCAGCCATAAAAAAGAATGAAGTACTGATACATACACGATGATACTGATGAACCTTGAAAACTTTATGCTAAGTAACGGAAGCTGGTCACAAAAAGACCCATATCGCATACTTTAATTTATATAAAATGTCCAAAATAGGCAAATCCATGGAGCCAGAAAGCATGTTGGTTGTTCCCAGAGTCTGAGAGGGAGGGGAAGTGGGGAGTGATTGCCTAAAGGATATAGGGTTTCCTTCTGGGGTGATGAAAATGTTCTGGAACTAGATAGTGCTAATGGTTGCACAACATTGTGAGTGTCCTGAATGCTGTTGGATTGTACACTTTAAATAATTAAAGTGGTGGCTTTTATGTTATGTGAATTTCATCACAAGTTTTAAAACACATACACACACAAAAAGGGCATTTAATGACCAAATTTGTACATAAACATCCAGGTCTTATTTCAGGCCCACTTCCCACCTTTCTCTCCTTTGATCCTGAATTTATTTTATAGTTACCAACAATTGGATGCATTTAAACTACAGGCTAAATGTAGGTTGAGTTTAAAAAGTAAAAAGTATTCTAGATATTGGTGATCTTGCTGGTAATTTCATATTTATTGTTTTTTTCTGAACTTCATTTGAGCTTTCAGTGGACATAACCAAATGGCCTTCTTAATAGGTAGAGAACTGGTGAAGTGATGTCTTCAGAATATGCAATCACATCAAAACCCCACGTTTAAAAAATCTCTCAGGAAGGTTAATACCCTGAGAGAAAATGAGACCTAGCATGAGCTATCTAGTAGTGAACAAGCAAACTGTTTAGGGCAGAAATTTTTACAACTTTAAAATCCCTCCATGGCAAATGTATTCAGAAAATGAAATTCCTCGTTCATTTTTTTTCCTTTTAACACTTATTTCTCAGCTATAGTGAGTGGAAGTTATTTTTGCCAGTTGAAGTTTCCAGCAAAAGTCATTAGCTTATATGACTGCAATGAGATCAAAATGAAACTATAATGGAAGGTTTAAGAAACCAGTTCAGGAGCTGTTTAGGTCCTGAAAATTGTGTTCTTATGAGATCTTTACAGATTGCTCAGTTGGGGATGATCAGAGTGCATTTAATTTCACATTTTTATAGACATTTAATGCCAATGGGTCTTACTTGGGAATAATCAAGAAAATTTGCCTTTACCCAGTGGTTATCAGAAACCACTCTGTTAGTGATTTGGTTGGATTTAATTTTCCTTGTGGTGTTTTAAGAGATTTCATATGGATGAAAGCTTAGCAAAGCCCTCTTCTGAAACATTTACTTATTTTTTTAAAAAAGTCTCCTTCTCAGAAGATCAGCAGTCTTTGTCTGCATCTTCAAAGAATGCTAAAACCTGGTAGAAAACCATGCTGGTTTATGATGCCACCTCTGGCTGATCATGGGTAGAGTGAACTACCCTGGGATGCAGTGCTTCTCTTTTCAGAGGGATTTTTTTTTAAATTACTTATCCTCTTCTTTGTTACTGGAAGATTACAAGCTAAGTGAACTGACATACATCAGTCAACAAAACACTTCTTAGTACATACCACACATTCTTTTCCCCCATACATTATATTATACATCGTACTGTTTTAGGCAGTGGAATTACAGAAGTTTGGGAAGCATATTAATCTGCATCTAACTTGGAGGACAGGATCCAGATGTTTCTGGGTTTTCACTGTGAAGAAGGGGATACCCATCCAGCTTTAAAGAAAGGTCTTTCTTGATCGGGAACCATTTCCCACTTTGCCTTCCCTATTGCACAAGGCCAGTGAAAACCTCTGGGCCAGGAGCCCAGGATGCACTGAGAGTAGACACTCAGGTGCTGAGTCCTCGGGGGTGGGATGATTAGGCCCTGCCATTGGTACATGTAAGAAAGAAGACGTCTACAGTGGACATCGGATTGTCAGTGAGGATAATTTTTTCAGGGATAGCGTTATCTAAGCTGAGTACAAGCATTTTGCCAGGCTTGAGGTTAAGCACACATCATTAGTGATGCTAATATCTGCAGCTCACCTGTTATTTATAAGAGCTCTTGGGAAAGGGCTTAGCCAAAAGTTTCAGTTGTTTCAGGTATAAAACATGTTTAGTATTCCAGAGTGTGACAGGTGGGGTGGCATTTGAAGTACATGAACCTTTTAAGTGTTCAAACATCTTAGTGAATCATATTTTCTTTTCTTTCTTGTCATAAACTGGTATGATTACCATCGTAAAGGAAAAATTTTTAATTATGAGCCTTGCAGTAGTGCTTAGCACAATGTGATGATATAAATATTTATTGACTGACTGAATGAATGACTAATACAAGATAGATTCATGGCTATGCTTTTCCTCGTTTATGTTCCCAGACAATAGCCAGGCAGCTGGCAGAGATCTTGTTGCGGGGTATGTGTGAGCAGAGCTACTGGAACCCTCTGGAGGATCCACCGTGCCAGTCACCTCTGGACGATCCTCTCCGCAAAGGAGCAAACACAAAAACCTACACTCTCACTCGGAGAGCCCGTGTCTACTCAGGAGAGAAGTATGAAAGTTGATGTCCTCACTTGTAGGTTATGGGTTGGGAGGAAAACTTGGGAAAATTCAAGGATGATGAGAAGTACAAGAGTAGATTTTTTCCTTAAAAGAAAATCAAATGAACAAGTGTCATTTTCCAGTTTAGTAGAGATTCCTCATTACTTTTCGTAACTTCAGCAAATATCTGTGCACTAGCAGGGACATTTTAAGTAGGAGAATGCTCTCATCTCAGTGCTTGGGTGCCATTTGCAGCCATCACTATTGGCTTTTGGAATTTTCTTTCCATTTATTATAAGACCTCAGCATCAGACAGCAATCAGAAATAAAGCTATCTGTAAGCCATCTAACATCTAACATCGATCTCACCCATCTAACATTTCTTTTCTTCAGCAATTCCTTGATCCTTTTGTTTAAAATCTTGTTCTAAATGGAACTAGATATAAGAAGGAGAATCTAATATTTGCAAGTGATTGGAAGGTGATGTGTCTTTAGAACTTCTTTATCTTTTTTAAGTTTTAAATTTGAGACTTGATCACCTTGGAGGATAATGGGCCAGAGAATCACTATAGACTTAGCATGAGCCTTCCCCAGGCCAGGGGAAGCCAGACAGAGGAGGGAGAGACAAGGAGAAGGGCTGGGAGGCTGGAATGGTTGTTGACTCATTCTCAATGCCTCCCATTCAAGTCTTGAATTCCCATATTTTCCTGCTCTTTTAAATTTTTAAATTTTTTTTATTTTTTATTTTTTTGAGATAGAGTCAGGCTCTTTTGTCCATGCTGGAGTGCAGTGGCGCAATCTGCAACCTCTGCCTTCCAGGTTCAAGTGATTCTCCTGCCTCAGCCTCCCAAGTAGCTGAGATTACAGGCACATACCACCACACCTAGCTAATTTTTTTTTTTTTTTTTTTTTTTTTTTTTTTTTTTTTGAGACAGAGCCTCTCTCTGTCACCAGGCTGGAGTGCAGTGGCGTGATGTTGGCTCACTGCAACCTCCACCTCCTGGGTTCAAGTGATTCCCCTGCCTCAGCCTCCCAAGTAGCTGGGACTACAGGTGCGTGCCACCATGCCTGGCTAATTTTTTGTATTTTAGTAGAGACGGGGTTTTACCATGTTGGCCAGTATGGTCTCGATCTCCTGACCTCATGATCCACCCGCCTTGTCCTCCCAAAGTGCTGGGATTACAGGTGTGAGCCACCACGCTGGGACAATTTTTGTATTTTTAGTAGAGACAGGGTTTCACTATGTTGGCCAGGCTGGTCTTGAATTCCTGACCTCAGGTGATCTGCCCACTTTGGCCTCCCAAAGTGTTGGGATTACAGGCATGAGCCACCACTCTGGCCTTTGCCTGTTCTTGTAAGGACAAGACATGATGGCTTTTCAGAATCTCTGTGTGAAGGAAAGGGGAACACACATGAATAAATATTGAAGACCTTTTCCATGTTTTCAAATTAGAAAAACAGCTGAGAGGATGAGGTGGCTGCTTCTGAAGTCCCAGAGAAAGCACTAATAGAGATGGCGTGACTACACGCTTTCTCCATCTGAAGATCAAGATTTCAAACATCTGAAAATGACTGTTGTACTTTCAGAGGAGTCGGCATTTCTTCAAGGTTGCCACCTCTTAATAATCCTCTTAAGTTGACCCTTGCATTTCTCTCTCTTGTCACCTTCTTGTTCAAGTTTGTGTTTCTTACATGGATTCAGATGAGTTAGCATATTCTTAGGTTTTTCCCTCGGCTTATCGTAATTTAGTTTTCATCCCCCTTTTCTACAGCCTTGTTGAACCATGAGTTTGCTTAATTCACAATATGTGTTTACTCTTTAGTCCTTATCTGGATTCATAGAACATCTGTTCTAGCAATTTTCAATGCTCTTATTTTTAAAATGCTGACCCCTCATTGTGAAGCAGGTTTGGGGTTCATTTTTAAGTGATATTTATATCATAAAAATAGACTCTAAAGTTTTCCCCTGCTTTAGATGCTTCTTAATAACCAAGGTGCCAGGTGCATTAAGGACCTCCATTCTCACCCTCTTCCCCCAGTCCACTTTGACACATGGCCAGAGCTCTGTGTCTCTTTGGGTGCCATCCAGTATGGCCTCACCCCTTGAAGGCAGAGAAGCTCACAGTGCTGGCCATTTCTCCATTTCCTGAACCACTCAGATTTTGTCACTTTTCTAATGTCAGCTTTCCCATGTGTACAAGGAGAATTATAGAAGCAAAATACAGCTCCAGAAAATGCAGTCATTAAAGGGAGCATTCCCGTAGTAGCACTGTCTACTGAGTCACAAGTTTCAGTTCACATGGATACACGTGATCAGCTTTTAAAAAAACTGTTTTATTGAAACATAATTCACATATTATACAATTCATCCATTGAAGGTGTGCAATTCAGTGGCTTTTAATATACTTGCCTAGTTGTGCATCCATCGCCATGATTGGAACATTTTTATTACCCCCAAAATGAACCCAGCACCTCTTAGCTGTCACCTTCCTGTCTCCCAAGCCCTTGCATTTCCATATGAATTTTAGCTTGTCCATTTTTGAAAAAAAAAAAAAATAGGCAGCTGGGATTTTAATAGGAATTGCATTGAATTTGTAGATCAATTTGAGGAATAGTTCCATATTAAAAATATTAAGTCTTCTGATCCATGAACATGAGATATCTTTCCATCTATTTAGGTTGTCTTTAATTTCTTTCAACAATGATTTGTATTTTTCAGGATATAAAGCTTGTATTTCTTTTGTTACGCTTATTCCTAAATGTGTGTGCACACGTGCGTGCACATGTGTGCATGCAAATATGCATTATTCTTTTTGATGCTATTATAAATAGAGTTGTTTTCTTAATTTCATTTTTGGATTGCTCACTGCAAGTATATGGAAATACAACAGATTTTGTAAATTGATCTTGTGTACTGTAACCTTGCTGAATTTGTTTATTGGTCCTAATAGTTTTTTTGGATTCCTTAGGATTTTCTATATCAAGATTGTGTCATCTATTAATACTAATATAGATGGTTTTACTTTTTCCTTTCTAACCTAGATGCATTTTATTTTATTTTCTTCCTTAATTGTCCTGGCTAGAACTTCCAGTACAATGTTAAATAGAAGTGGCAAGCATGGATATCCTTGTCTCATTCCTGATCTCAGGCGGGGGAAATTATCTAGTCTTTCACAGAGTATGGTGTTCACTGTGGGCTTTTATAGATGCCCTTCATCAGGTTAAGTAAAGGGCTTCCTATTTCTAGTTTGTTATTTTTATTATTAATGGGTGTTGAATTTTGTCAACTGCTTTTTCTGCATCAATTGAAATGATAATGTGGGTTTTGCCCTTTATTCTAATGCTGTGGTGTATACATTAATTGATTTTCACACATTAAGCCAACCTGCATCCCTGTCCAAGTCATGGTATATACTCCTTTTTATTATTGCTGGGTTCTATTTGCTGATATTTTGTTAAAGATTTTTACATCTATATTTATAAAGGATACTATTCTGCAGTTTTCTTATGATGTCTTTGTCTGGTTTTGGTATTAGAGTAATATTGGCCTCATAAAATGAGTTGGAGACTATTCCCTCCTCTTCTTTTTGAAAGAGTTTGTGGAGAATTGGTATTAATCCTTTAAATCTTTGGTAGACTTCACCAGTGAAGCCACCTGGACCTAGGCTTTCTTTGTAGGAAGTTTTTTTTGTTTTTTTTTAAATGCTAATTCAATCTCTTTACTTATTTTAGGTCTATTTGTATTTTCTATTTCTTCTTGAATCAGTTTGAATAGTTTGCATCTTTCTAGAAATGTGTCTGCTTCATGTAAATTACCTAAGTTGCTTCCGTACAGTTGTTCATAGCATTCCTTTATAATTTTTTTGTATTTCTACAGGGTTGGTTGTCATGTTCTCTCATTTCTCATTTTAGTAATTTAAGTCGTTTTTCTCTTTTTTAGAGTCAGTCTAACTAAAAGTTTTGTCAATTTTGTTGATCTTTTTGAGGAACCAACTTTGGGTTTTGACTTTTTTCTGTTGTGATTCTGTTCTCTGTTTCATCGATTTCCACATGAATCCTATGCCTTCATTTATCACCATCAGTTTTTAGCTTTGTAATTTTGTGGGTTCAGAGCTCTACTTCTTAGAATATTAGTAAAGAGGAACAGCTGTGGGAGTTATTCTTGTTTGGAGGTTCCCTTCTTACCAAGGCTGGACTCTGACCCATTCACATTGGCAGAAAGCACATTCTCACCATTCAGTTATGCTGGTTTGGAGGTGGGAAAGGGAATCCGTAGATAATGTGCAAACCTCATTTTGGCTAACAGTCTCCTTCTCCACAGTCTCTTATGAGAAGTATAATAAGTGTCAAGCAAAATTTAGATGGCAGAGATCCCTCTAGCTCCAGAAAACCACAAGGACCATTCAGAAGAGTTGGTTGTAATGGAACATAACTGAAAAACAATCCCTGCCAGGAAGCTGCACCCCAGGTCAAAGAGACCTGAACGTGAAATGCATACAGGATGCTCACTCTGCCCATCTTGAATTTGAAAGGAAATACAATGTAGAAAATCCTGGATGGAATGAGAAGAGGGATCACCTGTCATAGGCTTCCTTGCTTTCTTTCCTTCTGGGTGGTTTCTGTGAAGAATTGTATCAGCTTTAGTTTACTTATTTTTTAGAGTAAGCTTTTTTGGATACACACCATACATAGAGAAAAATAAATCAAAAGTATGAAACTTGATGAACTTCCACCAAGTTCATCAACATATCCATGTAAGTAGCATTTGGTCAGGAAAGGACACTACTGGAGCCCTACACGCCCTCCCGTGGCCTCTTCCAGTCACCACCCCCATCCAGGGCAGCACTCTCCTGACTTCTGTCACAATAATTAGTCTGGCCCCTTTTTGAAATTTATATACATGGAATCATACGATATGCACTCTCTAATGTTTAACTTCTTTTGTCTAACTTTATATTTGAACTATTCACCCATATTTCTTCATGTAGCAGTGTTTTTCATTGCTGCGAGGTATTTCATTTTATGACTGTCCTCCAATATATTGACCCATTCTGCTTGTGTTGTGAGTTTGAGTTGTTTCCCATTTGGGGCTAATAGGAACAGTGCTTCTGTGAAGAGTCTTGTACGTGTTTCTTTTTTCCCCCTGCATCTACATGTTTCTTAATGTGTATATATATATGTGTGTGTGTTTCAGTCAGTCAGGCATACTTTTTTTCATTGTATTTCTTCTTGTAAGAAGCAGTTGAGGTAGCTTCGACAATTAAATGCACATTAGACTAGATAGTTAACACAAAGTAAAGCAGAAGATTAAAAACAGCTATTGTGGATACTGGTTAATATTGGATAATACTTCCAAGAAGCAGATGATGAAAAGATTCATTGAATGCTAGTGAGTGCCAGGCACTGTCTAAACTCCTTTGTAGGTCTCGGCGGAAAAGGTAATTATCATGGAATATTGAGTGTAGATCTGAACCTCCTGGTTTCCAGTTTTTGGTAAGGATGGGAATGCTGTTTAAAATGGAAAATGGAGGGGTCTTGGCCGGGGAGGGCAGAACATCCCGAGCCAGGCACTGGCCAGGCCCTTCCGTGGACACAATAAATCCTCAAGAGCTTGCAAAAATAAATAAATAAAATAAAATGGAAAGCAGAGGGATGTTGAAGGGTCAGGATGACTTCTTGATGGCCGAACCAAAGCTGTGTAAACGACCAGCTACACCGTTGGCTGCCTGTCATCTCCTTGCCTCTGGTGTACACAGCCCACCTTGGAGTTGTGGAGAGGCCCGTCCTCTCAGCAGGAACATGGAAACACTTGTGCAAGGTGATGTTCTATGTGGGATTCACCTGACCCACTCAGCAGAGTGTAGCCCAGTGGACCTGCACTGGGCTGCGTGAGGGACCCTTCTTTCTTTGTCATGGGGAGATTTTTGACCTATATGAATTGACACAAAATGGAAGCGTGGTGAGGCCTCGATAGTCCTTACATCAGACTAGCTGATCCCTAATAATCAAGATGCACTCTTAATTTTCAATTTAAGTCCTATTCCTTTTTTGATACCCATTTATCCACATAAACCTGGGATCGACAGTAGATTCTGCCTTGGCATGTTTGCAGACAGTGTGACTTGGGGTCGGGGTGGGACTTCAGCCATTCTTGGCCTCCATGCCTCAGCTCTTACCTGGCTGGCTGTGGTTCAGAGGCTGTGTTTCTCCAGGAATTTCCTGGTAGTATCTCAGCCAGACATATTAAAATTATAAAGGAACCATTACTAGACCTTAGAGTTGATGTTGTCATTATTTACAAATCAACTTTCTCGTGGGTTGGCAGTGTTCAAGGCCCTCCCTGCACCTAAATAGAGAATTTTAGGGGATGCCGGTGACCTTTAGACCTCAACTTGTCATTAGTTATATAATGGCTAACGATGACAGAAGAGATGAAATGCAGTTGGGTAAAGTTGGATTAATTTCTTTTGTATGATTGTGTCTACCATTAAGGTAAAGTTTCTACCTTTCGGAGGAAATTTTTAAGAAAAAGCTATTATGTGGGAGCCCTGGCAAGATGATGATTACTACTTATACCTGAGAATTCTCACCCTTGTTCCCTATGTCTTCTGTAGAATCAGAAAATGAGTTGGTAAATTCATCCAAAGTAAGAAAATGGGCAGTTTGCCTAAAGGTCACCCAGTGAGTTGGTGGCATGGCTGGGACGAGGACGCACCCTCCCATTCTCAGCGCAGCAGCTGCCCCACTGCCGCCTCCTTTGCCAGCCTGCCAGCTCTTGGGAGCTTGTCCTCATGCCTGCTGAGCCCTGTTTTCTTCTTGTCCCCTTTCGTCCCCCACCTTCCCCTTCACGCAACTTCCTCTGGATCTAGGGCCCCAGTTTTCCCACTCTTCAAGGCTGAGGCCTGGGTACCCCAGTATCTCCCCCTGAGGCTCGTGGGCCCCAAAGAGGAGAAGGCCACAAAAGGAAGGCCCCAACAGTTTTGACCCGTTCACCCTGAGCTCCATCCATGCTTCCCTGAGCAAACAAGAGGGAAGGAATTGGCCGGAAATGGGTCTAGAGAATTCATAATGATTGAGAGGGAGCCTTCTAATGTGTAGTTGTTTAGGTATGTCTCTTAAAACTACCTTTTCTCCCCCGGCTCCTGCTGGCCTTGGGAGCTTTGCAGTGCTCCTGAGTACCCACCTTGCCTGCCACAAATAGGGAGGGTAGAGGAAGTGGAGCTGGATTCGGTTAATGTGCCACTTGTTAGCAACTATGGTAAAAATAACACAAACTAGCATTTAAGCAGGCTGGATGGCTCAAACAGAATTTGGAGATTAGCCATGGACTGAATTGACTGCTGTTAAGTCACAATTAGCATAGGCTGTCTGTCTTTTCAATTGGTCTGGATAATGCAGAACCGGCTAGCCATGAAAAAAAAAATGATTCATGTTACTGCTTTATTTGCAAGATCCTAGTTGCATGTAACCACAAGCCAGGATATCAGGAAATGATTGCTGGGCATGGGTGTGCACATATGGGTGTGTGCGTGCACACATACACACAATGGTTCATGTTACTGCTTTATTTGCAAGGTCCCAATTGCATGTAACCACAAGCCAGGATATCAGGAAATGATTGTGGGGCACGAGTGTGCATGTACATGCACACACACATACACACACACACAACAACAACAACAACATACTGAGGTGGTTGTTTGGGAGACACTTAATTCAGAGCCTTTAGGCTCTATTCCAGAATCTAAGGGGAAAGAAGTGTCCCATCTGAAAAACCCAGATCATCTCAAGCTGACTTCTGAAGCAAGTCACTGCACATCCCCGAATCTTGCTCCTCATTCTCAGGCCAGCCTTTTCATAAAATTTTAGCCTCAGAAGAATGATAGAAACCATCCTGCAGGTGGCTTCCTTACCTCCAGCGGTATCAGCATTGTAACGAGAATACCAGGCGCTGCATTCCTCCTGTCTTGCTCTTTATCATCCTAAGATGCAGTACAAAAATTGCCAGCACTTCAAAGAAAACAAATGTTTGTAATTATGTGGAAATCCTTTTTTTTTTTTGCCTTTTATTGGGGGTGTGGGGAAATCCCTTCAATTACATGATTGTAATATTATCCCTGGGAAGACATAAACTTAGTTGTTTTTAGTCATCTTCAAGATATCTAGGAGTTTTTTTTAAACCAAGTTCATTTTTATTTATTGCACTCTCTTCGTCCATTTCATGAAAAAATATTGAGTTTGACCCAATTGGTGATAACATTCACAATTCTGCTCAAAGGATTCTAGAGCTTTAGAACAGGAGAAAAAATGCTGCAATTGCTCACAACACAGAAAATAGGCTATAGAGAATACAGATTGGGGTTCTGCTGACTTTTTATTATTCTCTAATCCTGAGCAACATTGAGCTTAAAAAGCTCTTTCTTTTAATCCAAGATTTAGGAGTTCAGCCAAATTCCATAAAATAGATTAATAAGAGCTCTTGCATGCTACCCCATAATAAAACTTATGTGTCTAAATAAGATAGTTCACTAAATTCTTACAGTATTAGAGAAATTATTCAAACTCTAAAATTGCTTCTAATCTCTTATTTCATCTAAACGACAGTATAAGATATGCCAGTTAGCAGGTAAGAGGTAAGAAGAGTACTGTTTAGTGAAATGCCTGCAATTTATACCTCTCTAATAGGTTTAGGAGAAAGCTTGTATTATTTAGATAATGTCAATTTATTGAAATCTAAAATTCTGCCTCTGTAATATGTACATATGTTATTTGGGCTTTTAACTTGGTTTTTACAGCTTTACTTTACCCTTCTGCCTACCACTAAAATGCATAGCTAAAATGTATGAATTCCATAGATTACCATAGAAATAGGCAAATTAATTCAAGTGTCCAAATTATACAGTATTTTTCATGGGTATTATATAAAATTCTGGAAGCTTTTAGTGTTCAGTTCTGCTTGTATTTGTATATTTTGAAACTGCCATATATCAAAGTCAGTTTTCTTTCAACTGCAGCATTTTTTGTCCTCAAGAAAATACGGAAGAAGCCCTGTTGTTATTGCTGATTAGTGAATCAATGGTAAGTGGAATGTGTTTTTACATCGTTCTTTCCCCTGGCCCTGTAGACCCTTTTTTGATATAGCCATTCTGCCAGTATCATGACTCTTTTTCTTAAGAGAAAATACTTTCTAGAGGGTATACCTGGATGGGAAAAAACAGTAGAGGTTTAAAAAGAGGGTTGTTTCTTAATTCCTGGACCAGCTAGCAATGTCCCTTGGTTAGCCTGGAGCTTGGAGCTTCTCTATCTTCTATCTTGAAGCACGTATCTTAGTTCATTCATTCATCCACCCAGTATTGGCTGAACATTATTGCAGTTGTATCTAGGTAAACCACAGCTAAAATGACCACTGGAGGAACCTTAAAAGGAGAAAGAGGCCCCCAAAGGGTGACCTTTATAAGCCTCTCAATTTGCCCTGGAGTGGGCGAGAATTTTGGGATAAGTCATTTGTTGGATCTATAAAGCTCTGGTCTTCACAGCAGGAGCTTGATGAAACTCTCATCCTCCTGCCCTTGTTGTCTCTTCCAGCTCCTGGCTTTGCCAGACACTGTAAAGTCCCAGGCCGTGAGAGCTCACTTGTCACTGCTATTGTGAGGGAGTTTTTGCCAGACCCTCTGATTCCTTTGAAACATTTTCTTAGTATTTGGCCAGAATATAGAATTTTAGGTCTATTTCACCACTCATCATTTATTGGGTTTCTGCCCTGTGTATCTATCACTAGGCGCTGTGGCCCTGGCTTAAAACCTTCAGGATCATGTGTGTAGTAATAGTGAATTCCTCAGCAGAAAAGTGATGTATACTGAGCACCTGAGCAGAATGGGTGGGCTCCTGGAATCAAAAGATCTTGAGGGCTCGCGTCCCCTTCCCTCGTTTTATACATGAGGAACCTGAGGCCTAGAGCAGGCGGAATGCGTGCATCACGCAGTGGTCTCCTGTTCCTGCTAGGAGATTGTACTGCCCCCTCCCCATAGTTGTCACCGCTTACCGCCAACCCCCGGGGCAGCCCAGGGGAGAGAAGGGAATCATAACTAAAGCAAGAGAAGGCATTTCCCTTTTTGCCCTCCCCACACATACTGTTTAATGGGAGGTATAAAATGGACTCAGGTGAGTATAGACATGGGGTCTGAGCATAATAACGTACATGCGCGGAGAGAAGGAGGGTTCAGAAGAGGCCAGAACTCATGAGAGGGCAGCTTTCTTGCCTTTGATTAAAACTTTGAATGGTCCACTGATGTTTACAAGAGCAAGTCTGCTTGAGTTACCACCTCTTTTGATCTGGAGGCTCTTTGGTGTCATTGGGCTTACTTCCTCTCAAGGAAGCAGGTTGCCCGATAGTCAGCTGATAACTTAGGGTGGTGTCATTTACATTCTCTACTTGCCTTGGTGCAATCAGGGAAGCACATAGGTGAGCAGGCTGGCACTAGGTGGCATTCAAGTGAACGAGTCTCCACAGGCTTCCCCACCGGGTCATCCATGGAGCCAGCTCATCTTGGCCTCCTGGTCAGCATTCCCTCATCCCAAGTTGGGTCCTTGGCAGGTAGTTCCCTTTGGGCAAACTTGGTTGGTTATGGTGTAAAAGTTCTGAAAGCATGATGACTGTACATTTTAGATTACCTGGACAATTCTGATTGAAAACATTATGTTCCACTGTCAGATGATGTGTTCCAGTCTGCAATTTGGAAAACATGGCCACCTCTCTAAAATGCTTGCACTAAGTGGAGATGTCTTTGGAATGATATCTCCAACTCTCCTGCTTCTTAATTGAAGTGATAGAAACTAATAATACTCAAACATTGAGATCCCTTTGAGACAGTCAGATTTGGCTCTATGGTATGTAATTGCCAGAAAAATCTCTTCAGGGGATGTTGAAATCCAGTGATGTCATCAGTGGATATGAAGGATGAGGTTTCTAACCAAAATGATTATGTTCTTCCTGTAAATCATTTCAGAAAATGTAGGTAGAAATCTAAATGAAATTGCCTTTGGAAGCCTTTTTTCCATATCCTTTGACTTCTCGATTGTTTAGTTTTTAGACAGAAAATGAATGTGCTCAATTTCAAAACCAAAATGAAAATTGCTGTGTTTTTTGGATGTCAGAAAATTGTGTTCTTTGTTGGTACTGACTTTAATTCAGAAGCATGAATTTGTCCGTCGCTTCTCCACCTACAAGGTATCATTTAGAATTGTGCTGTTTTCTAACTACAAATCAAATTAGTTTCCCCTAGGAGAATGGGATTATAAGAACTTGATTTGCAGAACTACCACTGAGGCAATATTCTGGGATATTTATTATTTGTGGGTCTGTTTGAGGTTCTATATTGTACCTTTTTAATCAAAAGATACTGATACTTTCTCTAAAAATGAAAAGAATGCATTTAGTATAACTTGAAAGTCTCTCATAAATAGTATGTTTGTTTTGTTCTCTTCCAGGCATTGGTCTCAGTATGGAACATATATAGCAAATAAATAAAATGAGACCATTTGCAACAGGCCCCTGTTTCCTTCAGAGCTGCTTTTTTTGGGCTCAAGAGGGACTCCTAACAAGAAAAACTTAGAATGAAATCTTCAAAAGCAGGCTTGTTTCCGTAAGAGATGACTCACTTTGTAGGAAGTGGCCTGTCTTATATATTCTTATTTGTCTTTGACATTTAACAGCAAGGAGTTTTAAAGTGAGTAAGTACTGATGGGTGGCTAAAAGTAAATGCCTTGGACTCACACACAAAGAAAATGCATTTTGTCTCATTAGTGAGAGGGAAGGTGTGTGTGTGGCCTTTCTGAATGTCAGGGGGAAGATCAACGTCAGCCTGCCGGGACAAGTGACCCCGGAACCTCATGTACCACTTTCACAGGAAAGACTGGGGGGGCCTTTCTCTGCTCCTACAGACAGATGGATCTGCAGACTTCTGTTAATTAGCAGAGGGAAAAAGGCAGGCGAAATCTAACTTTGTTGATTCTGAACTTCCTATTAGGGAAAAGAGGAAAATGAGCTAGCTGTTGAGTCTCAGACATGTGATATATTTGGAGGAATCTGTAGAGAAATTAAATTTTAGAAGTAATGGAAACAAGTTGCTGTAAAGAGCATTTGATTTCTGGATAGATGAGATTAATAAGTTTGAATGTGCCTGATGTATTTCTGTGCTAAGCATAGAAAATTGACGGTGTTCTCTTGAGTCCTCTGTGTTAATATCTTTTAAAGTAAAAATCTGCTTTCTTCTTGTTTTCTCTTATATATCTGTGTTGTGCTTCCTTAAACAAGATTGAACTCATCTTTGTGTTCTGTTCCAGTGAAGATGTCATATAGGGATTTGAATGTTGCTTGGTGATAGAGGAAAAGTAAGATATATCTCTGTAGGACTCATGGAACTTGATGACACAATTGGGTGTTGGGAAATGCAGGGCTGGGAATTTTCTCCCACTCTTTAATGTAGAGCAGAAGCAGGATTCACGAGTGAGGTGCAGCAGGGCCTCACTTGATGGATGATTCGGCTGCTCTAGAGCGCAGCTGCGTCTTCTATGAGGCTGGCTATGAACCCGAGGCCAGGGAAAACTTTGTATCGGCTGCCAAGGCTTCCTCCAGATGCCTGTCGACAGGTACAGGTGCCCTCTAGGTTCACACTTCCAGGACTTCAGTGTTTGGATCATCCCGTATATCATGTTCTGCGGTGCCCAGGGGATTTTGAATAAATAACCCAAGATGACAGGCCTCTGCTCATTCCTACCCTTGTCTCCATTCCCTTCGCAAATTGGTAGGGGCAGGAGGGCCTAGGTGGACTCCCCGCCATGCAGCACTAGGTTCTCTCTCCATCTGCTTCTCTATTCCATGTTTTTTCAGGCCAACCGGGACGCTGTGCTGAGCAGGATACCTGAACACAAGAGTGACCGCCTCATCAGTCTGCAGAGTGCATCTGTGGTCTATGACTTACTCACCATTGCTCTTGGAAGAAGAGGCCAGTATGAGATGCTGTCAGAGGTACAGCTGCTGAGTCTGGTTGACATCCAGGTGGTGGGTGGCAGTTGCACGGTGACCCCAGGGAAGCGCTGTGAGACCTGGTCCTGGGCCCCCCTCTATTAGTGGCAGCCATGTGATCTTGGGCCAGTCACTTAACTTTGGTTTTCTCCCCTGTAGAATGGGCCTTGGGCTAAATGATTAGGTGGTGGAATTGATCTAGTCTTTTACCATGAGAGTTCCATAACCCACCAGGCTGTGAGTTTGTGTGTGAGGGAAGGCAAACATTTCTCAAGCAGTTTCTCTTTCCACCAACTGAAAATCTCCCATCTGTGATATTAATTTCCTCATAGAACAGGTTTCCTTTAAAGTATCAATGTGTACAGTGAAATCGCCAGTGGCCTGACAATTTCAGGCACAGTGTGTTATGTTAGCTGGTATAGACCGTTTCATATAAAGGAGACAGTCTTCTTTCAGAGTCTTTTGCTTGTTCAGAAGGGACCCTCGTGGATTTCAGATCTTGTGCAAGGTACTGTCATCTTCTCACTCCCTCAGTTTCTAAGAAACGCTTAGGATGGAGGCTTGCCTCTTTCACAGTTTCAGGAGAAGCTGGTTCATCCTGGGCTATGGTTATGCATTATTAGGTTCCTGCCCAAAATATCAAATTCTACCATGGTAAGGCTAAATAAATAACAAGAAGATCACTTTATCTTTTCTTTAGCAAAATAGAGAAAAAAAAATCCCTATTTTTTAAAAGGAACTTTTCCATGTTATTTATCTTTCTCTTTCTAAATTTATACCCATTGCAACAGCCTCTGGGCACGAGGACAGGGAATGAAATACAGTAACAGATTGGCTGAAATCAGATAAGTGCCCGACTCACCCTCTAGCCTGCCAGTGCATCGCCACATTAGGCAGGAACCTTGGGGAAACAGATGAGCCTGTGTGGCTTGAATCTTTTTTTAGTCCATGGTTTGGTGACTCTACAGGGCAGTGGTTACTCAGCCTCACAATCTGGCCTGACAAAGCAGTGTGTGCAGATGCCCCCACCACATGCGGCTCAGCCCCGGGACTCAGTCCAGGCTTAGGATTGGCCTAGGTTGCTCATCACTAAATGGATCGAACCTCTCCCGGTACCTTGATTTCCTGGACCCCCCTTCTCCCCACCACCTAAGTTCCTGTCAGCTGTGTCCACCACAAAGCCTGTCACTGGGGACCATGCCACCCAGCTCACAGTTGAATTCCTTTAAGGTGAATTCGTTCCTCCAGACAAAACACATTATCACCTCTCTAGGTTCAAGGATGACAGTGGTACGCACACATCTACTTCCATCCTATTGGGTAGCAATGTTGCCTTTCCCCAGCTCGAAATCTCCTAGGTCCAAAACAAGAGTGAGGAGCTTGAGGTGTCTGGCCCTGTTGACTGGCTGGGTGGTCTCTGCCCCTGGGCTTCCCATTGTTCTGTGAACGTTCTAGGGGGTGGTCATCACCCTGGTGGTTTCCTCTGCAAGCTGTGGCTCCGGGGCCTGTGCCTGCTCCTGGCACAGAATACTAGGACCTTGTTTTCACCCAGATGACTTCTGTCTTGATATCATATGTAGCTCCCACCTCGTGGTGGTCACCTGCCTCCCAAATGACTGGGTAGTGTAGTTGCGGGAACCTTTGCAAGTCAGAACTTCACTCCCCTAGTCACATTGCAAAAGGTGGTGCAGTGCCAAAGGTTGCCTCGGGGAAGCTGGAATAGGAGGGTAGAAGAAAGGCAAATTTGTTACTGTATCTCCCCCAGAGCCTTTTGAATTTTATACCATATCTGTGTTTTATCTTCTAAAAATCTCAACCAACTGATGAAATATATGAAATGGAAGATGTTTATTTCTTCAACACATGTATGTACTATCACCTCTTCTGTGCCAGGGGCTCTGATTAAGGCCAGGGATACAGCCAGGAGCAAGGTGTGGCCCCTGCTCACAAGCTGCCCCCAGCCTGGAGCTGCCAGGTGTGACAAGCAGCTGTGGCCCATGTGCTGACGGGGGCGGGCCCAGCACAAGCTCTGCATGCCTTATCTAGGGGTTGGATACTTGGCTTCAGCCTTGCCTGTGCCTACCACTTAGGCAATTGGAGCGAGCATTCACCAACTGTGTTGTCTCAGATCATCCGACTAAAACGGTCGATGTTGTAGGAGAAAGATGAAAGCTCACAGCATCTCAAGGCTGCCTGGCCCATGGTTGGATAGCTCAGTTACTGAAGATAGGGGTTAGGTCCACCCTTTGCTGAGTGTGGGCCCTCTCTCCCTCCCTCTGTCCGAGGCCACATCCTACTCTGGGTGTCCCACTTGTCTTACTTCCTCATTTACTGGGGTTTTTCTGAATCCACTTTTTTTTCCTCCTCATCTGCCTTTCCATTTTCTCAGGACTTTAATTTAAAAGAGTAACTGGATTTTTTTTTTAATTGAAGTACAATTCACGTAACAAACCTAACCATTTTAAAGTGTAGAATTCAGTGGCATTTAGTACGTTCATACCACTGTGCAACCATCACCTCAAATTGCAAAACCTTTTCCTCACCCTATAAGAAACCCTATACCCATTAAGCAGCCACTCTCCATTCCTCACTCCCACCAAGTTCCTGTCAACTATTAATCTGCTTTTTTTTTCTATGGATACTGATTTGGGGTATTTCATATAAATATAAATAGCCAATATTTGGGCTTTGGTGTCTGGCTTCTTTCACATAGCATAATGTTTTCAAGGTTATCCACATTATAACATGGATCAATATTTCTTTTTATGGCTGAATAGTATTCCGTTGTACAGATCTACCACAATTTGTTTTTCCATTCATTAGCTGATGGAAATGTGGGTTGTTTCTACCTTTTGGCTACTATGAACAGTGTTGTTGTGAGGATAACTGGATTTTAAACTTCCTATATTACCTTTCTCTGAGCTCCATAAATGTTAGTAATTATCATTTTTATCATTTGTCTTAGAGATATGTTATATTTCCCTGTCTTCATTTCCTCCACTGTCAGCAGGGCGATCTTTCTGAGACACAGGAATAGACATGCCATCCTTCTGTTCAGAAATATTCGACAGACCCGCGCTCCTTCTTTTTTCTCTTTTTGTTTTGTTTTCCTTTCCGCCCATAATGAAATTGACTTCACTGTTTATCTTTTCGCCATATGCAATAGTCCTGCATGCTCCTTGGAGAATCAAACAATACATGCAAAATATGGAAAAGGAAAGAAAAGTGCCTTAGAATCCAGCTCTCCTGAGATAGTTGACTAATTGACATTTTAGAGGCAATCTTTACATCTGTCTTTATGAATAAATTGTGCATTATGTAAGTTTTGTTGAATGGGACAGTATCTTGCACATTTTATTGTGGATATTCCCTATCTCTCTTCTCTCCTCCACTGGCACCTCACCCATCTCTGCCTCCTCAACCCCAAACTCAGGTCATCAACATAGTGTGTCACAGGCTCTAGAGTCAGAGAGCTTTGGTTTGAGCTCTGGGTCTGCTATGTACCAGTCGTGTGAGCCTAGGCACATCATTAACCTCCTATGCATCAGTTTCTTTTCCTGTTAAATAGGGGTAATAATTGTGTGCATGTATATCTCAGACAGTTGGGAGATGCATATTCATTAATCCATGTAAAGTACTCAGAACAGAGCCCAGCACTTAGAGCTCGTTAAGAGGCAACTGTATGCTGCTGCAGTTACTACCACTGTATATACAGGAGTTACTAGGCACAGGGGAAGCAACAAAGGATACAAAAAGATCTTTTGCCTTCAAGAAATTTCCATTCTAGTTAGGGAGACCACATAGAAACAAACAAAAAGATAATCAAATTAGAGAATACATAATAGTGCAAAGCATGTTAATTGGCAGGTGAATGGAATAGGCCAATTGCAGCAGAGTTTATAGGTTGGGAGTGCCAGTAAGAGATTATGAACAATGGATATATGAATTGGCTCTTCAAGGCCTGATAGGCATTAAGTGGTCTAGGAGGAGAGAGACCCTCTTCATCCTTAAGCTTGCGGAGCTGTGAAGGCACTGGACCCAAGGGAACAGGAACCCAGGGCTTGCTCTCATGGAGAAGTGGGAGGAGAGGAGCTTGGAAAGAAAGTGTGGGGCCTGATTGTCAGCACCACAACCTGTTGGCAGACTTTACATGTGCCCCTTGAAGATGCGATCTAGACATATCACCGTGTGGCTCGTGTGTGAGTAAGTCCTCTTTGCCTCAGAAACCTTGCTAGATCTTCTTTTACATGGGTGGAAGCTTTTGTGGACAGAAGAGTTCATAAAACCATCAGTCAATTGTGAGAGAGAGAAGAGGTCTTAACTCCTTCTCACCCTGTCCTTGTGCTTTCCTTCCTTCTCTTGTCCCCAACCAGCATTAACACTTACACGTCAGGGCACAGCATGTCTTCCTGCTTCTTGGCTCCTCTCCTTGGCTGACCTGGGCCCACGGGCACCACAGAGGGTGGGGGCGCCTCTGCTGCCACTGCCAGCACATGTTCCTCTCTCTCCTGTCCTTGGCACCCTTGTGCAGTGGGTGTGTTGTGCAGCGTTGTGCAGACCCAGCCTTTTAATAACTGTGCTCACAGGGGTAAGTGGGAGCAGAGCCTCTCTTTCTCAAGGAAGCTGGCCTTTCTCTTATGCTTATTCAAGATGGAAGGCTGCTCTCCCATCTCAAGACCGGCCGCCTCTGTGTGCACCACATCATCGTGCCTTTCTTTCCTTATGGACTTTTCAGCCAGATGCTGGCCAAAGAGCATTGTACAAAGGAGACACAGACCAAAGGTTTATCACATCCTCATTCTGACAGGTTTAAATAGAAGCACAATGTTTACCATATCTCCAGTGCTGTGAGTTTTTGTGTTTTTAAAGACTAATTGTGAGCCCTGCTGAAAGGTTTGTGTAGGAAGGAACACTTCTTTTTTTCCTCTTCATTTTAAACAGCAGCACTAGTTGGCATGACAACCTGCGCTATTAAAAGTAAAGCAGCAAGCACCGCTTCCTCTGTTTTTCAGAATGAACCCAAGCTGCTAAGGAGGTTTGTCTCTTGAATTTGACTATTAATGGCTCCATTTCGACAGGATATTATGGGGTCCTTTTAGAAGGTTGTGTGTGTCCCCCCTCCATAGGCAAGGCAGCTTTAAAGACAGGAATGGTATTTTTATCTTTCCTGTTGAACTCATATTCATGTGTTTGTGGTAAATCTCAACAACACCATAGTTCTGTGGGTAGAACTGTCTGACTAGTGATTGTACCAAAAGGACATTTACACCTCCCTAACCTAAATGCTTATTTAATCAGGGAGCACAGTGAAAAGCATTGCACATCTAACAACGTCTGCTTGCCAGGCCCACCATTTGTTTAAAGTTCAGCATTGCGTGCAGTCCTGCTTGTACTGTAGAAACCCAGCCTTGAGCTACGTGCCAAGGTTTCTAGAAGGTATCAGTGGGCATGACACAAATGGATCCGTAGACTTCTGAGAAATCAAGGCAGGGTGTTTGGCTAATGCTAGGTGGTTCATAACAACTTGCTGAATGCACCAGTGCTTCAAAGCCAGTGTGCACCCTCATCCTGCCCCCTTTCCTTTGGTTTTAGAGGTCCCTAGATGTGCAAGGAGTGTATCTTCCCCAGGCAGGCCCAAAGGTTAAAGGTCATTGAGTGGAAAATGGGCAGCAGAGTAAGGGATGGGCCTGGCTTGGGGCAGAGCACCTGGACAGTTCCCAGCTCTGGTCCAGCTTTGTGAGTCGGCTCAATAGGAACCATCTTTACCATTTTTTCATGACACCCTGCCCCAAAGAATGTCAGCCTCTGACATGGCCCCTGGGATCTCCATTCTCACCATTATGGAAATGTTCTTTTGAATTAAGCATTGCTTTCTTAACGTGGTCCTCAATGAAAATGCCAACACGTTTGGGAGGAATGGAAGGGGTTTAAACTCTTAGGGTAGCATAGTTCAGAGAAACAAGGAATCTAGGTATATACCTCATGGTTTTGTTTTAGTTCTTTGTTTAAAATTTTTTTTTAATATGCCATGTTAACCTTTTTAAAGTGTAAAATTCCGTTGCATTTAATTACATTCACGATGTTGTGCAACCATCATCACTATCTATTTCCACATTTTTCCATCATCCCAAACAGAAATTCTGTACCCATCAAGCAATAACTTTTCATTCTCTCCTTCCCGATACCCTAGTAAACTCTAATCTAATTTTTGTCTTTATGAATTTGCTTATTTTGGGTACCTCATATAAAAGGAATCAGGCAATACTTGCTCTTTTATGTCTGGCTTGCTTCACTTAGCCTAATGTTTTCAAGATTCAGCCATGTTATAACAATATATCTGATGGCATTAATCAGAACTTCATTCCTTTTCATGACTGAATAATATTCCATTGTATGTATATGTTACATTTTGTTTATCCCTTCATCTGTCAATGGACACCTGGGTTGTGTCCACCTTTTGGCTATTGTGAATAATGCTGCAGTGAATACTGTCCTTGGACTTTCCTTCCTTCTCCTGTCCCCAGCCAACATCAACACTTGCACATAAAGACACAGCATGTTTTCCGAGTTCCTTTTTTCAGTTCTTTTGGGTTTGCACCTAGGAGTGGAATTGCTTGGTCATATGATAATTCTATGTTTAACTTTTTGAGGAACTGCCAGACTGTTTTTCACAGTGACTGTACCATTTTTACATTCCTACCAGCAATACACAGGTTTCTAATTTCTCCACTTCTTCACCAGCACTTGTTATTTTTAAATTATTATTAATATAGACATTCTGGTAGGTGTGATGTGATATCTCATTGTGGGATTGATTTTCTTTTCCCTGATAACTAATGATGTTGAGCATCTTTTTATGTGCTTATTGGCCATTTGTATATCTTCTTTGGTGAAACTACTATTCAAGTCTTTTGCCAATTTTAAAGTCTAAATAATAAACTCTGGTCAGCTATATTTTTAGAGATACCACACCTGCTTTTTTTTTTTTTTGTAGAGACGAGACTGTAGAAATCAGCTTGGGCTGGTCTCAGACTCTTGGCCTCAAGTGATCCTCCCGTCTTGGCTTCCTAAAGTGCTAGGATTACAGGCATGAGCTACCATGCCCAGCTTCACTTTCTTGAAATGTCTTTTGATGTGCAAAAGTTTTAAATCTTGATTAAGTCCAGTGTATCTATTTTTTATTTTGTTGCTTATGCCTTTGGTGTCATAACTAAGAATCCATTGCCAAATCCAAGGTCATGAAGGTTTAATTCTTTGTTTTCCTCTAAGGATTTTACAATTTTGCTCTTATATTTGAGCTGTTTGTCCATTTATAGTTTTTTTGTATATGGTGTGAGGTAGGAGTCCAACTCCATTCTTTTGCATGTGGAAATCCAGTTGTCCTAGCACCATTTGTTGAAAAAACTATTCTTTGCCCTATTCAATGGACTTGGCACCCTTATCAAAAACCAATTGGCCATAAATTTATGAATTTTTTCCTGGAATCTTAATTCTGTTCCTTTGGTCTGTATATGTATCTTTATGTAATACCATACTATTTTAATTTCTGTAGCTTAGTAGTAAGCTTTGAAATCAGAAAGTATGAGTCCTTTAACTTTGTTCTTTTTCCAGTTTGTTTCTGGATCCCTTACAATTCCATATGAGTTTGAGGATTGGCTTTTCCATTACTGCAAAAAAAAAAAAAAAAAAAAAAAAAAAGTTGAAATTTTGATAGGGATGCATTGAATTTATAGATCACTTTGGATGACATTGCCGTCTCAACAATGCCTCATAGTTTAACATCAGACCTGTGTGATAATCTCAGTTCTGCTACTTTACATGCTGAATATGAACTTGAACAGATTCCATTACCTCGCTGAACCTGTCCCCTTATATGGAAAACATAGATAATAATAAGATCTACCTTGGAATGTTATTGTGATGATTAAAGAGATAATGTATGTTACTGCAAGAAGTGCATGTTACTATTGTTATTGGTGGCATTAATAATCTGCTTTCTAATGTAAAAATCTCCTTTGTATGAAATAATAACTCTGGCAGATGATCCTTGACCCTTATATAGGGAAGTACCCATTGTACAGTAAAAAAAATTCAGCCCTGGAGTCAGGGAGATCTGTGTTCAAATTCTGGCTCTGCCCTTTCCTAGCTGTGAGACTTTGAGAAATATACTTGGCTACTCTGAGCTCCTACCTCAGAGACTGTTAGGAAGCTCAATAAGATAATGGCTATAATGTAGCTAGCACAGCAATTGATGGGTAATATATATTGTTCGATTCCTCTTTGGTTATTAGAAAGGATTGATCTAAAATGAGTTTCCTTGTAATTTCTACCTATTCTGTCTTTTTGGAGCAGTAGGGCAAGTCCAGCCCCACCTCACTGACAGTCTACCAATTTTTTTTTTTTTTTTGGTTGGTCTTATTATCTATTTTGAGCAGGTAATATTTGCACAAGGGAAGTATTACAACAGAGCCAAGGGGAAACATGAAGAAGAAGTTACTTGTGTATTCTTCTAAAGACTGACTATGAATCCACAGGCCACTATGCATATGTGTGTGTTCCCCTTCAGTGCAAAAGTAGCATGCCACAGGACATAAAATCTATGTTTTATCCAGCTGGTGATCTATCCTGAAGATTGTACCAGATTCATGTGTCTAGATCTGCCTCTTTTCACAGGTGGGAGAATGTTCCATAGTAAAGATGCCCTGGTAATGGATGGCTCCTTCTCCCTATTGAGTCCACCAAATTTTGAAGACAGTTGTCATATTGTCTTTTTTCCTTCAGCCTAAAGTGCCCCCAGTTCCTTTAGAACAAGGGTCAGCAAATTAAAGCGTCAGATGCTAAATATTTTAGGCTTCAAAGGCTAAGAGACAAAACCAAGAATAGCATGTAGGTATAACGAGAGAAAACAAATTTCTGCAAAATTTTAATCAATGAAACTCAAAATATAATGAGTACAACTTTTGTAATATAGATCCATGCATGAGAAGAATGGGGTTGTTTGCGGGGGTAGGGGATAACATTTTGCTTAATTTGGGTTTAAAGTTAATACCCCCTCTCACCAAATTGATGGTGTATGTTCAGCTATAAACGCAATTCTTAACTTTTGGGCTCTAAAAGCAAGCAGTAGGTCATAATGGGCCCTCAGGCCATAGCTCAGCGACCCTGCTTCTGTCCTTTCTGCTATGTCGTTGTCTCCAGTCTTGGCAACTCCAGTACTCCTCCCTGCCTCCATGTTTGCTGTGGCCCTCCTTAAAGGATCTCCAAAAGAATGGATCCCAATTCTCTGTCCAGCCTTCATTCAAGCATTTACCATGCAACTATTTTGTACGTGGTATGTCCCAGGCTGCCGCACTCTCAACTCCTTACTTCCTCCCTTAGTCCTGGCATGGGCTAAGTGGCAGCCATGGTTGAAGGGTTAAAACCCAGTGCCCCAAGCCAGGGAAGAGAGACTGAAAAGACCAAAAGGTGAGAGGCAATTGAGGAGACAGGAGGAATGGAATGCCCATTTTGTGAATTCACTGCATTTTGCAAGGAACAGCTACATTGGCAAAGCAGCAGATGGAGTAGTATTTGAGTAGGACCCCGGAGACCCCTTACTCAATGTGCAAGCTTGGTCTACTTGATTCGTAGAGTTGAGAGGAGAGCATGCCAGAAAACCGCATCCAGCATTCAAATTCTATAATAAAATCTGTGACCTTTGAAAACAACCCACTCTACTCCTCTCACTGTGGCCAGAGGCAATGATATCCTTTAAGTGTTTGCCAAAGCAATAAAACTCTGAGACTTCCCTGCTTGGAGCAGTATTGCTGTTTTAAAGCAAAAAGAGAAATGGGAAGAGGTGGGGCATGGATACATTTGCTTTATTTCCAACATAAGGAGAGAAAACTTGAGCAAGCTTTGATGTCTATGTTTTCTCCAAACTTGGGGCAAGGAGGGGGACTTTTATTTGTAGCTGAGAGTCCCATAAATATGCCTTTTAGAAGCTTTTCCTGGACCCAGGCTCCTGTAGATAGACCTCTCAAACTCCATTTTAATTTGTACTTTCATTTTTAGTTAATTTAGGAGTGCCGAGTGTGGTGGCTCACACCTGTAATCCCAGCACTTTGGGAGGCCAAGGCAGGCATATCACCTGAGGTCAGGAGGTTGAGACCAGCCCAGTCAACATAGTGAAACCCTGTCTCTACTAAAAATACAAAATTAGCCAGGCGTGGTGGCGCACGCCTGTAATCCCAGCTATTTGGGAGGCTGAGGCAGGAGAATCACTTGAACCCAGGAGGTGGAGGTTGCAGTGAGCCGAGATCACGCCATTGCACTCCAGCCTAGGCAACAAGAGCAAAACTCTATCTAACAACAACAATAAAAAATTTAGGAGTAAGAGCTCTGAACTGAGGATCATGAGATGTTGGCTCTGACTCTAGGTCTGCCACTGTGTGCAGCCCTGGGGAGGTCCTGTCTCCTCTCTGGGTCTTAGTTTCGATATCTGTAAAGTAAGAATGGGATCAGATAATCTCAAAGGCCTCAAATTGCTCTGTGATTCTGTCAGTCTGTGGGTATAAGGTGATGGCCCAAAATGTCTGAATAGCTTACAGAGGTTTTTATTGCTAAAAGTTAACAAAGTGAAATATTTTGTATATATCATGTTTAAAAACAATCAGTTACACAACTGCAAGGAATTTGATTAACTGACTCGTGAAGTATACACGATGTGGAAGAGAAAGTCTCCCTGAAGAACTGAAGGATCTATGTCATAAGAACTTTTAGGATATGGCTGACCTGTCTATGAGGTAAATAATGATGACAGTTCACTATGCTATTTGTTGTCTTTTAATAGTGATGAATTTTGGACGTAGACTTCAGGCTAAATTTGAGGGGTATCTGATTATTTTATTTCTGCCCCCTCCCCAGTGGGATTTGGATGCAGAATCTTACTCTTGAATTCCAAAAATAGACTTTGGCTTTGCTGTGCTTGTGGTACTGTACAGCTGTCGCTGCCGCGCACCCAGTTTGTGTAACTGGGCTTTGTGTACTAGGGAGGTAATTGCTAAATCCCTTTCTGATGCCAGAAAAGCTTCTCATTCCTGGAGCCCCCTCAGAGATGGCTGATTTATGAAAAGCTGGAAAAAGAGACTGGAAAGGCATAAGCTCTTGCTACCAAAAGGAAACGTTTTCGCAAGTGACATTTTGACTCGCACTTAAATGATTAGGATGCCATTTAGAGTCTAATTATTGTTCTACCAAATATTCATGGTATTAAATGAATGTTATCTGGGATTAGAGAGGTGGCAGTCATGTGATTACAGCGAATGGACCTATCTTTCCTGGTAGAAATAATACCACTGCCAAATCCATCTTCTTTTCTTGTGAGGGAGGTGATTTGGAGATGTCACCTGCTGTTTTGTGTGGGTGACTCAGGGATCTGCAGCCTGGACTGGCCCCACTTCCCTTCCTAGGCCCACACTGCCATCCCTCTGCTGGACTCCACAAGTGGAAAAGGGGCCAGAATCTAGCTCATGCCACTCAAAGACTCCTATTCACACTGCCTTTGCCATCCACTGGCATGCCCACCCTCATTCCCAGGGGTTCTCATTCTCCCCTTCATCTGCCCTTCAGAACCCTGAAGATCTACTCTTGCTTTGTTTCATAAAAGCCAACCCATTGATAGCCTTCATTGTGGGCCACTCTTTTGAGCATTTCACATGTATTTCTGCATTTAACCCCCATTACAACCCCATGGCTGGGAGTGAGGAGCTTGGATTAAGCCTAGGCAGCCTGGCCCCAGAACCAGTGCCTTTACCATGTGACTGCTCTTTTTGTCCTCACGCCCTGCGAGCTGGGCTTGAGTGATTAAAGCACTCTCTTATATGCCCCCCATGCACAGAACACCTGCCATCTTCTGAAAAGTCCGTTTTCATCAATGCATCTTTTTCACTGGAACCATTATTAAAATGTGAATGCAGCTGGGTATGGTGGCCCAAGCCTGTAATCCCAGCACTTTGGGAGGCCGAGGCGGGCGGATTGCCTGAGGTCAGGAGTCCAAGACCAGCCTGACCAACATGGTGAAACCCCATCTCTACTAAAAATACAAAAAATTAGCTGGGCCTGGTGGCGGGCACCTGTAATCCCAGCTACTCCGGAGGCTGAGGCAGGCGAATCGCTTGATCCCAGGAGGCGGAGCTTGCACTGAGCTAAGATTATGCTACCACACTCCAGCCTGGGTGACAGAGCAAGACCCTGTCTCAAAATAAATAAATATTAAAAAAATAAAAAATGTGAATGCTTTTATTTTATGTTCTCCATCTCCCCACAACATTAAAACTGCAGTTTTTTACTCTGTCCCATACACATACGGTAGGGTTCTTAAAAAGGGATAGGCAAACATAACTGGGATGAGCAAACAGCCTAAGGGGCGACGGTTGTGGATAGCAAAAGCCCCCAGTGACAACCCACATTCCTTTTTACCATGGGTGCATTTTTTTGGCAGGGAGTCTCCTTTTGTAGTTGAGGTATGGTTGACCTGAGCTGCTTAGGGGTTTATGTAATCTTCATGTTTACAGAAACATAGGGGAGGACATGTTATATATCCAGGCAGCATGCTTGGCATCAGCATTTCAGGAGCATCTGAAGCTGTCTGGGTGCTTTTCCAAAGCCGGCGTGCCGTCACTGTATCTCATAAGATGCCAAGAGCCCACTGGCAGGCAGCGCCATCGGCTGTGATGCCAGAGCTCACACACCTCTGAATTGGGGTGGAGGGCTAATCTGTAATTGACCCAGATTTCCTAACTCTCTTTAGGACACCCTCATGGCTTGTTAGGGGAGGTGGGTTGTTATCATTATGAGAAAGAGGTCCAAACTAGGAGGGAACTGGGAGAGATGCTGCCTGTAGAGGAAACACAGGACTCATGTAATCTTTGTCGATTGAGAACTTTGCGATGGGCTGGAGACGTGGCACCACTGGCTGCCGTGGTGCTGGTGGATATCGTGGGATCAGTAAAGTTGATTGACACTTCTACTAGCTGGAAAGGTCTCAGTCCTTAGTAGCCTCAAGCAAGGGTCCCCATTAGCAGCAAAAAAAAAACCATATCGCTGAGTCTCTGAAACAGTTCAAGAAGCATGTGGCCTTTTTAGGGGCCTTTTATTTAGTTGTCCTTTGCTTTCTGCAGCATGAGTGGGCCTGATAAATGAAGTGTGAGTGGCACAATATAATTAAAGTTTCAGAGGCAGTAGTGTTGTGGTGAAGAGCTCAGTCTCTGGAAGCAGACCGCTTCACTCCCAGCTGGCTCCACCACCAACTCTGAGGCCCGCGTACCCCCTTAACAACTCTGCATCTCAGTTTCCTCACCTGCAAATGGACGATGATAAAGGGGCCTACCTGCCTTGTACTTTGCAGGGTCCTTAGGGTCACCCGATGAGGCGATGCTTGTAAAGTAATTAAAATAGTGCCTGGCTACAGAGTAAGTGTTACCACACTTGTTAAAGTAATAAAGAATAAGCGTACATTCCGGTCCAGTTCTGTAAAGTTGTGCCCTCTTCTCAAGGGTCTCAGATTGAATCCTTTTCTAAAATGAGGAAACATTTCACAAAGTTCTGTAAATATTTTGTAAAGATATTTATTTCTGATATAATGCATTGTAAATTTGAGTTTTCATACATTGAATCTGGGTAAAGTGATAGGTATGATACAATTTGTTGTGTTTCCATTCCTAATATAAGAATGTTAAAATTTTTAAAAAGGAATAATAGCTAACTTTTGTTTAGTACTCACTAGCCTGTTTCTGAGGAGCTATTTCCTGTGGCATTGTATGTAGTAACTAATTTAATCTTAGTAACTCTCTGCATTAATTACTGTCATAGTTCCCATTTTACAGTGGGGAATCTAGGCACACAGTGGTTAATTGCTTGCCTGAATTCACACACCCAATCTGTTGTGCACCTTGAAACTGTATTTCTAGCTGCCATTCAGGTTGTGTATTCCCTATTCTGAAGGGGTCTCAGGCAGAAGCTCTACAACTTGTTGGGGGCTGGAAGGTAAGGGTTGTTACAGGAGGAGCCTGAAGTGTTTGAATGGGCGTACCTTCGGGGCCTTGGCTGTAGGTGACGGAACCGGACTTGTTAAGCAGAAAAGTAACTTATCCATCTGCACTGCTAAGCTCACCAGTTCCACCAGAGGCTGAAGAAGAGACTGGAACAGATTCAGGGAGACAAGGGCCCTGCCCCAATTTGGGAGGTCCCAGCTCACTCAGGTTGCTTGGAACGAGGTCCAGAGGCCCCTTCCCTGCCTCCCTACCTGCAGATTCAGAGGCTGGCAGGAGCCTGTGATTGGCTGTCTGCGTGCCACGCGTGTGCCACATTCCTATCGCTTCTCTTCTTGGGAGTGCCTGCTCGTCCCCCCTGCCAAAATCAGAAGAGTTTTGAAGTAACAGGCAGCCAGAATGACAAGGGCCCTCTCCTTTGAGGGCTTCAACTAGATGCTCCCCAAGTGATCTCCAGCCACAGGATCCCGTGATTCTACTCCTGATGAGGACTGGGGCTGTTTTTCTTTCCTGTAGCACCTGGAATGCAGTTCTATACCAATTAGACCTCCGGTGAATGTGCTTCACAGAGTTTAATGAGGCTGTTAGCCTTTGGCATGCAAGAAAAGAAGGGTGCATACTTATTTATAGCATCTAGCTTTTTGATTCAGAACAGGCTGTTTCAGCTGCAGAGCTCCTTTTGTTGATCAGGAAAACAGTTGATATTTATCATTCCTCTTAGCAAAAGGAGGACAAAAAAACCATTTAAACATATAAATGTTTAAGTACTTAGTGTTTAAGTACTTACTAAGTATATTGAAGTACTTGGTGGTGTTATTGCAATGTATTGGTTGAGTAGGGCTGTTAGAATAATCCTTATTTTTGATTATCTACCATCTCTCCACATACCGGCTCCCGTGTCTTATTTCAGCCACAGTGATCATTCTCATCTCCTCCTCCTCCATCGTCCCTCATCCCCATCCCCAAGTCAGTTTCTAGGTATTGCTAGCTTTTCACTGCTTAGCATCCTCCATCACACTTGTCCTCCCCTACTTAGTCCCAGCCCATGCCTCCCAGACCTGGGTTACGTCTCTCCCGCCACCCTGTCTTGCCTACTTGGTCTCAGCATGCTGCTTTCATTTCTGCCTCCCCGCTGTGCTCCTTAAAGGCACAGTGACACCTTCCTCAGTACAGCAAAGCAGCTAAGAGGGCCCTGGGTTCAGGTTCAGATTCCAGGTCTGCTGCTTGGTGTCCGCACTAGTGAGGAGTATATTCAGATGTAATTAACAAAACCGGCATGCAGTGGCTTAGCCAAAGAGGAATTTATTTGGTTCCCCCTGCAAGAAGCCTGTGAGAGGCTGGTGCAGCAGCTGCAGCGCCTCATGGCATCAGGGCCACGCGCTTTCTCTTTCTGCTCAGTGTTCCTGGCCACCCTACTTCCGGCTGTGAAGGGGCAGGGCTGAGGGCAAAGTGTGTGCTGGCAGAGAATGCCCTGCTTTTAAAGGACTCTCCTGGAGGCCTCGCCCAGCCACTCCTGCCGATGTCCCATGGCGTAGGATGAGGCCCGCAGCCAGCCCTGAGCTGAACACATTGCCCGTGCTCACCTTGCTCAAGGTCTTCGGATGCCCACCCTGTGCCATCGCCAAGCACTAGGTGCTTGTTAATGCTTATTACTTTGCTTTTAAATAGAATATGTTTTTGTCAGAACAGCTTTTCACAGTAAACCAACTAGCGTGATATTTACTGTGTGACCTCTGTATATATCATTTAAAATTCTAGAATTCTTTTCTCTCCTCTCCCACCACCTCACTTTACCTTTACCCATTTGTCACCTTCACTGCAGCTCCTTGCCCTCCTTCCTTCACTGTCCGTGAATCCTGAACATCCCATCATTTTCCTGTGCTCCTGCACTGGCCTCCTAGCAGCACAAGAGAAGGTGGCAACACAGTGGTGCAGGCTCCACTGCGTGGTTGCACCAGTCTCTGAGCTGACCCTGCTGTGAGCCTTCTCTCCCCTTTGGTGGAGGGGGATTTTGTTGTTGTTTAAACCTTTTCTATTTTTTGCATTGTTTTTCTTTTTCTTTTCTTTTCTTTTCTTTTTTTTTTTTTTTTTTTTTTTTTTGAGACAGGGTGGTCTTGCTCTGTTGCCCAGGCTGGAATGCAGTGGTACGACGATCACAGCTCGCTGCAGCCTCGGCCTCCTGGGCTCAAGCTATTCTCCCTCCTCAGCCTCCTGAGTAACTGGGACTACAGGTGTGCACTACCATACCCAGCTAATTTTTACTAATTTTTTTTTGTAGAGACAGGGGTCTCGCTATGTTGCCTTAGCTGGTCTCGAACTCCTGGCCTCAAGTGATCCTCCTGCCTCAGCCTCCCTAGTGCTGAGATTACAGGTGTGAGCCACTGCGCCCAGCCGCCTCTGTTCTTTTTAAAACCTCCTGCCATTATTCTTTTCTTTTCCTCCCAGCACCCACCTCATTCCATCTTTACAGAGAAAACTGGCTGGGCCCGACACCACCTGCCATTCTCTCCTCCTTATCTGGAGGATCTTGCCTCTGTAGGAGAAGGCCTCTCAGCAGGGATACATTTGTTCCGGGGACCTGGCTCTCTCTAGTCTTCTGGGACCTAATTTATCTCCCCAGAGTCTTCACTCTGCATGCTGGTTCTGCTCATGTTAGCGAGAGGCTTGAGTTGCCTCTATGAAAAATTAACACATAGATAACCTTTCTTCACCCCACACATCCTTCCTTCATACCTCATCTCCATCTTTTCTTTGCTTATTGGTCCCCATGGCCTGTGTTCTCCTCCCGTGTCCCCTAAAGCCACACGTGCGGAGCTCGTCACCTGATTGATTGTGGTGGCTTCTTGGCCTCCGTTGCCGCTGGCCCCATTGGCCCCTTCTCGGGTCCCTCTCTGTGTTGTGACACTGCTGCATGCCCTCCCACCCAGATCCCTTCTTCGCCCTCCTTTCCAGATCCCTTTTCTCTCCCTTTCCATGGTCTGGCCCCACTGCCTTGCCTCTGAATACTCTTCTGGACTGATCTGATCTCTTCTAGTAACTTCAGCTCTTTTCTCAAATGTTTGTCTTCTGTTAGATCTTTTTCTTGAGGTCCCAGAATGTCTTTGGTAAATTACCTCATGATGCCTTGAACTCAGTATTTCCCGTGCTAAACTCATTCATGACAGCTTCCTTCCCCATTCTCCCTTTCTCCTAAAAAAAAACACCTCCCCTTCTCTCCCTCTCTCTCAAACACACACACACACACTCCACACACTCTCTCTCTCTCACACACACACACACACAATCACACTCGTGCATACACAAGGGCCTTCTGTGGCATGGATTCTCCCCCAGGTATGCAAGCCAGAAACTCTGGGCACCTCCTGTGCCTCCCCAGTCCCCGCATGCTTCCACAGGTGACCCATCCTTGCTGATTTGACCTCGGACACATTTCTTGATTCTGAAACCCCTGGACCATTCTATCCACTTTGTTCCTGGCCTGCCTCCATCAGGGTCTTCCACCTCACCCCACTCACCCCAGTCCCCCACGATCTTCCTAAAGCTCTAACGTCATCATGTCACTCTGTGCAGGGACCAGAGGCTCCTCGCTGACTGAGAGGGAAGTCCGTTTGTAGATTACTCACCACGGCAGGCAATGCACCAGTACTGAGAAGATAAAGAAGTTGTGGTTTCTGCCTTTGATGGTGTCTCATAGTGGGGCTGGGCTGGGGAAGGCCCAGCTCAGTTTCTATTCTCCCTGATGCCATTCCTGATTCCTGGGATCACCTCACCACAGTCCTGTTTCTCGCCCTGGGGGCACTCCTGAGTTTGTCTTTGTCTTTGTGTTGTTGGTGTATTTGCCTCTTTTCCTGTGCCAGATACAAAGCTACTCGAGGGCAGGGATTGTCACAGCTCTGGTCAGTTGTAGGTTGTCCTGGCCACCGGCATGGTGCATCATCCTGTGTGGGGACTCCGTAGGAGCCGTTTGGTGGTGGATTATGTTTTAAGCATTCAAGGGAAGCAGATTTTATGGGACTTACCTTAGTGTGCATAGATACAAACTCACACTTGTGCAGTTGTGGCACCAGTGATTCTCAGATGTCTGCATTTGTTTTTCTTTCCCAACCAGTGCCTAGAAAGAGCCATGAAGTTTGCCTTTGAGGAATTCCACCTGTGGTACCAGTTTGCTCTGTCCCTGATGGCTGCTGGAAAAGTGAGTCCCTTTTGTGATGGGCAGTTTTTTATGCCTTTCCTATTAAGGCCAAAGAGTTGAATGTCATGGAATTGCACGGAATGATAGACTTTGTGGAAGTCTTTCGAGCCACTCTGAGAAACTATCGTGGTCCGTTCTCAGTGAACAATCAGATTTAATTGTTTGGGGAGCCAAGATGGACTTATCACTGAGAAGAAAAATTCTGAAATATTTGTCTTTTTCCAGTCATTGTGACTTCATCAGGTGTCATGGACATGGCTTAAACTAGAGCTGATGTTTTACACAGACACCTCCACTCATCTGAGAGTTAAGCTGATTCCTGGAGGGGAAACCTGTTGGTTATCTTGAGCAATGTGTTATATTAGGCAGTGCATGATACTGGATGAAAATGTGGGCTGAGGGAGTCCAACGGCAGGATAGAAGCTTGATGCTGCTCTCCCAGCTGAGTGACCCAGGCAAGTTACTGAGCAGCTCAGTTTCCTCGGTAAAATGGAGTAAGAACAGCACCTGCTCCATAGATGTGTTATCAGGAGAATGAGATGCTACACCAGAGGTGTTTAGAGGCACGCTCCTTGCTGTGTATACACTCAACAGAGGTCGTAGCTATTGTTTTTCTTGCTAATTTGGGCCATTTAGCGAATGAAGCCTGAGATGGAAGATTATTTGAGCTAAGTGAATTCAGAAATTCAGTATTTTGTGCCTTAAATTAGATATTTACCTTTTATAAGAACAAACTTCCACCATCTTTATGTTTTTCTTAATTTTCCAATAGCTACACAAGTATGGAATGAAATTCAGGTGGCGCCAGAGAAGCATTCCTGCTGGCTTTTAACCCAGTGTACTCCCCAGTCACTCAGAAGCCGCAGGCTCTGGTTTTCATGCACCTCAGGCCCCCGCTTGCTTGGGCTTAAAGTTGGACAAGCCCACGAGGAGGTCACCCTGACCAAAAACCCCTCTGAGAAGGCTGTAGTATTCGGTTCTGTCAAACACTTTGAGTTTCACGGAAATAATCTTCTCTTGCCAAGTCTGCCCGTGCCGTGAAGGTGCTGAAAGAGTGTATCCGCCTGAAGCCAGACGATGCCACCATCCCTCTCCTCGCTGCCAAGCTCTGCATGGGCTCCCTGCACTGGGTGAGTAGGGGCGCCCCCCTCCCCGCTCCTGCAGAGGACTCTGGGCCAGGACTGCCCATTTTTTTCATGTCGAGGCACAGAGAGAAAGCGAGGGTGATTCATCAGCTGTACAAAGACAAGACTGTGTAGAGCCACGGACCCTGGGCCTGGGCCCCTGGCCTCCTCAGGCCTCATCCACTCCCCCAAGGACTGAGGAGTACTCTGGGGTACTCCAGGGGTTTTTTCCTATGGGATTGTGCTTCAGGAATAATGATAATAAGACAGAATTATAATTCATACTCCCATACATCTTGCTTTATTCAAGCAATGTGGGACTGAGAAGAGACACGTCACTGAATTAGCATCCCTGGCTGAACCTGGTTTGTTTTTGCTTTTGTTTTTGTTTTTGAGACAGGGTCTTGCTCTGTCACCCAGGCTGGAGTGCACGATCAGAGCTCACTGCAGCCTCAACCTTTTGGGCTCGAGTCATCCTTTCACCTCAGCCTTCTGAGTAGCTGGGACTACAGGTGTGCTCCACTGCACCCGGCTAATTTTTTAATTTTTTTGTAGAGACAGGGTCTTACTCTGTTGCCTAGGCTGGGAGCCTGGGACTTTCTACAGAGCAAGGAGTCACCCTATATTTCAGCTCATATGTTAAATTCAACTGTCTTCATTTCTATTCCTTCACATACGCGTTTTTCTTCAAATATTCTTGTTCAGATTTGAATTTGGCAATACCCTGATTTGTAACAATTCTAGTACCTCAGAAAATACATCATTTGAGTAGAAAATAGAAAACTCAGTCTAATTGCCGAGATGGTGGTATAGATAATTGCCACATACGATAGGGTTCTAATTTCTTTTCTTTAACTTCATGTCAAGATTAGCAATAAAAAGGATTTGCTCAAAAAAGACCGAAGCATCTTACAAACTCAGGTTGTTCACCCTTATATCCTTGCTCTTTGGTTTTTCCATGTATTCTCACCCAGCAGGAGAAAAGTAAGCCTAGTGAAGAGTGTTCCACTTTAGTTCCATTTTGCTTGGGAAAATGTAGAAAAGATGTTTTGAAAGCACAGGCTCTCACCTGAAACACACAGCTGTGAAAGTGTAGTTTGGTCACGTGGGTTTTGACAGTTTGGGGCTGTGAGCAGGCAAGGGGATGGTGCAGGCGGTTCCAGGAGTGGGCAGGCGGAGGAGTGGACACAACCTTTGCATTTGGAACGTGCCAGTTCCCAGCAGTGACTACTGCCCTCCTCCCAGCTCTGGCTTTATTTATTACTGTAACATATACATCTTGAAATGCCTTAAATAGACCTCTTTTTTTTAAAAAAAATAAGAGTAACAAATCTTTTCTGTATATTTTTTCTTGCATTTTTATTATTAAAATTTCCAAATACCACAAAACTCAAGAGTATATGAACTCCAGTGTCTTATCACCCAACTTCAATATCATCAACATTTGCCATACTTCAATGGAACAAATCTTACTCTTTTTGCCTCTAATGAATTGTGCACCAGGTCTTATTGTGGGTGTAGTTTACAGGTGCACATTTTCTCATTGGAATCTGCTGGCACAAGGTACATGTGTTGTGGTTTGTAAAATAAGTGGATGGAGTTTTGAAATTTATAACAGCTCATGGCAAAGAGAATCCAAGCCTAAATGGATTCTTTATATCCTGGGTAGGGGGGGAAAGAAAGGCTCAAACATAAAACATTTCAAGAACTTGATTCTTTACAAATATATTCAGTTCAACTTCTGCATACCTAGCACAACTTCATTATAGAACCAGTCAGTAAAAAATAAAGATGAAAAAGATAGACCCCCACCAAATATGAAAGCAACTTTGGAAAAGAAGGCAAATAAGCAGTAAGAAAAACTTTAAGGAGAAAAAGCAAGGTAGGAATCCTGCGAACTGTTAGAGAGCTCAAGAAAGAAAACAGAATCACCAGAGTGGGATTGGGAGATTTGAGAGTCATTTTCAAAGTGACTCATCAGAAATCCAATTTTGGCAGCAGACGCTTATGGGAACTCATGTTAGAAATTCTGCAGGTTGTTGTTGTTTTTAACTTGTCTCATTTTTCAGTTGGAAGAGGCTGAAAAGTTTGCCAAAACTGTCGTTGATGTGGGAGAGAAAACGTCAGAGTTCAAGGCCAAAGGCTACTTAGCTCTGGGGCTCACGTACAGTCTGCAGGCCACTGACGGTGAGAGACGTCCCACCCCCACAGCTGCTGAGCTGCAGGGCTGGACTACCTAAGTCTACCCTGCGGGATTCCCACAGTCCCCTTCTGTCTCAGGAGGGTGCAGAAGCTGGGGCATTCTGGTGTGCCATCCGGTGGGGCCCCTGGTGCTGCTGTCCTCTTTGCTTGGTCTGATGGGAGAATGGGAGGGCAGGGAGGAAGGCCCTGTGCCAGGGCTCCCAGGCCTCATTTTTAGGTACATTATGCTGGTGGCACACTGGGCACCTCACTGCGCTTTGAGGGATGATTCATCCACCTAGCCTTGCACCTGCCCCTGTCCCACCACTTGGTCTGGGCTGTCCTGTGTGAAGGGATGCTGGATCTTAGGTACAGGAATGTGGAAGAGTCAGGGCCAGACACTTCCAGGAAGCTTCCCTTGACTGGTCAGGAAATGCCCCTTCTCCATTTGCACATTTTAATTTGTAGATATGTACATGTGCAGTGCAGCAGCTCACAAGACACCTAGGGGTCTTGGGCGCAGTGATTTTTGGATGTGCTTAGAGTTCTGATGGATGGGATTCTAGCTAAGAAAAAATCTTGTATACTTAAGTTTTCAGTGATATTTGCAGAAAATTTAACAAACTTTTCCTGAACTGTTACTATTCTTTTATCATGTTGTTGTTAAATATAACACAAATGCAAAACAAAAATCCCAGAAACACATGGTTAATTTAATGAATTTTAATTAGTATAAGGCAAAATATCCTGTAGTCATTACCCTGCTGAGGAGCTAGAACCTTGCCAGCCCCCTGGGGAGCCCTCCGTGTGCCCCTCCCAATCACAAACTCCCTTCTCTCCCTTACGAGGAAATACTATCCTGGCTTTTGTAATACTTCATTTTTTCTTTATGGTTTTGTTGTAATTTATTTTACAAATTACTCCAAATTCTTTCCTCTGCCCTAAAATATCAAAGGTCCTGGGAAAGTTGTGCATATTAATTACTTTTCAATATGGATTACTTGCTAATTTTCCATATACACATGGTACATTGGCAATACCCAGCACATAGCTTTTGACATAGTAGACTTTGAGTGAGGGGCAAATTTAATGCCACATATTAACCCATGTAAATTCTTCAGACTCTACCCCTCATTACTCCTGCAACTTTGGGAGAGTTGCTTGACCCTATGGGGCTTCCTTTTCCATTCTTGGGTCAGTTGGGTCCTTTCTGAGGTTCTCTCTAGCTGTGTCACTGCTGTTCTAAGTTAGCCATGGTCTCCAGCCACATTGACCCCCTGGCAGCCTTTCACTGCTCTCAGTCTCATGCCAGGCTGGGAGGTGCCATGTTGGAGGCGTTAGGTAATGGCCTCTTGCAGTTCCAGCCATAAACAGTTTCCTCCAGGACTTTTTCTCTTGCCCTAGTAAAAAGTACCTTTTTCATTCCTAGCCAGGTTTAAGGGGCCATTTCTCACATGCTCTGCACAGGGGAAGTGTTGATTCACAGCGAGGTGGCCTCATGCTTTTGAGCTCATTTTCCATGATCAGTGTTAGGTTTGCCTACTCCATTCCTTGTGTTCACATGAAGGTGTTAAAGGTCCTGGCCATTGCCCAGTGTGAACCAAGCTGGCCTTTCAAGGCAGCAAGCTACTGTCGGTGGCCCAGGACTGCAGCTTCTCAGTGGCAGAAGGAACTCTGAAGGCAAGGCTGTCAAAATCAACACTGCCGGTGCTTGCAACCCTCCCACCCCATCTTCATAGAGCTTGTCGTTCCCCTGAGTTACATGCCTACACTTGAGAGGGCAGTCGTGCTCCTTCTGGAGTTCCCAACTGGTCTTTTGCAAATGGCCCCCATATGCCTGGGAGTACCAAGAGTGACCACCCAACTCACACTGTCCCCTTGGCATTGTTCCACAGTCACACCTAATGAGTGCAGGCACCTTGGGGGTAGGACTGGGCTCTGTTTCCTATCTTCTCCAGGGCCTGGTGCAGGACTGGGCACGTAGGCACTCAGACATTGTTGCTTTTAATCCAGTTGAATGTACAGGTTTTGTGATGGGTTTTGTATTTGTCAAAATTCCCTGATCCCCCATGCCACTGACTAATTGAACCCTTTTCTTAGCTTCTTTGCGAGGGATGCAGGAGGTCCTACAGAGAAAGGCGCTTCTTGCATTTCAGAGGTGAGTGGGAGTTCATCTTTTCACTCGGCTGTACATAATGACACCAAAGTATGATGAGTATAAAAAGAAGAGATATTTATAAAGATTATGTAAACAGTGTTTTACCCCTGAGAGTCTTTCGTCCTGAGCACCGAACACACAGCACACAAACCCTGCTGTATCACTTGTTGCTGTGTCAATCTGCACTCTTAATCTGTTTATCCATTTGGGCACATTTTATTCATTCCTAATAAAGTGATTTCAGCTCAAAAAAGATAGGTATTTTGTATGCCAAGGGAGATGAGTCCTTTATTAAAGACATTTGTCATCATCTAGAGAAGAGATTATTCTTTTCTAGCTTTTTTTTTTTTTTAAAAAAAACATGTCAAACTGCAGGTTTTTGTATAAAGGAATGAGAAGGCCGATTTCAGGAAGTCTCCGAAATACTGAGTGAAGACAGTCAGCCCCAAACTCCCCGCCCCCACCTTGTTCCATAACACCTTGTGCTTCTCTCTGTCATTGTGCCTCTCAGGAAATTAGGAGAAGGCCTTGCAATTATAAAATGCTCGAGTGTCACAGCGTGCCTTCACATCCCTTATTTAATTTGTTGCTTACCACACACAAGTGAGGAAGACGGACAGGCAGTATGTCCCTTGCAGGTCAGGGACTGAGGCGCAGGAGTTACAGGAGCTGCCGGTCCCGCAGCTGTTGAAGTCAGTATGCAGTCAGGGTCTCCTGGCTCTAACACAGTTTCTCCTGCCCCACCATACTACACTGCCCTCATTTTATTCTTGTTACAGGTATAATCACAAAAATGAAATCATCTGGAAGCATAGCCCCATGATGTGAAATCCAGCATGGGTATTGATCCTGTCACTTTAAATATATCTGAGTTACACTGATTTCTTGGAACTGTATTAGAAACTTAGTTACGAATATTTCATGAGGCCTTCCCAATACCTGACAAGCTTCGTTAGACTCTTTCCTTAGAACTGGGGCTGCCTACTGATTTATCATGGTGTCCGTATGCCTTTTTTCATGAAATCATGATCAGTGGTTTCAGTGAGTCTGAAACTCTTCCGTCTCATTTCTGTTTCCTAGCAGGCTTGCCGGTAGCTACTTCAGGTTGCCAGCCCCAGTCTGGGTATTGACAAAAAGTACCAACTGACATCTGCAAACAGATCTCCTGTCTCTGTGCTAAGCTTTTGTTGATGTTCCTCAGCACGGAGTGTGGAAAGCATTTCCATTTCAAATGATTTGGAGTTTTAAATTCTCCAGTCCTAGTTTGTAAAACCCACACATGGATGCTTAAGAAAGTGGTCATTACATCTGTTTCACTTTTCTTAAATCAGCACATCTTACTGGCTCTCTAAAAACAGCCACAGTGGTGGTCTGCCTTGAGCTGCCAGTATAACTTCATGTTATATAACAGCTGCTCCATTGGCCTGAATTCTTTTTTGTTCATCTTTTGCTTAAGTTTAAATTCGAAGAGATTTTTAAAATATTAGTTCATATGGGAATAAAGAGTAATAAAATCCCGCTAACCTAACTGATGATATTGCAGAAGGCTAACCTAAATTAGAATTTGTGTGAAATATAGAATGTTTTTCATTTTATTTCAAGTACACATTAACTAGGACTATTCTAGTGAATTGCAGTCCTAACAAAAATCTTTAAGGGAAAGATTTTAAGTAAGTGAAAATGATTTGTATTACTTCTTAAATGTAAATGGATAATTTAAAACTACTTTGATGAGAAGTACTTTCTCTACTATTTGTTTTAAATATTCTCCCCACAATTCTGTTTATACTAATGTTTTGCATTTTTTGTTTAAAAAGAAAACACAATTCAGGAAGGGATGGGGTTGCAGATATAGCACAAGAAAGTTAACTCTTAATTATGACTGCCAGAATTCAGACATATTTGTTCTCTAGTGGATCCAAAGAGGTGATTTTTGAAGACATCCAGGTTGGGTGGCTGCATCTGAATGTGAGACCCTCACCTGTTCCTACACTCATAAGCTCAACCCAGGCAGCTGAACCAATTCATTTGCCCTGTACTAAAGTATAGTGAAGAAGAACATAATATTGTTTGCAAAGCTTCTGAAGATGCTGAATTGATATGACTTGCTTCTTCTGCAGGCTCTCACATCCTACTGAGAAAAGCCATCCTGAAAACAGTTGAGAGCACCTTTCATTGCATGGCCCACAGTATGCATAAAGCCTGGTGCTCCAGGAGGCAGGGGTGGCATGGTGGTGTTTGTTTATCACTCATTGTGGCACAGGGTACACGATCTTGCTTTGCTTTCCCCTTTCTGTCCTAGCTTGAGTTTAAGTGTGGTATGATGTGTGCATATAGGGTGATCAGCCATCCCAATCTCTTGAGGACTGAGCGTTTTCCCAGAACATGGGACTTGCAGTGCTAAAATCAGGAACATCCTGGACAAACCAGGACAAGTTGGTCACCCTGTGTGAGTAACTAACGAGAGATTCCTGAGCAATAGATTTAACCAGGGTTTGCACTTTTTAAAAAACTTAATGCACGAATCCCATGGCCCCTGTAATCAGGACTGAAGGGAAATTCAAGGAGAATTGGCTAAACAAGGCAGCAAGGTTCTGGCTTTCTCTCATTTGCTGGCTGTTCTTGGACAAGAAGCGTAATAGTCGATAACTTCACAAATTGTAGTTACTATTGTTACAAGATATGTGTCTTATGGACTAGGGTCAGCATTGATCAGCCTTCTCTATATTCTTGGTTCAGCTCTAGAGAATGTTGGAAATGGAATCTAAGAGAGCCCTGGGTTAGATGCCACAACATCCTTGGGTTCTAGCCAGGTGATCTGGGAAGCCCATCCGATGCTTTCCAGTAGCAGCCCAGCATGCCTATCTCTGGGCACTGCTCCCACTGCACGATGATGATGGTCATTCTGGGTCTCTCCCTCTGGGGCGGGGGTGGGAGCTCATCAAGGAAAGGCACTAGCATGATTCATCTCCATGCTCCCCAGAAGTTAGCATAGGGCCTGGCATCACATTATAGATATTGCATAATGTGGATGGGTGGATGGTGGATGGATGGGTAGGTGGATGGTTGGATGGTGGATGGATGGATAGGTGGATGGGTGGGTGGTTGGCTGGGTGGATGGGTGGGTAAGTGGATAAAAGGATGAGTGGGTTCTTCTTCATGGGAGAGAAACTGAATTAATTATGTGGAGGTGCTTTGATAAGGGAAGCATTTTGTGAGCATCCTTGTGGTGACATTTTTAGGTCTTTTAGGTATTTCTGAGCAGTCTAGCCAGGTGTTCAGTTTATGGGCACGGAGTTTATGAGGCTGCTTTAGATTCATTTACAGAGTTCAGAAGGCTTGCAATTTTTCTGATCACTAATGTCCTCTCTCTCATCTGCCTGGCCTGAGGATTTCTGTCCGGCGAGTTGCCTGTGGCATACCAAAGGGGCTTTCCCACAGGAAGCTTAGCTGCTGAAGTTGCTCCACGGGAAGCAAGTATTTTAGCATCTACTTGAGATCAACACAGGGAGCTTTTTCTTGTTTTGTTTGGCATTTGCCTTATTTCCTTCAGAGGGTGAAGTGGTCAGTTGAATTCATTAGCCAAGTTGTAGAAATAAGGTTTTTAAAATGTATATGTTTCAGTTGTGCCTCATTAGAAATTTGGCAGTTGAATATGCATCATTAGCCAAGTTGGAAATCCTTCAGATGTTGCCCTAATGCACTCCAGAAATACCAAGATTTCTAGCACTTCTGGTTTGTTCCTTTCACGGTGCTGTGGTTAACAGAGAAAAATCATTTGATGAGGCCAGCATGGGGCCTTTAGCCAGAACTATCTTTATGTACACCCTCAACTCAACAGATCATTGCCAGCTTTTCAGTTGGTTGGTATTGCATAGAGGCAACCATGACTTGATTTATTCGTGAAGAATATGAATTGAACTGAGAAAATTATAATTCTAAGAAGTTCTTTTTGAGGGTTCTGTAAATTTATTATTTGTGAAAGAAGATAAAATAAATCTAAAAATTTCTTCATAATTGTGTATTATTTTTCCTGAATAATTATGAGAGAAACCATGATTTTTCAATCTCACTTTTATAAACACCAAAGAAAAATATTCTTTGATGTACAAATTCATGGAAAGCCAATATTTGTAAAATTATAAAAGCTGCTATATACTGAGTGGACCTTAGAAATAAGCCATTTAGTAGCTGGGCGTGGTGGCTTATGCCTGTAATCCCAGGGTTTTGGGATGCCAAAGTGGGAGGATCACTTGAGCCTAGTAGTTCCAGACTAGCCTGGATAGCATGTTGAAACCCCGGGTCTACAAAAAATTCTATAAATTAGCTGGGCGTGGGGAGCACGCCTGTGGTCCCAGCACCTTGGGAGGCTAAGATGGGAGGATCGCTTGGGCCCTGGGAGGTTGAGGCTGCAATGAGCAGTGATCATGCCACTGCACTCCAGCCTGGGTGATAGAGTAAGACCCTGTCTGAAAAAGAAAAAGAAAAAAAAAGAGAAATAAGACATGTAAAAGGGTAACACAGGCAATATCAGCTTCAGCCTCTTCAACTAAGCTAAGAAAAGTCCTGAGGCTATGTCTTGAGGCCAAGTGAAGAGTCCCCTGGAATGGAAGTCTATGTGCTTTGCTCCTAAGATTAATATAAGGACAGAGATTAGCTTTGCCTCACCCTGGACCTGCATATGAGCTATTACATTTGCATAAACAATGACCTAAATTAGTGAATTTAGCATATTTTCTGGATGGCAAACACCTGGGAGGTTTGTTAGCTCCCTTCCCTGCAGCAGACAGTCCAATTAAAAGGCCTTATTATTGTAGAAAGCCATCTTTGGCCTGTTTGCCACAGTTGAATCCATAATGATTTGGTTTTCTTTTTTATCTCGAATTTGTTTTCTGCTGGTAGAAGATCCTCCTTTAATCACAGAATGTTGACAGAACAGCATGAAGTTTTGTTTACTATCTGGGTCCCACCTAATTAGTCTGCTCCATGGTGCCTTTTAAAGAAAGTAGAAGTTTGTTTTTCTCTTCCCAGCAGTTAAACACAGAATTATGTCTAGTATGTAGTCAAATTTTGAGTTGCTTATGCTGAAATACAAATGACTTCCACATAGAAGCAGAGAAGACCACGTTTGCAATCAGCTAGGAGGCCAGTATGGTCCCTTCCTGTCTGACGTCAAAGGCCAGTTCTTAAAACTGAGCCTAGTGTCTCACCACACTCTTACACGACAGTTATCTGCAATAAATCAGTGAACGGCATGGAATTTTGTAGAAGCTTCAAAAGACTGAATGAGTGCCTTTCTCTTCCCTTTTTTCACCAAAAACCCAAACCTCATTTTATAAGCAAAGCTGGGTCTTTGATTTTCATATGGTTTCTCTGAAATCTAGAAATTTGGATAAAGTAGCATTAAGGAAGGCCAAGCCAAACTTAACCAAAGCAGCCATCGCCTTGCCAAGTGCACACATGGCTTCACTGCGTCCCAGCACGACACAGAGACCCATCTGCTGGGGAGATCAGACCTCAGGGCCTATGGATTCTTCACCTCGAGGCCCTCCGCAAAGCCGACAAGCTTCAGCTGCCATTTTAGATGCTAGACAAAACACAGAAATGCACTCCTATTCTGTACCTTTATACAGTGGTAAGAGGGAAATGGTTTACATGTGTAGGTGGACAAAGAAGAAGAGTTTAAATGAAGCATTACATAGTTAAATAAATACGGGCCCTTAGTATAAGAATGCAAATGTGGAGAAGACTTGCTTGATAGGGAAAGTAAAAATGGCCTCCTCTCCCATGTACTAATAGCCGTAAATACTTTTTCAGGGCCCACAGCCTGTCACCCACAGATCACCAAGCAGCTTTCTACCTGGCTCTGCAGCTTGCCATCTCCAGACAGGTCAGTTTCTCTAATGTTTCCTATACTTGCTGCACTCTGTATCTTGATACAACTCCTTCAGCTCTTCAGTTTGAAGTGGTAGGTGATCTTCCTTTATTCCATTGAGGCTGACCTGGAGCCAGGAACCCTTCTCAGAGGTTTCAGCAAAGAGCCTGGTGTTTTGGTTGGTTTGAGCATCAGCTGTGAAGACACAGGAGTTCCAGGCTCTGCTATTGGACATTAAATCCACACAGCTGGAGGGCCCAAGCTAGGGTCAGATGGCAACCTGGGGAGCAGCACATGGCATATACCCTGAACCCAGGAGTCATCAAAGAGCCTCTGTCCCTTGCCAACAGGAACCAGGTAGCAGAACCCAGTGCTGAGCTGCATGGTGGGGATTTAGCCCTGATTGGCGTCTGGTTGTCATAAGGGTGTCATTGATTGGCAGGAAGATGCCAGCAGGCAGAGACAAAAGAACCAGGTCCTTTACAATACGTGGAAAACATGAACAGTTACACACCGTGGCTACTCGAAAAAGGGGACTTAACACTATCTCCTTGCGGGAGGGGCAAGTTTTGTCGGCCTTCATCTTCCCAAAGGCAGCTTTTAGATGCTGCCTCTGCCATTCCCGAAACCCTCCTATCCCCTCCCAGCTGTTCTGGGGATGTTGGCCACATGCCTGGCCACCCACCAGGTGCAAGACACTGGTGGTAACCCCAGCACATTCCTGAGTGCTGACTGGGAGGGTGATTCAAAGGTCAGCTCTCCAGACATGCCATTCCCCTGGCAGGCCTGGGCTGAGGTATGCACCTGTCTTCCTGGTTGCTTGGGAATGGCATTGAGAAGTGGCTTCCATTGGCAACCTAGGGACTAAGGAAACCAGGATACCTCCCTGTAAAGGTCCTGTCACCTGACTGTGGCTCACAGCTGGGCTTCTGCAGCAGGTGTGGGCATTGATTGACCATCTGATCTCTCCCCTACGCTGACAGCTTCTCTCGCCTCCTCCATGAAGCCTTGCTCCTGTAGCAGCCTGCACTTCTTCCTTTTGCCCAGCTTTCTTGTTCAGTATCTGTCTTTCTCACTGGACTGTAGGTTCCAGGAACCCATGCCCATCATTGTCATTGCTTTACCCTGGCACTTGGAATGCCACCTGACATGTGTTCAGCACTCAGGAATACTCGCTAAATGAAGGAACCAGCTTTGAATTCCTTCAAGGCAGCTATCCCTTAAAGACATCGTTTTGATCCCTGTATCAGTTTGTCCCTGGTTGCTCTGGTCATCCCTGCAAATCAACATCATGCCTATGCTTTGCCTTTCGACCCACCCATCAATACCAGGTTGAGTGCTATTCACATAGTAGGTTGTCACCTGGGGAAGGATGAGTAAATGGAGCCTTGTGGGTGTGGCAGCAGCCTTTGTGGGCATGTAGTGTCAGAACACCAGAGCTCCGAGGGAGTGTTTCCCTGCTTCCCCAGGGGAGGGGGTTTGACCAGGAGGAGAGGATGGACAGGAATCACTCTCTTGTCAGACACTCAATAGCTGGGTGACCTTTCCCAAGCCATTTCACCTCCCGGGACTTCAGCTTCCTCCCTGTAACTGAAGGATTGGGGTGAATGGTCTCTCTTCCAACTGTGAGAGCTGTGATTCTATGGTTCCAAAGCAGAAAGCCTCCACAGCCAGCAGTTATAACCTAAATCCATCAAGAAAAGAAGTTCATTGAGGAAAAGTAATTGGTTTGGGAAAGAGAAGTCATAGCCTTCTACTAAGGAGGGAGGTTACTGAGGGTTTGGGAAAAAGCAGGAGAGCTGAGAAGAGGCCCCACAGAGGACTGGAGTTGGAGCGAGACCGGAAGCCATCTGTGGGATGGTTGTGCAAGAATGCTTCAGTCCAGAGCTCTATTTCGAAATCTAGCTTCGGGTTCTAATTCTCCCTGGTTACTGCCAAACCTGCATGGAATCCAGGGTGTCACATACCCATTTTGTGTGTATTTTATCAACCCTTGTGCTTGGATGATTTTGAAGAAAGTCTTGAACAGCTGTTGCACTGAAAGGTTCAGGATGTGTCTGGTCCTACATGAATTTGGACACATCTGCTTTGCATGCGGCATTGCAATTTGTTTCTCAGATCAACTTATTTTGGGTTGTAGTTTGGAAAGGTGTGGGGGCCTTTGTTGTTTACTTTTTTGGCATGTTTCCTTGATGTCTAGTGGAGGTCCAAGACAAAGGAACCTGAAAAGAATCACAGGCCTCTGATCACTCGGAAAGCTCTGTTAAAGGTTTTGTAACTTATTAAGCACTTTAATTTCAGTAATACTTGAAAAAATGAGAACAGTTCAGCTAAGGCAGTTTAATTCCACTAAAAATCTCTGACACTTTGTATGTGTCTCCACTTAGAGCAAAATCATCTTGGGCATAATCAAAAGTAGATCAGTTTTGTGGAAAGAATGAGAAAGTGTTTACTCAGGGAGAAGGGAAAGACTTGGAGCAGTATTGGCAGCTACGTAGAGAAACAGGGTCTCCTGTATCACTCTATCAGTCAGAATGTCTTTTGAAGGTGGCTTCTGCTTTCATGTTTGTGGTTAATATCCTGGGGCTGCCATAAAGATTTGGCTTAAAATGTGAATGAGGCACAATGTGAAACAACTCAATATTTGAAGAGAAGCAGACATTGAAAAGATGGCTTCTTTCGCGCGTGTGTGTGTGTGTGTGTGTGTGCGTGTGCATGTGTGTATGTAAAACCTTTTTTGGTTTTGTTTTAAACCAGATCCCAGAGGCTCTGGGGTATGTCCGCCAAGCTCTTCAGCTTCAAGGTGACGATGCCAACTCCCTGCACCTCCTTGCCCTCCTGCTGTCAGCACAGAAGCATTACCATGACGCTCTGAACATCATCGACATGGCCCTGAGTGAATACCCAGAAAATTTCATGTAAGTGATCCTGGGCTTTGGTTTTCCCTTACTCAGAAGTTATTAAATTTACTTCTTCCCCTGCCTTCTTTCCAATCTGTCTAAGTCCCTCATGGACACCCTGGCAGTCAATAATATAAAATCCCCTTTACTGTTATTTTTTCCTGATATTAAAAACAAACTTAGGGCTGGGCGCCGTGGCTCACATCTATAATCCCAGCACTTTGGGAGGCCGAGGTGGGTGGATCACCTGAGGTCAGGAGTTTGAGACCAGCCTGGACAATATGGTGAAGCCCTGTTTCTACTGAAAATATAAAATGTAGCTGGGTGTGGTGGCGGGCGCCTGTAATCCCAGCTCCTCGGGAGGCTGAGGGAGGAGAATTGCTTGAACCTGGGAGGCAGAGGTTGCAGTCAGTGGAGATTGTACCCCTGCACTGCATTCCAGCCTGGGCGACAGAGCGAGATTCCGTCTCAAAAAACAAACAAACAAACAAACAAACAAAAAACTTAGGCTGTTAGGTCATCCTAACATAAGGTCATCCTTATTTTTTTAAAATACTTTATCCACTCTTTCCCAATGTGTACCATTGGAGCACATGAGACAATTTTAGATGGACTGTGGATGAACATTTTTAATAGTTATACATTCCTTTTTTTTTTTGAGACGGAATATCACTCTGTTGCCCAGTCTGTAGTGCAGTGGCATGGTCTCGGCTCACTGCAACCTCCACTTCCCGGGTTCAAGCGATTTTCCTGTCTCAGCTTCCCTAGTAGCTGGGACTACAGGCGCCTGCCACCACACCCAGCTAATTTTTTGTATTTTTAGTAGAGACGGGGTTTCACCATGTTGGTCAGGCTGGCCTTGAACTCCTGACCTCACGATCTGCCCTCCTTGGTCTCCCAAAGTGCTGGGATTACAGGCATGAGCCACTGTGCCCAGCCTAGTTACACATTCTTAAATGTACATTAGAATGTAGTGATTTGATGAAAATTATTGCTCAGGGGGCTATTAAGAATTTTCCAAGTCAATTTAAAGAAAAATATTAAGTAAATATTAAGTAACTTCTGCCAGATATACTTGGATATGGCAGAAGTGATGTTGAACTCCAGTGGGTGAAATCTGGGAAACAGGGCTTTATAGCTTGTTTGTCCTGAGTTACTGAGGGCTTCCACTAGCTCTCGGTGATTCTCCTATTTTAGGCAATTTTGATCAAGATAGCTTCCCTCTCTGTGTCTTAGTTTTATTCTCTAGGAAATGGAAGTTCTTAAACAATCAATATTATACGTAACCTAAGAACTATCACTGTAAACTGTCATATGCTAGAATCATCTACCTACCTTCTTATCTTTCCTCTGAATCACTATAATCCATTGCCTGTTGGTTAGGCTTTGTTGAGAAGGACTTTGTCTTTTGGGCTACTGGGTTACCATTTCATCCTCAGTGGCAGTAGCTTAGTAACCAGTACACAATGGCCAGAAATAGTAAACATTCCTGCACGCTGGAAGGTTCTGATTGTCTACAGAGTTGCAGGGTCAGTAATGGGGCAGGGACTGCTTGGGGTTGGGGAGAAGGGAAAGAATGTAGAAGGTGGCCCAGGGTTGCTCTCTTCACTTTCAGAAGGAAGTGCAGCCACAAACTTTAAGTGGGTCAGCTCTGGCTTTATTTCACTGCCTCATCACCTCGCTGTGTTTTTAATCAGTGCTTTTCAGCAGCTCTCCTTGGAAAATTGGTTCACACATTTCCATTACAAACATTTCTTTGTCTTCAAGTGAAAAGGGCACTTCTTCCCATCGAGAGAATTCTTGTTATAATCCAGGAAACCTCTGACTAGAGATTTCTTTTGTAGGCTCAGCTATTTATGCAGAGTGAATTAAAGAGCTTTGCTGCAGTGTTTTACTTCTTGCAGATCTCAAACTTGCTCTTTTGTACACCAACTATATTTCTGGATTTTACCCCAAGCTGTTTATCCCATGGAACCTTAAAATGGTTAAAGCACTTTAAAAAATATTCGATCCTTTAACCATCGGTAAAGTACAACCTGATGCAATTGAATTCAGTGTCTCTCATCAATATTTATAAAGCTTCATTCCGTGTCTCACCCTCCAACACACACACACACACACACACACACACGCACACACACACAAGCTCTTTCATTAGGCATTGGACTCCAGGGTATGGTTCCTTCTTCCATAGCCTAGGGTGTCATCCAAGAGGAGGCTTATTAAACTAATAGCCATACCACATGGTAAGCAGTAAACAGTGGTGGCTAATATGGTAATGCCTCCAAGTGACAGCAGCTGACAGCCTTTTCAAGTAGTGGAAGTAAGGAACAGCAGTGGAGATATTTGAGGAATGCAAGGCTGTTATTTTAATGTTAAGCCGTAAGCTCAAAAAAGCAAAGCATATGGCAGCAGGTCTGAGAGCAGTCCGTGACTTGTTTGCTTTTTAAATATTTGTATTTCTTTGCGATGGGAAACTTCTTCCCAAGAATACTTTATTAAAAGTTGGGGCCAGATGTAATCAGTGGATCCCATGGTTTCTTCCCAACCTGGCTAAAACATTTCAACACCAACCGAAACAAGATTAAGTGGGCACTTGTTGCAACTGCCATGTAGTATTATCTGTTTGTTTGTGACAAGCTTGTCTGCAGCAGAACTGTAGACTCCCTGAAGCCTGGGAGTGGAGGACATAGCTGATGGGTAGTCAGGCCTTGATGGAGGTGAAACCTTCCCTCCGTGAGGGTCAGCTCTGTCCACCTGTTGGGCAGTTAGTAGAGGAGACAGCTGAAGGCCCTTGGAGGAGCAGCTGGTCCCTCCAGCGTTACATTCCTGTCACCATGAAATGATAAAACTTGCTGTTTAAGTACTTTGAATAAGCTTAACAGGGTCCAAAAAGTTCTAAGCTGAGAGGTACCATCTCAGCCACTTTGTCACTCCAAGCAGGGCTGAGACAACAGTAGAATCAACAATTGAGAAGATGTTTCTAACCGTAGGGATTTGTGAGAATCAGGAATTCTTTCTTCAGGGAACCCCCAAAATAGGCTCACTACTCTGGAGAAGCAGGCATTTTTGGAAGTGTTATAGGGTTAGTCCAGTATGGAAGGAAAGGAACGAGGAAGGCTTTTTTTGTAGTGGTTGAGAGTGCAGTCTTACAATGGGACAAGTTGAGTTTAGGACTCCAGATCCTTCACTTTTAAGTTGTGTGACCTTGAGCAAGTCACTAAATCTCTCTGAGTCTCATTTCCTCATCTACAAAATGTGAATAATAAAATATCCATCTCAGACAGTTGTGGTCAGAATTGATTTAGCTGGTGCATTTGAGGCATTGTACCTGGTAATCACGTAATAATTGGTAGAAACTCATATTACTATGACTATTACTACCAATACTACTGAAGTATGTTCAAATATGGTATTTTAGAATCCTTTAGAATTGTTCTTAAATATGGAATAAAATCAAATGAATGTTTATTAAATATATCTAAAATCATACAATGAACATATGTGTTTGCCTATTCGTAGTTTAGAAAAAAGAACATTAATATTACCTGTGAATTTCCTGTGTAGATTTATTTATACATATATACTTACACGTATCTTAAACATGTGTATGTATTTCCTAGGTATATGGATTTTTCGTGTAATATTGCCAATGATTTTTCTCTGTATCCTGTCCTTTTGCCTGTCACCTGACAGGTTAATGACCATTCTAAATTCTATGTTAATCATTCTCTCATGTTTCTATACCATGTATATTGTGCTTTTTCTTTCTCTCTCTCTTTTTTTTTTGTTTTGAGACAGGGCCTCACTCTGTCACCCAGGCTGGAGTGCAGTGGTACAGTCACAGCTCACTGCATTCTCAAACTCCCAGCTCAATGGATCCTTCAGCCTCCCGAGTAGCTGGGAGCACAGGCGTGTGCCACCATACCCAGCTCATTTTTGTATTTTTTGTAGTGATGGGGTTTCACCACGTTGGCCAGGCTGGGCTCAAACTCCTGAGCTCAAGCGATCCATGCGCCTCGGCCTCCCAAAGTGCTGGGATTACAGGCCTGAGCTACCGCACCCGGCGTGTACTCCTAAATAATAAAAATTGTGTTTTGCCTGTTTTAAACTTTTGGTAGAAAATGGAATCAGACTGAATATGTCCTTATGCTGCTTGCGTTCATTGCTTAACATCCCGTTCCTGAGGCTCCTCCTTGTTGCACGCAGCAGTGACTCTTTGGTTTGCATGAATGAATAGTATTTATTGTGTAAATGCACTAAGATTTCCTTACTTAGTCTACTGTGAATAGATACGTGGGTTGTTTTCAGGTTTTAGCTATTATGAACAGTGCTTGTAAATCTTCTTTACAGGGCTCCTGGTGCACACGTTCAAGGATTTCTCTATGAGTGAAATAGTTAGGTCGTAGGATTTGTGTATCTTCAACTTTACCAAATAATTCCAAACTGTTTTTCAAAGGGGTTGTATTAGTTTACACTCCCATCAGCAGCGCTCAAGAGCCCTGTGGTTCCATACACCAATACTTGGTGCTGCCCGACTTCATATTTTTGGCAGAATGGTTGCTGGTTAATGATGTCACCTTGTGAGTTTAAGTTGCGCATCCCTCATTACTAATGAGTTTGGACATCTTTTTATTTGTCTATTGGTCATTCACCTTTTCTCTTTTGTGAAGTGTATGTGAAATTCCTTCTTTTTTATTGGATGGTCTTTTCCTTAATAATATTTCTTTATGTATTTTGGTTACAAGTCTTTTTCTTAGTTATATGTGTTGCAGAAATCTTCTCCCAAGCTGTGATTTTGTTTTGCTTTCTCTTCATGATGTCTTTTGATAAACAGAAGTTCTTAATTTTAAAGTAATAGAAAGTAGAAGTCGTTTCCTTTATGGACAGTACTTTCTATGTCTAGTTGAAGAAACCTTTCCCTTCTCCAAGATCATGAAGGTAGTCTCCTAAATCATCTTCTAAAAGCTCTCTTGTGCTATCTTTCACACTGAAACCTAAGGGCCCACCTAGAATGGACTGTTTTATGTGTGTATGGTATGAGCCAGCCAATGTGATTTTCCCCATAGGATATTCAATTGTCCCAGCATCAAACGCTGAAAAGATTCTTTGCCCTGTTGCTCCACAGTTCCACCTTTGTCATCAACCAAATGTCCGCAGTTGTTTCTAAGTTTCCTGTTTTGTTCCATTGGCCATCGTGCCAGTCCCATGTGATTGCCACTGTCTTGTCACTGTCATAGCTTCATTATATGTAAGGTGGGTCCCTCTCTGTATCCTGCTCTTTAGGTTGCCATGGCTTGTCTTGGGCCTTTGAACTTTCACATAAATTTTCAAATCAGCTCGTCCAGTTCCACAGAAAACTTCTGGAGATTTTGGAATTAGTTTAATTTAATAGCTTAGTTTGGGGAGAATTGTATATTTATGACAGTAGGTTTTCTAATCCATAGCCATTATAGCTCCCTAATTATTTAGGCCTTTACAAGTATTTTTGGATGTTTTTATAATTTTTTAATAAATATTTTGCCCATTTTTTACTAGACTTATTTCTAGTTACCTGAAAAAATTTTTCATGCTTTTATATGCACTATTGTATACAGAATATTTTTGTAATCAAATTTACTATGTACTTGTTGCGAAGGTATAGAAAGGTAACTGGTTTTTGCACATTCTTCTTGACCCAGCTAAATTCTTAATAAGTCTAATGACATATATAACTCAGTTTGGAATTTCTACATACATAATGACTTTTTTTCTGAGGTGATTAAAATTGTTTCTTTTTCTCTAATCTTTCCATTTTTTTAACTTGTCTTACTGTACTAGTTAGGACCTAGTAGTTAAATGAGAAAATTCTTTCAATGTTTTACCATTAAGAATTACATTTAGCTGGGTGCAGTGGTCCACGCCTGTAATGCCAGCACTTTGAGAGGCTAAGGCAGGAGGATCGCTTGAGCTCAGGAGTTCAAGACCAGCCTGGGCAACATTGTGAGACCCCATCTCTAGATAAAAAAAAAAAAAGGGTAGCCAGATGTGATGGCGTGTACCTGTGGTCCCAGCCACTCAGAAGGCTGACGTGGGAGGATCAGTTGAGCCCAGGAAGTCAAGGCTGCACCACTACACTCCAGCCTGGGCAACAGAGCGAGGCCCTGCCTCAGAAAAAAAGAATTGTGCTTGTTACAGGTTTGTTTGTAGGTACTATTTAAGAGATTAAAGAAGTTTCCTTCTTCCTGGTTTATTAAGAGTTGTTTTGTTAATGATGAAACGATAGCAGATTTTATCAAATGCCTTTTCTATATCTATTGAGATGATTATATGACTTTATTCCTTTCATCTATGAATGTTATATATTAATTTATATTTTTAAATGTTAAACTCACCTTGTATACTTGGAATAAGCCCAACTTGATTGTGATAAATTAGCTTTTTTATGGATTCACTTTACTTATTTTTTAGAGAACTTCGCGTTTGTGTACATTTGCAAAATAGGCCTATTCTTTTCCTTTCTCCTTCTGTTCTTGCCAGATTTTGGCATCAAGGTCAGCCCAGCCTCATAAAGTGAGTTGGAGTAGTACTTTTTCTTTTTGCATGTTTTGGAATTATTTGTTCTGAGAATATTAAGTTTTGGTAGAATGCATCTGTAAAACCATGTGGGGCTGGGGGGGGGTTTTTCTCTGTGGGAAGATTTCTGATGCTTTTTAAAAATAATTATAGTCTATTCAGGTCTTCTATTTCTTTTTTTTTATTAAGCTATGTATAATGTATAAGCTGTAATTATATTATATGTAAGGATTTGTCCATTTCATCTAAATTTTAAATTTTATTGGCATAAGATAATTCATAATGTTTATTTTTCATATGGCATTTGTTGGTTAAGTTTTTTTCAATTCTAATATTGTTTAATGCACCTTATTTCTTTTCTTGAATAGTCTTGCCAGATACTTGTCTGTTACATGGATCCTTTCAAACAACCAGTAACTTTTTTGTCAACTCACTTGTGGGTTTACTTTCTCTTTCATGAATTTCTGTTCTCATTTTCATTATTTTCTATCTTCTGTTTTCTCTAAGTTCTGTCTTGTTGTATTTTGGGTTTTTTTTTTTTCTTAATCTCTTAGTTGGGTGTTCATTCATTTTTTGCCTTATTTTCTGACATAAGCATTTAAGACTAAAAATTTTCCTCTAAATGCTGCTGTAGCTGTAAACTACAAGTTTCAATATTTGAAATTTTTATTATTGTATAATTCTAAATATTTTGAAATTTCTGTTATTTTCTTTTTGATCCATTAGTTGTCTTTGAACTGTGTTTTACAATTGTCAAATATGAGTTTTTTCAACTTATCTTTTGTTATGAGCTTTTAACTTCATTAAATTATGTTTAAAGACTATATATACATTTGAAATTGGTCGAACTTATTTTGTGGCCCAGTGGTTACTTCTTGTAAATATTCCATGTGTGCCTGAAAAGAATGTTTTCTGCATTTGTTGAGGAAATTTTTATATGTTTTATTAGTTTGAGTTGTTAATTATGCTATCAGAGCTTTTTTGTTTTTATAGAGGTTTTTTCTACTTTATCATTTGTTGAGAGGAGGTATGTTGAAATCTACCACTGGGATGGCGGATTGGCTTTTTTTTTTTTTTTTTTTTACCACATCGTTATAGCAGTTTTTCCTTTCTATATTTTAAAGCTGTGCTATTAGTTGCATATAAATTTAGAGTTGCTGTGTATTATGGTACATTCAACCTTTTATGATTATGTTGTAAGATACAAGGCATTTTGCTTCAAAGTCTATTTTGTATGATATACATATGGCCACATACATATATATGTGTAGCCATATATCTGTACATATATGTGTGTGCATGTGTGTGAGTATACACACATGTATACATATACACATATATAGACTTGGACTATCATTTTCCATTCTTTTTGAACTTTTTTTTTTTTTTTGAGATGGAGTCTCACTCTGTTGCCCAGGCTGTAGTGCAGAGGCACAATCTCAGCTCACTGCAACCTCTGCCTCCTGGGTTCAAGTGAGTCTCCTGCCTCAGCCTCCTGAGTACTTGGGATTACAGGTGCGCACCACCACACCCAGCTAATTTTTGTATTTTTTAGTAGAGACGGGGTTTCACCATGTTGGCCAGGCTGGTCTCGAACTCCTGACCTCAAGAGATCTGCCTGCCTCGGCCTCCCAAAGTGCTGGGATTACAGACGTGAGCCACCGCACTCGGCCACTTTTTGAATTTTTAAAATACGTTTTGGATGTACTCTTCTGCTTATTATATATAGATAATTTTTTTTTTTTTTTTTTGAGACAGAGTCTGACTCTGTCGCCCAGGCTGGAGTGCAGTGGCGCAATCTCGGCTCACTGAAAGCTCTGCCTCCTGGGTTCACGCCATCCTCCTGCCTCAGCCTCCCAAGTAGCTGGGACTACAGGTGTCCACCACCATACCTGGCTAATTTTTTGTATTTTTAGTAGAGATGGGGTTTCACTGTGTTAGCCAGGATGGTCTCGATCTCCTGATCTCATGATCCTCCCACCTCGGCCTCCCAAAGTGCTGGGATTACAGGCGTGAACCACTGCGCCCGGCCTATATATACTGATAATTTTTTAAAACCCAGGCTTATGGTATCTGGAATATTTAGTTCATTTCTATTTATTGTAAATACTGACATATTTATATTTGTGTCTACCATGCTATTTATGCTTTCTATTTGACTTGCCTCTTGTTCCATATCGTATCCTCTCCTTTTCTGCTTTCTTTTAGATCGATTATATTTTTATGATACATTTTTTCTCTGCTAATATGGAAAAGAAACATTCTCTTTTAGCTCTTCTTCTTTAGTGATTACCCAAGAAATTTTAGTGAGGGTCTATTGCTGGCAGACTTTCTTAGACTGTATCTAAAAGTGTACTTGGCATTGCTGTCCAAAGAAGTTTTTCAAATTGGATGTACAATTCTAGGCTCAAACATTTTCTCACAAATAGTTGACTCCTCAATGACAAAAGGAGCACAAGTGATCTTGCTCCTTTTGTAGTTGTTAAGAAGTCAACTATTTGTTTACTTGTAGTTCATTTTAACGTCCTCTGTCTTTTCTCTCTGGCTGCTTATAATTGCTGTTGTTACTGCTATTGTACACTTTTGCTATGACACATCTAGGGGTGAATCCTGTTCAGTATTCACTGGGCTGTTTAAAACTGTATTGGTATTGTTTGTATTATTTATCATTTCCAAGAAGTTCCCAGCTATTCTTTCTTCATATATTACTTCTCTTCTTTTTTGTTTTGTTTTGTTTTTTTGAGACAGTCTTGTTCTGTCTCCCAGGCTGGTGTGCAGTGGCATGATCTCAGCTCACTGCAACCTCTGCCTCTCGGGTTCAAGCGATTCTTGTGCCTCGACCGCCCGAGTAGGTGGGACTACAGGCACATGTCACCACACCTGGCTAATTTTTGTATTTTTAGTATAGACGGGGTTTTGCCATGTTGGCCGGGCTGGTCTTGAACTCCTGACCTCAGGTGATTCACCCGCCACAGCCTCCCACAATACTGGGATTACAGGCCTGACCCACCCCACCCGGCCTCCCTCTCTTCTTATATAATAAATAGCAGATAGGTCTTTTTTTTTTTACTTAGTCTGATAACCTCTGCCTTCTGTCTCAAGTGTTTGGTCCATTCACATTTAATATAATTAATGCTATGGCTGGATTCACATCTGCCATTTTCATGTGTCTTGTCGTTTTGTTGCTCCTCTTAATCTGCCTTCTTTTTGTTGAAAAATTATTTTTTAAACCCCTGAACTATTAAATATCTAAACAAAAGGATGAAAAGTTAATGTTAACTGATTATGTAATAATTATCTCGACACACTGTAAGTTTGGGAAAAATTAACAATGGGCCAGGCGCGGTGGCTCATGCCTATAGTCCCAGCACTTTGGGAGGCCGAGGCAGGTGGATCACCTGAGGTCAGGAGTTTAAGACCAGCCTGAACAACATGGCAAAACCCCTTGTCTGCTAAAAATACAAAAATTATCCAGGCATGTTGGTGCATGCCTGTAATCCCAGCTACTCGGGAGTAGCTGAAGCAGGAGAATCACTTGAACCTGGGAGGCGGAGGTTGCAATGAGCTGAGACCGCGCCACTGCACTCCAGCCTGGGTCACAGAGCAAGACTCCGTCCCCACTCCCGAAAAAAAAAAAAATTAACAAAGTACACATTTTTATACTGAAAGGTGTTCATGAATTCCGATGGATTCAGTGGTTTCACTATCTATTAAATTTGCCACAAGAGCCCTGATTTTTCATCTTTTGCAGTACAGCTTTGTAGAAATTTCCCTTCATTAATACATTTTACTTAGTAATTTTCCTCATTGGCCCAAAAAGGTAGAAGGTAACAGGTGATATTTGGAGTACATAATTGTCTCTCCCAATGGCAATGAGGCACTGTTGGTCGAGAGCTTTGATCAGGCCCTCAGACTGTGTTTCTGCTGTTGAAATTCATTTGTAGAAAAAAATATCAGGTTAAGAACTGACAGTTTGTTGTTTTTTGTCTTTGGAATATATATTAGATAGTATCATACTTTTATGGTGGGATTTAAGAACTTCAGTGTTACTGAAAGGTTGCATTCTCATTCAGCAAGCCTTACAATGGCCGCTAAGGAAAGCCACTGCCAGAATTTAACTTTCTTGCCCTGAGACAATTGTGGTTATGCAATTCTTCCATAGATTTTTAATTGATTTGAATTTTTATTGTTTCCTATTTAAATAGAACATATACTCACTCCTATTCATGTGCTCCCAGAGAGGTTATCAAATCAATAGCACACTTAAGAAAACATCAGATGTCACCACAAAGCAAACCTCTCAAGATTACTAATATAAGTATGTGATCATGATGCTGTATGCACAAGTGTTTGAAGTGTTTTCTCTGACCCATAACTATAAGACATCAGATGATATTGAGACACACCCTCAGTCACCTGATTGGAGGCACAGAGGTCTTCTAGAACACTTCTGTCCGTGGCCTCAGCTCTTATACATGTCAACACAGATTTTATCAGACAGTCACATTTCTTTTTACATCAGTGGAAACTAACTGTATGGGAAGAAGTGAACATATATAACATTCATTCATTTAATCAGTCATTCTTTCAGCATTAGTAACCACTAATGTTTATACCCCGCATTGTGACAGGCACTCTTAATAACACTTTACACATTTTTAACTAATCCTTGCAAGAACTATCTATGGTGGGTAGTTTTGTTATTATTTTCATTTTGTAGATAAGGAAACTGAGGCACAGAGAATTTAAGTAATTTGTCCAAGATTATACACCTGGAAAAAGGCAGAGCCATGATTTCAACCCAGGCAATCTGGCCTCGCCATCTGTGCTCGTAACCACGAACTGACTTTGAAGCATTGAGTTTCTACCACATGCCAGGGGCCATGCTAGATGTTGGGGATTACTGCTGTGAACAAGTCAGTTTCTGCTCCATTAGAGCTTATAACCCAGATGAGCAGGAGTTTTATGCTATCTCCCCTGTTAACCTGGAATCAAAAAACTAGGAAACATAGTTATAATCATTCTTTACTTGAGTGGAGTATACATATAATTTTTTTTTAAATCATTACTTGGCAAGTGAGACTAATGTTTCTTTTTCACTCGGGCACACACACACATACTCTCAGAGAAGTTCAGTTTAAGTTGAAACATCATATTGAATAATGTTTTGATTTAGTGATTAAAACAATTTTGGTGATTTAAATTGACCAGGGGTTGTGGGCAAATTTTTTGCCTGAGCTGAGTGATGAAGCAATGAACATGCCCACTAAATTAGCATTTGATAAGAAGTTAGACCACAAGGAAAGAGGCTGTTCATCTCATTAAACTAGAGAAATGATCCACTGATACCTGAAGGATGTCTGGAAGGAGTGAGCACACAGTAACCACCCCAGGGATACCAGTAGGGAGGGAGGCCTTTGGACACAGGCGAGTTGGTGGCAGCCTGGAAGACAACAGGGGTCACAATGGAGTGGGACTTAGTGGTGCAGTAGCTTATTTAAAATCAACTTTCCACAACCCTAACAAAACGAAACAAAACCCCATCCCCTTTAGGAAATGGGCAAAGGAAAGGAGTTGCATAGATGTTTCTCCAAAGAAGATATACAAATAGCCAATAAGCACATGAAAAGAGTCTCTACATCACTAACCATTAGGGAAATGCAAATCAAAACCACAATGAGATACCACTTCATACCCAGTAGGATGGATTTTATCAAAAAAACAAAGTCACAAGTGTTGACAAGGATGTAGAGAAATAGGAACCCTTGTGCATTGCTAGTGGGAATATAAAATGGTGCAGACTCAGGCTGGGCAGGGTGGCTCATGCCTGTAATCCCAGCACTTTGGGAGGCTGAGATGGGCAGATCACAAAGTCAGGAGTTCGAGACCAGCTTGGCCAACAAAGTGAAACCCCGTCTCTACTAAAAATAAAAAATTAGCCGGGTGTGGTAACATGTGCCTGTAGTCTCAGCTTCTCGGGTGGCTAAGGCAGAAGAATCGCTTGAACCTGGGAGGCGGAGGTTTCAGTGAGTTGAGACCATGCCACTGTACTCCAGCCTGGGTGACAGAGCGAGAATCTGTCTCAAAAAAAAAAAAAAAAAATTGGTGCAGACGCTATGGAAAACAGTATGGTGGTTCCTCAAAACATTAAAAATAGAATTATCATGTGATCCAGCAGTCCCACTTCTGGGTGTCTGCCCAAAAGAATTGAAAACAGGGACTTGAACAGATCTATACACCCGTGTTCACAGCAGCATAATTCTCAATAGCCAAAAGGTGGGAACAAGCCAAGTGCCTATCAATGAATGAATGGTTAAACAAAATGAGGTTTACACATATAATGGAATATTTTATTCAGCCTTAAGAAGGAAGGACATGGCTGGGTGCAGTGGCTCACGCCTGTAATCCCAACACTTTGGGAGGCCAAGGCAGGCAGATCACAAGGTCAGGAGATCGAGACCATCCTAGCTAACACAGTGAAACCCCGTCTCTACTAAAAATACAAAAAATTAGCTGGGCGTGGTGGCAGGCGCCTGTAATCCCAGCTACTCGGGAGGCTGAGGCAGGAGAATGGCGTGAAGCCAGGAGGCAGAGCTTGCAGTGAGCCGAGATCATGCCACTGCACTCCAGCCTGGGCAATAGAGTGAGACTCCATCTCAAAAAAAAAAAAAACAAAAAACAAGATAGAAGGACATTCTGATGGATGTACCAACATAGATGAAAATTGAGGACATTATGCTAAGTGCAATAAGCCAGTCACAAAAGGACAAATAATGTGTGACTCTACTCATATGAGGTACGTGGAGTAGTCAAACTCATAGAGACAGAAAGTAGAATGGTGGTTGCCAGGGCTGGGAGGGGGAATGGGAAGCTATTGTTCAGTGGGTGCGGTTTCAGTTTTGCAACACGAATAGAGTACTGGAAATGGAGGCTGGTGATGGTTGCACAACAGTGTGAATGTACACAATGCCACTAAACTGTACGCTTAAAAATAGCTCATTAGCAAATTTTATGTTACGTATATTTTACTACATTTTAAAGAAACGAAACTTTCTGAGCTCCCTTTGTTAACATGTGTGGCTGCAGGAGGGTTTCCAGCATTCGTAGATGACAAGGGACCCTTCTGCTCTTGAGATTCTCCGGCTCTGCATCACGGAGCCAATGTTCTTCTGGGATGGACTTGCTGAGCCACGGAAGCAGCCTCCCAGCACCCCACGCGCATGGATGTCCTCTTTCTGTGAGGCTTTGGCTCTGTGCTGTTGCCTTCACTAAACATAGATGCTTGTCAAGAGGGACAAAATCCCCCAAATGCAATGAAAAATTGTCTGGAAACTGAAGATTTGGTTTATGAGGCAAAAGTAGAAGAACTGGAAGAGGGGAAATGGCAGGAAAATGTATTTGAAGCCACGTTTGTTTATGAGAGGATCCTCCTTTCTCCGGGGTTGGAGACAGCCATGTCCTGAGATTAGGAGTGGTGCTGGCCCAAACCCCTCCCCCCATTTTCACAACCAGTACTAGGCTTGCATATGACTGGTGTCCCCCAGTTTAAATCCTCATGGGATATTCTGCTTCCTTTCCAGGGAAGTTCCCTTTTCTAGTTTTTTTTCCAAAGATGCTGGAGAACCAGCCTTCAGGGCATCCCAGCCTCCCTGTCAGCCACAGGAGAGAGCACTGGCTGACCGCCGGGGGCTCAGAAAGCCGAGCAGCTGGGAGAGGCGAGGCTGGGCCAGGAGGGGCACCATGGTGAGGCCCACACCAAAGCCACTCCCCGCGAGTCATGGCATCCAGAAGGTTTATTTATTTTTGTGCTTTTCTTTCCAAGATCTCCAAGTTCTCCCCATATCTCATTCAACAATTCAGAGTATGGGAGTGTCCTCTTGAGACTTCTTGCAGGTGTTTCCTGGAAACCTCTGGCTCCCCAGCACCTGGCCCCGGGCTGCCTGCTACAAACATTAATACCTGTCTGTGCAATGCATGCTTGAAACTTTGTCCGTGCAGAGTAGCCTGGTAGCTCTTCGTTCATAGCTAAGCTTGTGTCTGCCTGTGTTTCATCTGTTATCCATTTTGATTTCTACTCTGCCAAGTTTCACTGTCTGATAAAATGATGGCCATACTTTCTGCAAATGGGCGGTATAAGGTGCTTGCTGGTTACCCAGCCAGCTGTGAAAAAAAATCAGATATTCCAAACACAATTGAATTCTAGTTCATTTGTAATGGTTGCATTTTAAAGTAAGGAAAGTTTACTATTTAAAAAAAAAGAAAAAAAAAGGAACCTGAGAACAGGGAAGAGAAATGAGAGAATCTCCAAATTTATCCTATAAGTATTCTTGTGGGGATCCTGAGCTGAAAACAACTGGGGAGAATTGATAAGCCACCTTCAGATGATCAGATTCACTGTCCTTTGAACACCTCCCCCAGTTCATGGGTAGAGAGCGCCTGCTTTCAGCCAGGCATGGTGCCAGGCTCAGGAGGGCCAAGGCCGGAGATGGCACCATCCCAGTCTTCACGCAGCACACAGTGAGATGTGGAGGCAGAATCACGCTGGAGCGTGCTATGCCTCCGAAGAATCGCTCACCTTCAGGGAGGAGGGCTGTCTGTTTCTGAGCTCTAGGCCAGGCATGGACAAAAGTGCTGCCTTCAGTGTCCCTTGGCACAGTGGAATCAAGCCATGCGAAACCAAACAGCCCCTCATGGAAACACACAGGAAATGAAGGCAGAGAAGGCAGGAAATGTAAAACAGGCCAGGATTCACAGGAGCAGCTGATTGATGCAAGGATGCGCGGTCCCATGTGGCCCTGGAGCCCAGAGAGACACATCATCCACCTCTGGTCCTGGAGAGCCGCTTGAGCTTCCCAGTGCCCTGCCAGGCCCCTTCCTTCCTAGTTCCCTCCTGACTGTGCAGAAGGCGCCATTTCTATATCACAGAGCTTCATGGATCAAGTCCATATCACACTGTGGCCCAGGCCCTTCCCCTTCTAGGTCTAGGTGGTGGGATTCCCATTCTTCTGGCATCTGCCGTTGTCTGCTGAACTGGGTCCCAATGTCTCATTTCTTCACTGTGCTCCCCTCCTCAAACTGGGTCATGTGGAGAAATCAGGGCCTTGGGGGCTCAGCCAGAAATAAAGACCGAGAGATCCTCCAGAGAGAAGGTCCTCTAGGAGAGGAAGGGTGGCAGAACAGAAGAGGCCCGGGACTTGCTTCCCAAATGTCAGAAATTACCAAAAAGCTTCACAGTTCAGAGAGAACAGTGTATTTATTTTAGGAGCCAGAGTAGTCTGACAGGAAGACTTGCTTTCAAACATGTCCTGTTCACGTATGTACTTAGCAGATGGCTATTTGACACTTCCTGTTCCAGAGGCACTTGTTCAATTCATTTTCCAAATCTGGGGGCGGGTTTTGGGCCCCTCACTTGCTTTGCAGGCCCCCAGCCCTAACACCATGCGCTCAGGTAGCCTTCGGGAATAGCCCTGGCTGTGTAGACTCTCTGGCTTCACGGATGGCATTATATGAAATGGCTCCCTTCATTATAATGTCACTCACAGGAACTGGAGAGGTCTTTGGAACACGGGCAGTAAGGTTCAAGAGGTGTTTTCAGTTGCACCTGACCAGGTCATCTCCAGCTTAGGTGCCGGCTCCTGGATGCCAATCTGAGTGGAGATTAATAGCTGACGTGGGAGCAAAAAATGAGCCAAACTGGGGTTTCTTGAGGTGATTTATTCCAGCTAACTATGTCAGTTGTTTGTTCGTGCTAAAAATACCGCTAGAAGGATGGGGGAGTATTCCAGATTGTTGACACTTTGACTGAAATGAGAAGCAAAATGTAACTGATATGAGCTCTAACAGGAGCTCCTGCCTGTCATAAAGAAGAGGGAGGATTAGGACACCAAGAGGCGCAGCCAAACCACCCGGGACGGCCACGGCCCAGGCCCTAGCGCTGCCACTCACCACAGCCTCCCAGCTAAGATAAGGGCTGCTAAGTTCTGAAGAACGAGGTATCTCCTCATCATACTTTGGCCCTGAGAAACTTCATTTTGCTAAATAGATGTGGCCTGGATTTTTCCAGGACAGTGGATCTGGGAGTCTAGGTTAGGATGATGCAGCCTTGCGCTCACACTGATGGGTGAGACTGGAGTGGCAGGAACGCCCTGTGAGTGTCCCGGATGTGCCAGCCTTGTGTGCTGCGACCCCTTCTCCAGCAGCTGGAGACATTAAATGTGTTCACATGGGCCAGGTGCAGTGGCTCACACCTGTAATCCCAGCAATTTGGGAGGCCGAGGTAGGAGGATCTCTTGAGCCCGGGAGTTCAAGAACAGGCTGGGCAACATAATGAGACCCCCATATCTACTAAAAAATTTTTTTTAATTAGCCAGTCATGGTGACGCATGCCTGCAGTCCCTGCCACTCAGGAGGCTGAGACGGGAGGATCTCTTAAGCCCTGGAAGGTCGAGGGTCTTGACCCTCGAGCCACTGCACTTTAGCCTGGGCAACAGAGCAAAACCCTGTCTCAAGCAAAACAAAACAAGATAAATAAAAGTGGTTAAGTTTCTAGAACTTCCTTGGTGGTTAAATAACTCCCAGACAGAAGTTTGCCAAAAAGCTCCCCAGGCCAGTGATTTGCCAGGGCTTCATTCCTAGAGAAGACGCGCTTAGGAGAGGAGTCATCCATGCTCTTTAAACCCCCCGTCACTGGTTCTGTTGGCAGACTGGACTGACCGGGGCTGGCATGTGGTTGGGGTTTTGTAACAGAAACCAGGTACTCAGGTTTGATGGATGAAAAGCATATAGACACGGTTTCCAGCTGGCAGCCCATAAGCTGGCATCTGCTAGCAGGGTTGTGTCAGGCCAGTGCACGTTTCAAAAAAGTTTGAATTTGCTGAACTTCTGGTCATCGCACTTGCCTGTTTTGGAAGACATTTGAGTTCTCAGCCCCTGGGGAACCCACAATGGGAGAGGGATGGTTACTCAGTGCTCTGCAGACTCAAGCAGGTGCCCTTTATGGGGGTGACAGTATGAATGGTACCCCCTCAGTGGGTACATTGTGGACTCCCCAGCTCCTTCACTGGAGATGTGTGGAGGACCCGGGCAGGGCTAGAGCACCTTCAGAATGTGATCCAGGGGATCCCTTCAGAAGGAAGGAAGCATTCTGTTCAAGACACGGGCAGGGGTGGCCTTCCTTTGGGGGCTTAATGTAAATGGTTGTTCAGAATTCTCACTGAATTTAAGAACAAAATACATCCTGAAAAATGTCTTCCAAGACATGCTCCCCCAGTTCTTATTGGAATGAAATGAGCACAGAATTTCCTAAGTGCAGGGACTGTGAGAACTCTTCCCTGGGAAGTCTTTTTTCTTTTTAAAATCAGACCATGGCAGGTTAGGATGGAGAGTTATGAATGAGAGCGGTGCTTCTTGACGTTAAATTTGCGCATGAATCCCCTTGTGATCTGGTTACATGCAGATTCTGACTCAGTAAGTCTAAGGTGAGTGGAGAACCTGGAGATTCTTCTATTTCTTGCAAGCTCCCAGGGGATTCTGAGGCTGCCTGCCCTGGACACACTCTGAGTAGCAAAGTATTATTTGACCTCAAGGCCTTTTCCAGCTTTGGGTTAATTGGAAACATCTATATGTTTTCTAATGAACCCCAATGAATAGCACATCAATGCAGCAATTGGGTAAGCCAGATGATCTAAGAATTGTTTATTTCCTGTGTAACCGTTGAGGAATTCGATTATTCACGTGACATTATTGAGGATGTGCATTTTGGGAGGCCCCATGCAGTATTTGGTATCTAGTGGGAATGGTCACATGACCTGTTCCATCCTTTCTCATCCCTTCCAGCTGTTGCCAGAGGGGCCTCGGGGTGATTTGAGGCCTCCCAGCTCCAGGACGTGCACAGCTGTCATCCCAGCATCATAGGCTCACCTGGCGGAGGTCGGGCCAGTGACGGTATTGATTTTCAGTGACAGTGACTCAGCCTGGGACCAGAGGCTGCTGTTTGCAGAGATATAACACCTTCTGAGATTGGGGTGCTTTGGAAACCCAGCCAGGAGAGCAGTGGCTCCAAGAGCAGCATACGGTGGGCCCTCAGAAATGGTGGTGAAAATGAATTGCGATCAGTTTCCTTCCAGCCACATGGGAACCTGAAAGGAATCCCTCCTCCCTGCTGAGGGCCTGGGTCGATGGATTCGATGACATCCCTCTCCTTGGGCAGCACTGGGCTGATCTCAGACTCTCTGTTCCCAGCCGAGTTCTCTGGTTTCACATTCCCATCTGCCTTCTCCCGGTCACGACATGCTACTGGCACATCTCTTTTGACTTCTCTTACCATTCTGATTGGCCAGTTGCCAAACAGCCTTCTCAAGTTAAAATTTCAACATACTTGCCCCCTGCCCCCTTCAGCCTGATCCATTATTTCTCTTACCTGGTGACAGATGCTCACTTTCCTTCGGATATTTGACAGCCAGCCTCACTCCAGCTCCCCCGATCTGGACAGGAGGCAGCAAGAGATGGGGAAGGTATCCAGGGCCCCCTCAGCCGCTGCCCCGCTTGGGCAGATCCCGCATGCTTTTCTGCACAGCCATTTTGCATTCCTGCCTGCATTCAGTAGATAAACAAAGAAAGAGCAGGTCCCTGGCATGCAGAGCCCAGGAGCTCGCAAACACAGATCAGCACAAGATACGAAATGTTCAAGGTTCCCGTGATGTTACCTCTAAAGCAGTTACTAAGACTGCAGCATTCACGGATCACCTAATTAGTGAAGGTTTTGTGTATTAATATGTGTGTTTCTTCCTTGATATAATCAGCACATTTTTTATACTGACACAGAAGATGGGAGGGAATTATTACTTTAGTATTTCTCTGAACTTCTCTAACTTATTTTCATCGAGAGTTCTTCGGACGGCTCAGAATTCAGAAATATCTGCCCTTTTCACTCTATCTTTGGCCCCTGCCCAAGTCTGGGACTCACTGGGGTGGGGCCAAGGCTAAAACTAAACTAGGGTGTGAGGTACTAGAGGTGCATGTCCAGTGGTTGGGAGCAGTTTCCAGCGAGTCAGCGAAGTCTTCCTGGGGAATGGCATGAGACACCGAGCATGGCCCTGACAAGTGCCGCTCTGACTCATTTCCTGAGGTGAACACTGGACAGTCACAATGCCGCGTGCCCCAGAGCTTCCCCAGGGGCAGTTGTGTCTTCTTTCTAAGCCCTGCCCTATCCAAACATAGTTGTTATTTCAAGAGTTATCTTGAGATTCTTAAAATATTCCAGAAGTACAGTAAAATAGTATTTCTATTTGTTTTAATGAAAAGTAAAACTTTGATTAACGAGGTCCTTCAAAAAACCAGATTTTATGTGCACCAGACTTTTAGATGAAAGACAAGTCACAAAACACACACACGCGCACGCGCACACACACATGCACACATATACACGCACACGCATATGCATACAGGCACACTCATGGGTTTTGTTTTGTTTTGTTTTTGTTTTGTTGTTTGAGACAGAGTCTGTCTCTGTCGCTCAGGCTGGAGTGCAGTGGCGCCATCTTGGTTCACTGCAACCTCCGCCTCCTGGGTCCAAACAATTCTTCTGCCTCAGCCTCCTGAGTAGCTGGTACTACAGATGTGTGCCACTACGTCTGGCTAATTTTTGTATTCTTAGTAGAGACGGGGTTTCACCATGTTGGTCAGGATGGTCTCAAACACCTGACCTCAAGTGATCTGCCTGCCTTGGCCTCCCAAGGTGCTGGGACAACAGGCGTGAGCCACAGCGCCCAGCCAAATGTGATTGTTCTTTAAAGAACTGTATATGAAAGATCCCAGGAGCAACACCCTGGTAGCCCAAACGCCTGCTCACCTGCAGCCCTACTCAAGTTTCAGGGCCATCATCTGGCCCAAAACTAGAAATCCTGCCCAATAGTAGTGGTCAAGTCTTTTTCTCCAATTGGATTGTAAATTTTTTGTAAGCAAGGGACTGTATTTTATACCACTTTGTATTAAACATAGCCAGCACAGAGCTTTGCACATTTTGGAGTTTTAAATATTTGGCAATGGATCTTCTTTAGTGCCGCTATCTTCATTAGTGCCAGTAGTATGGTGGGATTTTCAATCATCCTTCTCTGTTTCTTATTCACATGGATTTGGGTTTACATTTCCATTCTACCAATAACTAGTGGTGTTAATTTGGGCAAATTACTTAACTCAGCCTCATTTGCAGGGTTGTCGTTAAGAATCTGGAATTAAATATTTAAAGTGTCTGGCAGCTGCTGTTATTATTGTTATTATTTTGCTTGTCTTCAAAGCAGAAGTTTCCTGGCTTGTAGCTTATGATTTCACAGTTGTGAGCTCTCGTGTTTTTTATAATTATGTTTCCATTTGGAAGGTTTAACTCCTATTACTTAAGGCTGGCTTCAGTGAGGAGTTGCTATTTGACCTGAATCTTGAAGGATGAGTAGGTGCTTAAAAGGCAGAAATGGATGGAAAGAATATTCCAAACAGAGGGAACAGCATGTGCAAACACCCAGGGTCATGGAGGAGAGTGACACATGGGGGAAGCTGACCACGGCTCGAGTGGGGGCGTAGGTGATGGGCAATGGACAAATCCTTTGGTAGCTAAGCATGTGGGTGGACAGGAGCCAGACCGCAAAGGCATTGTATGAAATGCTAGATTTGGGTCATCAGTAATGGAGTTAGATTGGTATTTTAGCAAGGTTCTTCTTTTCTTCATTAATTTTCTGTAAGTTTTTAATGAGTCTGTGAACAAAATAATTCTTTTGGGGGGAAGTGGGGGCAGGGTCTCACTCTTTCACCCAGGCTAGAGTGGTGTAGTGGCATGATCTCAGCTCACTGCAGCCTTGACCTCTAGGACTCAAGCAATCCTTCCACCTCAGCCTCCCGAGTAGCTGGGATTACAGGTGCACGCTACCACAACTGGTTAATTTTTATATTTTTTTGTAGAGACAGGGTTTCACCATGTTGCCCAGGCTGGTCTTGAACTTGTGAGCTCAAGCGATCTACCCACCTCAGCTCCCAAAGTGCTGGGATTACAGGCTTAAGCCACCATGCCTGGCTAATATATAAATTTTTTAAATTAGATTCATGGCTGGGCACGGTGGCTCATGCCTGTAATCCCAGCACTTCAGGAGGCCGAGGCAGGTAGATCACTTGAGGTCAGGAGTTCAAGGCCAGCCTGCCCAACATGGTGAAACCCTGTCTTTACTAAAAATACAAAAATTGGCCAAGTGTGGTGGCATGCACCTGTGGTCCCAGCTATTTGGGAGGCTGAGGCAGGAGAATTGCTTGAACCTGGGAGGCGGAGGTTGACAGTGAGCCAAGATCACACCACCGCACTCCAGCCTGGGCAACAGAGTGGGACTCTGTCTCAAAAAAAAAAAAAAAAAAATTAGAATCATGAACTTTGTGTGGCTAGCTTACAGTCTCACCTGCATCTCCTCTGCCCTCTTCATCGTGTTGACAGTTAGACATATTGAAATGTATTAAATGTTAACTTTTCCCAAGTTTTTCCATAATTTTCTTTTTGCCTCAGGGTTTCCTCAGCACATCGAATCTATATCTTTTTGGTATCAGCTGTAGCAAATGAATGCTGATCATTGTTTGTGTACTCTTCGTTTCTGTGCTAATGTAACATACACCCAGCCAGATGTTTTTGAACAGTCTTGAAGTGTGTAAGCAGGTTCAGCAAATAGGATGACGAGCATCACTGCTTGTTTTCAGTATTGTTTTGTATCTTGTAAACAAGCTGAGGTTTGAGGAAATGATGGAAAGGCAGCACGCTCTGTTCCTGCTTTCCCTTGGGCATCCCAAGGAGTGTTGGCGACGGGCAGGGCAGGTGTTTCTGCCCATTGTACTGCCTACAATTGTGTGGCTTCTGCCCATTGTCCCAGCTGAACCTGTGTGGCTTCTGCCTATCATTCCGGCCATACTCGCATGGCTTCTGCCACTTGTCCCAGCCGTACCCACGTGGCTTCTGCCCATCATCCCAGCCGTACCCACGTGGCTTCTGCCTATAATTCCAGCCATACCCGCATGGCTTCTGCCACTTGTCCCGGCCGTACCCACGTGGCTTCTGCCCATCATCCCGGCTGTACCCACGTGGCCTCTGCCCATCGTCCCGGCCGTACCCGCGTGGCCTCTGCCCATCGTCCCGGCCGTACCCGCGTGGCCTCTGCCCATCGTCCCGGCTGTACCCGCGTGGCCTCTGCCTATCGTCCCGGCTGTACCCCGTGGCCTCTGCTCAACATTCTGGCTATACCCACGTGGCCTACCTGCGTGGCTTCTGCCCATCGTCCCAGCCATACCCACGTGGCCTCTGCCTATCGTCCCAGCCGAACCCATGTGGCTTCTGCCTATCGTCCCAGCCGAACCCGTGTGGCCTCTGCCCATCATCCCAGCCAAACCCATGTGGCCTCTGCCCCATCATCCCAGCCGTACCTAGGCAGCAGCTGTCAGGCTTTCCTCTTTGTCCCTGCTGTGTCCCTGGCTCCTTTTCTCTGCCAGCCTCTCTCATGCTGTTCCTCTTGAGAGGTCTTCCAAGTGCTTTTTTCCATCGTTTGTGCTCAGCCACTCTACCATTGTTCTTCCTGTCTGGTTCTCTGAAATGCAAGCCCACACCTTTTCAATTCCATATCCTGAGTCAAGTGTTTGAAAGCTGTTATTTTATGTTAATTAGAAGTTCTTTTTCCAGCCAAGAAGGCTTGCTCAAAACTGTTCCCCCAAGCTGAGGCTTAGAGACGCACTCTGGCATTCTGTCCTTTGGGTACAGTTAAAGGAACCACAGTTCATTGCTATTAGAGGCACCCCACTGCCCGCTGTGGGGCAGGCACCTCCTCTGGGGGCAGGCGCCATTGGAGGGGAGTTCTTGGCATGGCCCCCAGAGAGCTCCAGCCTGTGCAGCACGTGCACGGCTTCCTGGACCCCCCACAGTCCTCCATGGGGCCTCCCCTTGCCGCAATTGCTTGGCACTCATGCCTTACCACCCTCTCTACCCAATGGTGACCTGTTTGGCAGCTTCTCCTTCCTTTGTCAACTCTCCCAGTTGACCCCTGTTTGGTGAGAGATTCTGGTGGAAAAGTACTCCCATCTTGTTCTGGACTCGGGCAGGCTTCAGCAGGAGCCAGCTTCTGGTGTCTTTAATCCCCACAGAGGCACCCTGAGCGGCTGCCATCCCATTTAGGCAGTCTTGGTAAGGCTTCCAAAGCATTTCCGCTTCTTGGGATGTTTTTGAGCAGAAGCTGAGCCCTATTCTCACATCTAGCCTCGCTCTTTATGCTCATCTGCTTGTAGATCAGAGACTACATTCCTCCCTTTACCTGGCCCTCGTCCCATCATTCCAGGCTTCTGCAAGCCCAGGCATGGGGAGGCTGCAGCCGTGGCCCCACTGGGAGCACCGCACCGCCCTGGACTTCCTATGTTCCATTTGGAGGGGTCGCTGGGGGCGCTTGGTGTGAACCCATCCTGAGCTTGGGCAGTGATGGGTTAGGACCACTTTCATTCCACCTCTCACACATGAAAAAGAGACTTTCCTCCTCTAAGGTACCTTTGAATGAGGACATCACATCATGCAGGGTGAAGGAATTCTCCTGGATGTCCAGCTGAAATCTCTAAAATGCCTTGCTTTATAGAAAAAGTAGTCAGTGAGTAAATGCTGATTTAAGGCCCATCAAACTCAGAGCACAATTCTTGGAACTGGAGGTGAGGCTACAGAGAGGCAGAGAGAGATGTCAGGGCTCTTGTCCTCAGGAAGAAAATCACATCCAGAAAACAACCAAAGGGCACCAGAGCTTCAGTTTCCATATCTGTTGAAGAGTGTTAGACACCACCTGCCTTGACAGCTTCTTCCAAGGACATTGACAGCGTGTGAAGTGCCAAACACAAGGCCTGGCACGTGGGATGCCTTCGGTCAGCAGGAGCTCCTCCCTCTCTTTTTCTTCTTTTTATTATTAACAACAAATGCCAGCTAATATGGCACATACTGAGTAGAGAAGATAAGGGGTTAAAACTTGAAGACTTACTTATTTAAGTGGGGTTTTGGCTGGGTTTGGGAAGAATTAAAGAAAGATGTGCATGAGTAGAAGTTGAAGTTGGGGACGTGGCATGTGTAGCCATAGAGTTGTGCCAGAAAAGTAGCATTTGGCCTATGAATTACATTGGCAGAAGTAAAGGGTCCAATCGGATGAGACAGTGAAAGAAGAGTGGCTAGTTGGTGGAGTGCCTTAAACGATGAGATACAGAATTTTGACTTATTATTACAGACAGTATAAGTAAGGGATCATTGTAGTTTCTCGAGGTGAGAACAAAAATGATTTTTGGGGGCTGGGAGCGGTGGCTCATGCCTATAATCCCAGCACTTTGGGAGGATCACGAGGTCAGGAGCTCAAGACCAGTCTAGCCAACATGGTGAAACCCCACCTCTACTAAAAATACAAAAATTAGCCGGACGTGGTGGCGGATGCCTGTAATCCCAGCTACTCAGGAGGCTGAGGCAGGAGAATCACTTGAACCTAGGAGGTAGAGGTTGCAGTGAGCCAAGACCGTGCCACTGCACTCTAGCCTGGGTGACAGAGCAAGACTCCGTCTTGGGGAAAAGAATGATTTTTGGAGATCTTTATAATAAGATGTGTGAGAGCGGGTAAGTCAGGGGACAGGAAGAACACCAGGAAGGAAGCTGGGCTCATACTGGGACTTTTACTAGGATAGTGGTGACAAGTCCAGGGGCCAGGAGAGCTGATGTCTACAGGTACCTAGGCTGATGTCGGCAGAGAAACATAAGTAGAATCTGGAAATGGCATTACCCTGTGGGGCCACGAAAGAGAGAACATTCTGAGCTTAGTGCCCAGAAGGTCTGGATGGAGGGTGGAGTAGTTGATGGTAACAAAAATACAGAAGAGAGACCTAGGTGATTGCGGAACGAGCCCTAGGCCCTCAGTAGCAGGAATGGGAAGACACAGGAGCTGAGGGCCTATGCCGGAGGCTGCCCTTCTTCATGGGACTTCCGTTCAGGCTTTCGAAGCTCACACGACGGTGAGCATCATTGTGGAGGGTTATCTGTAGATATTTATATCAACTGAGTCAAATCTCCTGTGTAATTCTGTAAATAAACCAAGGTTCGCTTTTAATGAGTTTTTGAGGTTTCACAAATAAATTGGTTTGGTTCTAAAAAGCATGCTTTTAATAAATTCCCTGTGTTCTGAATAAAATTGGCCACTCTAATGCTTTCAGCCTGACCACAAATAGTCACATCGTGCTTGCATTTGCGTTAGTGGTGAGACTTGTGCAAAGCAACACCTTGAGCCAGGAGTTCTGGAATCCCGCTTTCCTTGGACCACACATGTGGATGTTCCCTTTCTGAAATGAGTACAGCTGCTTCTGGGTCTAAGCCCACCACTTGTCTTGCTGGGATGGGGACTCTGTGGCTTGAGCCGTGGTGTTTTCTCCCTTTGTCTCCCCACTGCAGACTACTGTTTTCCAAAGTGAAGTTGCAGTCACTCTGCCGAGGCCCGGACGAGGCACTGCTGACTTGTAAGCACATGCTGCAGATATGGAAATCCTGCTACAACCTCACCAACCCCAGGTAAGAGGCCAGCAGGGCCTGCTTTGCGTGGCTTTTGCATGGGTCCCTGCCTATCAGTGCCTTCTCTGATTGGCATTTAGCAGGCATTAACTCTGTCACCCCTGTGCACCTCCAGGCCCCCACAAGTGGCAGATGATAGCAGTGGAGCTTCACACTCCATGTTTAAGGGGCTGTTTTCCCAGTGGCTGATGAAGCCTCCAGATCCTGGGTTTCTTTTGCTTTCACTGCCATAGTGACCCACTGGACTCAGTTCACAATGGATCTCTATCCAGTTTCTCTCTAACACCCGTTTACCTAACTCCTTTGACCAGTCTTATCTTTCTGGTAATTTATGTATAGACCAGTCATTTATGTGGTCCAGATGGGGTTCCTGCAGCAATATTTAAAAGACCTGCACAGACATCAGGCCGCATGCTACTAAGAAGAGAAGTGGCTATTGGCATAAAATATCACTGTGAAAAAGTTAAAATCATGATGCATACGACTATCAAACACATGTCAAAGATTTTATTTACCTTATTAACTAATGCAGGAACCAGGAAAATGTTAAGACCTATTCACAGAAGAGTTTGAAGAACAGATACTCATAGGCAGGAATGCTGAAATGATTTGCAAGTAGATACAAAAACAACATCCTATAAGATGATGAAAGATATCGTTTGGGGTTCTTTACTGCAGGGTGACATCAGTTGTCTCTCCCCCAAACAAAATTCACTTGCTTTATTATCAGTTTTCCGCGGGTTAATTTCTACCCCTACAGAGCTGTAAAGTAGCTCCGTCAATGGGAAGTGAGTCAACGGTGCCTGCCCTTTAGAGTCAGATAACCCGGGGAAGGTCTGCTGGTCAACCCCCAGCATTCCACGGACAGACACCCACCTATTTGCCCATTTCCAAGTCTTGCACAGTTTTCCCTTGCATATGTTTAGATTACTAAGTGAAGGAAGTCATTTAATGAGAAGGGATGTAATGATTCAAGTGAATTCACACAACTGCTCCAATACTCAGAGTATTTTTTACTTTCCTAGTAAGGTGTCTGGTCAGCTGATATCATGCTTTTAAGAGTCAGGGGCCTAAAAATATGTCACCTAAAATATAAATGAGTACGAAGGGTGAGGCGGGCAGTGGGCTGGTGGCCGTGGTCTGCAGAGACCAGCAGGGAGGGAGGGCTACGGAGGCAGCAGAACAGAGATGGGGTTCCCTGTGAGATTGTTTTACAAATGTTTCTGCAGTTAAAAAAAAATGTTCAAAGTCAGGGCCCTGTTAAGGGGATGGACCCCCTGGAAACTGATAGACAGACCCGTGACCCCAGGCCCTGCGGGCAGTGCACCTGGAAGGAAGAGAGCTCTGCCTGGAAAGCCATGAGCTGTCCAGCCCCTGCCCTGCCCACCGCCAGGCAGCCCCAGCCCCCACCTCCCCCCCAGCTGGAAGTCCCCTTCCCAAGCACAGGAACAGCGGCGCGGCGCTGTGCTGCTGGGCGCACCCGCCCTTCGCTTGGTGAAAGGTAATCATGAGACTGGCCTCTTCCCTTTTGTGGATATGTTCTCAAAATAAAGATCATTTTAATTTTTTTAAAATTCTACATTTCTAAGTCTGGAAGCAAAAATAGAAACTGTCCATATTTATCTCCCCTGAAAGCCCCCACTCCTGGCCTATGAAATCTTCAGGATTTGGGGGAGTCTGCCTCCGAACCAGCTAGCAGGAGATGCTGCCCAGGCAGGTTGCCTCGGCGCCGGAGCGCTTTCCTTTGCCTGTACCCCCTTTAGAAATGAAAAAATAAACCCATCAGCTTCGTGTTGCCAATTTCCCCTCAGTTCCCCACACCTCTCCCACCTCCCCACATTCCCTCCCACTTAGCAACCAAGAATATTGAATGTGAGGAGAAAAAAATAGCAGAATTGGAAAGCTTTTTAAAAATACTTAACCAAATGCCTGGGCTGTGTCCATACTTCCTCCATTTCCTGAAGGTTCCTTCAGGGCCAGAGTGGGGAGGACCCTGGCTCCAGGCAGTGTCTGGTGGGGACTGGCGGATGGGGTGGGCGGTAGAGGCCCCAGTGGTCACTCAGAATTCCCCCTCCGGCTCCCCGCAAAGCCTGGAGGGAGGAGTGGTGAATTGAGCAGCCCTTATTAAGGAGCATCCTGTCTGGTTTTTTAACTTGATTTTCTCTGGGATAGAAATAAATGTTTCTCCTGTAGCCCTTATCATTATGTAAATGTAGTCATCCCCGCCAGCCTGCTCGGTAAGAGGTGACCCTGGCAACAGCATAAAGCCTGAAGGAAGGGCTGTGTCTTTCAGGGGACAGCACACCTTGCAACACTCCCGAGTGGGGCCGCAGTGGCTCCAGCAGCCTAGAGGCTGGGATCAGGGCATACAGTGTTTTAGAGGAAGGTGGAACTACATGAACAAGCGCCTAAGAATCATGGCTTCTTTAAAATAAAATGAAAACTGAGCAGAAAGCATTTTGGCAGACAGCATTTGGCTTCTCCCCGGAGCTGGTCTGTGCTGACTTCCCGGCTTCCTTGCTTCTGAGCATGCTGGGTTGTAATGGGCCCCCTGCTCTATCTGCCAGTTTCCCAGTCTTCCCACCCCCTTCCAGATCCACCCCAGGCTCTGCACAGGCCTCCAGGGCAGTAAGATGAGGAAGACGTGGGCAGTAGCAGGGAGTGAGTGGCCAAATTGAGAATAGACCCTAGCTTCATATTCTCAGCAACCCGTTCCCTCTTCTCGATTTTTGCTTAAAGGGGGAAAAAAATTACACTGAGCTAGTCACTAAACTGAGCATTGGAAAACTTGCAAATAGTGTTCCACCTGCAGTTGGAGATGCGTCTCTTGCTGTGAGCAAAATGGTGGGTGGCATTCTCTTACATTTGGCGAGGTGTTTGTCATTTCAGAAGCCTGGATTCTATTTCTCTCGGTCTGCAGTTTTGCTTGCATTTAGGATAGAAATCTGTCTCATGCTTTGTCTTCTGTCACTGGGTGAAGTGTAAGGCTCCCTCAGTCCTTGTGCATATTGACCCAGCCACTCAAGACAGTGTGAATTCTGACCAGAATCTCACCAGAAGGTCCCAGCAGGCTCCCTGAACTGAATCTCACAGCATTTCAGCCAGGGATGGTAATAACCACGTTTATTGAAACTTCTCCATGCCAGCACTGTACTAGGCCACTGATGTGTTATCTTCAATCCCTACATTAGCCTTGCAAGATAGCTACCGTTACTTCCATTTTACAGAAAATAAAATTGAAGCTAAAAGTGGCTAAATAACTTGCCCAAGTTTTTCCAATTGAATATGTAGCAGAACAGTGATTCAGCCCCAGGCCTAACATCAATGCTCTCTCCACACTGGCATGCTGCCTCTCTTGAGCTGACAACCAGTTTCTTTTCATTTTTTATTGTTAACCAATTCTTTCCCCCTCTTGTCACTGCTACTAGACCCATCTCCATCATGTACCCATGAGGTGACATCTCCAGGTGATTCAAAGTCCTGTTTCAGTTACTTGCCAACAAACAGCATTTAAACACACACATACTCACATTCACATTTCTTTGCTCTAACCTCAGTTAGGAGTCAGAGATCCCATTTCATCCTTACAGTCACCAGCATTTGGGTGGAGCTTTTCTTTTTATAAAGCATGTCCTCATTCTATCTTTGAAGCAGCTCCATAAAATGGGCCAAGGTCGTGTGATCTCATACCCATTTTACTGATGAGACAACTGAGGCTCCGGGATATTGGGAGCTTACCTTGACTCTTATCATCCAGGCCTAAGAGACCTGGAGAAAAACAGAAGTTCCTCTCTCATCTGCCCCTGTTCTGGTTTCCTAGCCGAGGCCCTTCTTTTAGGTGCAATATTTACTGTGTGCCAGGCACTATTCCAGGAGCTGGGAAGAGGCTCAGCTGAGACAAGAGCTCCAGGGTTCTGACTCCAAGCCCGCCCCACCACCACCAAGCCTCTCGTGTTTAACCTCTGTGGAAGATAGAGGATTTCCAAGAGAGGCTTCTAATAGCCGGTATAACTTTAACTCTCATGACAATTCAGTGATAATAGGGAATAGAAGTCCCTGCATGTGCGCATCTACGCATGTGGGCATCTCCCGCTTACATACCATGGATCTGGGGTCCTTCCAGTTTCCTTTCGCTCTACTACAACACTCACCAGGAATGGTTTTCTCTCCCTTCCTGCCTCCCTCCTTGGGAAGTGCTCCTGGCAGCCTAAGGGCCCGGCAGAGAAGAGGTGAGGTGACTGGGCTATGAGGAGGAAATGGGTGGTTCACAGAAGTGCCTGAGCAGATGTGTCCCAGAGGGAGAGAGGAAGGTGACTTTCCAGCTTGCCTGAGAGACTGTCCAGAGTGAGCAAGTTAGGGAGACTCAGGGTTGCTCAAGGCCTCTCCTTGCCCCTTGTCCTGTATTCTAGGAGTCAAATGTAAATCTTGATTGGTAAAGACTCTATACCATGTAAATGAAGAACTAAAAATTGCTTCAAGCATCCAGTAAAATTCTCAATCGGTCACAAATACCTAATTATTTTTAATTTTTTTTTTTTGAGACAGTCTTGCTCTGTCGCCCAGGCTGGAGTGCCATGGCATGATCATAGCTCACTACAGTCTGTCTCCCAGGCTCAAGCCATCCTCTTGCCTCAGCCTCTCAGATAGCTGGGGTCACAGGTGCATGCCGCCAAGCCTGGCTAATTTTTTTATTTTAATAAAGATGAAGTCTTGCTATGTTGCCCAGGCTGATCTTGAACTCCTGAGCTCAAGCTATCCTCCTGCCTCAGCCTCCCAAAGTGCTGAGATGACAGGCATGAACCATTGTGCCCAGCCCTAATATTTTTAGAGAGAAAACATTGAATGTGGAAACAAAAGCATCTCTATGTTGAATAGTTGATTGTTGCGTACACACTGTTTTCCAAAGGAAGTAAGGCAGACACACTAAGGATGTAACTGAACGCTGTTTCCCAGCTGGTGGAGGGAACGTGGATCCTGTGCCATTGTCAGGGGGTGAGGTTCAAAATTCAGATGATGGTTTGTTTGGGGTTTCTAACATTTTAACTCAGCTTCCCCATACCTCCTACAATTGCACCAGAAGCCTAGGGATAAGTTGGCTATAGGAATTGGCTGGCCATATTAACCTCAGATGTGTGTTGTAGGTATGTGGTTTTATACACACCTGGCATGTACCTAGAAGTTGTAAGTCTTCAGAGTGCTCCATCTATGTGACCTTATGTCATCCTCACACAGTTCTGTGTAGGACAACAATCCTTATCTTCATCTGATCAGGGAAGTCAGTGAGGCACAGGGAAAGCTGTCTTGCCCAAAGTGACCTCCTCATTAGTGACAGCACCAAAACATGGTGAGATGAGAGGCCTGGAAGATGAGAATGTCTGAAACAAACCTCAGATTTGGACCACCAGAAACCCAGGCAAATCCTTCCTTTGCAATGCCGATACCTCATCGTGTGTCTTGGAATCCCCAAGGTGGTGAATAATATGTCATCGTTTCACTGTATTTTGAGATAAATCTTCTGAAAAACTCCTAAGTGGAGGGGCATTGCAATATTCAGATAATTTGTACTTAGTAGTATTTATGTGAAAAATGCTACCTGGACAGACCTGCGCCAGAAATATTCAGTGTTGTGATGAGTGAAAATTTGCATGTACTTTTATGTTGTCTTCTGTTCACAGACATGTATTGTTTCTCAGTTATGGAAACAATTGAAAGAGCAGTTTCCAAAAAACATGTCTGGGATGATGTAATAAGTATAGGCTGACAAATAGTCTGTCCTGAAGGAAGTTTTCTTCTGCTTCCTGTGGATTTCTCTAATGTAGTTAGAGAAATCGCTGGACGTGGAAATTGCAGCCTGTAAACTGTATTAAGTTTCATGCCAAATCTTGTTTGTACTGCTTTAGCAACAGCTGCATAAAGGAAGGAAATTGTGTCTCCTTATTGTAGAATCTGAACTTCTTCACAACAAAAAATCACTCTTAAAGCCCCCAGATTGGAAAAGAAAATAGATTCAAAGAAAAGCATTGAAGATTCAAACCTCAAGAGACAGACGTGGTTCTTTTTGGAGCTGCTTTGATAGGATATCACGATACAGGAATAAAGCAATAGTGTTTACCTACGAGCCTCCTAGAATTTAAAAAAGAAATCCATGTTAGATGAGATCCCTTAACAGTTTCTCTCCCTGTTAGGCCCGCTGTGGTTTCCGTGTGGCTTTACCGGGTGAACAGTGCCAAGCCTGTTTTATAGGCACAAGCTAGAGAGGGGACTCAGTAGAGATGGGCAGTGCAGGAAGCTGGTAGGAGTGGTGGTATGGAGGCTGCCACCAAAACCCTGCCATGTTCTCTCCCAGTCCCTGTGTGTCCCTATCAGCCAGCTTTCTCCAGCTTGGGAACACTAGACAGGGCTCGTACACCAGCAGGAAAGTTAACCACACGATGTAGCACAAAGGCCTACATTCTGGGGACCCCAGAATGAGTGCATGACTGTGATCACACTCAGAAAAGGGGGTCAGGGGTTCTTGAATCCAGCAGCTGCACCTTAGAACCATCTGAGGAGCTGTGAAAAATGTCGATCAGCCCAGGAGTTTTGATTTGTTCGGTTCACAGTGGGACCTAGGCGTCTGTTGTTTAGAGATGTCCTGGGTGATTTTTCCGTGCAGCCTGGGTTTTAGAAGCGCAGGTGTGGAGCATTGGTTCATGAAGACAACTCTTCATGGATGGCGTGTTCATGGACTCACTTGCTAAGACTTCACTTTCTAAGGTTGCTAATGCCAGTCGGTTTCCCCCTGTAAGGTGGATGGAAAATGAAGCTTCAAGTTTTCATTTTTGTGTCTTCTAATGACATAAAAGAGGCCAAAATTAGCCAGGGTCTGTGGGTGTGGTTTATGCCCTGTTTGTGATAGTGAACACTGAAAGGAATCGCAGCCCAGGCCAAGCCAGGAAGCAGGATGCCTCCTTCATAAGAAAGATGCTGAAGAACGTAAAAAATGCACAGAAAGTATTCATTGGCCTTCAGGAGTCAGTATTGGTTGCCTCTCTTTCCTTCCCTCCTCCCACCTTGCAGGTGACTGACATTTGTAGCTGTGTTTTGCAGTGATTCTGGACGTGGGAGCAGCCTCTTAGATAGAACCATTGCTGACAGACGACAGCTTAATACAATTACTTTGCCAGACTTCAGCGATCCCGAGACAGGTGAGAATAAAAAGCCAGAGGGGACGAAATGGTGTAATGGAGAATGTGGGGGCCTGGGACCAAGTGACATGGGATGAGACTGATCGGGTTGGGGTTGGAAAAATTTCTTGCACAAATAGTTTAAACACTCAACCGAGGTGCATTGCTCCAGTGTCTTTCTCAAGTGTTTCTTCACAGTGGGGACGGTCATATGATTTGCCCAGCCCAGTGCTTTCTTTGAAATCTATTTCCCCCTTTGCTCTTGGAACTTAAAATTTGAAACTAAAATGAGGTGGTTTCTGTCCCCATCAGGTTTCCCCTCTGCTTCCCTGTGTCTCCCTCTCTCTTTGGGTTTCAGACCTTGCTGAAAGCAAGGTTCACTTTCTAATCAGTTGCACATATAAACACACATACACCCAGCACAAGACCCCGTAGGGTGGCAGGTGGGTTCCACTGTCCCCATGTGGAAGCCCGAGGCACTTCCTGCCTATGAGCAAATCTGCACACCTCGTCGTGTGTGTGTTCCACATTTGCCTAAGTACAGGGGAGTGAGTCCACCTAACTACAGGGGAGTAGACCCCACAGTGGTGACACAGGTGAAGTGTCCCTTACCCGAAATGCCCGGGACCAGAAGTGTGTTGGGTTTGGGAATATTTGCATAAACATAATGAGATATCCTGGGATTGGACCCAAGTCTAAACACAAAGTCCATTTCTGTTTCATATACACCTATACACACAGCCTAAATTTAGGCAATTTTATACAATATTTTAAAGAATTTTGTTCATGAGACAAAGTTTTGACTGCATTTTGACTGCAGCCCATCACATGAAATCAGGTGTGGAATTTTCCACTTGTGTTGTATTAACACTCAGAAACATCTCGATTTTAGAGCATTTCAGATTTTGGGTTTTCAGATTAGGGATGCTCAACCCATACCAATGATTCAGTTGTAATCTGGGTGACTCGACAGACTCACAAAACATATAAATTTGCTCTTCTTTGAGCCTCAAAAATCATTCTAGAGCATCATTTGGAACCTGCTCCTGTTCCTTCTCCCCCACCCACAGGGGACCGTGTACAACTGAATTTCTATCTGGGTATGCCTGGTCTTTTATGGGCTGGCTGCATGACAGGGACCACGAGGTTATTTTCTTGTCCTTGTGCCACATCCCAGCTCTGCCAGAACCTTTCCAAAGAAAGCCTGAGAGCAGCTCTGAGTCTTGCACTGCCAGGGCTTGTCCTGGGAAAAACCTATCCAGGTGGGCTAAAAGGGATAGGGCCTTTGGGAGCCAGATGTGATGTTCAAGCCTGGCCCACCCCAACAGCTGCCTTGCAGACTGCATTTCTGCCCTAGGCTCCCTTGTACCAAATTTAAAGTCAGCTTGAGAAATCAGATCCAAAAGTCCTGCAGCTCCTGGGTAAAAAGATTTTTGGGCACTGGAAGCGGCACAAATCGTAAATTGGTGCAGTTTAATCTGGCTTGCAGCTGCTGCTTAAAATGTGGACTGAGCCATGGAGAAACTCACCCCCTGGAGTGGCCTGACCACTCTCCAAACAGTTCAGCAGTCATTGGTGGGCTTAGACTGCACACCAGGCAGAGAGCCTGGCTGGAATAGCACAGCAGAGTTCTGCATCATCCCAGCTCCTGCCGAGGGACCTGTTTAGGCCCCGTCATTGTAGGAAAGAGGTCAGGCTGTCAGGACTAGCCACTGCAAGGTGAGGCTCGGACATGGGGAAGAGAAGGAAGTGAAACTCACTATAGCACCAGCAGCAATTTCAGCTGATTCAAAACAGCTGCTGTGGCTACCCAGCGCCGTCTCCCCACTTTTCTCCCTCCTAAGTATCCTGTGAGAACAGCCACACTAAATTCAGACCCCCTTTCCTTCCAGCTGGCCTGGACCTTAATTTCCCTGGAGGTCCCAAGACTTTAAAGCCACATCACATTGAGAACAGGTAGTGTCAGAAAATAAATGAGGTCCTTGTTATTCATTCTTCCCGTTGCCCATTGGGACATTTTTCCTAGAGTGCTTGAGAGTCTCCCTCTTCAGATTCAGCTTTCTCAGATGCCATGGTGTTTAGGGAAGATGTGCCTGTGTGACACAGTCTGCGGTGTCACTGCCCTGGGTTGGGCCTGGCCCCCGGGTCTTCCTCCTCCCCCTCTGCTTAGTGGTACTGATGCAGCCAGTCTCTCGGGTGGGCCACCATTCACTTCCAGAGAGCCTAGGTGTTTGGAGTCAGGACCGCGGGCTCCTATGCCCTTCCTCAACAACAGGGAAGCCACAGCCTCCCAGGCACTGCCACAGACGGTTTCATTGTTGAGTCATCCACGCGAGTCCTTCTGAGACTCCTGCCACCAGCCCTACACCACCCCCGACCCAACCAGGCAGCTGCAAAATACTGATTTGCACGCCGACAATTTAACCAAGAGACCAGGGAATCAGAAAAATGGAAGGCCATTTTAGGAGGCCTTATCATATTTGTAAACGAGGGTAAAATATTCTGAAATGACAGTGTCAATCAAAGAAACTTACACGTTGGGAAGGCTTGCCTAAAAATGGGGAAAAATGCCTCCATCTTGATTAATAAAGCCCAGTTGCATATGGTTCAGCTCATGGTGCAGTCAAGAAGGGGCAGATGCTGTCATTCACACACCTGTGTGGAGAGCCCGCCTTGCGAACCACCCACAACACAGATTGTTTATTCCCTCACCTTGATTTGATTTGAAGAGGAAATACATTTACATAATTCAAAAGCTAAAAACTAATTCACAAGGTGCTGTAGAGAAGTTTGGCTTCCACCCCTGCCCATCCATCTTATTTGTTCCTAAAAATAACTGTATTTATTAGCTTTTTGTTTACCCTTCCAGTATTTTTTCATGCAAACAAGCATATGTATCTTTCCTCTGCCCCTTTACATAAACAACCACACACTGTGTATGCTTTTGAGCACCTGCCATTTTGCACTTCACAGTGTATCTGAAGATGCCTCCATACCCATCTGTGGAGAATTGCCTTATTCTTGTTTACAGCCATATAGTATTCCATGACACATGGATTTTACATTCTGGATTCTTATCCATCCAGCATGACCGCAGTCATTTTTCCTCCCTTTGCCTTTGAACAGTTTTCAGTTCATGTGCTAAAAGAGCCTGGCTGACTTTGAACATCCGCTGCAACACTGCTCATCCAGAAAAGCGACTGGGCTATAGAGGCAAAGAGAAAAGGAACTTATCCGAGATCAGAATGGTTCCCAGTGAAACAGAAGTGACCCTGAGATCAAATGTGGCCTGGGAGAACCCAGCCCTGGCGGGTGGCAGCTTATCAGCGTCATGCCCGACACTTAACTGCTTTTCTAAGTCCCCTTTAAAGGGCACAGGCGTCCGACACAAGCAGAGCCCTGCAGTGTTAGCATCCGTGAGGGTGCACAGCCACAGCCACAGCCACAGTGAACTTCCACTTTCGAGATCCTGCCAACCCTGGGGCACAGGCCCAGGATCACCCGCTGTGCAGGCAGATTCCTTTGTGAGGCCGCAAGTCCTCTTGGATCTGTTTTGTTTTCCCCCAGAACTAAATTTATTTTTTTTCTGTTTTTTAATTTCTATTATGGAAAAATTTCTAAAATGCCAGAACAGAGATACTAATATTCCCGTTACCCACCAGTGAGTTTTAGCAATCAGCATTCTCATTCGATCTCTCTCTCCTGTCCCACACTTGCTTTTCCTAGAGTATTTTAAGGCCAGTCCCTAATATCCTATTTTGCCTGTTAAAATTTCAGGATATATGTGTAACTGATAAGAGCTTAAAAATATATAACTACAATACTATTATTATATATCCTGGGTCCTTATACAGTGCAGCCTCAGTATTCATGATTTTGGAAGTGGTTGGTTAACTGGAATACGGTTTCCTACCTCTGAAATTGTCCATATGCAGAGCTGTGGAATAACATGAGGAGTCACCCACGTCCATAAGCTTTGAACTGGCCAAGTCCACTGTAGCTAATAGAGTGGAATTTTGTTTCATTAAACAGACATGTCAAACTAAAATAGCCCCCCTTATAGAACATGACTTCCCCTTAGGTATCACCTTGGGCGTCCCTTCCTCCCACCTCTGCCATCTCATAGGTCCCAGCCAGTGAAAGAGGACTCAAATAGAGTGACAGTCTTTACTTTGAAGCTCTGAGTCATTGTCTTTTCTTTGGAATAAGTTGGTAGTTCCTTAAATAGAGAATGAAAAAAATATTTTATTCCTTTGCCTTTAAAACAGGATGTGGGGTAAGGGGATTTATCTTTAATAATTGATAGATATCAACAAATACCTATCCAACGCAAAATAAGTATTTTAACTTGAAAGTTTGATCCACTTTGTTTGGGAAAATTTCTAATTGCAGCGGCGGTGGTCTCCCCGTTGCCATGTGTTTCTCCAGCTGTAAGACATGAAGGCAGCCATACCGGCTTTTTTCCCAAAGTGCCCAACCAGCACACCCCAACCATAGGCCACCCCAGAAAGCTTAGCACCCCCTTGTCATAATGCTGGGACCATGACATAGTGTTGCACCTCAGTACTCTGCACCTTGGAAAACCTTATTTTCAAGTAAACTGTATATAAGTGCTTCTCATAAAAAACAAATCTATGTAAAGTCAAGTCCTAACCCTTTCCAGTTGAAAAGCAAATTGCTTCCTCTAGAATGTTCTGGATATTGTAGGCTAAAGATGTATTATTTTCAGCAGATCACACTGCTGAATCTGTGCCCAGGTAAATCTTGAGTTATTTTTATTCCATGGTGTTGTTGCGGACCAACTAAATAACCAGTGGAAAAACAAATTTGTTTTCTTCGAAAAGCACTTGTATTCTATTGTCAGGTAGAGGAATGATTGTGTATTACATGACCTCATTTTCTTTGCAGCTTATGTGAGTATATTAAAAGCGAGTTTATTTTTTTCTTTGTGTTTCTAAAGTTTTTTTTTTGCCTTCACCCTTTTTTTCTCTTTCACTTTTTTAGTGTCAGATTCCTCCTCCTCCTCCTCTCCTCTTTCAAGAACCGAATCTCCTCTCCACCTGTTTGTGTCTTCTCATCTTCATTCTCCCAAACCCGATACCTTTGTGTGGCCCCCTGCAGCTCATTCATTCAGTGACGCAGGTCCCCGCCGGGAACCCTCTCTCTGTAAACATGGTTTTTCCTTTCTTGTGAGACCTACTTCATTTGCGTGTTTTACCTTCTGATAATCTTCCTAACTGATAAGCTGGAGAGGAAACTTCATCAGACTTGTCAGAGAGAAATCTTGCTCATTTGAAAATCCAAAAGCTGTTTGGGGCAGAAGGAAACCTGAGATTGCAGGCATTGGAGCCCATGCCTCAACTTCCTCTTTGCAAAGTAAAGGAAACCTTCTGGGCAGAACGGATAGAAGTTTTTCTAGAATATTGCCTCTAATCCTTGGGTCCTTCCGTGCTTTCCTGGAGTTGATATAAATGCATAAAAATCCTATTAAAAGGCAAATTACGACATTTTGCGCAAAAACTCCCGTTTTCAATTTAGAAATGAATTCAACCAGCGTATAATCATCAAGGCCGTATTCTACAGATCAGGGCCACAGCCCTTTCAGCATGTGGTTCTCAAACTTTACCATGCGTTAAAACCACACAGAAAACCTTTAAAGCAGCGGATCCCCTGGTCCCCACCCCCAACTTTATATTCATTAGGCCTGAGGTGGGGCCTGGGAATCTGGATTTATAAATTGCTCCCCTATGATTCCAATGCCAGTGGGTTTTAGACCACATTTTGAGAAACAGTGCTGTAAACTGTTTTCCATTTGCAGTGAAGGAAAATGTAGGGTTTGTGTCGTGAAACTATGCAGAGAAATTGAATAGTATTTTAGTCTAATCTTGCTTTTAAATAACACGGAAATTTTGAAAGTCGGCTTTAGGGAGTTCCAGAACCTGTCCATGAACAGCAACAAGAAAGATCCCTGTGTGAAAATGAACACTGGTTGGTAAAACCCTTAAATAGGACCTAAATATGAATCTGACCCGGGGAGCCCATCCTTGTTTTCTTTTGCTCATTTATTTAATGTTCACTGCCAGCACTGCTAGAAAATTTAATCTCTATATCTGTGATTTATAAGGGCTCATCTTTGTTCCAAATGCCCAGTTATGTGCTGAACAAAAGCTCTTAAGGGGAACTGCTGCCAGAAAGAACCACTATCTCTAATGTGCATATCTTTTGATGGCTCACCCGCTTTGTTCAGCTCTCACACACACAAAGCCAGGGCAGAAACTAGATTACCATTCAAAATAAACCATCCACGCCGAGAAACCCGCTGACCGTACTTATCTGCATATTAAGTGTTCTGAATTTTGCTTTAATGGCAATCCCAGTTTTATGAAATGGAAGATGAAGATACTGTTTAAACACCGTGTATGTTGTTTTTCATGCATTTCTTAAAATAGACATTTTCTCTTAATACAATGCCTACTGGCAATTGCCAACTTCGATTTTTCTAGAAAAATTCTTTACATTGACTTTTGATGAGTTTATTGTCTGAAAATGGGATCTTCCCATTCTAGAATAACATGGTATGTTCCCACTTCCCTGTCCACTCTTTTCTGCACAACAGACCCACCTGCCCGTATTTTTCATGTTGCATCTTGTGAGCCCTGTGATCCTGTAAGCCTTTGAAGATTGCAGTCCTGACTCTTCAGGGGAGGCACTTTATGTCTGATTAATCAGTGACTTTCTGGGGTGATGAGCACCCACTGGGCTTTCTGCTGAATGGAGTATGTCCCGGGCAGTGCTCAGTTGTTTATTCTTAATAAGCTGAAGTCATCTTTCCATCCTCAGGGAGTGTCTAGCCAGTAACCAGGTGTTTCAACTAAGACTGAAGCTCTCGAGAATCCACCCCCTCCCACAGAGTCAGCATTTAGTTAGAGGGGGGAAAACATACTGACAAATGCAGAATTTCTTAATTAAAATTGTAATGATTTTAAGTCCCAACTTTTCCGTTAGGATAAGCAGATAGTCAAGATCTGAAGTTGTATGAATTTCTCCCTCCAAACCTTTGACTTCATAGAAGGGAAAATTAGCCCAACCCTACAAACCACTGGAATCATGATTAGGGTTAATGTGTGGAAAGACCCAAAACCCACTTGTTTGATTATTTTTCCCTTCCCTTTGGAATTTCCTGCTCTGGAAACAAAATACATTGCATGAATTGGTCAGCTTTCATGTGCTGGGTGAACATTTCAATGGATAGGGGAATGCCCAGTTGGCCTTTCTTTTGTTTAAAAAAAAAATGTTAGTGGAAAAATGTGTGCCACTCTTGAATGGAAATATGATTCTAGACAGCCAGACTTACAGTTGGAAGGTTATTAGAACTCTGTTCGCTTTTTTAGTCTTAATTTTGATTTTTCAAATGTTTTGTTTCTTGGTTTTAATTTTTGGTTTGATCTGTTGTTCCAAGGCAACTCTCCAGAAGCATACTTTCATGGTTTTCCTTCCCTTTTTTCAGTTAGTAAGTAGTTTACCAATCTATTAATCCTTCCGAGGGCCTCCAGAATCACACTCCCCCCACCACGGAATGTGCATTGTGGTTGTTGAGTGCTGAGAATGCTGAGATGACGTGGACATCCCTCTGCCACCTGCCTGCCCACTCTGCCACCTGGAGCCCATCCCTCCTGAGATCCTAATGCATTCAGCGCAGCTTGGGTTTATATATGAGGAGGCAGTATTGATCTGAGAAGGACTACAAAAGAAGGCATTGCAGGGAAAAAGGCCAACTCTGGGTGTGCAGTGGGTGGTGAGAAGCACTCCTGGCACTGATTGGAAGCATGAGATGCCCCGTCTTCCCAAGGCGGGTGGCCAGTAAATTTTAGGTAGAGGGAACCAGTTGGATCTTGAAATTTTTGTAATTAATCCAACCATTATTGTTGCATAGGAGAGCAATTCTAACTGTTAATTTTTCTAAAAATAAGCAGACATCATAAAACTTAAAAATGTATCTACCAAAATTTAAAGGAATTGCTTAATTCCCTGGATGTAGGATCAGTGCTTTTTTTTTTTTTCTTTTTGAGACAAGGTCTTAGTAGATCAGGCTGGAGTGCAATGACACGATTACAGCTCACTGAAGCCTGGAACCCCAGGGCTCAAGTGAGCCTCCCACCTTGGCCTCTTGAGCAGCTGGGACACCATGCACACGCCATCATACCCAGCTAATTTTTTAATTTTTGGCAGAGAGGAGGCCTCACTGTGTTGCCCAGGCTGGTTTCCAACTCCTGGGCTCAAGCGATCCTCCCACCTCGCCTCCCAAAATGCTGGGATTACAGGCGTGAGCCATCACGCCCAGCCTAACAGTGCTTTTGGCAGTGTTTAAGTCATTAGTGACTTGTCACATCTGCCAAAGGATGTTTCTTAGACCACTGATTCTCTTTGGTCAAATATATTTGGACGACAGTCCATCTCCTGCCTAGTGCTTCATAGTTCACATTAACCACATTAAATGTTCTGAGAAGTCCCGCACTTTGACCCAGTGTTCCCAAACTAATGTAATCGTTTTTTCCACCCTAGGAAATCAGTGTTCATGGATTGCATTTGGGGAAATGCTGGTGGATATGGGGATCCAGTGCATTTGAATGACCTGAGCCTTTAGCTTATGGCAAATACTGCCCCTCACCCTTAAGAGTTGATTCCACCCTCTGAAATCCAGCTCAACCTAGATGTGCCTTTATTTCTGGCCTAAAAGCAGTCCATAATAGAAAAGAGGTATGTGTTGGTGCTGTCATCACACATTAGGTGCTTCATAAAAGAGATTTCCCTGCCAGGTTCCTCTCACCATCAAGGGCCAGCTCTGGAGTCACCCGGCAACTCGCCGCATCGCCCTGGGCCTCATTTCCTCATCTGTAAAAATGTAAATTCCATAGTTATTCTATGTACACCGCCCTTATGATTTGGCAGCCATGGATCCTGGTTTTAAGGGCGAGTCAGGTGCCTTCCCCCTGAGTTACACCCTGGGCAGCTAGGACCAGAAGAGTGGAGGTGGCTGAGCAGGATTGGAGCGAAGCAGCAGGGCTCTCTGCATGCTGCTCATCACTTCTTAGAGGACCCGGGGCGCTCCCCTGCAGGTGCCCTAGCAGTTGTTTTTTTGGAGAAAAATCTGTGCTGATGTTTTATTCCCCTCTCCAAGAACATGCTAAAATCAAGATTACCGACTTGAGTTCTTGGCTCCATTTTTCCTATCACTGATTCTAGTGAAGTTGCTGCTCTCTTTAGCAGTAATTCACCGGGAGAAGAGAGTAAACACGTTAATGAAGAACATACCTCTAAAATAAAATAAGAGTGAGAAAGGAATTCAAGACAGTAGTGATGTTTTTCTCTTTCCATCATGGCAAGCATTTTATTGAGCTGCATTTTCTAACACTCAAGAATGTATATCATGATCAGGAAGTGACTAGTCAATTAGGCGGTTTTAGTCTCTGTTCCTGCTTAATAGAATAAAGTAGCTTTAAAAGAAATCTAGGTATATATGGGAGCATCACTCTGTGATGACTGTACCATTTTTGAGGGGTGGTGATTTTTAAAATTCAGCTCTAATATAGAACCTTTTTTTGCTATTTTAATTAAACTAAATTTAATATAATTCTCCTTAATTAGTTCTGTAGTATCTTTCTTTAAACAAGATTGAGTGGAATGATAGGAGACTGACAAGCCAACAGTAAGTGGCACTCAGGTAGAAGTTGGGGAGTGTGTCCAGCATTAGAATATCATCCCAACCTGGGAGGCTTTCCCCAGGACGCCGGCAGTCAGGCACTTGGAGGCTCAGAGAGCCTTCCCCAGGCAGAAGGCACTTCCACCCCAAGACACAGCCTCATGAATATGCATCAGGGAGGGTTCAGGTGGAGATGGAAGCATCTGCCCAATGTAGTCCTCCAGAAGGTACTGTCTCTAGCGCAGAGCCACCGGCAGCGGCTCGCTCTGACAGCTGGCACCTTCCTGCATGCGTGTGAACGGCTTCCCTCCATGCTTTCTGTGTGACCACCTGGCCCTGCCAGCACCCACCAGCAGCATGCTGCGCTAGCCCCGCATGCCCACCGGTGATGACATGTCCCCGGCCCTCCCTGCCTTACTGGGGTCCTTCCCTGGAAAGAGCTTCCCCCTTTCAGGACAAGACGTGTGCTGTCAGGTTTAAACGGTGCTTGATATTATGTTAAAGTCAGTGGGAAACTGATCCCGTCTTGGGGCTATGAGTCTTAATCCTTTTTTCACTTGGTGAAAAATGGAAGTGTCTACTAGAATGGTGACCAAGGTGATTTATTTATCAGAGGAACCCACAGCAGGAGCCCTCATGGTTGGTGGGACTGGGTGGGCAGCGGCCCCGCCCCTGCTGTCACACTGGGGGACACAAGGCGCGAGGGCAGCTCCCAGGGAAGCAGCAGATGGAGAGGAGAGCTGTGACAGCGCGGTGCAAGGAGCCACCACCTGGAGTCGCCTCCTCAGAAAGCAGGACTACCCTACAGCAAAGATGGGAATTGTCCTAACTCCCGGGCACCAGGGAGATGAGGGGACAGCAGTTATGTTTTTTAAAAGGTATGGAGAAATATGCCTGCTTTGAGGGCCGAAGTGGGAGTGGACACTCATGCCTCTTCCTCTCCCTTCAAGAAATAAGAGACAGTCAACACTAACTCCTTCGCCTCCTCCCGTCCTCAGCCCCCAGGACATTCTGGTTCTTCAAGCACAGGTGACACACAGAGACAGAAGGGCACAGAGCTGCCAGCAGTCTGCAGTGTTGGACTGATTTATTTCCAAGCCCTATCTTGAGAAACAGAATTTTTTTTTTCCTGTTAAGAAATGAAAATTCTAAAGCAAAGCTAGCTCACAGAATGCTGAGTCACTCAGATTGCTGCTTAATATTCAGGTTCTTTAAGAGATGGAACTGCTGCTTTTTCGTATTATTTTAATTGTGAATAAGTTGACAGAGAATTTGGAATCATTTCAGGGTCAAGGGAAAACAGGTACAGCAGAAATTCATTAGCAGCAGGTGATTTCTGCATGCCCACGACTGCAGTGGCTCAGCTACTTGTCAGAAAAATGTGGGGAGGGCAGGTGTCTGCCGCTGCAGCATTAGGCAGAAAGAATGTGGGTGCCAAACAGAGACGGGGCTTGGGGTGTGGCCACGTGCCATCGTTCCCCCATGTTCACACTCATGAGGCATGGAGTGGGTTCTCCAGGGCTGGGAAGCAAGGAGCTGCCCCAAATCCTGCCAGCCTCATGTGAGGTGGTCGGCTGACATCTTTTGGTAGAGGATGTTTTTCACACGTCATGTAATGTGGCTGTCCGTCGTTCCTGGCACTGGAATGCTCGCCAAGTCACCGGGTGGGCAGGATTCCATCTGAGAGAGATCCAGCTCATCTTCTATGTGCTGTGAGGGGAGAGGGAAGGCGAGGGGTCCTTCAGACTGCAGCCACTTAACTGAGGCCACCAGACAGTTAGAAGGAGAGCTGGAATATAATATATCCTATTTATTCGGCAACACTTGCGTGTGACAAATACAGGGATATGAAGCATAACTAAGCCACTTAATTTATCAGTTATGCTTTTTCCTTTGTCTTTTTCTTCTCTTTTTTTGTTTGAGACAGAATCTCGCTCTGTCACCCAGGCTGGAGTGCCATCTCAGCTCACTGCAACCTCCACCTCCTGGGTTCAACCGATTCTCCTGCCTCAGCCTCCCGAGTAGCTGGGATTACAGGCACCCGCCACCAGGCCCGGCTAATTTTTTTTGTATTTTTAGTAGAGACAGGGTTTCACCATGTTGGCCAGCCTGGTCTCAGACTCCTGACCTCAAGTGATCCACCCGCCTCAGCCTCCCAAAGTGCTGGGATTACAGGCGTGAGCCACCACGCCCAGCCTGTGCCTTTTCTTAACAGAATTATTGGTGCTGGGATCCCTTTGGATGATGAACTTTGGTGGAAGAGGGCTCACATGTGATTGCCACAGCTGAGGTCTATGTGAAATTCACCATAGGTGTCATGTGCATTGGAAAAAGGATTTTTGGAAAAGCTTCACCTGCAAAGGCAATATGAGCTAGCCGTCCCAGTGTCCTACTTGGGGCAGGCAGGGTTTCTCAACAGCCCTCAGTGTACAATAGGAGCACGGGTCAGAAAACCTCAGGAAGGGTTCAGAGCTTGGACTCATGGTGCCCTGAGATCAGTGGCCTTGGTTCCTCTTGGTTCCTGGTCCTCTTGGCCCGTGAGGAAATGCCTTCCCATCACAGTTTCTAGGTCCTCGGCTGCCTTCCCCCCTCCTTACCCCCATGCATGGTGATGGAGAGAGGAGCCTAGAAGGAAACCCTGGCTCAGAATGTTCTTCAGGTGGCACTTTGCCTCTGTATCAGGTGTCCAAGATAACATTTTCGATTGAGGATCTAGGTGGGAGGGCAAGGAAAGCCATTGGCTTGTGGAAATGCAGATGGCCTCCGCTCCAGGACGTCACACGCCCTTGCACCATTCGGGCCGTTTGACGACAGACCTGTGCTAGATTTCAGAGCGAGCTCTCACCTGCCTACGTCAGCCCTTGGTACAGTGGGTCTTGCAGTGGCTTTTCAGAGCCCCTGTGTCCTGTGACTGCGGGGAGAGGCGCATTGTCTCCTAGACGGAGCACGGCAGCCGCTGCGCAGCACACAGTCCTGTGGGCTCTGGCAGTGGCGGGACCTCTTGAAGCTGGGTGGCAGATGAGAGATGCACCATGGCCCAGGTGCTCTCCCTGGCTTACCTGTTGAACCTGATTATTTGGAAACTTATTTCTGCAGAGCCTTGGATTTCAAATTGGAAATATGTCCTATATTCTAACTTCTGATTCCTTTTTCAAGCCTCAGTTTGCCCATTTCCACCTTAAGTTAATAGTGCTCTCATTCTGATGTACGATGCAGGAACATGTTTGCCGTGGTGAGAAAGAAAGGGGTTCTTTAAAAATGTGCTGGTTAGAGCCAGTGTTTCCAGCTGTTTACCTATATAAGTCAAAATCCAGTGTCTATATAGTCACTTACCATTTCAGTTCTATGAAACAATAAAATACAGTACAGGGTTTTTTTTGTTGTTGTTGTTTTGTTTTTTTTTTTAGATGGAATCTCACTCTTGTTGCCCAGGCTGGAGTGCAATGGCGCAGTCTCAGCTCACTGCAACCTCCACCTCTGGGGTTCAAGCAGTTCTCCTGCCTCAGCCTCCTGAGTAGCTGGGATTACAGGTGTGCACCACCATGCCCCGCTACTTTTTGTATTTTTAGTAGAGACAGGGTTTCACTATGTTGACCAGGCTGGTCTCAAACTCCTGACCTCAGGTGATCCGCCTGCCTCAGCCTCCCACGGTGCTGGGGTTACAGGCATGAGCCACCGCGCCTGGCCTGCTTGGTTTGTTTTTTAACCAGCTGTATCCATTCTGATTAAAGTGATGTTTTTCCTTCCCCCTCCTTCCAATACTAATTCAATGGAAGACTTTTATTTGTTGTGTTATTTTCAGGAATAGTAGATACCAACTTATATAATTTCACTATTGTTAGTTATGTGCTATTATTATGTGAGTGCCCTAACATTTATCCCTGGTTCAGAATATGAAGGCTCTCTGCCCTGGTGAAATGTGTGTACCAAGAAATTGACTAGGAAGAAAAACATTATTTCTAATAAACCTGTTATCCTTCTCTATATTTTAATTTTACGTTAGGGGAAACGTCCATGTTTAATTGGAACTATTCACCACTGTCATTTTTAGTCTGGATTGTTGGAAGTGATGAGCACTGCACTGAAGTGTCCTTTGAGTGGGTGAATGTTCTGGCCTCTGAGCTGTTGTTAGAGGGGAAGAGTAGAGCACACGTGCATCCAGAGAGGGGGCCGCCCTCTTCTGAATTTCAGACAGTGAAGTGTCTATTGACAGCACTCGTTCATTCCCTGCACACTCATTTACCTAATACTTAGTATGGGCCTGGTATTGTTAGTCCCTGAAAATCCCTACCCTGAGGACGTAGTTCGCATCTTCTAGACCCACACGGTCTAATAAGGGAGATAGTTACATTAACTTTAAAACATGTGGTCTGTGCATTGTTAGTGACAACCACATAGAAGCACCAAGGACCAGAGAGTCTCACTTATTGTAGGGAGAAATGGAAGGCTCACAGCAGCCTTCCTGTAGGAGGTGGCATCAGAGCTGGACTTAGAGGACAGATTTGGAATCAGACTAGTGTTTGTGTTCTGGTTAAAGATTAGTACATATAAAGTGCCAATTGCAGTGCCTGAAACATGGTATGTTCTCTAAAACTGACAACCACCACTGCTGTCATCATCATCGCCATCATCATCATCATCTGCCAGACCTTATTCATAGTAAAATATATTGTGCTAGGAATTAATTGATTTAGTTGTGTATAAATACCACAAAGAGAAGAAACTTTGGCAGTAGTTCTGATTATTTATTTGTGGACCAAACAAAACAGTTAATCCAAAAACCAAAATTAGCCCCTCCAAAAGTCACAAACTCTTGTAGCAAAAGATTCACAGAACCTGGTAGAAAATGTGTGGAATGTTTCCAGAGCAATAATTTATTATTGTTATTTTTAATGAATTAGTAAGTGAATATTTTAAACATGTCTGTTAAAACATGTTAAAAAAAACATGTTTTTACTTCTAATGTGAATATCAATAGACATAACATATAAACAACCTCTTTAGGGTCTTCAATGATTTTTTTAGAGTCTGAAGAGATTCTGAGACCAAAAAGTCTAAGAACCCCTGTTCTAGAGAACAAGATCTTCCTGGAACTCTGTTCCCCAGGTGACGCTTGTGCTGCAGGGAAGCAGGAGAGCTCAGGCTGCCTGGCCCGTGTACAGGCTTTTTTTGACCAAATATTCGTTAACATTTGCTTCCGGTCTCTCCAAGCGAGTGGTTCTCAGTCTTAGCGGCACATTGGAATCACTTGGGGTGATTAACAAAGATGCCAGTCCTCACCCCTAGACTGAGTGATGTGGTCGGTCTGGGATGTAGCTATAACATCATGATTTTTTAAATCCCGAATGATTTTGATGTGAAGTTAAGGTTGAGAACCACTGTTCAAGCCAATGAGAAGGTAGCCAACTTGGTAATGGCGGAATAGGGCAACAACAGCCTCTAGATTACTCATTTATTTAACTTTCATTGCTACTAAAAATCTCAGGGAAACTACATCAAGTCCTTGTTATCAAAGTTCAAAATATTACTTTCCATAAAAAAGGTGACAAATAAGAAATTTTGACAGCAGTTTAATCATTTTGCTATGTAGATTTTTAAAAAATAGTAGTTAGACATACTTTGTCTAAACAAGGATAGATTCTTAGCACACTTCTTAGGTTCCCCCTTCATATACCATCAATTAGACTCTTTTTTAATTATTTATTTATTTATGCATTTATTTATTTTTTTGAGACAGAGTCTCACTCTGTCACCCAGGCTGGAGTGCAATGGAGCGACCTCGGCTCACTGCAAGCTCTGCCTCCTGGGTTCAAGCAATTCTCCTGCCTCAGCCTCCTGAGTAGCTGGGATTACAGGCACCTGCCACCGCGCCTGGCTAATTTTTTGTATTTTTAGTAGAGACAGGGTTTCACCATGTTAGCCAAGATGGTCTCGATCTCCTGACCTCCTGATCTGCCCGCCTCGGCCTCCCAAAGTGCTGGGATTATAGGCGTGAGCCACCGCGCCCGGCCACTAGACTCTTTTAACTCAGCCTCTGAGTTCCGTATTGTGCAGCAGGACTTGTTAGACCTTTCCAGAGGCTGCTCTCCTCTTGGTCGTCCTTGTGGGCACTGTCGGCCCACTCTGATTTCCATCCACCAACCCCTCACCAAAGGATTCAGGTGCATTTAGAAGCATCCATGTTACCATTATATTGGAGCAATCAAAACATAATATGGATGGCGCATCTATTGCCGTGAATACTCTTTAAATTTATAGATGATGGGTACATTCCAAAGCGCAACTGAAATTATTTTTATGCTCACAATTTTGTATTACCAAGAATATAACTCCATTTATTTTGTAGTCGCATTTATCTTTATAGATTATTACTATTTTAAACTTTATGATGAGTTGGTAGTTACCACTCTCAATGTTGGTATGTTTATCTCCATACTAAACTTTTTGATGAAGTTTGATGGATCATTAAGAATGATGCAGGTGAATAGAAATATTAACAGTTTCAAATTTGAAACAACTGCTCTCTTGAAATCAAGAGAATCCTGCTCTTGATTCTAAAACCACATCTCCAAGAGTGAATGTTGGAAAGAGATGGGAAGCAAGCCTCTGTTTAAGGAGGTGGTCTCCGATCCTCCGAGAGGTCAACGTGAAAAGAAATGAGTTTTGCATTTTGACTTGTGCACTCCCCCAACCCTTGACTAGTGAACATGCTTGGTTGACCCCTCTCCTTAGCCTTTCAGGACAGCAGGTTTTACAGAATAATTAGGCAGGTGCATATTCTGAACCCCAGGAGTCTTTGCTACAAACCCATTCCATCCCATCCCCTGCTAGTCTAGCCTTAAGGATAGACATCTGCTTATACACAGGGCAAAAGTGTGCTTTTTTCTGCAGTTTTTAAGTCATGCCTTAGAATATGGTTCTAAACCGAGGGTGTAGTCCACCTCTCCAAGGCCAGGCTTGCACTAATGAAACGGGAAGTTGCTGGGTTTGTCTTGAGAATGGCCAGTACATCTACTCCAAATGCTACCCCAGGAGGCAAGTATATTCCTCCCCCCACCCTGATTAAGTTTCTAGGTTTAGGCCCTTACAGGGGCGCTTTGTAATGTCCCCTTATAGCACTTCATTTATTTGATTTTTAAACGCCAGTATCATCACAGCTGTGTATCTGGCCCCCCATCTGCCAGCACTCACACCGCTAGGCTGAGCTCCTGGAGGGGGCATGTGCTCTGTTTGTTGACAAAAAGATTAGCTAAAGCCCAAGGATGGAAACTAAGGCCCCGGGCCGTGATTGCCCGCGTTTCTCTGTGGACAGTAAATCTTAGAAACATCATGGGGGAAGGGGTGTGTGTGTTCCGCGCTTGTCTGTGTGGGAAGGGGTTGATTGGTTGGGTCTGTTCTTTCGCTCCTGATAGAGTCTTCTCAAAAACCTCTCACAGGCTCCGTCCATGCCACATCGGTAGCAGCCTCAAGAGTGGAGCAGGCACTGTCGGAAGTGGCTTCGTCTCTGCAGAGCAGTGCCCCTAAGCAGGGCCCGCTGCACCCCTGGATGACGCTGGCACAGATCTGGCTCCATGCAGGTACCCTCCGCCTCACCCACAACCCGCTGCTGTGCCAGAGCCTGGGCTCCGCCCCACCCACAACCCGCTGCTGTGCCAGAGCCTGGGCGCTTGTCTGTTTAGCCCACACCCCTCATTAGGAGAGATCAAAGCTTCACGGCCATGCACCAAAATGTTACTACTACTTTGCACAAACCGCAAGTGACTCTGTATCCCCCGATCCCTCTCCCCTGCCTCGGTGCCCTGGCACAGAGCAGACATCTAGGAAAGTTTTCTGGATTGACTCTAAGGATTCTTGGGGAGTTTGCCATGTGGGGTGCAGGGTCTGTGCTGTAGAGACTGTCTTTGTGAGTGACTTGGAGTCATAGCTGTACCAACTGGGTAGATTTGAGTTAAAGTATTTAGCTCAGCCTCAGTTTCCAATTCTGTATGATGGGCTTAGGAATAGCACCCATCTCCCAGGGTTGATGAGTGCAATGCCTGGCACATCTTGACAGTGAATTCTTGGAGTCCCTGAGAGAGGGCCAGGAGGTGTTAAGGACACAGATGTCTTTATAAAGCCAGGGAAGGGGCTGTGTGTTTGGTGCCCTATGATCCTATGCTCCTCTGCCCCTCTCTGATGGCTCTCTCTGTAATTTCATAGAGAGACAGCAACAGCCTCTGACCTGGAGACTGGCCCGGAAGGGGGGCATGAGTGCCCCTTCCCCAGTTCCCAGGGCACTCTGCTGGCTCAGCGATGCTTCTGCACCACTAAAAAGCCCAAAAATAAATGCAGTGTCCAGGCTTTTTTTTTTTTTTGAGACAGAGTCTTGTTCTGTCACCCAGGCTGGAGTGCAGTGGTGCAATCTCGGCTCACTGCAACCTCTGCCTCCCAGGTTCAAGCGATTCTCCTGCCTCAGCCTCCCAAGTAGCTGGAATTACAGGCGCCCACCACCACGCCCAGCTAATTTTTGTGTTTTTAGTAGAGACGGGGTTTCACCATCTTGGCCAGGCTGGTCTCGAACTCCTGACCTCAGGTGATCCGTCCACCTTGGCCTCCCAAATTGCTGGGATTACAGGCGTGAGCCACCGCGCCTGGCCTGTGCAGGCATTTTAATAACGAGAATCCCACTACACTGCGCTTCCAAGAAATAATGGCTGTGGATTTACTTACATATTTATATTTCAACATAAAAGGTAATTCCCCTCCTCAGGTTTCATCACTTCATCTGTATAGCCCTACCTGGGTCTTCTCAGGCTTGACTCTTACAGTGTGTGGTGAAAGCCCACATTTGGCTGAGAAGGGTGCTTATTATCCACCAATTGTCCCTCTGTTGACTCCTTTTTTGCCAAGGCTAATCGTATGATATTCCACCCTGTTTGACACCACTGGCAGGCCTTCGCATTGAAAACATGTTTGGATTTACCTGGCCTTGGCATGCCGCAGAGCCCAGCTCAGTCAGCCTTTTCTGTGTTGGCATCTTCAATTGCACCATAATGACTACCGTAAATTAACAAATTATATTCTTCTAAGCAGAAGTACAAAAGAGGGGTGATTCATGAATTCACAGTTGTTCTTCTCTGCTGCAGACGCCTGCAGCATTTGGCCTCTTGCTTAGAGAGGTCCCAGACATTCTGGCTCTGAGGGCCAAGGAGTAGCAGTAACGCCTCCTCCACAGCTCCCTTATGCAAAAGTCCAGTTCCTGGCTGAGAACTCTGATGGCTGTCCTAGTCAGTTACCCCCATGAACAACAACTACAGAGAACAGAAAGGGAAGGAGTATGGTTTAGTGTCCAGGCCAGGTAAACCTGAACTTGTGGGGCTGGTGTAGGGGCAGAGTTGCCTTTTAAATTGGTCTCAAAGTTGGGTTTCTGAAGAGCTGGAGTCTAAAACACTAGAAGGGCTGAAGGCCATCCCTCCAGGGTGGAACTAGCCCCCCTGACCTCGAAGGTGGTGCTTCTCTTGCTTGTTTCTCAGAAAACTTAATGACCTGAAAGTCAACATATTCCAGGAGAGCTCTGTCTGGTGCCTTGCTGCCCCCAATTCAGTTATCCAGAGACTTTGCCCCACTTTGCGTGGCCTGCCGTGACTGTTGGGGAGGAAATTTTGTAGCTGATTATTAGAATATTGAAGAACTTAATGGTTAAGATTCAGCTTGGAGCTATCCTTTCATTTTATTTTTTCGGGGGGTTGGAGTCTCACTCTTTGGCCCAGGCTGGAGTACAACGGTGTGATCTCAGCTTACTGCAACCTCTGCCTGCTGGGTTCAAGCAATTCTCCTGCCTCAGCCTCCCAAATAGCTGGGATTACAGGTGCCTGCCACCATGCTCCACTGATTTTTGTATTTTTAGAAGAGACAGGGTTTCACCATGTTGGCCAGGCTTGGTCTCGAACTCCTGACCTCAGGTGATCTGCCTGCCTCAGCCTCCTAAAGTGCTAGGATTACAGGTGTGAGGCACCGTGCCCAGCCTTCTTGGAGCTGTCCTTGAATTTTAATATAATCACACAAGATCCGTTTCTCATTGCATGGCCCATAGGACAGAGTCAAGTTCTCCTTCCTAGCAAATGGGTGTGGCTTTACTATTCTAGAAGGTGGTGGAATTGAACTATGGAAAGTGACTGTCGACCCTGTAAACCCTGAGCAGACTGTGCTGTATGCATACGGTGAGCATTGTGTGTAGGACGAATGAATGAAGTCAATTAGGATCTTTTTGGAATTTGTGCCATATCGACTGTTTCAAAGCAATGACTTTGCTTGAGTCAAGATTTAGAATCGTATCATATATTCACATAGTCCTTCAAGAGGAAAATTTAGAAGACAGTTTCCACTGCACTGCCAGATTTTACCTTATGTGATTTGAGCTCCACTGCTCTGAGAGGCAAAATAAATGTGACTCAATTTTTTGGCAGTTCATGGAAACCAGGTAACCTCTGTTTCCTGTGTCCATCATCAGCTCCCACAATACTGCCAGAGCCCATAAGTTTTGTAAGCTTTAGAAGAAATTAGTTAGATCAAGGCCTGACACCCAAAGCCATGGTGTCTGAGTGACATTTGTGGGCCTGTTCTCTCCTGGTGGTTTTTTCTGGTGAACTGAGTACAGTGGGAGCTCGTGATGGGAGCCCACAGTGGAGGTGGACCCAGATTTGAGGCTTGCAGGAAAGGTCACTCGGAGATGACCTTGGATTTCCAGCAGAGAAATCTATTGTAGCAGAGGGTCCCTAGGCCACTTGTCTGTGCATGTATATGACAAGGAGATAGTGAATAGGACACCTGTGCCGCCAGCTGCTTTGTAAGGGGACAGGCCCAGGAGATGAGGGATGCTTGCCCACAGCAGGTCCCCACTTTCTGTATGATAGGTGCTCCCTTCCATAGGTCCATGGCACACAATTGAAAAGCCACAAAGTGAAAAGGCTCCCTCTTATCCCTGAGCCTCAGTCACCCCCACCACAGGCAACCACTGTCACCGGTTCTGTGCATCTTCCAGAAATCTCACATGCTGTACTTTGTCCCCCACCACCCCCTGAATGTGCCACCTGGTAGGTCAGTGCACATCAGCACCTGTAAGGTGACTTATACTTTGTCACAGCTACAGAGTATGTCTACTGTATGGTTAGACCATCATTTAACCAATACTCTACTGATTAACATTTAGATTTTAATCTTAAATTCAGCTGATAACATTTAGCTTATTATGGCAATTTGTGCCATGTTGACTCTTTCAAAGCAACGATTTTGCTTGAGTCAAGATGTAGAATCATATCATACCTTCACATAGCCTTTTAAGAGGTAAATTTAGAAGAAAACAGCTTTCACCGCACTGTCGGGTTTTACCTTATGTGGTTTGAGCTCCCCCACTCTAGTATTTTGCCATTACAGATAATGCTTCAATAAGTATCCCTATACACAGTCTACCCTTTACATTCTCAGGTTCTGCACCCACGGATTTAACCAACCTTGCATTAAAAATATCTGAAAAAAATCTGTCTGTACTGAACAAGTACAAACTTTGTCTTCTTGTCATTATTCCCTAAACAATACAGTATAAGAACTATTTAAATAGCATTTACATTGTATTAGGTATTTTAAGTAATCTAGAGATGATTTAAAACACACAGGAGGATGTGCATAGGATAATTTAAAATACACAGGAGGATGTGCAAATCCTGCACCATTTCATATCAGGGACTAGAACATCCATGGATTTTGGTATTCAAGGGAGGTCCCAGAACCAATTCCCCATGGATACTGAGGGCTGACTGTGTATTTTTTTTTATCTGTAAGATAAACTCTAAACAGTGGAAGTGATGGATGAAGGGGTGTGTACTCTTTAATTTTGATAAGTTTTGTCCATTGCCTTCCACAGAATTGTACCAGTTTACATTCCAGTCAACAATGTGCTAACGTCCACTTTCTCACGCCCTTGCCAACACAATGAATTCTCAGAATCCTTGATCTTTCCAGTCTGACAAGTAGAAAATGGTATTTCAGTTTTCTGTCCGTAGCTTTTGACCATTTATCTTCTTAGATACTGAGCTTTTCCTTTTTATTTCTAAGCACTTATTGTGTGTCAAAGAAATCTGCCTTGTCTCTGAAATAGGTGCTGTAAACATCTTCCAAGGGTTTTTTTTTTTTTTTTTTTTAGTTTTTGTTTGTCTTTTGCCGTTTTTTAAAATAAATTTATCAATTTTTTCTTACGGCATCTGTGCCTCCCATGATATTTGGAAAGCAACTATTCATGTTTATGGTTTCTTTTCCTAAAAGTTCCAGGTATGTTCCAGTGCCATTTGTCTATATACTATTCTGTAAAGAAAGTCAGAGAAAGGTTATTTTCTCCATTTTTACAATGTGGGAGCCCAGGCTGGATAGAAGTGAGCACCTTTGCAGTCTCACTATGCAGAAGTCAGGAGAGCCCCATTAGAGCATGGGATGTGGCACCTCAAGACATGGTTCCTCAGGAGCCATTCCTCATCTTCCTTGAGTGCACACCTTACTGCTGGCATTGGAAATTCGCATGTCCACAGCCCTTCAGCACTGAGCCAGGGTCTTTTCCAAACCAAACAGCTTCTTGGTGCCCATTTTTCAATTTCCACCTTGGGATGGCAGCTAAAAATGACTTTGCGGTAGGTGGTTAATTTCTGCTTGTTACTTACTAATAATTACAGCTTTCACTTTGGCACCTCTCATGGTTGAAACCAGCGGCTATTCTTAGATATGCAAGATCAGATTTTCTGATTTCTGCTGGAAATTTAAGGCTGTAATACTCTCACAAATTCCTTGGCCCTGGCCTGGCCTGGCCTGGCCTGGCGCCTTTGCCCAGACTCCTCCCAGGCACCAGAGGTTGCATCAGCAGGGTCAAGGGGTAATCCCGTAGCCTTGCCCCATTCGTGACGAGATGAAGACAGTTCCCAGACAGGTGGTGTGTGCAGTCACTGTACAGGGAGCGCCTGTGAGAGGGAACACGACGTCCCTGAGGGTCAAGCCCGTCCAGCTAACGTTTACCACACACTGTAGATGTGTCAGATGCTATTCCAAGGACTTTAATATGTCTTAATTTGTTCAGTCCTCATAATAACCTTATGAGGTATAAATACCCGTATTCACCCCATTCCATAGGTGAAGAAACTGAGACACAGCTATCAGGTCACTTGCCGAAGGTTACGTGGCTAAAGAGTTAGAAAGCCACAATCTAAACCCAAGCAGTGTGGCCCCAGAACCCTAGCTCCAACCCACAGTAGGCACTCAGTTGTCAACACAGTATCGTCCAGCATCTCCACCTGCCACAGTGGAGCGAGGCACTGGAGTCCTATGGTTATGAAGACAGACACAGCTCCTGGCCTTCATGGCATTTGCAGATGTGGAACAGAACAATGACAGAAGCACTTAACTCCCTGTGCCAAGTGCTGGGGGGAGCACTGTAGGCCCCTGCGACCCCTCATAACACAAGGCCTCCCCCAACCAGGGGAGCCAGAGGGGGCCTGCACACACTTGGGCAGTGACCTCAGCAGTGACTAGCACCAGGTCAGGGACGATGGAGGCATAGAACAGCATGTGGGAAGACCTGGGGGCAGCCTGAGCTCTGAGTGTTAGAGGAATACTGGCCCCTGGGGCATGAACCCTGAGGAGTAAGCAGTAAAGCAGCCAAGGGGAGCCAGGAGAAGGGCCCAGGCTCAAGTCATGCCAGCACCCCTGGCAGCCATGTTAAGATATTTTAGTTAATCCTAAAATCATTGGAAAGCTACTGAGGGACTTGAAGCAGGAGCATGAAAGGACCACTTTCAAAAGATCACTCCAAGCTGGGCACTACTCAGGAGGCTGAGGTGGGAGGATTGCCTGAGTCCGGCCTGGGCAACATAGCAAGACCCCTCTCCGGAAAAAAAATCACTCCAGCTAAATGTGGAGAATGGATGGAAGGCAGTCAAAGTGGACGCCGGCAGAGCAGGAAATTGGGAGCATTGGTCCAGGTGGTAGAGGACAGCAGCTTGGTCTGTGGTCTCAATGGAGATGAAGAGGAGGGGACCCTGAGATGCCTTCTGAGGCAGAACTGATGGGACTTGTTGTAGGTTGGATGTTGAGGGGTGAAGGAAAAGGAGGAATACAGAAGGAAACCTGAGTGTGGGGCTTGAGTCTGTGGGTGACTGGTGACACCATTTGCTGCAATGAGGAAGCCTGGGGAAGAACTGATGAGTTGGAGTCAGGGAGGCAGAGACTTCAGAGTCCCACTTGAGCTTGGAAGTGTCGGGTGCCTGAGGACAAGGAAGTCAGGATGCCAGGCAGGCGGCTGGATGTTCCGGTCTACATTTCAGAACTGGGCTGGAAACATACCTTTAAGAGTTGGGATTTAAAGCCCCCTTTAAAGGCCTAAGATAGGTGCTAAGACGGCCTAAGAAGAGAATGTAGGTGGAGAAGTGAAAGGGCCAGACTGAGACTGAGCCCCTCCACATTTAAAGCTTGGGGAACAGCCGGGTGCAGTGGCTCATGCCTGTAATCCCAGCAGTTTGGAAGGCTGAGGCGGGTCAATCACCTGAGGTCAGGAGTTCAAGACCAGCCTGGCCAACATGGTGAAACCCCGTCTCTACTAAAAATACAAAAGTAGCCAGGTGTGGTGGCAGGCACCTGTAATCCCAGCTACTCGGGAGGCTGAGGCAGGAGAATCGCTTGAACCTGGGAGGTGGAGATTGCAATGAGCCGAGATCGCACCACTGCACTCCAGCCTGAGCAACAAGAGCGAAACTCCACCTTGAAAAAAGAAAAAAAGATTGAGGAGCAGAGGAAGAGCCACAGCATCTGAAGGGGAGTGGTCGGCAAGGCGGGAGGAAAGCAGCGCAGACGGCATCGCGGCAGCCAGGGGGGCAGGAAGGAGCCCATGCGGTGAAGGCGAGAACCTGGGTCTGGCTCATCAGTTACAACCCTGGCCCCGCCACACACTAGCAGTAATACCTGGGCAAGCTATTCCCACTCCCACTGAGCCTCTATGTCTTCTATTAAATGAAGAGAGTTAGGACAACCACATAACAGCAAACACATAACAACTACTAAAATAACGATTTTTAAGGAGGATGTGGCCGGTGGGCAGTGCCGCTGAGAGGTTGGGAATGTAGCGACAAAAGCATTTGCTGGACCTGATGTATGGGAGTGTTGGTAACGAGACTGGATTTAGTGGCGTGGTGGAGATGGATGCCATCTGGTGTGGGTTGCAGAGCAAATGGCAAGTGAGGAAGTTAAGGCACAGAAGGTGCACAGTTCTTGCAAGAAGAATCCCTCTGGAGCAGCAATGAGGGATGTGATTGGGAGCCTGGGGCTTGAAGGGGGCTGAAACCCGTTGGAGCATGTTGATTGGATGTGCGGAGCTGCGTAGGGACTGAGGAGGCTGAAGCCCATTGGAGCACGTTGATTGCCCACAGGGATGATCAGGTAAAAATGAGGCCCTCGGCATCCAAAAGAGAGGGGGGATGTGTGGAGGTGAAATGAATTCCTCCAGCAAGAGTGTGGTGGGGTCCAGGGCACAGGCAGAGGGCTCTCAGTGACGAAGTCAGAAGAGACACAGAGTGGATGGAACAGAGGACACAGATGAGTTGTTGGTTTGGTGGCCAGAAGAGGCTCGGGGTCCACTTGGCTGGCTTCTGACTTCTCTCTGAATGATGTGTCAAGGCAGCGGAGGGGATGGGTCAGGAGTCAGAACAGCGGGGCTGAGGCCAGGAAGGGCTAGCGCCTGTCACTGCTGCAGCTAGGGGAGGAGGAGCTCATCCTGCTGTGCCACGGAGCCCCTGGAGAAGGGATCCCTCTCGACAAACTGACACAGCCAGATGCAGACTCAGAGACTAATGGCAGTTGCACAGCCCGACCCTGGCAAAGACATTTGGCTGGGCCTTCAATGAGGCCAGAGCCTGGGCTGTGCTCAATTTGGGGACTTCAGATCCCAGCATGGGGCCTGGCCGAGGGAAGCTCAGGGTAGGACGGCACTTGAAGACAAAATCACTGCCTCCTTCCACTTGCTAACCCTTCTCAGACAAAGAAAGAATTAAGGCTAAGTCCAGTGAGAGCCGACAGAGCTGAAGGCCTCTCTAGGCCTTGAGGGCTTGGAAGGGTGACAGGAGACCCATCAGGACACAGGATCCCTTTCTGCTTGGCCCTTGTGCTGATTTTTATGTGAAAAAGAAGGTGGGCTCCAGGAGCACCCTCTGTGCTAGCAGACACCCTGCGATCAGGTGGGACCCCTCTGCCCTCCACAGCATCTCTCTTTAGGGAGGCAGGGTCAGGGGTAAAGGACATGGTTTGGAGGGGTCAGGGAGGCTGCCGGCTTGAGCTGCGAGGTCGGGAGGTACCTACTGCCATGCGTCCTTTCCGTCACGTTTCTCTGCCAGGCGCAGGTGAGGTAGAAGATCTCGGGGCCGTTCTGAGGGCTGCCTCCAGCCTAGACTGCTCCTTTGTGTGCGTTTCCGAAAGATGTCCCTTCTGAATAGACTAAGCCCCCAGAGAGAGCAGCCTTGGCTAGTGGAGGACAACTTTGTGAGAAGGAAAGGGCTTCCTTGCATTCCTCCAGGCTGGTGCAGCCCTGTCCAGGCACACAGCCTGCAGTGGGGCCCAGGCTGGTTGTCAGCCTCCTCAGCCCAGTGCCTGTGCACACCCCGCACAGCCAAGCCCAGGGCAAGCCCCTTGCAGCTGACATGAAGCAGGGGCTTGACAAGCATTTGATGAATGAATGAATGAATGAACGAGGAAACTAGACCTGCGTGAGGTTCTGGGTGCATCTAGCACCAGGTCCCCCAGCCAGGAACACCACTTCACCTTGAGAGAGAAACCTTCACAGAGTAGCTTGCCCTTTTAGGATCACGTCTCCAGTCTGGTTCAACAAACCATTCCAGGAAGCCCTCTGTGCGCAAGGCAGAGTTAGGGTGCGAGGAAGGAACAGGCTTGACCCAGCCCTGCAGGAGGGTTGGCACACTTGCGGCTCACTGTGACAGGGCAGATGAGGTCGAGGGGTGTCCCAGAGCACACGCAGGGTGGAGGAAGAATGGAAAGGTGAAAAGTGCTTGCCCTGGGTTTCTGGGGGGTCCTGGGCAGAGTGAAGCTGAAAGGCATTTGAGGCAAAAGAGGAGGTTGGAAAGGCGGCAGGGCCCTGATTTTGAATTTTAAATGCCAAGCAAAAGCATTTGGGTTATGTTCATGCCAAATAAGCTTTGTACACGGTGGGGAGATTTTATCCACATTTTTCATAGTAACCCAATAGCAGGGACAAACCAAGGGTTCCTAAGAGAACATTCAGAGCTTATGGAGCTCTCAAAATAAGGTAGGAAGTATCCACGCCCCTTGCCTTTGGTGAGAGGCAGTCAGCCACCAGCGGCCAGGACAGAATATCTGTCCCTGGAACCTCTTCAGAGAGTGACCTTCCAGACCCTGCCCTGCAGCTGGAGCACTGACCTTGCGCTGAAGTGTGTTCTTGTTGGCAGCTGATGGCGTTGAGTTCCCAGAGCCCATTTCACTGTGCTGCTGTTCCTTTGGTACCAGTTCTTGTATCTCTTAATAAGCTTACAAGGCCCTTTATTTTTTTAAATTGAATTCACTCCTTGGTGAAAGGAAAGGGAGATTTCATTTGCTGTTGCTTCCCTGGCCTTCACCTGTCCTTGTTGATCTGTGCCACAGAAATGGCTGCCCTGCTCTGACCCACACCCAGCATTCAGTAATCTGCAGACTTTTCTTGAGCACCTACTAAGTTGTGTCCTAGGGGACCAGCCTGTAGATCCTCTGCTGAGGGATACAGAAATGACTGTGGCTAGGAGTTGTCTACAGTTTAGCGAGAAAGCCATACTGTTTCTATGTGAGGGGCTTTGGGAAAGTATAAATGATATTCTTTTCTTCCTGAGTTCCCAACCAGTGAAGATGAGGGAGGCAGATGGAGATCAAATCCCCACCTCTGCTACTGGGGAGGTTGGGTGGAATATGTGGTCCTTATTTGGGCTATGGACTCCCAGGAAAGAAGGCTTTTCAAGTAGTGCAGGTTCATAATCAATACTTGTGGCCTCGTTCTGTCCTAGAGGCCCAGCCACATGCCTAGGCAAAGAAGGCTACATCCTGGGGTGATCTCACGGGTGGTGGGAGACCTTAGAAATCCTTTCCTTTTTATCTCCAACTCCATCTCAAACTACCTGATTGGTGTCTGAAACCCCACCACTAAAGCTTCATTCCTGGAGCCTAAGACGTTGTGCCCCATGCAAGTGTAATTTCCTCTTAGAGAGGGAATGGCTATTCAGAGTCATTGTCTTAAGGGGCCATGGTGAAATGGAAAGGCTAGACCTGGATCCCCCAAATACTCTGACCTGGCAAAATAGAGCTGCGGGGCTCAAATGAGTCCAGTTGTCTCTTTGCACCTCAGCTTCCTCACCCTGCGGTCTCCAAGAGAGCTTAGGCTTGACTGAGAGTTACTTACCCTCACCATTTGTGACTCGCTTTGGGCTCCAGGCTTTCTGGTGAATGGAAGTTGCTGGAGGAAACCTGTGGCACTGGTATAAGGCCTGTGCTCCTGATGGATGTGGCAGGAAAATGCTCAGCCTAGGGTTGATCCCTTGGCACGGCCTTGTCTTGATCCCTGCCACTCCTGTGTTGTCTGATGCCTGCCACTGCCCTGGGAGAGCTATGGGCTAGGCACAGGCCCCCCACCTGACAGGTGGACAGGCCCAGAGAAGGTGATTGACTTGCCCAAGGCCACACATGAGGCGCAGGGCCAAGAACCAAGTTCTCCATGTTCTCATGACACTGTGGCTTGCAAATTGGAAACCCTAGTGTTCCCAGTGGCGCCTCAGAGGCAGAGAGAGGGGGGCAAACAAGAGGGAGCCACACTGCCCACTCTCAGGAGTCTTTTGTATCCTGGGGTAAGATCCCTTTGGAAGAAACAGCCTTCACTGGCAAAAATGGTTTGAAAATCACTGCAGGACATCATGCCTTCAGTCTTTCCTTTTGAGCTGAAAACGGAGGGATTTGGGAGTAACCCTAGGCCGTGCATTTTGCTGTCACATCTGTCAGGGTCACAGGCCTTATCAGAGCCATAGGTTTCCTCCAGCAACTTCCACAGCACTGAAAAGTGCCATGGGGGCTGGATTCTTTCCCTTACCGTCATGATCCTGACTTCGTTCCGTCTGTGTCTCCCATTTCCCCATCACGTGAAGGGAGCGAGAACATCAGGCCTGAGGCTTAGGCAGGCTTGGCGACCAGTGAGATACTTGGAATCACATTTGGTCTCATGGAGGACCCCTGGAGAGCAGGAATGACATGCACACAGTCTTATTGGCATTTATGGCTTTCTCCACATTGATTCTTGTTCTGGACATGTTCATCCCTGCTCTCCTATGTCAGCCTTTGTTCATAATGCTCTAACTGGGAGAGGCTGGGCGGCCTCACCAGCCCACAGCATCTCCAGGACTGGGATCTTGGAAGTGAACTCACTCCCAGCTTGGCAGTGAGGCAGGAGCCAGGCGTGCAATGAGAGGGACGCTCTGTCCTGCTCCCCTGTGTTGCCACTGCACTCGAGAACCAAAACCTCAGTGGGCACACATTTGACTCTTTGGTGAGGGCGTTGAGGGAATTGTGTTACTGAAAGGCATCAGACAGCCCGATGGTGTCATTAGGAGGGTGTTTGTCTCCCAGAAGGGAGAGGTTTTGCCTGGTCCAAACTAAAGGACAGAGAAATGTCTTCTTTGTCCCTATAGAGTCCCCTGTGAGTATAGAAGTTCAGGAGTTACCTTCTGAGTTGAGTCTTCTGAGACCAGGAGGCAGGCATGGCTGGGCGGTCACCTTCAGGGCTCAGTGCATGGTGCTGGAATTGCTCGAGTTTCTGTGTCTGCAGGAGTCACCCAGTATGCCCCTCCACAAGCCCCTGGGCCCCGTTATCTCTAGCGAGGAGGGACTGGCAGGCACAAGTACAGACAGAAGGCACTGTGTGCATCTGGGCCAGGCGAGGCCCGCTTCTTCCAGGGCCTTCTCTTGGGGAGAGAAGGCCTGGGGAGTCAGTCGTTGGTACAAATATCACCAGGAAAGTGAGATGTTCGAGGGAGGGACCGGCCAGGCTGATTGAGGTCAAAGGTCAGCAGCATCGCCACTAACCACAGCCATGAGATACACACCAGCCATTTCCCCGCCCCCAGGCCTGAAGCTGGGAGCCAGAAAGATGGATCTGCCCCAGCGCCTGCCAGGGCTATCCCTGGCATACCCAAGACCTCACAAAAATACTTACAGGGACCTGGCTATCAGGAGCTGCAGAGGCTGGGCTTTCCTTTCAGCTGAGGCGGGTGGTCAGAGAGCTCCCTGGGATGGCGGGATCCATCTGGGCCCTGAAGGAGGCTGCAGTGATGGCTTTACAGGCACAGGCCATAGAATTGACACAAGTGTGGAGACAGGGACACCCACTGTGTGTGCAGAAGCAGCACTAGCAAGGCCAGAGCCCGGGGGTTCCGGGAGGCGGTAGGAAGCAGATAAGGGCAGTGTGCCAAGCTCCCGAGGGCTGCAGAGGAGTCGGATATCACCCTGGGCCAGAGGAGATGCTGTTCTCTGTGGGGGCTGCAAGCACAGGCTCCCAGCCAGGTGGCTGGGGTTCTAATCCCAGCTCTGCCTCCAGTTTGCCCTGAGAACTTGGGCAGGGTGTTCACGCTTTCTGCACCTCAGTTTCCTCATTTGGACAATGGGGATAAAATAATAGTACCTACTGGATCACCATGTAGATAAAATGAGAACTGAGAAGGCCTCTAGGTACAAAGCACATGTTTAATAAGTGTCAGCTACTGCTGTTGTTAGTTACCTTTCATCCATTCAGCGATTCAGTGAGCTCTGACTATGTGCCAGGCACTGTTCTAGTCCCTGGGGACGCAGCAGGGAGCAGCACAGACACCATCCCTGCCCTCATGTCGCTTACAGCCCATATTCCGGTGGGTGCAGAAAATCAGAGCACAGGGCCTCGGCCTGGCTGCCTGTTGGGCAGGCGCGGAAGCCACAGGCCCCAGGGAAGAAGGAGGGCTTCGGAGCAGGTGGCTGCCGCCCCAGAGGTTGGCCTCAGGGTTAACCTGGCAGCAGCTGTGGAGGACAGGCTCATGGCCAGGGCAGGAGGCAGGGAGGGGAGTCTCTGCATAATTGAGGCAGTTTCCAAAGTGGGCTCCAGGGGATGACAGGGTAAGGTGCACAAAGAAAATAGTAAAACTTTCTTGTTTTTTTCGTTGTTGTTGTTGTTTGGTGTTTTTTGTTTTGTTTTGTTTTTCAGACGGAGTCTCACTCTGTCACCCAGGCTGGCATGATCTTGGCTCACTGCAACCTCCACCTCCCAGGTTCAAGTGATTCTCTTGCCTCAGCCTCCCTAGTAGTTGGGATTACAGGTGTGCAACACCACGCCCGGCTAATTTTTTGTATTTTTGGTAGAGACGGGGTTTCCCCATGTTGGCCAGGCTGGTTTCGAACTCCTGACCTCAAGCTATCCGCCCGCCTCGGCCTCCCAAAGTACTAGGATTACAGGCACAAGCCACCGCAACTTGCCTAAACTTTCTTTTTTTATTTTTGTTCTTTTAACTTTCTATTTTGTGTGCTGTTGTGGATCATATGACATGTAAGATATTAATTCATACAAACATACACATAACTGGGAGATAGGGGTGCAAACCTCTTTTACTGCAGGATACGCCAGTGGTCAAGGCAAGAGTGCTGAGGAAGGGTCTGGCCTGCAGGTGGGAGAAGGGGTCCATGAGCCCCGACAGAGCGGGCGGCCTCTGCGTGAGGCTCTGGGCTGCAGACTTGACCATGTGGCCCTGCTGGCCCTGGAGAGGGGTGGGGGGTGATTCAGATGTCCCTGAAGCCTCAGGCCCAGCTGACTAGAAAGATGGTGGTGCCTCAATTGGCAAGGCCTCAGGAGAAGAGGCCCTCGGGGCCAGTTGACACGTTCCCCCTGGATATTCGACAAGTGTGCACCTGGGAGGCAGGGAGGCCGCCCTTGGAAACACTCAAAAGGGCTCTTCAGGGAGGCCAGGGCTGCAGAGGGGTTTGGCTCCACATGGAGGTGAGAGAGTTGAGGCCTGGATCGGTAGCAGGGTCATTTTCCTGCTTGTTTTAAAAGCGATAGCTTGGCTTGTCAAAGGGCTTTGTCACTGTGACACAGATAAGAGTTTACAGGGTGCATCAACTTCCCCTGGTCAGAGGTGAGCTCAGGGGCCAGGTGTGGCGGGGCAGCCATCTTGCATCACGCCTGTGAACATGATAGCTGCAGCCTGCAGCCCCATCATACTTCTTGGCATCAGGAGAGTGGGTCAGAGGGCAGAGCCGTTGCCCTCTGAGGGTCTGGGTGCCTCTGGTCTGCTTGTGCCCTTGTTCATTCTGGCCCTTTTTCTATGGGGGTCAGAGCCAAGGGTTGGACCGGGCCAGCCTCTGTCCAGACACTGAGGAGCCCCGGGTGGGCCCTGAGGGTGGGTGCCCTCAGAGGTTGGGGCAGGGACCAGGCAGGCCTCACTGCTCCCTGCCTGGTGGTGACCTATGCCTGCCCTGCAAGGCCCACAACACGAGTGACTCCAGTCCCCATATAGGAGTGGGCAGGAGGGACTGTCAGCGGCAGCTGTTTCCACTTGGAGCAGGGATCAGCTGGCTCTGCGCCCCGCCAGACTCCCGTGCAGGGAACACGAACATCAGAGTGGTGGCTGCTCGCAGGGCCTCAGAGGGGCACCAGGAAAGCATGTGCCGTTGCTGTCTCCTCACAGCTGAAGTCTATATCGGCATCGGGAAGCCTGCAGAAGCCACAGCCTGTACCCAAGAAGCTGCCAACCTCTTCCCAATGTCCCACAATGTCCTCTACATGCGCGGCCAGATTGCTGAGCTCCGGGGAAGCATGGACGAGGCGCGGCGGTGGTATGAAGAGGCCTTAGCCATCAGCCCCACCCACGTGAAGAGCATGCAGCGACTGGTGAGTCCACGAGCCCGGCGGTGGCCCCTACTCTGGCATGGGGACAGCCCTTGGAAGCGGCAGGTAGCACATGACCCTCACACCCTCTTCTGCTTCCAAAGGCCCCATGCAGTTAGCTTGCCAGGCTGTCACATGGCCTGAAGCCAGAGGGCACCGTTTCTACCATAGTTTATGCAAATGGCACCCCCAGAGTTGGCTGTGTATAGCCTCAGCAGCCCTACCCGACATCCTGTTAGGTGCTGTGGTCTCCTGGCCAGCAGTCTAAGCCACCCTGTGGCTCTGGGTTTGATAAAGACATTCTTGTGGCCGTGGGGCATTGTCACTGTCATCTCAGCCTCTGTGCTGCTTGCAGTAGCCACCTTCGGGGGTTTCCACATCCCGGGGAGACTTCAGGATGACAGTCAGAACACTTTACAAACTGGGAGACTCTCTTGCCTTAAGGGAGCCTGAGACTCCAGCATGTCTCTGAGGCCATTGGCTGGGAGGGAGCATCCTACCAGCGGGGGTGTCTGGCCATGTTGCCCTGAGAGGTGGGAGGCAGATGAGTCACCCTAGTGTCCACACTGCACAGGGGTGTGGCGGCGCTCAACGAGTGCACATCCTTCGTCTACAGCCTGGGCCAAAAGCCTGGGGTTGCCCTGCTGCTCCCACCCCTTGCCATGGATCATTCTTGAGAGACCCTGGAGCCGGCCACCTGGCCGTGTCGGTTTCAGTTAGGTGGGGACACTGCTCGCTCAGGAGGGTTCTGTCCGTTATGAACGTGTGTTAGTGCAGCTGCCTCGGCAGTCCTCTGTCATCTTCCTGCGAGGGTCTGAATTGAAACTCACAAGTTACCAGGGTCTGAGGAGCTTGTGAAAAGCCGTGCCACGTTCCCTGGGCCTGCATGCTGGGCTTTGGTTCTGAATTGTTGTTTCATTTTTAGCAGTAGACATCGCTGATGTCATGAACCGCAGGAAAGAAGAGCCTTTTATTATAAAGCTCAGGGCCCTTCGTGTCCGCACCCGTGGAGGCTTAGCACCCATAACCAGATGGTGGTGTGTGATATGGAAGAGTGAGCACTGGACAGGGAGTCTGAGGACACAGTTCTGGTCCCAGCGACATCAGCTGCTTGCTCTTTAACCTCAGGAAAGGCCCCTAAGCTCTCAGCACCTCAGTGTCCTTTCTGCAAAATGAAGGCATTTGACTAGACAGGCTGTGTCTGTCCAAGACTAATAGGATGTGGTTTTGTAACTAATAAGTAAAATGTTCCCCAAAGCATCCCAAAGCCTTCATTATCTTGCCATTTCTCATAGTAATGTTGCAAAATGTAGAAAGGGGCTGGGCACTAACTGCTGGTTTCCAGCAGAAGAATGCTGATGCACTGGGAATTAGGCCCCATGGAAAGAGTGTCTGCTTACAAGTTACATCTGCACTCGAACTAAGCCCTGGTCCTGACTCCTGGGGAAGCTCGGACTTGTCACTTAACCTTTAGGCACCTTGTTGTGTTTAGGTGAATTGGGCTCCTACCCCAGTGGGATGTTGTGAGAAAGAATGAAATGATTTACATAATAATCTTAGCAGAGTTCCTGGCACCTAGTAGGTGCTCATGAAATAGGAAACTGAAGACAGTCATTTTCAGTTTTAAAAAGAAATCAAACCTTACCATAATTACAGCTACTTAATTTTTTCCAACTTCCCTTTGTGAGTCTTCTGTGGCCCCAAACAGATTTATAAATAATTTTACATATTATCCAAATGTTAGTCTGTTTGATTAAAAATACTACATGGCTTTTAATTTTTTTCTCACTATTAGAAGAGGAATTTGTAAAGAGCTTGTCAGATCTCTGTGCTTTTGCTGAGAGCATCTAGAAGACGTACAATCCCCGCCATGTCCCAGCCTTTTTATTAAAAAGAGGCTGCATGTTTCCATCTCGGGGACTATGAATTATTCAGGGAAGTATTTCTTGTTCATCCCCAAGGGGAACACATGAGACAAAAGATCAAATAGGAAAATCGCACCGGGAGAGTTTTCTGTTTCACCTTTGGAGCTTTTCAAGACACCTGAGATGCCTGACACATGCCAGGCACTTTCCTTTCTGAAAGGAGCAAGCAGTTGACCCAGCACGAGGGAGCTGGTGAGTGAGACTAGGGCCATGGTGAGCCCCGCCTGCTGGGTCCATCGGCAATGACTGAGCCTTACTAGGCTCAGAGACATGAGCTGCTTTGGAGATCTTGCCAGTAGAGAGGGGTCATCATAATAAACTATTAAAACCTCTCTCCGTGGATCCTGAGATATTGAAAAACCATCCAGATTGGAGGCAGGATGAGAAGAGCGAGACTACAGATTTGAGGAGTTTAGAGTCTCGCAGTCAGAAACTTTGCCCAGTGACTGATCAGTGTGGCTCCCGAAGGTAGCTTGAGCACGCCTTCTTGGTGATTTTCTAAATGATGCACCTGGCCTGTGTTCTCCCCAGCCTGTCCCCAGGAGCCCAGCCCACAGCCAGGGGGAGCCCCATGCAGCCAAGGGCAGGCCCCCCTCCCACTGGTGCTGCAGGACCCTCTGGTGCCTGTGGAGGGGCAGCCCATGGACCCCACAGGCTCTTCAGCCCTGAGACATCACACTCCCTCTCTGTCCTCTTCCCTACAAGCTACACAGGGAAGCTGTGTTTCTGTGCCCTTCGATGGAGGAAGGGAGGAAGGGGGTCTTCACGTATACCCTAGAGGCCCAGGAGGAGGCCCTGGAGCCAGGCTGGCCTGGGTTAGAATCACAGCTCTGGCCCCATTCGCTGTGGGGCCTTGGACAGGTTATTCACCCTCTTGGTGCCTCATTTTCCTCAGCTATATAAATGAGGATAACCGCGCCAATACAACATGCAGACAGATTAAACCCAAGAACTGACATCTCTTGCTAAGTCACAAAAGGTTCTGTCTCTACCCTCACGGAAGGTGGATTGGTTTGCAAGCCCCTGAGTTAAGAGGAAGGTGTCAGCAGGGAGATGAGAGGCTGTCTTACCAGGTCAAGCCCCAGGGAGGAGGCAGGGCCCCGACCTGTGTGGCGGAGAGTGGCGGAAACAGAGCTGAGCGTTGACAGTTGCCTGGCACACAGGGAGAGCGGCGAGGGGGAGGCCAGGGAGGCCAGGGTCAGAAGGTCAAGACTAGAAGGAGTTTAAAGAACAGAGCCCTAGGGAGCATCAAAGAGCCAACTACGGAGGCTCCAAGGGAAGGAGCCAACTGGGAGACAGGTCGTGGATCATGGGAGAGGGTAGAAAGTGTGCTTGCAGCAGCCCTGATGCTCAGAGAGGAAGGCAAGGAGCCAGGGGACAAGCAGTCAGTGGGGGCTGTTAGGGAGAAGGAAGCCTCATTGTCTGTGTCACAGGTGGTGGTCAGGTGGCTGATGTGACGGCAGAGAACAGTTATGCCAGGAGTTGTAAGTGGCAGCAGGTGCCAGATCAGCAGCTTGCAGGAGGGCTATGGCTTAAGCAGAAATGCAAACCTGTTAGTATTGTTAAAAAGCAAGAGTGACTTTAGTATTCATGAACAGTAAATCAGAGGTCAGACTTGACAAGAGAAATGTAAATTCAACCCCAGAGGAAACGGACGATCTTCTAATAGCTTTAGCCTTCATGTATGTGTCTAAATTCATGTGTAGTGAGAAGGGAGCAGAGAAATCATGTGTTTATTAGCAATAATGAGTTAGCACAAGACAAGGGAGGCAGAGATTGCTGAGGATGGGCAGGTATTACGGGAGCAGCATGCTAGAGGGATAAGGAGTTGCCAAGTAATGTTGTTGACAAGGGGAGGAATTCATAGACTGACCAGACTTTTTCCAGAAAATCTAAAGGCATATTTTTGTATTATTTTTGCATAAGTGTATAAATTTACATTTATTCGTGTGCTATGTTAAAAAGCCTTTAGCTCCCAGTATGCAAAATGAATTAAAGAAACATAGAGCAACTTTTTCCAAAGCAGTTATTCCATGTTCTGGGGTGGGGAGAGGAGAGAAGCATGGCTCATGGTGGACAGAGGAGCAGAGAACCAGCATCCCTGGACAGTCATTCCCAGGCCAAGGACAAAATCACCAGGACAGGGACAGGCTGTGCAAACACTGACATCTGGTTGCCCTCTGATAACGTCAGCCTGGGCTTTTGAGGGCAAGTGTGAGGTTGGAAAGTAAGAAGGGAACAAGGGCTTTCAGGAGAGAGAAGAACATGGAAGGGAGCCAAGAAGGTTGCGTGGAGGGGAGCTGATAAGGCCAGGATGGGAAGTATTGCTAGGGAACAAATGTGTGCTGGAGAATATTAGCAGGAGGCTCGGGTCCGCCTCCAGTCCCTTTGACAGGTTGAGAAAAGGTGTGAAGCAGAAGCAGATGGCAGGGGTCAGCCAGGGCTTGGCGGAGTGGACAGCAAGTGGAGTGAAGTGGGGTGAGGCCGCTTTGAAGAGGCCTGTGGGCCGAGAGGGACCGTGAGCCAGAGAGGGACCATGAGCCCGAAAGGGACCATGAGCCAGAGAGGGACCGTGAGCTGAGAGGGACCGTGAGCCGGAGAGGGACCGTGAGCCGGAGAGGGACCGTGAGCCGGAGAGGGACCGTGAGCTGAGAGAGACCGTGAGCCGGAGAGGGACCGTGAGCTGAGAGGGACCGTGAGGCGGAGAGGGCCTGTGAGCCGGAGAGGGACCGTGAGCTGAGAGGGACCGTGAGCCGGAGAGGGACCGTGAGCCGGAGAGGGCCTGTGAGCCGGAGAGGGACCGTGAGCTGAGAGGGACCGTGAGCCGGAGAGGGACCATGCACTGAGAACCATGGAAAGAGCATCGGGACAGCAGTGAGATGGAGCCCCCACCCTGCAGTGGGGAAGGAGGAGAACTGCTGCGTCCACCTGCAGGATGAGCATTCCCCAAGGCTAGGACGGAGGCCATTATATTTCACAGCCAATGCTGAGAAGTGACGAAATCTAGATTAAAAGCATGAAGGGGCCATCCCCTTAAATGAAGTTTCCAAGGCAAGGCTGAGGGCCTGGAAAGGGACAGAAAGCCATCAGCCCTTTGTGAGAAGATGGCAGAGGGGCTGTGTTTCACGCACTGCCCCCCAACCCCCGCCCCAAGGAAGTAGTGATAAAAGACCACTGGTGAAGCTCACCAAGGAGAAGGGGAAAGTGATGGGGAGGAGAGACGGGCGGTGGCTAGGGGTTGGGCTGAGGCAGTTGGCCCAAAGAGTACGCTGGGGGCCATGTGCCTCATCTGGAGGGGTCTTAGGTGTGGTGGGTTGGGAGTGGAGTGGAGCATGGGAAGCATTTGGCAGGGAGCTTGGATCAGGAGCGCTGCTTGGTGGAAAAACACATTTTTCAGGTTACCATAAGGGGTCAATCTAATAATAGAATAAGCTTTTTGTTCCGGGCATGGTGGGCCCAAAAGTGCTCTTTTGTCTTCTGTGGACGGATTGTGAGACAAGAAAACCTCTTAGTTCAATCAAGATGGCTGCAGGCTAAAGGTTTCATACACAGGCTGTCTTTGAGGAGTTCCTCTATGATCTTCTGTTCTCTGAAACATCAGAAATCTGGAATAACATCAAATATAAAAACTTGAGGACTGGCTCTGCCGTTCTATTTCAAGGGACTACATTAGTAGCAGAAGACTTGCAGAGATTGGCCGAGCTGTTTGAAAAATGCATTTTCTTATGAAATACCCGAAGGTGCGGCAGATTGATGGTAGGTTTGGGAGATGGCCCCACGATGTGAGGTGCAGTGGATATGTCTTATGGATTATGACTACATTTTCAGTTGTTTTAACAGCTCCAAAGGCTGACTAACGACACTGCTGACTAACGACACCACTCTGAGAAGGTGGCTCTTCTGAAGTTCAAAGAGGGGCCTGAAGTCGGAGCTTTCTTTAAACTGTCTTCCAGTTTACATGCTTGTTTGCTGTGTGAAAACATCTCATCCCATTATGCGTGATGAGCTGGAAGTATGGCAGAGAGGGCTGGAATCGAGGGAAAAAGGTGAGCTTCGGCTTGCCTGGCATTGCTAAATTATAAAACACTGGTGTTTTTCTCTCTCTCTCGTCTCTTAAATTGTCCATCTGTTCATTGAGATTTGGGAAAAATTGCTGTCTCCTATTTTCTTAGTTGGCACCATGTTTTCCAGTTTGTGTCCCTGTGGGAGGAGAGATTCAGCATGAAGATGATGAACTTCCCAGGGGGCTCCTCCAGAAACTGGCACTCGGTGTCTGTGTGTCTGTCCAGTTTATCCATCAGCCTAGTGAGGGCTACCCAGGATCCAGACAGGCAGGACAGGCTCACGCATTGGCACATCTGCAGTTTTCCCTTGGAGAAACGTCTTCAGAAGACATCTTTTGAACCCTTCTGTTCCTCTGGATAAGGCCCAGGCCCAATTAAGCTGATGAAATAGACTTGAAATACCCTTCCCGCTTTCAAATGGCCATCTTTAGACGTGGATCTCTTTCATCCGAAGTATCAGTTTTCTTTCCATACATAGAAAGAATGACTGGCAGGAAACAAAACTTCATGATAGTCCAGTGAGAAGGCCTTTTCATCTGTTAATTGTATTTTGCTTTCTTTCATAATTAAAAAATGTTTTCCAAATTGAGGAGAATAACTTTTTTTTCCTCTAGAGCAAGGCTTATGAAGTATTTAGTGCCCAGCCTTCCAATGCGTCCATGTGCTTGTTGAGAGGACCCTGAAAAGTGCACAGGCCCTCATTTCTCTCTTGCCTTTCCTCGCTATAACTGCAGTTCCAACTCACAGTGCCGAGGACAAAGTAGTGCCTCCTACTGGATGCCTCCTACTGGACACTTCATCTTCGATCTTTGCTCTGTCTTCTGTCTGGTGACACACACTCTTCGATAGCTGCTTGATAGTTTTAGCTTCTTCGATAGCTGTGTGAAGCCCTTTCAACAATTATTGATACTTGGCTTAAGGATTACCTTTCTCTACAAAGAACTTTGAAGCCTCATATGTCGTGTCTGCTGCGTGTGCTCTCCTAGTACACAGTGAGAGGGGACTTTCTTGTTTACTGATGGGGACCCTGCTGTTGGTCACCTGCCCCAGGTCACCTGTAAGTTAGGAGCAGAAGCAGAACAAGAAAGTCGTGAAATCGTATGTTGGTGTGGTCCCTTAGGAACCCAGAGCTTCAGTGACAGGCGGTGGAAAGATCGGGAGCACGGTGCTGGCGCCAGCTGCCTGGGTTCCAGTCCCAGCTGTGTCGCTTACTAACTGCGTACCCCGAGATAAGTCCCTTCATCTCTCTGTGCTTCCATTTTTCTCGACAGTGAAATGGGAGTAATAACAGTGCCCGGTGGTGTTGCTGTGCGGGTTAAATGAGTTAGCAGGGTGCCTCACACTCCGCAAATATCAGCTCTGAGTGTCGCTGTCATTCTCTGTAATCCAGGTCGCGCCTGGGCTGGGAGATCCTTTGCGTCTGTTTGACAGTGAGTGAGTCATCTCCTGGCCCCATGGAGCTTCCCTTTCTGCACCAGCGTGACTGACTTTCACTGGTTGGAGGAGCCGAAATGAGAATATATCTCGGTGCGTGGTCGGCCGCGAGCACGATGCTTCGCTTTTGAGTGTGACTTGCTGCCTGTTTCTGCAGAGCCAGGGCCCTGGTTTTGAGGTGGAAAAGGGTGGGAGAGTGCATTGGTGGAGGCCCCTGGGGTGATTTGTTCCTAGGCGGAGATAGAAAGTGTTGGATTTTGAGCAGAGGTCATCAGAACCAGCTGTTTCTCTCCAGCCAGGGCTCCTGCCTTGGTGCAGAGGCTTTGAGTGTTTGCTGGCTTGGCCTTGGCACAGCCTTTGCTGACCAAATGAGTGCGGGAAATGACTTCGAGGCAGGATTGGATGATGCAGCCATGTGATTTGACATGAGATCACGAGGCTTGGTCAGGCTGATTAATGGAACACTCCAGCACAGTGGGATGTCAGTGTATTACAAGCCAGACCTCAGGGAGGCCCTGCTAGGCTGTAAGTGGGGCTCTCACTCAGTGTGCTGGGTACAGCCGGGTCCCCAGGCTGATCTGCAGTGTTGACTCCGGGCCTGAACATGGGAAAAGGCTGGAGGAGAGCCTGTGCTTGAGGGCCCTTGGTGGAGGGAGTCACCACCACCCCCAAGTTCATACACTCAGCCCTGTTGACCCCAGGCATACTCTTCCTTGTCAGACTCTGTATCCCATTTGGAAGGCATGGGCGTCACTATCCTTCGACAGAGACTACTGTGGAACAGTGCCCTGCTGGAGCCTGCAGAGTCTCCCCTGGCCACATGTGTGTCCCTGGCTGCTTGCTCTCTGTCCACATGGGCAATCACAGCTGAGAGAGGCTCAGGGGGCAGGCACCTGCCTGAGGGCTGTTATGTCCCTGTGTAGGCATGTCCAGGCGCAGGCGTGTCCAGGTGCAGGCATGTCTAGGCTCAGGTGTCTGTTGGCTTCACAGGACTCCAAGGCCTGGTCCTTCTGTTCTCTCAGTTCACTCAGACAAGATCCCCCTCTGAGAAACAGACTCACACTAATCACACTCTTGACAGACTGAGTTCCCAACCAGAAACCAAAATGATGATTTATAAGGATTTGCACTTTTCCTGGGCCAGACCCCCTGTGCTCTCTTGCCCTCCTCCACAGAGGAGCTTGCCCTCTAGGCTAGACATCAGGCCCCTCCTCCCTCAGGTCAGATGAATTCTCAGCTAGTGGAGTTTCTATTAGTCACTCCCCAGTCGTCTGTTGGGACACACTCTCATCCCTGGATGGTGACTTGGGACACAGCCTCAGCCCTGCATATGGCGGTTCCCTCTGTAGATTGTGATCACAGTGTCGGTACAAGGCAGGATCTTCCTCCCATCCTGGTCCGGGGAGAGGGAGTTTCTTCTGTTGCCTCCACCCTTACCCCAAACCTAGATGAAAGCAGCCTCCCCTGCTTTCCACAGCACCGAGGCCTTTTCATGGCTTTCACCACTGCCTTAAGGAGGGCGGGCTCCTCTGGGGAGGAGATATGGAGACCATGCGGGTCTCACTGGGTTTGCAGTGCCTGCCACCTTGTCTTTGAGGCTGCAGGTGATAGCGATGGCAATAACCAATTAAAGATGGGCCTGTCAAATCCCATCAGAGGGGCAAACCCAGTGGAGAGGATTGAGTGGGGGGAGGTACTGGTGGAACAGGTGTGAGGTGAGAATCAGGTAACTGGAAGTTTTCTTATGATGTAAGCTATTTCCTCACATCCTTTTGAAACTGCACTTTTTTAGCTTATAATATTTTCTCCTTCTTGAGCATCTGTGTCCTCCTTGGAGTAAAAGGAATGTCCCTGGGAATAAGAACCTCTGCCGTCCATCCACATGACTCCTGTTTGGTTACTTGCCCACCTCTCCCCAGCAACCCTCCTGCTCAAAACAACATCATTTGGCACAGGGATAGTCTCTGCAGACATTTTCTGCTTGGTGCTTGGATTTCTCCTACCACTGCAGCATTTTTCTCAGTGCTGGCCAGGGAGGCATGGCACCAGGCCACCCTGTCCTCACCGAGGACTAAAGCCACAGACCCAGAAGCTTCATGGGCCCAGGGCAGGCTCTGAAATGCAAGCATGCGGTGCCTTTTGTCACTAGGCATTCCTTTGCTTCAGCTTAAGGAAAAAATGAATGCTGTGTTTATTTCTGTTTTCTGTCTTGGAGTCTTAGATGACTAATTACGGGCAGTACAGTTCAGTCTGTCATTAGTAATTATGATCTAAAATCATTTAAAATCTGACATACTCTAGCCGAACCATTTATTCTTGGAAATTCTGCCCCGTTATTTCAGTGTGATTTGACATTGAGGTTCCACCTCCTTCCTGCTTTGCTCCCTAGCTTGAATCAGGCCTTTCGTTTTCACTTCTGTGGGTTGTTCTGTGTTCTCAGATTCTGGTCCCGATTCCCGCTCCTTACTTCCCACCTCCCTGGATTTTAGCCCTGCTGCTGCCTTTCATTCCTCAGCCACCCCCATCCCCCACACCGCCTGCCTCTGAACTCAGCCAGAGGGGATGGCTGTCACTCAGAATGTGGCATTCTGTGCCAACTGGGCCTGCTGCTTCCAAGTCATCTTGGGCCTGAATTGCTTTCCCACCATTTGGTGCTGGTCCCAGAGACTCCCCATTGAGGGCTCGGGGGCTCTCTTTGGGCCGTGTCAACCCCACGTGTGATCTGGACCTTCAGACCGAGTTTAAATCACTGAGCCCAAAGGTCTAGGGAGAATATCCTGTAAGAAGTCTCTCCCAGCATCGAGGCTGAGTCCCTAAAACGGACCGGTTGCAGATGGAAACCTTTGGACCTGACACTCACCAGAGAGTTAGAGGCACTGCAGACTGAGAATCCCATTGAAATGCGCTAATCTAATCACCCCCTTTTACAGATGGGGAAGCGGAGGCCAGACAGGGGAAGGGACTCACCAAGGGTCCAGAGCAGTGAGTGGCCAACCCACCAGGAATCCTGACTCCATCGCTTTTGAAGGTTTCATGTCCACTCTTCCTATCTGTAAAATGGGAGACTAGCACCTGCCTTCTTGAGATGGGGGTGGGGATGGAGGTAAAAGAGATCAGCTCTCTGAACTCCTCCAGGGCTAACGCTGCCCTAGAGAACTTTGTCTCCACTCTGATGGACGGGGGGAGTTTCTCATTGTTCTCCGAGGCTCAGACAGCCCCAGCTCTAGGTCTCGTGGTCATGCAGCATCCACTGAGCTTGGCGCCTTTCTCTTTCGCTCTCCACTAGAAAGAAGTCTTTGTGTCTCTTCTTGCCCCTTACCCGCCTAGATGTGTCTCTCCCTGCTGTGTGGCATGCCTGCACTCACAGCTGCCCTGAGCCCAGGACGTGCCTGAGTTGCCAGCCTCAGCGTCGATAGACGAGCTCATTTGGATACAGAGAAGTTTCCAGGTTAGCCTTTGGCACTCATGTTGCCAAGGTGGGGTTGCTTAGGAGGAAGGAAGACAGATCTACCAAGAATCACCAAGTCTAAAACCCTCAGGCTCTTGCGGGGTGCTGACCTGGAGCCAAGGCAGGCCTCTCTCCCCTGCACAGATCCACGGATGCCTGCTCTGGGCCCTGGCCCTGGAGACCACCCCTCCCCGCCCCCGCCTTCCCCTTTCAAATTGATGAGTGCAGCTGACCAAGGAATGAGAGTGCAATTGTGTGAGGCTCCACCCAGAGCGTTTGGTGCAAGCCCAGTCTGGGGTCAGGAGGTGGCCTTCCCTGTTACCTGGCTCCCGGAGGCCTCAGCAATCACCTGGGGAAAGGAGAGAATGGAACAAACCAACCAAGGTCTGAGGGCCTCAATGTCCAGAACACTCCAAGTCACTGAGAGCTTTGGAAAAGCCCTTAGAGAACTCCTTAGCTAAAGGGGAGCCTCTGCCAGGGTTCCAGGGCTCTAGACCACTTTGCCCCAGTAGGAAATTCCCCACCCCATGGGCCTTGCCTGCTTTACTGCCCACCACGTTCACTGATGAACGACACGTGATCTCTCCCTTCCCTCCTCCAGTTGGCTTCCTCCGTTTTCTCATCTGTGTGGTATTTATATAACAACTGTCTCTTAAAATACCTTTCCAGGTGTTAGTGTTTTCATTCTTTTTTTTCTTTTTTTGAGTCTTTCAGAACATCAACTAGTCAGTCACCCCAAGGGCTTGTGAAGGAGGAGGGTACAGGCACAGACACACCTTGTCTTATTGCCCTTTGTCTTATTGCACTTTGCAGATACTCATTTTTTACTAATTGAAGATTTGTGGCAACCTTGCATTGAGCAAATCTATCAGTGCCTTCTTTTTTTTTTTTTGGAGATAGAGTTTCACTTTTGTTCCCCATGCTGGAGTACAGTGGTGCGATCTTGGCTCACTGCAACCTCCGCCTCCCAGGTTCAAGCGATTCTCCTGCCTCAGCCTCCCAAGTAGCTGGGCACCTGCCACCATGCCCAGCTAGTTTTTGTATTTTTAGTAGAGACAGGGATTCCACATATTGGCCAGGCTGGTCTCAAACTCCTGAGCTCAGGTGATCTGCTCACCTCAGCCTCCCAAAGTGCTGGGATTACAGGCATGAGCCACCGTGCCTGGTCTATCAGTGCCATTTTTCCAACAGCACATGCTCACTGTGTTTCTCTGTGTCACACTTTGGAAATTCTCACAATATTTTAAAATTCTTTTATTATTATTACATCTGTTGTGATCTTTGATATTACTATTGTAATTGTTTGGGGGCACCATGAACCACACCCATATAAGACAGCAAACTTAATAAATGTGGTCCTGACTGCTACACTGACCAGCTGTTCCGCCATCTTTTTCCCTCTCCTTGGACCTCCCTATTCCCTGAGACACAGTAATATTGAAATGAGGATCATTAATAACCTTACAATGGCCTGTGAGTGTTCAAGTGAAAGGAAGAGTGGCATGTTTCTTACTTTAAATCAAAAGCTAGAAAGGATTGGCCAGGCGCGGTGGCTCATGCCTGTAATCCCAGCACATTGGGAGGCCGAGGCGGGCAGATCACGGGGTCAGGAGATCGAGACCATCCTGGCCAACACAGTGAAACCCCATCTCTACTAAAAATACAAAAATTAGCCGGGCATGGTGGCGCATGCCTGTAATCCCAGCTACTCGGGAGGCAGAGGCAGGAGAATCCCTTGAACCAGGGAGTTGGAGGTTGCAGTGAGCCGAGATCACGCCACAGCACTCTAGCCTGGCAACAGAGCAAGACTCCGTCTCAAAAAAAAAAAAAAAAAAAAAGCTAGAAAGGATTAAGCTTAGTGAGGAAGGCATGTCAAAAGCTGAGACAGGCCAGAAGTGAGGCCTCTTGCACCAGTTAGCCAAGTTGCGAATACAAAGGAAAAGTTGTTCAAGGAAATTAAAAGTGCTATTCCAGTGAATACTCCAATGATAAGAAAGCGAAACAGCCTTATTGCTGATAGGGAGAAAGTTTGAGTGGTCTGGATAGAAGATCAGACCAGCCACAATATTCCCTTAAGCCAAAGCCTAATCCAGAGCAAGTTCCCAGCTCTCTTCAGTTCTCTGAAGGCTGAGAGAGGTGAGGAATCTGCAGAAGAAAAGTTGGAAGCTAGCAGACGTTAGTTCATGAGGTTTAAGAAGCTGTCTCATAACATAAAAGTGCAAAGTGAAGCAACAAGTGCAGACAGAGAAGCTGCAGCAAGTTATCCAGAAGATCCAGCTAAGAAGGTGGCTATAGTCAACAACAGATTTTTATTTTTATTTATTTATTTTTTGAGGTCTCACTCTGCCTCCCAAGCTGGAGTGCAGCAGCGCAGTCATAGCTCACTGCAGCCTTGAACTCCCGGGCTCAAGTGATTCTCCTGCCTCAGCCTCCCAAGTAGCTAGGGCTATAGGCACGTATCACCACAACCCGCTAATTTTTTAAGTTTTTTGTGCAGATAGGGATCTCACTATGTTTCCCATGCTGGTCTCAAATTCCTGGCTTCAAGCAATCCTCCCAACTCTGCCTCTCAAAAGTGTTGAAATTACAGGCCTGAACCACTGTGCCCAGCCCAGCAGTTTTTTAATGTAGATGAAACAGCCTCCTATTGGAAAAAGATGCCATCTAGGACTTTCATAGCTACAAAGGAGAAGTCAGTGCCTGGCTACAAAGCTTCAATGGATATGCTGGTTCTTTTGTTAGGGGCTGATGCAATTGGTGACTTTGAGTTGAAGCCAGTGTTCATTCACCGTTTTGAAAATCCTAGGGCCCTTAAGAATTATGCGAAATTGACTCTGCCTGTGCTCTGTAAATGGAACAAGAAAGCCTGGATGATGGCACACCTGTTTAAAGCATGGTTCAATGACTATTTTATGCCCACTGTTGACACTTATTCAGAGAAAAAGATTCCTCTCAAAATATTATTGTTCAGTGACAATGTACTTGGTTACCCAAGAGCTCTGCTGGAGTTGTACAAGGAGATGACTGTTATCTTCATGCCTGCTAACACAGCATCCACTTTACAGCCCATGGATCAAGGAGCGATTTAGACATAGATAGTGATTCCTCTGATGGATCTGGGCAAAGTAAACTGAAAACCTTCTAGAAAGGATACAGCATTCTAGATGCCATTAAGATCATCCATGATTCATGGGAGGAGGTCTAAATATCAACATTAACAGGAGGTTGGAAGAAATTGATTCTGACCCTCATGGATGACTTTGAGGGGGTCAAGACTTTGTTGGAGGAAACAACAGCAGACGTGGTGGGAATAGCAAGAGAGCAAGAATGGAGCCCGGAGATGTGACTGAATTACTGCAGTCTCATAAAACTTGAATGGATAAGGCATTGCTTCTTGTGGATGAGGCAACAAAGTGTTTTTGTGAGATGGAATCTACTCCTGGTGAAGACATTGTGAACATTGTTGAATTTAGAATATTATATCAGCTTGATTGATAATGCAGCAGCAGGGTTAGAGAGGATGGACTCCAACTTTGAAAGAAGTTCTGCTGTAGGTAAAATGCTATTAAGCAGAATCACATGCTACAGAGAGCTCTTTTGTCCAAGGAAGGGTCCATCAGTGAGTCTTATTGTACCCACTGTTGTCTTATTGTAGGAAACTGCCCCAGGGCCTCACCTTCCAGCATCCACCACCCTGATCAGTCAGCAGCCATCAACATGGAGGCCAGACCATCCACCAGCAAAAAGCGTATCACTTGCTGAGGGTCACATGATTGTTAACATTTTTTAGCAACAAGATGTTTTGTAATTAAGTTATGCACTTGTTTTAGGTATAATGGTATTACACACTTAATAGACACACTGTAGTGTAAACACACCTTTTAGGTGCACTGGGACACCAAAAAGTTCCTGGGACTTGCTCGATTGTGACATTTGATTGATTACAGTGGCCTGGAGCTGCACCTGTGGTAGCTCCGAGACATGCCTGTGTCCTTCGAGCTTTACCTTTAAGCATCACGTTTACTCAGTCACCAGTTATTGATTCAGCATAGCAGCCTCCTAGGATTGTTGGAGGGATTAAATGGGATGATACATGTAAGATAATGTAGTTTGAGTCCAATACTGGACTAGGACCTGAGGATGTTAACATGACTCTATCCTAGTCCCTCCCCTCTGGTACTGAAAGGCTATAGGGAGAGATGTTAACATATACAAGTGAGGATAAGGGTTGTCAAGGAGACTCTGATAGACAGATGTGCAGGGTATGGTGCGGCAGGGGTTGGGGGAGGGAGGTGCGGGTCTGTGCTCGTGGTTTGTGGGCCAAGTGCTGGCAGCCGAGTAGAGGCGCAGACTCTCCCACAAGTGGGAAGACAGGTGGAGTTGACATAGGCAATAAGCCAGCTTTTGGAGGTGGCTTATGCATGGGACATTCGGGCAAGTTTGAGTGTGGAAAGGCTAGTGGATGATGGAATGGAGGTACTGTTCATTTTGTTAGGTGGGATATGGTTACATGGTTATATAAGGAAATGTCCTTATTTTTTAGAGATTCATCCTGAAGTATTTAGGGGTAAAATGTCACAGTGCCTGCAATTTACTTTAAAATACTAGCCTTTGCCTCCAACAGATGAAGCAGATACAGAAAAGATGAATGGTTGTTAAATGTAGGTGGTAGGTCTAGAGATGTCCATTTTGTTAGCTGCTTTTCTGCAGGTTGGAACTTTTTCAAGATACAGTTTAAACAAGTGAGTGAATGTGATTAGGTCTGCATTTTAGAGAGATTGCACTGGAAGCTGTGGAGGATAGGTTAGGTGAAAAGTAAGAGACACTAAGGTCTGGACTCAGCTTGTCATAACACGTTGACAGTCCAAGGTGGGAGTATTGAAAAGGGAGACTTCACAAGGGTTGGTGAGGGAACCAGAGGGTTTGAGGCTGACTCAGGCACATGGTTCAGGAGCCTGGTTGGGTAAGATGCCTTCACGAACATGAGGGGACACAGAGGGAGGGGAAGGTACTGAACGAAGGGTGATGGCAAGTCTGGTTGGCTGTGTGGAGGTGGGCTGACCGGGGTTTTTCCTGGAAAGGTTGCCTCTTCCAGCCAGGGTAGGTCTGGAGGTTGGGGCATGGCCGGGCTGGGGCGATGGTTTTGGGGGCAGCAGCAGCTGGTACATGGTACCCGAAGCTATGGGAGGAGACAAGACTGCCTGAGATATAAATTCCAGAGAGCAGGAAAGAGAAAGGGCCTAGGACAGAACCCAAGGAGCACCCACGTTTGGGGAGCAGGAGGGAAATGAGGCTCCTGAGGACAGGTAGGTTCTGATGTTCATACGTTTTTTCAGTCCACCTTGCTAATCCCAGCTATAGCAAGCATTTGGGGCTGGCTTTGCCAGACTCGCCAACCCTCCTGTTTCCACAGCCCCAGTCTGCTCTCAGCTTAGGGCTGTAGCCAGCCCTCTTCCCTGCCATGGTTTATATGATGTCCACCAAGCCACCGTGCACAGGAAGGGTCTCAGCAAAATCACTCTTGGATAAGTGTCAGGAGCAGAAGTGGCTTGAATTAGAAACGGCTTCCACAGGGAGGAGCTGGGGCCCTTGGGCAAGTCATGTCGATTCTCTGGGCCTCAGTTTTTCTTTCTGTATGTGGGGACGATGGTGTTCATCCCACCGGGCTGTGGGAAAATTAGATGTGATCACATGTGTGAGCCAGAGAGACTTCAGTGGTGTCTAACAACAAATGCCGCACCTTGGTTCTCAGGAGAAATGTGAAGCGTCCCCTCTTTATGCCTGTTTGAAACCTGATTCTCTTGCCAGGTGTCCATCCCTCAGGGGACAGTGGGTGACCCCAAGCCCATAACAACAGTGACTGCTCCTGAAGGGAATCTTGGACATGCACACACACGTGCACACATGTACAGTATGCCTGGGGTCCACCCTTGCCAGTTCAGTCTTGATTAGATCCAGTTGAATGCTGGCCAGTGACCTTCTGAGTGAAGCAGAAGCTGCCGGCCCAGCCCCTCGGGGGAGCCAGTGAGATGTGATGCCGCGTCTTTCTTCATAAACAGAGGAGCGGAGCATGCCCACTGCAGGATCAGTGTCCCTGCAGGTTCTCTCTCATTCTCTACATCAGGGCACCCCGCACCACACAGATGCATGGGGCCAGAACCAAAGCGCAAGTGAGCGATCCCTGCGGGGATCTCCCAGAACAAACTAGAAGCAAAATCTGCCTCTTCCTGAGGACAACATGCATTTTTCCAGGCCTTTCAAAGCAAGGCAGGTCAATTGAGTTATAATTGGCTCTCTAATTAGAACTGCCACAAGCTGTTAAATTCTTTACCTGCTGCCTGATATATTACACAAAGGTGACAAATCTGCTTCTGCCTTTGCAATGATCAAAGAAAGCCAGCTAGAATCTCACCTTCCTTGCCGCCAGCAGCCCCCACCAGCTACCCTTACTGCCACTCAGACGCCCACACACCCACCAGCAAGTATGACATGGACACAGCCCAGTTTACAAGGAAATTGGCTGTAGGGAAATCAAGCTCAGAAGGCTGTGTTGCTGAGCCACCGTTTGGAGCCTGAATGGGAGGAGACAGAGCCTTCTCATTTTTCTAGATGTGGGAAGTGTTCTGAGGATGTTTCAATGATGCTTTGAGCCTCTCCTCGTTCCATTGTTCTGTGATAGAAGAAAATGTATCTCCTTTCCCTTTCTGAATCCTCAACACTGAAAAGGATAGTATTTTTGTGTTGCTCCCCTCAACCATCAAGACGACAGTGTGCTTTGGATGATGGGATCAGTGTGTTTTGTGACATCCAGTGTCACCTGTGTCTTCTGTGTTGTCTCTGCTCTAGTGCCAGTGCCTCTTGCAGGTCCTGCTGGTTCACACTTGCATGCAGTGCAGCTGATGCCAGTATGTCCCTTCCTCTCACCTCTCCCTGGCTCCACCCACAATGACATCACCTCGGTAGCTTGGAATCGGCCATGGTGGAAGTGTTTATACCACGGAAATTGGCAGGCGCCACAAATCAAGGCCTTTTTCTCTTTCAGAGAGGCAGTTTGCTGACACCACTGGACTCAGATGGTTTGAACTGTGATGGGGGAAAGGCAGGCACAGGAGACGGGAGCAGAGTCAGGAGAGCACCGGACATTGGCAGAGAAGAACGGTGCCAAATGGCCCTAACCCGGGGCTCCTGGGGCACATGGCGCTTGTGGCACAGATCTGATGGAGGTTCTCTGCCATTCCAGAGGGACAGGGGCCAAGGGGGAAGGAACGAGCCCTGGAATTGCCCAGGATGGTGGCAGGAAGGGTAGCACGGTGGGGGAGCGCGCGTTGTGGAGCAAAAGAGCCCCTTGTTTGAATTCTAGCTCTGCCATACACTGGCAGTTTGTAGGACCTTGGCCATGTGGCCGTGTGATTTAACCTCTGTAATACAGAAGTGAATTCCAACCTAGCAGCACTGTCATACAGGTTCAACACGGTTCTTAGCACCTGCCCAGCATATAGGATGTACCCGGCAGCTGTTAGTCTTCTGTGCCTTCCCTTCTCCCAAAACAGAGTGGCTGTGAGAATCGTGTGTGTTGTGAGAATCGTGTGTGTTGTGAGAATTGTGTGTGTAGCACAGAGGCTCCCACCACGAGTCCATGTAGGGTGGGCTTTAGGGCCTCGTAACAGATCTGCCTCTTCCCCGTTCTCTAGAGAAGGAAAGGGCCTACTTTTCCACCTAGTGTCCCAATCTGAGAGCCAAGGGGTGCCCAGATGGGTTGCAGGGAGGCTGATCTCCTCAGCTCCTGAGAAGCCAGAGCTGCCCCGCCAGTGCCCTCTGGCTGTAAGCAGCCACCTCTGTGGCCCCCTGGGCACAGAACCGCCACTGCATTCGCAAAGACTCCTGCGAGCACTGCAGAAGCAATATGTGCTGTTGCTTTTACTCTTCCAATTCCCTGGTCTCCCTCCAAGTCATTGTTTAGCCCCTGCCCCTGGACCCATTCTGTGAACCCCTGCAAGGGCTTCTGGCTTCTGAGGAGACTTGGAGATGCTCCTTGTTAACTGACCCATACATGGCAGGTGGCCGGGTGGATCCTCCAAGCTCCGCGTTTGCCCGGCCTGGGTAAGCGGTCACATCACTGTGCCCTGCCCGTCACAGCTGACTGGAGGTTTTGAGGAAATGGCTCTATTCTTGATACTGAATTATTCCATATTGAAGTGGTAACTGATAAGAGCTCAGTTGTGTGAAGAAAGAAGGTGCCAGGCTGGGTCTCTGCCGTCACCCAAGCATCATTTCCGCGCCCCTATGCAGTTTCCAGGCGGCAGTTGCTCCCCTACAGTGTTCCCTGCCTGTCTGCTGTCACCTCTGCTCCAGCCCTGGGCCTGAGTTTGGGGCCAAGCCCTGGGGGCCCTGGGGAGAAAGTTTGTAAAAAACTCCAGGAGTGAAGGTCCCCATTTCTGGCAAGCCGCCCGTTTCTGTTTTCCTTGCTAACCAGTGTTTGTCGGCGCTAATGCACTAGAATCGCCCTGCAGTGTGAACAGAGGCCGGCAGGGCAGAGGAGCGCTGGCCGGGGAGACCCCGCCCTTTGGGGCTGTGAATTCTCTTGTTATTTGTGGAAAAAAATTTTCCAAGGCCTATCAGTTCCAGGCCTCCCTTCATCAGAAGGTGTTTTATCATTTATGTTTGTTCCTATTTAAAAATGGAAAAATAGTGAATGCCAAACCCTGGCAGTGATGGGGGAAGCCACTCACCAAAATGACCGGACTCGCCGTGGCAGGTAGTGAACTATCCGGCCTTTGTGTCACACAGCGGTGTGGAAAAAACACTTCCTCTCCAGCTGCTGCAGAGCAGCGCCCGGGGTGGGCTTGGTGGGCGCAGCCCTAAAGCAGAGCCCATCCTCTCAGCCCCCTGTGTGTTGAAGCTGGGACTTTGGCCTGGGGTCGTCCTGGCAGCTGTTTGTGTAGCCGGCACTCTCCATGGAGATCTAGACGGGGCTTACCTCCCCAGGTGGACTTCACGGCCAGGGTCTGGCAGCCTTGCTGAGGACCACCTGCCATCCCCCACCCAGGCAGCCATGCCAGGCCAGAGGGGCACCCTGGCACGGAGGCTGGCCTTCCCAAGTGGACCCTGGGCTGGACGGCAGGCGTGGCTGCAGCACAGCTGGGAAATAATACCCCTTCCATACTCATCTATCGAGTGCCGACGGTATACCAAGAATGTGCCGGGGACTGCAGTGACTTTTAGCCAAGGACCACTTATTGAGTGTCTACTGGGTCCTCAGGACCACACAGGTGTCAGGAGATGCAGCGATGAGCGCCTGTCTTCAGGAGCCTGGCAGCTCTTCTCCTCTGCACCATTGGTATTTTTGAGCTTTCCAGAGTTTCCTGTAAATCCAGTCGCCTTCCAGAACTCCCCACTAGCCCATCGTCTGTCACCACTCCACTCCGCTGCCTGCCTTTAGAGAGTCAGGGAGAAAGTTGGGCTGCACTGCTCAGTGAGCCCGTGGTCCCCACACCCCAGGCAGCACCAGAGCAGGGGCGCTTCCCCCTCTCCCCCCGAGCATAGGCAGGGAATGGGGTTCCAGGGCTGCCATCTTGTTTGAGCTCAGTGTTGCTGCTGGAGGTGGAGACTCCAGCCAGGCCTCTGCTCCTGCAGGCTGAGTTGCCAAGGACCCTCCTCCAGGAAGCCCTCCCTGGCTGCGTTGGCTGCTGCCACTCAAGTCCTAGAAGAACAGATACACACTAAGGATATAGTAGGTGCTCCAACAAATATTCCTTGGGTGGAAGATTTCATCAAACCCCAGAATTTTCAGCTGGAGATCAAACCCTAGAATTTGCTGCTTCATTTTCTTGATTAGAACACTGAGGCTGAGAGAGAAGCCTCTGCCTAAGTGGCAGTTGATGGAGGTCACACAGCAGGGGTGGGAGCGTGGCCCTCTGCCCCACGTGACTTCTCCCAGCCCTGCTCTCCTGCAGGGGGAGCATACCTTCAGCCCTCTCGCTGAGATAACTGGGGACAGGCCTTTGCTGCCAGTGTTCAGTGATAAAAGATCAGCCCTGAGTACAGTGAGGCCCTCGCAAAGGGATGAGCCCCGCCCCACCCCACCTGAGGACAGGTAGAAGCAGAGGGCAGATGGGGCTCTGTCAGGGTCTTTGGGAAAGAGTGGGGTCAGAGTTTCTAGGACCCCCTGTCTCAGGCCGTGGGGCTCCCAGGAAGCCTCCCCGTGCAGCACTGCAGTGGCCGCATGGGAATGGCTTTCTGACCATGGAGACCCTCCAACACTTCCAGGTCTGACGCTTCCCTCGCCAGAGCCCTGGGGTCATAGCCCTGCCCATGTCCCCCCCGTTCCCTGGCTTCTGGGGGAGCTCAGCCTCTGCCTGGGCCTGCTATTCTCCCCTGTGGAGGCAGTGGTCCCAGGACCCCAGGGGAAGCCTGTGCCTGCAGCAGGGCCAAGTTCCCTCAGAGTATCCCTGATGCCTGCATCTCCCTGGCCTGGCGCACATGGCCTGGGGCACAGTGCCACCTTCCCCAAAGTGCAGGGGCACTGGCTTCCCCAGAGGGCAGGAGGGGTCTTTAGGGGGTGATTAGCACTAAACTTTCCACCACGAGGATCAGTCGGGCCATGGGGGAGTGCCAGCTTCCAGGCTGCTCTGTGCTGTTGGTTTCTGCCTGACTTCTTGTTGGGGAAGATAGGTAAAAATAAATAAGTCAACCAGGGAAATGTAGAAATAAGTGAACAGGAGTCTCTTGCCCATTACCAGTGGAAAAGTACCAGCAAGAGGGGCTGTGTTAGCACCCACAGAAGACCCTGGCTGGCATGCAGCAGGCCCCCCAGCAGCAGGACCCAAGCTTCCCCCCTCCTATGAGCTGACAGCTACCGCCACGTTCCAGCCAGCCTCTGAGCTAAAACTCACTGCCTCAAAGCACGTGATTTAAACGGCAGATGGGGGAGGGGAGGCTGGAGACTCTGGAATGTTACCAAGGACTGCCCAGGCTTCAGGGTAGGGGGGATGCCTGGCATCCCCACATATTGCTGGGGACCCCAAGGCTTCCTCCTGTCTCCTCTCCGCCCCCACGGGGCCCCCACCCAGCCAGCGCTGCCGCCAGTGGACCTGTCCTTCCTTTCTCGCTGACTGTCCTTTGATGTTACGTGGGACTTGCTGGCCTGACACTTTCAATTAGGTCAGTGCACCACGCGGCGCGCCGGAGGTGCTTGCGCTGGCGCTCCTGTGAGTGTGTTTGCTGAATTTCTGAGTGCTGTGCCTTAGGCTGCAGCCGGCAGGGAGCTCATGTGGACCCCGGGGCACCGGGATTCCCCATCACCCTCCCCTGACGGGTCCCCGGTGACCCTACCAGCAGCAGCACCCAGGTGCATGGACACAAGTGTGACCAAGTTATTCCACTCCCAGGGCTAGGCAGAGGCAGCTCTCAGCTTGCCTTCGTGCTCTTTTCCAAGGAGAAGGCAGATGCCTCCCTTGGTCTCTCCAGAGCTGAAGTCAGAGAGGAGCTGAGAGATGACTGATGTTGAGGTCAAGTCATCCTTCTGTTCTCACAGCCATTTCTCCCTCTCTTTCCTGACTCGCAAAATCACCACACCATTAATCCCAAGGGCAAGGAAAAGGACTCTGGGTTAGGCGGCTGGGCTGGAGACACAGTCGGCAGAATGGCGCTGGTGCAGGTTGCAGGGAAGGGAGCCGTGCTGTCCCCATGCCATCCTGTCCTCCCAGCAGAATCCAGACTGTGAAGGGTCTGCTTTTTAGATTACCCTCCTGCACCCCTCAGCGTGCACGCGATAGGGCAGCCATTCTTCAGGTCACCCAGAGGGAGACATCCCCATCAAACACCCCCCCCTTCCCTAGGTCCTCTTATGTCACCTGGGTCCCAAGAGCCCGTGGTCTGGCTCACCCGGAATCTGGCAGCCGCCAGGTAGAGGAAGGGCCTGCAGTGCCAGGCAGACTGACAGAGAACAGCAGGGAAGTCGGCTGCGTCACTCTCATGTCCTCGGAGCTTCTCCCCCAGGTTGGTGTAGGGAGTGCTGAGCCGTGGGGTCCAGGGTCAGCTGACCATCAGGGAAGGACTGTTGGAATGTGTTTCCTGGTCCCTAAATGCCTGCTACCCTCTCTAGAGATCTCAGTAGTCTGCCATGGAGCAAAGAGACCTAAGCGGGTCTTCACAAAACCTAGGTTCTGACACCTGACGTCTACCTGGCTTGGTAACTGAACCAGGTACTTGCCCTCCTTCTCCTGACCTGGAGTGAGGTACCCTGTCACCACTACAACCTCCCAGGCAGGGCTGCCGAGAGCTAGGAGCCTGCGCCACATCATTCAGATGTGATCACTAAGAGTCGATCCACTCCAGGAAGAATGAGACCTCTGTTCACAGGAAGCTTTTGGAGCAGAAACATCAGATCCTATTTGAAGTTTCAGCTCCTTCTCTTCAGCTGTGTGGCCATGAACCAGCACCCTGACCCTGAGCTTCCGCCTTCTTCTTTGTTCAAAGTGGGGAGAGCATCATATTGTCTCTTTTGAAATGTCCTCCCTCATCCTCCTGCCAATAAGCCTTGCTCTGTGGCAGATGCTGGGACTACACACATGAATGACTGAGGCTCTGGGGCAGGACCCACAGCAAACCAGCCCCTCCAGTCCCGAGCCTTGAGCGAGGGCAAGAGCGTGGCTCGAGTGACAGCCTGTGCCACTGAGTTCCCCGCACCTGGCACAGCACCAGGACATTGGTGCCAGAACACCCACAGGCGCTCAACGAGTGTTTGTAGAGGGGAGGAAAGAACTAGAAATGGCTTTGGTTGGAGCAGAGTGAACAAAGCCCCACCCCCGGAACCCGAACACCCGGATGCTGTTCCTTACTCACGTCCGTGCTCTTGGCAGGACACTTACCCTCTCCGGGCTTCTGTTTGCCCTCCTGTCAAATAGGATGGCTGGTCCTTTGGGGAATGCTCTAATGCCCTGCTCACTGCAACCCCGACCACCCTCTGGACACCTGCCGCAGAGTGGGTGGGGGACTGTGGGGCTTTGGGGCTCAGAAGCTGCTGGCAGATGGGCTGCGGTCCGTCTCCGGATGTCCCACCGATTGCCAGCAACGGTTCTCTAAAAGCCACCACAGTCTGTGGATATGTCAGCACCAATGCTGAAGCACCCAGTTTCAAAGAAATTAGGCCAAGGGGAAATGGGGGGCCAAGTCTGTGAGATTCACGCAAGGCTGATCAAGCCCTTTGGCTTCTGGCCAGGCTGCCAGCACCCTAGGTGCTGGCGTTTACTGCCTGACAGCCCATTACTCTGCACTGCTAATTGCAGAATAAGCTCCTCCAGAATATTCCAGATCATCCTGGAAGAAAGCAGCTTTAAGAGATTCTGCCAGTCAGACGCTTTAAAAAGAAGACAAAAGTCAAAGCCGTGCTCATATTTTCCTGGGGCTTAACGGAGCCTTCATCTGGACCCACAGCCAGGTCTCCTTCGAGGAGCTATGTTAAGCAGCAGAATTCAGGGAGGTGGGGAGAGTGGGCGGGAGGTCTGAATCCGCCATGCCTCCAAGGCCCCAGAGAGGGAGCGTGCGCTGTTCTGGAAGCTTTCTTCCTATCCTGAAGGCCCATCAAGTGGAAAGAGAACGGGGCTTTTCCACGTGGTTCCAGAAGACTCAGAGAACTTCAAAGTGTGGGGATTCGATGAAAAGGACAATGAGGGCTCCACATTTAACCAACAGTTCAGACTGTCCTCTCATGGTGTGGGCTGCCCGGGGAAATCACAAGCTCCTGGTCCCTGGAGGGGGTGCTGCCCATGAGGGACAGCAGCAGGGGCTGTGCATCGGAGAGCCGAGGCCCAGGCATCCCCCAAACCCTGAGGAGTTCTGCTTCCATAGCTGGTTGGCAGTTGGCTTAGAAAAATAAGAGGTTTTTTTGAAAAAATGAGTATTTTTCCTTCTGAGTTGAGTTCAATGCTGGAAAGGCCTAAACCCCAGAAGGTGCATTTCTCCAGATAAAATGTCTGACCTGGAAAAGGGGCCCCATGATAGCGCAGCCCCTGCCGCCATCAGCTGTTCCGGGTGAGCAGAGGTGCTGCACCTGGGGCTGCCTCTGGCTGTGCTGCAGCCCTTGGTCCCCCCAGTGCTCTGAGAGGGCATGCTGGGGGTCTCCCCTGCTCCCTCCTGGAATACTCGGCACACTCCCTGAGGAAGAGCCCCCTGGGGGCATCTGGCCTGCGCCTAGACCACAGGCCCCGTCCCTGCCCCAGACAAAAGCATCACTCCCCTTCCTGAGGTTCTTTGGGCCTCAGTCTTTTCTCTGGGGCTCCACACCCCTATGTCTGACTGGGACTGGCTGCTGGTAACTGGGGGCGTTTGTTTGGCTAACTTGAAGGGAGTGAGGAAGCAGCCACCCCGTTTCGGTTCTGACATTTGAGCAGGGAGGTGGCAGCCATGGGGACTGGAGGAGATTTGCCTTCCGTGTTCGACCCCAGGCCCAAGGGAAAAGGTGTCCGGCCTGGGGGCCAGGCTCCCGCTCACATCTTCTGGAGCTCTCCTCCTTCATCTGAGCTGGCTTCTGTCAGAAGGACGCCCTTCTTAAGGCAGCATGTCCCCAGGAGCCACACTGCAGGTACCTTCCCTCCTCCTGCACTGCCCTTCTGTGTGGGTTCCTGGACCAGCACGTCAGCGGCCTTTGTGGATCTGGAGGTGAAGTGGCCACACGAATGTTCTATCCCCACCTGAGAGCCTGGGGGTGGGCAGGATTGGAGGCCACCTGGTGACAGCAGCAGCCATCATGTCACTGGGGAGAGGGCCTTGTGCAGGCTCCGGCCACCTGCTGTGTATGAGGCTTAGATGGGCACGGGCTGTCAGGAAGACCTAGGGTTGGCCTTTGGGGAAACTGGGTCAGTGCTGAGTAAAATGGGCCAGATGAGTAAACCAGCCCCACACCTGCCCCTGCCCAGAACTTGTGACCTGCTGACAGGAAGGTGGGCCTGCCTGGTGCCCAGAAGGTCCTTCAACTTGCTCTTGACTGGCCCGGTGAGGGGCTGAGTGAGTGGCAGCGTGTGAGTCCCACCCCACGGTGGAGCTCTGACGGGCAGAGGTGTGCAGGAGGTGTGGGGCTGTGGGGCTGGGGATGCCTCCCCTCAGCCAGAACACCAGGACCTGGCCCCTGTGGAGCTTCTGGCCTGGGGAGGCCAGCCTTCTGGCTGGTGTCATTAGCCAAGACACACACACTTGGCCCCCTGGCAAACTGGTGCCATTTCTAAGCACTGAGAACAAACAGAAATGAAACACAAAACAGAGCCCCATAGAGACCAGGCCTCGCCCAGAGCTTCTAGAATCCAGGTGGAAAAGCTGGCACAGCCCCCACCCCACCCACGCATGTTTTCAGTTCCTTTTCAAGGCATTGTTGGAAAGCGGGGTGGGGCTCAGGGCTGCCCCCTCAGCTGCACCCACAAAATGCTTGTACTCAAAACTGACAGTGCCTCTGACACTTGCCAGAGAAGAAAGGGCCGCCCGGGAGGAAAGGAGGCAGGGCAGCCCTCAGCTCTGTGTTCCTGAGCTGCTCCAAGGAAACCCTTTCAAAGCCAGTCTCCTGTGGGCTTCTCAGAGTGGTACTGGTTTGCAGTCTATTTATATTTTGATTTAAAAGAAAAATATTTTTGAAAACACTACCGCTGCCACCCTGCTTCCCTCTGATCAATGGCATCCTCTAGAAGGAAAATTCAAATTCCCGAGAAGTGGTGACTCACATGTGCTGGTGTTTCTCATTTCATGCCTACATTTCAGCGAATGCAGACGGCCAGACCAACTGTGCTGCAGCTTATGGGAAGGGGCTGGAGCTCTTGTGGGGTCCTCATTTTCCTCAGGTCAGGGAACCCACTCTTAGAGGCCTGGTGGGCTTCCAGAAAGCCTGGTCTACCATGGACATAGCCCCTGACAGGACAAGCAGAAAGCAGCTAGGGTCAAGGGCAGAGTTGGAACACTGTAATCGGAGTCTAAAACTTGGAGGCTGGCCCTGGGCCAGGCCCTGCACCAGGCTTTCCAGACTCAGCCCTTCAGGAGCCTGCTGTCTAGCCCCACTCTGTGTCCAGCAGGGTCAAGGCCTTCAGCAAGGCTGTTCTCCTCTCTGGCCCTCTGTTTTCTCCTCTGTAAGAGTGTTGGCTCTGCGGGTGGGTTCTGGGATTTTCTTAGAGAGCAGTGTCAGATCTGTGGTGTACGAGCAAATAGCCTGAGGGGAAGCCATACAGCCCACTGGGCTCAGCTGGGAGCAGGGCATCTTCTCCCAGGGGGTGCTCGCATCCCCCAGAGACCATCATGCTAATGCTCTGTAAGGAGAGGAGGCTCTGAGTATGCTGGCCTGACTTGGGAGCATAGACAAGGGTGACCTGAGGCCAGAGCTTTCTTTGGGACTTCTCCTTCCCTACTACCCCACAGCATCCCACACCATCCCTCCTCCATCCCTCCATCTATCCAGCAAGCATTCCCCAAGAGCCTCTTCTGTACCAGGCCCACTCCAGGTGCCGTACATGCAAAGACAAATCATGGTGGTCCTTGCTGTTAAAGAGGGAGATGGAGGTGAAGAGTCAGCCAACTACTGGCATCACGGAAGGGCCCCCCCTCCTCTCGGAGTCACTAATAGTGTCAACTGAGGAATCAGTAGGTTCATACATTTGCAGAAGAGACTTCATTTCTTACAAAGGATTGCAGCCTTCAGGGTGGCCATCTTGACTGGCTGGGAAATGTAGCCTCAGGCAGAGACCAAAAGCAAGCACTTTGAGAGAGGGGAGGGTGGAACAGGGATTTATGTGGAACTGGTTGGCCAAGTATACATATTCAACAGGTTATAGGAGGAGCTATGAATATTCACAAAAGGGGGATGTGTGCATGTGTGTGATAAGCAAATACGCAAATTACATGCATCCCATGTTCACTTTAGGGTGGAGACATAACATTTAGGTGCATTACAGTTCGGTCCTATACATCAACAGATGAGGCAGGGGCAGGAAGACACACAGTGCTCAGCCTCTTACTAAACCAGTCAGAACCAGCCTGTGGTTGGTGGTCTCTTGTCCCGTCAAAGCTGCAGTTGCAACCTGTGGAATGGGAGCTCAGTTAGGGTCTGGGGTAGGTGAGCTGCAATTGTTTCAATATTGCTTATCTCGAGGCCAGTGCTTGTTTAGCTGCTAGAGAAAAGAAAAACCTTGTGGCAGTTAGAAGGCGGTGTATTCTTTCAGGGATATGTGACTTAACCCTTGCCTGTCGTGGTCTTAGTTCTGGTTTATGATTTGGTATCTTATTGCACAGCGAGTCTGTTCCATCAGTCTTATGATCTCTAGTTTAACAATGGTAATGAGAACAGCCATAATCCTAATATTGCTGAGAGCTGCCACCCACTGAAGGCGTACAAATATGCTGGGCGATCTGCTAAGTGCCTTGCAAACTCTGACCTCATTTAGTCCTTACTAAACGAGTTAGTCCAACTAACTCCCCCGTTTGGTTAGTATTTCTCCCCCTTATGCAGATAAAGCATCTGACACTCAGAGTATGTTGTCCAAGTAAACGGTGGAGCTAGGATTCAAGCCCAGTCTGCTGGGGTGAGCCTAGGACTCACACCCCCAACCTCCACACTCCACTGTCCCAGAGAGCAACGTGCCCCTCCCCTGTGGCCAGCCAGGTCCCTCCATGCAGAAGCCACCAGCAGCAGCCAGGGCCTGTAGCACCTTTCAGGCCCCTCACCTACACCCTGAGCCCCCAGTGTGCCATCTGTGGCCAGCACAACTGCAGCTCTGGCCACAGCCAGCTCAGCAGCACTGTCATCTTCCCAAAGGGAGACAAAGGTGGGATGATGGGCTTTCCACCCCAGAAGCTGCCACCACAGTCCCTGACACCCCACCACGAGGAGGCTGTATGACTTTGTTCAAAAGTCGTGGTGGTGCCCGTTTGACTCAGGTGGCCCCAGCAGCTCAGGTGGGCGCTGAGCCGTGGGAAAAGCCACTGATCCTGGTCCTCAGCCCCCACCACCCTTGCCTTTGGGCCTCACTCCCTCTGGAGGAGAAGGGGTCCCACTCCACCAGTGAGGTTTGACCTCCACCAGCTGCAATGAGCGGTGGCTGACTTGCAGATGCTAAGAAAATCTTTTTTTTTTTTTTTTTGAGACGGAGTCTTGCTCTGTTGCCCAGGCTGTAGTGCGGTGGTGTGATTTCTGCTCACTGCAAGCTCCACCTCCTGGGTTCACACCATTCTCCTGCCTCAGCCTGCCAAGTAGCTGGGACTACAGGCGCCCGCCACCACGCCCAGCTAATTTTTTGTATTTTTTAGTAGAGACAGGGTTTCACCGTGTTAGCCAGGATGGTCTCGATCTCCTGACCTTGTGATCCACCCACCTCGGCCTCCCAAAGTGCTAGGATTACAGGCATGAGCCACTGCACCCAGCCGATGCTGAGAAAATCTTTCACCCTCTCCATGGCAAGCTGTGGTGGGTCAGAGCACAGGCCCTGGACCAGGCAGACAGACCCACGCTCAGTCTGTGGTAGCTTTAAACAGTATGCTGCTCTCATCAAGTTTCTGGGTCTGCTCATTTATTCATTCTGCCCCAAGTTACTGGCCACCTGCCCAGTGTCAGGCCTGGAGGTGCAGAGATGACCGGGGTTCACCCAGTCCCTGCCCTCCAGGCACTCACAGCAAAGCCTAGTGGGGGAACAGAGCTAGAGATAAGCCACCTCAATTAATGTGGCACCTGTCACACAAGATGGTGTCAAAAGCACTTTGCAGTCAGCAAAACATACACTACATTGATCATAATGGCTTGCACATGCACACTTAATAGAGCCTGGTGATCCATGAATTTGTCCTCCCAGGTTTACTTGTGTTTTTGGAGAGGCCACCTGACAACACTGCCTTAAGCCACCCATGCCCACCTCTACCCCCTGCAAAGGGTAATGGTGGAGTTTCTGACCCAGGAGCAGAACAGAAAGATCTTTAAGTGCTCCAGTACCATCCCTGACACTAGACTTCCTACCCATCAGTGGCCCTGGAGTGGCCCAGCAGGCTCTGCAGAATCCAGGCCGGCTGTGATGTGGTGAGGGACAGCTCACTGCTCTCTGCACTAACACTGCACTGCTGCTCAGAGAAGCTGAGAGCACTACCGGCAGGGGAGCCTGCCCATCAGCCATGCCCTGGCGTAGAGAGCACTTGGAGTGGTTCACCTCCATCCCTGCTGCTGAATGCTTGATTTCCAAAACATTATGCCTGGGGAAAAGCAATAACCAGGTAGACCAACTGACCCCCACCCAGAGCTGGGCCACAGGACTTCTTTTCAGCAATGGCTTCTCCTTGGGAAGGATGCTTTCAGGGACGTTATCTCCCTGTATCTGTACCGTTAGAGGGACAAGCAGTGGTCTGTGATGTGCTCTTGAACCCAGCAAAGGGCTAACTTGGCTTTTGTGCAGAGTGCCATGGGGATGTCCAAAATCTCCCAAAAGAGCTTTTTTTTTTTATCTCTGTCACCCAGGATGGAGTGCAGTGGCACAATGATAGTTCACTGCAACCTCCGCCTCCCAGGCTCAAGCAATCCTCCCACCTCAGCCTCCCAAGTAGCTGGGATCACAATGTGCGCCAGCACACCCAGCTAACTTTTGTATTTTTTTAGTGGCGACGGAGTTTCACCATGTTGCCCAGGTCGGTCTCGAACTCCCAGGCTCAAGCGATCCATCTGCCTCAGCCTCCAAAACTGCTGGGATTACAGGCGTGAGCCACAGTGTCCAGCCTCCAAAGTGGCTTCTGTCCTGCAGGCTTCTGCCTCAGAGGATAGTGCAGGCCGGCCCTGCTGAGGGCCTCCTACACCAAGGCTGCAGCAGGAAACCTTGCACACAGGAGCCTTCCGGGGCTCTGGCACAGGCGCCCTTGAGGTCTGGCAAGGTGTTTAGCCCCTGGGCAGCAATTAAAGGCAAAAGCGAGGAAGATGCTAATTGCTCTGAAACTGGCCAAGTCCATTTTATCTCATTTGAAATAACAGGTTTAATTTAATCTCTTATTGCCAATTTGGTGCATCATCAAGATCCTATTTGTACAAAACACCTGATTATGATAATTACCAGCTTGGGAGGCAGCCTTCATCTATGTCTGAAGAAAGGGACTAATAAGTTACTTCCTCAGTGATTTCCCAGCTCTCTGAAGCTCAGCCCCAGCCGGCTCCCAACCCATAGTGGCTGCAGGAACACCAGTGCTGGGGAAGGTGGAAGTCTGTGTGCGCATCCTCTCCACACACAGGGGAGGGGAGAGGGCCCAGTATCAAGGGCACACGCAGCACAGCTGCAGGCCTCAGCTCTGCCGCTAGCTACCTGTAGGCGGGTCATCTGGTCTGTGAAACTCAAGCCCCAGCAGCGCTGGCTCCTGGAGGTGAGAGAGGATGGAATGAGACCTTAATGCTTAGCGCTGTTGGTGATTTGCACTGGACCCCGAGCTCTTTGAGAGCAGGCCTGCGCTTACCCACTCTATCCAGCACCAAGCAATCACTCGGTGGGTTTTGTTGGGTTTGATATGGGGGCAGGGAGTGGCAGGTTATATGGTAATATATGGTAATATGTCATCATTGGAATCTGCCTCCTGCAGGCTGATGGCTGGGAGCAGGAGCTGCGTGCTGCTGGGCAGCGCTGCTGGTTGGGGGCAGTGTGGCTGCTTGGCTCTGCAGGGATGGGGTGCATTATGGCCTCAGGCAGATGGACAAGGGCTCTAGCAGGAAGGCCCCAAGCTGACCGACAGCAGCTGGGAGGCAGGAGGGGGCTGGGGCTGCGTCCTGCAGAAACACGTTGGCTGACAGACAAGCCTGGCTGAACCCAGGGAAGGTTGGACGCAGCTGGTGCTGACAACAGCTCCATGCCAACCTCAGGAGTTAGGCCTTTGATCTCCGGAGGAGAGAGCAAGCCGGGCCCCTAGAATTGGAAAGGACATGAGGGCTGCAGTGCAGAAGAGCACATGGAGCCCAGGGAAGGGAAGGGAAGGGAAAGGAAGGAAGGTCCCTGGCCAGCACTGTGGGGCTTGGGTGGTGTGTCACTCCTGACAGCCAGACACAGCCAGGTCCCTGCCCACCTCTGGCCAGTCCTCTAGCTGTGCTGGCTCCAGGCAGTGGCTCTGACTGCAGCTGGAGCTTGTTCTGGTTGATCCCGTCATGGGCTGATTTCTGAGCTGCTCCTGGCTCACTGGGGAGAGGCCTATTTTTCATTCCTGTGCCAAGCCTGAGCTGGCAGCCCCTGGCAAGTCTGCGATGTCTCCCTAAGCAGCTCCAGCTTTAGGAATTAATTCCACTGAACAGATTGCTCAGGAAGCTTCAAGGTCATCTGAAAATGGCAGTTCCTACGTTAGGACTACAAGTCCAGGTATATGGGCTGGAAATTTCCAAGCCAGCAAGAACCCTAGAACACCAGAGCACTGCAGAGGCTCTTAGTGGCCAACACGGAGGGTGCTGGCTCAGATTAGCCCCTCGGGGTTGGTTCTCTGCAGGACTTTTGAGGGCAGTTAGACATGCCCCTGTCCCATACCCTGCAGCCCCCACAGTTGGCCAGATTTAGTGGCCTGCCACTTTCTAAACAAAAATCCCAGCAGGAAGGGACTGGTGGGTTCTCCCCACTCCAGCAGGGTGCCGAGACCAGAGCCCTCTGCATCCCACTGGGCCAAGGCCCTGGTCCTCCTGGTCTCCACATCTCACCCATCCACTTTCTGGCGGACAGAATGGCCCAGTCGGTTGGCTGTGGCAGCCTTCCCAAGCCTCAAGATCACAGCTGTCCTGAGGCAAGGAGCCCTCCAGTCCATGAGCAGATATACAGGATGCCTCTAAGACACAGATCTGAGCCAGAGGGAAGCTGTGCCTTGGAGAGGAGCAATTTCCCCATCATAACATGGGAAGGAGCAATAAAATCAGCAGTTAGTGGTCAGAGAAATGAAAGGGAAGACACAGCATGGCAGACGCCCCTTTCCTGTTGCTTGGATGTAACTGGGTTATTGCCTGAGTGCCCTGGGGCCCGCATTGAGAGAGCTCCACTGAGCTCTCCTCTGCTGGCCCGGGGCTTGCCTCTTAAAGCGACAGAGGCAATGTGGACCAGGTGGGAAGCATGGGCCACTTTAGGACCAAGCAGACCTGGGCAAGGCTGCAGCTCGATGTTGATTGGCCCTGGGACCTGGGGCAAGAACGTGGCCTTTCTGAACTGTGTCTTCTTGTATCTAAAGCAGTAGTAATAGGAGATGGGCTAGCTACAGTGCCTAGCGTGGTGCCCAGTGGGGAAAAACCCTCCACTTGGAGGAAGAAAACAGCACGGGGCTGATGCTACGGTGGCAGAGCCTAGTGGGACCTGAATTATATTCTCCACCTGCAACAAGTAAGCACAGTGGCTTACTGCTCATCACCTATTTGCCAGAAGCATGCAGCATGTGTCTCCCTGCTGGGAGAGCCACTCAGAAACCTGTTGTGTGTATTTAGTATCTTGATGCACCAAGAAAGCCATGCCAGGAAGGCGTGTGACGAGCTCCTGCCATAATCTCTCCAGGCTGCTGCTCAGGGCCGCTACCCAGAAACCTCCCTTCCCTCATAGTTACGTTGGAACGTTCTCGGGTGAGCACAGGTGATAACCTCCCCTCAAAGAAAGGGGGCAGGATCTCATTCAGCCTCGCGTCCTACTGAATGCAACCTGGGTAGGTGGCCTACCATTTGTTCTGCTGGCCTTTGAGGTTGGGAAGCGAGAATGTGGAGTTGTCAGATTCCCTCTTAAGGAGGTCCAAGGTGGTCCAGAGCACCATCCTGGGAGATGGACGTGATTATTTGCCACCCGCAGCTGGACTCCACACCCAGAAGCCCTTCAGGCAGGCACCAGGAGTCATGAGGTGTGGCTCTGCAGTGGCCAGCTACCCTCGGCTGTTTGGCCACCCCGGAACCTTCTCTGGCAGATGCCACCAAGGACCTGGTCATATGCAGGAACTCCAGCATGGACACATGTTTGGATATTCATAAGAAAAGAAACATCGGGTATTTCTGTTGTGTTCTTGAGAAGGTAGAGCTGACCCTGAAGCCTGCTGTTCCCAGACGGGGGAGGGCAGCCATCTCTACCTGAGGCAGCGTGGCCTCCGCCTCCTCCTCACCCAGGAGAGCTCCCTAAACTGCCTCTTCCTCCCAGAGCTGGGGGTCTCCTTCCTCCACCTTCCACTCTGAGCCTCCACAGGGGCCACACACTGCCCTCGGCCATGGGTCTCCTTGGCTGTCACCCCAACCACGTGCTCCTCCTGGGTGGACACCCCAGCTCCCCTGTTGGGGGCTTATGGAAGCCAGGTTGTCTCTCAGGCTCTTGGATGCCACTTCAAGGCAGGCACATTCCTGCCATCACACTGGCTGGTTCTGCTCCTGACAGCTACCCTGCTGCCCTCTTGCCTGTTGGTGAAGCTGGGGCCTGTGAGCAGGCTGGGTTGCCTCGTGAGTGACATGCTCACACTGCCTAAAGCGAGGGCAAGGCTTTATTGGGAGATTTAAGATGAGATTTGAAAGAGCAGAGGGCCATAACTCATTCCTCAGTGGGAAGACTAGACATTGTAAAGATGTCAGGCTTCTCCACACTCTCCAAGAGAGGTAATGCAAGTGCAATTTGACTTCTAAAGGGAATGAAGAAACTGATTTTGAAATTCATCGAAAATAGTACAGGGTAAGATTGTCAAGAAACATACTAAAAGCAAGGAGCAGTGAGGGAAAGCTCTGACTCTACCTATTAAAACATGATTTTGGGAGTAACAGAAATGAAAACTGTGGTGCTGATGCAGAAGTTTGATATTGTGGCTTGTTGGAAAATAGTGGAAGGCCCCTGATTCATGTAATAATTCACTCTAGGATGGAGGCAGTGCCTTACAAGAGTGAGGGGAGGGAGGATGAGCTAGTTTGTGTCTAGCAAAGTAGGAGGAATCCATCACTCTGCCAAGATAAAGTAGTCAACTACTTAAAAGAGGGAAAATTAAGATAAATGGAATTGAACATGTGTCAGCTCTTTGAAAGGATAACTTTCTAAGTTTTGAAGTGGCAAAAAAATCAAAGATCAATAAATTTAATTTTGCAACTTAAAACTTTTCAAAGAAAAGAATCTCAAAAGTCAAATAATAAGCTGGGAAATTATGGTAGCAGATGAATAGCAATCTTATGAAAGGCTCCTAAACAAAAGCATGGGAAATATTTAACCTCAATGGTTATTAAAGAAATATAGATTTCAACAAGGAGGGACATTCTGCATGTATGACATTAGCAGAAATAGAGTCATGATAGAAGGGGGTAGGTGACCAACCACAGAAACTGCTGATGGCTGAAAAAGTGAGGCAACCTTTGGGGATAAAATTTGCAAAATGTTTGGGGAGTGCTAAAGAGAGTCATATCCTCTTACCCAGAGACCCTAGTTTGGGGAGATTTGCCCTAAGGGGAGGATGTCCAAATAGTTGTCAAGGCCGTTCCACTGATCCTCCCCCAGGGCCACTAAAAGGAGCTCATGGGGGACACTGGACTCCCCTCCCCACCCCACCCACCCCACCAAGTTGTTCCTTTTTGTCTGTTTATACATAGACTGTGTGGGTGTTCTCTGTAAGATTTCATTTAACCAAAGGTTTTCAGGGATACAAAAAAGATTGGAAATCCACTGATCTAAAGAACAAAGAGGTGCTTTCTGGAAAGATGTTCATGTCTGTGCGATTTGGAACAGCAAAGAGATTGGATGTGACCTACATGTTTCTCCCCCGAGGGAGAGGTTGAGAAAGTGAGAGTGTCCATTGGATGAGCGAGTACACGCATCGCTTATAGAGGTGCGCAGCTTGGAAACGCAATGATGATGAAATAGGTGGGACCCACGGGTACACCCCAACCAAGGAAAACGAAGATGACAGCTGGGCACAGCCTGGGGCAAGCAGAGACAGTGAGGTCAGGGCCTTGGTCGGGGAAGGGGCTGTGAGCAATGTAAAAACTGTCGTCATCATTCTCATAGTATAATTCCACCAATGGTTTCTTTAGTTTAAAAAAAAAAGACGACAGGCCAGGCCCTGTGGCTCACGCCTGTAATCCCAGCACTTTGGGAGGCCGAGGTGGGCAGATCACGAGGTCAGGAGATCGAGACCATCCTGGCTAACATGGTGAAACCCTGTCTCTACTAAAAATACAAAAAATTAGCCGGGCGTGGTGGCGGGCGCCTGTAGTCCCAGCTACTGGGGAGGCTGAGGCAGGAGAATGGCATGAACCCGGGAGGCGGAGCTTGCAGTGAGCCAAGATCGCGCCACTGCACTCCAGCCTGGATGACAGAGCGAGACTCCATCTCAAAAACAAAAAACAAACAGAAAAGGATGATAGTCCCATCCCATGCTGACGCCGCGCTGGGTCAGTGCAGACTGCGGACTTCCAATTAGTTCATTCATGGTTCTTAAGTTTTCAGATGAACCATATGAAGTTGCCATTTTTATATTCAAAACATGGCTGAATATTGGCAATTTCATATTAGTCAGCTTGGCGACTATTTTGACTGTTGCCCCTGAACACAGGAAATACTGGAGAACTTACTATGGGCCCAGCCCAATGGCGATATATTCCCGGCTCCGAGGAACTGACTGGAAACTCGAGGACAAGTAGGATGCAGAGCTCCTGAAGCCTCCATGGCTGACTGTCTCTCTCTCTCTCTGACCTCTCCAGGCCCTGATCCTTCACCAGCTAGGCCGCTACAGTCTGGCGGAGAAGATCCTCCGGGACGCGGTGCAGGTGAACTCGACAGCCCACGAGGTCTGGAACGGGCTGGGCGAGGTCCTCCAAGCTCAGGGCAACGATGCGGCGGCTACGGAGTGCTTCCTGACAGCCTTGGAGCTGGAGGCCAGCAGCCCCGCCGTGCCCTTCACCATCATCCCCCGCGTGCTCTGAGCAGGCGCCTGCCAGCCTCACCTGCCGCTCAGGCCTCAGAGGCCCTGCCGGGCACCAGGGCTTGTGCCATCGCCCCAAGGGGATGAATCTGCCACACTGAGGCCAGGGACGAGTGTTCAGTGGGCCACAGTGAACCAACCAAACCAACCCCGAATCATCGCTCTCGCCATGTGCGTTTCTCTTGTTTTTTTTGCCAGCCCAATGGTAGTTTCTGAACCTATTGACATTGTTCAAAATGGATCATGTGCCATATTTTGTTAGTTGACATCTGAGTTTTCAGTAAAATGATTATGGAATTAATCAGCAAATGTAGAAGAATATATTCAAAGTTAAAATTCAGTGGCAGCACAGATTATTTTTATCAGAGCTGTAAAGAAAACAACTGTCCTTTTCTCCCCACCACCCCTCCTGCCCCACTTTGGCCCAGAAACCAAATGTGAACTTCCTGTCTCCCACCTCAGCACTAGTCCATGCCAGGACACCAGCTGACAATTTCTTGGTTTTACTGTCAATAATTGTACCATGTGATCAATTACTGTCCTCACTTAGAACAAAGCCTGAGTCCGAGAATATTTATATTTTACCAATATATGCCTGTTACAAGAGAAGGAAATATGAGTTATTTAAGTTTAACTTTTTTATGTGAATTCAGAGTTTATTTATCGAGGGAAATATGTACAAAGAAGCTTCAAATGGAATATTTACCGACATTCCTTATACATGACAGACACTTGGCTACATGGGAAGATGATGTTAATAATAAAATGATTTTTAAATGGACTCATAGCCTGTGTCATTCGTAAAAGCTCAAAGACCTGAGAAAGGCTTAGTTCCTGGGGTGGGGAGCTGTCTGTACCTGGGGGCCCACTCTGGACATGTCAGCCCTTGACACTAGAAAGCCCAGCCTCTCTTTCCCCACTTATTTTATTTTTATTTTTTGGAGACAGGGTCTCACTCTGTTTCCCAGGCTGGAGTTCAGTGGTGCGATCACAGATCACTGCAGCCTCGACTTCCCAGGTTCAGGTGATCCTCCCACCTCAGCCTCCTGAGTAGCTGGGATCACAGGCGCACACTAGCATGCCCGGCTAATTTTGTTTGTTTGTTTTTGTAGAGACGGGATCTCACTGTGTTACCCAGGCTGGTCCTGAACTCCTGGACTCAAGCAGCCCTCCCGCCTCAGCCTCCGAAAGTGCTGGTGTGAGCCACCATGCCCGGCCATCTCCTCACTTATAATTTGAAGATGATCCCTAGGTAGGGACGTGTTTCCTGCGTCCTCAGCACCCAGGCCTCCTTTTTGCAGCAACAGCCCTGGTTTTGGTTTGGGAATTCGCCTTAGCTCTCCCCCGATGGGGCTTTGGAATTGGAGCATGCAATTCAGTCCTGCCCAAGCAGCCTCCTGCACTCATGGGCCACAGAGGGTCAGGAGTGAGCATGTGACCTAAAGCGGTCCAGTCAGAGCGGGAGCCACAGAGAAGGCTGTCGCTCTTTCCTGCTGCCTTTCAAGCTGAGAAGTGAGGCTGGAACTGCAGCAGCCCTCTTGCCACCATGAGAAGAAGGTGTAGAGGTGTTTGAGCCAAAGTCCGAATCCCACAGAGTAGACAGCAAGATCCGGAACCAGAGAGAAACTGAGCAGGTATCTGCAGTCTCTCAGGGACAGCTGTAGGGTGGCCCCACCTTTCCAGGACACAGGGAAATATGGAGGGCTGAGCTCTGAACTTAGGTGCCCTGAAGCCTAGAGGACTGCATTCAAACTGGGCACGACCTCTCTGGCTCACTGAGGCAGGCGGGCTAGGGGGCAGCCAAGGAGGGAGAGACAGTAGGTAGGAGCCCCAGCCTCAGCACTGACCCTGCCAGGCAGCACTTGTGGCTTTGAGTGGTCATAAGTCATGGAATTTGCAATGTAGGACCTGGGGCAGGTACTCAGTGTGGTGGCAGCTTGCCCTGATTGGAGGCACAGGGCTGGGCTCTGCCATCCCATGCGGGAGCGTGGGGCAAGGCCCACTGGATCAGGACCAGGAAGGGAGGAGGCTGGGCCACCAAGGCAGATGGTGCAGGCGCTGTACCAGACCTTCTCTGCCAGGCCCTCACCTCAGAGACTCCTGTGCGTATCAGCCCTGCAGGGCGCGGGGGCTGGCTCCTGTGTGTCTGCCCGGCACCTCTCCATTGTCTTCATCTCCCTCAGGGAACCACCCCCACTCTCCACCCACATGGCTCAAGGATGGACACATGGGCCCAGCCTTAACAACCAGAGCCCTCCAGCTCCCCAGTATCAGTGACTGGTTTGGGTTTGGGCATGTGACCCATGCTTGGCCAATGAGAAGCACCCCTGGGACTTTTGTTATGAAAACATTAGAAAAAAAGCCTCTTTCTGCTGGGTTTGATGTCCTAATAGGATGCCAGTGGGGGGCTGTGGGTGCCATTTGACATTATATGGGGTGGCCTGCCTGAGAATGATGCCAACACAGAAAAAGAGAATGAGGAGGTGGAAAGAGAGCCGGGCCCCGGGTCACCGCTGGAGCACTGCGGCCCGAGATTTTTCCATCATAGGAATCCATACAGTTTCCCATCTTGCTTAGTGCAAGCACAGGGGTTTCCATCACTTCTACCTAAAAGGTACCTAAGAAATGCAGGAAAGTCCTGCCGTCCTTGGTACTCCCCCCTTGGGCACTCTTCCAGACTCCTCAGTCCCCCACCTTAATCCCACTCACCCACCTCATATTCTGTTTTCCAGTAAATCTTGTCTTTTCTACCCAAATCGCATCTCAAATCTCTCCCATTCAACTTCATCCCCAGTACCTTGGCCCCAGCCCCACACAGTCCAATGTCTGCACAGTCCTCTTAGAAGGGAGGATTGAGTCGGTTCTCTCTATAAACCCCTGATGGCTTCTCAAGCCCTTGCCTGGAACCAGACTCTGTGTCCCAGCCCCCTGTGTGCCTGGCTGCCTCTCCTTCCCCAAGCCCTCTCATGGCTCTGGCCTTCTTCCTAGTCTTCTGACCTGCTGAGCCTTTCCCAACTAAGGACATTCATCCATCCGTCCATCCATCCATCCATCCATTCATCCGTCCACCCGTCCGTCCGTCCGTCCATCCATCCATCCATCCATCCATCCATCCATCCATCCATCCGTCCATCCATTAATAGATGAGGACGCAGACGCTAGACACTAAGACGGCAGGACACCTGCCTGGGGTCATTGTGGAATTACCTGGCAGAACTAAGATTGAGACAGGCCTGAGGGATAAACATTTCAAAAGTGCCCAGGTCTGCCCAGTGGAGGCATTTTTTGGACAGTGAGATGCAGGAGATGCCGCGTTTGATTCCAGGACTAGTGCTGACCCTAACTTAGGCAAGGCGTTCCTGTTCCCTGGTCTTAGTCTCCCCATCTGTGAAATTTCATTCATTCATTCACTCATTCATTCATCCAACAAATATCTATGGAATGCTCACAACATGCCAGATGCTTATTCCAGGCACTGAGGGCACAGCAATGTGTGACACAGATGCTGCATCCACTTAGGACCTACCTTCTGGTAGAAGGAAACAGACAGATGAGGAGTATGGCAGGTGGGGTGACGCATGGAGAAAGATGAAGCCAGGGAAGGGGTGTAGGGAGTGGCAGGGCTGCTGTTTAGAAGGTGACTAGGGAAGCCTCGCTAAGAAGGTGACATCTGGCTGAAGAAAGACAGGTAACCTGGGAGGAGGACATCTCAGGAAGCAGGAACAGCAGGTGCAAAGGCCCAGAGGGGAGGGGGATGGTCAGGTGGTGAAGGATGAGAAGAGGTCAGAAGTTTAACAGGGGCCACACAGGTGCGGCCTCGTGGACCATGCTAACAGTGTATATTAATTGCCTGTGGTTGCAGCAAATTACCATAAACTGGCTGGGCATGGTGGCTCCTGCCTGTAATCCCAGCACTTAGGGAGGCTGAGGCAGGAGAATCAGCTGAGGCCAGGAGTTCAAGACCAGCCTGGGCAACATGGTGAGACCCCCCCCCCATCTCTACAAAAAAAAAAAAATAGCCAGGTTTGGTGGCGTGCACCTGTAGTCCCAGCTGCTTGGGAGGCTGAGATGGGCTGATTGCTTGAGCCCAGGTGGTTGAGGCTGCAGTGAGTGATCACGCCACCGCAGTCCAGCCTGCATGAGAGAGCAAGACCCTATCTCTACAAATAAAATAAATTAAAAATTTTAAATGACCGCAAACTTAGCGTCTTAACACAAATTTATTCTCTTTGTTTTGGAGGTCAGAAGTCAAATCAAGCTTTCAGTGGGGCTGTGCTCCTTCCCCAGGCTCTGGAGGAGGACGGGTGTCCCCGTCTTCTCCAGCGGCTAGAGGCTTCCTGCGGCCTTGGCTCGTGGCCACCTCACGTCACCTTTCCTTCCTCTGCTCCGTCACTGCGTCACCTTTCTGCCTTTGACCTCCTGCCTCCCTCTAAGGACTCTGCTGGTTGCTCTGGGCCCCCTGGATAGTCCAGGGCCATTGCCCCACCTCGAGAGCCTTCGTTCAATCACATCTGCATCGCTCCATCTGTCATGGAAGGCAACATAGTCACAGGTTCCAGGGCTCGGGATGTGGACGTCTTTGAGGGGCAGGGGGAGCACGTTATTCTGCAGGCCGCAGCGTGGGAGCTGGGAGGCTGTCAGGCTCCTGCTGTCACACAGCGACCATGGTGCTTAGACCAAGGGGCGTGGAGGAAGTGGCGAGAGGCACTGGACTGTGAAGATTCTGAAGACAGAGCCAAGAGGGTTGCTCACACATGGAGCTGGGTGTGAGGGAGGGGAGACGCCAGGGATGAGGGTGAGGGTCTTGTCCTGAGCTACTGGAAGGATGGCGATGATGGCCAGGAAACAGGAAGAATAGGTTGGGGAGGAGAGGAGAAGGCAGGAGTCTGCTTTCAGGCAGGTTGAATACAAAATGCCTGTGGAGCCTCTGAGGGGGAGGCAGCTGGCTGGGCAGGAGCCCAGGCGAGAGCCCAAGATGAGGCGAGAGTGTGGGAGGTGTCAGGGATGCGGGGCTGGGAGCCATGGGCCTGACGGGGCCACTTCGGGACAAGCATAGACAAAGAGGAAGAGGTCAGGGCTGAGCTCCGGGGCTGGCGGGGTTTACAGGCTGGGAAATGAAGAGATCAGGAAAGAAGGCGCAGGAGCAGCTGCAAGGGAGGCGGAGAGCAGGCAGGGTGAGCTTCCTGGAGGAGGTGGGTGGGCTCTCTCAATGCCTGGAGACCCCGTCAGGGTGGCCTGAGAGCTGACCGTGGGCCTGGTGGTGTGCAGGTTGGCAGTGACCTTGACCAGAGCCATGCTGGGGATGCAGTTTTGCTCCCCCAGATTCATAGGGTGGAGCCCCCGCCCCTGTGTGACTATATTTGGAGATAGGCCCCTTAAGGAAGTAATTCAGGTGAAGTGAGGTCATCAGGAGGGGCCCTGGCCCAGTAGGATTGGCGTCCTCACCAGAAGAAACTCTAAAGTGCAAGTGAGCTCACGCTCAGCCACGCCAGGACACACGGAGAAGGCGGCCACCCGCAAGCCAGGAGGGAGCCTCACAGGAACCCAGATGGGCTGGAACCTTTGCTTTGTTCTTTGAACCTCCAGGACTGTGAGAAATTAAGTTCATTGTTGAAGCCACCTGTCTGTGGCGGTTTTCTTACGGCAGCCCAAGCTGACTAAGGTGGGGTCAAGCCAGGTTGGAGTGGGCTCAAGGGGGAGGAAAAGGTGAAGTCTCTTTCAAGAGCGTAGCTGCAGAGGGGAGCTGAGAACACAGGTTAGGAGTCCGGTGGGGAAGGGGCCGTGTTGAGTGTTGAAGGCGGCCTCGCTGAGCACCTTGTGTTTCCAGCAGGGCAGGCGTGAGGAAGGAGAGAGGGAAGCTGAGGGGGGCTGCCTTGGCTGGGGGCCTGGTGGTTCCCCAGAGCAGCAGCAGCAGGGAGGCAGAGGCCTGGGTACCCCCAAGCCAGGGAGCCCTGGGGACGGGGCACCCACTCCTCAGTGAGCAGGGAGCCAACTTCGGGCAGGGTGGGGTGGCGAATGGACCAGGAAGGGAAGGAGGAGGCAGAGGAGGGAGGAGGCCCTTCTTTGAAGGAGCCGCCCCACTCAGCCAAGAGGATCTCAGGACAGAGCCAGGCTGGGGGCCTGGGCAGGTGTGGCCGGGGCAGGCCACTTCCCATCCCCAGCCCCATTTGGGATCCATGGGCTCGTCTGTCTGTCTCTCTGCCTCCTTCCAGGTCCTGGGCCCTGGGCTGTGGCCAGGGCTCTGCTCACCCTCAGGGCTGCGTGGGGACCTCCCTCGGTGGGGAAAGGAGGGAACCAAGGCCTCCCGTTATCCTCCATGCCCCCTACCTGTGGTCATGGCCTGGGGGAGGTGCATGCTCGTGCACAGGTGGGCGTGTCTGTGATCACATGGAGCAACCCAGACTCCTCCAGATGGCCCCACGCATCTCCCCGGCGGCCACACAGTCATCATTGCGGGCCCAGACTCTCTGCCTGCAGGAAGTCCCCCCTTTGCAGGCACCCTCCCCATCATCCTTGGAGTTCTCCACGTCTGCCCTGTCCGTGCTGGGCCTGTCACCAGCCTGTCACCTGCTGCCCCAGCCCCAGCCCAGGTCCCTGCAGCACAGCCGGCTCCAGGCTGGAATGGGTGACCCGGCCCTACTGAAGGAATTTCAGGGCAGGGTCAGCCACTCTGGCCACTGTCTCCCTCCAATGCCCCCATACCCTCCCAGCGCTCGGCCCCTGCCACTCGGCCCCCTCTCTCCATATCGCCACCTTCTCATTCCTGCTCCTCCCCCACCACCTCTCAAGGCCGACAGGGTGGGCATTGCCCAGTGAGGGGACACCACTCATATTGAAGTTCTGTAAACTGTGTCTTGGGCACTGTACCAGGTGGCTGCTCCCATCCCTCCCCTAGCGTCTGCTTGCCCTGTCCATCCTGCCTACTCCAGAAGCAGCCACACACTTGACCATAAGCCTTTGAGGCCTGGCCGGAGTCCTCCGGGGGAGGCGGGCAGTAGCAGCCGCACTGGGCCTGAGGACCCCACACAGGAAAATGGGCCGAGCCCCAGGGCTGAGCCTTAGGGCTGCGGCCGTTCCCGCCACTAACATTCCTCCCACACTTGTGGTCATGCATTTCCTGCTGCCCCTGCCCACGCTGCAGCCAGATAGGAACAGAAAAAGGACATCCTGCACCATTTCAGACAGGAATGTGCTCCTCCTGAAGGTCTTTTGGGGGCCAGGCTGAGGCCCCCCCTCAAGGTCACACCGTGGGGGACCCACTCCAGCTCTGCACCTGCTGGGGGTGATCCTCACTGTGCCACTGTCCCTCCCTGGACTCAGAATCAGATGAGGACAGTCACCTCTGCCCAGCCTGCCTTCTGGGCTGAGATGTGAGTCTGCAGGCAGCTGTCAGAGGTGGTGTGTGCCAGGTAGGGGACACGAGGGCTACCGCCCCTCAGGACCACCACACAGGGCCTCAGGGCCAGGCCAGCAGGCAGGACTCCTCCTGGACACTCAAGCCCTGAGTGGGGCTGACTATGGAGAGGTGGCAGGAAGGTGGTGGGGGATCTTCTGCAGGTCTGCCTGGAGCCAGCAGCTCCCGCTGACCATCCGGGCCACCCACAGCCCCCACCACCCTCCTCGTCTCCCTCATCTTCTGCTGTTTGGCCCTTGACCCCCTGAGGACAATAGGGTTTCCTGGTGACCACTGGGCTGTGGGTCACACAGATCTGGCTGGAATCCCAGTTCTGCCTGGCCGTGTCACCTCTGATGGGGAAGCACTCTGTCTCCTCATCTCTATGGTCGGGGAGTAACTTCCCTTACGGGCTTTTGGGGATATTAACAGAGGTCAACCTGGACAGGGCATGGGGCCCCCGGGGTGCACCATAAAGTCTTTCCTTCTTTCTTCTATCCTCAGGCGAGGGGTGAGTGGCTGCTGGGACGTGCTGAGGGGTCCCTGAAGCAGGGCAGGAAGGGCAGAGCTAGCTGCAGCTGAGGCAGAGTCCGAGTCCCGCTCTGCATGGAGGAGGAGGTGAGGGGCCTGGTCAGCATGGGCATGGCTGGGGGCCTCTGTGACCGCCACCACTCTTGTCTTTGCCTCCTTGACCCCACAGGGTCATCCTCGGGCCCTGGGTCCAGCCAAGGCCTGAGGAGGGTCATGCATCCCTGTCCCACTTGGTCACAGCACAGGAGGCTCCCATCCGCCACTGCCTGAGGCGGTGCCTGTGGCCCAAGGGCTCGGGTTGTGGGCCTGCTGGGCTGGAGCCTGCATCGGGACCTGGCCACCTACTCTCCTAGGAGCCTTAGGTGAGTCACTAGTCCTCTCTGAGCCTCGGTTTCCTCATCTGTGAAATGGGGAGAACAAGGTGGTTGTAAAGATTCAGAGGGTGTGTAAAACACAAGCACATGGCCGAGCACAGCCCAGCCCTACCCCTGCATGGCTCCTCCCCCGGGCATGGCAGGAGGTCAGGGTTTCCAGCCTGAGCTTAGCCTGCCATTCAGCAGTACCCAGGAAGGCACAGCTACCAGGAAAATGACCTCCCCAAGCCCATGGAGGCTTCCTGAGCACCCAGCCCAGCCTGAACCTCCACCCACCCAGGTGGCAGTGAGGCCTTCCTGCCTGTGTTCAGCCACGGTGTATCAAGGACCCCTGGCCAGACACAGGTACCTGGGCTGGGGAGCTGGTGGTCTTATTGGGGACTGGGAAGACAGACCCCAAACAGAGGGGTAAACAAATAAGATAATTACCAGCTTGGCAGATGATTAGAGCAAATTTGAAGTGACAGGGGGAGGGTTACTTTAGATTGGCTGGTCGGGGACACCTCTGTAAGACAGTGACATTGAGTGACAAGAAGGTGCCCACCCTGGAGGACACTGGGCTTCTTCACCTTTAAGAGGGATGGTGAGCAGAAGCCCAAAAGCGTCAGGTTCTGCCACTTTGTACCAGATGACTAGGCCCAGCCAGTTTGCAAAAGGGCTGGCCCATCCTCACATTGGCCCATCCTCACATTGCCAGCAAGGACCAGACCATGTGAAGAGGGAAGAGCATCCTGTAATGTACAAATAGGGGATCAACTTTAAATTATCTCCAGAGTTTCTTTCTTTAATATGTTGTCCAAAGGTAACTATGTTAATTTTTACAAATATTTTTATGTAGTTTTATATAGTTTTACAAATAGTTTTATGTAGTTTTGGTTTTTATTTGTTTGTTTTTGTTCTACTTGAGATGGGGTCTTGCTCTGTCACCGAGGCTGGAGTACAGTGGCACGATCTCAGTTCACTGCAGCCTCCACCTCCCAGGCTCAAGTGATCCTCCCACCTCAGCCTCCTGAGTAGCTGGGACTACAGATGCCAAGCCCCACTAATTTTTTTCAGAGACAGAGTTTTGCCATGTTGCCTAGGCTGATCTCCAACTCCTGGTCTCAAGTGATCTGGTCCCCTCAGCCTCTTAAAGGTCTGGGATAACAGGTGTGAGTCAGTGTGCCTGGCCTATGTAGCAGTTTTTAAAACTACAAAATTAAATAAGAAAGGGGCAGAGCTCAGACACAATGAGACTTTTCAGTCCAGTGTTTTCAGATTCTCTGGCTTTCAACTTTACAATTTCACTTCAAAAATTTCAACTTCAAATTTCACTTCATTGCTTTCAAAATCTTGAGCCAGCTTGTCCTTTGGATCTGGACTGTGCCTGTCTGCACTGGCAGATGGACAGAGCTCCTGTATAGAAATGAAGCCAGTTCACCCACGGCTTTTTTTTTTTTTTTTTTTTTTTTGAGAAGGAGTTTCGCTCTTGTTGTCCAGGCTGGAGCGCAATGGCACAATCTCGACTCACTGCAACCTCCGCCTCCTGGGTTCAAGCTGTTCTCCTGACTCAGCCTCCCGAGTGGCTGGGATTACAGGCATGCGCCATCACGTCCAGCTGATTTTTGTTTTTTGTTTTTTTTTTGTTTGTTTTTTTGTTTTGTATTTTTGATTTTTTGTGCTTAGTAGAGACAGAGTTTCACCATGTAGGTCAGGCTGGTCTCGAACTCCTGCTTCAGGTGATCTGCCCGCCTCAGCCTCCCAAAGTGCTGGGATTACAGGCGTGAGCCACTGTGCCCAGCTGTTTTTTTGTTTGTTTGTTTGTTTGTTTAAGCAAGCAGCTTTTTCTTTTCTTTTGTGATCGTAAAACCTACACCCACTGTATCAGCTGCCTGTTGCTGCTACAACAAATTGCCACAAATATAGTGGCTTAAAACAGCATACAATTTTTTCTTTCTTTTTTAAGTTATAACAATATATTTTAATCTCATAACAACTTCAACTGAATACAAAACTCTTTACATTTTCAGCTATTAATATTAAAATTATATCATTTTATATCCTGTATCTATTAACAGAGATTTATGCAGATTTACATTTTGTTCTTCAAATTCTATAGAATTTTAATTTTTTATTTTCATAGGTTATTGGGGAACACAGTGGTTACATGAGTAAGTTCTTTAGTGGTGATTTGTGAGATTTTGGTGCACCCATCACCCGAGCAGTATACACTGCACCCAATAAAACAACGCACATTTCCTGTCTTACATGTAGTTCTGGGGGTCAGAAGTCTAAAACGGGCCTCATGGGGCAAAAGGCAAGGTGACGGCAGGGCTGTTCTTTCTGGAAGTACTAGGAAAGACATCAAACTTTGCCCTTTCCAGTTTCTCAGGGGTGTGCTTGGCTCATGGCCATGTTCACTGCCGGCAGTGGCATCACTCCGACCTCTGCTGTAGAGCGATCTCTGTGACTCCTCCTTCTCTGCCTCTGACCCTCCTGTCTCCCTCTTTCCCTTGTAAGAGCCTCCTGATTACATTGGTCTTACCTGGATAATCCAAGACACTCTCCCCATCTGAAGATCCCTCATCAAATGGCATCTGCACAGCCCCTTTTGCCAGGTAAGTGACCATCTTCACAGGTTCCAGAAAGTAGGATGCAGGCATCTTTTGGGACCATCATTTCACTTACCATAGTCACCTTGGGGACAATTTCAGACATACGAAGACTAAGATCATTAAATTCCACTATTTAGCGCTCACCTTCTCAGCATTTTGGCCTGTTGTCTTGCAGCATTCTCCCATGAGTATAGATTTTTTTGTTTTTTGGGATGGAGTCTCGCTCAATTGCCCAGGCTGGAGTGCAGTGGTGCGATCTCGGCTCACTGCAACCTCCACCTCCCGGGTTCAAGTGATTCTCCTGCCCCAGCCTCCCGAGTAGCTAGGATTACAGGCACGTGCCACCACGCCTGGCTAATTTTTTGCATTTTTAGTAGAGACGGGGTTTCGCCGTGTTGGCCAGGATGGTCTTGATCTCCTGACCTCGTGATCCGCCCACCTCGGCCTCCCAAAGTGCTGGGATTACTTACAGGCGTGAGCCACAGCGCCCAGCCAAGTATAGATATTTAATGAAGTGAAATCATACTATCTATAACACCGTATGGATCTTTTCACTTAATATTCTCTTGTCAGTAAAAATCTTTCTAGATAACTTAGAGACAGCATAACCTCCCCTCACATGGATGCACTGCAGACTGTTTAACCCTTTCTTTATTGTCAATGATTTAAGTGGTTTCACATTGTCATGCCACATACAATGGAATGGGTAATGCCAGCTCACAATTATTGAGCATTTATTATGCACCAATCATTCGACATGTATTAACTCATCTAATCCTCATGACAGTGCTATGATATGCATACAGTTATTACGGATACAGGTCCAGGTGAGAAATGAAGCTCTCTTCAGAAGATGAACAAACTTGCCCAAGTTTGGGTAATACTACAGCAGGCCTTGAACCCAGGTTGCCTGACTCCAGAATCCATACTCTTAGCCACTCACATGCTCATGTTTTCTCCTAGCATCTCTGATTATCTATCTTAGGGTAGAATTCGGATAGGCAGAATGGCAGTTCATCAGGCTATATTTATTGAGGGCTTAGTTTGTGCATTTTCCATGGGCTCACTGAGTTAATCCTCATGACTCCAAGAAGTGGTCTGTTAACTGGCCGAAGCCACGCTGGTTGGCTCCAGTAGCTAGACTCTGCCTGGAACCTCTGTGTGGTAGCCAGTCATTAGCGGTGGTGAGGGCTACGGCCTCTCCCTGACAAGCTCACCTTGCCAGACGGTGCCCCCATGAATGCAAAATGCAGTCAGATCCCGCTATCGGAAAGAGGTAACAAAGCGCAGTCAGGTCACGCCATCAGAAACAGGTAACAAAGCGCAGTCAGGTCACGCCATTGGAAACAGGTAACAAAGCAGTCAGGTCACACCATCGGAAACAGGTAACAAAGCGCAGTCAGGTCACACCATTGGAAACAGGTAACAAAGCAGTCAGGTCACACCATCAGAAACAGGTAACAAAGCTCAGTCAGGTCACGCCATTGGAAACAGGTAACAAAGCAGTCAGGTCACACCATCAGAAACAAACATCAGAAACAGGTAACAAATCACAGTTGGGTCACACCACCAGAAACAGGTAACAAAGCGTAGTCAGGTCACACCATCGGAAATGGGTAACGAAGCGCAGTCATGTCACACCATCAGAAACAGGTAACAAAGTGCAGTTGGGTCACACCACCAGAAACAACCATCAGAAACAGGTAACAAAACACAGTCGGGTCACACCATCAGAAACAACCATCAGAAACAGGTAACAAAGCGCAGTCAGGTCACACCATCGGAAACAGGTAACAAAACACAGTCGGGTCACACCATCAGAAACAACCATCAGAAACAGGTAACAAAGCACAGTCAGGTCACACCATCGGAAACGGGTAACGAGGCACAGTTGGGTCACGCCATCAGAAACAACCATCAAAACAGGTAACAAAGTGCAGTCGGGTCATGCCATCAGAAACGGGTAACGAAGCGCACTCGGGTCACACCGTCGGAAACAGGTAACAAAGTGGGAGGTCAAGGCTGCAGTGATTATGCCACTGCACCCCAGCCTGGGAGACACAGCAAGACCCTGCCTCAAAAGAATGACAAAAATAAAATAAGTTGCTCTACCACTTTGCGTGGTCACCTGCAGAGTGTGAAAGTGTCCACTCACAATGTGGCCCTGGTTCTTAACTGACCATTTGGAGGGTTGTCTGTAGCCACTGAAACCCAGACTCCAGCTTCCTCCAGGCTCTCTGTCCGGCTGGACAGAAGGAGGAGCTGGTGCTGCTGTTTAGCCAGCCAGGGGATTGGAGGCTCACAGCAGGGGAGCGTGGGGCTGTCACCCATTCCTGTTTCCATGGTTTGTATGGGTAACCGGGAGGCAGCAGGCGACCCCATGGCTATGTCATCCACAGAGAGAAACCTTATCACATACGGAAGCTCTTATTCATACAACATATGCCAACCTTGTCAACCAATAAATGCCTATGGAGCCTTTACTCTGGATCAAGACATCCTTCCAAGTGATCCACCCGCCTCAGCCTCCCAAAGTGCTGGGATTACAGGCGTGAGCCGCCACACCTGGCTCGCCATTTTCCTTTAGCTTGTGATGTGATCATAAAGTGAGTCACATCTGCCAGGCGCAGTGGCTCACGCCTGAAATCCCAGCACTTTGGGAGGCTGAGGTGGGTGGATCATGAGGTCAGGAGATCAAGACCATCCTGGCTAACACGGTGAAAGCCCATCTCTACCAAAACTACAAAAAATTAGCTGGGCATGGTGGCAGACACCTGTAGTCCCAGCTACTCGGGAGGCTGAGGCAGGAGAATGGCATGAACCCGGGAAGCAGAGCTTGCAGTGAGCCGAGATGGCGCCATTGCACTCCCACCTGGGCGACAGAGTGAGACTCCATCTCAAAAAAAAAAAAAAAAAGTGAGTCACATCTCCCTCTGGATCTCAGTTTCCTTGTCTGTAAAAATGGTAAAGAAGGTTTTGACTAAGTGATCCCTGAGCCTTTGTAACTGCGAATTTGCTAAGTTTAGAGATTATTAGGACTTCTACCAGAGGGACAGTAACAGGGGTGGGGTTAAGTGAAACATCAATGTGAAGTGCCTGGCGTAGAAGATCCTCAGAGTCAAGTGAAGCTTGGGGAGCTTCATCACTGGAGTGTGGGCTGGACTTGGTGACTTGCATTCAGAGAGAAGGATGTGGAAATAGGAAAAATAGTAACATTACCACAGAGAAACCTGGCAGGACATCACCTTCACCAGTCAATGAAGGTCAGCATTCCCAGTGATGAGTCGTGTGAATACCAGGTACCCCCAGATATGATGGGGTGAGCAGGGCACCTCATCTCTGTGGTCTTCTTCCCCCAAACCCATAACTCCAGTGTAATCATGAGAAAACATCAGACAAACCCAAACCGATGAACTTTCTACAAAATACCTGACCAATACCCCTCAAAACTACCAAGAGCATGAAAAAGAAAAGTCTAAGAAACTGACGAAAACCAGAGAAGCCCATGAAGACATAGCTAAATATTAGGTGGTACGGGGTCCTGGATGAAAGGCACCGTATTAGTACGTCCTCATGCAGCTAATAAAGACATACCCGAGACTAGGTAATTTATAAAGAAAACGAGTTTAATTGACTCACAGTTCAGCATGGCTGGAGAGGCCTCAGGAAACTTACAATCATGGAGGAAGGGGAGGCAAACATGTCCTTCTTCACATGGCAGCAGGAAGGAGAAGTGCCGTGCAAAAGGAGGGGGAAAAACCCTTATAAAACCATCAGAGCTCATGAGAACTCACTATCATGAGAACAGCATGAGGGTAGCCACCCCCATGATTCAATTACCTTGCACCGGGTCCCTCCCATGACATGTGGGGATTATGGGAACTACAATTCAAGACGAGATTTGGGTGGGGACACAGCCAAACCATATCAGGCACATTCGTATTATAAGCTGCTGACATCTAAATAAAGTCTGGAGTTTGGTTACTAGTAATTTATCAATGTCAGTTCCATTGTTGGCACAAATGTGCCAGGTAACATAAAGGTTATATTAGGGGAAATTGAGTGAAGGGTAAATGGGAATTCCCTGTGTTATCTCTGAAACTTTTCAGTGAATCTAAAATTATCCCAAACTTAATAGTTTATTTTTTTTTAAAGTAAGGTCTAGGCCAACAAGCACATGAAGAAATGTTCAACATCATTACTCACTAGGGAAATGCAAGTCAAAACTCCAAGAGATACCACCTTACACCCACTAGGATGTCTATAATCAAAAAGACAGACAATAACAAATGTTTGTGAGGACGTGGGGAAATTGGAACCCTCATACGTTGTTGGAGGGAATGTAAAATGGTACAGCCACTTTGGAAAACAGTTTGGCAGTTTCTTAAAAAGTTAGACATAGAATTATCCAGGAATTCCTCTCTTAGTATGTACCCCAGAGAAAAGGAAATATATGTACAAATATAAAATACAAAGACTTCTTTTTTTTTTTTATTTTTTTTATTTTTTTTTATTTTTTAACCAATCGCAACTCTGTACGTTGGTATTATTCTAAGGGAGCAAAGCTTTGCCCCAACCCCCACCCCCATGTCCTGGTACTCTTCCACTCTGAGAGCTTTAGAACCGGGGTTCCAAAGTCTCTGCTTAGCCTAACAGTGACGTGCTTGTCACAAAGCCAGAGGCCGGTGTACTCGGGTTAGAGAGGGCCTTTGTCGTTGGGTTTTATTCTTATTGTATTATTCGGGCTCCACCGACCCAAATATTAGTCAACTGGGTTGGGCGAGGTAGGACGGATGAAGCCCACCGTCTAACAATCTGGACATCTATAGGAGCAGATCCGCCGCTCGAAACAGCTGACCCAGCGACGACTGCGGAACCACTAGCAGCGTCTGCACAGATCGACCCCGCCATCCCGCCGTCCCGTTCGGTGACCGGAGACGCAGCCGGGAACGCGACTGATCAGGCTACCGAGCCGGGCCGCAGGGCGAAAGCGGTGCGGTCCGAGGCCTCAGAAAGGGACACGCAGCAGCGGCAGTGGCGCTGACTCAGCCCGGCCTCCCTGCAGTCCCCTCAAATACAAAGACTTCTCCGCAAATGTTTATAGCAGCTTTATTTGTAATAGCCAAAAACTGATCACAATCCAAATGTCCACCAACAGATCAAAGGAGAAGCGAATTGTGATCTGTCCATATGAGGGGCTTGGTGCCTGCAGCAACATGGGTGAATCTCCAGGTAGTGGTGACGAGTTGAAGGAGCCAGTCAAAAAAGAACGTGCTGTGTGATTCCATTTATAGAAAACTCTAGAAAATGTGGACTAATCTAGAGTGAGGGAAAGCAGACCCGTGATTGCGCCTGGGGCAAGGAGACTTGGGGGTGGAGGGGGGGCCAGAGGGAGGGGTTTCAAAGATGATAAAGACATTTTGAGGGTGATGGATATGATCCCTCTCTTAATAGTGGCGATGGCTTCATGGATAGATACAAATGTCAAGACATATTGAACTGTATACTTTAAATGCTTGCGCTTTACTACGTGCCAATCACATCTTCATAAGGCTGTTTTTTGTTTTTTTGTTTGTTTTTTTTTTTTAAAAAAAAAGGCCTCGTAATGGAGATGAGTACAGCCTGGCCTCAGTCTCCCCACCTGCAATGTGGGGGATCCCCGTGTGCCTTGCACCACCTGAGAGCTCCAGGCTTAGGAGGAGACCGAGGTGAGCCCTGTTTCTAGCCAGAAACCCCAAGGCCCTAACCCCCAGGGCTGGGCAGCTGCAGGGCCCAGGCTACTGCCCCTCCGGGGATGGACGGTGCGAGGCCACTCCAGGGGCATGACCTGTTTTGGGCAGGCGGTGGCTGTGGGGAGAAGAGTGGGGAGGTCCCTTTCTTTTTTCTTCCTGAATAAAAAAATGCATGATGCTACATGTGCCTTGGGATTTTTCAACACAATTATCTAAAAATAGTGTGGGCCACCACAGCCTGATTCCTTTTTAGGAAGGATTTTGGGAGCCCAGCCTGTCCTGGCGGCCAGCTCAGGAAGTGGAGGCTTGTCTGGGTGGGGCCGGGGCTGCAGCGACCCTTCCCTAGCTCCGGCCAAGCCCACCCCATCTCCCACTTCGCTGAGAGCCGGGCTGCCAGGAGTGCATGGTGGGGCGGCCAGTGGCTTCCTGGCGGGGCCCACAGCCCCAGTGAATTTCAGCCCTGCTGCTAGGGCACTGCATGACTTCTCTGTGCCTCAGTTTCCCCAACGGGGAAGTGGAAGTCATTGATCACAGTCAACAAGGCCCAGCAGAGACAGGAAAGACACTACTGAGGGAGGGTTGATGGGTGCCTGCTTCTCAGTTGAGCCTCTGTCCTTGCAAAATCAGGCAAACCGTCCGGGTGTCCTGGACAACTCTGACACCTTCCTGCCCCACCTAGGCCTTGGGACCAGCAGGGTGAGACCCAAGGCCTGGACTCCCAAGGCCAACAGTGGCCAGCTCAGGTTGGTTCCACTGCTCACACTCTGCTGACACATCCTTTCCCTATGGGGAGCTAAAGGTCAGACCCTGCACGTGGCCTCCTTTGTTTCCAGGGAGCATGGTGGGTTCTGGAGGCCCAGCACAGCCCCCTGTCCATCCACAAGCAAAGGCCTCGGCCCACTGCTGCGGTGGCCCCAAAACACCGCGTGGCCTGTGGCTGAGGCCTGGACCACCATGCCTGTGGGCAGGGGTCAGGACACATGTTCTGATCACCTGCCGTGCGGTTGGTGCTCTTCCAAACCTGAGGGCCCAGTTCTTATGTCTGTGGCCCAAGAAAGAAAAATCCAGCTACTCAAATAATTTTGAAATGACTCAGAACCTTGCATTTCTCTCTCTCTCTCTTTTTTTTTTTTTTTTGACACAGTGTCTCACTCTGTCGCCCAGGCTGGAGTGCAGTGGCACAATCTTGGCTCACTGCAACCTCCACCTCCCGGGTTCAAATGATTCTCCTGCCTCAGCCTACTGGTAGCTGGGATTACAGGTGTGCACCACCATGCTTGGCTAATTTCTGGGTTTTTTTTTAGTAGAGATGGGCTTTCACCACGTTGGTCAGGCCGGTCTGGAACTCCTGACCTCGTGATCCACCCGCCTCAGCCTCCCAAAGTGCTGGGATTACAGGCGTGAGTCACCGCGCCCAAAAACTTTGAGGGAGCTTTAAGCCCCCAGCCCCGGGCATCCCGCCCTTCTCTGATCAGTGAGGCCATTGGTGACCAGCTCTGCGGAACCCAGGGCCAGTGGCATCCAGACTGCAGGTTCATGTGTGTACACACAGACACGCACGGTGCACACACCCAGGTGCTACACCTCCCTGGGAGCAGGGAGGGATGGAGGGGCTGGGCAGCCTCCTGCGATGCTGTCAGGCCTGCCTCCCTTGGGCTGCTGTTGCCCTGGCAACCACCACAGGCTCAGGGCTGGAAGCCAAAGGACCAGCTCCCCCCTCCCACGCTGTGGTGCCCATGCGGGGCGTGGTCTCTCTTTGAGTGCTCCGGCCAGAGCTGTTTTCACAGAAAGGTAGGGGGAGGGCAGAGGGTGGCGTGGAGCGCTGCTGTGACTGCAAAAAGGGACAGGATTGGGTGGGGGCCAAAGAAGGCACTCCCCCCAGGCACATCCAGCTCCCTAGAGAGATCTCAGGGGACAGGTGATGGGGTAGGCGCTCAGAGTACACACTCCAGAGGCCAGGGAAGGACTGCAGCCAGGAGAAAGGGGAGGCGCCCAGGCCGCGGCACGAGGAGGAGTCTCCCCTGTCGTCACCACCACGCCAGGCCAGGACCAGTGCCTGAAGGAAGCCACTCCTGACCGCAGCCCCCGCGGCTTCTCCTCCCACTACTCCTGGCTGGTTTTCCTGACCAGAGCCTCCCCTCGTGCTGTCCGCTCTTCTGCTCCTTTCAAATCCTCACAGATGCCCCTACATGTCCTTCCACTCAGGCAGAGGGGCTTGAAACCCAGAGCTGGCGCTCTTCCTACAGCAAGAGCGGGGGTGAAGAGTTTGCCCTTGACTTGCGTGGCCCATAGTGATGCACTGTTGTGAGCGCCTGAGTGTGTCCGCCCAGCCGAAGGCCCCTCCCCGCCTCTGTTTCTCCCACAGGGGTCTCAGCCCGAGCGCCCTGTGCTAGCGCAATTGCTGAGCCCACCTCACTCAGCACAGTGCCACGTTCAGCAGGCACCCACTGTGCACCAGGCACACCGCACAAGGAGCCCAGCAGGCGGTGTTCTGGACATTCTTCCCCCTCCCGGCCCAGGCCTTCAGGGAGCGAGCAGAGAATGGAGGACTAGGTCAGCTTCTCCTGGCCCCACTGGAGGCCACAGCCACGGGTGCTGGAGTCACGCACCCTGGGTTTCAAGTCCGGCTCCACTGTGTATCTGCTGCGTGACTTTCAGTCTGTCACTTGCCCTCTCTGTGCCCCACCTTACTCATCTGTAAATGAGGGGTAATAAAGGCACCTACCTCATTGATTAGTTTGTTGTAAAAATCAAATCTGATCATGTCTTGAAAGCCTCAAGTACAAGGTTCCTGGTGCAGTGAGCATCGGCTATTTGGTTTAGAGGGGCGCGAGGCAGGGAGAAGCAGGACCTGTGCCTTCTTGCCCGTGTTCGTCTTACACGGGTCACATGCCCATGGGAGTTCCCACTCTGGGCCTCAGTTTCCCCAGCTGGGGGCTGAGAAGGTGAGGCTCACCAATGACGATGTCTCTGGCTGTCCTGTCTCCTACAGGCCAGGACTGCAGGGGATGCAGGCAGAGCCAAGGGCATCCAGTTGTTGTGTGACGTTGGACAGGTCACCCTCCCGGGGCCTCTGCTCGGTCTCCTGTCCTGTAAGAGGCTCCAGCTGGTGCTGTTCCCTCCCAAACACCTTTGTGAGCTGTGGAAAACATCAGAGACCTCAGGAGGTCCTTCTAGCTGGGGCCCGCTGCATGCCAGGTCTCCATGGCACCCAACCCTGCAAGGTCACGGCTCTCAAGAGGCTGGGCACTTGCTCCAGGTCTCAGCAAGAACAAAGCTGGTCGCTGCATCTCGGTCTGTTGGGCCCCAAGACCTTTGCTATAACCGTCTCCTCCTGCCTCAGCCCCTGGCCCCCACCCTACCTCCCAGAAAGTTCTCCCCCAAGTTCCTGGGTGAGAGCCAGTGGCCCTGGCGTGTGACAGCTTTTGGCTTTCTCCCATCAGAAGAGCAATTTTTTCCTCTCCTTGGCTGTACTTTCTTTTAATGACTTTTTGGCTCAAGGCCCAAGCTGGATCAAAGACTCCCTGGGGGAGGACAGTAGGAGAGGACAGCAGGTTTGCTGTGAGAAAATCGTGGAGGTGAAGCTTGTGTCTTAGGGTCTGGAGGGGACAGATGGGCCCAGGAGGTGGGGCTGCCTCAGGCTCCAAATGGGGAAGGGGTGTGGAACCTCTCTGTCTCTCACCACAGATGCAGAAGAGGAGGTAAGGACAAGGAGCACAGGGTGGAGAAAGGAGCCCGTTAGGGTGAAGTGAGAACAGGAGGCTCCCAGTGTGTTAGCTGGGACTGGACAACCTCTGGGCCCAAGCTTGAGGTCCCAGTGGACCCCTGTCTTCAGAGAAGCCTGAAAGATCTGCTCAGACAAGGAAGGAGGTGAGGGTGGGGCAAGGAGCCTGGGACTGTCTCTAGGAGATTCTGACTCCCTTCACCTTCCTTCTCTCTCACTCAGCACCATCCCCTCCCCACCTGCCAGGCTGGACCCAACTGGGGAAGCCTGGGAAGTACCCCTTGACTTGGTGGGTCCTGGTGTCAAGGGAAAAGATAACCCTCCTGAGAGTAGCTGCCCTGTAGCTGGGCCTCCAAGGTGCCAGGAGGGGAAAGGGCCAGGGCCTGGAAAACACAGCTGCTGATGGCAGCCTGGAGCTAGCCCCGCAGGGCGGGGGGCCACGCAAGTGGTAAACAGGAGGGAGGTGGCTCACCCCTTGGGAGCTGCTGCGGATGTTGTTTTGGAAAAGGGATCAGGAGTCAGCCACTGTGGAGCGCCAGGGCCCTGGAGAGCCAGAGAGAGCCACTGCAACAGAGACAGTCCTGCTGGAGCCCAGGAGTCTGGGAGAGCCAGTAAAGATTTGGGTGAGGGAGGCCCAACTGCTCCTCTGAGGAATAAGGAGAGACCCTCCCTCTAGACAGAGTCATCAGGGTTTGTCCAGAATGGCTTGGGTTTCATACACACTGACCTAAGTGACTTCTCATGTGCACACTCCCTGCACACAGACCCCTGAACACATGTTCACATGCACTCCACACACACCCTCGCACACACATTCCTGCACACACACTCCTGCACATATACACACTCACATACAGCCCTGCACACACAGGTTCTGTGTGAGGCCACATGGTTCAAGTCTCAGCATCACCACTTCTTGGCTCTAAATGTGGGCGTTTCACTTACGCTCTCTAAGCCTCAGTTTCCCCATCTGCCAGGTGGAGCCAATACTCTTGTCCTACCTCTGGGTGATTGCGAGGTTAGCAATGCCAGCTGCCAGCTTGGACCCATGTAAGTCATTGTCCTCCCCGTTTAGTTAAGGAAACTGCATCTCAGCAAGGTCGAGGGAGTGGCCCCAGTGCCTGGGCCAAGTAACAGGACAGGACTTGAATCACATTTTGAACCAGAGGTCACCTGCACATCACACATCCATATTCACCCATATGTGCCCACACGAGTTAGCAACTCGTGCACACTCATAGATGCACGTGATTGTAATAATAGCCTCCATTGATGCGCATTTACCATAGGCTGGGCATTGTGCCAAGTGCTTTACCCATGCTCACACAGCACCTCACACCTCAGTGCTGCCCCGATGTGTTTGGCTGCAAGTAACAGAATTCAACAAAACCACAAATACAGCCATTGTTACTTCACAAGGACCCTGGGCATAGGCAGTTTCCGGGTGGCTTGGCTGCTTGGTGAGGTCATCAAGGACCCAGGTTCTTTCCCTCTCTCTGCCCACCATCCTCTGTGTTAACTTGGTGCCACATAGTTGCAGGATGGCTGCTGCAGCACCGGCCACCACGTCTGCACTCCAGCATGAAAGAAAGTGAGGGTGGACCTAAGAGAACTCTCCTTTCACACCCTTCCCTTTTGTTAAGAAGCAAAAGCTCTCCCAGAAGCACCCCCACAAAAAACTTTCCCTTACACTTCATTGCCTGAAATTGCGTCAATGGCCCCTAGCTGCAAAGGAGGCTGGGAAAGAAAGGGCCTGGCACAGGGGTACAGGGCCATCATCACTGACTTATGCAATGAAGCAAGACTTGTCCCTGGGGCTGGGCATTCTGCCGCCTTGAACAAAATCAACGTTCTGTTGGCCAGGAAGAGGAGGTGAAGGTGGATGAAAATGTCTACTGCTTGTGCCCTTCAGCACCATCCTTCATCCCTCCTCCAGGGGGCAGTGTGGGACAGAAGACACAGAAGGCACAGGGGTGTGAACGCCTGGCGGGGGATGAGGGGACCCCAAATTCCAGTGCAAACCCAGCCAGCAACAGGCCTGCTGCAGACAGCTTCCTGGAACAAGGCACGTACCTGGTTGTGCCCACCCCAGGCACCAGAATCCAGGTCACAACGGCACGTGTCCCCGAACCCAGACATCTAGTGCTGTGGTTCTTAACCTTTGTTTCTTCCTGCCATGACACATGGATGGGATGGGTGCATGCCCATGGCCGTCCTACCCTTCACCAGCCCTCACCAAAACATATCTGCCTGCGAGTGCCTGATGACGCTGTCATGGGGTAGCCTGGAGTCCCCTCTAACGAAAGACAACAGGAAGTCAGTAGCTCACCTTCCCCAGGCATCACATGGAGCCAGCCGGGAGTCCCTAGTGCGGGGAATGACTGCCTCATGGAGCATTTGTGAAGATGGGTTGTTGAGAAGGGCTTGCTGTCATGTTCCTTCTGGAGTGACATTAATCCGGCCTGCCCTTCAGTCAACACAGCTTGAGGACCAGCCCTGGCTGAGTGCTGAGGGCGGGGCTTGGCTGTCCGGGACCAACCACGGGTCTTTTTTGGGAGATGCGTCCCTGTTTGGATTTTATCTGAAAGCCCTCTATCCAGGGTCCTGTTGACGCCATGTGTGCCCTGTGGGCCTTGGTCCGGGTCATGCATTCTGGGGACGCTCTCCTGAGCTGGAGCACTAGCCACTGTGCACATGATGTTTGGGGTCCCTGACCCTGCAAAAGCTCCAAGCTCCCTGGAGCACCCTTCCTGCCTGCCCAGCCAGCAGTTTCTAGTGGAAGTTTATTTCCTTCTGCGCGCTCTGCGGTGCTGGCCGCCGGCCTAACGAGCACGGCTTCTTGCTTTATGTTAGGCCCTGCAGATCTCCGGCAGAAGCTGTCTCTGTCCCAGGCACTGGCAGAGGGAGGGGATGGAATCCCTTCCAGATCAGAGTCAGAGATGGAAGCAGAAGCCCCTCCAGACAGCGCATGGCCCCAGGACACTTGCTGGGGGAGCCCCAACAAATCTCGTACTTGGGCAGTGCAGGACTCAGCACCCTTTGGACAGATCTCCCGCCCACTGTCTCCCTAAACACTGAGAACTGAACTTCTTATAAATGCTTTTGGGTGTTAAGAATGGGGCTTGGGAAGGCTGTGATCACACCACCGCACTCCAGCCTGGGTGACAGAGCAAGGCCCTGTCTCGAAGAAAAAAAAAAGAGTGTGGCAGTAGATCCTGGTGGCCCTTCCCTTTGAGAGAGCGGGTGGCAGGGAGTGGCTGGGTGTGAAGGGTGCATGTGCCGCGATTCAAGGAGAGGGAGTCCCCACAGGTCCCCACATGGCTGTGTCAGCAGCTTTGGCTTCCAGCAAGTGGCGGGAGGGGAGGGCGTGTTTGTCTGAAAAGGTTACTAAAGGTTGTTTCACTCAAAGGATTTGGTTCTTTGCAACCTGGCCGCTTGGATCCCAGAGTTGGGCGAGGTGGGAGACACAGTGGGGTTTTCAGCTCATCTCCGCTCTGGGCGGGCTGGGGGCAGGGGCAGGGACTGGGTGTCCTCTCTGGCTGCAGCTGCACTCCTTGCAAGAAGGGAGGGGGTTCTGGTGAGGGAGGGCCAGAGCCCAGGTGTTCACACCTGCGTATGCTGAGCCTGTGTGGGGTGCTGGGGACATGGAGACCCTGTCCCTGAGGAGTGTTCAGCCCTGGAGAGGGGCTGATGGCCATGCAGGTCACCATGGAGCTGAAGTTCTCAAATGGGGGTAATTGTGTCTCCCAGGGACCATTTGGCAATGTCACAATTGCCAAGGGATACTGCTGGCATCTAGTGGGTAGAAGCCGGGGCACTGCTAAAAATCCCACCATACACAGGACAGCTCCCCACCACGTGGACCTATCCAGCCTCCAAATATTAACAGGGCGTCTTGGGACCACCAGCGTGCTGCCAGGGAGCCAACTTCTGCCTGGTCAGCTAACTCCACCGTCCCAGAGCCTGGGGAATAGCGAGGAGCGGCTGGAGACTGGCGCATGAGATCACCTCTCATGGCGCGACGCTGCCTGATCAGGTAACTGCGCTGACTCATCAGGCTGCCATCCCGTGGCCCTGGAGAGTGGCTTGTGGTCTTTGGCTCTGGGGTAGTGAGAGCCTGCTGGCCCTGGGAGGGTCCAGCCCTTTTCTTAGGCTCTTCAAGTCCCAGCACACACATGGGGACTGGCTCTCTTCTCAGGGTGGCCGAGGCCCTGCTGGACTTGGAGAGATACAAGCCCTAAACAGGGGGCTTTCTTCATACTCAAGCATCCAGCTGCCTTCTCTGGCCTATCTCTCTCAGAAAATGGACAGGAGGCTCCCGCCTGTGTCCCTGCTCCAAGACTTTCCTGCCCAGAGCACTGAGGCCCAAATGAGAACAACCAAAATAGGGCAGAGGCCAGATCAGAGTCCACATCTTATCTTACTTTTTTGAACTCCCCTGCACCTTCCAGATAAAACCTCCATCTGCCCTTCCAATGATGTGACTTTGCTTCAACTTGCTTTTCAATTTTCTTCTTTGAGACGGAGTCTTCCTTTGTCGCCCAGGCTGGAGTGCAGTGGCGCAATCTTGGCTCACTGCAACCTCCGCCTCCTGAGTTCAAGCAATTCTCCTTCCTCAGCCTCCTGAGTAGCTAGGATTACAGGCATGTGCCACCACACCCAGCTAATTTTTGTATTTTTGGTAGAGATAGGGTTTCACTATATTGGCCAGGCTGGTCTCGAACTCCTGACCTTGTGATCTGCCCACCTCAGCCTCCCAAAGTGCTGGGATTACAGGCGTGAGCCACCACGCCCAGCCAACTTGCTTTTCTAACTGCCCCCCTTGTCCCTCTCAAAGCCCTGGACTCTTCAAAGTCCCTGCCCTCCTGCCACATAGCCCACCTCCCACCCCATCAACACTGACTCTGCCTCCCCCACCTCGTCCCCACTGACAAGCCCAAATTTCACTGTTCCCTCTTTGGTCACTTCTGCCTCAGCGCTTCCGTTCAGCACTTACTGCATTTGAAATTCAAACAAAAGAAAATGGCTTTAGGAAACTTTTTTTTTAACCAAAAAAAAAAAACTTCTTGTACTTTTTAAAAACCAGAAAAGTGTAGAGAAGAAAACAAAAGCCTTAAAATGCTTCATTCCTAGAAAGCCGCCGCTAACAGCTGGAGAACATCCCTGCCCGTGTCTCAGCGCAAATACACACCAATAAATCCATGTTTCCAACTCCACAGAAGCCGGATCTCTTTGGCGTGGCTGCTTGTTCATCCATCAATGTGACATGGAGAACCTTCCGTGTCAATACAAACACCCGTGCGCTCGCTGACCCAGTTGTGGGAACGTATTCCATGGGATCCACAGATTCTAATCGAATTCTTTAGTTCCCAGTTAAAGGACTTTAGATGATTTCCAACTTTTTATTTTAACAAACAAGACAAGATTGTCCAATGTATACTTTGAACCAATGGTGATCATAAAAATAATAACTACAGTGCATGAAATACCAGTTACACGCCTGGCATCCCTCGAAGCACTTTATACACAGTAACTCATTTACTCCTCCCAACAAACCTGCAAGGCGGGTACTGTTAGTGCCCATTTTACAGACAGGTAAAGTGAGGCATGGAGTTTATGCTAGAGGTCAAAAGTTAGTAAGGGGTGGCTGGGCGTGGTGGCTCATGCCTGTAATCCCAGCACTTTGGGAGGCCAAGGTGGGCAGATCACAAGATCAGGAGATCGAGACCATCCTGGGTAACACGGTGAAATCCTGTCTCTACTAAAAATACAAAAAATTAGCCGGGCGTGGTGGCGGGCGCCTGTAGTCCCAGCTACTCGGGAGGCTGAGGCAGGAGAATGGCGTGAACCCGGGAGGCAGAGCTTGCAGTGAGCTGAGATCGCGCCACTGCACTCGGGCCTGGGTGATAGAGCCAGACTCCATCTCAAAAAAAAAAAAAAAAAAGTTAGTAAGGGGCAGAGCCTTCATAACCAACTTGCCCATGCTGGGGGAAATGTTTCTAATCTTTTTAATAATCTAATGGGGGGGTGCAGAAAATCTGAATGTTGCTTTTATTTTCATTTTTGTTACTCATCAGGTTGATTTCTATTTTTTGTTTTTTTCTAAGTGTTGATAAGCATTCATTTTCTTTTTTAAGAGATGGAGTCTCCCTCTGTCACCCAGGCTAGAGTGCAGTGGCACCTGCAACCTCGAACTCCTGGGCTCAAGTGGTCCTCCTGCCTCAGCAGCCTGAGTAGCCAAGACTGCAGGCACACACTGCCATGCCCAACTCACTTATTTCCGTTTTTATTAAAAAATTTTTTTTTTGTAGAGATGTGGTCTCACTGTGTTGCCCAGGCTGGTCTTGAACTCCTGATCTCACGTGATCCTCCCACCTCGGCCTCCCAAATAGCTGGAATTACAGGCATGAGCCACTGTGTCCAGTCTTAATTCTTTCATGAGTTACTTCTTAGCCATGTCTTTTTCTCATTTTTCAACTGAGGCCTTCACAGTTTATTGATGAATTATAGTGCTTCATACACCGTGGAACTAGCCCTTTGTTTTAGAGAGGGAGGCCCTCTAGGCAGGGATTGCACCATCCTCACCCCATTTCCCCAGCCTGGCATGGAGTCGGCTGCCAGTACCTGGGGTTCCAGGAGGCGTGACACCTCATCATTCAAAAGGGGGCTCTGGAAGCTCCTAGCGCTTGACAGGGGCCCGACCGATTTATCATCAACTCTAATGTCTGGTCTGCCCGCTTGGCCCAATAATAACTCCCTCTGTTTGCTCAGAGCTTGTAAAGTTTAGAATGAACGTCCTCACACACTCATCTGATTTGATGCGCACGCAGCCAGGTGAGCCAGGCGTGATGCATGAGCCCCTTGTTAGAAATGAAGAGACTGGGACTCGTAACACAGAACACGCCAAAGCGCCCATGGCCGAGACTGACGTCCAACTCAGGGCTTCTTGGTCTAAGGCTCACCCGCTCCATCTCTGAGTGACAAACTCAAATCAGGGGCCTCTCAGAACCCCAGTTTGCTGGTCAGAAGAATGGGGTGGAATTTTCTGCCTGCAGAGGACAGGGCCCTCTAAAGGCCTGGCTCCCTGACACGCCTGGAGACTGGCACACAGCAGTCCTTGCACCCGCCCCGTTCCCCACCCAGTCAGGCCAGGGCTGTGGGCCAGGCCAGCCTGCCTCTCAGAGAGCTCCCAGCTGGGGCTGAGCTCAGGGAGGGAGCCAAGGGAGCAGCGAGCAGCGAGCAGCGGGCGGCACAAGGGCCCCTTTGTGCCTGTTGCTAAGGGCCCGGCTGTATTTACTCACCTTCAGTAAACAGGAGGTGCTGGAGGCCCCGCTCTGTTATGACAACTTAAAGAGCATTTTCTTTCCTTCCTCAGCTGCTCATGCCCCAGGTAGCTCCAGGTGAGTCCCCACAGTGGAGGGGCTTCCCTGGGGCTGAGCTGGAGCTGAGTGGCAGGGCTAGGGAGCATCAGAAGGGTCACTTGGCTCAGCTCTTGAGGCTCTGATGGGGACGCTGACACTGGAGGGGGTCCCTGGCCCAAGGTCACAGGGGAGGGTCAGGCCAACATAGGCCTGACAGCTGCGGTCTGTCCTCTGCACAGAGCTGATTTGGGAAGCGTCCACCTGTCCCTCACACACTGGTTGTCAGCGTTTGGCTAAGTCCCCAGGCCATTCCCCGGGGAGGTTAGAGGGAGGCTGCCCAGCTCACCTCCACCCAGAATTTTCTGGAACCAGGCCCTTGGAGGCAGAGAACAACTTGAGTCATGGTCATTTTTTAAGGGTCTTAATGTCTTACCGACACATGGAGATCACGTTATAAGAATCATAATATTGTTTGTAATGCTTATGGTGAACAAATTACCACTTTCAGCCCCCACTGGGGCAATAGCCTAGTGGTAGCTACCAAGTAGATACAGGATTTATTTCCGACACATCCAGGTTTAGGAGCCATAGGAGGTGCGTCCAGTGATGGGACCCTCCCTGGTGGCTGTGAAACAAACTTCCTCTGGCCCTGCAGACATCGTGGTTGTGCCTGAGTCTGTAACCTCCTTTGGAGAGAATGTCAAAGGCTTATGTTTGAGGCCCTTAGTGTGCAAGAAGGCTCCTGTGACAGGCCCAGCCCAAGGCAGCCGGCAGCCAGGTCTCCTGCGTGACCTTTAGCCAGTGCTCACCCCCTCTGACTCCCTTCCTCCAAGGGAGGGGTGAGCTGTGCTGGGGCTCTGCCTCTCCCCACACTGAGGGCTTGGAAGGGCTGGGGTGGAGGCATTTCTGGACTGGAAAGTGATCTCCAAGAATCCCTATGACCCCTGGGCAGGTGCCTGGGGGCTTCCAAAAGGCGGGAAGCTTCTCCTGCTGGAGTCCCACCCTCTCCTCCTGCCGCACACAAGGGCTCTGTGTACTTTGGTGTGGCCTGGACTGCAGGCAGGGAATCCTTTGGGGGAACCGAGCTGCTGTGTGGATTTCCTCCACGGTGGGGGCAGCCCATCCTGGGGAGGCCTCCTTGCCCCAGGGCCACCTCGTCCTGGCAAACAACCCACAGCTCAGGGTTCGGCCTGGGGTGGCTGTGATCCTGGCCCAGTGTTCTTTAAAAGAGTCAGCTCTGGCTGCCAGCCTGGCAGGGGAAGGTCAGGGGCACGCAAGAGCACACAGGCTGCCTCACCTGGGTTGGCGTGGCTGGGTTTGCCCCCAGAGGAAGCTCACCCTGCAGTCTGGGGCTCCCACCGGGCCCTGCATCTACCCCTCAGCACATTGCTCTGGCAGAATCAAATCGTGTCAGTGGGAGCTTCTGAGTGAGCCTCAGACAGATGGTGAACAGCAAGGAGGGGGCAGGGCCCTGTGGGGCTGAGCCCTCCCCCAGGCCCAGCCCTGGGCCCCCAGAGCTGGCCTTATTGTCCTCATTTACAGATGAATAATCTGAAGCTCACAAGGCCCCAGGAAGCATGGGGACAACATAGGGGACAGTGCTGTGTCTGGAGATGGGCCTGGAGCAACTGTGTGTCCCATCCCTGGCAGCTGCCTCTCAGAAGGAAGCCGAGAGCCCCACGTGGCCATCCATCGGCCACATGACATCAAGCACGTTACTCGACCTCTCTGGGCCTCAGGGTTCATAAATAGTACCCACCTTATGGGGTTGCGGCAGTTAGTGAATTCATACTTTTTAAGCACTTAGCATAGTGCCAGAAATAATCATTACATACGTTTCTCAAATAAAACAAATATACTGTAACGGGATGATGACAATGAGAATGGCGACCATTACAGGACGAAACTGTCTTGGAGAAAGCAAAACAGCTCAAGCCTGCAGACCTCAGAGAGTTCTTCTGCTAAGGTGCCTCTAGGGTGCCTGGATTCTGGGAGAGGGGTCACTGCCTAAGGTGATCTGGGCTGGACTGGTCCCTGGGCCACTGTCTGGGAGTTCTCTGAAGGCCAGGTGGCTCACAGCCTTCCTCCTTGGCCTTCCCTGATCTCTGCCCAGCCTGGCAACTCACTTCAAGGTGCTGTTAAGACCCTTTTCTCCTGGGCACTCAGCCCTGCTGCAGGTGTGACGTCAAAAATTGATCAGCCTCTGCTAATCTGACCCAGGTGGGGTTCTCTGTGTATGGCTCTGTGCTGGGCACAGGTGCTTGCAGGGGACACAGTGGAAGGTCCGGCCATCAAGGTGCCAAAAGGGTGAAGGGCACACTGATCCGAACATGCGTCACCCTGGATTTCTTTTTCTCTTTTCTTTTCTTTTCTCTCTCTCTCTCTCTCTTCTTTCTTCCTTTATTTATTTTTTTTTTTTTTGAGACAGAGTCTTGCTCTGTCACCCAGGTTGGAGTGCAGTGGTGCGATCTTGACTCACTGCAACCTCCGCCTCCCAGGTTCAAGCAATTCTCCTGCCTCAGCCTCCTAAGTAGCTGGGATTACAGGTGTGCGCCCCTACGCCCAGCTAATTTTTATATTGTTAATAGAGACGGTGTTTCACTGTGTTGACTAGGCTGGTCTTGAACTCCTGACCTCAGGTGATCCACCAGCCTCAGCCTCCCAAAGTGCTAGCCGGGAGCAGGGGCTCACGCCTGTAACCCTGTCGGACTTCTGTGTGGGAGGGCAGGCGGCAGGAATTATGGACCCAGGAACAGGACAGACCAAATCAAAGTGGCCTCAGAGAGGCAACATGGCTCAGCTCAGAGCCAGGCAGGAGTGTACAGTGCCCCAGGGCTTATACTACTGTCCCTGTGTCAGAGGTGACAAAGCTGGAGCTCAAAGAGGTAAAGGGACTTGCCCAAGGCCACAAAGCTAGTAAGGGGCAGAGCAGCACCTCGCAAGCCTCTGGGGGTTCATGTTGCTTCCAGGGGCCAAACCTTGATTCATTCTGAGCCTGATTCAAAAGCCAGATTTTGATACCCCTTCTTTTCCTGGGCCCTCCTTTCTGTTTTGTTTGGGGAGAAGTGGACAGGAATGAAGGGGGAGTCAGCGGGAGTCTGCCCAGGCAGAGGGGAAGAGCTCACTCTGATTTGCATGACCAAGAAGGCGGGCACAGGGGGAGCTGGCTCTGAGGCCCTGGCTCCTGGGTTTCTTCCAGCAAAACAGTGATGGGGGCAGGGATGAGGTGTGTGCTGGCTCACGTGAGTGACACATTGGGAGCAGAGCAGCATCGTCTAACGAGAACAACTGGGCTGTGCGCCACCAAAGGTGAGGCGGGGTGGAGGGGGCGGTAGAGCTGGGTGAGCCACCAGAGATGGGAACACAGGGCCACTCGTGCCTTGCCTGGCTGTCTGACTGTGTCACATGCAATAATGACAGTCACTGTTTGTTGTCTGCTACTATGTGCCAAGCACCAGGCAAAGCACCTTCTACATGTTACCTCCTCGATCCTCACAACAGCCCCAGGAGGGGTGCTATTATCCCCCTTTCAGAGTAGGAAACTGAGGCTCAGGGAGGTGAAGAGATATGGCCTTGGTCACAAAGCTGGGGTGCAAACCTGGGTTGGCCCTGGAGCCTGGGCTTTGAGCCCCAGCCCCGCCCTGCCTCTCTGCACCTCTGTCATGGCTCCTGAAGGATGTGGGTGCTGGCCGGGCACAGTGGCTCACTCCTGTAATCCCAGCACTTTGGGAGGTTGAGGCAGGTGGATCACCTGACGTCAGGAGTTCAAGGCCAGCCTGGGCAACATGGAAACCCCGTCTCTAAAACAAAAATTAGCCAGGCGTGGTGGTGGGCACCTATAATCCCAGCTACTCGGGAGACTGAGGCAGGAGAATAGCTTGAACCCAGGAGGCAGAGGTTGCCGTGAGCCGATATCACACCAAAAAAAAAACAGAATGTGAGTGGAGGAGCTTGCCCCAACCTGTGGCCAGAGGGCATTGGAAGGAAGCAGAAGCCTCCGGGTGGTCATGGACGGTAACATCAATTGGCCCAGACTTTCAGGAAAATACCAGTGCCAGGCTCTTGGGGCATCATGATGCTGGGACCAGCTGCACCACATCCTGAATGGGCGTGGGGGTGGGATTCAGGGGAGAGCTGAGTGGAGTGGCTGCTGTCAGTCATCTTGGAAAGAAGGTCCATGAAAGAGGAGTGTCTGGGGTCCAGGAGGGAGAAAGGACTTTCTGCTCTCTCTGGGCTCATGTTTCCCTTCAGAGGCCTGAAGTGGTCGTGATGGTGGGTGAGTTTTCCCAGGTCTCATGGAGGCAGCTGGGAATTAAAGACAAAACCGTGCCTCAGTTTCCCCCTCTTGGTGGTGGAGGTGGCAGCAGGAGCCCAGAGTGGGCAACAGTTTCTAGGACAGCCAGTATTGAGGACTGGTGTATTCGGTGGCACTGGTTAAGGCAGGGTAAGGAGGACTTCGCTCAGGACCGTCATGATAGGTATAGGGGCCACTGCACCAGGGTCTTGCTGAGGGAGAGAACTGGCTCAACCTCAAAGACCAGCCCGGCAGGTGGGGATTTATAGCAGAGGAGGCAGAACGGGTGTCGGCGGATGGAAAATCACTGAGAGGAAACATCTGACAAAACCGCCCGAACAGGATTCTTGCTGCAGGCAGGGTGATCGGACAGTGCCCGGGGGTGGCGGAGAATGAGGAACCCCGTTCGTTCAGGTCTCCACGGTGATCAGCGATCTAGGATGGGGGGTCTGCCTAAACTGACTTCACAGGTTCTTTTGCTAAAACTGGGTTTTACAAGGAAGTGCCCAGACGGGTGTAGCAGAAGATTCAGAAGCCTGACTAAAGTTTGGCCAAGCAAGGAATCTTCATCAGGATCATGACTAAGGGGGCCTCCGCCTCCGTGCAGGTGGCATCTGCTCTGGCCACCCTAAGGAGGGAAGCACCTTAAGAAGAGAGGTGTCCCCACGCACCCCAAAGCCTGGGAACATCTGCAGAGGTCAACTCCCAGGAGAAGGAGTCTCAGCAGATGCTAGAGGAGAGAGCAGAATACCCCCTGCCACCAGGAGAAGCTTCCAGAGAACACCAGAGGAAGGCAGGGCCCGGAAAATGCACAGAAGCAGGAGTGCATACTCTGAGGGGGAAGGTATGAAAAGTGAGGTCTCAGAACAGTGAGGTAGGAACACTGGAGGCACCAATGACACATCAGCATTTTTTGTTCATTGTTCTTTAGGTAAAATATCACCCCCAACAAGATTTTGTTACTATGTCCCACAGTCCTGGGGGTTGGCTGGTTCTCTCTGGGAGCCTCTCCTGCCATCACGGCGGCTGGGGCCAGAGTTGTTCTGAAGATGTCTTCATGCCCATGTCTGGCGGCTGAGCCTCAGCTGGGGCAGTTGGCTGGAGCATCCACGTGCAGCCTCTGTGTGGCTTCGGCTTCCTCACACCATGGTGCCAGCCTTCCTTCATTCTAAGGAACTGGGCAGAACCGGTGTTGTCTTTCATGACCCAGTCTCGGAAGTCACATAAATTTACCTCTGACATAGTCAGAGTCCTGCCAAAACTCAAGGGAAGGGAACAAAGACTCCACTTCTCAAAGGGACGGGTATTGGCGCCATGCTGTAAGAAGCACAGTGGCTTGGGAGGTATTGTGGTCAGCTCTGGAAAAGACAACCGCCATATTAGTAAATATTTATTGCAAACCTACTGTGAGCCAGGCACTAAACACTGGGAATCCAGACGTGAACCACAGACACCAGTCCCTGCCTCATGGAGCTGACATTCTAGTAGGGGAAGCCAGACCATCGAGCAAATAAATAAATGCAATGGCGCGTTAAGTGGAGGTGAGCGCTAAGGAGAACAAGCAGTCAAGGACCAGGGCAGGCAGGGAGAGGGCTGAGTGACAAGAGGGTCCTCTCCCCACATGTCTGGTCCCCTCTGCGGTGACGTCTGGGGATGAGACTCCAGGAGAGGGATAGCCTGAGCAGAGGCACTGAGGTGGGGGATGTCAGGGGCTTGGGCCACAACTCAGAAGCAGCAGAGCTGGAGTTGAGAGAGGGAGGAGAGTGCGAGGTGAGGGCGGTCAGGCAGTGGGGCCAGGACGGGCAGGTGGTCAGCCTTAGCGGGGACTTTGGCCTCTGCCTTGAGCAAAGCAGGGACTGTGGAGAGTTTTGAGCAGGAACAGAGAACCTCTCTCACTCTAAGAGCAGGACTGGATGTATAAGAACAGTTCTCCCCCACCACCATGGCCCACGTTAACCTATGTAACATGTAACAAACCTGCACATCCTGCACATGTACCCCGGAACTTAAAATAAAAATAATTTTTTTTAAAAAAAAGAACAATTCTCCCCAACCCCCAGCCTCTGCTTGCATGCCTCTAAGAATATGGGACTCACCCCTTCATTGCTTATCGGGTCTTTCTTGTCGTGAATGAACATAAGTCTCTTTGCTACGTCCCCCGCATTACAGTTGGGCTCTGGGGCCATTGAATGGATCTGTCACCATCCCTTGGTGTTTTAGGGGTGGATGCCTAACTCTCTGAGTCTTCACACTAAACCAATCCCACCCAGTTCTTTCCTCAGTCCATATACACGCGCCACTACCTCTTGAACGCTCACCATTTTGGTCATTTATATGTGTCCTTTTTCTAAACCAGGGGGTGGCGAACTACAGCCCAAAGGCCAAATCTGGCCCACCACTTCTTTGTGCAAATAAAGTTTTATTGGAACACAGCCACACCCATTCATTTACTGTTGTGCTTGGCCGCTTTTGTGCTATACTGGCAGAGTAGTTGAGTTACTACAGTGGAGACTGTATGACTCGCAAAGTTTAAAATATTTACCCTCTGGCCCTTTACAGAGGAAGTTTTCTGATGCTCTCCTAAATGTGTGTGCCTTAAGTTTCACCCCAATCACTCAGCTGCTGCTGAAAGCAGATTGGAAGGGGCAAGGAGGCCTATCAGAAGGCCAGGCTCTTAAAGATGAGCAGTAATAATCCCAAAGTATAATACTTTCACACATTTGCTATAAATTTGTGCAATTCAAATATTAATTCAGGCTGAGCACAGTGGCTCACGCCTGTAAATCCCAGTGTTTTGGGAGACCTAGGCACAAGGATTGCTTGAGCCCAGGAGCTTGAGACCAGCCTGGGCAATGTAGCCAGATCCTCTGTGTAAAAAAAAAAATTTTTTTTTTTTGGAGATTGAGTCTCACTCTGTCACCCAGGCTGGAGTGCGGTGACGCAATCTCAGCTCACTGCAACCTCTGCCTCCTGGGTTCAAGTGATTCTCCTGCCTCAGCCTCCTGAGTAGCTGGGATTACAGGCACGTACCACCATGCCCGGCTAATTTTGGTATTTTTAGTAGAGACAGGGTTTCACCATGTTGGTCAGGCTGGTCTCCCACTCCTGACCTCGTGATCCACCTGCCTCGGCCTTCCAAAGTGCTGGGATTACAGGCATGAGCTACCGTGCCTGGCCCAAAACAATTTTTTAAAAATTAGCCAAGCGTGGTGGTGTGCACCTGTAGTCCCAGCTACTCAGGGGGCTGAGGCAAGAGGATCGCTTGAACCCAGGAGTTGGAGGCTGTGGTGAGCTATGATCACGCCACTGAACTTTAGCCTGGAGCAAGACCCCGTGTCAATAAACAAATAAATAATAAAAAGATGAATTTATACAAACACATGTTTTAAAATTAGACTTTATGCCTAGTTCTCCATAAAGATTTCTATGACACGTCTCTGCTTGCGTAAATACATATTGCTGTGTGTTTTCGTGAATGACCACCCCAACACAGAAGGCCTGGAATCTTACCTTCAATCCTTCCGTTCCGCCTGTCGAACACCAGCTAGGAACAGAGCAGGGGGGCATCCTCAGGTGCAATTAAAAACCGCAGATTTTTAACTCTGAAAAATAACAACATTAAAAACCGCAGTGGGTGCAAGGCCCACAAAGGGCTGAGTGTCTGAGGCCTGGCGGCAGGGATTGGCCAACTCTGCACAAGAGAAGGCAAGAAAACCCAACCCCGCATGGCAGGGCCGGCCTCCCTGGGAAACTTGGACTTGCCCCCGACTTTCCGAAGCAGAGGTTTGCTCAGTCTCTGTGGTCGTGAAGCATGGAAGGCAATCTCTGAATTGTTTTCCAGAAAGAAACGGAGAAAACAAAAACTAAGTTGCAGTTTGAAAATATCTGCTTTGTTTTACTTAAAGAAAACAGGCAGCAGGACTCACATACTTAGATGGAGAGGCTAAAACAGGGAAGTCTTTTTTTTTTTTTTTTTTTTTTTTTTGAGATGGAGTTTTGTTCTTTTTGCCCAGGCTGGAGTGCAATGGCACGATCTTGGCTCACTGCAACCTCCACCTTCCGGGTTCAAGCGATTCTCCTGCCTCAGCCTCCCGAGTAGCTGGGATTACAGGCATGTGCCACCATGCCCGGCTAATTTTTGTATTTTTAGTAGAGATGGGGTTTCTCTATTTTAGTCAGGCTGGTGTCAAACTCCCGACCTCAGGTGATCCGCCTGCCTGGGCCTCCCAAAATGCTGGGATTACAGGCATGAGCCATTGTGCCTGGCCAAACAGGGAAGTCTTTACCTCTCTTCGATGGAAACTTCCAGAATCTGTATCCCTCGGTCACTAAACTGTGTGGCCTCTTCTGACCTCTCTTGCCTTTGGTTCTGGGTCCGTGTCTGTGTAATAGAAACTCCAGGCCCCCCCGCTTGACCCCCACCCAGGGCTGCTGGAAGGCTCGCTGAGAGGGTGAAGGTGGAAGTTCCAGGGGAAGTGACTGCCAGGTGTCCCAGCGTGGGGACTGTGCATGGAAGGACATTGGAGAAGGGAGTGGCTGGGATCCCAGGCATGGATCTTCTGGGTCATGGCCGCCCACCTGGGATGCAGAGATGCGGGGCAGTGTGTGGATACCACAGGTGTGCAAGCATCTTCTGGAAACTTGATTAGTGAAGTTGGTGTGTGAGGAGCTGAGAAAAAGAGCAGGGGGCCGGGAACGGTTGGCTCATGCCTGTAATCTCAGCGCTTTGGGAGACCAAGGTGGGAGAATTGCTTGAGCCCAGAAGTTGGAGACCACCCTGGGCGACATAGTGCGATCCTGTCTCTATGAAAAATGTAAAAATTAGCCAAGCATGATGCTGCATGCCTGTAGACCCAGCTACTTGGGAGGCTGAGATAGGAGGATTGCTTAAGACCAGTAATTTGAGACTGCACTCAGCTATGATGGTGCCACTGCACTCTAGCCTGGGTGACAGAGCAAGACTCTGTCTCTAAAATAAATAAATAGGCCAGGTATAGTGGCTCATGCCTGCAATCCCAGCACTTTGGGAGGCTGAGGTGGGCAGATCACCTGAGGTCAGGAGTTCGAGACCAGCTTGGCCAACACGGTGAAACACCGCCTCTACTAAAAACATAAAAATCAGCCGGGTGTGGTGGCGTGTGCTTGTAGTTCCAGCTACTTAGGAGGCTGAGGCATGAGAATGGCTTGAACCCTGGAAGCAGAGGTTGCAGTGAGCCAAGATCGTGCCATTGCACTCCAGCCTGGGTGGCAGAGCAAGACTGTGTCTCAAATAAAATAAAATAAAATAAATACATCGATAGACAGATATAGATAAATAGATAAAAAAGAAAGAGAGCAGAAAGTGCTACCAGGAGAGGAGAGGGCTGGGGACACCATAGAGGCTCAGCTATTGGACCTTCACCATGGGGGAGGAGGTGAGGGCACCAGGGACCAAGGGCACAGACTCCTCCACACCCAGGCCCTGTTCTGGGTTCAATGAGGGCAGCCTGACCTGCCTGCTCACCTCCCCCAAGGGTTCCCTGGGCACCCAGACCAATGCTGCCCAACATTTTCTGTGTCATGGCCCTGGCAGGGTGCCTGGGTGCTGGCACTGGGCCAGATCTCTTCTTCCTGCTCCAGAATGTGCCCAGGGTCACATTCGGTATGGAAAGGCAGCCGCCCCTGCCCAGGCCTCCCCAGCCTCAACCCTTGGTTGAGGTCATTTCCCTTTCTCATGCGTTCCATGAAAAATCTCTCCCTAGGTTAGCGGTCAGGCAGACCTTGCTCTGAACGAACCTCCTGGGAGAGATGGGAAGTGGAAAGCAGAATGCAGAGCTCTGGGTGGAGTTAGCTGAGCTGAGCTCGTTAGGTATCGCAGGACCCGGACATGACCTCGACAGGCTGAGCCCATGTCCTCTGAAACCACCTTGAATCTATTAGGCTAACTGGCCTCTAGCATTCTAGTTTTCCTTAATAACCACAAATAGATTACTTGTTTATTGACTAAAGTCAAAATATACAAGATAAATGTAGCAGATCTGGCAATGGAGGCCGGCTGCAGGGGCCACCTGGGAGTTCCAGACTGCCTTCTGAGGGAGCTGACCAGCTGAAGGGGCATAAGAACTCTCACGTCTAGCCATGAATCCAGGCATCCAGCCATTAATTCACCCATCCTTCCATTCTTCCTTCTCTAACCTCTTACATTGTTCCTTTCAGCCTTTCATTCTTCCATCAGTCCATCCAAACATCCATCCATCATTTCATCCTTTATTTCCTTTCATCCTTCCATTAATTTATCTCACTATTAATAGAATCCAACTATCCAACTAATAGAATCCAGCTATTCTTTTATCTATTCACCCTTTTCCCTTCCTTCCTTTCTTTCATTTTTCCATCCTTCCTTCCCTCCATTCTAATGGTCAATCTTTCCCTCCATTCATCCTTGCATCCTTTATCCTTCTATCCTTCCACTCAATATCTATCCTCCTTTCCTCCCATTCAACTATCCTTTCTTTCTTTCATACTCTTTCCATATATATCCATTCAACCATCCATCCATCTTTCCTTTTCCTCACTTCCATCCATCCATCATTCAATCTAGCCAATCATTCTTCCTTTCCTCCTTCCATTGGTCCACCCGTCCTTTCTACCCATCATACATTCATTGATTACATATTTATGAGTACCTGCTTGAACTGGATACTAGTTATATTTAAATATTTACATTTTATGCATGTCCAAATTTTTCAATCTGAATAAACCATAAGCCTATTCTAGAAACATCTCATAGGGAAGAAAGACTTCAAATACTTAAGGTACAACTTGAGAAATGCAATATAATAGATGTGTTTCCAAGAAGTAATGCAAGTTAGGGTGGAGTCGCCAGCCCTCAGGTGGTCATAATGGGTTCCCGAGGTGCTCTTGGGGGAGGTGGGAAATGAATGTTTATCATGCAGATAAGGAAGGCATTCCAGGCTGAAGGAAGGGAATGGGCAAAGGCACAGAGGCATGGGAGAGCAGGGAGGTGATGAAGAGCACGTTGTGTGCTAACAGGACAGAGGGTGGAGAGGAGGGGGCTGGAGAGGAGAGCCAGAGCCCAGTCTCTGTGAGCCACGTGAAGAATTTGGACTTTGTCCTGAGGACAAGGGGAGCCCTAGAAGAAAGGCCCCCCTGGCTGGGAGGGGAGGAAGGAATGTTCAGGGCTGAGGAATGTGACTGTAGGCAGGGGGAAGGTCACCCTGGGAGGTAAGAGAGGAGATGACTTGCACTGGTGAAGGTGCTGGAGCTCAGAGGGAGAGTGAGCAGAGTGGAGAGTGGTGTGGGTGGCAGCAGGAGCAAGTGATGGGCAGGAAGAGGGCGGTGGTACTGAGGGGGGTCCTGCGGGTGGCCAGGGGTGATGATGCTGGAGCTGGGAACATGAAAGAGAAGCAGGGGTCAGAGGGCAGGGTGAGTCTAGGCTCAGCTAAGGAGAGTCTGGGGCCTGGGGGCACCCCGGAAGAGTGGGCACACAGATCTGTAGCACTGGCTTTTGCTGCTTGTTAGCTCCCCTGGTCTCCAGTACTGACCAAGGCTAGGCAGGCTAGGCATTCATTCATTCATTCATTCATTCTTTCTTTCTTTCTTTCTTTTTTTTTTTTTTTTTTTTTTGAGACGGAGTCTCGCTCTGTCGCCCAGGCTGGAATGCAATGGCGAAATCTTGACTCACTGCAACCTCCACCTCCTGGGTTCAAGTGATTCTTCTGCCTCAGCCTCCCAAGTAGCTGGGACTACAGGTGCCCACCACCACATCTCATTTTTTTTTTTTTTTTTTGTATTTTTAGTAGAGACAGGGTTTCACCATTGGCCAGGCTGGTCTTGAACTCCTGACTTCAAGTGATCTGCCTCCCTCGGCCTCCCAAAGTTCTGGGATTACAGGCATGAGCCACTGCGTCTGGCCCATTCATTCTTTCATTTACTTGACAAACACTTTCTGAACACCATGTACCTGACTCCACTGTAGGCCCTGGATACACAGCAAACAGGTCACCAGCATCCCTGTCTTCCTGGGACCTGCATCCTGGTGACAGCAAGTCCTGCTGGACAGTTCCGGAGCCTGAGACTTACAGAGGTGCAGTGGCCTACACAGGGATGCGCAGTCAGCAGGTGGACAGTCGGGAGCAGCCGCCAAGGCCCCTGGGGCTGCAGGGCCGGGAAGTGGAACTGAGTGGGGACTCTTGATAGCCAGAGGAAGCTCCGGGCTGTGCATGCTGCTGGGTGACTCAGCAAATGGCTTTTCTGCTGCAGCCCCGGACTGAATGCCGAAGCAAGAGGGGACTGTGAGGGACCCAAAGGGACAGCCAGGTGTCTGTGGCCGAAGCTTCCACTGCCCTTCCGGACGTGGTTGTTCTCCCTCTTCCGGCCGGAACCTGCCTCCTCTCTCCTCCCCAGTCCCCCAGTCCTGCTGTCTCCTCTGCTTCCGGCTGCAGCTTAGGTTCCAACCACACCCTCACTCGATTCCTTGGCCACTGGTCGTCTGCTGAGTGAGAGCTGGGTCTCTGGCTGAGTTTGCCCTGGGCCGGCAGTGGGGTCTGAGATGTGTTATTTGGCCACTCTGAGCTGCCTCCATGTCCTTCTCCATAAAGCAGAGCCGCCTGGGCTTACGGACTGGACCAGGCTTTTGAGCTGAGGTGGACCTGCCAGGGTTTGCTCAGGTGAGCAGGAGCTGAGGCCAGTCCTGCACCAGGCCCCCACTGTGCTCACATTCCCTGAGCCCACCATGTCTGGAGTCTTTCCAAGCGTGATCCAGGCAGGCATGAGCCCACTTAATCTTCAACAAGTCAACAAAGCAGGTCCTGTTACCAACCCCTTGTCTGTAGACTAGGAAAGTGAAGCACAGAGGAGTTCAGTACCTTGCCCAATGTCACACAGCTCCAGTCTCTGCGGCATCAATACTGGGCTATGTCCCCTCGCAAGATTCTGCCCCGGGCACTACCTTTTAAAGAAGGGCAGGACCACTGGCTATGGGAGAGGGGCTGGCAGGAGCTGGACATGCTCAGTATGAAGACGAGATGGCTTGCGGACCTGGGGGCTGGAGGGGAATTCTTGGAATTCCTTTCCCCATCTCTTCCTCTTGGGTTAACTCTTGACCATCTCTTAGCACTTAACTCAAGGGTCTCCTTCCCCACCAGCACCCTCCTGGATGCTTGCAGGGTCCAGGTGATTATCTCGTTGCATCTAGCACTTTCTCTGCACCAGGCACTGGGCGAAGCATTTGATGCATTATCTCTTGGAATCCTCATGGCTTCTCTGTCTGTACGTGGCTTGGCCGGGCAGGGGTCTCTGGTAGCAGTAGCAGAAGCCCCTGGGGCCAGCTTAAGAGAAAGGGGGCATTTGTTGGGAAGCCCTGGATGTGTTGGGGACCCCTGGTCTCACCAAGTATTCCAGACAGGCACTGGGAACTTCCTATCTCCTCTCTGCCTCTCATTCTCTGAGGCTGCAACATTTCTCCTTGTGTGTTTCTCCTTGTGGCCCTGAGGCCTGTGGGACAGAAGTCCCTTTGGTGTAGGAAGAACGCCTCAGTCAGGGATGTCCAGCCACACAAATAAACTAATAGATTCCAACTATTATTTTATTTATTCACCTTTCCTTGCTTCCTTTCTTTCATTTTTCCATCCTTCCTTCCCTCCAGTCTAATGCCCATTCTATCCATCCATCCATCCATCCAACCCTCCATCCATCCACTCTTTATCCTTCTATCCTTCCACTCAGTATCTATCCTTCTTTCAGCTGCCTGGGAAGACAGTGGTGACCCACCCTGGATGCACGTAGTCAGTGATGCAAATGTGGTGGAGGAGAATGTCCCAGCTCTGACGGGCCTTGGGTTCAGGTGGCCTTCTAAGGGCGGGTCCCATTTGAGCCACTCTGGGCTGTGAAATCCAGAATCCTGTTTCCAAATCCCTCCTCAGTGTCTCCCTGGGATGTCCAGTGGGCACCTCAGACAACACATCCAAATCCAACTCCCATTCTGTCCCGCAGGCTGCCCTTTCTGCAGTCTCCCCATCTCTGGGGATGGCAACTCCATGCTTCCAGTAGCTCAGGCCAAGACTTCCAAGTCATCCTTCAATCCCCTCTGTCTTCCATTCTGATCCATCCACACATCCTGCTGTCCCTACCCTCGGAATCTATCCCAAGTCTGACTGGTCTCTCCACGGCCCTGGCCGTCATCCTGGTCCAAGCCGTCACCTCTCATCTGGGTAACTGCTAGAGCCTCCTAACCAATCCCCTTTCCTCCACAATCCATTCTCGCCACAAGAGCCCTTTAAATCTAAGTCAGATCATGTTCTTCCTCTGCTCTAACCCTGCTGTGACGTTGAGCAGAAGCCAGTCTGTATGAGGGCTCCCCATGGCTTGGTCCCCTTGCCCCCTCACTTCCTTCCAACCACGCCTCCTGTGCTGGGTCCTCCTCCACACCAGCCACATTCCCCTCCTCTGGCCTTTGCACTGGCTGTCCCCTCTGCCTGAAGCCCTGTTCCCCCACATCTGCATGACCAAGCCCCTCAGCCCCTTTGAGTCTTTGCTCAGGGGTCGCTTTCTCAGTGAGGCCCACTCTGACCTCTGTTTAAAAAATTGCAGCCCCCTGACCCCCAAACACATTACCCAAGCCCATCCCCGCACTCCCCACCCCCTTACCCTGCTAAGCTTTTTTTGTTTTTCCCAGAGCACTAACCACTTTGAATGTGCTATATAATTTAAATTACCGTGTTCATTATTATCTGTCTGCACCCACTAGGATATGAGCTGTCTGGGGGCATTAACTTTACTTCTGCTGACCAATGCATCCTAATCACTTCCAGTATCCTAATCACCTCCAGCTTCCTAATGTCAGCTCCAGCATCCTAACCACCTCCAGCATTCTAATATCACCTCCAGCATCCTAACCACCTCCAGCATTCTAATATCACCTCCAGCATCCTAACCACCTCCAGCATCCTAACCACCTCCAGCATCTTAATATCAGCTCCAGCATCCTAATATCACCTCCAGCACCCTAATATCACCTCCAGCATCCTAACCACCTCTAGCATTCTAATATCACCTCCAGCATCTTAACCACCTCCAGCATCCTAACCACCTCCAGCATCCTAATATCAGCTCCAGCATCCTAATATCACCTCCAGCATCCTAATATCACCTCCAGCATCCTGATCACCTTCAGCATCTTAATCATCTTGTGACTGATACAGTATAGTTGCTCAATTGGTAAATACAGTGGTGAGGGAGGGGCTGCAAGTCAGGAGCCAGGGGCCTGGGGATGCCCCTTGCAGCTGGTCGGGGCAGAGGTCCCCCCACACCTGGCTTGGGGGTCCAGGCAGACTCAGCCCATTCCCTCTTTCCCTCTTCCCCACTCCATGTAGAGAAGGTCATAACCTGGAGGGGCACTGGTTCTGAGCTGTATCCATGGAGGGCTCAGGAGGGCTAAAAACCAACTTTGTTCATATAATTCCAGAGGTCACTTGTTTTTCAGGGGGAGAATGTTTTCCTTTTTTCCCACAGCGTTTATCAATTTCTAACATACCACACCATACATTTACTTACTTATTAAGTTTCTTTCTCACTCTGTTGCACAGGCTGGAGTGCAGTGGTGCAACCACAGCTCACTGAAACCTTGACCTTCCAAGGCTCAGGTGATCCTCCTGTCTCAGCCTCCCAAGTAGCTGAAACAGCAGGCATGTGCCACCTTGCCTGGCTAAATTTTGTATTTTTAGTAGAGATGGGGTTTCGCCATATTGCCCAGGCTAGTCTCAAACTCCTGGGCTCAAGCGATCCACCTGCCTAGACCTCCCAATGTGCTGGGATTACAGGCATGAGAAAACATGCCTGGCCTTATTATAAGTTTCTAAATGTATTATTTACCATTCGTCAGATTATCAAAGGGCTTCTGATTTTAAAAAGTAGAGAACTAGCTGGGAGGCCAAGGCAGGAGGATTGCTTGAGGCTAGGAGTTTGAGGCCAGCCTGGGCAACATAGCAAGATCCTGTCTCTATATAAAAAAAGTTTTAATTAGCCGGGTGTGGTGGTGTGTGCCTGTAGTCCCAGTTACTCAGGAGGCTGACGCAGAAGGACTGCTTGAGCCTAGGAACTGGAGGCTGCAGTTATCTATGAAGACATCACTGCACTCCAGCCTGGGTGACAGTGTGAGACCCCATCTCTAAAAGAAAAAAAGATGCCAAGTGCAGTGGCTCACACCTGTAATCCCAGCACTTTAGGAGGCCGAGGCGGGCAGATCACGAGGTCAGGAGATCGAGACCATCCTGGCTAACACGGTGAAACACCATCTCTACTAAAAATACAAAAAACTTAGCCGGACTTGGTGGTGGGTGCCTGTAGTCCTAGCTACTGGGGAGGCTGAGGCAGGAGAATGGCATGAACCCCCGAGGTGGAGCTTGCAGTGAGCCGAGATCATGCCACTGCACTCCAGCCTGGGTGACAGAGCGAGACTCTGTCTCAAAAAAAAAAAAAAGGAAAAAAGACCAGGCGAGGCGTGGTGGCTCATACCTGTAATCCCAACAATTTGTGTGTTTTTTTAAATTATCATTACAATATTACAATAACTAGAGATTTATTAAACCAACAAGTCATTCTTCTTACAAAATTACAGTTAATATGGGGTAGGGGGCAGTGATGGGGTTGGGAGGTGGGACCACTGCACCTAGGAGAGATGGCTTTGCTAAGGAGGGCCTGGGGTGCCTGAGTCCACCTAGCCTAGATAGGGGAGGGGAGGATGAGGAGGCAGAGGGTGCGCAGCAGGAGCAGGGTGGGGGATGGCAGGCTGAGCCAGGGGATGGTTTGGAACCAGCAGAATAGAGAAGACCAGGAGGCAAGACGGGAGGGCCTGGCTCCCCAGAGCTGGGAGCATAACATGTGGGGTGTGGAGGGGAGCAGAAGGGAAAGAAGGGGGGAAGGGGACAGGAGGAAAGGGGAGGGGAGGAGAGGGGAGGGGAGGGGAGGAGAGAGGGGCCACAGGCTACAGGAGCAGTGGTGCCTCAGAGCTGCCAACTCTGCCAGGAAGGGCTGTGGGTTCTGCTGGTGGTCTTGGTGCACTGGGCCTGGGGATAAACACTTCTCTTCCAGGAAGAGAAGAGGGGGAACCCTTCTCTCCTGGAGGGGGTCCAGGAGTTTGGATTGGGGGACATTCTTTCTGCTTTTCCCCCAACCTGCCCCTTCTTTGACAGGGGCTTTCATCTGGCCGGAGTGGGGTCTGTGTGGAGGCCTCAGCTGGACTCTGGTCAGGGTTGGATCAGGACTCTTCTTGCTGAGGGTTGGGAGACAAGGAGCCCTACCACAGATCCCACTGCAGCAGCTCATCCCCTGGGCCTGTTCCCTGGGCTGCTGAATCCCAGCACTTTGGGAGGCTGAGGTGGGCGGATCGCTTGAGTCCTGGAGTTCCAGACCAGTCTGACCAACATGGTAAAATCCCGACTCTACAAAAAATACAAAAACTAGCCAGGCATGGTGGTGCATGCCTGTAGTCCCAGATACTTGGGAGGCTAAGGCAGGAGGATCACTGCAGCCCGGGAGGTCGAAGCTGCAGTGAGCCATGTTCACACCACTGCACTCCAGTCTGGGTAACAAAGACCTTAGAGAACCACTTGTCTCCATCATCCCACTGTTTTCCTTGTGCCCAGCAGGGTTCCTGGGCTCCCAGGCCTAAGTGTGACTCACCAGGCTCCCCTTGGGTCTGTGACTACAGCCTTCATGCAGTTTGAGAGCTGACAGTTGATTCCCCAGACTTAGCTGGCCCCCGGACTCTCCCTCCTTGGCCCCCAGCCTGGTGGTTTCCGCACCCCCAGACCCTGTCCTTCGTCTCCTCAGGCTTTAACCCGAGCGGGGCCCTTTAGGTAATTAGCAAGAGCAAAATGGTGCCTGTAAGATCACTGTGGTGCTCTCCATGGTCCTGAACCTCACTAGTCCCTGCTCAGGGTGAGTGAGGTGGTTTCTTAGCAAAGCAGTTGGCGGGGGAAGGGGGGATTGTGTGGTCCCAGAGGCTCCTCTCCCTCCCCCGTCCCTTTCCATGTCATACTTTTACTTCTCCACTTCCTGGAATTCTAAACCTGCTTTTCTGGCTTACATTAAGCCATCTTATCTTTGAGGTCATAGCTGAGTTGTCAGCTTCTCGGGAAAGTCTTCTTGGACTCTGCAGAACTGAGGTAGGTGTCCTCCTTCGTGTTCGGGCAGCATCCTATATGTCCCACATTCCAGTGTGCAGTGACCACCTTTTGGGTCCTATCAGTCAATTGTAAGCTCTCAGTTCGTTTCCCTCACTCTTGTGTCCCCAGCATATAGATAATGACATTAAATTTTGGTTGAACAGAAAAATGAATTCATGAATGAAATGAATCTGTGGTGGATGGTCTAGGGGAAAGAATTCTCTCACAATCTGTGCCTACCCTTTGATTAAGCCAGGGCTATTCTGGTAGCCTTTGTGTCGGAAACACAGAAGAGAACAAGAGCACAGTCCTTGCCCAAAGGAGTATATGACCTGGTGGAGGAATTATAGTGGCTGATAATCTGAGCTCCATTTTACAGATTTGGAGACTGAGGCTGAGGGAGTGATGTGATTCTTCTATGATTACATAGTTCAGGAGTGACAGAGATGGAACTGGGCTCTGGACACTGTAGCCATCCCCTGCCTGTGCCATCACTTCCCATCTCTAGATCAAACTGATGCTCCTGTGTAATGAAGACATCTCTAGGGAAATGTCCCAACACCAATTTCCATGAAAAATTAGAACCCATGGGTTTAGTCTGTATTTTGGGGGCCACAGCTTCTGGGGCCACTGAGATGGCACAAGAGAAAGCCCTTGGCACCCAGTGAGTAGTTTCATTGTCCAAGTTTTATCATCAGAAACAAGGTGGGAGGCCCCTTCTTTCCAATAACTGGATTCTTGGCAAGAACCACAAGGACATGTCACACTCCCAAAATGTCTGAGCAGTTGAGTCCCATGGGAAGTTTGTGGTAGGCATGATATGGCCCAGTCTGGCCTCAGTCTGATCCATGGCCAGAGCTCCTGGGACGACCCACATCCCATCCCAATATGGGCCTGTGGGTCCTGCAGGAAATTCCATTGATGTCATCTTGGGAACCTTCACCTGCAGGGTTCTGAGGGATGCAGACAGTAGGCCCTGCACTAGTGACAGTGTTCAGCTTATGAAACTGTCCCACATATCCATCACATGACCATATAAGATCCTGAAGAGTCCCGTGTCTCTGGGGTAGGCAAAGCCTGGATTCTGTGGGGCTTTGATGATCAAAAATGGGCTATTGTGTGTGTCGTTACTCAATATAGCTGTTTGCTTAAGAGACAGCCAGGGTGGTGGTTCATGCCTAGAATCCCAGCACTTTGGGAGGCCGAGGCAGGTGGATTACTTGAACCCAGGAGTTCAAGACCAGCCTGAGCAACATGGCAAAACCCCATCTCTACAAAAATATGAAAAAGTAGCCAGTTGTGGTGGTGTGCGCCTGTGATCCCAGCTACTCGGGAGGCTGAGACTGGAAGATTCCCTGAGTCCAGGAGGTCGAGGCTATAGTGAGCCATGATCGTGCCACTGCACTCCAGCCTGGGCAACAGAGTGAGTCCCTCACTCAAGAAGAAACAGAGAAAGAGAAGTTTTGAAAACATGGTATCTTAGTTCATTCAGACTACTATAGTAAACTATCATAAACTAAGTGGTTTATAAACAACAGAAATTCTGGAGGCTGGAAAGTCCAAAATCAAGGTGCTGGCAGCTCTGGTGTCTGGTGAGGGCCTGTTTCCTGGCTCACAGATAACTGTCTTCTTGCTGTGTCTTCACATGGTGGAAGAGGTAAGGGAGCTCTTCAGTGCCTCTTTTATAAGAGTACTGATCCCATTCATGAGGGTCTGGCCTGATGACCTAATCACCTCCCCAAGGCTCCCACCTCCTAATACCATCACAATGGGGATTAGACGACAACATATAAACTTCCGGGCAACATGAAACATTCAGACCATAGCACATGGGATACATAAAAGAAAAATAACACAGAAGGAGTTGGGTGGGCAGAAGGCAGGAGAGAGCTGGTTAAGGACCTACCAGCCTTAAAGGGAGGCCGTTGGCCTCTGCTGGAAGCAAACTTCAGGACCAACGTTCAGCCTGCTGAGGAGGAGGAAAAAGAGGAGGGGAAACAAATAGGGGCCCCCAGGACCCTGGCAGGGAGGTTGCTAAAGGCTGGCTTGGCTGGGAGCAGTGGCTCACACCTGTAATCCCAGCACTTTGGGAGGCTGAGGTGGGTGGATCACGAGGTCAGGAGATCAATACCATCCTGGCCAACATGCTGAAACCTCGTCTCTACTAAAAATACAAAAATTGACTGGGCGCGGTGGCTCACGCCTGTAATCCCAGCACTTTGGGAGGCCGAGGCGGGCAGATCATGAGGTCAGGAGATTGAGACCACAGTGAAACCTCGTCTCTACTAAAAAATACAAAAAATTAGCTGGGCGCAGTGGCGGGTGCCTGTAGTCCCAGCTACTCGAGAGGCTGAGGCAGGAGAATAGCGTGAACCTGGGAGGCGGAGCTTGCAGTGAGCCGAGATTGCGCCACTGCACTCCAGCCTGGGCGACAGAGCAAGACTCCGTCTCAAAAAAAAAAAAAAAAAATTAGCTGGGCGTGGTGGCCTGCGCCTGTAGTCCCAGCTACTCAGGAGGCTGAGGCAGGAGAATCACTTGAACCCAGGAGGCAGAGGCTGCAGTGAGCTGAGATCATGCCACTGCACTCCAGCCTGGGCGACAGAGTGAGATTCTGTCTCAAAAAAAAAAAAAAAAAAATGGCTGGCTTGTGCCCTTCCACTTAGTCTGAGAGCTGGGGCTGCTGAGAGTGGAGCAAACTCAGCACCCCCACAAATTGACTGTCTGAGTCAGCTCAGGACGCTGTAACTCATTACTGTGCACAAGGCAGCTTCGACAATAAGTATGGATTTATTGCAGCTCTAAAGTCTGCAAGATCAGAGTACCAGCATGGTCGGGCTGCGGAGGGCCTTCTCCCTGGTTGCAGGCACCCTCGCGTGGTAGAGGGATCATCTCTCCTGTCTCTTCTCACAACAGCACTAATTCCACTGTGAGGGCTCCTCCCTCATGCCCTAATCACCCCCAAAGGCCCCACCCCAAATACCATCACACTAGTGCCTGGGGCTTCTGCATGTGAATTGTAGAGGGACACAAGCATTCACTCCTTCGCACCCACCCACCACTGTGTCTGGGAGAGAAGAGGAAGGCAGTGTCCAGCTTCCTGGAGTCCCTTTGTCTTCTGCATCTCCCTGGCTCCAGCAGCTGGCCTGCTTTCTGGGACTGGTCTGCCATGTGGCTAGTCCCCTGTCTGCGATGTTTCCGGGTGCTCCGTGCCCACCTGATCACAGCTGAGCCCAGGAGGGAGACCCCAGGGGGTCTGTGCAGCTTTGGACAAGCCACCGATCCTCTCTGGCCCAGTGCCCCATCCGTAAAATGGGACTGGCTAGATATTCTCTGGGAGCCCCCAGCACCAGATATGCCGAAGCTCCCATCCTAGATTCTATGGGGGCAGGGCTGGGTCTTGCAGACAGGCCGTGCTGGCCCCAAATCCTGGCAGCATCCGGAGCTGGCCGCCCACGCACAGGCAGGCGGGGGGAGGCAGGGTGCTGCAGCCTTGTTGCCAAGAGCACAGAGAACTTTCCACTGGGTCCAGGTTTTCATCACCATGGCAACTGCTGGGGGGTGGAAGCAGAATTTCTCAGCATTCCAGAGAGAGATTATATGGGGGAAGAAAGAACAAGAAAGTCAGACCTGAGCCAGGCCTGAGAGGTCAAGGCCAACACCCCAGGGAGACCCATTTCCTCTCTGGCCTCTTCACACCCTTCTCCCCTCCTTCTTCTTCTTTTAACGTTTCTCTCTGCCCCCTGTCTTCTCTACATCCCTCTTTCCTGGCTCCCTTCCCTGAGCCCCTGCTTACAGGAGGTGTCTAATCCACATGTGCCGTGTGCCAGGCACAGGTTCATGCGCTTCACAAGTGGGGACTCATTGAATTCCCCTGCTCTGTGTAGGAGGCACTATGATCACTCCCATTTCACTGATGAAAAAATGGAGGCTCAGGGAGGTTAGGTGACTTGCCTGACTCACAGTAGATGGTGGACTTGGGAGTTTGATGGGACTCCAATGACTGCACCCTCAGTTACAAGGTATTTGGATGGTCTCTGTTGTCTGAGAAACTCAGGGGCCCCCAGTGAAATGCAGGTGAGGGTGGGAGGCAGAAAAGAGGCACAGGTGGCCCATACTCTGGAGACCCCGTTGGGCCTCCGCACTCTCTCTTCCTTCTGTCTACACCCCATACTGACAATCCTGGTTTGGGCCAGGGCAGAGGATGAGGCTGGCAGCCCATTCCTCCCGAAACACTGCTTTGGGGCTGATTCCCTGGCCTTAGCCGACCAAAGCACTCTCATTCAGGCTCAGGAAAGACTCCCCAGTTTAGGGATGGCACTGGAAAGTCCAGGGGGCCTAGAGACCTAGGTACCACTCCCAGCACTCACACATTCCCCAGAGATGCCCTGTAGAGAGAGAACCTGGCCCAAGAAGCCTGGCTTACGCCACACCATAATCCTGCAAGAAAATTCTTCAGAATTTCAGGCTTCAATGCCCTCCTTGCTGCCTCTCCAGTGAAGGCGAGGGGCAGATGGGAGGCCACATATAAGGATAGCAACTCAGCCATGCCAGTCACTTGGCATGGCCTTCATGGCTGGCCACTCGCCAGCTTCTAAAGACCAGAACAAACTGGGGACTGGGAAAGTCCTGCTTCACTTCTGGGGACAGAGAACCTTCCATTCATGGCTTTAAACATGGCTTAGTCCTCGCCAGGCTGGCTCTGCCTGCGCCTCACTCTCTCCTGGCTTCTGTATCCTGCAGCACAAGCTCCTCCACTCACTGCCTTCAGTGTGATTTTTGTCTTCTGCTCCTTCTACAGATTGCCCCACATTTCTTCCAAATCTCTCGCTCAAATCTCCGGCTCAAATCTCCAAGACAGAGATCCAGCCTGGACCTCTTATTTATTGGTATTGTGATTGGGCAGAACTCCCCCTCCAGGCCATCTCATTGGCTGCTTGCAGGCTGCTGATTGGCTGCCCTGGGACTGGGGCTTCCCTCTGGTCCAATCAGCTATCACCAGGGAGGTGGCGTCCTCCTCCCTGGTGATACCTAATGTTACTGAATGTTGTTGCTAAGATCATAGATGCAGTTTTTCGTTGTTTAAGCCAGTCATTGTTGCTAATCCTTTGACCTGAACAGCCACCCCCTCACTACTTGGAGTCATGACATAAGCCTCTGGCAAAGAGTCAGTTGCTTCTCTGCTTCCATATGACAGTTAAGTTGGGGTTTCTGTTATTTGCAACCAAAGCCTCATGGCTGACACCCATTTCATAGGTTTATGGCAAGATTGAATGAGTTGGGACCTGTTTCAGGCTTAGCCATGACCTCACAGAGCTGAGATGAGGGGATCCAGAATAGTGCCCCAGGAAACCTGGAGGTTCCACTCCCACTCAACAGCCTCCTTCCAACGGCCAGCAAAAAGTGACCGGAGAGGCTTGTGTTTCATCTGTAGTCGTTGGTGGCTGCTCCGTGGTCCCAGGATGCCTATGCTGGAAAGGACCAGAGGAATTAATTCATCCTACTGCCTACTACCATTTGGACCAGAGGGGAACCCCAAGGCACAAACCAGGCTCTGAGAGCCCAGCTCTGGGCCAGGCCTCCCACCCGAAGAGCCAGCTTTCCATCACCCATATGGTAGGGAGGATAATCGGCAGCCAGAGGCCTCCCCAGCCCCTCAGGGCTTGCTGAAGTCTCTCATCAAGCCAGCCTTACAAATGCCTCCTTGATTCCTCGAGCCTCATCATTGAAGGGATTGTGGCTGTGCCTCCAGGGTATTATTCATGTCTCACTATGTAGGCAGAATGTCCCAGCCCAGTGCTGGGACAGGGAAGGATGGGAAGACAGGGCCATTCCAGGAGGCAGAGGCCAAGGTGTGGAAGATCACCAGGCCCAGTCCCCCCATCCCTAGCCTCGGATAATGCAGAATCACTCCTTTGTTGTTTTATGGGGGTCTTCCCTGGCATGGATGAAAATAAGCCCCCTTCTCACTTTCCCCCACATGGCTCTCCATCTGGGGCCACTGAGGGGGTATGCCTACCTCTCCCCACTGAGCCCCACCTGGTTCTTTTACCCATCCACACTGGCCTCCACCTCCAGAACCCTCGCCACCCTGATGTCTGCCCTTTTTTCCAAAGTTGGGAGAACAAACTACAGCCCAAGGGCCAAATCTGGCCCACCACTTGTTTTTGTAAATAAAGTTTTATTGGAGCACAGCCACACGCATTTGTTTACTGTTGTCTGTGGCTGCTTTTGAGCTACAAAGGCCAAGTGGAACAGCTAAAACAGAACCTGTATGGCCCAAAGTTTAAACGTTTACTACTTGGTCCTTTACAGAAAATTTCTGACTTTCGTTCTAAAGCATCAGTGGTCCCCTCCGTGGCACATGGGACCTCAGGGATGACCATTTAGGATGGAAACCTTCTTTCCCCTCCTTGGACCCCATGTGTGACTGCTCAGTGCAGCTTCAAATGCCATGGGCTTCAGTAGCCATGGCCCAGTACTGGCTTCCCAAGAACCCACGTGGGCAGCAGAGATGCCCAGGTCACATTTGCACAGCCTGCTGCTAAGGCCTGTTGCCAAGACAAGCTCTCCCAGCCCTTGAGTTCTGCAGGACTCGCATTCATCTTTGGTTCTGTTTGCCTTTGTCACCTTTGTCCCAATCTCTTGCTTTATGAAGACCATTTTGAACCATGGTCTTCTCATCATGGGTCTCTCATCCACTTGTGCATTAGCCCTCTCTGTTTTGTGTTTTGTATACATTTCAACTTCTTTTCTGTAGGTTCGTTCAAGTTGTTGACCTTAAAAGAGCCCTGTGGGACCGGGAGCAGTGGCTCACATCTGTAATCCCAGCACTTTGGGAGGCCAAAGTGGGAGGATCACTTGAGCCTAGGAGTTTGAGACCAGTCTGGGCAACACAGCGAGACCCCGTCTTTACAAAAATATTTGTAAAAATTTGCCAGGTGTGTTGGCTTGTGCCTGTCATCTCAGTTACTTGGGAGGCTGAGGTGGGAGGATCATTTGAGCCCAGGAGGTTGAGGCGGCAGTAAGCCATGATTGTGCCACTGCACTACAGCCTGGGTGACAGAATGAGACCCTGTCTTAGGAAATAGTAAAATAAAAGAGTCCTGTGACACATCACTAGAGACTTCCTTGCTGGGCTGTTATTGATCCATACTAATCAATACTCCTTAAGCGTCATTACTCAGCCTGCTGTGACCCATCTCCACCTGCAGCCTGCAAGCTTCCACTTGGCCATCTTATCAGTCAGGATGCTGTCAGACATTTTGTCTAATATTTGGCTGGGTTTTTATTCCCAAAGACTGCTGTCCACCTCTTAGAAAACAGAATCACAGAACAGAAGGGACTTTTGGAAATCACCTAACTGATCCTCTTTCCTCACAGATGGGAAAATTGGGTCTCAGCAAAGCAACTGTCCAAGATGACAGCGAACGGGTGGCTTATTTTTTGAGTCAGGAGCTGGGTGCTATTTGCATGACCCCATGATGACACAGACTGTGTATTAGGGGAGGCATTCTGCTGTAACAAACAGGCCCACGCAGGTAACATCTCCCTGCAGCAGAAGCACATTTCTTGCCCACACTCACGCTAGTCCCAGGGTAGGTATTGAGGGTGGGGGTCAGCTGTCCTTTACATGGTCCTTTGGAGACCCAGGCTTCTTCCCTCCTGTGGCTCAGCCATTCTGTAGGGCCTCATCATGATCTGCCTCTAACAGACAGAAGAAGACAGAGCCCTGGCCCAGTTGGGAAAATCATCCTTCTACTTTGCTGAAATCCCAAGTGGTTCTTTTCTGGATCTCACTGCTCCCCTCCTCCTGCCAGACCTCGGCCTTCTCTGGGCCCCTGTGTCACAAGCTCAGCCCTCTGCCCACTGGGCAGGGTCTGGTCTGGGCTCCGAGCTGGCCAGGTGGGCAAGGCTGCAGTCCAAGTCACCAAGCAGAGGGAGGCTGGGCTCACTGAGCAGCTGGTGTGTGCTCAATTATCATCCAGTCTGCAAGGAGGAGGCGGGGCTGTCCCCCATCCTGTATCAGGAGAGAACAGGAAGCAGCAGCTGGCAAGGTCACAACTGGAGCCTGCCCACATGGAATTCACATCCCTCTCTGAATCTAAATGTGCCTGGTGCCATAGAGAAGGAAGCAGTTCCTACCTCTCGGGAGAATCCATCAGATGAAGGGGTCTGCAAGCAAGGCTCTCTGAGAGGTGGGTGTCTTGGTGACAGCTGCTGCGGTGGCTGGGTGAGATTATGACCCCTGGCCTTCTTAACATTCCATGCCCACCAGCTCCCTTCTCTGCTAGCAGTTTTCTTAGAATCTATGTTGGTGAAGTCTGGGCTCTTGCTTCTGGCATCCAAGGCCTTCCCTTGGGCTCATCCCTATCTCACCTCTCCCTACCATCTTCCCATGACATGTTCTTCCTTGAGTCAGGATAGCACTGCGGTCTTTGGCATCATGCAATTCCTGGTTCTGCTATTTACTAGCATTATGACCTTGGGGGATCTCTCTGTGACTCAGTCTTCTTATCTGTAAAATGGAGCTCATAATAATTAGTTAGCAGGGATATTGTGTGGATTAAGTGACACGAAGGTATGTATATGAGCCTAGGACAGTGCACATAAATATTCATCTTCTCCATGCCTTTCCCCTTTCTCATCTGGACTCACAAGGCTTCCTCTTCCTCGCTGCCCAGCCAGCTGTCACTTACATCTCTGCTTCCAATAGTTTTCCAGTTCCTGCTGGAGGCAGAGCTTCTCTGACCAGCTCATTCCCCAAGGATCTCTTTGTCATAGTACTAATTGATGGAGAAGAGCTATATATTTGTAACCTGAATAAAATGCAAGGCTCCACATGGACCAGTCTTTGCATGAATTTGCACTCAAAGACTCATAGTCTGGCAACCAAAAGAAACTTAAAATTACATTTCAATCCTTTCCTGATTCTTGAAAAACAGTGGAATTCTTGACCCTCAGCTGACTTCTCAGAAGGTCCTTTGCCACGCCTACTGCAGCTCTTGCCAGCCCACCCTGCAAACTACCCCCAGCCCCACTCCCATGGTCTGTCTCCCACCCTCTCCCCTCTAGTTCTTCACTGTGTACCTTGCTGGAGCCGGGGGTGGGACATAAACACCATAGATAAGTATGTCTTGTCCTCTTTACCTTCAGAGGCATTTGGGCTTGCCAGGCGTGTCTCCTCTAATTTTAAACTCCTGGGAAAGGGACTCGGGATTTGGGAGATTGACTTTTTTATTTTGAGATGGAGTCTCGCTCTGTTGCCCAGACTGGAGTGCAGTGGCACGATCTCGGCTCACTGCAACCTCCGCCTCCCAAGATCAAGTAATTCTCCTGCCTCAGCCTCCCGAGTAGCTGGGATTACAGGCACCCGCCACCACACATTTTTTTGTATTTTTGGTAGAGACGGAGTTTCACCATGTTAGCCAGGCAGGTCTCGAACTCCTGACCTCAAATGATCCACCTGCCTCAGCCTCCCAAAATGTTGGGATTACAGGCGTGAGCCAGCACACCTGGCCGACTTTTTATTTTACAAAATTTCAAAGGGTGGAAAATTTGCAAGAATAGTACAAGGAGCTCTCTTATATCTTGGACCAAAATTTACCAAAATTTACCATTTTCTTCATCTCACTCTCTCTCTACCTATATGTATATATACACACATACATATAAAATATATGTATATATAACTATATAATCATATATTTTAATATATACATACATTTTACATTGTACATTGCAGTGTGTGTATTATACGTACATATATATATATATAATATATCTTTTTTCTGAAATCATTTGCAAGTAATTTGGAGATATAGTGCCTTTTTATCCCTAAATACTTCTGTGGGAATTTCCTAAGAAAAAGAACGTACTATTGTATAACCATAGCCCAGTTATCAAAATCAGGAAATTAAACATTCCAGCAAAATACTATTATCTATTTCACAGTCCATATTAAAATTTAATCAATTGCCCCAATACTGTACTTTATAGCTCTTTTATTTTCCTAGTCCAAGATCCAACCCACATTCCCAAATTGCAGTTAATAGTCACATTTCTTTAGAAAACAATATTTTATGTTTTAATGGGTTTTCTTTCTGAATCCTGACCCCTACCCAGCAGTGCTTAGAACACTATGAACTTAATAGCAAATTAGTAAACACTGATTTGAATCGAGAAAAAATGATTTAAATATAGTAACTGAAGATTCTCGGCCGGGCGCGGTGGCTCACGCTTGTAATCCCAGAACTTTGGGAGGCCGAGGCGGGTGGATCACCTGAGGTCAGGAGTTCAAGACCAGCCTGACCAACATGGAGAAACCCCATCTTGACTAAAAATATAAAATTAGCCGGGGTTGATGGCACACACCTGTAATCCCAGCTATTCGGGAGGCTGAGGTGGGAGAGTCGCTTGAACCTGGGAGGCAGAGGTTGCAGTGAGCTGAGATTGCGCCATTGCACTCCAGCCTGACCAACAAGAGCGAAACTCCATATCGGAAAAAAAAAAAAAGATTCTCATATCCTATGGCAAGCTGTTGGTTATATACCCAATAGTCATTCTCCTGGGTTGCTGGGCATGTTAGTGGTTGGATGGAGGGATAGGTGGATACATAAATGGATAGATGGATGGCAGATGGGTAAATAAGGAATAGCTGGATAGAGAGAGGTAGGAATGGGAAGGTGGATGGATGGATGGATGGATGGATCATAGATGGGCAGGTAGAGGAGTGGATTATACGAATGGAGAAATGGAGGAATTTGGTGATTTGTGGATGCAAGATGGATGGTTGGGGGGAATGGTTAAACGGGGAGAATCAGTGGGTGGAGATTGTTTATGCCCAATATTCACAATGATGGACTGAATGAAGTACTCAGACGGGAGTCAGAGGTCCTAGGTTCAGGCTCCAGCTCTGCCTCCTCCTAGCTGGAGCTTCTGGAGAGCTCCTTCCCCAGTGGGGCCTCAGCAGCATTCTCTGTGAAATGAGGTTGCTGGGCTGAGGGGCCTTTTTGACCCTTCTAGTTTGAAACAACTCGTGTCTCAGAAATGTTCAGTGGTTTTCTGAAGGTGGTGGAGCTGGTGACCACAGAGCTCAGATGTGGATCTGGACAATCTGGCTCTAAAGTGCATGTTTTTTAACTATGCTGCTTCCCTGCCACTATAGGGACATAAGAAGAAAGATTCCGAGGCCAGCCAGGGGCTCTTTGTCTCCAGTGCCAAGCCCCACCTCCCCAGCCCACCAAGCCACCGCCTCAGCCAACCCCTCTGAGACCCCTACACCAGGAAGCACCTGGGCTTGTTCCACATTTTGCTGCCTCTCCCAGAGCCCAAGGGATGACGCAAGTGGCATTGTCCACAGGCCCCTCCCTGCTCGCTTTCCTCCCAGCTCAGCCTCTCCATTCCCCTCCTGTCCCCATCCCCAGCGCCCTTTGTCACACCCTCACCCCACACACACAGCAGCTTGCAAGACTTCCTGCCCCCTCCATGCACCACAGGAACCCAGGAAAGGTGCCGCGGCTCCGCAGCTCTGAGACTTGGCTCCTTTCCAGCCACGTGCAAGTGAGGTATCAGCACCTGCCCACACGGACAGGAATTGGGCTCCGCTCCCACGGATACCAAGAATGCAAGATTTTCAAGGTGCCTTAAGACAGGTATCACTTGCCTCCTGGATTCTCCAACAGGAGGCCCAGCAGGTGCTGAAGATGACAGCAAACAGGGGCACCAAAAAATAAATGAGGAAAAAGAAAATATTTTAGAAAGATAGTGATATGTAATGTTGCAAAAGCACTATCAAAGTAATAATCATGAAAAAAATCAGAACTCGGTTGCACTATGGTATTTCCATTATAGTATTGTTTTAGTTTTGTCTGACTTGTGGGGTGGTGGTGAGCACCAGAATCTCTCTGGAATGCAGGGCCTTAGGAAGTCTTGATGTGGCCCTGCCTTCCAGGAGTTTGGAGCAGCTTGATAGCTGGGGCCAAGCTCTTGAGCAGGGAGAGCTGAAGCCTAGGCCCACAATCTGGCATTTCAGAGGTCTGCGGACATGAATGCCACATGGAACCTCAAAGAAGCCCTCCTCCAGCCCTTCTCCAGGGCTGCCTCCTCCAGCCTCAGCTCCCTGCAGCTTGGCCTCCCTAGGCCCACCTGAGGTAAGGAGTGGTCTCCCTCCCCACCAGATCACAACTGTATGAACCCTCAGGGAGGTAACACGCCAAAGGCCTCATAGCTAGTTCCAGACAGAGCCAAGACTTGAACCTAACATGGTAGGAAATAAAGGGCCCATGAAATACAATCCACGTCATTTGTTCCAGGAGCCTTTACGAAGAGCTGTCCCTGGCAGTGACCCAACATTGTAACTACGTCGAGAGTTCGCTTTGAACTTAAGGTTGGAAGAGATGGTTAATGTATTACTGCTACACCCTTTTGCAGAGATTTTGTACACATCAATTTTTAAGCAGAACATGTGCTTAATACATCTGCACACGACATACTCATCCCTCATCCAGCCCACTAACCCCTTCTGAGAACTGGCTCTGGACCAGACACCTCACTGCACTGATGGCCAGAAAGATGTGTAAACAAAGAATTCACAACCCAGTTTGTGATCGAGAAAGGGCTAGCACTAAGTGCTCTGAGAGCACCAAAGACTGCATGATGACTTTTACCTGAAGGGGTGGGAGAAAGACTTACCAGGGAGCTGGCATTTTGAGCTGGGTCAAGAGGGATGAGAAAGAGGAAAGTGGGAGGAAGAAGTCACATTTCTTGAACACAGTATTAATTAGGATAATGTTTGTTGCTACAACAAACAAACCCTGAAATGGACAATGGGTCAAATATGATAGAAGTTTATAAGTTTTCAGGTAAAATCCAAAACCATGTTTTTGATTAGCAGGTGACTCTCTTCCCAGTGGTGATTCAGGGATCCAACCTCCTTCCACATTGTGGCTCCACCATCTTCACCTTGCTTGTCTGTGTCAAACTAGCAAAAGGAAAAAGAACGTGGAAAATTTCATGAGAGAGGCTCTTTGTAGGCCTTACCAGAAAGTGGTACACATCATTCTGGTCACATTCCACTGGCTAGCACACAGCAGGCTTCTCCCACACCATCTGCAAAGAAGGGTGGGAAATGTTATCTAAGCCTATGCCCAGGAAGAAGAACTGAGCTTGGTGAACAGCTCTAACAAACAGCTGTTCACTGTGTTATCTTTTTAAATTATATTACACCTATCAGCAACCCAGTGAAGTGAGGCATTGTTAGCATTCCCATTTCACAGATGAGAAAGCTGAGGCTTGAAAAGATTCTTCAACCTGCCCAAAGCCTCAAACCTGGCAAGTGGCTGAGCTGTGATTCAATACCAGGTTGGTCTGTGTGGGTCCAAGGCTTGTTCACTTTCCCGATATCATAAGCTTCCCCGGGAAGGGGAAAGAGCAGAAAGCAGACATGAAGGTGAAAGTAGGAGTCTGAAAGACCAACAGAGGGTGAGGCAAAAGGAAGCACAGAGGAGTAGATTTTGAAGGTGGTGGCAGCGGCCAGTGTGGAAGGAAGAACATGCAAGGTGAATTTCATGAGAATCTTTGCAGTTCATGCTGTCACCCACACATAGGCTGTGGGTACCAGAGAAGGGTTTAAAAACAGGCCCCACTAACCTCACTTGATCACAGATAGATCTTAAATAAACCCAGATAGAAAAATCTTAAATAAAGTACTAGCAAACAAAAACCAACTGCACATTAAAAAATAACACATCATGACTGTTGAACATGATGCTGGAGATATTAGCCAAAGCAATTAGACAAGAGAAAGCAAGAAGAGGCAGAAGAATTGGAGAGGAAGAGGTAACACCAATCTCTATGTTCTCTATTTGCAGAAAAATTAAGTTTGTCATGAATGCATAAAATATATGTAGATAGATCTTTTTATCATTTACTACCCTAAAAGATATACAAATCTATTACAAAAAGTTAAAATTTATCAAAACGTACACAAAAACAGATCATATATGATGCCATTTGCAGTTGAGAGAAATGTAAACAATGTAAAGATGCAGTATTAAATCACAACTGCATAAAATTAACTATAGTACACACTGCACTACTGTAATAATTTTATAGCCACCACCTCCTGTTGCTATTGCAATGAGCTCAAATATTGCAAGCAGTTCATCTCTCCAGTAAATTGCATATTGCAGTACAAAGTGATCTCTCAGTTCTTGCATCTTTTTCATTGTTTAGTGCAATATTGTACACCTTGAATAGCACAATGGGTTCCATATGAAGTGCCACTAGTGATACTGGAAGTGCTTTGAAGAAGCCGAGAAAAGTCATGACATTACAAGAAAAAGTTGAGTTGCTTGATATGTACCATAGATTGAGGTAAGTAGCTGCAGTTACCCACCATTCCAAGATAAATTAATCCAGTGTAAGGACCATTGAAAAAGAAAAGAAAAGAAAAGAAAAAGAAAAGGAGTCCAGTTTACAGTGGGTCATGCCTGTAATCCCAGCACTTTGGGAGGCTGAGGCGGGAAGAGGGCTTGAGCCCAGAAGTTCAAGACCAGCACAGGTAACATAGGGGGACCCTGTCTCTACAAAAAATTTTAAAAATTAGCCAAGTGTGGTGGTGCACACCTACAGTCCCAGCTACTTGGGAGGCTGAGGCAGGAGGATCACTTGAGCCTGGTAGGTGGAGACCGCAGTGAACCATGTCGTGCCACTGCACTCCAGCAAGGGAGACAGAGTGAGATCCCATCTCAAAAGTTAAATAATATTAAAAATAAAGAGAAAATTGTGAAGCTTCACTGCAGCTACACCAGCAGGCATAAAAACTGCATTTTTTGTGAAATAACTTTTTATCTCATGTTGAAAATGCAGCTTTTATATAGGTGTGGATTGCTGGAAGAAAGGTATACCTGTCAACTCTAATACAGTTTGAGAAGAAGTGAAGTCGTTATATGACAACTTAAAGAAAAAGGAAAGCAAAGGATCTAAAGCTGAAGAATACAATCCCAGCAAAGTATGGTTTGATAATTTTAGAAAGATATTTGGCTTTAAAAATGTCGGCATAACAGAAGCAACCTCTGCTGATCAAGAGGCAGCAGAAGAGTTCCCAGGTGCCATTAAGAAAATCATTGAGGAGAAAGGATAACTGCCTGAACAGGTTTTAAATGTAGACAAAAGTGCCCTATTCTGGGGGAGGGGGGAGTCAGAAAGGACATTGGTAAGGAAAAGAAGCAAGCACTGGGATTTAAGGCAGGAAGGGATAAGTTAAGTCTACTGTTTGTGCAAATAAGTTGGGTTTCTGATCAGGACTGCCCTTATCTATAAAGCTGCTAGCCCCTGGGCCTTGAAGGAAAAGGATAAACACCAGCTACGAGTCTCTTGGTTGTAGAACAAGAAGGCCTGGACAACAAGAACCCTTTTTCTGGACTAGTTCCATTGATGCTTTGTCCCTGAAGTTAGGAAGTACCTTGCCAGTAAGAGACTGCCTTTTAACATACATTTGATATTGGACAATGCCCCGGCCATGCAGAACCCCATCAGTTCAATACTGAAGTCAAAGTGTTCTACTTGCCCCCAAGCACAACATCTCTAGTTCAGACTCTAAATCAGGCAGTCATAAGGACCTTCAAGGTTCATCACATGCAGTGCTCTATGGAAATGATTGCCAACAATGCCGAAAAAAAAGCTGGTAGAACATTATGAAAGTCTAGAAAGAGGCTGGGCGCAGTGGCTCACACCTGTAATCTCAGCACTTTGCGAGGCCGAGGTGGGCGGATCACGAGGTCAAGAGATCGAGACCGTCCTGGCCAACAAGGTGAAACCCTGTCTCTACTAAGAATACAAAAATTAGCTGGGCATGGTTGCGCACGCCTGTAGTCCCATCTACTTGGGTGGCTGAGGCAGGAGAATCGACTGAACCCAGGAGGCGGAGGTTGCAGTGAGCCGAAATTGTGCCACTGCACTCTAGCCTGGTACAGAACGAGACTTCGTCTCAAAAAAAAAAAAAAAAAAGAAAAAAGAAAGTCTAGAAAGATTACACCATTGAAGATGCCATTGTTATTATAGAAAAAGCTGTGAAAGCCACGGTGCTTAAAACAATAAATTCCTGCTGGAGAAAACTGTGTTCAGATGTTGTGCATGACTTCATGACTTCATAGAATTTATAACAGGTCCAATCAAGAAAATCATGAATGGGCCAGGTGCGGTGGCTCACACCTGTAATCCCAGCACTTTGGAATGCCGAGGCAGGCAGATCACTTGAGGTCAGGAGTTAGAGACCGGCCTGACCAACATGGCAAAACCCCATCTCTACTCAAAATACAAAGAAAATTAGCTGGGCATGGTGATACACACTTGTAATCCCAGCTATCTAGGAGGAGGCTGAGGCGGGAGAATCACTTGAACCCGGGAGGTGGAGGTTGCAATGAGCCAAGATCACACTAGTGCACTCCAGCCTGGGTGACAGAGCAAGACTCTGTCTGAAAAAGGAAAAAGAAAAAAAAAAAAAGAAAATCATGATTGATATTGTGAATATGGTAAGAAAGGTGGTAGGGGGTGAGAGGGGTTGAAGAGTTTCAAGATATGCATCTTGGAAAAATTCAGGAGCTTGCCTTTCAAGTTGTCTGCTTGATCCTTTTCCAAGTGTACTTTCCTTCCTTTCATTTCCACTCTAAAGCTTTTTAATAAACTTTCACTCCTGCTCTAAAACTTGCCTCAGTCTCTCCTTCTGCCTTATGCCCCTCAGTCAAATTCTTTCCTCTGAGGAGGCAAGAATTGAGGTTGCTGCAGACTCCTATGGATACGGATTCGCCACCCGTAACATATTTTGGTGCCATGTGATTCGGACTGGGATACTTTCCCTAGTGGTAAGAGATTTGTATGCCTTGCCTTCTTTCGCTGGAGGTGCTCAACCCCTGTGTGTAGTTTTCTTCTCCCCTTTCACCCTCCTGCTTACTAACCAACCCCTCGGAACAATTCCACTTGGCCATAAGTGGCTCTGCTCCCCCCAGCTGATTTCTCACCTCACCCTAACAGGTGTCTCGCGGGGGTGGGAAGGACCTTAGGGTCTGCACCTCGTAAAACTGAGGCTCATGAGAGTGATAGGGCTAAAGCCTAAAACAGGGCACTGTATGGGGTTTCCTCTGCTTTTTCAACTAAAATCAGATCTTTCCCAAAAACCTGAAAACAACAACAAAAAGAAGCTAACAGACAGAGGAATGAACAGAAGACGATTTGATGGAGAGGAGTGCTTCTGAACCAGTGCCAGACAATGAGGAAAAAGACATAGAAGAGCCAGTGCCACAAAACAATGGACATTAGGCAATCTGACCGAAGGGTTCTGATTATTCAACACTGTTTTTTACTTCTTTTACAACATGGACCTGTCTATGATATGAAGCCCTGAGACTAAAGCAAACAGTGGAAGAAGACTTGGTACCAAATAGAGACATTTTTAGAGAAATATAAAAGCAAAAATTTCAGACAAAAATTACATTATATTTACATAAAGTTACACCAAGTGTCCCCGCTTCTCCTGCCCCTTCTTCCTCCTCCTCCTCTACCTCTTCTACCTCTGACACTCTTGAAACAACAAGATGAACCCCTTGTCTTCCTCCTCCCTGTCAGCCTACTCAACATGAAGAAGCATCCTCAACATGAGGATGAAGACCTTTATGGTGATTCACTTCCACTTAATGAATCTTGAATATATATTTTTCTTCCTTATGATTTACTTAGTAACATTTCTTTTCTCTAGCTTACTTTATTGTAAGAATACAGTATATAACACATATAAAACCCACAATATGTATTAATTGACTATGTTATCAGTAAGGCTTCTGATCAACAGTAGGCTATTAGTGATTAGGTTTTTGGGCAGTCAAAAGTTATACTCGGATTTTCAACTCTACAGAGGTCAGCATCCCTAGTCCCCACATTGTTTGAAGTTCAAATGCAATTTTAACAGTGTCTAGGCAAAGCGTGGTGACTCACACCTGTAATCCCAGCACTTTGGGAGGCCAAGGTGGACAGATCACTTAGAGCTGCTAGTAGCCCATTTTTATGGTTATGTCTTGATTATATACTAAACAAGGGGTGGGTTATTCATGAGTTTTCCAGAAAAGGGATGGGCAATTCCCAGAACTGAGGGTTCCTCTCTTTTTTAAACCATGTAGGATAAATTCTTGATGTTGCCATGGTATTTGTAAACTGTCATGGTGCTGGTGAGAGTGTGGTATTGAGGACAACCACCTGTTGCCATCTTGGTTTTGGTGGGTTTTAGCTGGCTTCTTTACTGTAAACTGTTTTATCAGCAAGGTCTTGATTACCTGTATCTTGTGCCGACCTCCTATCTCATCCTGTGACTAAAAATGCCTTAACTTACTGGGAATGCAGCCCAGCAGGTCTCAGCCTTATTTTACCCAGCCCTATTCAAGATAGAGTCACTCTGGTTCAAACAACTCTGACATATTTCCTCCCTCCCTTTTATAAGAAAACTCTTAATCCTAATGGTTGTAGAGAGACAAAGATCCATCTTCTGTAACTTCTTTAGGCTGAATAGGGGCAATGATATTCCTGCCTAACTATTAGGGTCGCTTGTATTCAAGGTAGAGACGAGCTCAGTCAGAAATCATCAGTATGATGAGGGCTATTCATAACTCCAATGAAAGGTGATATCTGGATTAATAAATGTACAATTTAAGAAAACATTCATTAAGCTTATCCTGCATTCTTACACAAAGAGCACAACAGCAACATATTTCACAACAGTAAAGCAAAATAAGCAAAATTATTCCAAGTAAACTAAATTAGAAGGCTTTCTATGAACTGGACAGCTGTTGGAACCAAGCTGATATGGGGTCACAGGCTGATTCCAATGTGCCCAGAAATAAAATATTGCTCCAGATTCTTATGTTACTCACCCCTCTGTTTCTTCTGAGCAGTAGCCAGAGATCACTGGTTGGTTCACAGAAATAAGCAGGGTCAGTCTAAATTGCAGGAAAAAAAACCCAAAAACAACTGATGAGACTAGAATCTAACAGGTGTACCATAGTTCTTGAAATACAATTTTTTCTCTCTTCAGTCTCCCATTTTTACTAAAGACAAATCATGGTAAGACCAATTTCCTTTATTATACTTGGCCTGATTGTTTGTATAAAGTGCAACAAGAATAATTTTTTACATAAGCTTTTAAAATTGGCTTTGATGGAATCTTCTTCCATGGAAGGAATCTCAGATAAGACTTATTTTTTTTTTTTAAAGCTGAGCCCAGCCATGGATTTGTACCATCAAATACCTATGAGTTGGGTAAATTCCTCTCGTCTTGAAGTCCCAAGATAACTTGGGGCTTCTGGGCCTGTCAGAAATTAACATTTTTTACTTACCACAGGTCAGGAACCCTGTACAGGGACTGTGGAGACAAGATATGAGGCCAGTTTTCCCAAAGGGCTTCTATTGGCTCTGCAAGTCAACTTTGATTCCCTAAAGGAAAGCATGCCATTCCAGTCAAAGCCTTGGTAAAATAACCAGTTTCTCCAACTGTGTACTGTTACAAAAGAAAACAGATTCTTATTGCACTTATGCAAATAACTATACTGCCATAAATTAAGAATACTAACGAGTAGTTTCCAAATTTTTGAGAAATCAGGTAGAGAGAAACAAATATGCTCCAAATTTTGTTCACAGAAGTATACTTTTCTCAATTGTTAAAAGCTGTTAATGGCTCAAAAGAAAAGTTTCCTTGACTCAAAAAGAAAACAAAGCATCAGGAACATTTTAAGCAAAAAGTCAAAAAGATTACTTCAGTCTTCTATTAATGCAGTTCATGCAGTTAACTCCGTTCCGCTTGATATTCATGAACATTTTAGCTTTCCAGGAATCCTGAAAGTTTTTTCCTTTACTCTAGTGTCACAATCTCCAAAGTTATCAGAAACATGCATTAAAGAGCACCTGTAAAATTCCTATAGCTGATTATAAAACCACCTTTTGAAGAGGACAAAAACAAGACAATTGTCAGCAGATGACAAAAAGTTTTAGGACAGCCACTATTAAAGCCACAATTAACAAAGAAATTTTTGTTACTTCTGTGGCATACAACAATTTTACATAATAAGTATAGTTATTGATATCATACACCAAGTCATATTAAAATTATAGGAGTTTTCCATAATTTTGGAAGACATCCCAATACCATATTTATACGAATACAGCCCGAAGAAAGCAAAACATCATTTCATATTTGACAATGCTTCCTGTATGATTTTTATACTAAATGAGCCCAATTTCACCTTTGCATTAGTGCATTATTGATGCTAACCCAATTCTTAATAAAACCTTATAGACAAATCTATCCAGTTTAATCAGTTTGACCATAAGGTAAGATTCTCATAAATCTTTTATAACCCTTTACAAATTTTTGTTGAAGAGCAGATCAGTGCTCTAAAGAAAACCTGCTGTGCTTTTATTTCAATGCTCACTTTATGAAAAAACTGAATAATACCCCTTTAACTTTAGCCAATATGTTCACACACAGAATTTCTTTTACAACATTAGTTTTTCACAAGCCTTCCAAAACTGGCTTAAACCTTCAGCTTTACCCTATCTAACTTGACACAACCCTTTAACCCTTTAATCTAGGCAGAAAAATCTACATTTTCATGCCTTCTTATAATCTTTTACCAAAACACATTTCACTTTTCTTACACACCTTGCTTGTAAAACTGTTTCTCCAGTGTCTCAATTACATATTACAATGTTAACTCTTAGCGACTTTTATTTTTGAAAAACCTTGGTAAGTAAGGGATTTTAATTATGTACTAGATGTGGAACCTAGGAACCAGACAGAAGTGCAGATAAGGGCTGACTCTTTTCAGCATAGCTAGGGGGCATGGCTCTCCACATGTTCCCAGGCCTTATCTAGAATCCAATGCCCCAAATTAGGTAAATTGAACAATTTTCAAAAGCCAAAGAAGCATTTTATGACCTTAAAGCATTTGAAAAACTTAGTATCTGACCTGCCTGATTTAAATGAAATGTCTAAATTTTGAAGATATTTTTATTTTACCAATAATCTTTAAAACTGCCTTTATTTGCCAAAGCTTATTTAAGTTACATGAACTAAAAGGCATTACACTTTTTACTTCTCTGATAAAATATTTTATTTAAGCCCTTATTTTTTAAGCCAATTAATTAAAGCTCTTTCATATCACACACACAACACATATAAATACACAGACAGAAGAAGATTTAGTACTTGTAAGATTTTTCATCTGTCACTTTTTAAATTGGATTACTGGCTTCAGAATGGAACCCTTGGAGGAACAGGGCCAGGAAAGCATATCGTTTCTATGGCCTAATAAGCAGGCACAGCTAGAAGGCAAAACAGATCGCCCAAAATTAAGGGTCCCATTTTTATACCAGATCCTGAATTCCAAAAAGAGGAATCAGCCCATCCCCATGGGAGTCTTATTTCTCAGTGGGGGGTAGGGACGTCTCCATACTTGCTAGGTGGCCAAGAGCATGCTTCTCTGATCCAAATGTGCAGAGCTGAGTATTCCCCCATAACTGCCATTAGCTAGCCCCAAAAGTATATTTCCTACCTAATTATTACACATCAAATCTCTCTTATAAGACAAAGTAATTTCTGATACTCCAAAAAGTTAAAACCATCAGATAATGCAATGCAAAACAGAACAGAGCCTTAGATTTTGAGAGGGATTTATCTGCTTTCAATCCTGGGGTTTCATGAGGAAAACTGAGTTTTTTCCTAAAACGGGGTCTGTGATGTCTCCTGTTTTTGCCAAGGAGTCCCAGACTGTCAGAGTGTGAATATCCACTTTTCATTAAGCTGACTTTTCACCATAGTGCATAGTGTTCTTTTTAAAAAGTCCTTTTAAATTTCTTATTGCCCAGCATTAGCCAGGCCAAAAAGCCAATATTTCTGTGCTCAGAGAAAGAAAAATTCAAAATGGTTTTTGGAGGGGAAGAGAATAACCAAATGATCAAGGTTACACAGATATCAAACCAGAAAGGACTCACTCTCTAAGCCAGGATTGAACATGAGCCACCATTGTAAAATGGCAAAGCCTTAACTCCTGAGTTACGACATTGGGGCAGTTTCCATTGCTCTCCCCAGAAGGAGTCTAGAACAGCCAATATTGAGCTTTCGAAGACTTTTAACTACTCAAGATAATTTTTGGAGCTATGAACCCCAAAATTCCTGTCCCTGGATAGCAGAGACCAGGAGGAAGTACCACCACATGTTTACAAGGTCAAGCTCCCAAGGACATTTTTCCATATGTGGTCTCTGGCAGGATGGTTGCCCTGAGAAACAGAAAAGATAGGAAAGGGAAATGAGAGAGAAAAAAGCATTGTCTGCGGCAGGATGGGGAAGGCCAAGAGCTCAGGAAGGCCAGATAAAGACCCACCCATTGCAGTGACACTGAAAAGTTCAGGCAGCTGCTTGTCAGTTGCAAAAGGATCTTTTCCAGCAGTCTCATCAGCTCTCAATTTTCCCTCTTTTGGGGAGAAAAAGCTCCCCATATCCCATGATCCTGTACGTGCCTAATCCTGTCACCCATAGCTGTCAGCAAAGAGTGCAAGGCAGATTAATCCAAAGAGAATAGCGGTTAACATCCCATAGTGCTAGATCCATTTTTAGGCAAGAGGAACTTTGAATTTGAAATGTCAGTATAACTCAGGATTTATTTCATCAGTATAACTCAGGATTTATTTTCCTCTTTCTAAACCATATATATATATATATATATATATATATATATATATATATATATATATACTGCATTGTGTGTATACATATATATACTGCATTGTGTATATATATATATACTGCATTGTATACTGAATAGCCTTAGAAGTGATAATACCCCAGTAGCAATAAACATATTTAGCATCTTGATTGTGATTTTTAAGTAGCATTTCCCACTAGAAGAATCCAGAGTTCCTTGAGAAGTGGCTGATTCTAGGGCTGGAGCACCTTTTGATATGGTGCCTTCAGGTACACAGCACCACCTGTGGCTCCATTATTCCCCGGAATACTACACCAGAATCTACTTAAGTCGTTAGATCAACCTCCAGTTTACAGGAAAATGGAGGAGAGAGAAACATGCTGAACACCAAATCCAGACTGTGGGAACTTGCACAGTGTGAATGACCAAGTTTCTTTAACAAATAAATGGCATTTTCAGAAGGAGGGGCAAGTGATACAAATTGAAAGAGTCTTAAGGGACATGTCAACCAAAAGCAGTGTGTAGACCTTGTTTGAATTCTAATTCAAACAAACAACTGTAAAAAGGCTTGAGACAATTGGGGGAAACTGAACATATTAGATGGTATCAAGTGATTAAATGTCAATATCAGTGGTAATGATAGTGTTATGATTATATTAATTACTAACAGATGAAGCAATATGACAGAATGTTAAAACTAAGTAATGAGTGTGTGGGAGTTCTTTAGACTACTCTCTCTCTAATGTGTGCTTGGACATTTTCATAACAAAAATATATTTTTTAAAAAAAGGCCTTGTTAGAGGCAGAACTGCAATTCTTCAGAGACCAGCCCCCTCCTTTGGGCAGAGAGCAGCCACAAGTTCAGGTCCATTCAGGTAGCTGGGGATTTGGTCCCTGTGGACTCAAACCACTGCTTATGATGAATGAAAAAGGGACTTGTTCCCACTTTTGCTATAGCCTCATGGTGGGAGGGAGAAACCTTCCCACTCATTGACTTTGGGCTTGCCCAAGTAACATTGGCATATTAGTGGCCAGGAAGTGAGCAGAGGCTTAAAATGTGCTCGCCTAGTGCAAAAGAACTGAAATCATAACAGTCTCTCAGACCACAGCACAATCAAATTAGGACTCAAGATTAAGAAACTCACTCAAAACCACACAACTACATGGAAATTGAACAACCTGCTCCTGAATGACTCCCAGGTAAATAATGAAATTAAGGCAGAAATTAAGAAGTTCTTTGAAAGTAATGAGAACAAAGAGACAACATACCAGAATCTCTGGGATGCAGGTAAAGCAGTGTTAAGAGGGAAATTTATAGCACTAAATGCCCACATCAAAAAGCTAGAAAGAGGCCACATGCAGTGGCTCACACCTGTAACCCCAGCACTTTGGGAGGCCAAGGTGGGCATACTGCCTGAGCTCTGGAGTTTGAGACCAGCTTGGCAACATGACAAAACCCTGTCTCTACAAAAAATACAAAAAAAAATAGCTGGGCATGGTAGCACATGACTGTAGTTCCAGCTACTTGGGGGGCTGAAGTGGGAGGATTGCTTGAGCCTGGGAAGTTGAGGTTGCGGTGAGCCGAGATTGCACCACTGCACTCCAGCCTTGGTGACAGAGAGAAACCCTGTGTCCAAAAGAAAAAAAAAGGCTAGAAAAATCTGAAATCAACAACCTATCATCACGAATAAAAGAATTAGAGAACCAAGAAAAAACAAACACCAAAGCTAGCAGAAGACAAGAAATAACCCAGATTAGAGTGGAACTGAAGGAGATAGAAACACAAAAACCTCTTTAAAAAATCAACAAATCCAGGAGCTGTTTTTTTTAATTAATAAAATAGATAGACTGCTACTAGCTAGACTAATAAGGAAGAAAAGGGAAAAGAACCAAACAGATACAATCAGAAATGATAAGGGGGATATAACCATTGACCCCACAGAAATACAAACAACCATCAGAGAATACTATGAACACCTCTCTGCACATAAACTAGAAAATCTAGAAGAAATTGATAAATTCATGGACACATACACCCTCCAAAGACTGAACCAGGAAGAAATTGAATCCCTGAATAGACCAATAACAAGTTCTGAAATTGAGGCAGTAATAAATAGCCTACCAACCAAAAACAAAGCCCAGGATCAGATGGATTTACAGCTGAATTCTACCAGAGGTACAAAGAAAGTCTGATACCATTTTTACTGAAACTATTCCAAACAATGGAAAAGGAGGGACTCCTCTGTAACTCATTTTATGAGGCCAGCATCATCCTGATACCAAAACCCAGCAGAGATACAACAGAAAAAGAAAACTTCAGGCCAATATCCATGATGAACATCGATGCAAAAATCCTCAATAAAATACTGGCAAACTGAGTCCAGCAGCACATCAAAAAATCTTATCCACCAAGATCAAATTGGCTTCCTCCCCAGGTTACAAGTTTGGTTCAACATATGCAAATAAATAAATATAATTCATCACATAAACAGAACTAAAGACAAAACCACGTGATTATCTCAATAGACACAGAAAAGGCCTTTGATAAAATTCAACATCCCTTTATGTTAAAAATGCTCAATAAACTAGATATTGAAGGAATATATCTCAAAATTATAAGAGCCATATACGACAAACCCACAGACAATATCTTACTGAATGGGCAAAAGCTGAAAGCATTCCCCTTGAAAACCGGCACAAGACAAGGATTCCCTCTCTCGCCACTCCTATTCAACATAGTATTGGAAGTTCTGGCCAGGGCAATCAGGCAAGAGAAATAAATAAAGGTACTCAAATAGGAAAAGAGGAAGTCAAATTATCTTTGTTTGCAGATGGCATGATCTTATATCTAGAAAACCCCATTATCTCAGCCAAAAAGCTTCTTAAGCTGACTAGCAACTTCAGCAAAGTGTCAGGATACAAAATCAATGTGTAAAAATGGCTAGCATTCCTATACACCAACAACAGGCAAGCAGAGAGGCAAATTATGAATGAACTGCCATTCACAATTGCTACAAAGAGAATCAAATACCTAGGAATACAGCTAACAAGGGAAATGAAGGGTCTTTTCAAGGAGAACTACAAACCACTGCTCAAGGAAGTCAGAGAGGACACAAAAATAGGAAACCATTCCATGCTCATGGATAGGAAGAATCAACATCATGAAAATAACCATAGTGCTGAAAGTAATTTATAGATTCAATGCTATTCCCATTAAACTACCATTGACATTCTTCACAAAATTAGAAGAAACTATTTTAAAATTCATATGGAACCAAAAAAGAGCCTGAATAGCCAAGACAATCCTAAGCAAAAAAAAGAACGAAGCTGGAGGCATCACACTACCAGACTTCAAACTATACTGCAAGGCTACAGTAACCAAAACAGCATGGTACTGGTACAAAAACAGACACATAGACCAACGGAACAGAATAGAGAATTCAGAAATAAGACCACACACCTACAACCATCTGATCTTCAACAAACCTGACAAAAACAAGCAATAAAGAAAGGATTCCCTATGTAATAAATAGTGCTGGGAAATCTGGCTAGCCATATGCAGAAAATTGAAACTGGACCCCTTCCTTTCATCTTATACAAAAATTAACTCAAGATGGATTAATTAAAAACTTATATGTAAAACCCAAAACTATAAAAACCTTAGAAGAAAATCTAGACAATACCATTCAGGACATAGGTAAAAAGATTTCATGACAAAAATGCTAAAAGCAATTGCAACAAAAGCAAACATTGACAAATGTGATCTAATTAAACTAAAGAGCTTCTGCACAGCAAAAGAAACTGTCATCAGAGTGAACAGGCAACCTACAGAATGGGAGAAAATTTTTGCAATCTATCCATCTGACAAAGGTCTAATATCCAGAATCTACAAGGCACAAACAAATTTACAAGAAAAAAACAAACAACCCCATTAAAAAGTGGGGAAATGACATGAACAGACATTTTGCAAAAGAAGACATTCATGTGGCCAATAAACATATGGAAAAAAGCTCAACGTCACTGATCATTAGAGAAATGAAATCAAAAGCACAATAAGATATCATCTCACACCAGTCAGAATGGTGACTATTAAAAAGTCAAGAGACAACAGATGCTGGTGAGGTTGCAGAGAAAAAGGAACACTTGTACACTGTTAGTGGGAGTGTAAATTAGTTCAACCATTGTGGAAGACAGTGTGGCAAATTCTCAAAGATCTAGAAGCAGAAATACCATTTGACCCAGCAATCCCATCACTGGGCATATACCCAAAGGAATAGAAGTCATTCTACTACAAAGATAGATGCACGCATATGTTCACTGCAGCACAATTCACAATAGTAAAGATATGGAATCCACCCAAATGCCCATCATGATAGACTGGATAAAGAAAATGTAGTATCATGGAATACTATGCAGCCATAAAAAGGAACGAGATCATGTCCTTTGCAGGGACATGGATGGAGCCGGAAGCCATTATCCTCAGCAAACTAACACAGGAAGAGAAAACCAAATACTCCATGTTCTCACTTATAAGTGGGAGCTGAACAATGAGAACACATGGATGCATTGGGGAGTTAATCCACCATTAACTATCAGTATGGGCTTTAGTCTCTCTGAGACTCGGCACTTCCCCTATTAAATCTCTCTGCTTAAAATGTTTATTTGGGAGATACAAGTCCAGCTGGTCCCACTAATCACATGATTGCTCCAGCGGATGATCACTCGAGCATCCAAGCTCACCTAAGACCCAGGCCTGTTACCTTGTAAATGATCCACCAAGCCACAGGGAAGTGGGAATTGCTTGAAGGAATCGTTAAGCCCTTTGGAGCATTTGTTTATTCAATCTGTTAAAATCAAGCTTAGAATTTGTACCATGTGTAATGCTAAACATGGATCACTTGTTTGGAACTTAACACTGCACATAAAAGTGCTTCTGAGAATTGTTTGTGTTCCTGAGCATGTATTTATTTAATCAAATAATTTTCTGTGGATATTTAAAAATGTTTGGTTACCCAAGGGTTTAACCTGTGTGAAAATGTTTGAATCACATGTAACAACCCCTGAAACCCATAGAAATTATGCTAATAAACATGAGAAGGACAAAGAAATAGTCTGTAATTGGGGGCCTGTGCACTCCAGGGGCAGGAAGATAATATTAGAATTTTTATTCATATCTTTGTGTAAAAATGAGGAAAGAAATGAGGATTTACTCATATTTCATTTACGAATTGATATTGAGGTAATCCTGGGTCAGGTGGCCATAGTGTGAAGGGGTTAATGAGCTTCCTTCATTAGTGCTGTAAGGCAGTTCAAGTTTGTCCAGGAAACTGGGTTTGCAAAGTATCTACTCTTCATTAAATCAGCCCTCACCTACTGGATAGATGACTTAAAAGGACTCCTGCAAAGGACCTACGAAGTGAAGACAGTACTAGTTACTTAAGCACAGGAGAAAAAAATAAAGCAAATGACAGAATATGAAATAAAACCAGTGACAAATCTGGAACAATTTCCTGCCCTCGAATTTGAGATTCTTAAGGGGACTATTTGAAATGTGGATTTATTTCCATCATTGCACTAAATGCATACCAAGCCTTGAGATATTAATTTCTGACAGTGGTGCTTGTATATAATTTGCAGGCATTCCATACATATATTGGAGGAAAACATGCTCCAAAATGTTTACTGATGGAGTGTATGATCAAAAAGTTTGGAGACTACTTTATGATGATCAAGGCAGGCATACAACATCCAAAAAAGAGAGAATGGTTGGAAATGAGAAAACCCAGGAGAGGCAGCTTAGCTGAGGGCGATGGCACAGGCTCAGGAGCCAGGGAGCCTGGGTTTGAATCCCACCTCCTCACTTCCTGGCAGGTTTACTTCATCTCTCTGTGCTTCAGCTTTCCATAAAATGTGGATAATGATTATACTTACTTCATAGGACCATTATGAGGACTAGATAAACACCTAAAAAAGTATTCAGCTCACAGCAAATGCTCCCTAAGAGTTTGTTACATAAGTTGCAAAATCCCATAGGATCTCATCAAGTGGAAATACTGGCTATGAATAAACAACACACCAGAGTATAACCTAGCATAGGAAGCATGCGTCATAAATGTGAGCTACTGGGAGCAAGAGTCAAACACATCACATGCGTGGTGGATGAGTGGCAAATGCTAGGCTGGGTACAGCTACTGGAATTCTAGCCCTTGGTCATTCTTCTCCTGTGGGATGTACAGGACCTCATCAACTCCATCAAGCCCTACACTGGATCCTGGGATAACAGGGATGAATCAAATTCAGATGCTGCTGGAGCCCCGAGCCTGACGGTGGAGGCAATAATAATGCCAGTAGACATGAAGACCCCATAAGACTGTGGCGGGGACAGGGGAGGGTCTGGCCTTGGATAGGCCTTTTCTCTATTTGTCTGCTTCCCTCTGGCTTGGATAGCTCTTTTCCTGAGCCAGTCTCCCTCTCTCTCCCCTGCTGGAGCTCAGGACATCTGCCCCCTTAGCAATCAGGGTCCCCAAGGAGGAGCTCTGACCTCAGCTATAGAGGTTACCAGATGGGGTAGCTACTCCACAAAAGCCCACCTGATGTAAGGCAAAGGGGGTCGGATATGGTTTGGCTGTGTTTTCACCCAAATCTCATTTTGAGTTGTAGCTCCCATAATCCCCATATATCGTGGGAGGGACCCAGTGGGAGGTAATTGAATCATAGGGGTGGTTACCCCTATGCTGTTGTTCTCGTGATAGTGAGTTCTCATGAGATGTGATGGTTTTATAAGGGGCTTTTCCCCCTTTTGCTGGGCACTTCTGCTTGATGCCACCATGTGAAGAAGGACATGTTTGCTTCCCCTTCTGCCATAATTGTAAGTTTCCTGAGGCCTCCCCAGGCATGCGGAACTGTGACTCAACTAAACCTCTTTCCTTTATAAATTACCTAGTCTCGGGTATGTCTTTATTAGCAGTGTGAGAACAGACTAATACAGGATCTGTCCTCAGGAGCAAGGGACACAGGGAACATGGAGTCCTCATACACCTGCCTGGGCTTTCCAATGGGAGGATCTATTATCTATCCAAGTGGTGTGGGCTAGAAGTCAATTTGTTTCACAGGAGCCCAGAGGGCTGGGTGCCTTGTTCCGTCCATCAAAATAATAACTAAGCAATTAGTAAATAACAGAACAAAATCGATCTTGCAAAAGACAAGTCATTATGTGGCCCATGGGCCAGGATCATGAGAGTCAGATGCTGGAATGGGAATGATGGCCTGATGAGGACTGAAATCCTAAGCAGCTGGGAGGGAGCAGGGAGCTTGTGAATGAACAGGGCAGGGGCCACGCTGCTCTTCCTGCCTCTCGCCCTGGGGGTGGCTGCTTGCCCACACCCTGCTCAGGTATGACTACATCCTCAGCCTCACTACTTCCCTCCACCTCTCCTTCCCTCCTTCCTAAACTGCAGGCCTCCAGGTCTCCTCTTCCCATCTCAGTGGCATTGAATGCCAGGCCAAGGATGGGAGAGATTGGCTAAGTCCTTTCTACTCCACTGGTGGTCAGTGGGCCAGCAGCACTGTCATCACCTGGGAGCTTGTGAGAAATGCAGACACGCCAGCCCCACCCCAGACCTACTGCACCAGAAACGACTCTTAGACAAGGCCCAGGGGACTTGTGTGCACATCAAGGAGGTGGAAGCACTCAGAGTGGTTTTCAACCCTGGCTTCATATTAGAATTGCCTGGGAGCAATTGAGTCAGAATCCCTGGGGGTGGTTCTTGGCCATCAGTATTAATTGCAAGGTTCCCAGGGTCCAAAACCACAGACTGGACAAATGCTCTCCTCTCACTGAGAGGCGAGGCACTGATCAGGCTCTAAAGTTAGCCAGGGGCAGAGCAGGCCATGGAATCTAGGCCCCTCTCCTCCTGATATGCCAGTGTGAGGGCTCAGCCCCGCTTCTGGGTCCCATGGTAATGGGTAAGATCTGTCCTGATCTAAAATTGCTCCTGGTCTGGGGAGGGAGATACACAAGTAAAGAGCCAACAACAAGGCCATGTGGGAAGGGCTTCCGTCTGCAGGAAAACTCCAATCCCAGGAGCACAGAGGAGGGAGGGATGGACCTGGCTGGGGAAGCCAAGAGGGGAGGCATAGGGTGGCGGCTTCTGAGCGTCGTCTTCAGGAACTGAGAATTTGGCAAATGCAAGAAGAGAAGAACATTCTAGAAAGAAGGAACAGCGTTGCAAAGGCCTAGATTCACAATTAGGCTCTTTGTGAGGATGGTAGAAGCTCAGAGGCACTGCAGCCTGGCATATTTGGTGCACACAGGGTGGTGAGAGATTAGGAGGAAGACGTGGTTGGAGCCAAATGGCATCAGCCTAGGATGCCAAGGAAGGGAGTCTGCACTTGATCCTGAGGCTACATATGGGTGCTGGTAAGAAGGTGCAGGGACAGGATCACACTTGACTTTCATTAAGATCCCTGGCAGCATGGTGGGAAGTGGATGGAAGGGGAGAAGCTGAGGGAAAGGAGGACGCAGGAGACATGAAACGGTGTGACCTGGAACAGGGTTAAAGGAATGGTGAGGAGGAGGCCGAGACAGGAGGCATCCAGAGGAAAAATCATGGAGGAATGCAGGGGGTGGGGCCCATCGGGCTCCTAGTTCCAGCAGGGATCTCAGTGTGAGTCCAGTTTCTCAACCACTCTCGGTGCCTTAGGCTCCTCATCCTAAAATGGGACTCACAGGAATACCTCCACCTAGGGGAGTGTTGTGAGGATTAAATGCATTAACACAGTGGCTCACATCTGTAACCCTAGTGCTTTGGGAGGCTGAGGAGGGAGGATCACTTGAGGCCAGGAGTTTGAGGCCAGCATGGGCAACATAGGGAGATCCCATCTCTACAAAAAAAAAATTTGTATAATTATCCCGGGGTGGTGGCACACACCTGCAGTCCCAGCTACTTGGGATGCTGAGATGGGAAGATGGCTTGAACCTGGGAGTTCGAGACTGCAGTGAGCTATAATCACCCCAGCCTGGGTGACAGTGAAACCCTGTCTCCAAAAAGAAAAAAAAAAAAGTGGAGCTCTTAGAACATTGCCTGGTAGATCATAAGCACTCAGAAAGTGTTGTCTTGCAGCAGAGATGAGCATTGGAACATTGAGCACTCACATGCCTTGTTCCTTAGTGTAAATGGTGGCTGAGAAGTGCCTGGCTAATTGGGGACTCTATTTCCCAGCCACCCTGGCCTTGCAATGGGGCTACATGACAGTCCTGACCATAGAATGGGAGCTGATGGGATGTGCATCATGACCCGACCTTGCCCAGAAAATCTCCCTTCGAATGCTCCACACTCTTTCTTCCTCTTCCTACCACCGGATTGTCAAAGCCCAGAGTGACTCTAGGGGGTCAACACGATGAAAGAACACTACTTCCTCCTCTCCATAATGTCACCCTGAATTCATTCACCTGTCATTGATTTGGCACAAAAGAATCAGCTGCTCCACAGAAATGAATTATCCAATAAAGTAAAACATTTCTGAAGAACTAGGTTGGAGTCCCATCTCTGATTTTAATGGAGTGACCTTGAACAAGCCACTCAACCTTTCTGAGCCTTATCAGGAAAATGGGCATAAACTGCCTCTCAGGTCTGTCAAGAAAATTAGACTAAAGTGTATGTCTGTAATCTCAGCACTTTGGGATCCTACCAAGGTGGGAAGATCACTCGAGCTCAGGAGTTCAAGACCAGCCTGAGCAATATGGCAAGATCTTGTATCTAAAAATATATAAAACAGGCTGGGCACAGTGGCCCATGCCTGTAATCTCAGCACTTTGGGAGGCCAAGGCCGGCAAATCACTTGAGGTCAGGAGTTCGAGACCAGACTGGCCAACATGGTGAAACTCTGTCTCTGCTAAAAATACAAAAAAAAAAAAAAAAAAAAAAGTAAAAGAAAAAAATTAGCCTGGCATGGTGGTGGGCCCCTGTAGTTCCAGCTACTCAGGAGGCTGAGGCAGGAGAATCACTTGAACCTGGGAGATGAAGGTTGCAGTGAGCCGAGATTGTGCCACTGCACTCCAGGCTGAGAAACAGAGAGAGAGTCTGTCTCTAAATAAATAAATAAATATAAAATAAAATAAAATAAAATAAAATAAAAAGCATATGTGTATTCCTTTCTTGCTCTAAGAAGATGCAGGGGAAAAAAGAAAAGAAAGTGTATGTATAAAACGTCCTTTGTAAACTTAAGTAAGGATAATTGACTTTCCTTTAAGATATAGTGTTCTTTAAAATGTGCCTCATTCAAACAATAGATCCAAGAGATCATTTTAAATGCAGATGGCCCAGAATTGCCCTAAATATGATTGGATGATTCTCTCTGGGCTTATGGAGATTTGGGGGTGCTGCTTGCCCCTTCATGAAATGTCCTCATGTTGCTGTATGATTGGTCTCTGGTGTGTTTCTGACTTGTTTATCTTAAGACTATGATAAAAGACAGTCTCTCTCTCTCTCTCTCTCTCTCTCTCTCTCTCTCTCTGTGTGTGTGTGTGTGTGTGTGTGTGTGTGTCTGTGTGTGTATCTGTCTGTCTGTCTCTCTCCATCTCTCCTTTGGGCCTGTGTGACAGATCAACATTCAGCCGTGGTTGAGAAGATCCAGCCTCAGGAAACTACCAGGGTTGCCTGGAAGGTCCTTGCCCTGCTTTGCCCCTGAGTTCCTGGTACACTAGTCTCCTTCTCCAAAACTCAGCTCAAGGTGGCTCCCTGGAGCCCATTCATTCCCACCTTCCCAGACGCCTTACCTTTTGCCTTCCATCAGAGCACTTAGCACATCACTGTCCACATTTTTTGGTCATTTCCGTTGCATTTCAGCAGCTTGCAGGTAGGAGGCAGGTCACCTTCATCTTCAACCTGGACCTAGCACGATGCTTGGCATCTAGTGGACACTCGGGAAAATTTTGCTAACTGAGTGACTCCATATCCCATTTGGGATAGTGATGGGGATTATATCACCTCTCACTGAAAAAAATCCGTGTCTCAGCTGGGTGCGGTGGCTCACGCCTGTAATCCCAGCACTTTGGGAGGCCAAGGCGGGTGGATCACGAGCTCTGGAGTTCGAGACTATCCTGGCCAATATGGTGAAACCCCGTCTCTACTAAAAATACAAAAAAATGATCCGGGCATGGTGGTACATGCCTGTAGTCCCAGCTACTCGGGAGGATGAGGCACGAGAATCGCTTGAACCTGGGAGGCAGAGGTTGCAGTGAGCCCAGATCGCACCACTGCCCTCCAGCCTGGGTGACAGAGCAAGACTCTGTCTCAAAAAAAAAAAAGCATGTCTCTTCATTTTCAAGTCATACTTAAAGAGTCTGAACTATTCCCTTCATTTCAATTATATTAGCTAATTACTTCAGTGCTTATGCTTTTTCTTGGACATTTTCCACCAAAGATAGAGTTGGTTTCCATAAATAATTTCAGTGCACACTGCATATCCCATTTAGAAGATAGCGAGAGCCTCCTAATACTTCTGAGCAGGCTGGAACTGCTAAGAAAGAGAAGGTACCCACTCTGAGGGACTTCTTAACAAGACAGGTGGTGGGGCGCAGTGGCTCATGCCTGTAATCTCAGCACTTTGGGAGGCCGAGGTGGGTGGATCACTTGAGGCCTGGAGTTCAAGACCAGCCTGGCCAACACGGCAAAACCCCATCTCTACTAAAAATAGGAAAATTAGCCAGGTGTGGTGGCACACGCCTGTAATCCCAGCTACTCGGGAGGCTGAGGCACGAGAATCGCTTGAATCCAGGAGGCGGAGGTTTCAGTGAGCCGAGATCACACCACTGTACTCTGGGTGACAGAGGAGACTCTGTCTCAAAAAAAAAAAAAAAAAAAAAAAGACAGGTGCCAGGGAGGAGGGACACCACCTGTGCCAGGTTGTCATTTCCAAGGATGGCTGCAGCAGTTCCATCCATGAGCTTTGCTGCAATGTAACCTTGACACTCCTCGCATTGGGAGACGGCACCTATGCCTGCTCTCTCTTGAATCTGGGTGGACTTGTGATTTCTTTGACTAATAGGAATGGCGTGCTACACTGCAGTGCTAACTGAAAAACCGCCTGGCACTGCAAAGCCGAGATTCCTCACTCCCAGGGGTCATCTGCTCTCTTACTCACCCAAAAGCCCACAAATCCTCCTTATTGCCTTAAATCCTCACAGGCTTCCACAGTCTGGTTTATTTGACCTCTTTGGTGTTATTTCCAATGATATCTTCCAGCCCCTCTTATAATCCACACACACTCACATACACACACTCAAGAGAACCTTCCCACCAAGTCAGGTTGATTTCCAGTTCTCATTGTACATCAACTCATGGAGCTCCCTTCACCCTCTAAACCTTTACTCAGGCTGTACCCATGGCCTGAATGGCCATCTTCTTGGTTTTTTTTTTTTTTTTAGCTATTCCCAAATATTATGGATTGTATTAGTTAAGGTTAGGCAGGGCTAGTATTCAGCTGGTTCTCAGCTGTTTTGTATTGCTATGACTAAGCTGGTTGTTAAAATATTTAAATACTTTCATACTGGTTGGTAAATATCTGTGGTTCTAAGCCTTCTGCTACCTTAAACCCTTCCTCATCAGTGCCCGTGCCATTCTGGCTGTTAAATATTTTCAATACCATCCCTGAGAGTAAGCTTGGCTGCATTTAACAGCAAAAAGGGGGACTTCAACAAGATAGCTTACTTCTCTCATACCCACATGAAGTAAGGAGATAGGGACATTATAGTGACTCCACATTGTCATCAGAAACCCAGGCTTCCATCATGCTCCATCATCCCTGGTGCATATTTTTATATGCAAGGTCTTATTAAGAAACCCTTAACTCACTCCCGAGCATGGATGCTGGGGCTCAAGCCATCACATCAGGATTCCAGACCAGCAGTAGAAAGAAATGGGACAAAGGGATTCTCTTTCCCACTCAACCAGTTCCTTTTAAGCAGCCTTTCCAATAGTTCCACATAACACTTGTGCATCCATTTCCTCGGCCAGAAGTTAATCACATGGCCATATCTAGCAGCAAGGGAGGCTAGGAAATGTAGTCTCAGCTTTGTTATTAAAGGAAATGGGGATAGTCAGTAATGGGGGGCATCTAGCAGTTTCTGAGTCTTATCCTTCAAGGTCTAGTGCAAGACTTCCCTGTGACACCAGTCCTGGAGGATATCTTACATCATACATCACTCAGAATCACAGTTTACTATATATTCATTGTTAAACACTCATAGTTTTATACAATAATAATAATACAAGAAGTAGCTGCCATTTATTGAGGCTTACAATGTGCCAGACCCTATTAAGTAGTTTATCTGCCGTATCTTATTTAATCCTCACAAAGTCACAATGAAGTAGCTATTAACTGTCATTATCCCCACTTTGCAGGTAAGGAAACAGGCCCAAGTGGTGGTTAAATGCTTGTCTAAAGCTATAAAAGGTGGAGCTGGGATTTGATTCATGAGCTGTTAAGACAAAAACCATGTCAGCTACAGCACCCAGCACAGCGTTCAGCAAAGAGAAGACATTAAAAACAAATAAAACCTTGTTAGTTTTATTGTTGGATCAAATAATTAACTCAGCATCCAGATAAAAGCAGGAAATAGACAAGGGACTTAACAGAATGACCTGGGCCTCCTCCAGGTACAGGAAACCACAAGTCTGAGCTTGCAGCTACAGCTCCAAAAGTTGGGAGATTTGCAGAGGCACAATGAAATAGGGTTGATGTCCAGGTCTTCTCACTGCTGGGATCCCAGTCCAGGACCTGCCTCTGCCCCACTGTGGGGTCTTCTAGCCCATGTTCTGCAGGGATCGTTTATGCTCCAGGAATGACCCTGGGTGCTGCCTCCTGCAAGCAAGAAGAATTTCCATTCAATGCCTGGTCTACTGCTTGTTTGGATTCCTTTAACTTTTTATTGTTCCTTATTGAGCAACTAAGACATTAATGAAGCCATCTTCTGCAGTTCCAACATATCCAGGCATGTTGCTCAGCATTTGCTGACAGCAACCAGTAAATTATTATTATTATCATCGTTATTGCTATTACTATTATTATTATCTGAACAGAAATAATTCATGCAAGTTACAGCTGCCTCTGAGAGTCATTTTTGGCTTTTTTAATGACAGCCCTACAGATTTTAGTGTGAGTCTTGGGTACCTCTTTCCTGAGCAGAGCCTCCTGCAAAAGCAGGTTTGCCCTTCACCTTTTGCTTGAAAAGAATGTTTTATTGTGAAAAAATTTCCAGCGTACACCAAAGGATTGCTTTGCACCACATTAAATCATTTTGAAAGTCAAAAATGGTGAAATAATCGCGAGTTTGTAAGACTCAAATTAATAGTGTAGTATCATGATCCCCATGCACCCATCATCACCCAGCTACCACAGTGATCAATCAGCTCAGGGCAAACCTTGTTTCATCCAAACTTTTACTTCCTTCTTCTCTCTGCAATGAATTATTTTAAAGCACATCCCAGACATCTTTATTATTATTATTATTATTTGAGACAGTCTTGCTCTGTCGCCCAGGCTGGAGTGCAGTGGCGCGATCTCCACTCACTGCAACTTCCTCCATCTGGATTCAAGCAGTTCTCATGCCTCAGCCTCCCGAGTAGCTGGGAACAGGCTTCATCCGGGTTCAAGCAATTCTCATGCCTCGGCCTCCCGAGTAGCTGGGACTACAGGAGTGTGCTACCATGCCCGGCTAATTTTTGTATTTTTGGTAGAGATGAGGTTTTGCCGTGTTGACCAAGCTGGTCTTTAATTCTTGGCCTCAGGTGATCTGCCTGCCTCGGCCTCCCAAAGTGCTGGGATTACAAGCATGAGCCACTGTGCCTGGCCTCATTAATTCATCGATAAATGTTTCTGTATGAATCCCTCAACAATTAGGACTCTTTTAAAGCATAATCCCAAACACGATTTTCACATTGCTCAAAAATTAAAAACAATTCCTTGATGTTAAGTATCCATTCAGTGTTCAAATTTCCCCAATTGTCTCATGAATACGTCTCATTTTTATTGTCACTGTAGTGTAGTTTGTTCGCAAGAATCAGAATCCAAAGTCCATATGTTGTAATTGGCTGATATTTCTCTTAAGCTTCTGTTAATCTATAAATTCTCCTTATGTTTTGTTTTTTTTTTCTTTTATTCCTTTTCCTTCCACTTTGTTGATGAAACCTGTAACTTTTTTCCTGAGAGGAAATCTGGCCGCCTCCCTGTGGTGAGGGTTAAACACCTTGACATATTAACATGCCCCCCAGTTCTCTAATTCCTATAGCTGGGAGTTACCTCTAGAGGCTTGATCCGATTCAGATTTGATTTTTCAGCAGGTGTTGTGGTCTTCCGTCAGAAGGAACATCATATCCGGCCATGTATCTTTTTATGATGTTAGTTATCATTGGTGGATCACTGCCTGGATTCATTGTCCTCTAAATGGTGATAAACCGGCCACGGTGATGGACAAGTGGCATATTCAGTTAACGGACTCACTGTGCCCTCCCTCCTTCCCCATCCCCGGCAGTATTGTGGGCGAGGCTTGACCTACTCTGTGATGGGGTTGGAGGCAACACTTCCTGCCCACTTCTCCCCTCTTCCTCCCCACTCCACATCCGTGTGGGAAAGCTTATCATTAAGGGAAGGCTGGCAAATTAGAAAGAGCCTTGAGTCTGGGCCTAGCCCTGCAGATGCCAGCCTCAGAGGTTGCTAGGATACACCGCTCCCAGAGCCTCCTCAGAGCTGCATCCTTCTGGAGCAGCTCAGGGACACTGATGGGCTGTCTGTGCAGTGGGGAGGTGGGAGGAGGAGTGGCACCCCACAGACAGGCCTGCAAAGAAGGGGTTGGTCCGCACTCCTCCCGGAGCTCCATGGAGCAGGGAAAATGTCACCCCAGAAGCACCTGTATACAGGGATCAATTCGGACCGCCCACAGTGAAGGCCACTCTGAATTGTAAAAGTTCCCCAGTCTTATTCTTCACTGTACTTGCATTTCTTCTGCAACATGTCCTTCTATATATAATTCAGAAAACATAACCTGAATGGACGAATGCCAGCCCTCTCCCCAGCTCCTGTCTGCCTGGTAAACTTCTGGTTCACCATAAGGCTCAGCAATGAGCTGTATCCTCATCCTCAACCCAGCCTTCAGGACTCCCTCCCTGTGCTCCAGATGCCCACGCTGACCTCTGCTCACACTCACAGCAGCATTGCAAGTGCCTGTTTCCCCACTGGGTCTCGTTCTCCTCTGCACTCCTAGCACTTAGCACAACGCCTTGCATAGGTCATCTTGAATGCATATGTGAAAGTGTCCTGCTTGCATGCCTCTGGAGACAGGGAGCTCACTATCACAAGACCGCTCATTCTGACAACTTCAAAGTTCTTCCTTAAACACAGCTGAAATCTACCTGTCAGAAACTTCTACCTGGGAACCTTAGGGAGGCTGCCAGTGCCACACTGAACCAGCCAGCTGCCTCTTCCACAAGACCACTCTTCAGAGTTGACTCTCTCTCCATTGTCCTCTGCAGCACCCACCAAAAGGTAGTGGGATATGGGTCAGACATTCACATTCTAAGTCACCAAGCTTGGCTCCCAGGAAGCCTCCCTAAGGTTAGAGGTTCTGGTCCTACTACTCCCTCAGATACCTGCACCCTCACCCTGGTCCCACTGGGACATCACCCCAACGGCCCAGAACTGTAGGGCACAAGTCTCGACGCCAGAGAACCCAGGTGGAGGGTAGAGGGTGGGCCTTGCAGCCTCCCTGGGTGTGAGAGTATCTGTCGCCACCCTTTCCTGATGCAGGTTAGGGGATGCCAAGTCCTAAAGAGGAGGCAGTTTTCTCAAAAATCACCCAGGGAATCTGTGCTGATCTCAAACTAGAGCTGAGAGAGGGAGAGACGCAGGCAAGGAAGAGGAGGGAGCAATGCGCTAGGATCAAATTCCACAGTTGACCTGACATAAGCCAGCTCACTGTGATTTACGCGCCACCGTCCTTGGGGTGGCAGAAGAGCTGAAATCCTTTCTGACATCTCAGGACCAAACTTGTCAAATCTCAGCAACAGCTTTTCCCCATCAGCACCCCAGGCTCTCTGAAGACTGTTCCTCGGAATAGCCTGGAGCTGCCGAGCCAGCCGCGACGGCTCCCGCCAGACTACACGCCTGGCTAAGAGCTCAAACGAGTCACAATGGGGAGGCTAGTGACCCCCATCCAGGGACGGCTCCCGCCAGACTACACGCCGGGCTAAGAGCTCAAACGAGTCACAATAGGGAGGCTAGTGACCCCCATCCATTCCCATGGCATCGTTTGAAGGGCTCTGGAGCCAGCCGCCTGGGTTCGAATCCTGACTGTCCCCCTCACCAGGTCCGTGGCCTTGGCCATCACTCAACCTGGCCCAGCCTCAGAGTCAGTGCTTGTCTCTGAACAATTAGGGCTGCGTGGGGGGCTAATATTTAGGACACGAATAAAATAATGTATAAGGCTTAGCCCAGTGTGTGCTCTTTAGAAAACATCAGTTAACATTAACCATCATTCCATATGTTCACTTCCTGCCAGGCTCTGGGGAGGAAAGGGAGCCCATGGCAGACCAGACCCCTGGCCGGCCAGGGTCCCCGGGGTCTGCGAGGAGGACGTTCATGGGCGAGTGTGTGGTGGTGGGTGAACTGCGGCAGAACCCGAGATTAACAGCTGGAACCCTCTCCTCTTGCAGGTGAGGAAGATGACACCTGGCAACACTATGCCTCACCCCTAGTTAGTGGCTCAGCCCAGACCTCGGGCTCCCGCCTAGCCCAGGACTCTGCCCGACTGTGGCCTTCTGGGCAAAGCTGGCACCAGGGTCAGAAGCCTGGGGAGCAGAGAGGCCCATTGTTAAGGCTGGGAGGCGGAGTCAGGAAGCCCAGGATGTAAACCAATGGGAGACCACGGTGATGATGTAATGCTCGGCCTTCACCTTCATTGGCTGCCGGTCCTGCCACTCCAGACCCTGCTCTGGGGCTCTGCCTTTCGCCGCAGGTTCTCCCGCAGAGGGGGTCATTGGTCTGGGAAGGAGATTGAAGAGTGGGGGTTGGAGGCTGAGGACTGAGCCGGGAGCTGTCGTCCTTCCCTGAGCCTACCAGGGAACTGACTGCTGCCTTTACTAAACACAAAGCTCCTGGGCGAGCCCGGGGAGCGGGTTCTAAACACCCCACCTCCTGGGGCAGCGCCGCGCCTGGCGTCTGCGGGGATGCAAATCTCAGGAGTGTTAGGAGGAGACAGAGGCACCAGCCCCGCTAGCCTGGGAGGCAGCCTGGTACCCAGGAGGGAGGAGGGTGGGGGCCTGGGTCAGCAGAAATAAAGCATGCAGCTCTGTACTTACCACCTCCTCTAAACATCTGTGATGATTATAGGTCTGGGTGAAAAGCGTGGGACCCTCAGCCCAGAGCCGCACAAGACTTGGATTTGCTTTGGAAACCACTGTGCTTTTCAACAAGATCGTTCAAATGGCCTGGGTGGAGACGGGGAGCTGGAGAGTTGGGGATGGAAGCCGATTTTAAGCCTGGAGGAATCCAAACTGCACACAGTAGTCCAAGGCCCTGCCCCGCCTCCGTCCACCACCATCCTCCCCCCGCACCCCCGCCATGAGGTCCATGACTGTATCCTCATTTCACAGATGAGGAGACAGGCACAGAGCAGCAGCCATGGCCATGTGGCCGGTCACGCAGTGGAGGGAGGCCCGGGGGCAGGAGAGGGGCGCCTAAGGCCACACAGCAGGGCTGCGCCGGCGCGCATGGCTGAGAAGCAGGTTCCAGGAGTTTCTGGGAGTTCTTGCTCAACATCAAGAAACTTCCACCAGGATCCACGGGGGGAAGTGGAAGCAGCCTTGTGATAGCAGTTTCAAAGGCCTGGGCTCTGGCAAATAGGAAAAAACAGGCTGAGAAAACATATCAGGCAGGCCTGCTTGTGAGGGAACCTGGCAGACATCCAACCAGCAGTCTGGTGGCCAATTCGGTACATCAGACATGCGCTTAATCCATCATTCGGCAGCGGGCAGGTCACTGGCCACACAGGCTTCAGACCTCCTGGCTTGAGGGAACTTGGGGTTGCCATCAGGCCCGTATGAATCAGAAATTCTGGGCTTCTCATCCCCCACCAGGCACTCCCACACTGTCCCTCCTCTGCATGTTTGCCTCTCCATTCTCTCTACCTTCACTGTCTCGGTTGCCTATGGTCACAGTGATACTCAATAAACCACCAAATCCAGTGGCTTAAGAGCATGTGCTTCCTTCAGCAGGGCAGTTCTGACCTTGGCTGGTCTCACTCATGTGTCTGCATCTGTGGTGAGCTGGCAGATTGGGGTGTAGATTGGGCTCTCCCACTTGTCCAGGTCCTCAGCTGGGACACCTGGGCTGGCTTGGCTCTGCTCTGTGTGGCCTCTCATGCTCCAAGAAGCTAGCCCAGGCTTAAGTACACTGAGGTGGCAGTTGCAGCCTGCAAGGCCTCTCGTGGCTTAGGCTCAGGACTGGCACATCATCACTTCTGCTGCACTTCTCCCTGCTAAAGCAAGTATTGAGGCCACCCAAGATCCAGAAGGTGGAGAGGAGCAGCAGAGCCTCACTGCAAAGGGCACAAATGTGCAGAGGCCCTTCTCTGGATCCACAAATGCAGCCAGTGTACAGCAAACACCATCTCCGCCCCCTTCTCTCCACCTGTTGGCATACTTACTGTTCTTCAAGGCCCACCTGAAGTCTAGCTCTTTGTGAAGTTTTACCTAAACATTCCACCCTACACCCACCATAAGCTAAATGAATAGCAGGATACTATCTGGGGCGCTGGGTCCCAAAAGAAGGTGCCTAAAAGAGAAACAGGATGTGACTGGTCCTGTGGGCTCCGGTTGGGGAACTCTGCAGCTGGGACAGGAACCCATAGACACCAGGGCCCTCCCCTGCCCAGGCCTTCGGGGAGCCCCTTCTGAGGATGAGAACCAAGGTCTGAAATCCCATGCTGCAGGCAAAGGCAGGGACTTCCACCCATCCTCCTGCCATCTACCAAGTATCCACTGAGGGCCTGCGGGTTGTTCTTGGCTCTGTGCTAGGCGCTTTCACGCATCATCTCATCAAACCCTCCCAACAACTTACAAGGTGGTTATTGCTTTCCTCCCCATTTTACAGATGAGGAAACCAGGGAAATCAAGGGTGTTTGAGTGACTGACCGAAAGTCACACAGCTAGGAAGTAAAGGAGCCAGGATACAGGCCCAGAGCTCTGGTTTTATCTGAAACCAAAACCAGAAGTTCCTCTTCCAGCTGCCCACCACCTCTCTGAGTATCAGCCCTGCTAATGACAATGATAACATCAGCTCTGCAGCATCGTTCTAAGCACTGTACGTTAATGCGATCAGTTAATAAAAGCATCTTGCCTTAATTAATTTACTCCTCTCAATAACCCTTTGAGGTAGGTACAATCTTTACTGCCATTTGACAGATGAGGCACAGGGAGGTTAAGGGATTTGCCTAAGGTCACACCACTGGGAAGTGACAGAGGCAGGCTTTGAATCTTCACACACTTGCTACCACACACTCACCATTTTTGTAGTCAGGATTTCATAGGCTCAGGGTCCGAGGGGACTGGGGCATGCCAGGGGGGTGGGAAGGTAGGATGCAGAGCCGAAATAGGAGACACTGGAGCTGGGACAGGAGCCCAGAGAGAAGATGAGCAGCAGAGCATGGTCTCCGGCAGCCTGCGTCCCTCCTTTCCAAGTCACGATGCCAACCAGAAGCCCTAATCGAGGGTGGTGCTGGAGAGGCTCTGGGAGGAGACCGGGATGGTGGCGCATATGGCCGTGCCACCCTAGACCGCCCTTCAGGGAGGGTCCTGATGGCCTGGCTTGGCTTTTCTGCAGAAGCATCAGCTGGGGACAAGTAAGGGGTGGGGAGGGAAGCGAGAGGAGACGGAACTGCAGACTGGGCAGACTGGGTTCCCCATTAGCCAGGCCATATGTCCAAATGTGGACACATAAGTGCGAGCAGGCACCAAGCCTGGCGAGCCCAGCTGCAGAACAGCATGGGGAGAGCTCGCCCTGGGAAGCATGGCAGTGGGCTACAGAAAATAGGGAGGCTGCTGTGTACCCTGCCTGAGGCTGACATCTACTGTCAACCACCCTCTCTTCTAGCCACCCTGGGAGGCAGGGGCAATGGAGGCTCAGAGAAATTCATTGATTTGCCTGAGTTCACAGAGGGACTAATTGGGGAGGGCAGGATTTGAATCCAGGACTGCCTAATTCCAAAGCAGGTCCTTAGCCAATGCCCCAGACCCCTGGCCAGTTTGTAGGGTGAGAGGGAGTGCCCCTGTGGGCCTCAGTGATAGTGGCTGGGTTGGCTGACACCCCACCCAGCCTGCCAGAGGGGCACAAAATAACCTAGGCCCTGAGTGAGTGGGCAAGGCCTGGGCTCACATTCCAAGATAGGCTCTCAGAGGGCATGAGACAATATCACAGGGCTTAAGCATAAGGATCGTGGCCTCTAGTTAATGGAACACTTTTCTGTGCCAGGCACCAGCTAATGCAGTACATCTGTGAGCAGTCGCTTGCTCCTCACAGCAGGACCATGGGATTGATGCCGTCATTACCATCCTCCCCATGTTATAGATGAGGATATTGAAGAGAGGTGACATCTAAATGCAAGCTGGTATCCTGGATTAGATCCCAGAACAGAAAAAGGACATTGGTGGAAAAACTGGAGACATCTGGATAAAGTCTGGAGTGGAGTTAATAGCAGTGTACCAATGTTAATTTCTTAGTTTTGATGAATGCACTAGGTAATGTCAGATGCTAACATTAGGTGACACTGGGCAAACAGTATATGGGAACTCTTGCTGCAACTCTTTTGTAGATCTAAAATTCTCTCAAAATAAAATGTTTAAAAATAAAAGAGGTTAAGTGACTTGCCTGAGGTCATGCAGCTAGTGGGTACCACAGTGAGGATTTGGTCCCAGGTCGTCTGGCTGCAGAGCCCAAGCTGTGACCACCACACTCTGCCAACTCAGGACACCACTCTGTCACCTGCCCCTCCCTAGGAGGCTTTCACCCAGGGCTGCAGGTGCCCATGGGCATTGTGTCAGAGGGTGGACAGGCCTATGCCCAGCGCCATGGCAGGAGGTGCCAGGGCAGAGTTCCCCACAACGCAGTATTGGAGGGAGAAGCACACATACCTGGGTCTGTGCTCAGTCCCAGCCCTGCCCCATCCTAGCTCCAGGACCTTGGATGAGCAAATTCTTCTTTCAGATGTCTTCAATTATCCAAATCCTGACTGTCTTCCGACGCCCGATCCAACTCCCATTCTCTCCCTCTTGCCATTCCTTCTCCTTGGGCATCTTCTTTGCATGTGGAAAAAGTGGGGTTCCAGACTGGATATTTCCAGTCCACCCTACCCCCCACAACCAGCCAGCTGTGTTCCTTGATGTCCTTGGCATTGTTCACTGTCAAAAATAAGAGCTGGCCAGGCACAGTGGCTCACACCTGTAATTCCAAAACTTTGGGAGGCCGAGGTGGGTGGATCATCTGAGGTCAGGAGTTCGAGACCAGCCTGACCAACATGGTGAAATTCCATCTCTACTAAAAATACAAAAATTAGCCAGGCATAGTGGTGTACACCTGTAGTCCCAGCTACTTGGGAGGCTGAGGCAGGAGAATCGCTTGAACCTAGGAGGCAGAGGCTGCAGTGAGCCGAGATCGTGCCATTGCACTCCAGTCTGGGCAACAGAGTGAGACTCTGTCTCGAAAAAAAAGAAAAAAATAAGAGCTTCCCCTGAGAGATGCCAGACAAGGCCCCTGTTCTGCAGGGTCTTCCTCCCAGCTGTGAGGCTCTGATAACTCCCACACTTCCCTTTGTTCCCTGATGTAAGGGTGGCTGCTGCTTCCTGCAGGTTCCACCTCTGTGTTATCCTGGTGTCTCCTTCTCATCTTTTCAGTTCTCCAAAACAGAGGGAATGGCATCGGGGAGAAAAGGGGACTTGGACTGGGCAAGTGTTTAATTGTTATATTGAATACTGTAAGTTTCTTATATTAAATTATATTGGAAAAACAAAACCAACAAGTACTGTGTGACCCATAGTTTGACCTGAAGAATGGGGCCACTTATTCCCAAGAAACCCCATTAACAACAGTGCCTGTGCCACCTCTCTGGCATAGCTTTGGGAGGTAGACCAGCCTGTACTTGAATCCAAACTCTACCACTTATTCGCTACGTGACCTTGGCTTTGTTTCTTAACCTCTCTGAGCCTTAGGGCTTTTTTTTTTTTATCTGTAAAATGGAAATAATCATACCCGCTTCTTAAGGCTGTTGCAAGAATTTGACGAGATAATATATACGTGGCACTTCTCACAGAGCCCAAAATGAGAGTTCAATAAGTGGCAGCTTTTGTTACTATTATAGTGATCAGCGTTGGAGAGATTCTTACACGACAAAGGAGTTCATTTCATCTTTGTGTGTGGCTAGCAGCCTCACGTGGAGAAAAATTCCACTTTGTGTCTATATTAGTTAGAACTGCTGCATTAAAAATCACTTTAAACCTCCGTTGCTTAGGCCAGGACCAGTGGCTTACACCTGTAATCCCAGCACTTTGGGAGGCCTAGGTGGGCGGATCACTTGAGGTCAGGAGTTCAAGAGCAGCCTGGCCAACATGGTGAAACCCCATCTCTACTAAAAATACAAAAATTAGCCAAGTGTGGTGGCACACGTCTGTAATCCCAGCTACTCAGGAGGCTGAGGCACGAGAATCGCTTCAACCCGGGAGGTGGAGGTTACAGTCAGCTGAGATCATGTCACTGCACTCCAGCCTTGGCGACAGAGTGAAACCCTGTCTCAAAAAAGAAAACAAACAAACAACAACAAACAAACAAAAAAACTCCGTTGCTTAAACCAGCAGTCATGTATTTTTTGTTTTTTATGTGTCTATGCATTGGCTGGGGGTCGGCTGACTTACGCTGGGTTGGTTTGGTGGTTCTTCAGGGGTTTATGGACTCATGCATATGTCTGCAGCTAGCCAGCTTGAGGTGGTTCTACTGCTTTTGTCCTGCTCCATAGATCACGACACTAGCCTGAGCATATTCTTCTTACGGTGATGTCAGAGGTGCAAGGGGACAAGCTCCATCATGCAAGTGCTGTGTCATGTTTGTTAACATCCCATTGGCCAAAGCAGGTCACATGACTGAGGCTAAATCAAAGCGTGAGGAACTGCCTCCTGCCCACCATAGGGGGGCACTGCAAAGTTACATGGCAAAGGACATAGTTATAGGGAAAGGTGAAGAATTGCGTCCATTAATGTCATCAAACTACCACACTCCATGCCCATGACCCCAACTATCCAGGTCCTTCCAGTATGCAAAATTCATTTTCTCCCATCACAAGACTCCAAAACAACCCCTAAGCAACCAATGGCATCGAGCCAAAATCCACTTTCTCATGGTCTCATCAGGTTCAGATGCAGCTCCTCGTAATCCAGAGATCTGTTGGTAAGTTATCCACCTTACCTGCAGTAAACATTGCCACTCAAACAGGGGAAGAAACAGAGGCCCATAGCCGTCACTGGTCCATAGCAATTCTGAAATCCTGCTAGGAAAATGTTTCCAGTTGCCTTTGTCCTGGCGGTAGGTAATATTCCCTGATTAGCTCCCAGATTTCCATCCAGAGAGAGGTTCATCTCCATTTTCTGCATGGCTCCTGCTCCAGCCTCTGCGATGTTCTTCCTTTTCTATCACCCTCCTTAGTCACTTCTGAAGGCATTGTAAAACACATCCTTTAGGCAATCTTTTCAGACTGCTTCCTACCCAGAGGTCTTTTTGCATTTTAAACAGCCTTGGTATTTTTTCATGCAGGCTGGGAGTCCTTTTGCCAACATAACACTCTAAAAATTTGATGGGTTCCCTATATCTTGAATTCCGTTCTACCCCATGTGCTAAAACTCATATCAACAGAACACATTCAAACTTCTCTATATTCCTTTTTTCTGAGACAGAGCCTCACTCTGTTGCCCAGGCTGGAGTGCAGTGGTGCAATCTCAGCTCACTGCCACCTCTGCCTCCTGGGTTCGAGCGATTCTCGTGCCTCAGCCTCCCGAGTAGCTGGGATTACAGGCAAGCGCCGCCATGCCCAGCTAATTTTTGTATTTTTAGTAGAGATGAGGTTTTGCCATGTTGGTTAGACTTGATCTCCTGACCTCAGGTGATCTGCCCACCTCTGCCTCTCAAAGTTCTGGAATTACAGGTGTGAGCCACCACACTGGGCCTTTTCTATATTCTTTCTAATACTGCTTTCAAACTAGGCAGTTATTTTCTGAAGTCATCTCTTTTTTTTTGCAGTACCTTATCAAACACAACCATAAAAGCCAAAGGATGCTTTCAGTATTCTGCCTAGAAATCTCTTTGCCCAAGACCAAGAGTTCATTAGATACACTTATTTCCCAATAAGTTACTAAAGACAACAATTTTAGCTAATAATTCCCTATTACACAATGGGGTTGCCTCTTCTTCCACCTCCAATTGCAGTTTCTTTGCTATTTTTCCTGCCTCCCCTAATAGTTTACTCATTCCTACCACCCAGTCCTAAAAAACCAGTGCTGCATATTTTAAGTTTTGTTATGGCAGCACCACACTTCTGGGTACCAATTTATGTACCTGTTAGCAGTTGTTCCATAATGAACTATCCCAAATCTCTGTGGCTCAAAATAGCAATCATTCCTCATTCCTCACATGTCTGTCAGTCAGCTGGGTGTTGGCTGATTCAGGCTGAGCTTGACTGGTTCTCCTCATCTCTAATGAGCTTTGATCTAGGTGATCAGCTGCCTTAGGCTGGGTCAGTTGGGGATGCCCCTGTTCCATGCGTCTCCCGCCTCCTGCTGGGACCAGTGGGCTATCCTGGCTATGTCCACCTGAAGGCAATGATAGTGGCACAAGAGAGGAAACTCAGTCCTGCAAGCCCTTTGCAAGTCTCTGCTTGAGCCATATCTGCTATCACCCCGTTGACCAAAACACGTGGCTAAGGTTAAATCTCAAAATCAAGAGGTAGGGAAGTACCTCCCACCTACAATAAGGAGGGCACTGCAAAGTTACATGGCAAAGGGTGTGCACAGAGGGAGGGCTGAAGAGTGGGAGCCATTCATGAAACCTGCCACTGTGGCCTGAGGCAAACACTCTCGTACTTCTATTTCTCTGCACCTGCTCTTTCTCTTCCTGGAATATTCCTTATAATGGTACAACCAGGTTGTATCTTCATTTTTCAGATGAAGAATCTGAAGCTGGAAGAGGTGAGGTTGCTTCGTCAAGATCACAACAGCTAATGAGTGGCAGAATCTACATTTGAATCTAGACCTGTTTGGACACATGTTTGGTGCCCACTAGAGCATATGAAATGTTGGGTACAAAAAAAATAGAATAAATAAGACCTAGTATTTGACCACACAACAAGGTAATTATAGTCAAAATAATTTAATTATACATTTAAAAATACCTAGAAGAGGCCGGGCATGGTGGCTCACGCCTGTAATCCCAGCACTTTGGGAGACCGAGACAGGTGTATCCCTTGAGGTCAGGAGTTCGAGACCAGCCTGGCAACATGGTACAACCTCATCTCTACTAAAAAAACAAAAATTATCCAGGCATAGTGGTGCATGCCTGTAATCCCAGCTACTCAGGAGGCTGAGGCACGAGAATCACATGAACCCGGGAGGCAGAGGTTGTGGTGGCTGAGATCGCACCACTGCACTCCAGCCTGGGTGACACAGTGAGACTCTGTCTTAAAAAAAAACAAAAACAAAAACTAGAAGAGTATAATTGGATGTTTGTAACACAAAGGATAATAAATACTTGAGGGAATGGATAGTCTATTTTCCATGCTGTGATTGTTACGCCCTGCATGCCTGTATCAAAACATCTCATGTATCCATAAATATATATACCTACTATGTACCCACAAAAATTAAAAATTAAAAAATAAATCAAGTATACAAAATGAAAGGCAAATCACTTCTGTGATGGTCGTATCCATAGGGTTCTTGAATTGTAGAACCTAATTTTGGCTCACAAGCAGAGGAAAAAAGTGCCATTTATTAGGAACAAACTGGATAGGTTATAGAAGTTAAAGAAAAGCTGAAGAAACAAAGGCAGTTTCAGAAAACTTTGTCAGAAGTGCGGATTTGGAGGGCACCACTGGGAGGGGGACTTCAGGCTTCTTTGTCATTCAGCCTAAGTGACAGGCACCCAGAGAGTCTGATTGGTCCAGCCTGAGCACTGTGCCCGCCCACTGATCTCATGGGATGGAAGAGGGGTGGTTTCTTAAAAAGAAATGGTGACCAACATGGTGGCTCATCCCTGTAATCCCAGCACCTTGGGAGGCTGAGGTGGGAGAATCATCTGAGCCCAAGTGTTCGAGACCAGCCCGGGCAACATAGGGAGACCACATCTCTACAAAAAATAGAAAATAATGATAAGCCCATTGTGGTGACTTACACCTGTGGGTCTCTGCTACCCAGGAGACTGAGGTGAGAGGATTGTTTGAGCCCAGGAGGTCAAGGCTGCCATGGACTGTGTTTGACCTATTGTACTCCAGCCTAGGTGACAGAGAGAGACCCTGGCTCAAAACAAAACAAACAAACAAAAAACCAAGGAAGGAAGGAAGGAAGGAAGGAAGGAAGGAAGAAAGAAAGAAAGAAAGAAAGAAAGAAAGAAAGAAAGAAAGAAAGAAAGAAAGAAAGAGAAAGAAAGAAAGAAAGGAAAGCAAGCAAGCAGTCCTGAGTGAGTGAAATTACCACAGAAAGGAGAAAGGAGGAGGGAACCTCGCTCTGGGAAAGCTCATTTCCTTCATTTCCTTTACAGTGCAGTTGTTGGGGTCATGGACTTGAGAACCAGGCTGTCTGGGTTTGCAATCCTGGCTTCGCCGCTTACTAGTTGTGCTTAACTAATACAGGCAGGGCACTTAGCCTTGCTATGCCTTAGAGTCCTCACTGGTAAAATGCTATTGTGCAATACCCCATCAGCCTCAGTGAGTTATTGTGAAATGTAAATGAACTCACCTGTGTCATGAGCACTGTCATGCATGTGTAATGAGCATTCCATTTGTGTCACTGTGTCAGGGGAACTGGGAGAGTGAGTGGAGCACTTAGGAAACATCCACTCCCAGGAGACACAACACAGGCTGCCAAGGTGGGGCCTGCTAGCCGAGGCACCTGAGGCCATGACCAGGCGTGTCCCCCTGCCCTGGAGAGGCACAGAGAGCTGCCAAGCCGGTCCTACTCCTGGGCACTCTGTTTCTGGATGGAGGAGTTCTGAGAACTCAGGGGATGCAGCTGCTGTTGAGTCACCATCACAGAAGGTTCCCTTGCAAAATGGGACAAGCTCACTTTCCTGTTTCTGAGTCTCCTGTTTCTGGCATTGCAGATGGGGCCTCCTGGGTGCTGGAACCAGTGTCGCAGAGGGTATGGCTTCCTGCACTGGTACCAGATGAGAAGGCATGTAGGCAGGCGGAATGAGCACTAGACTTGGTTCCAGAGATTCTGCCTGAACTGTCGCTCCACCCTCCCATGAGCTACGTGGACTTGGGCAGGCTCCTCCCAAGCTGACAGTGTCATCTCTCCAGGGAACGGGGAAGCCCAAGGGCTCCAAGCACTACCATAACTTCAATCCTGACACTCAGAGCTTAACCCCAGAGCTGGCGCCACCTTTTTCTCTCTCTCACCCCAGGGCCTTGTTTGTTTCCAGCATGACCGGGCGGCTCTTCCGTGCCACCCTCTATGACTTGTCTTTGCTTTTCTGCTTAAGCAGTCTCCAGGGTTAAATCAGGCCAATGAAAGCATTGGGTTACTTGACTCTGTGTGGGTGGACCCCACCTTATGCAGACCTGGTATTGCTCAATGGCGAGAGGATGGCAGAGGCCTGTCTTCAGTCCTCTCACTGGTGTTTCTGATGGTGTGTGCTGGCCAGGCAGTGGGCTGGGCAGTGGGTGGTGTGTCCTGGAGAGGTAGGGTGAGCTCCCCCAGCATTAGAGGTAGGAGGCAGCGTATGCTTGGTTCAGAGAGGCACAAAACGCAGGGGAGATTCCTGGGACCCTTTGCTTACATCCGCACTCCACAGGCCACCTGGCTGTTCTCTCATAATCTCATGATCTCAAGGAAGGAAATCGGGTTAGCCTGACAGGCTCATCTTTTACAAAGCAGCTTGTTTTTTTGTAAGGTTTGTTTCATTGCCCTATGTGACCCTAGACTGCAAGAAAGCCAATAGACAAGACCATCAGCCACTCGGATGGTGGAATGGGAAAGGACCGTGGATATTGCTCAGTCCCATCCCCTCATTTTTTAACCTTTTTAAAAAAATTAAGCCAGGTGGCCAGAGTTTCACATCCTGGCTCTGCCACGGCGCAGCTTCAAGCATCGTTGTGCCTCTATTTTCCCACCTGGCAAAAGGGAACAGCACTGTTCTCTTTCAAGATAAAATAATGATGCCAATAAAATGTGCTGGGTGGTTGTAAGCCTCAAATGACCTAAGACATGAGCATATTTACAGCAGCGCCACACATGTCTCCAGGGCTCCCCAACATCCAGTCCAGTGCCTGCTGCTCCATCTGAGGCTGGGGGGTCCCTGGAGAAAGCTCTGTGCCCTCCTGGAAGAGGCTATGTCAGGAGCACCCTAGAGGACCTGCCCTATCCCAGGGGCTGGGCCAAGCCATTATTCTGCCCACCCTGCCCCCTCCCTAAACACTTGGACCCCCGTGTTGTGATTTCTAGGCTGCCATTCCCACACCCCAGGCTCTACCAGTCTAATTTGTTCAGATATTCATTTCCTCTCCCTTCCTATCTCCCCTCTTCAGACAAGAATCTCTCCCTCCCCACAAATCTCATCCCAGCTGCTAATTTCTTCTGAAAACCTGACCCTCTCTGCATGCTAGGATGTAAATGACTTGCCAGGGGCTCCACTTAAGAGGATATGAGGAAACCACTTTATGCCCCTGTTGGAAGCTGTTTGATTAATAGCGCTTTTCAAGGTGTTGTTCAAGACTGGGGAGGTCTCTGGCATGAAGTTGAGGGTCCAGGCAAAGGCAGAGGTAACATGAAAGAACAATTGTCCAAGCAGAAGCTGGAAAAGTTGGCCCTGCGGGCATCCAGCTGCCATAAAATGCCATGATTTTATGTTAGTTTTGTGTCAGCTTCATGAGCAAGAGTGAGGAGAAAATTCAAAGCTTGGAGAAGAAATTCAGAAAATCAATGTTTCCATCAGCTTCATTTGCTAACTGTTGATCTGAGAGACGAGGATGCCTGACATGTTCTTAGGGGTTGATTCTGACACTTTGTCCTAACTTGTATATTAAGAAGTGAGACAGGAAAAATTAAAAATGACTGTCCTTCATTTGCACAGGACAAATAAAGGGACATGTTGTTTTTGGCTGTCCAGCATCCATCCCCTTTCTAATTCACTCCCATTTCCTTTTGGGGAATTACCTCCCTGCCATGTTTTTTGTCTCGGTGGGGAGATGATTCCAGGTATGGCACCCTACCATGAAGCACAGGGGATAGAGGCTCCCCATCTGGGGCCTGTGATCTCGGCTCAGCCACAGGGACCATCTCTCCTGTTCTCAGGCTATCTAGTCCACCATATTGCTGGAAATGGAAGTCACCACCAACAGCTGGTCACTCTGGGTAGTGGAGTGGGCAGAAGGCATGGCTCATGTCCAGCTTTGCCACGACTAGTTATGTGACCTTTGATGTGTCGTTTATCTTCTCTGGGACCTCATTTTTTTCATCTGTGTAACAGCCAAATGTCACAACCGTGACTTTGAGTAAAAGAAGCTGAACACAAATAACACATATTATATGAGTCCATTTATATACAGTTCAGGAATAGGCAACACTAAACTTTATTATTTAAGGATGCATACATAGCAAAATCATTTTTAAAAAAGGAAATGGGCCAGGCACAGTGACTCACACCTGTAATCCCAGCACTTTGGGAGGCCAAGGCGGGTGGATCACTTGAGGTCAAGAGTTGGAGACCAGCCTGGCCAATATGGTAAAACCCCGTCTGTACTAAAAATACAAAAATTATCTGGGCGTAGTGTGGCATGCCTATAATCCCAGCTACTCAGAAGGCTGAGGCAGGAGAATCACTCAAACCTGGGAGGCGAAGGTTGCAATGAGCCGAGATTACGCCACTGCACTCCAGCCTGGGTGACAAAGTGAGACTCTGTCTCAAAACAAAAAATAAAATAAAATAAATTTGAAAAAATGAAAAGGAAATGATTTTCCTGAAAGTAAAGCAGTGAGTACCCAGGAGACAGAGGGAGTGTGAGTGAGGAGGGCCACCTGGGGAGGCTGGTATCATCTATCATTCAAGCTTGACCTGGGTTGTTGGTTACACAGGTGTTTTCCTTATGATTATTACAATTACAGTTATTCATACACTTTCCATTTGTGTATGTCCTCTTCTGTATGTCTGCCATGATAATGATGATGAAAAAGAAAAAAATGGATGATGGATTTAAAGAGTCTTGTAAACTGAAGTGCTGTCCACATATTAGGGCTCAGGAAGAACCTCCTCTTCTCACCTGTCCTTTTTCTCTAGGTTCAGAATCCAGAATGTCCACACTAAAAGGAACCATTGTAGTCCAGCCTCCCATGTCCCATTTTACAGCGGGGCAAACTGAGGCCTAAGAAGGCAAAGACATCTCCTCTTCCCTCTCTCCCCCTACCCTCCCAAGGGTTCCAGCCCCAAGATGTATGCCCTCCTGGACCCCAATGCTCCCTTCTTGCCTTGAGCACCTGCAGTGTGTGTGTGAATCCAGCCACCTTGGAATTAAGAGCCCACAGGGCATTTCCTCTCCTTGGGAACCAGTTCCAACGCCTTCCATCTCAGGCTGAAAAAAAAAACATTTGCAATTTCCTCCCACCCACGACTCCTTTCAGATGCGCTCAGCCTCAGGCGTGGACGAGGGCTTTATTATTTTTTAAAGAACGCACACACACCCTCCCGAGCTCCCATCAGCCCTCTGAGCATCCTTCTGCAAACCTCTCCAAAGGCATAAAAACCAGGCTGGGGAAAAGGGCTGGGCCTGCTGCAGGTGAATCTAAGATCTGGCTCAGACATTACAAGCGTGCAAGAGGCTCCCTTGTCTCCTCGTTCCCTCAGCAGATGCAGCCTGATTTCCCTTTGAATAAATTGCCTCCAGCTTGGTGAACCAGGAACTTTACGAGCAGTCCTGCTCCCGAGCCCAGTAATTTGCCAGAAATTAGCAGTGACTAAGATGCACCAGCCTCTCTTTGTTCTGGGCAGTGGGGATCAGCTTGTCCTGAGTTTTCATTTTCAGCACTGGTCAGAGAGCTGTGGACACTCAGCCACCCAGAGGCCCCAGGCCTGGGGTTAGGGGTGGGGGTGCTGCTCTTCTCTGACATTCGCCTTTGTCCCTGTGGCCTGGCTCAGGCTGAGGAGGGAGGTGCCACTAACTTTCCATAACATTTGTTCTTCTTTGTTTCTTTCCCATTTCCTTCTCACTTGTCTTCCAGAATAAGAAAGAAACAAAGAGGCAGACAGAAGGCCATTTTCACTGCTTCGTTAAAAACTGAAAGTTTTGTGATAGACTGGTGAGATCCTCCAAGTCCCTGGCCTCTAAGAGCCAGAGGGGAAAGGCCACTGAGTCTGTTGAGCCGTAACCTGTCCACTCACGGGCCCAGCCCAGGCAGCCCACAGAAACACGGCCACCACCCCAGTGAAATGGGCTCCATTTATGAAGGTCCATGTCTGGGCCCAGGTCTGCAATTTAGAGGTTGAGTACTTTTGTGCATTTCACCACTCCAAGCTTCGGTTTATGCATCTGTAGAATGGGTATGATGTGGTAGAATTAGATATGGTCCACTGGATAAGATGAAGAGGCAGGACTGGCTACATAATTTGCAGGGCCCAAAGCAAAATGAAAATGTGTAGCCCCTCATTCAAAAATTATTAAAACATTTCAAGATGGTGAAAACAAAGCATTAAACCAAGCGCAGGTCCCTTCTGATATGACTGCCTAGATTGTACACTCATGACACCAACCCATTCATTCATTCATTCATTCATTCAGCAAATAGTGGGGACCTACTTTGTGCCAGGTACAAGTCACAAGACCTAACAAATGCCAAGTGCTCACAGGCCAGGTTAACAGTAGGTACTCAGGAAAGGAAAAGATACCTTTTTTTTTTTTTGAGAAAGGGTCTCACTTTGTTGCCCAGGCTGGAGTGCAGTGGTATGACCACAACTCACTGCAGCCTCAAACTCCTGGGCTCAGTAGCTGGGACCACTCACGCACGCCACCACGCCCAGTAAATTTTTTAAATTTTTGTAGAGGCAAATTTTTAAAATTTTTAAATGTAAATTCTTGCCATGTTGCCCAGGCTGGTCTCAGACTCCTGAGCTCAAGTGACCCGCCCGCCTCAACCTCCCAAAGTGCTGGAATTACAGGCATGAATCACCGTGCCTAGTGAAAAGATGCTTTTTACTTCCTGTAAACCTCAAGCTATAATATAGCATGCATTGTAATCCCATTTCACATATGCAAAAACAGACAGCAAGAAACTTATCAAAGGTCCACAGCTAGTAAGCAAGAAAAGCAACAGCTGAACCCAGTTCTGATGAGAAGGCCCACAGCCTTTCCAGCTTCATAGGCAACTCCAGCAAGCAGACATGAGTAGGGAGGAGAGTCCCAAATCTCAGCTGAAATTCAGAGGGCAAGATCTCCCTTAAAGGAGTGGGGATGGGCTGGGGGTACTTTCTCACTTGGGTACCCACCAAGTCTCCAGCCCTAGCCCTAGCCCCTAATGCTAGAGAACCTCCTTGAATCATTGGTTCCTCCTAGGCTGGCTAAAAGCCAAGGGCCCAGAGACCCTTTGAGTGACTGCTTAGAAGCCAGGGAGTCACCAGGGTGAGAAGGGACATCAACAGGGCCACACAGAGGGTATTGGGTACCAATCCAAATGTCCCAACCATTCTCAAAGGGACAAAGAGAGGACATTGCAAGCCAGACGTGACTGCAAAACTGACATAAATTTTGTAAATGCACCATCTGCCATTGAGAATATAAATATGGTCATTCCATCAATAAAGCAAGTAAATTTCTTTCCAACTCAAAAATGTAGCAGAGGCCAGGTACGGTGGCTCATGCCTGTAATCCCAGCACTTTGGAAGGCTGAGGGAGGTGGATCTCTTGAGATCAGGAGTTGGAAACCAGCCTGGCCAACATGGTTGAAACCCTGTCTCTACCAAAAAGTACGAAAATTAGCTGGGTGTGGTGGCACATGCCTGTAATCCCAGCTGTAATCACACACTTGTAATCCTCCCGTGACTCGGGAGGCTGAGGCACAAGAATTGCTTGAACCTGGGAGGTGGAGGGTGCAGTGAGCCAAGATCACACCACTGCACTCCAGCCTGGGCTACAGAGCAAGATTGTTTAAAAAAAAAAAAAAAAAAGTAGCAGAAATTGCACTGGGAGACGGGAGGTTCTGATAAGAAAGATCACCTACTGTGAGCTTGGCACATAAAAGGAGCTGAGTATGTGCTAGTTCAACCTGAAAATAAGTTCTTCACTAAAGTGGACCGAGACCAGCCTTTAGGCTCCAGAGCAAAGATCAGTTGGGCTGTGTTTGCCTCAAAATCAGGTGCCTCTTCTTCCCAGACAAGGCAGCCACGTAGAGGAGTGTAGGCTATGTACTGCGCAACAAGAATGATAGACCTGGAGTTAGGCAGCCTGCGAGAGAGGCCGGATGAGGTGGAGCTGCTTCCTTAAACCACAGGTGGATCCCCAGAATGGATAGCAATGGACTAGTGCCTCCCACCCCACTCCGTTACCCACTGAGCCCACCAGCCTCAGCTCCCTACATAAAAATCCCTGCCTGATCTTTCAGAGCTGACAGTGAAGAGAGAGGCCCCTACAGCTCCAACTGTTGAGGGTCTCCCAGACCCTCTTTAGGGCGTCCACACTCATTGCCACACTACCACCATGTGTCTTTGGGGGCCCAGGGTGCTGCCCCCTCTTTACCATTCTTTCTAATTTCCCTTCACTCCCCTTTGCCCACCCAGCAGCAGACCAAAACCTTTAATCAAGACTGGATTAGGATCGGCCAGGCATGGTGGCTCACACCTATAATACCAGCACTTTGGGAGGCCAAGGCGGGTGGATCACCTGAGGTCAGGAGTTCAAGACCAGCCTGGCCAACATGGTGAAACCCCGTCTTTACTAAAAAAAAATACAAAAATTAGCCGGGCGTGGTGGCAGGTGCCTTAATCCCAGCTACTTGGGAGGCAGAGGCAGGAGAATCATTTGAACCTGGGAGGCAGAGGTTGCAGTGAGCTGAGATTGAGCCATTGCGCTCAAGCCTGGGGGACAAGAGAGAGACTTCTCTAAAAAAAAAAAAAAAAAAAAAAAAAAAAAAAAAAAAAAAAAAAAAAAGACTGGATTAGGATCCCTGCGATGCCAAAGGGGAAATAAACAGTCGCCTGCAGCCAGGCCATCTGGCTTGCTGGCTCCAGCTCTCTCCAAGCCCACAGGCCCTGCCCCAGCCCCATGGGATTCGGGGCAGTGTGAGGGCTTCACCCACCAGCTGCTCCACCGCCCCTCCTGCCTTGAGGACCCTACACCCTTCTGGGAGTAGGCCACTGCTACTTTTCTTCATGTTAACCCAAAGAAATAGAGGAGGTGGCTATGTGGGAAACAGAATTCTTTTTTTTTTTTTTTTTTTTTTGAGACAGAGTCTTGTTCTTGTTGCCCAGGCTGGAGTGCAATGGCTCGATCTTGGCTCACAGCAACATCTGCCTCCTGGGTTCAAGCAATTCTCCTGCCTCAGCCTTCTGAGTAGCTGGGATTAAAGGCACCCACCACCATGCCTGGCTCATTTTTGTATTTTTAGTAGAGATGGGGTTTCACCATGTTGGCTGGGCTGGTCTCAAACTCCTGACCTCAGGTAATCTGCCTGCCTCAGCCTCCCAAAGTGTTGGGATTATAGGCGTGAGCCACCGCGCCCGGCCCAGACTTTTTTTCTTTTGAGACGGAGTCTCGCTCTGTCGCCCAGGCTGGAGTGCAGTGGTGCAGTCTCGGCTCACTGCAACCTCCACCCGCCAGGTTCACACGATTCTCCTGCCTCAGCCTCCCGAGTAGCTGGGATTACAGGCACGCACCACCACGCCCAGCTAACTTTTGTATTTTTAGTAGAGACAGAGTTTCTCCATGTTGGCCAGGATGGTATCAAACTCCTGACCTCAGGTGACCCGCCCACCTTGGCATCCCAAAGTGCCAGGATTACAGGTGTGAACCACCCGGCCGAGGAAACAGAATTCTAAGCATCCTCCTCCTCTTTGTCTCTCTCCACCAATGTTCATTTATTTTCCTGAAGTTTCCATCTCAAGAGGTCTCAGGGAAGAAGCACTGGAGTTGGGGTCAAAAGATCTGGATTTGAGTCTTGACTGCTGTGAACTGGCCGTGTGACCTCTGTCGAGTCACTTCGCTTGCCATTCTGTCCCTCAGTTTCCCAACCTATAAAATGAGGACAGTATTGGCCTCCCTCACAGCACAACTAGGAAGATCCCTGTGAATGCTACAGGGAAACAGTGTTGTGTCTTAGTGTTAGGGCGATCCCCTGCCCTGCCCAGTGTGGATATTTTGGCTCCCTCTGGAATTGAATGGACCCCAGGGCAGGAATTGACACTCAAGGCCCGCAGTGGCTGCCAGGGCACTGTTAGTGCTTCCCATAGAGAAACCAGCTTCTAACAGCCCCCTTCCGTTCCTAGGGCAAGAGTAGGGGAGAATAATGGGAAAGGGGGGCTCACTCTGAAGTTTGCACAAGAAAGCGTTTTCCAGTGTGATTTTGGTCTCTCGGTCTGAGTGGTACAATTAGCAATGGGGTGGCAACTGTGAATTCAGAGCAGCCAGGCTCTGCTCCTATTAGCAACAAAGGAGGAAGAAGCAGGCCAGCGCGGTGGCTCACGCCTGTCAATCCCAGCACTTTGGGAGGCCGAGGCGGGCAAATCACTTGAGGTTAGGAGTTCCAGACCAGCCTGGCCAGCATGGCGAAACTTCGTCTCTACTAAAAATACTACAATTAGCCAGGCATGGTGGTGGGCGCTGGTGGTCCCAGCTACTCAGGAGGCTGAAGCAGAAGAATCGCTTGAACCTGGGAGATGAAGGTTGCAGTGAACCCAGATCACGCCAGTGCACTCCAGCCTGGGTGACAGAGCAAGGCTCTGTCAAAAAAAAAAAAAAAAAAAAAAAAGGAGGGAGAGGCAGAGAGAGAGGAAGAAATGGTAACGCAGAGAGACAGACAGACAGAGCCCGTAGGGAAAGACTGGATCATCCAGGGAGACACAGCAAGAGTCTGGGACAGTGATGAAGAAGGAGACAAAGACAGGACAGAAGAGTCGCAGGGGCTGTGCTGAGAATATGAATATTAAAAAGAAAAACCAAATCACGATTTCTTTGCTGCAGGCCTACTGCCTTCCACCTCAGTGTCTCAAGTGAGATCACCGGGAAGGTGCGTGTTGAGTAATTTGCATGGGTAAAGCTGCAAATTCATATCAATAGAACTTGAGGTTCAAGGTTGTCCCCTAATAGGCCCCCCTTGCTCCCTGCCTTCCCTAATGTTTCTGGAACAGGACCGGGAATGCTGGGGTGCAGCAAGTGGGGACCCCCAGCCCCAGCCTGGGCATGCCACTCCCTGTCCTGCAGAAGCCTGGCTGAGAGCAGTAAGTCTTCATGGAAGGTGGGAGGGGACCGCCCTGCTGCCCCTTCCTCTGAGCTCCCCAACCCACTCACTATCTGGGCTCTTTGCAGTCGTTAGCCAGGTGAAATGCAGTGTTCCTTCTTCCTTGGTCTGACCTCCCCATCCAGCCCACGGGCTCCCCATGAGTTCCCCTCATTTCCTGGCAGCAGGGCACTGTGAGTGATGCACAGGCTCAGAGCCACATGTCCAGGTCTGGATCAGGTCTGATTCTTCCTCCCCGTGGGCCCTGGCAGCTTACCCTCTCTGTGCCTCAATATCCTCGCCTGTCAATGAAGATGATAGTAGCAGTGGTATTATTACTGCTAGGTTGTTATGACTGAATTACATCCCCATCCCCAAATTTCTACATGGAATCCCTAACCCCTAGGACCTCAGAATGCGATTGTGTTTGGAGATTGGGTCTTTACAGAGGAGATTTTGTTACAATGAGGTCATTAGGGTGGCCTTAATTCAGTGTGACTGGTGTCCTTAGAAGAGGAGATTAGGCTGGGCGTGGTGGCTCACGCCTGTAAACCCAGCACTTTGGGAGGCCAAGGTGGGTGGATCACGAGGTGAGGAGTTTGAGACCAGCCTGGCCAATATGGTGAAACCCCATCTCTACTAAAAATACAAAAATTAGCCAGGCACGGTGGTGTGCGCTTGTAGTCCCAGCTACTCGGAAGGCTGAGGCAGAAGAATCGCTTGAACCCGGGAGGTGGAGGTTGCAGTAAGCAGATATTGCGCCACTGCACTCCAGCCTGGGGGACAGAGCAAGACTCTGTCTCAAAAAAAAAAAAAAAAAAAAAAAGAAGAGGAGATTAAGACACAGACACAAAGATAAGGCCTTGTGAAGACACAGGGGGAAGAAGACCATTCTGCAAGCCAAGGAGAGAGGCCTCAGGAGATACCAACCCTACTGACACCTTGATCTTAAAAGTCTAGCGTCCAGAACTATGAGAAAATAACTTTCTGTTTTTAAGCCACCGGTCTGTGGCATTTGTTATACAGCCTTAGGTGACTGATACAGTCATGGTGGGGATGAAATGACTTCCTATCTTGTACCCACCCAAGGGGTTCACTGTGACCACTGCCTAGACAGAGCCGATTTATCAAGACAGGGGAATTGCAATAGAGAAAGAGTAATTAACGCAGAGCCAGCTGTGCGGGAGACCGGAGTTTTGTTATTACTCAAATCAGTGTCCCTGAGCATTAGGGGAGCAGAGTTTTTAAGAATAACTTGGTGGGTGGGGGGAAGCCAGTGAGTCAGGGGTGCTGATTGGTCAAGGCGGAAATCACAGGGAGTCGAAGCTGTCTTCTCATACTAAGTCAGTTCCTGGTGCGGGCCACAAGATCAGGTGAGCCAATTTATTGATTTGAGTGGTGACAGCTGATCCATCAAATGCAAGGTCTGCAAAATATCTCAAGCACTGATCTTAGGAGCAATTTGTGGAGGGTCAGTATCTTGTAACCTCCAGCTGCATGACTCCTAAACCATAATTCCTAATCTTGTGGCTAATGTTAGTCCTACAAAGGCAATCTAGTCCCTAGGCAAGAAGGAGATCTGCTTTGAGAAAGGGCTGTTACCGTCTTTGTTTAAACTATAAGCTATAAACTAAGTTTCTCCCAAAGTTAGTTCAACCTATGCCCAGGAATAAACAAGGACGGTTTGAAGGTTAGAAGCAAGATGGACTCAGTTAAGTTAGGTCTCTTTCACTGTCTCAGTCATAATTTTGCAAAGGTGGTCTCAATCTGAAGCACTGAGTGCAGTGCCTGGCACGTCCTGAGGCTGAGGCTCAGTAACTGTTAACCCTTCCATTGTGTGGTGCTTCAAGCAGATATGGAGCACTGGGCACAGTGGCTCACACCTGCAATCTCAGCACTTTGAGAGGCTGAGGCAGGAGGATCACTTGAGCCCAGGAGTTCAAGACAAAGGCTTATCTTTGAACAAAGGCTTGTCTGCAAAATTTTTTTTAAAAATTAGCTGGGCATGGTGGTGTGTGCCTGTGGTCCCAGCTACTTGGGAGGCTGAGGTGAAAGGATCACTTGAACTCAGGAGGTGAAGGCTGCAGTGAGCTGTGATCGCATCACTGCACTACTACAGCCTGGGTGACAAAATAAGACTGTCTCAAAAGAAAAAAAAAAGGGGGCCAGGTGCGATGGCTCATGCCTGTAATCCCAGCACTTTGGGAGGCCGAGACAGGAGGATCACCTGAAGTCAGTTGTCTGAGACCAGCCTGGCCAATATGGTGAAACCCCATTTCTACTAAAAATACAAAAAAAGAAAAAATTAGCTGGGCGTGGTGGCAGTTACCTGTAGTCCCAGCTCCTCAGGAGGCTGAGGCAGGAGAATTGCTTGAACCCGGGAGGCAGAGGTTGCAGTGAGCCAAGATCGCATCGCTGCACTCCAGCCTGGGTGACAGAGCAAGACTCTGTCTCAAAAAGAAGACATGGAGCAAGGAGGCCAGAGACGTTTGTTCTTATCTTGGCTGCAGCTGTAACTCAGGCAGGTCACTTCCCTCCTCTGCGCTCTGTTTCCCAAACATGAAATGAGGGGATTAGAGTGAACGGCAGTGATTTTCCAACTTTTTGATGGCAAGTCACAATGCGAAACAACTGCTTACTTCCCAGTCCGGTGAACACATGGGTACCACGGAACCGAAACAGAACTGACACATACCAACACTCACCCCTACCATGTGCGATGCACACTGGCGTTTTTCATTTTATTCTGTTTAGGTGGTGACCTCTGAATTGATTTCATGATGACGACCCTAGTGGGTCACAACTGCAGTGTAAGGAGTGTGGGGCAAGTCTCCTCAGGGGCACTGAGGAGCCCCCACTCTGGAGAGGAGAGACCCCCATTGCTCAGGACTCCAGCCGTGCACCACCCACCCTTCCTGCCTCAACCAGAACAGTCCTGCTGCTCTATGCTTTTGTTTGTTTGTTTTTGTTTTGTTTTTTTGAGGTGGAGTTTCGCTCTTGTTGCCCAGGCTGGAGTGCAGTGGCGTGATCTCTGCTCACCGCAACCTCCAGCTCCCAGGTTCAGGCGATTCTCCTGCCTCAGCCTCCCGAGTAGCTGGGATTACAGGCATAAGCCACCATGCCTGGCTAATTTTTGTATTTTTAGTAGAGACAGGGTTTCTCCATGTTGGTCAGGCTGGTCTTGAGCTCCTGACCTCAGGTGATCCGCCCACCTTGGCCTCCCACAGTGCTGGGATTACAGGTGTGAGCCACCGCACCTGGCCTACTCTATGCTTTATTCATTGGGCTTCCCCATAAGGTTCAGTTAGAAAAAGGTGTTCTCCGGTTAGGACCCCACCCCACCACCCCAAAAAAAAAAACAACAGAAAAATATGAAAACCAATTGGACTGGGAGACCCTGGGTGATTATGAGCTCTGGCATTCTGGGGTTCTGTGGTTTAAATTGAGTTGAGCAAAATAATTGTAAAAGCAGAACAGAAATTTCTAGGAAAAGATGGAGTTGGAAGTATTTCACCTGAAGATGACTTACTAATTTATTTCAAGTAAGTACATAATTATTATGCATTAAAGAAAATGATCACCTTTATTGATTGTCTTCTATGTCCCAGATTTTTTATATTACTTAATGTGAAACAGTGTGAGGAAGGACATCAGATGCCCATTGCATAGATAAATAAACTGAGGCTCAGAGAAGTTTCAGAACTTGTCCACAATCACATAGCTATGAGGAACATCTTGCTCTCCCAAGAGAAGCTAAGGGGAGAAAATCTTGAGCAAGAGAAAGCACTATGGCAGGCCCCTAATGTAAAATGGAGAAACCCTACTACCAGGCACCTCTCAAGGCTACTATGAGGATTGATTGAGACAATGCAAGTGCCTGGCTCATAATAGTTGCTCAATGAACGGTAGCTATTGTTATGGTTGTAATCTTTCGCTTTGGAAAGCTAAATTTAACCCACAGAACACCACCACCACCCGCACAACACACACACACACACACACACACACACACACACACACCCCATATGCTAGTGCTAAAATCCTGCTCCATAGCGTTTATTGCCAGTTCAGTTTTCAGGAGAAAGGACCACAGTAAATATGGTCTCTAATCAAACAAAACAAACATCACATTATGAGGAAGGCACATGAAGACACACTGCTTATATTGCCTTGAACACAAGTGCTAAAATAACGACCAGACGCAGTGGCTCACGCCTGTAATCTCAGCACTTTGGGAGGCCACAGTGGGCGGATCACCTGAGGTTGGGAGTTCAAGACCAGCCTGACCAACATGGAGAAACCCCGTCCCTACTAAAAATACCAAAATTAGCCAGGCGTGGTGTAATCCCAGCTACTTGGGAGTCTGAGGCAGCAGAGCAAAACTCTGTCTCAAAAAAAAAAAAAAACTGCTGAAAGGACATGTTCACTCCATACTCCTCCCCTCTTGCAGATAACAACAGCAAAGAGAAAGGGAGGAATTTTCCTTCCAAAGCAGGGATCCAGGGCTCTAGCATCTCTGAAATAGAAGTTGCCATAGAGCTCACCCAATTGCATCCCCTAGCTTATTTTCCAGGTGAGGAGATTAGGGTCAAAAGAAGGCAAGGGATGGACCCAAGATCACACAACATGCCTGCGGGAGAGATGGCCCAGAACTACAGAAACCCAGTTTTAAGCTTTTACAACTCGGAAGGCAGGGATTTCCTCAGCCTCCATGGGTTTCCTGGCATGTTAGCCTTCATGCAATTTGGTGCCAGATGGTAACCTCACTGTCCCCTGACTTCCTAGCAGCCCTCAGCTCCAAGGGCTGTGCCTGAAGATAGGAGTGAAACAGACTTTTCTATCAAAACTGCCAGTCTGCCGTTTGCTGCCTTGCTACAGAATCCATACTTGGACAATAAGCATGCACGAGTGTTTGCCACTAACATGTCCCTCTTTGCCAGACTGTGAGTTTCCTGAGAACAGGGACTGGGTCTTTCCAGCCATATGATCTGGAATAGGCCATTTACGCTCTCAAAGCCCCGGTTTCCTCAGTTTCTTCATAGGAATATTGGGGAAATGAAATTAGATCAACACAATGCCTGGAAACCAGTAAGTGCTTAATAAAGGTTGGTTATTATTATTATTTTATTGATTTTTATTACCTGTTTCCCAAGCACCTAAGATATCATAGTGCCACACAAAACAAAACAAACAGATGCTCTGTAAATTTGGATGTAACACGTGTGCCAGGAATGGTGCCATTTATCAATCACCTACTATCTACAGAACTTCTACTGCATACTTGTATCAGTCAGCTACTGTCATGATATACCGTGTAACAAACCACCCCAAAACTCAGAGAATTAAACAGCCATCATTTACCCTCACTCGAGGGTCTGCAGGTCAACTGGGGCAAGACTCTGCCTGCTATGTGCTCACTCTGGGGCCCAGGCTAAAGGGGCTACAGGGGAAATGGTTGCTACAGAGATGGCAGAAGTGCAAAGAACAAGTGGAGGCTGGGTGCAGTCACTCACACCTGTAATCCCAGCACTTTGGGAGGCTGAGACAGATGGATCACCTGAGGTCAGGAGTTCGAGACCAGCCTCCCCAACAGGGCGAAACCCTGTCTCTACTAAAAATGCAAAAATTAGCCAGGTGTAGTTGCACACACCTGTAATCCCAGCTACTTAGGAGGCTGAGGCAGGAGAATTGCTTGAACCCTGGAGGCAGAGGTTGCAGTGAGCCAAGATCGCACCACTGCACTCCAGACTGGGCAAGAGAGCGAGACTCCATCTCAAAAAAAAAAAAAAAGCAAACAAAGAACAAGTGGAAACACACAGTCTCCTGGGGCCCAGGCTGAGAACTGGTACACTGTTCCTTCTGTCTCCTTGCCATTGGTCAAAGCAAGTCACATGCTCAACCTCAATGTCAGTGGGGCAGGGAAATCTACTCTGCCCCATGAGGCTGTGGCAAGCATGTGGGTGTATAATACAAGCACAAGGGAGTGAAGAATTGCAACCAATAATCCCATATGCCCAGGCAAACCCATCAAGTTGATCTCTATCTTGCAAGTGGCTGAGGATGGGTCACTCCACCACTGTTTTCCTCCAATCCGTATCCAAGAACTACCAGAAGGATGCATCCCCACAAGGATCTTGGGGCGGGGTGGGGGAACTCAGAGACAAAATCAAATGCATTTTGGAGCATTTTGCAAGCATAAAGTGTACAGAGTAAATAGACAAAGTAATTCCTCTCACTTTGCCCTGTGCTGTCAGGAGAGTTCGTTCAAATCCTTCCTAACAGGGTGTTTAATTTCAAGAAGCTGAAGAATTGAGCTGACGATGTGTTGTTTATGAGCAAATTCCAGGGTCTGGAATTAAGAAGAAAGCATAGTTCAAGCCTACAGATTATCTTCCCCCATTAGGATGGAGCCTCCACTTTCGCCTGACAACACCCCCTCCTTTCAGCAATGCCCCCCTCTTTTGCTTCTCCAGGGCATCAGACCCAGTCTGATGGGAGTGGGGGGAGTCAGCGGGCAGGAGGTACTTGGGGACCCTAACTTCTGGTGAGACAGAAGCATCCGGGGCTCCAGGTGCCACCCCCCACTGTGGGGCGCCCTCCATCCTTGGAGCCTCGCCCTCTCTGACCTCCCTGGGGACTTTGGAGGGGGCTGGAAGGAAGGTGGAGGAAGCGGAGCTGCCGGGTGGGGGATGTGGAAGGAAGTCTATATTTGCTCCCTTGCAACAGCAAAGACTGTTTACCTCCAAGTCTGTGTTTTTCAAGGAAATGGAGGCCAGCAGAGGAAAAACGCCCTTGTGAAAACATTTCCATGAATTTATGTTGTTCATCTGGAGAGGCACGGCCCCCCGGCAAGGCCTCTGGGATTCAACATGGTCAGGATGAGGCTGGCCTGCCGGATCCAGGATGGAAGAACACCAGCCAGGCCAGGAGGTGACAGGTGCCACCTTGGCTCAGCAGAGCCAAGGAGCGATGCACACTCATCCCCTGGGGCCTCTCACTCACATTCAGATCTGTCTCTCATCAGCCGAAAGAGCAAGGGAACGCAGTGGGGTAGAATCAGAACACCTGGGTTTGAGGTCACAGGTCTGGTCGTTGTTTTCACAAGGGCAGGGAAGTGTGACTCTGGACAAGTCACTAGGCTGCTCTGGGCCTCAAGATCCTTTTCTTAAAGTGAGATTGAAATCTTGTACCTCTCAGGGTCGTTGTGGGGACCAAAGGAGGAAACGAGTATGAAATGATCATTGCATCTCCTTTCTGAACAGGGCGAGGCCAGGGTCTGGGGAGAGCTCTCCTGAGGCACAGCTCCCATGCCGGAATGGCTCCGTAGAATAAGTTCTAGGAAGCTATTTCACACCTGTAATCCCAGCACTTTGGGAGGCCGAAGTGGGCCGATCACTTGAGGTCAGGAGTTTCAGACAAGCCTAGCCAACATGGTGAGACACTATCTCTACTAAAAATGCAAAAAATTAGCCGGGCGTGGTGGCAGGTGCCTACGGTCTCAGCTACTCGGGAGGCTGAGGCAGGAGAATCACTTGAACACAGGAGGCAGAGGTTGCAGTGAGCCGAGATTGCGCCACTGCACTCCAGCCTGAGCAAAAGAGAGAGACTCTATCTCACACAAAAAAAGTTCTGGGAAGCTGCTGAACTACATCAGGGATGATAATCAGGGTTCTGGTACCACCTGATGTATTTCGTCCAGGCCAGACGAGAAACTTGGGCAGCCAGGGCAATGCATGGGAGATTTGCAAGGAAGTCTCACTGGACGAGGGAGGAAGGCCTTGGAAGGTAAGTAGCTACTTAGAGGAGTAGCACTTAGTGCTAAGGAAGCCGTATGTAGATAATAAGTGGGGCAGGCACTCCGGGCAGGGAGAGTGCTGACAGCAGCGGTCTGGTGGATGGACTCCTGCCAAGTGCTTGGAAGAGGCCGACTGGATCCGTGTGCTGAGTGAAGGAATAGCACCGAGCAGCGGTGGGAGTGTGGGAAGAAGGGAAAGAAAATGAAGGGGAGAGATGACAAGACCCTTGAATGCCAGCCAGGCCCAGGGTTGAGTGTTTGTCCCAAGTAGAATTTTTTCAGGAGGGGATGATCATAAAACCAACTCAAACTGGCTTCAGCCCAAAAAAAGAATGAATTGGCTCATATAACTGAAGAATTTGGGTGTGGGGCTGGGTAGTACAGGCTGCTTTCTCCAGGGAGGTTTCCCCGTTCGTGGGCTCAGGAGGGCTCAAAATCACACTTCCAGGTTCCAGGCCAGAGGAAGATAGGCGTCTCTTTCACAGAACTCCAGGCCAGCATCTAATTGCAGGTCACTTGCCCCAACTGGGATCCTTACCTGTCATTTAACCAATCCCTATGGCAAATCAGGCCTCTCTCCTGGAACTGGGGAAGGGATTAAGTTCTATACAAACATGTGGTTGAGCCCGGAGGATGGTGATTTCCTGTGAACGTGAAGGAAACCATTCCCAGAAGCAGAGGGCAGCGGGCAAACCCTGGGGCTCCTCCCGCCAGCAGTGTGGAATGGCAGCAAGGGGCCCACCAGGGCAGCGTCCGTATCCTCCTGCCTCAGCCTCCCAAAGAGCTGGGATTACAGGCCTCAGCCACCACACCCAGCCAGACCCTGCATTTATTTTATTTTACTTTATTTTATTTTATTTCATTTCATTTCATTTTAGAGACAGGGTTTCGCTCTGTCACCCAGGCTAGAGTGCAGTGGCACTATGTTGGCTCACTGCAAATTCTACCTCTTGGCTTACTGCAATCTGTACCTCCCAGGCTCAAGCAATCCTCCCACCTCAGCCTCCTGAGGAGCTGGACTACAGGCGTGCACCACCACGCCCAGCTAATTTTTATATTCTTTGTAGCAATGCGGTTTGCCATGTTGCCCAGGCTGGTCTCGAGCTCCTGGGCTCAAGCAATCTGGCCACCTTGGCCTCCCAAAGTGCTGGGATTATAGGCGTGAGCCACTATACCTGGTACAGACCCAGCATTTAGACGGTGACCCGATGGCCTCCACAAAGAGTGAGTGAGCTCAGTCCCCACTTACCCACAGCAACCCCATGCAACACTGAGGATATCCCCTCACCTCTCAGGCCCTGCAGACAGAGAGTGCAACAGGCCAGCTGGGGCTGGAGTGATGGCTGAGCCGAGAGCTGGGATTTGGGCAGGGCCTCGGCTCCCAGCCTTCCCTCCACCAGTGCCCATTTGGCTTCACCAGCTCCTCCCCACCCTCATATGATCGCTGCCTTTAATCCAGCAAAAAGCTTTTACCTTGTTTCATCTGCAGAGGAGCCCGAGGATTTAGATTTTTGCATTTTAAATGTTATTCATGTTTTGATTTAAATCCCTAAAACTAATTCTAGGCATTCCATAAGCCGCATGGCCCCCTAAGATCCTGAACCCTTCTCTCGTTCCAGGCCAGTGTCTCATCAGACTAATGTGATACGGTGGGATTTGTATGTGTGTCTGTTTTTAATAGAGAAAAACAAAAACCAGGAGGGTTTTGGAAACGTTAAACTGTTGTTTCAGTCTTTTAAATTTTGGATGGTTTCCATGGTAACTGGTAAGTTTGCTTCTTTGTTCGCTCCAGTTTTCTGGAGAGGCCAAGGCAGCTCTCCACAGCTTCTTAAGTAGGCTTGGATCAAAGTCCAGGCACGGGAAGGGGGCAAGCCGCAGCCCCAGTGTAACGAGCTGCCCCCCAGGATTCACCACCGACTGGGCAAAGCTGGAGTCTGAACAGTCCTCAAGTAGACCTCACTCCCCTTCCTACGTCTCCCTGAGGCTCAGGGCAATTCCATCGAGCTCCAAAGAGTCCACGTGTCAGAGGTGTTTGAACCAGAGCAACCCTATCTTAAATACGGGCAGGGTAAAATGAAGCTGAGACCTACTGGGCCGCATTCCCAGGAGGTTAAGGCATTCTCAGTCACAGGATGAGACAGGAGGTCGGCACAAGATGCAGGTCACAAAGACCTTGCTGATAAAACAGATTGTGGTAAATAAGCCGGCCAAAACCCACCAAAACCAAGATGGCAATTACGAGAGTGACTTCTGGTCCTCCTCACTGCTACATTCCCACCAGCGCCATGAGAGTTTACAAATGCCATGGCAACATCAAGAAGTTGCCCTATATGATCTAAAAAGAGGAAGCATGAATAATCCACCCCTTGTTTAGCATATAATTTAAAAAATTACCATAAAAATAGGCAATCAGAAGCCCTGGGGGCTACTCTGTCTATGGAGTAGCCATTCTTTTATTCCTTTACTTTCTTCATAAACTTGCTTTCACTTTGCACAAGGGACTCACTCTGAAATCTTTCTTGCATGAGATCCAAGAACCCTCTCTTCAATCGGGACCCCTTTCCAGTAACACATGTGCCTGCTAGAAGCCCAGGTCTCAGGCTGCAGGGTTCGGGGGCGGGGTGGGAGCAGGCACCCTGCCCCAGCCTTCCTGAGATGCCTGTCTGCGCACCTGGACACGCTAATGCCTGGGCCTGTGAAGGGCAGCCTTGAGCTCTTCCTCCTGGGAGCCAGGCTGGGGTCCCCCTCACTGTTCTCTGGCCTCAGCTGGTTGTGCAGCCTCAGCCCCAGGGCCCCAGCTGAATCTGGGAAACTGCTATGCTCAGAGGTCTCGCTTCCCAAAGGGGCCTGTTCTGGTGTTGAGCCTCCATTTTGCCAGCTGGAGTCCCCAGAGTCCCACTTACGATGCTTTCTGCTTTTGGCCCCTTCCCCTCATTCTCCAAAATGGTGTCTGTCAGCTCTCGTCCTGATGCACCATGTCGTAAATACAGTTTCGTGGGTATGTCACTAAATTGGCAGGACACACTGCCAGTGTCCTGGCAGGCAGGCGACAGGGGCCACACTCAGACAGGGGGATTGGGGCTGTCTACAGGGTATGGGCAGGGTTAGGGCTACCAACACAGAATGTCGAAGCACCCCAGGGCTAGACAGGCACCAGCCCCTGCCCTTAAGGGGTCGAAGGGTGGGCCTGAGCCAGAGCGGCAGGAAAGGGCTGTCCACAAAGGCTGGGACCCTCACTGAAGGACACAGCCATTGCTAACGCACAGCCCAGCTGCCACTTGGCAATCAACACCTGGCCTCACTCTCTCCCTCCTCAGTCACCCATGGTGCCTCCCTTTGGCCAGCCCTGCCTGGAAGCCAGAGGCAGGGACGCCCATGATGATGTGGAGCCAGGGCAGGGAACGGCCAGGGGTGAGACTGGGCGGCGGAGCAGAACCAGTTCCACAGGGCCCAGCAGCTCCCCACTGCCCATGGGAGGAGCTGAGTTACCCCACAACTTACGCTCCTGGCGAGTCCCAGACCTCTCCCCAGCCCTCCTATTCACAATCAGGACACTCCTGCCGGGGAGGGGGCGCTGGGGCCTTGCTGCATCCAACTTGCCTGCTCAGAGCTGGGGCCTGCGCCGGGCTCTGTGAGGATGGGTCGATAGGACCAGCCCTGGGCTCTGAGACGCTCTCAGCCTAGTGCACTGGGTGGGAGAGGACTGGGAACAAGAGGCCTGGGCCTGGAAGATGCTTGGCTCCAGGCGCCCATGCCCACCTGTCACCACACACACCTCGGGCCAATGCTAGTGGACCAGGGTGGCAGGCTGAGTCGTTTGGACCTAGCATCTAGAAGCAAGCCAGAGAATCCAGGGAGGAACTGATGGGTGGTGTGGCCGGAAGTAAATTTGGGTTAAATGCAAATAATTTTTAAAAGGTCTAAGCAGGCCAGGCAGGGTGGCTCACACTTGTAATAGCAGCACTTTGGGAGGCCAAGGCAGGTGGATCACTTGAGGTCAGGAGTTCAAGACCAGCCTGGCCAACATGGTGAAACTCCGTCTCTACTAAAAATGCAAAAATTAGCCAGGTATCATGGCACATGCCTGTAGACCCAGCTACTCAGGAGGCTGAGGCAGGAGAATTGCTTGAACCCGGGAGGTGGAGGTTGCAATGAGCTGAGATCGTGCCACTGCACTCCAGCCTGGGTGACAGAGTAAGACTCTGTCTCAAAGAATAGATAAATAAATAAATATTTAAAAATAAAATAAAAAAGAAGGTCTAAGCAGCCATCATCGAAAAAGACACCCCCCCCCCCAACTCTCCAGAGGCACGGGGGACGGGGTCCAGGCGAGACAATGTGGCTGCTTTCTGGGCATGAGCAGAGACCACAGGATGGGGAGAAGGAGCCATCTGGCCTTCTGGAAGGAACAATGTTCTAGACCGAAGGAACAACAAGGGCAAAGGCCCTGAGGCAAGAGCACATTTGGTGAGCACAAGAAGCAACAAGGCAGAGTGTGTGACAGGTAGAGGGGTAGGAGAGAGGCCACAAAGGAGGCCAGGGGCCAAGACACATGGGCTCTCAAAGGAAGGAATGAAAATGGGAGCCACTGAAGGACGCTTAGTAGAGAAGAGACGGCTTCCGTGCTCAGACACTGTGTTTGCACCAGAGGATGGGCAGAGGGTGGGGACGAATATTCTGTCTTCGCTCAAGGGGAAGCTTTCGAAGGCCAAGTCCCAGTGGCCAGGTGTGGTGGCCCACAACTGTAATCCCAGCACTTCAGGAGGCCGAGGTGGGTGAATTATCTGAGGTCAGGAGTTCAAGATCAGCCTGGCCAACATGATGGAACCCCATCTCTACTGAAAAAAAAAAATACAAAAATTAGCCGGGAGTGGTAGCCTGTGCCTGTAATTCTAGCTACTCGGGAGGCTGAGGCATGAGAATCACTTGAACCCGGGAGGCAGAAGTTGCAGGGAGCTGAGATTGAGCCAGCCTGGGTAACAGAGTGAGACTCTGTCTAAATAAATAAATAAATAAATGCCAAGTCCCAGGGAGGGAGAAAGGCTGGGGCAGGGGGTAGAGGCCAGAGGGAGGCCTGGGATATTTGACCTTGGCCCAGAACTCAGGGCTGAGTGCCGCAGACCTCGGCACACCTCCTGGCAGCCCAGGGACAAAGGCTTGGTCCATCTGTCCACCTGTGTACTCCTCCCTCTGTTCCCAGGAGTTTTGTCCCCACCACTGTGACAACACTGACCTTTGAAAATGATCACTGTCAACTGAGCTATATCCCCTCCATGCTGTAGGCTCCTGGGGGGACTCTCTGCTAAATGAAAGTGATTGTCACATGGATCCATCAGCCCTAGGGTCAGGGGCTCTCAGGCATTCAGCCTGGAGGCCCCTCTGTTTCATGCAGGCCTCATCTGCTCAAGGCCAGGCCCCATGCTAGGACACAGCAGCGCAGAGAAAAGTGACTGATGATATGCCACGAATCCCCAGAGCAGGTGCTGAACAATGCTTGAGTAGATGGGATGACCTCTGAGGCTTTGTCACCCCTCAGTAGGTCGCAGTCCCCCGCCGTGGTGGGGAGGGGACACACACCTCCCCAGCTGTCAGCAGTCGAGCTGAGACAGCATCTGTAACCCATGCCTTTTCAGGGAGAGTCCATCAATCGCAGTGTTTGAAGAGGGAGATTGGCTCCTTGGAGGACATGACAGTGAACCTGGGCCTGGAAGGACCAGTGTTGTCTGTGAACCTTGGACTTACCAAGTGGGACTCTCTGGGGCAGGGGCTGGAATTCTGTGTCTGTAACAGCAACTTGGCTGATTCTGAAGGGAGGCACCCCAGGTTGAAGGTGCATCTGGAGCAGAGGCCCAGCAGGGGTCTGGCAGAGTGTGTCTGGGGGACAATGCATGGAGCTGTGCAGTGGACAGGGAGAAAACCACAGGTAATAGCCCTGGGAAGGAAGGTGCATGGGGTCGAATAACCAAACGAAGGAACTAACGCACAATGTGGCATGCCCACGCGCATACAGCTGCAGCCCGTGTGGGCATGGAAGATCCCACAGGCCCCTACTTATCAGAATCGCTTCTTGGGAGGTATCCCGAGCCTATGGATTTTGACCAGGTGAAGGCCTCCCGAATACCCAGGAGAGGAAATTAATTAAAATGCATCACGGCTGGGCGCGGTGGCTCACACCTGTAATCCCAGCACTTTGGGAGGCCGAGGGAGGCGGATCACGAGGTCAGGAGATCGAGACCATCCTGGCTAACACGGTGAAACCCCATCTCTACTAAAAATACAAAAGATTAGCCAGGCGTGGTGGCAGATGCCTGTAGTCCCAGCTACTCAGGAGGCTGAGGCAGGAGAATGGCGTGAACCCGGGAGGTGGAGCTTGCAGTGAGCAGAGATCGCGCCACAGCACTCCAGCCTGGGCGAAAGAGCAAGACTCCGTCTCAAAAAAAAAAGGCATCAGGCCGGGCATGGTGGCTCACACCTGTAATCTCAGCACTTTGGGAGGCCAAGGTGGGCAGATCACTCGAGGTCAAGAGTTCGAGACCAGTTTGGCCAACATGGTGAAACCCCATCTCTACTAAAAATACAAAAATAAGCCAGGCATGGTGGCAGGCACCTGTAATCCCAGCTACTTGGGAGGCTGAGGCAGGAGAATCACTTGAACCCGGGAGGCGGAGGCTGCAGTGAGCTGAGATCGCACCACTGCACTCCAGCCTGGGTGACAGAGCGAGACTCTGTCTCAGAAAAATAAAATAAAGTGCATCAGTATGTTCATCAGCTGGCCGAACAGGTGGACCTATTTGACGCTGCGAGGTAAGTTCTGTTACCACGTGCGAGGTAAGTTCTGTTGGGAGCTGAGAAAGACAGGCCTCCAGAATGACATGGGGCAGAACTGGAAGAGAAAACTTGGCCGATTAGGCCATTGTGTCCATGGGGGACTGCCCAGGAGGCAATCAGAACACCGAATGGGGGAATCCAGTCATTTGTGGCTTGCTGGGTGGAAGGTGCTGGCTGGGGCATCGGGAGGCCGGGGTTCAGTCCTGGGCTTACCACCCTCTGCAAGTGGGACTTTGGTTGGTTCTCTGTCTCTGTTTGGGACCAAATTCTTCACCTATTAAGTGGGAGCCTGGGGCTGGGTGTGGTGGCTCATGCCTGTCATCCCAGAACTTCGAGAGGCCAAGTGGGAGGATCACCTGAGGCCAGGAGTTCAAGACCAGCCATGGCAACATAGCTGGACACTGTCTCTACCAAAAAAAAAAAAAAAAGTGGGAGCCTAGACCAGTTATCTCAGCATAACTTTCCAGCTCCAAACATTAAGAAAACCAGCCTCATTCTACCTCTTCCTTGGGAGGACTCTGGAGAAACCCTGGGTGTGGCAGGGTTTTCTCCCTGCCAATATGCTTGGCATTCAGGAAGAGCAGGATGTCACTGAGGCTCTTGCCGCCGGCGCCCGGGCCAGGAGGCCTGCAGGCCCGCCTGGAGCAGGTGAGGATTCAGGATGTGAGTGGGTTTTTCCCTGAAGCTTCTCAGGCCAGAGCCGAGGGAAATATCAGCATCCTGGCAGTTTGCCACCTGAGTCAGCCCAGCTTTGGCTCATTCGAGGAAAACTAACTGCAGGAAGCTAGGAAGTCTGATGTGTGGCAGGATGTGTGTGTGTGTGCGTGTGGGAAGGCGCATGCCCTTGTATGGGCCTATCCATGGGAAAGGGTTCACAGGTGTGCGATGCTGGCATTCGTCTGATACATACCATCGTGGCCATAACAGCCTTAAAATATTCTAAAGCTTCCTTACCTGCTGGTAAAAGCCACCGGCCTCAACACCCCCTGAGGGCCCCCTGCTGCCCCAGCTCCCTCCCTGGACCCCTGGGACCTCCCCCATGAGCCTCCAATTGAAGGGTTAACTCTCAACCCTGCACCAGCAAAAGCAAGAGAGTGTTCTGGTTGGTGGAAAGAACAGGGGACCCTCCCTGTTGTTACACATCTTGACAATTGCCCTGTGACTATGTACATGTGTGTATGTCCATGTGAAGGTTTGCATCTTCAAGCTCATACAGGCCAGCTTCACTAGAGAGCCTGTCACTCATCTCACCACAGCAGTTTAATAAAAGGTGTCCCCTTCCATGGTTTCAGAGGAAGGAGTCTGAAGTTTGGAGGCAGGAGAAAGGGGTTCCCTGCCCAGCAGGGCTCAGGGGCCCAGGTAGGAAAAGTAGCTCAGAGAAGCTGACAACCTGCCGAAATCACTCAGCTAGTAAAGAGAGGAGCTGAGGTTTGAACCCAAACATCCTGGATTGCACTAAGCCTGGGGTTTTATACTCTGAATCAGCCTGGGGATGAACAGCAGCTGCACCTCAGCTCAGCTTCCCAGCTTGCAAAGGTTTCTGACATCTATGGAGCCTCCCAACTCATTCATTCAGTAGGTGAGGTCCTGCGAGCCTAAGTGGCAGAGCCAGGGCTCAAACCCAGATATCAGTGACTCAGTGACTGGGTTCTTAGCATTGTCCCCACAGGCAGCAAAATGGGCACAGGGACTGTGGGGCACAAGCTATCTTCTCACTTGTGATATGCAGCATCACACACACTGGGCCAGCATTTTCTTAGGTCACTGAAAACCTGCTAAGATGCATGTATCACTGACCAAAACAAGGGAGACCAAAAGATGGGAGCAACCCAAATGTCCGTCAACTGATGAATGGGTAAACAAAATGTGGTATGTCCAGACAGTGGAATATTATTCAGCCATAAAGAGGAACAAAATACTGATACCTGCTACAATGTGGATAAACCTTGAAAACACCATGCTAAGTGAAAAAAGCCAGACAAAAACCACATATGGTATGATTCCATTTATATGAAATTTTCCGAGTAGGTAATTCCATAGAGGCAGAACACAAATTGGTGGTTGCCAGGGGCTGGGAGGAAGGGGGAATGGGGAGCGAGCGGTAATGAGCACAGGGGTTTCTTTTGGGTGATGCAAATGTTTTGGAACTAGATAGAGGTGGTGGTCGTACAGCACTTTGAATGTACTAAATGCCATTGCATTGTACGCTTTAAAATGGTTAATTTTATCTTATATGAATTTCGTCACAGTTTTTAAAAAAACAAGGGAGAGGCTGGGCACAGTGGCTCACGCCTGTAATCCCAGCATTTTGGGAGGCAGAGGCAGGAGGATCACTTTAGCCCGGGAGTTCGAGACCAGTCTGGGCAACATAGTGAGATCCCTCCTCTATAAAAAATAAATAAACAAACAAATAAATAAAAACAATGGGCCAGGCATGGTGGCTCACGCCTGTAATCCCAGCACTTTGGGAGGCTGAGGTGGGTGGATCGTGAGGTCAGGAGATCAAGACCATCCTGGCTAGCCCAGTGAAACCCCATCTCTACTAAAAACACAAAAAATCAGCTGGGCGTGGTGGCACATACCTGTAGTCCCAGCTACTCAGGAGGCTGAGGCAGGAGAATTGCTTGAACCCGGGAGGCAGAGGTCGCAGTGAGCTGAGATCTTGCCACTGGACTCCAGCCTGGGCAACAGAGTGAGACTCCATCTCAAAAAAAAAACAAAAAAACAAAAAAACAAGGGAGAAAGGCAATTATACTGTAATATTTTAAAATAAAAAAGCTATAATGTATTAAATTTTGCTATATGCTAGACTCTATAAGAATACAATCAGAACAACATTACATTAAAGCCTCTTGGGTTCTGCCTTGACTCTCCAGCCAGGACCATTCCTCCAGGACCGAACCCTGCCATCAACTTGCTGACCTCCCCACCTCCCCCAAACCCGTGAGGAAAACTGATACACAGTCCTTTCTCTAGACTCCAATTCCTGTTACAGTTGATTGGTCCAAGGGTGGGCAGCTTAGCTAAACTGTACCAGAATCCTTTCTCAAAAATGAAACTGGAACTAGGTGTGGGGGCGTGCGCCTGTAGTCCCAGCTATTAGGGATGCTGAGGTGGGAGGAGTGCTTGAACCCAGGAGTTTGAGGCCAGCCAGAGCAACACAGTGAGACCTCATCTCTAAAAAAATAATAAAAATGACAAGTGTTGCAACTGGAACTGAGCCAGATTATCTCTGCCTGGCTAAAGCTGTAGGACGTAAAGCTTAGAAATCGTGCTGGCCACGTTTCCTGCTGTAGGGAAAAGCCAGACTGCAGGAAATGGGAAGGAAGGCAAGGCACGAGACAAGAGAGACAGAGTCTTGATGGAGGAGTGGGAGTCCTCAGTTCCAGAAAAGCCGAAGAAGCCACAGGACATCTGCCCTTCCATGGGCTTGGTTGTTAGCCTGTTCTTCCCCTCATGGGACTCAATTCTTCCACTGAAATAAGCGTTGAATGGTTGGGTGAAAACCAACATGGTCATGATATGTTTTATTTAATGCACTGCTAAATTAAGTTTAATATTTAGATTTGTATATTTTTGCATCTATGTACATAAGACCAGCCTGTAATTTTTTTTCCTTCTTCTGTTCTTGTGTGGTAATTGGTCTTAATATAAGCTCTTTTTTTTAAATTCTATTTTTCTGGAAGAATTTATCAAGAATAGGTAAAAAGTCACAGTGTGATTTTTTTTAAATTCTCTGGGATAATTGTTTTGTTTTCAGTAGTGCTTTATCTATTAGTTCAAAACAGAGGACTCCATATGGTATGGAGCTTAAAACAACCACTATTTTATTTTATCTCGTGATTTTGTGGGTGAAGAATTCAAGCAGAGTTCAGCTGGATGGTTCTTCCACTCTGTGTAGGTCAACTGAGGCTACCTGGTGTTATTCAGCTGGTGAATGACCTCGTCTAGAGGATCCAAAATGGCCTCGCTTACATGTCTGGCACCTGGATGGGGATGGCAGAAAGAATGGCCCAGTTGGCCAGGTGCAGTGGCTCATGCTTATAATCCCAGCCCTTTGGGAGGCCAAGGTGGGTGGATCACTTGAGGCCAGGCATTCAAGACCAGTCTGGGCAACATGGCAAAACCCTGTCTCTACTAAAAATACAAAAAAAAAAAAAATAGCTGGGTGTGTTAGCACGCGCCTGTAATCCCAGCTACTTGGGAGGCTGAGGTGGGAGAATTGGTTGAACCTGGGAGGCGGAGGTTGCGGTAAGCCAAGATCGCGCCACTGCACTCCAGCCTGGGCGACACAGTGAGACTCCATATCAAAAAAAAAAAAAAAAAAAAATTATGGGACAAAGATTTCCCTCATTCAGTGGGAAAGTAACATCATTTTATAAGCATCCATCACAAATACATATACTTTAAACTACTGCTTCAATTTCTTGAACAGTTTATTTTAAATTTTCGATTTCTACTTGAGTCCATTTTCTAGGAAATTTAGGAAATTGTCCATTTTATGCATCTTCATATTTACTAGCATCAATCTTTTCTTTTCTTTTCTTATTTTTTTTTTTACACAGAGGGGGTGTAGCTATATTGCCCAGGCTAGTCTCAAACTCCTGGCCTCAAGCTATTCTCCCACATCAGCATCCCATCGTGCTGGGATTACAGGCATGAGCCACTGCGCTTGGCCACATCAACTTTTTAATAATACACTTAAAAAAAAAATCTCTGGTTTATGATTGCACTACTGCACTCCAGCCTGGATGACAGAACAAGACCCTGTCTCTAAAACAAACAAACAAAAAGAACCATTTTTTAAAAAATCAGCACTCCCTGAAGTTTGTCTAATAATCTTTTTTTCACTTGAAACACCAGAAATTAGATTTTATTTTAAAGCTATAATAATTAAACAGCATATGAGTGAATGCAATAATAGGAGAAAATAATCAATGATACATGAAACATCGCCTGCAATATAAGCAGGTTCCAGGATAACATTAGGTTTCTGTAATGTTCTCATCACTTTCTTGACTTTAAAAAAAATTGTGGTAAAACATATAAAATTAATCATTTTAACCATTGTTAAGTATACAGCTCGGTGACATTAAGTATATTCACACTGTTGTGCAGCCATCACCACCATCCATCTCCACAAGTTTGCTTTTTTTTGTTTTTGTTTTTGTCTCTTGTCACCCAGACTGGTGTGCAGTGGTGTGATCTTGGCTCACTGCAACTTCTGCCTCCTGGGTTCAAGCGATTCTCCCACCTCAGCCTCCCAAGTAGCTGGGACTACAGGCATGTGCCACCATGCTTGGCTAATTTTTGTATTTCTAGTAGAGACAGGGTTTCACTGTGTTGGCCAGGCTGGTCTTGAACTCTTGACCTCAGGTGATCCACCCACCCCAGCCTCCCAAAGTGCTGGGATTACAGGTTTGAGCCACTGCAGCCGGCCCAGAAGTTTTTCATTCTACAAAACTGAAACTCTATACCCATCAAACAATAACGCCTCATTCCCTTGTCTGTGGCAACCATCCATTCTACTTTCTGTGTGAATTTCACTACCCTAAGTACTTCATATAAATGGAATCATACAGTATTTGTTTTGTTGTGCCTGGCTTATTTCACTTAGCCTGTCTTCAAGATTCATCCGCATTGTAGCATGTGTCAGAATTCCCTTACTTTTAAAGGCTGAATAATATTCTCTTCTATGTCTGTACCATATTTTATCTTTCCTTCCGTCAGTGGACATTTGGGTGCTTCCACCTTTGCCTATTTCGAAAAATGTTGCTATGAATATAAGTGTACAAATATCTATTTAAGTCCCTGCTTTCAATTCTTTTGGGTCTGTAACCAGAATTGGAATTGCTGGATCATATGGTAATTCCATGTTTAATTTTTTTGACAAACTGCCATGCTTTTTGTAAAAGAGCCCACTTTTTGTCTGTGTCGATCTTCTTTGTTTTGTTTCTCATTAATTTCTGTGGTTATCCTTGATACTTTCCTTCTACTTTCTTTGAGCTTATTCTATTCTTTTGCTAGCCTAAGTTGGATGCTTAGCTTATTTATTTTTAGCCTTTCTACTTTTCCATTATAAGCATTTTAAGGCTATAAATTTTTTTTTTTAGATGGAGTCTTGCTCTGTTGCCCAGGCTGGAGAGCAGCGGCACAATCTCAGATCACTGCAACCTCCACTGCCCAGGTTCAAGCGATTCTCATGCCTCAGCCTCCTGAGTAGCTGGGACTACAGGTGCCTGCCACCACACCCAGCTAATTTTTGTGTTTTGAGTAGAAACAAGGTTTCACCTTGTTGGCCAGGCTGGTCTCGAACTCCTGACCTCAGGTGATCCACCCACCTTGGCCTCCCAAAGTGCTGGGATTACAGGCATGAGCCGCCACACCCGGCCAAGGCTATACATTTCTAAGTACTGCTTAAGTTGTACCTCATTTTGAAATGTAGAATTTTCTTTCATTCAATCCTAAATATTTTCTAGATTTTCGTTATGATTTCTTCTTACCCATGTGTTATTAGAAGTGGATTTTAATTTTCTAAACAGTTATTTTTAAAGTTGTATTTTTGGAATTATTTTCTAGGTCAATATGATAGGATTTTTAAAGTAGTTGTTGAGATTTACCCTATGATCTAACAGGTAGTCAATCCTAATTATCTATTTAATTAATATCTTCTTAATTGATATTTGTTAGTAACTTTATTACACTAATATCATTAATTTGTTGTTTATATAATTATATATTTGTATTTACAATTATATATTATAACCACATAGTTATATTGTTTATTAATTTGTGATTAATAATAGTGCTGATTAATATTTAATATTTCAAATGTGCATTCTCTACTTGCTGGGTCTAATGTTCTATGTATATACAAGAGATCAAACTTGTTAATTCTGTGGTTCAAATCTTCTATTGTCTGGTTGATTTCTCAATTACCAGAAGTATATTAAAATCTCTATAATAATGGATTTCTTATTCTTACCATTGTTAATTCTTACTTGATGCATTTTCATGCTATGCCTGCATCAGTTCTTACATATTAAAGTTGGTATATGTTGTAGGCCAGGCATGGTGGCTCATACCTGTAATCCCAACACTTTGGAAGGCAGAGGCAGGCAGATCACTTGAGGCCAGGAGTTCGAGACCAGCCCGGCCAACATGGCAAAACCCCATCTCTACTAAAAATACAAAAATTAGCTGGGTGTGGTGGCACATGCCAGTAATTCCAGGATTTGAACACAGATGTTTGAATACACAGCCTGGGTAAATTTCACTACATCTTGTTGATTTCTCTCAAAGAGTGGTTTTAAAAAAGAAGGAGCAACCAACTCAAAACCAGTGCACTTAACGAAAACACAACCAGCCAGGCGCAGTGGCTCACGCCTGTAATCCCAGCACTTTGGGAGGCCAAGGCAGGCGGATCACCTGAGGTCAGGAGTTCAAGACCAGCCTGGCCAACATAGTGAAACCCCATCTCTACTAAAAATACAAAAAATTAGCCAGGCGTGGTGGCGGGCGCTTGTAATCCCAGCTACTCAGGAGGCTGAGGCAGGAGAATCACTTGAACCCAGGAGGCAGAGGTTGCAGTGAGTGGCGATTGCGCCACTGCACTCCAACCTGGGCGACAGAGTGAGACTCTGTCTCTAATTAATTAATTAATTAATTAATTAAAATAAAATAAAAAATAAAAAAGGAGCAAAATGTTAAGCCTGACAAGTCGGGAGGGGTCCATGACAGTGAGGAAGACCAAGGTCTGCCTTGTGGAAACAGGATTAGATGTCTAGAGTTAGCTCCACAAGCTGCAATAGCACCAATGGGTGGGGTTAAAAGGAAGCAGATTCCAGCCTAGTAAGAATGTGCTCACAGTTAAAGCAGCTTAAAATGGAATGTTTCTTGGAGAAATAAGAAAAGAATAATGGGAATGTGCCAAATGGCCTTTATTAGGGTATTGGTTAGCTAAATGATGCTGTATTAATACAGCCAGATCTTAAAAATTATATTCAAGAATGTAAAGCGATGGAGAAATGTTCAGTAGAAAAAGTAAAAAAGAAGCTGGGTGCAGTGGCTCGTGCCTGTAATCCCAGCACTTTGGGAGACCGAGACAGGTGGATCACCTGAGGTAAGAGTTCAAGACCAGCCTGGCTAACATGGCAAAACCCCATCTCTACTAAAAATACAAAAATTAGCCGGGTGTGGTGGTGTGCACCTGTAATCCCAGCTACTTGGGAGGCTGAGGCAGGAGAATCGCTTGAACCGGGGAGGGGGAGGTTGCAGTGAGCCAAGATTGGGCTACTGCACTCTAGCCTGGGTAACAGAGAGAGACTCCGTCTCAGAAAAAAAAAAAAAAAAAAAAAAGGGAAAAAGAGGATTTAAAAAGTATGAATACATGATTTCACTTATATGGGTCTAGAATAGGCATATCCATGGAGACAGAAAATATAGTAGTTTCCGGGGATTAGGGGATGGGGGGAAGGAGGCAGAAAGGAAGATGGGAATCACTGCCAATGGGTACAGGGTTTTTCAGGGTGATGAAAGTGTTCTAAAATTATATAGTGGTGATGGTTGTACAACCCTGTCAATATACTAAAAACCACCAAATTGTGTATTTTTAAAAGGTGAATTTTATGGTACATAAATTATATCGTGAGGAGAAAAAGTTATAAGGAGTAAGAAGATTGTAATATATTCGTATATATACAACATGTAATTGTACATACTAAAGAATAGTATGCTTATTAAAAAAAAAACTTACACATACAGTGGGACCCCATGTTGTAAACCCTATCTCTGCATCCATATGGTGAGAAAAAAATTCCAAAAGGAAATACAGAGTCTCAGCTATAGTTTATAGGTTATGGGTCATTTGACATCACAAATTTTAAATAATCAACAGCATTTCTATTAAATTCAGAAAAATGCTTTTGTAAAAATGGGAATGGGTTGGCCAGGCACGGTGGCTGATGCCTGTAATCTCAGCACTTGGGGAGGCTGAGGCGGGTGGATCACAAGGTCAGGAGATTGAGACCATCCTGGCTAACACGGTGAAACCCCGTCTCTACTAAAAATACAAAAAATTAGCAGGGTGTGGTGGTGAGCGCCTGTAGTCCCAGCTACTCGGGAGGCTGAGGCAGGAGAATGGTGTGAACCTGGGAGGCGGAGCTTGCAGTGAGTGGAGATCAGGCCACTGCACTCCAGCCTGAGCGACAGAGCAAGACTCCATCTCAAAAAAATAAAAATAAAAATGGGAATGGGCTGTTAATTAACTTCTTGTCATTGAAAGGGAGAAAGCCCAAGTTCTGCCTTGTGGAAACAGGATTAGATGTCCAGTGTTAGAAGTATTCCAAGTTTGAGAATCACCAGATATGGATACCTGCACTCAGAGGAAGTTTTACCTATATGACCTGTTCCTTTTAACTAAGATATGATTTTATAATTACTTTTTTACTTATTTTCCATTTTTAAAACAATCTATCTCAAATCTTGATTCTGATATGTCTATGCAGGAAAAAATCTATCTTTTGCTAAAAAATGCAGTAACTTAAAAAAAATCACAACTTGAAGGGTATACAAAGACTCAAAATGAAAAATCAGTTTAAAAGCAAACATGCTTACATACAGCCAGGATCTAAAGATCTTGTTGTAACAAAATGTTCAAATAATTATATTGCTAGAGGAAACTCTGGATTTTCCTTTTAGCCTTTGTAAAACTGAAAATAAAACTAAGATATGATATTGAAAAGACTATCTGGGGCTGGGTACAGTGACTCATGCCTATAATCCCAGCACTTTGGGAGGCCAAGGCGGACAGATGACCTGAGGTCAGGAGTTCAAAACCAGCCTCGCCAACATAGTGAAACTCCGTCTCTATTAAAAATACAAAAATTAGCCAGACGTGGTGGTGTGCGCCTGTAGTCCCAGCTACTCAGGAGGCTGAGGCAGGAGAATTGCTTGAACCCAGGAGGCGAAGGTTGCAGTGAGCCAAGATCACACCACTGCACTCCAGCCTGAGTGACAGAGCAAGACTCTGTCTCAAAAAAAAAAAAAAAAAAAAAAAAAAATTATCTGAGCCAAGGCACAGTGGCTCACACTTGTAATCCCAACACTTTGGGAGGCCAAGGTGGGAGGATTTGTTGAGCCCAGGAGTTTGAGACCAGCCTAAGCAACATGTGAAACCGCGTCTGCATAAAAAAATTTAAAAATTAGCTGAGCACAGCAGCACATCCCTGTAGTCCCAGCTACTGGGGGGGCTGAGGTGGGAGGATCATTTGAACCTGGGAGGTGGAGGCTGCAGTGAGCTGTGATTGTGCCACTGCACTCCAGCCTGAGTGAGAATGAGACCCCACCTCAAAAGAGAAAAAAAAAACCCCACAATCTGAATGTGTCAATTCACACTCATTCCTAAGGTTCCTGACACAAAGAACATAATTCTCATGAGGAAAACTGCCACTTGATTTAATCAGAGTTCAGGGGCTTTAATGGGAGTTCTGGTCCATGAGCTAACTCCTCCCACTCCTTGGCAGAGAGTTGAGGGCAGTGGGAGAGAAGCACCAAGCTATAAAAAGCTTTATGTTTTATTTCCTTCTAAGGCATCCTGAGTCATTGGGTGCTCCAGCCCCCCAGTGCCCGGGAAAGTTCAGCTTGAATCGGAAATGTGTGTGTGTTTTTCTAAACCGGAGCTGCTGAAAACCAGATGATGTCACTTGGACTGAATCCCTTACAGGCCCAGTGGTAGCCTCCTATTTCCGTCCTGGGAGAATGGAAGTCACTTAACAATCAGTTTCTCTGACCCAGGTTCCAATATTACATCACGTCTTAATAGCAAGCTTAACCTCCACTCCACCTCCAACATGAAGCTGGTGAGAATTTTTAAATCCCATTTGTCATCTCAAAGGACACAGCACTCCTACACAATTTTGCCTCCCATCCTTTAGGCTGCAATTTCATCTATCTAAACACAAAGTGATGCCAAACCAGGTCGGTCATAATCCTAGAAAGCCACAGGCAGAAGGTACCAAGTCCAATATGATCTTACCAAGGAGGATACCAAGGCCTGGGAAAGGTAAAGAACCTGCCTGAGGCTGGAGGGACAGAACCAAATCCAGAAGCCAGGTCTAAAGCCTCAGAGCAGAGGGCCGTCTCCACGGTGATGACCATGTCCTTATAGTCCCAGCTCCTATGTGCAGGAGGGGCTCTTTAAATGCTTTCTGGAGATGTGTCTCAAGCCTTCTGTCGAAAGCAGGGCCTTATCCCGCCCCGCTTTTCAGCCCTCTCACTCCTTCTGGGCAGAGTGGGAAACACACGAGGCAGCTGGAAAAGGCCTTTCTGGAAGCAAAGGGGGCAGAAGCAGGCAGCCTCTCCTGCTACATCTAAGAACCAGGGTCTGGGCCAGTGTTGACTAAGGGGAAGGCTTCAATGCCAAGGTCCTAAATTGTACTTGCATCCCACCCCACTTTCCTCAGCTGTCCCGCTCTTGACATGAACCAAGGTATCATCTTGGTTGTCATCTAAAATTCCCATCTTATTGAAAAAAATGTATTTCTTTATACAAGTCCTAAAGAGGCTTGGATTGGGGTTAAAAGGAAACTAATCCTTATGGTGTAAATTTTCCGCATAAAAAGCAAGCATGGACAAGTTAATAGGCTAAGAGAATAGGTTAAAATGTCAGCTATTAACACTCAAACTACTTAAAACTAGGGTAAGACGGTTGTGGGATGTGTCTACGGTTATTTCTGGCCCCTCACTCTCACAGTACTAGAGACCCAGTGAAATTACATCTGAGGGCAGGTCTATCTTGTTGAGAGCAAAAGGAATTGAAAGCTATGCAAGCTAGAAACCTACACAGTTCGCAGTTAGAGATGAAAGGCTGCAGAAATGTTTATTGAATACAGTGCCAGGTTTATAAATAAAACGTATTTACAATTTCCATAGAGTTGGTCCCCCATCAGAGAGGTGGTTAAATCTCCAAACAGTTTATCTCAAGATTTACAGAAACGTCCAAGTACATCTCCTTTTCAAATAGCCATGGTGAAGGGCAACTTCAGTAACAAAAGAACTACCACCATCTTTGCTACAGAAGTGTTTAATAAACATCATAATAGATTTGGAGAAAGAACACACACTCCACCCATGCCACTACCTTCTTACTCCAAGGGATACAGACAGCAAAGAATTTCTGTCTCCTACAGGACAACTTCAGGGGATTAAAAAAACAGTAACTGCCAGCTGGAGGGATAGATTAAGACACATTAGTGGAAATCTAGTCACTGCCAAAGGAGAAATATATTTAGGATATACAATAAATAATTCAAATGCTTAAAATAATTGAATGAACGGAAGAGTAGACTTGACCAAATTTACATTCGTTGTTCAGGAAGAGATTCCCAGTATGCTGAGGGGTTCGTGGTAAGCTATTCCTCTGACGAGACACAGCAGCGCTGGGCCTACTGCACAGCCGTTCATTACAATATTGTTACAAGTACAATCAGACATGCATTTATAAAGAGAATATAAAAATATGTACAATAGCTCATTTTCAATGTGTGTAAGTTGCCGAAAGACACCAATGAAAGTGTGCAAAAATTCATTTGTCAAAAAATCAGAAAAAGCCTTCCTTGGCAACAGTGCATCAAAAGCCCATCTGAAATATCGAGATCCATTTGCCTCGCTCAACACCTACCCCAAACAGATGGAGAACAAAACTATGAAAGGGTTTGCCAAGTACTCAGCAGTTTCTTATGGCAAGTCTCAGGCTAAAGCAGGATGCCAGTTCAACTAATCACTTTATATATAAATATATGTATATATTTATAGAGTAGTTAGAAGTAGGGGCAAGAGTTTACAGGAAGGTCCTAACCAACTTCAAGGGCACTGCCAGGACACCCAGCTATTTCCTCTCACAAACTCATGCAGACTAACACCCAACGCCTGGGCTGGTCATCCCCCCAAATACCAGGGCGGAAGGCTACAGTGGATTCTGCCTCACCTCTGCTCAAAACTGGAACTCAGCATTCCCTGGAGGGGGAGGGTGTAGGGTTTCTGGTTCCCAGACAGGATCCTGGCCATACAAGAATCCTGTTTCAAAGGTAGTCTTTTAGGATACGCTGCAGGACCACTAAGAGTCCACCCAGCTTCTAAAGACTTGAGGGTTAGAAGGCTACATTTCGAAAAAACAAGTCAAATATCCCCCTCCAGCCCCCTTTGAAACTACCGAGAGGTCATCGACCACAGGCCTGAGACTGGGTCAGCAATCAGGCTCTTTGACCACCCCCTGCCACAAGAAATATCCAGGACATTAACTTACTCAAACCAGGAACCCTATCTCACCAGAAGAGAAACCCCAAGGTAACCTTAGGCATTCCTTTCAGATTCAGGTAATTACAAAAGCCAACCCTTAGCTCATAGTGTCAACATCTCCTCTACCAACCACCCAGCCCAAGGACCAGTAGCAGAAGCACATGGGCGATGTCTCCCCTCCACTGCTCTGACCCACCCCTCTGGCAGAAAATCTAACAAGCTACAAAATGCCAGAAAGACAGGGAGTAGGAGAAGGAGAAGCCAAGGGTCTCTATAAATCAGCCCTGAATGCACCCATTTGGCTGCCAAGAGCTTCTCACTGCCTTGCTAGCAGCCTGCCACTGTTCCCTGGCAAATTGAAACCACCCACGCAAACACTCAAAACCCCAATCTCCTTGCTAATAAGATACAACCAGTTAACACCGTGAAAAATGCACATCTCCAGCCTTCATTTCAAAAAAGAGCTCTGTACTAAATGCAATATGCTTTTAAAGGGGGTTTTACAGGGACCAATCTCAATGCAAAGACCAGTACCAGATGTCTGAGTTTTGGTTACAGGTTTATAATTAGACACAAAATTCACTCCACACTGGAGTTTTACTTTCAAGCTGGAAGCTAGCATTAGTTCTACTTGGGGGGAAAAAAGCAAAGTCAAGTCAACTTGGGAAAAAAAAAAAAAGGAGGAGGAGGCTAAGTATAATCATAAATTAAAAGTCGCGAATCAAAGGTGACTGGTAGTGTCTTTTAGGCATGAAGAGACTGGCTTACAAAAGTGACTACTGCTTCTACCACACACAGCGAAGATTGAATTACAGACACACTAAATCATGTCTCTTGCAGATGGTCTCAAGTAGTTACATAAGACAGGTAATCAGCAGCACAATTGAGAACAACCCCTAAATACATGCTTGAGAGAAAGTGGGTTTTTTTTTTTCCTTAAGAGCTCTACTGCCTGAATAGATCATTAAAAGTTACCATAATTCACCTTCCCCCCTCCCCCCAGTGAAAATGCAACTAGACCTACATGTCCATAAATAGGATGAAGCAATCGGTATCTGCTTGTTTTCAGGCAAGGTCTTGGGCTCAGAGGTTGGTGCTGGGGCCTTGGGAGGGAAACCCAATGCTGGGCTGTGGGCATTTACATGTACACTGGCCTCCCCTCCACCTGCCTTGTCCCCATTTAGATCTCAGCTTTACAAAGCATTTAACACCACTTTAAGTTAATGGTCTTTTTATTGGAAAAAAAAAAAAAAAGACTAGCATTTACAACTTGGAATGGACGTAAACTGTAATTTCTTTGAACAGCAATGTTGATGGTTGTGCTGAAGTCCACAGCCACAGCCTACTCTGCCGGCTCCAAGTCATGGTTCAGAAGGTTTTAAAAACAGAGAGTCCAAAGATGCTCCCTTGGTAAATGTTTCTTATTAAAAATTTGTGTGAACAGTGACAGCCTGACACCTGTTTCACTCTAGAACAATGCAGACAACGCTAAACCAACATACACGGGCATGCCACCAGGGTGTGTCATCGTCACCATGGGTCGGAGCACACGAAGTACAAGAGGACCATCCTACCAGTGGGGCCACGTCTCAACGGTTTATCCTTCACCCATTTTTCTGCACGTCATCCTGAGGTAAACCAATTTTAAATGTGTTTGTTTTCAGTAAACCAGCTATGACAATTTATACTAAACAAATTGAACTAGAACCCATTTGAATAGGTTTTGAATTTGTTTTTTCATTTTTCATTTTTAATACAAAGGCCTGACTGTGCTCAATCGTCAAGCTGCATGCATGAAAAACTGGCCAGCCCAAACAGTGTATTAATCATTAGCAAATGGAACTTTAAGGAGTCCTTATCATTAAGGTAGTACAAGTATTTATATTGTAAAACTGATGTGTAGCTTGATCTTTAGGGGACAGGACCACCAACCAATACATGCAGATTTTGTGTGTGTGGACAGAAGGTACTTTTGACATTCAGTTTTGCTATATAGAAACAGAATGAATAAATGAACTTTTTTCTTTTTTCTTTTTTTTGCAAGAGGTAAGTAAAAGATTCAATTTGATTCTTCTAGAGGGGGGAAAAAGGAGTTGAAAGTAGGTCTTCATTTTGCAGTCATCATCTGTACGAATTCTGAAAAGACAAATATAATAGTAACTTTTGGTTATCTTTGAAAACAGCTTTAATGAACACAACATCTTTACTGTACATAAAATAAAGTCAAAGGCTGTCTAGTGAAGCAGTTGGCTTGCTTACAGATCTAAAGGTAAGACTATGAAACACTGAGCTCAGAGAATTTAGTTTTACCTTCATAGTTGACTTGTCCGTCTCCATCAATATCTGCTTCTCTGATCATTTCATCTACTTCTTCATCTGTTAGTTTTTCTCCTAAGTTTGTCATGACGTGACGTAGTTCTGCTGCACTGATATAACCATTGCCATCCTGTGAACATTCAGCAATTGTTATTGCTAATGATGTAGTGTGGGGAAGTAGGTCTTTGACTTAGCTATGCCCTCTCAAGTTACTGCTAACTCTGCTGCCATAAACAATTCTCTGATCTCTAGTTCCCACCTCTAACCTACTAAATACATGCAAACAGCTAATGCAGAAAACAGGATTTGCAAAAGCTCACAACAATTCAAAGTAACAGTCAAGAAACATGGTCCAAAATTCCTATTTATTATGCCTACCCTCCCCTGATACGGTTACCATAAGGAGGATTTTTGAAAGTGAGATCAGAGGCTCAGGCAGTTAGATTTAAGTCTTCTGTCTATAACATTATTATAGCTTTTAGAAGTGAAAGCGGAAGAAGCCATACTTAAGTACCATCTGCTATGTAGATGCTGGATTACCTTGTCAAAGACTCGGAATGCCTCACGGATTTCTTCTTCACTATCTGTATCTTTCATTTTTCTAGCCATCATAGTCAAAAATTCGGGGAAGTCAATGGTGCCATTACCTCGAATTAAAAAACAAAAAGCTCATGTAAAGTAAGCACTCCATTAACGCTGCTCTGCAGTAATCATTTCAGAACCACTGTACGGAACGGTAAACATGTACTAGGACAAAGGGGCAGACTATCTTACTAGGTTCAATCATCTGCAGGTCTAAAACGTTCAAACACTTCACAGGGCAATTTCACATAATTTCAAACTCATCATCAGTGCCCAGGATAGTATTTAATTATACAAAGGAAACTGCACATCTGGATTCAAGCCCATGGAAGGGTCATGAAGGGCTGTACAGTTCAAGAGAAAAATAGCATACACCACTCCGCAGGCTGAATCTTTCCACTCCGAGGGAAGAAAGCGCCCCCGACTGCCATCCCTGAGTTAGGGAAATCACTCAGGTCTCACTCTGCCTTGGTTAGTGACAGCAGTAACACAAAAAAGGCCTAGAACTGAGCTGCAGGTTAAGTGTATAAAGTGTTTCAGAGGAGAAAAGATTATGAGAGAGGAACATTGATTCTGTTATGCCATGCATGGGCCATGAAGTCTTACCAAGTCTTCTCCAGGATCATTTCTTGGCCACGCTATGATGGTTAGCCACCTGTTTTCTTCCAACTCAGTATCTTTATTTCCCATTAAGGGAAAAGCTCAGGAGCATTCTCACAGCTCAGACTAGTAACACTTAGGGAACTGTCAGAACAATCTGTTCTACGGCCAGTACTCCAAACAACTCCTCTTTAAAACTAAGAGATGAATACCCCCAAAGACAAGCACTCCAGACTAACAGTGTCATTGAACTAAATGGAAATAAAATTAGAAAGAAAAACCCTTAGGTTAAGTTACTCATTTTCACCAGTACCTTTCAAAGAAAATACCTCAGGGATCCCTTCAAGACTTTTTTAGCCTCAAAAATTTTAAGATATTGTTCATATTCATCAAAAACAAAAGAAATTATTTTAAGCTATCTCACAGCCATGCAGAGAAGGTCAGGTACCATCCTGTTTTCTCAGTGCAAACACAGGATTCTGTAGCCTGGCACAACTTCTCCTTCTTCCACACAATCCAAGAGCCTAACAGACTTCTCCCCTCCCCAGGCACAGATTCCCGGGGCTCCCACAAACAAGAGGAAGTTACTCCACGTTCCTGGGTAGCTGATCATCTTAGCAAACTAGAGAACTATGGACAACCTTTTCTTTCCAAAACACTATTAGTGAAAACCACTCTAACGTGCTGAAGGCTTTGTCAAAGAACCTAATCAAAAGCTCTGCTGCCAAATGTTTGTGACCAGACAAGCGATTTTACTACACCACCCTCGAGTCAATCATCTAGAAAGTAAAATCTAGATCCGAATTGTTTATTCTTAATGCTTCTTTTATTTTTTCTTTTATCCTTTTCTCCTCCCAACTCATCTTTTAAAAATCATGTTCTATACTGTCATACAGTACATTAGAATATATATAGGATTTACCAAAATACGTGGTTTTTTTTTAGGGGTGGGGAAGTGTGCTTCAAAGCCTGCTTACTGATGGAAATCAGCAATCAAAGTTCTGTTGTCCGCTGCTGTAGAGTCGAGAGGAACAGATGACAGACCGCTATCAGGGTTACTGCTGGTTCCCTCTGGCCCTGCACCTTACAGCTTCCCTTTCCGTTAGGTTCTGCAAATCTATCCCCTGGAGTCACCACACATCCGCCTCCAAACCTCACATGCTCCTCTGCAGCAAACACATCTACAGCTCACACTGTACTCACTTTTATGGTAACTTCTAAGAGTGCTCGTCACCTACTTCATCTGGGGGTTCCTCCTCCTCTTTAAACACAGTAAGTTTGTTAAAAAGCACTTTCTATGGCTATTTAATTTCACCTCCCCCCTCAAGACTCAGTGCAGACTCATGGGCCAGTTGATAAAAGCTTTGAGCTCGGCCAGGAGCAGTGGTTCACGCCTGTAATCCCAGCACTTTGGGAGGCCGGGGAGGGCGGATCACGAGGTCAGGAGTTTGAGACCAGCCTGGCCAACATGGTGAAACCCCATCTCTACTAAAGATACAAAACACTAACTGGGCGTGGCGACACACGCCTGTAATTCCAGCTACTCAGAAGGCTGACGCAGGAGAATCGCTGGAACCCAAGAGGCAGAGGTTGCAGTGAGCCGAGATCGCGCCAGTGCCACTCCAGCCTGGGCGACAGGGCGAGACTCCGTCTCCAAAAAAAAAAAAAAAAATAGATTTGAGCTCTAGGTCGCACCAAGCAGGAAGAAAACAATAGTGATCCCATGCAGAAAACATTCTAGACACTAAGCAGGATGGACGCAAGGCCCATCATCTTCTATTTTAATTGTCAATGGCCCTGGGGCAACCACAGAAAGGATCTTTGCACATTTGCTTTGCTCTGGGGACCTGAAAGACAATCCTGTAACATGTCTGAACTTGAATTACACAACAATGGCCCTCATTCATGGTTTTAAAGCTCTTACCATCAGCATCCACTTCATTGATCATATCCTGCAATTCAGCTTCTGTTGGGTTCTGACCCAGTGACCTCATGACAGTTCCAAGTTCCTTTGTTGTGATGGTGCCATCGCCATCTTTATCAAATAGGGAGAAGGCTTCCTTGAATTCTGAAAACAAAAGTTGACCCGTTAGAATCAATGTCTTTATCCAACCCAGTCACAATACACACTTGCCGGGGGCTTGCCAAAGCCAGCCATTCAAGTTGTGCAACGTATCAGAAGTCTGGTCTTTATCTACTGAAATAATGACCACAATAGTCCTGTTGGACTGGCCTTCATACAGCAGCCCATAAAGCAAACACTGCTCCCAATAAACAGTGCCACACACCACAATATTCCCAAAGGTTTCAAGGCGGCTAAGCTGGAACATGCTTAAATTAGTCCTAAATCCAATCTTTTTTTTTTTTTTTAAACAATGGAGTCTCGCTCTGTCACCGAGATTGGAGTGCAGTGGTGCAATCTCAGCTCACTACAACCCCTGCCTCCCAGGTTCAAGGGACTAAATCCAATCTGACAAGATTGGTCCATGTGCCCCCTTCAAATCCCTTCCTGTTACATTTCTAAAGCCATAAGAATCCCTTGTTTCATAACAAATAAAATGGTTACTAGAAATGTACATTCCCAGGTAAACTCTCTCCACATGACTTTTAGAATATTTCAGAAGCATTCCTGGTTTCCTAACGAGAAACAGTCTCAAAACAAGTCCTCCAGGAATATTAAAAAGCTAAAATCTGCCAGACGTGGTGGCACATGCCTGTAGTCCCAGCTACTCAGGAGGCTGAGGCAGGAGGATTGCTTGAGCCCAGGAGTTAGAGACCAGCCTGGGCAACAGAGTTTAACTAATGTAACTTTCTTCCCAATTACTACAGTGGTCCTAACACTCATATTCACCCATTTCCATTTATTTTAGGATAGCGAGCACAAGCTTTCGTGGCAGATTACTGAAAGACCCATGGCATAAGAATTGTAAACTAAACCGCTGAGTAGCAGGCTCAGTACAATTAATCATACGCAAACTTTGCACATTGTGAAACATGGTCAAATTCTCCAGAGTTTAACATGTGGGCATCCTTAGTTTTACTTCCTTTCACCTCATCTATAAAGTACTGGCAAGAATAACATCTGACCTCAGTGTTTCTGCTTACTGTTCTTATTTAAATAAATTCTTAGAAAACTGCCCAGACTGTAGCGGGGAGGAACAGAGGAGTCACCAAAACTGAGTCAGTGCCTAGTTCTGGCCTTCTGGGGACTCCTTGGAGTTGTCAACTTACCAGCAATCTGTTCTTCGGTCAGCTGATCAGCCTATATGAAGAAAGAAAAGGTTATCATTCAGTCCACGACATGTTTGGTTGATTTCAACATAGGTTTTCCAGTTATACTTTTAATATTGTGATCTTTCAAAAATCAATCTTAAAATCCTTTGAAACCTGTAGCACGGTCATTTAATGAAAGTAAATAGAATAAAGAAAACTCCTTATGCTATTTTAACAAAGGATTACAAGGAAGTGACAACATCTGCTCACTTCAAGTTTTCTTTTCTGGGCCCATGGCTTACAGCTTGCTCTGCGATCTAACTAGGCTAAGTTCATCATGTGAAAAATGGCACCTCTAGTGGCAGAAGGCCCCTTGGCACCAGCTGCAGTGGCGGCAGGCTCTAAGACAGAAGAGCGCCACCTACTGCACCATGGACACCGCAGTCCCCCTTTCCACTCAACAAGGGACCCAGCCCACTGCCACTGCCATCACAGCCAGGATAAGGATCTCATCCAGGGGCAGGCTTTCAGCGCACCTTGCGCACTGCTCCAGGCCCTCGAAATCTCCAAACTGGCGTTACATAATGGCATTGGGTTGGATTAACAGGCTTTTATATCCATTTTATGAGAAATAATTAAGTAGAAAAAATAAAGATACAGCAACTGGGTACGCCACCAACTTCATTTCCATGTAACAAATGCTTTCCAATCCTTTAAATTAGGCAGTTATTTGTTAAAAGCCTACCATTACAATGGCTAATGCCCTGGGTCAAACTATCCTATGATTCAGAAGCCAGGAAAAAATGGTACCATCTTACAAATGAAGTGTTACAAAACTGCAAAAATTAAGTACACAGAAAACTACACAATAATTATCAAACTATATATACTCCTCTCTTTTCTGGCAAAGAGTATCTACTAAATTTGCTGGAGAGTATTAACCCTACCTACCTTAAGAATGACATAAGAACTGTTCTTAATAAACACACTTCGTTGGAGGCAGTAATGGCCACGAAGGTAATTCACCTGCATTATTTGGTCTCCACTGAACCTGTGCCTCCAGCCGAGGGAACTCGAGACCTCAAGGAGAGCTAACGTGGATTTCTCTTTTAAAGAAGGATGCCTAAGAAGCCAATTACAAAATAAGTCCTAATAGAAAGCTGATGAAGTTTATACTCTTAAGTGAAAACTTTAACAGTAGGAATGGTGTTCCAATATATTGATTCTGGGTGAAAATTTGTTTTTACAAATTATAAACGGATCTTTCTTTCTACCTCAATCACTAAAAATTGGCTTTCTTTAAATGACGGAGACACGATGATTTACGTAACGCCAAGGCAACATCTGTCTTGTACAACAGGAAGCGCTGCCACACCTCGCAAGAGAAACTGTCACCTTATGGGGAGAACAGTCCCACCTCGCTACAGAACTCTCTTGTTAGAGGGGTTACCAGGAGCATCCAACTTTCTCGACAACGAAAACCTCCTCCCCCAAATGGCGCTAGCCCTGGGGGCAAAGGTGTACCAGAACCCTGCGGGGAACCATCTCCCCACCCGCCAAACCAGAAACGCAGTCGGTGATGTCAGCCCTGCACGCCGAGGAGGAAGGGGCTGTGGAAAACACACCCAGCGAGGCGCACAGTCGCATCTGGCAATCTAGAGGCTGCAGAGAAAGCAGAAACGTGGAGGGCATCTCTCTGCGGACTGGAAGTGGCGCGGGGCGAGGGACCGGGCAGGGCGCGTGCCCGGGGGCAGGCGTGGGGGGGAAGGCGGCCCCCGAGCGGGCGTCTGGACGCCGCCCCTCCTCGGCCAGGAGGGTCACCACCCCCGGCCCCCGCGCACCAGGGCTGAGGCCAAGGCCACCCGCACCTCCCACCCGCTTCTGCTCCCCCAGGCGACGAGCCCGCGGCGCCGCCGCCTCCTCCCGGAGCAGAAACTTTGCGTCTCTAATGGAAACCAAGCCGCGCGCCAGTTCCCTCCTCCCCCGCCGCCCCCCCCCCCCGCCCCAATTAGCGCGAGCCCAGCGCCTCCCGCGGGAAGTGCCTCCTGGTGCACCGAGGCTCACGCCCGCCCGCACTGCTGCACTGGGTGGGGGGCCGCAGGGTGCGAAAGCGGCAGGAACAAGCCACGGCCACACCGCAGGGCCCCGCCCGGGCGCAGGGCGGCCCGGCCGCCGCTTCCGCCCTCTCCGCCCCCAACCCCTCGCCTTCCTGCCCCCAACCCCACCCTTCCCCGGCTCCTTCCTTCCCAGCCCACGCCCGCGCCGCGCCCCCCGGGAAGAAGGAGGGGAGAGCGACCGAGGGAGGGCGCCCAGCAGGGCCGGCCAAAGTGGGGAGGTGGCGGGCGCTGACTGCGCCCCTCAACACCCGGCCGGAACAATGTGCGCCACCGGCCAGCTCCAGCCCATTCATTCTCCACTGCCCGCCCGACCTGCCACCTTCGCGCCGGCGGAGAAGCGGGGTGGGGAGGGGCGGGCCGGGGGGGGGGGTCTAGTGCCCGGCCCCGCCCGGCTCCCAGGCCGAAACGCTGCGCTGCAGGCAGCCCGGGTGCGGCGCTAGTGGATGCAGTGGGTGCGGGGCTGGGCGGGGGGCAGGGGGATTGGATGCAGAAACCCCCGCTGCAGTTGCGGCCGGAGCCCCTGCCCGTGGACGGCCTACGACCAAGTCCAGCTCCAAGGGGAACCAATAAATGAAGCTCCCTGGCAGAGGTCGCCGAGATGCAAATCCAAAATGCAACCTCCTTTAAGCGCAGCTGCTGCGTAACACTCAGAAAAGAAAAACCTCCAAGAACCAAAAACAAACAAAAAACAAACAAAACAACTAGAAATCTGGGAAGAAATCTCGGGCAGCTGCTACGCCGGCATTTGCCACTCCCGACCTACCATGGTGCGAGCGAAGGGAGGAAGAGCAGAGGGAGCGAGGGTGGCTGCACCAGCGCGGGGGCTGCGACGGCGGGGGTACCTCCGATGCCGCTGCTGCTGCTGCTGCTGCTAAGGCGCGCTGTGCGCTATGCCGCCGCCGCCGCCTGCGCCGCCGCCTGACTACGAGTAACGGCACGGCGTCCACGACACTCCCAGCACCACTGCCGGAGCGCGAGTCTGCGCCCCGCGATATATATATGGTGCGCCGTATCCCTCCGCCGCGGCGGAGCCGCCTCGCGCAGAGCGGCGCTGCGGCAGCCGGGCCTTGCCCGCCTGGTCCCGCCCCCGGGTTCGCCAGGCCTCCCGCCGCCCCCTGCGCGCCAGTCGCGGCGGCCCTACGCTGGGTCGGGGAAGCGTTCTAGGCTGGGCGCGCGGTCTCGGGTCAGGTGTGGCGGGGAGTCCTCAGGAGACGCCCACCCTGGGCGGGGGCGAAGACAGAGCGCCTGCTTAGTCCAACCTGGGGGCGGCCCAGAGCTTCGGAAGCCGTTCACTCCGCTACCTACCCCAGCCTCACCCCACCTGGGTGACCCTCCCACCTCAACATCTCCAACCGCTCCACTAGGGCTGCCGGCTCCCGCGTGCCCCTCGTCCTTGGGTCTGCAGCGGCCACTTCCAGTTTGGGGTGCTGCAGGAGGTCCTGAGAGTAGGGGGTCCGCGGGGAGGTGGAGGCAGATTGGCCACACTCCTTCAGCTGCCGAGGAGAGGGGTCTGCAGAGGACGAGGTAGTTGTCCTCCTGGAAGAAATTGGTCCTCTTCGGATTTTGGAGCAGTATCCGAGTCAAATTATTTATGCTCAGTTGCTAAATCTGTGTCATGCTGCGATGTTTAATCAGTCTTTAATGTTTTTACGTTTCCACTGAATATTTTTTAGGATGCCTGAATATTTCTCCCCTACTATTTTGTTCTTTTTCCTGGCGCCCGTCTTACTAAAATTAGTGTACCTGTGCAGCTTCTACAGACCTTAAACCCAGGCTTTAAATTTTTCGTAATTTTCCTGATCCTGAGAAGGGTCAGAGTCTTTATTCATAAATCCATAGAAACAAGGGAAAAAATAGATGCTTCAAATCCTCTGCATTACAAGTGGAACACACAGCCAATTGCCTCTCTTATGGAGCTAGATTGTATTTTAAACTACAGTTTTGATTATATTCCTTTTAAAAGACTATTTAAATCTTTAAATATACTAGTGTTTTCCATTTTTTATTATATTCCTTTTAAAATAATATTTAAATCTTTAAGTTTACTAGTGTTTTCCATTTTTCTGTAAAGTAGAGAAAGAACAATTTCAGCCAGTAATGTGAACCCCAGGACTTGTAAAAATCTAGACAAAATGCTGCAGTTTCTTTTCTTGCCAAGGCAGAACACAGAATTTGATCTTCTGTTTTACAGGGCCCGGGCAACAGTTGGAGGTTATCATTTGCTTACTGTTTCACAGAATATGGCAAAGTGTGTGATTAACATGCTGTGCTAGAAAGGGCTTTGCTTGCTTGTGTTTGTTTCTGCTTTCAACAAAGTCTGCAGGAATATGTTTTTTAAAAAAGGAAAAATGTACAGGCACATTGCAAATGCCACAGGACTTCTTGGGATAACCTTAGACAAGACGTCAGCATCTGTGGAGCTGTTCCTACTGATGTTCCTTCTGGAATGCCGCAGAAAGAGTGAACCTGCTGTTTAATTTAAAGAGAGGCTGCAGCAGCAAGCCAGGGGATGCTGCCTTCCCTCTGCAGATTAGAAAGACACTATTCACTTCACAAACCTGATCCTAATCCCTGCAAAAAAATAATAATAATACTCCTGGGCTCATAGGGGAAAACCTGAGTAGGAATAAAGCGTGCATACTAATGCGAGAGTTGGAGATAAGGAAATAGAAGAAAAGGGACTAATACAAATTAATTTTAAAGAATATGCAATAATCCAGTCAGTTACAAGCCTAAATGGCCAAACTCCTTATTAAAACTGCATCTTGGCCGGGCGCGGTGGCTCACACCTGTAATCCCAGCACTTGGGGAGGCCGAAGCAGGCGGATCACAAGGTCAGGAGATCGAGACCATCCTGGCCAACATAGTGAAACCTTGTCTCTACTAAAAATACAAAAATTAGCTGGGTGTGGTGGCGCGTGCCTGTAATCTCAGCTACTTTCAGTAGGCTGAGGCAGGAGAATCCCTTGAACCAGGGCATCGGAGGTTGCAGTGAGCCAAGATAGCGCCATCGCATTCCAGCCTGGTGACAGAGCGAGACTCCATCCAATAATAATAATAATACTAAAACTGCTTCTTTCCTAAGGGTATTGGTATTCTTTCTCTGGGGCTTTTCATATAGTAGTTAGTGAAATACATTTTTTCTTTTTTTTTTGAGACAGAGCCTCACTCTGTTGCCCAGGCTGGAGTGCAGTGGTGCAATCTCAGCTCACTGCAACCTTCGCCTTGTGGGTTCAAGCGATTCTCCTGCCTCAGCCCCCTGAGTAGCTGGGATTACAGGTACAGGTGCCTGCCACCACGCCTGGCTAATTTTTGTATTTTTAGTAGAGATGGGGTTTCACCATGTTGGCCAGGCTGGTCTCGAACTCCTGACTTCAAGTGATCCACCTGCCTCGGCCTCCCAAAGTGCTGGGATTACAGGTGTGAGCCACCGCTCCCAGCCAGTGAAATACATTTTAAAACATGATATGCATTGTATAAGTAGGGGGAAATAATGGCCTAGAAATGTGTTTAATTATTAAGGATCTACTCGTTTCTGATAGTCTTCCATTCCTTGTGATTATTTTGGTTAAGTTGCTACAATCTATGGTTTTGAAAGCCAAGCATTCTCTAAAATAATATTTTTCCTCTGTCATTAACCTTATTTCACCTAAATATAACATTTTGAAACTTTTTATGACTTTACTTGCTAAAAACTGTACATTTCAGAATCCTTTTACTTAGTATAGTAAAATTTATTTTCCTGATTCTTCATATTTTACAAACTAGAGTTCTATTTTGGTAATTCTTTAATGTATCAAAGCACATCTTTGCTTTCAAGTTCATCGGGTTTATAATGAGGTCATGCTTGCACAGTTTTATGGACATGCTTTTCACAGTTTGACACTCTGAAATATAAGAAGGTCAAGTGACTTGCCCAGGATCTTACTGTGAGTCAGGGATGGGGCATAAAATAGAGCTTGAGTCCTTGCTCAGGGGCTCTAATTTAGATAATATATTCGTGGTCTTGATATCCGAACATTTTAAAGGCCCAATGTTAGGGGTTTGTCTGTTTCATAAAGCAGATTCTTCTGACTGCCTATTTAGAAATCACTGGGTTTTCATTATCAAATAGACTGCTTTAAGTGAATACACGTCCTAATTTATGAAGAGATCAGCAATCAGGAGAATAAACCGCATTATTGTAATATCATAATTTACTGAGAACCAAAAACCTATGGAACATTTCATATTTAAAGGAAATTGTTCTATAGGAAGTTATTTAAATAAGATAAAAGTAAATGGAAGAAAAGTAAAAACGATGCAGCCTCAAGCCAGGAATCTCATGTTTAAGTATCATTTCCGTCACTAACCAAATCACTCTAACCCTCTGAATCTGACAGAAAGGACACAGATGTAACAAGAGTTTTGTACTTGATGTAGAAATTCCTTCTAGCTGTGAAACCCTGTGTCTGAGGTTATATGATTATAACATATACATATATAACCTCTGTCATATATATGTATACACACATATACATATATTGAAGATGGAGAAATGGAGAATGCAAATGGAGAAATGGAAATAGTTTAAAAATAACAATTACTTGCTCGGCATGGTGGCTGACACCTGTAATCCCAGCACCTTGGGAGGCTGAGGCATGTGGATCATGAGGTCAGGAGTTCAAGACCAGCCTGGCCAACATAGTGAAACCCTGTCTCTACTAAAAATACAAAAAATAAGCTGGGCGTGGTGGCAGGCACCTGTAATCCCAGCTATTCAGAAGACTAAGGCAGGAGAATCGCTTGAACCTGGGAGGCAGATGTTGCAGTCAGCAGAGATCGCACCACTGCACTCCAGCCTGGGCAACAGTACAAGACTCTGTCTCAAAAAATAAAAATAAAAAATAATTACTCAGCATTGACTATGGCCAGGCCTTGTGCTAAATGTATTATTTCATCCTCCTACCCATCCTGTGAAACAGGTATCATTATTCTTACAAAGGAACTGAGGCACTGAACGAGTCAGTGACTTGCCTAATTTAAGTGGAACCCAAAAATCTAGCTGAGAGCCCAAGCACTTAAGCATTACATTATAACTATCTCCTGCAATGTAGTAGAATTTATTTTTATTTTAATTTGGGGTAGGAGGCAGAAGTGGCAAAGATTAAGATGAAAATTTGGTTTATAAAGAGATACTTCTTACCCAATAATTTAAAATACGATCATAGGAATGTAGTAATGGCTCTATTTTTACATAAGGAATATGGAGTGTTTGGGGAAGAAAACCTAAAGCAAAACATTTAATTTGTGATGCTTTCTAGCTGGAGGACACTTCTCATTTTGCCTCTGAGGTCTAGAGAGGTCAAGAGGCTTGCTCACTGTCAAACATCCAATTGTGTGTGTGAGAGAGAGGTAGAGACACATATGGTTGGTTGGTTGGTTGGTTTGAGAGTCAGTAATACCTCTTCACCATCCTCGACTCCCTCCTTCTCCACCCCGTGGTCCAATAGTACTTAGATGAATATCCACCATTCAGGATTCTCCGCTTCACTAATCATCTCCAATTGCCAGAACAGATTCTTGCTGTTTGTGTTTGGATTTACATTTCATTAAATTCTATTCAGGATTATTACAAAAAGTTTTGTTATCTCTATCAATAAATAAAATACTCCATTATTTTTCCATTTAAAATTTTGTGATTATCTTTTTTGTTGTTATAATGTTTATGAATGACTCATATAGGTAATGAGCAGAGGGAACATTCTTACATTACATTTAAATTTGAAAATATGTTACCATCAGAACATAATAAGCAAGTGTTAGGCCATGACAACTTACCATGAGAAAAATATTATCCATTTTAGCATATAAGGCGTCTGTTTAGTGTCCCATGATTTTTTTTTTTTTTTTTTGGAGACGGAGTCTTGCTGTGTAGCCCAGGCTGGAGCACAGTGGCACGATCTTGGCCTCACTGCAAGCTCCGCCTGCCGGGTTCACGCCATTCTCCTGCCTCAGCCTCCTGAGTAGCTGGGACAACAGGCACCCGCCACCATGCCTGGCTAATTTTTTTGTATTTTCAGTAGAGATGGGGTTTCACCGTGTTAGCCAGGATGGTCTCAATCTCCTGACCTCGTGATCCGCCTGCCTCCGCCTCCCAAAGTGCTGGGATTACAGGCGTGAGCCACCGCACCCGGCTAGTGTCCCATGATTTCAAATGACTCATAGCCAGACTAACTGTCCTGTTGTATGTTCCAGCTTGTGATGGTCACCAGTATACTCAGTAGTCTGAAGTGCAGTATTTCCAAACAGCACCATTCACTAGCTTTGAGTGCCTCATTCTTGTTTTTTTTTTTTATTTTGAAACACTTTGCTTTTTATAGGAGAAAACATATCTTATCCTCCATTCACAGGATTTGTGCTTGTTTTGCTAGTAGCTGTGGTGATGGATTTGCCTTCCTCTGTTCCCTCTCTGGTCAAGCCACCCTCGTGACCAACGTCATAAATATGCAACACAGAAAGTGGGGTCCGGGATATAGAATAAGAACAGAGCAAAATAACTGGCCATTAATGAGACTGGACCCATGACTTGAGCCTCAGCTTTGGGCTTTAACCAACTGAGCCCTTAAGTCAAAGGCAGCCAGCAATGGTTACACAGACTTAGGGACCAAGTACTGTGAGTGAATTCAGATAGTAAAATGTCCAGTGGGATAAGATCATAGTTTTGTGCTTTAGTTGTTTACACTAACTTCAAGCTGGGTTTTTTCTTTCTTTTTTTGTTTTCTGAGATAGGGTCTCGCTCTGTCCCCCAGGCTGGAGTACAATGGCATGATCATAGCTGACTGTAATCTCAAACTCCCGGGCTCAAATAATCTTCTTGCCTTGGACTCCCAAAGTGCTGGGATTACAGGAGTGAGCCACCACGCCTGGCCTGGAGATTCTTTTTTTAAATTTAATTAATTAATTTATTATTATTATTACTATTTTTAGAGATGGGGTCTCGCTATGTTGCCCAAACTGGTCTCTAACTCCTGGGCTCAAGCGATCCACCCGCCTCGGCCTCCCAAATTGCTAGGATTACAGGCATGAGCCACTGTGTCCAGCCAGGCCTGGAAATTCTTAAACTATCATTTTCCTCATTAATCCGAAAGCAAGGGCAATAGTAACTTCAATTAGCATCCAAACGATAACCAGCAACTTCATATTTCAACATATGTGCTAGAATGCAGGTCAAACCATAGAACAGGTCTAAAGCTTATCCACGCAGCAACAGACATTTAGCAGTTTACAAATGATTTAACAGCTATTCAGTTGAGGGATATGTGGCCACAGCGATAAACTGAAATGGCAGGGTTTTGGGGTGACTCAGTTTGCCTGTAGAGCAGAACCAGTGATTGGCACAAATGGGTACTGTTGCTGAGGTCTTGATACACGGAAAACCAGACCATAATGATAAATCAGGTAAATTGATGCTGATTGTGGGTTATATTAAAGAATTGGCCCCACCAATTCCAACAGACTTAAGATCTAATTTGGCAACTGTGTGGTTTGGTTTTCAATCAATAAATAGCCTCTGTCCTGCCTTCTAGAGCTGTGCTGCCCAATCCAGTAGTCACTAATCACATGTGGCTATTTAAATCAAACTTAATTAAAATTTAAAATTGAGTTCCTCAGTCTTTATAGCCACATTTCAAGTGCTCAATAGGCCCATATGGCTAGTGGTTACCATATTGGGCAGCATGGAACATTTCCATCATTCCAATAAGTTACATCAGATAGCTCCATTCTAGAAATTTTAAAAAAGGAAGTATCTGTGTTTGCCTGGATCAGGAATGTTGAGGATCCCAAAATTTCTAATAGCACATCCATGATCTTTGTCTATCCCAATGAGCTTGTCCCCTTCTGATCCATCCAATGCACAGCTGCCAGCAGTTTCATCATGTCACTCCCATGCTCAAAAACCCTCAATGCCTCCCAATGCCTTTCAACAGTTTGCCAATCTACTTTTTCAGCATTACCATCCTTTGTTATTCTATACATTCTTTGCTTCAGACAAATCAGTATCGTCTCTGTCCCCTGAATATACATTGTCTCCTCTCAACTCATTGCCTTTTCCATGCCATTCCTAGTGTCCAAATGCCTATCCATATCCTCACCACCTATCTAAATCCTACGGGTCCTTCATGCCCAGTTTAAATGCAACATGTTTCAAACTTTCCTGATTATCACAACTCCAAATGAACTTCCTCTCCGCTGAATTCCTACCCCTCTTGTCCTTTTCTACCTGATATTATCGTTTCATATATCTAACATCAACCAGATAGTAGTAGAAGCCAAGATATACTTTTTGAACTCAGCATAGCATTTGACTCATTAAACACCAGTCAACTATTTAATTGATTAGTGTTGAGCTCAATTCACTCTCAGGACTGAAGAGGATATTAAAAGTGAATTTCTCAAAATACAAAAGGAAAAGAAAGTCCTTTGCTTTAATTCTGAAAGCAAGGTGGGAGGCCACACCTCCTGAGGAACATCCTGAACTATCCCTGCTTTGATCCCAACCTGTATCCTTCTACAGTCACGAGCAAGCGTATACCTTGGCTGACCCATCCTTTGGCAATTTTCTTCAGACTTTCACATAACTGGATCCATCCTCTGCTTCCTATAATGGAGAAAATATGGTCAAAGGGAAGTTGTCTTTGAACAGAAAAACCACCTCCATCTGAATCTAGTGAAGATGCTTATTGAGTTTTATTCATTCTAAGTTGAGGCTCTGAGTCATTGGCTAATAAACCAACTCCAGGCATCACAACGGGATGATTGAATCATTTGGCCACTGAAAAGATGTACCTTCAGGAGTGTTTTCAAGTTGTACAACTGAGTATCAGTGTGTCACCTTCCTTCTCATTCTCATTCTCATAAACCAAAAAGCATAGACAGAAAATTTGTCTTATTTTGATGAAGGGTTACTCAAGGCTTTGTTATTTTCATTGTTTTGACAAAGCAAATAGCTTTTTCCCAAGAAGAGGACCATATTGCTGCATCTCATTTGCTAGGTTAAATGGCTGATTCGTTGGCCACTTAGCCAGGCAGACTCAGCTATCTCATCTGTAACATTAGTGTAATAAACAAACCCTAGGGAAATATACGATGTGGTTGCGTATAATATTTAAAATATCATTGTGCTAAATGGCAATGGGTGGGTCAGAAATCCATTCAGAACCCAGGTCAGGGGGTCTGACTTAGTCTGCGGAAGGGCTCAGCAGTGGGAAGATCCAACTCGGTCTCCCATCATTTGGCAGCACCCCCAACAGGTTGGTACTCAGGGCACTGAGCCCTCAGCCGCCTCACCCTCCACCAGTCCCATGCAATTCTGCTGAGTCATCACTGTCTTCCACAGCAGCCCAAGAGATTTGTGACTCAGAGAACTGATTTGTAGTTTCATGTTTCACTGCTCCAGCTCTTCCCTGCCACACGAAGGTTCACAGTTGCACCTGTTTCCCACAAAGTTTGAAACTTAGGAAATGACCTTAAAACTGAATAGCAGCAAAACATATGAGCCATATTTTAAATGGTCTGCTGACACGGAGATTCTACTAGAGGCATTTCTGATTTTCAAGTCCTAAAGAAGGGGAAAGAACTGAGAAAAGGTATTCTGCGCTTTGTACCTGTGGGAACTTTATTTTTATTTTTTAATTTTTTATACAGATTCAATTGAGACCTGTGGGAACCTTTGCATATGGGAATACTTCGTGGTTTGAGCACACATTTCAAACTGTGTTCCGTATGGTGACACCATAGGCTCCCACCGAGCCATTCTGACTTTCGAAACTTGTATGCTGTGAATATTTGCTAGACGGCCAGCTGGGTTAGGGGGTTAGGATACTGCTGAAGCCTTGGAACAAGTTTCTCTTTCTGTGAAAGAGCACCATGCTCTAAACAAGTCCAATCATACTGTTTTAACCACCTGAAGAAAAGAAATCAAAATTTTAGAAAGCAGCCTAAAAGTCACATAATGGGAAATAAAGACATAAACATTATTCCTTTTTTATGCAGAACAAAGAGTTTATTATAAATGTTCTTCATGAAAAAAAAAACCCTTAGCAAACTGGGCTAGAAAGGATTTATTTTTTATAGATTTAAAGGGTACATTTTTGTTACATGTATATATTGCACAGTGGTGGAGTCTGGGCTTTTAGTGTGACTGTCACCTGAGTAGTATACGATGTACCCAACAGGTAATTTCTCATCCCTCACTGCCCTCCCACTTTGTGGAGTCTCCAGTGTCTATTATTCCACTCTGTATGTCCATGAATATGATTATTTTTTATTAGCACTTTGCAACACCCTAAAAATACCTCAGAACTTTATGAAATAATTAGAATTGTGCAGCCACATTCCTTTTTATGCATCACTCATCTAAAAAAATAAGCTTCTCTGAGCTCTTCTGGGAATAAGAAAGGGAAATGCTGCTAGCCTAAAGAAGACAGAAGAAATTATGATACAGTTTCACAAGGGGAAAGTGTCAGCAATTTAAATGAAGGTCAAAGATTTAAGGCAAGCGGTTTAGATAAGGCCTAGCACAGAGAACAATTCAGAACAGCCAGTCCCTAAATGGATAACAAAGTCCAAAGCAAAGCCTCCCAAGATTTTCCACAGTCACTTGGAAGCCCTGTGAATGATAACATTCCTCTACTCCCCTTATTATGATTGTTCTTTGATTAAAATGTTTTCAAAGGTCAAAGGAAAGAGCAGTCTAAAAGCCTGCTCTTTCCCTAACTAGTCCCTTCTCGGGACTTAGTTTTCTTATCTGGAAAATGTAAAAGTTAGACCAGATGGACTTTCTCTGGTTCTTCCCAGATTTAGAATTTCATGATTCTAAATATTCTTGCTTGTGAATTTTGTGAGGAACTTGTGCGGAATTCCCTAGTAACCAGGAGACTCTTAGAGATGTGGATGTATATACATCTGAGGTCACAGTGGACTTGTCTCAAGAGTTACAACTTTTTAGAAGTGTTAAAAATCTGCCTGGCATGGCAGCTCACGCCTGTAATCACAGCCCTTTGGGAGGCCAAGACGGGTGGATCACTTGAGGCTAGGAGTTCGAGACCAGCCTGACCAACGTGGTGAAACTCCATCTCTACAAAAAATACAAAAATTAGCTAGGTGTGGTGGCACACGCCTGTAGTCCCAGCTACTCCAGAGGCTGAGGCACGAGAATCACTTGAACCCGGAAGGCAGAGATTGCAGTGAGCCAAGATCACGCCACTGCACTCCAGCCTGAGTGACAGAATGAGACTATCTCAAAAAAAAAAAAAAAAATGTTAAGAATCATTATAGAATTCTGACTTTGTCAAATGGTACTCATATAAAATACTTAGGACAGACTAGACCATGCCTACTCAGATTGACTGATCGATTGTGACATTTACTTCCAAAAATTGCCCCCACCAAAAAAAAAGGAAGGACAAAAAAGAAAAAAATCCAAGGCCGGGTAGAAGACATCATCTCTTTCCAAAGACCAGAAAAGCAACAATAGATCAGGAAAGTGAGCAATTTTGTTTGAGTGAGTCAGATAGGTTTTTTAAAAGTCATTTTCTTCTAAATCCTTGTATTCTTCAAAGAATGTAACAGAATACATACAAAGGAGAGCTTGGAGATAAGCCCTGATATTTAAGATCATTAGTGTTCCATAATGATATTTCTTTAATTTAAAAATAAAAAATGGAGACAACTCAACCAGAGGAAAAAAAAATTGTGTTGAAAAAAGAAACCGAACCTTCTACATTGTAGATACTCCATAAATATTGGTTGATTTCTTTTTTGAGACAGGGTCCTACTCTGTCACCCAGGCTGGAGTGCAGTGGTGCGATCATAGCTCACTGCAGCCTCAAACTCCTGGCCTTTGGTGATCCTGCCACCTTAGGCTCCCAATTAGCTGGGACCATAAGTGCGCACCACCACGCCCGGCTAATTTTTGTTATTTTTTGTAGAGACAGGGTCTCCCTATATTGCTCAAGCTGGTCTCGAACCCCTGGGCTCAAGTGATCTGCCCACCTTAGCCTCCCAAAGTGCTGGGATTACTGGTGTAAGCCACTGCATCCGGCCTTTGATTGATTTTCTTGGGACTCAAAGACCCTTTCAAATCCAGATTCTTCTACTATTGTCCTAATTACTGTTCATTCATTCCTTCAGTAAATCTTTATCTAGAAATGTAAGGGAAATTCACTAGGCACAGACAATATCATGATGAATCGAATAGGCCTTGTCCTTAAGGAGTTCACAATTTAGTGAGCTCATTTGCTGACGACTAAAAAGCAAGTTTTACATGTACTAGGATTGAAGTAATAAGCCTCAAGGAATATTTTGTGGCACACCAATTCACATTTAGATAAATGTAGTTCAGGCTTCCTGGTAAGCCTAACTTCTCTGTAAAACTGGGACCCTTTCCTCTGGAAGTATAATAAATATTGGGAAGACTGAATATAAAAATAAACATATAAGCAACTTGTACAATGTCAAGCATTATACACAGAAACAGATAAGCCTAAGTATAATGACATAATGAAGTTATGGTCCAATTTCTCCACAGTGGAATCATATACTAGAGCTGGAAGGGAATCTGGAAATTCTCTAATCCAATCCTCAAATTCTACATACTAGAAAACTGAGGTCCCAGTCAGGCGCGGTGGCTCACGCCTGTAATTCCAGCACTTTGGGAGGCTGAGGCGGGCGGATCACCTGAGGTTGGGAGTTCAAGACCAGCCTGACCAACATGGTGAAACATGCCTGTAATCCCAGGTACTTGGGAGGCTGAGGCAGGAGAATCGCTTGAACCTGGGAGGTGGAGGTGGAGTGAGCCGAGATCGCGCCACTGCACTCCAGCCTGGCGACAGAGCGAATCTCCGTCTCAAACAAACAAACAAAAAGAAAACTGAGGTCCCAAGAACACAGGAAAGGAACTTACTCAAGAATTCTCAATTTGTTATTGGCACAGTTAGATCTCTTTTTTCACATCAGGATCTGGCTTGCTACAAAGAAGTCACAGAACATGTTTCCTATACCATATAAATTGCAAAAGAAACATGTCGTATTGTTTTTGGGGCAGGTATTTTTACAGTGAAATGCTCATTTGGAAGTTCCAATATATTTGCTCACTTGGCAAACATCTTTGGGAATGACTACTAACCGCCTACAGAAAGAAAACCACAGCTTTTCTCCTTTTTGAAGAAGACTTTGAGTAAAAGTTTAAGAAGCAATAAACAGCAACTGACAAGTATAGCCTTAGATCAAAGAACCTTCACTTGACTACAGCGCAGACACCACTACTGGTTGTAAAACCTCAGGAAAAACCATTAGTAACACAATCTTAGAAACAGGATGTGAATATAGTTCAATCACAAAGATCAGACATCCAAGCCACCTTGTGCCAAAGTCACAGATAGATGTTTGGAGGTTACACGAAACAGCAGTTTTAAGAAATCCACACGATTTAATTTTCTTAGCTAGCCTCTTGGAACAGTGACAATAACCAAGTAATGTTTCTTCTCTACTTTTTCTGTAGGCCACTGACTGAAAATTCTGCTCAAAGAAAACAATTCTCTTCATTCCCAGGTCTGCCTTCCAGTTCCCCCAAATGCTTGAGCCATCTCACGACTACAGCTTCAGCTCTGGAAGACGCAGTGTTACTGTGTGTGGTAGAGAAACACAGGCTTGGGAGACAGCCAGCCTGGGTAGCTTCTATTCTGTGCTGTGCTACTAAATTGCTGTGCGACGTTAGGCGTGTCAATCGACCTTCTTGAGTGTCAGATTTTTCACGGCACTGAGGGCTGAGAGGTACCTTCTGGCACGACACAGACCATGGCAGCGGATGTGGCCCATGGGAGAGGTTATCTCCCCGGTCCTTCGCCTCTACCTAGGAGGGCCTTCCCCACAGAAGCAATAAGGGGCTTAAGGGAAAGGAGGCCAGGAGCTTCCCCTCGGTTTACCCGGCCAGCGAGGGCCAAGCAGCGGCTCTCGGCTCCTAGAGCGCTGCGCGCTCCCAGGCGGGCTCCTGGCCGCGTTCACTCCGCAGCCTCTGCAGCTCCAACGCAGCTGAAAACCCGAGCCCAGCGGGCCCCTCCTGCCGCAGGGGATAAGGAAACCTTAGGAAGGAAATGGAAACGGGCCCTTGTAGAAACAAAGTGCCCATGAGGGTGCTTCTCGGGTGGCCGGGCCCTGAGTTCCAAAACAGGAAGGGTCGGCTCGGTGGCAGTTCGAGTGCGGGTTTCGAGCTCAGGGGCGTTTATCTCATTTCTGCGGCGCCAACTGTTTTCACAAAACGCGAAGGACGAACGGCAAAGAGCAAGGGGACAGGCGAGGCTAGTTCAGGTGGCCCTATGGAGGGCCACGGGCCGCAGCACGGGTATTTGGTATTATTTTTCAGTCAAGTTTCTGTCTCGGGGGAACCACCGCCCGTCAAGCGGAGAGGAAGAGCAAGCCGCACGCCCAAGCCTTTGGAGCGCTCGCGGGCGGGGCGAGGCAAGGGCGAGGGCACTATATCTCCCAGCGGAGGAGCACACGGCGGTGTCGTCACACACGCACCGGAACGCGGTCTGTAGCCGGTTGCTTAGTTGGCGCTGCTGAGGCTTCTTTCCTCGTTCAGTTTGACAAGGACGCTCTGATAGGCCGGCGCGACCCTGCAGTGGTTGGCCGAAAAGAGCCGCGCCGTCTGATTGGTCGCGCTGCACCTGCAATGCGTCAAGCCGCGAAGGGCGTGGAGGGCTCCGCGTGAATGGTCGTGGCCGGCAGGGTAGCCTGCGGCCTTCGGAGTGAGCGGCTCCGCCTATGGCCGCCATCTTTACTAGTGGCAGCGCGGACAGCCCCGGACGGAAGGGGTCTTGGCGGCGCTCTTTGGCCAGTAGAAATAGGCTCTGCGCCCGAGTTTTGTTTGGGGTTTCCTTTTCCTCTACGGCGGGTCGTTTTGTTTTTCCCAGGTCCTAGGGATGTGGTGGGGGTAGAAAGCGAGGCCCCGGGGCTCGGGGCAGAGCTCAGGGTCTGAGGAAGGGTTTAACTACCGTTGTAATGAAACCGCTTGATTTGCGTTCTGTGGGCTCGGGCAGTGGGGTGCGATTTGATTCCATTTCTCCCAGCAGAAATGAGATTTGCTGCCTGGGCATCTTGCTGGAGCCGGAGAGCCGTTCTGGAAAACTCTCCCGAATACGTCATGGTTGTTGCTCACGCTGTGCGCGGTCCCGTCGGCACAGAATGCGTTTTTGCTTTTGAGAGCTGTAAATCAAACAGCCGCGCTGGAAACTATTTCTCAGCTCCAGAGGCGGTCGCCTGCAGAGGCAAAACTCAGCTTGCCTGACAGACGTGCCACGAGACGTTGGCTGAAAATTATTTTGATCATACCAACTAACTTGTCTTTTTTAGGCAAATGTTGTTTGTGTGCGCATCCGGTTTTCATTCGTCTCTGATGTCCAACCCCGCAAAAAAAGAGTGGGGGAGGGGGAGGAAAGGAAAAAACCTCTTACTGTATCAAAAGTGGTCGTTGTTTAGGACTCACCCTCCCTTCAGTGGATATGGGTGAAAAATTAAAGACATGTTCCGTGGATGAATTAGAGATCGGGGAAATGGAAAAGGTCGTGGTTGTCTCAGTTTAGCGGGTGGGGATATCTTTTGTTGGTTTATTTGAACTGCGTAGGTGCAAATTCGGTGGATTGTGGATATCCAAAGGTGAATTCTGGATATCCAAAGGTGAATTCTGGAGCTGCTTGGGTGTGGGTGTTGCCATGGCGACAGGAGGAGGTAGCTGGTGAATTGCAGGGTCAATAAACCTGGCAGGGCCAGGCCCCTTAAGTGTATGGAGCATTAGTAGTACGTTACTACCGTGGTTTATCTATCCTGGCTTTCACCATTCCATCCCCGGCCAAGATTCCTGGATCGATCAATGCAGGCACACTCGGGCATGTTGATTTTCTGTATTGATTAATACAGGTATACTCACTACCGTGTGTAGATTTTCTGATTAGATGCTGCATCTGGGAGCATAGTTTTTGTACCATTTGCCATACATTTTGATTTGCAGATTATTGCTGTTCTTGCTTAATCTTACTGGTTTTGGACATTTATGTATTGGCTTTTTTGCCTTTTCCCTTAGGTCAGCCGACACCTTACCTTAGGGTACCTTGTGCTTAAAATTAACACTTCATATTATTGTAAATCAGTGTAATGTCAAAGCACTGAGTTCCTGGGCATGGCAATAGAAAGAAACTTGCAGCTTTGCATAATCTCCGTGTAGCAACAGCCACTCTTGTCTCTGTACAGAGCACACAGTGTCTCAGTGTTCTTTGACAGCTGCAGTGCTAGGAGCCGGCCACTTTGCTTGCTGGGTGAGGTAAAGCGGAGTAATAAATCTTGCAGAGACTCGGTTTCTGTGATATGAAGAGAATCCAAGCTACCTCATGGAGTTCTTGTGAGGATTGCATGATATGTGAATGTGCCAGAACTGTATAAATTGTAGAACTGTTGACATAATGATATGCAGTTACTAATGGATTTGTTGAGTCTGACCTTATGAGAGGAAGATTTTCCTTCAGGATTTTCCATCTCATGGGAAGAACAGATGGACAAAACTCAGATCTAAAAGAAACCTTAAATAGCATAGTTTTGTAATGTAGATAGTATTATTATAGCCTTATTAGCATACAGTGCCAGATTTGAGGGGCGCTTAGGATGATGAGCTCATCGTAGTTTGCTTGGATTTTCCTGGTTTTAGCATTGAATGTGTCCTGGAAAACCCCTCTGTCCCAGGCAAACCAGGACAGTTGGTCACCCCTGGACTCTTTTCAATGCTGAGAGATGGGAGGAGGAACAGAATGAGAAATGCAGATTCCTACTGTATAGAGATGATTCAGGTTCCCTGCAGCTGAAGGCGACTGGACATAAGAAATCAGATGTCCTCTTATGAAATAAGGGTGGGCTGCCACCTGAAACTCGACACATCCAAAGTCAAACTGAGAACTTTTTCCATTTTTACTACTCTTCCTTCCCTCAGTCCCCACACATTGTTGGGTTTTTTTTTTTAATTTTTTTTTATTTTTAATGTTTTAAAGTTTTCCTATTTAATTGTAGTCTTTGTTTCTGGTAAAGACATTACCAGACTTTTAGGCCCTTAGAGTGAAGAAATTATTTTTTATGCCATGGATCCCTTTGCCAATTTGATGAAGTCCGGTGCCGTTGGTGTGTTGCCTGTATTCGTAATTGAAGGCATGCTACATTTAACTTAGAGGTTAATGAAAATAAAGATGTTCTATTTTTCTGTCCAAGTTTATGGACCCCTCCTAAGTTCTCTCCGTAGACTCCAGGTTGAGAACACCTGCTTCCTCTCCATCACCCCCCATTGAAGTTCTCTTTCCACTCTGTCTCCTTTCACATCTTGCCTCTTTGCATTCTCACTGCCACCACTGTAGTTCAAGATACCGTCACTGTCTTCCTGACTATTGTGAAAGTCTCTAACTATTGGTCTTTGCCTTAGTCCATTCCTGATACTGTAACAAAATACCACAGGCTGGGTAATTTATAAACAACAGAAATTTATTTCTCACAGCTGTGGAGGCTGGGAAGTTGAAGATCAAGGCACTGGTATATTTGGTGTCTGGTGAGGGCTTGGTCTCTGCTTCCAGGATGGCACCTTGCTGCAGCATCCTCACGTGGCAGAAGGCAGACGGGTGAAAGGGGATAAATGCTGTGTTCTCACGTGAGTGAAGAGCTGGAAGGGCCAAGCAGCTCTCTGATGCCTCTCTTATAGGGCCATTAGTCCCACTCACGAAGGTGGAGCCTTTATGACTTAATCACTTCCCCAAAAGCCCTAGTTCCTAATACCATCACCTTGGGGTTTAAGTTCTAACATATGAATTTTGGAAGGACACATACATGCAAACTAATGGTCTCATCCCTAGTTCCATTGTATGCCCAGCTGATAGTCATTTTCCTAAAACATACATCTTACTATGTCATTTCCCTGCTCAAAAGCCTCAGTAGCTTCCCATGGCCTCAAAATTGAGTCCAAATGCATTTAGGAGCTCCTTCAGGGCCCTCCATAATCTGCCTTTTCAGTCCTAACAACCTGCCACCGAAATTTTAGTCATACAAATTGTTCTTCAGTTGTGCATTTCTCTCTCCACCTTTATTCATGTCGCTCCCTTGGCCTAGATTGCCGATTTCCATCTTTTCTGCCCAACACAGTTCTAATATCCTTAAAGGTTTACTTCAAATGTGAAGGCAACTGAAATAAACTCTTCCTCCACTGGGCTCCCTCAGCACTTTATTTCACTGTCTTCTGTTACCACGTTCTACTTTCATAATGGGTATTTGTACCAATTGTGAGTGTGACCCTGGGCCATGAGTATGTAAAAATGTAACAAACGTGAACCTTGGTTTTTAAAGGACTTATATTTTAGGTTGGGAGATAATGTGAACCTAAATAACACTTTTTCAAGATAGGAGAAAATAACAAGTATTTCAGGAGTCCAGAGAGAGTTTGCTCTGCTAGAGGGATCAGAGCCTTGTGGGGGAAGGTGGCATCTTCAGCACCCCATATGGATGTACATAGAGAAGGCATTCCACACACACAACACCAGGAAAAAAGTCAAAGAGGCTGAAAGAGCAGGGTGTGTTGGGGAAGGGGAAGAAGTTTAGTCTGTTATTAACGAGCATCATGAACGACCAAGCTGGTATCAAGTTTGTTAAGGCCAGATAGGGAATGGCTACACATTCCAGGCAAGAAGATAAGACTATCCTGTATGCATGGAATCCACTGAAGAGTTTTGAAAAGAAACTGACAAAACTCAAAGGTGATTTAAGAATATCAAATGTGTTAGCAAGCAATGAGTTGAAAAAGGGGGAAAAAATAAAAGAATACCAAATATGGCCAGGTGCCACAGCTCACGCCTGTCTGTAATGCCAGTACTTTGGGAGGTGGAGGTGGGTGGATTGCTTGAGCCCATGGGTTTGGGACTAGCCTTGGCAACATGTCAAAACCCCTTCTCTACAAAAAATACCCCTCCCAAAAAAAAGAAAAAGAAAAGAAAAATTAGCTGAGCGTGGTGGCGCATGCCTGTGGACCCAGCTACACAGGAAGCTAAGGCAAGAGGCTCACTTAAGCCTGGTAGGTCGAGGCTGCAGTGACCTGTGATCATGCCACTACATTCCAGCCTGCGTGACAGAGCAAGACCCTGTCTCAAAATAAAATAAAATAAAATAAAAAGCCAAATGTGTTAGCAAAGTGCAAGGTGAATTTTTTCTTTTCTTTTTTTTTTTTTTTTTTTTTTTGAGACAGAGTCACGCTCTGTCGCCCAGGCTGGAGTGGTGCGGTCTCAGCTCATTGCAACCTCTGCCTCCCAGGTTCAAGCGATTTTTGTGCCTCAGCCTTCCCAGTAGCTGGGATTACAGGTGTGCATTACCACACCCAGCTAATTTTTCGTATTTTTGGTAGAGACAAGATTTCAACACATTGACCAGGCTGGTCTCTAACTCCTGGCCTCAAGTTGATCCACCGGCCTAGACCTCCCAAAGCGCTGGTATTACAGGCATGAGCCACCACGCCCAGCCACGTGGTGAATTTTACAAAGGACTATAGATAGGGAGACTAGTGAAGGCAGTAATAAGAATAATAGCAAATACTTATTGAGCACTTACAGTATGCCATCCAATATTTTTACTTGCAGTATCTCATTTATTGCTCACAAAAACCTTGTTATTTACTCCTTTTCACAAATAAGGAACTTTAGGCTTACAAAGGATAAATAACTTGTCCAGGTTCATCCAGAGCTGGAAGTTGAACTCATTTTCTGGTTTGTAGTACTCAGCCCCTAAGTTAATTATGATCTGAAAGTGGTTGCAGTGGGTTTAGGGAAGGAGAAGATGTAAGAAATGATAACTTTTGTAAGTGATAGTATTTTTGTTTTGCTTGTTTTTTTAGAGACAGGGTCTGACTGTCGCACGGGCTGGAGTGCAGTGGCATGATCATAGCTACTGCAGCCACAAACTCCTGGGCTCAAGCTATCCTTCCACCTCAGCCTCCTGAGTAGCTAGTACTATAGGCATTAGCCACTATGCCCGGCTAATTATTTTAATTTTTTAATTTTAATTATTATTAAAATTTTTGATTTTAATTATTTTGTAGAGATAGTGTCTCACTATGTTTCCCAGGTTGGTCTGGAACTCCTGGGCTCAAGCAGTCCTCCCGCCTCGGCCACCCAAAATGCTGGGATTTCAGGCATGAGCCACTATGCCTGGTAATATTTTTGTACTCTATATTTGAGGTGAAGAATGAAAAAACAACAAATATCACCATAGTTGGACTAAATTCCTGGGCTTTTTTCCCCCAGTAATGGCCTCATCACATATTTCCTAGATACTTTTCTATAGTAAAAAAATAAGATACCAGTAAGCAAAATATGTTGCTGCAGATATGCCTCACTTTAAGAAAAGTCATAATAGCAAAATGGGGAAAGAGTTTAGATACCAGTTGGATTTGGCCTTCTGCTGGAACTTCTTAGAAGCCTCACAGAAGGAAGTGGCAGCACCACTGGCTTGGAGGTGTACTTTTATGCTTTCAAATATTCCCACTGGGGACATTTCCCAAATATAAACTGGAATTTTTCAAGGCATTTGCCTCTGGGTAAAGATCTTTCTTGGGCTAATACCTGTTTCAAAATCTATAATGGGACCAGGTGCGGGGTGGCTTATGCCTGTAATCCCAGCACTTTGGGAGGCCAAGGCGAGTGGATCATCTGAGGTCAGGAGTTCAAGACCACCCTGGCCAACATGGCGAAATCCCATCTCTACTAAAAATACAAAAAAATAACTGGGCGTGGTGGCACATGCCTGTAGTCCCAGCTACTTGGGAGGCTGAAGCAGGAGGATCACTTGAATGCAGGAGGCGGAGGTTGCAGTGAGCCAAGATTGCTCCACTGCACTCCGGCCTAGGCAACAGAACGAGACTCCGTCTCCAAAAATAAAAATAAAAACAAATAAAAATCTGTAATGATTTCAGGGCACTGGAGGAGTGATTTCCTTATCCTCTGGTCAAGTCAGCAAACTGCCCCCAACCCCCCAACACAAAAGTAGCATAAGGAGGTTGAGCCAGGGAGTGCGCCCTTCAGAAACCGCTGGATTGCTTCCCATTGCCCTGGTGCTCTCTTCGTGATAGCTGAAACCTGTAAAAAGAGGAGCAGGAAGGGGCAGTCTTCATTTATTCCAATACCTTCTATTCAATACCTCATACTTCCAGTCTTTTCCTATTGCAGATAGCACAATTAAACCCTGTATATGTGAAAAACTCCTTCAAACCTAGACTTCTCACTCAGAGGCTATCACCTTTAGAAATTCTAGTATATATTGTATAATACACTGACTGCTTTTTTCCCTTTGCTAATATTCTTACACCACTTTGTATGTTTTATCATTCCAATTAGATCATATGTTCCTAAAAAGCAGAAATTACCTTAACAAAGTCCTCCCACCGCCTGCACTATCGTCCGGAATGTAGTAGTCACTCCATCTTGATTTGTCATTTTTCTCCTCTTTTCTCTGATTTATCTTTCATACTGATCATGTATCTCTGATGGCAGCATTAAAAAAGTTTAATGATACTCTACATAAAAGTTATTTACTCAGATTTCATTTCACAATGTTTATTGAATTCATTCTATGTGCCAGTTTCCTTAGAATACGAGTGCTGATTATTTTCTTTTGGGGTCATAGTTCTTAGGAAGTTTTCGGATCATTAACACCTTTGAGAATTTAATGAAAGTCATAGGAACCTTCTCCCAGAAAAACACACATACATTAACGTACAGTCATGCATCACTTAACAGTGGAAACATGTTCTGAGAAATGTGTCATTAGGCAGTTACATCGTTGTGTGAACATCATAGAGTATGTTTACATAAACCTAGGTGGTGTAGACTACTATACCCCTAGGCCATACTGAATAACCTATTGCTTCTAGACTACAAACCTGCACAGTATGTTACTGTACTGAATACTGTAGGCAACACAATGGTAGGTATCTGCAGTGCTTGTTTATCATCTTGAAAAAATATTTTCATCAAAGAGAACAGTGATTGTATGAGTTATTTTCAGAACCACTTACCAATGGGTTTTTTGTGTTCTTTCCTTTGTACTGATGTTTCTGATTCACATCAGCATTTGCTAAGTTTTATTATGGAAAGGGTGGGGCATGATGGCTCACACCTGTAATCCTAGAACTTTGGGAGGCCAAGGCAGGCGGATCACTTGAGGCCAGGAGTTCGAGACCAGCCTGGCCAGCATGGTGAAACCCCATCTCTACTAAAAATACAAAAATTATCTGGGCCTGGTGGCTCGCGCCTATAGTCCCAGTTACTCAGGAGGCTGAGACAGGAGAATTGCTTGAACCTGGGAGGTGGAAATTGCAGTGAGCCAAGATCATGCCACTGTACTCCAGCCTGGACGACAGACTGAGACTCTGTATAAAAAAAAAAACAAGGATTTTTTATTACAGAAAGACTGATGAAGCCAGGCATGGTGGCTCACACCTGTAATCCCAACACTTTAGGAGGCTGAGACAGGCAGATCACTTGAGCTCAAGAGTTTGAGACCAGCCTGGGCAACATGGTGAAACCCCATCTCTACCAAAAACTCAAAAAAATTAGCTGGGCATGGTGGTGGGCGCCTGTGGTCTCAGCTACCTGGAAGGCTGAGGTGGGAAGATCACTTGAGCCCGGGAGGTGGAGGTTGCAGTGAGCTAAGATCACGGCAGGGCACTCCAGCCTGGAGACAGAGCCTAACCCCGTCTCAAAAAAAAAAAAAAAAGACTGATGAAGAGTAAGCCCTGTCATCTAGAACCTGAGGCTGTGTATATGAGATCAATTAATTTGTGTAAAATATGTGTGTTAAATGGTGCAGAGAGGGAGCAAGAGCTGTTATTTGAGAATTTATTCTGCATGTGAATAACTAACAAAGGGATTACTGGACACTGAAAAATGTTTACAAAGGTCCACAGCTCCTTGCCTGTGCCTGGAAACCTGTTGCAATTTTTATTATTTCAGTAAGACAAGGCTATTGAGATTACTAAAAAGGATGAGATTCCAATTGACTTTTAGGAATCCGGTATGACAGATTTCTTTCTTGCTGGATGAAGTCTTTTCTTTTTTTTTTTTAAGACGTAATCTCGCTCTATTGTCCAGGCTGGAGTGCAGTGGCCAGATCTCGGCCTACTGCACCCTCCGCCTCCCGGGTTCAAGTGATTCTCCTGCCTCAGCCTCCCAAGTAGCTGGGACTACGGTTGTGTGCCACCACGCCGGGCTACTTTTTTGTATTTTTAGTAAAGATGGGTTTTCACCACGTTGTCCAAGCTGGCCTCAAATTCCTGACCTCAGGTGATCTGCCTGCTCGGCCTCCCAAAGTGCTGGGATTAAAGGTGTGACCCACTGGGCCCAGCTGGGCTGGAGTCTTTTTTTTTTTTTTTTCTTTTGAGACAGAGTGTCGCTCTGTTGCCAGGCTGGAGTGCAGTGGCACGATCTCAGCTCACTGCAATCTCTGCCTCCCGGGTTCAAGCAATTCCCCTGCCTCCGCCTCCCAAGTAGCTGGGACTACAGGTGTGCACCACCATGCCAGGCTAATTTTTTGTATTTTAGTTGAGATGGGGTTTCACCATGTTGGCCAGGATGGTCTCTAGCTCCTGACCTCGTGATCCGCCCGCCCTGGCATCCCAAAGTGCTGGGATTACAGGCGTGAGCCACTGCGCCTGGTCAAAGCCTATTTTCAAAGGTAAAAAGATCTGATTACAGCGTGAAGAATCTCTCTTCTACCAATAAGAAAGATCTATAGGCAGTGCAGACATCATCAGTATTATCAGTGAGTGTTACTGTGGTTCTTGCGTATGCAAGGCACTCGGCGGGGTTCCAAGCTTGTAAAACCCATTCCTGCACTTAAGTTCTCAGGACTAGATTGTAACCAGGATGAAGCCAGAGACCATGTTTTTGTTTATGCAGGTTTTCATTACATATTGCTTGCTTATATTCTCAATACTTAACAACCATGTCTGGCATGTACTAGTTGCTAAATAAATATATGTTGAACATCTTGAATCAATTAAAATAGCTGGAGAGAAAAAAACAGTTAAATGAAATAAGGAGAACGTCTATTTTGTAATGTTGCTTGTATTTCATGTATGTAGTGTATGTATTTACTTATTTATTTATTTTATTTCGAGACAGAGTCTCACTGTGTCGCCCAGGCTGGGGTGCAGTGGCGTGACCTCGGCTCACTGCAACCTCCGCCTCCTGGGTTCAAGGGATTCTCATGCCTCAGCCACTCGAGTAGCTGGGATTATAGGCATGCGCCACCACACCCAGCTAATTTTTGTATTTTTAGTAGGGACGGGCTTTCTCCATGTTGACCAGGCTGGATGAATTCATATTTTTAAGAAATGGGGGCCGGGCTTGGTGGCTCATGCCTGTAATCCCAGCACTTTCGGAGGCCAAGGCAGGTGGATTACCTGAATTCAGGAGTTTGAGACCAGCCTGGCCAACATGGTGAAACCCCGTCTCTACTGAAGATACAAAAATTAGCCGGACGTGGTGGCACATGCCTGTAATCCCAGCTACTTGGGAGGCTGAGTCAGGAGAATCGCTTGAACCCAGGAGGCAGAGGTTGCAGTGAGCCAAGATTGCACCACTGCATTCCAGCCTGGCAAACAAGAGTAGAACTGTCTCAAAAAAAAAAAAAAAGAAAGAAAGAAAGAAAGAAACAAATGGGATTTATTCTGTCACCAAGGCTGGAGTGCAATGGTGCAATTGATGCAGGTTTTTTTTTAACTTATGCAATTATTAGTTTACTATAATAGTATCATCCAGAACTCAGATGTTCAGTATTCCTCCTGAAATTACATAAACAAGTATAATTGGGAAGAATCCAAGTCAAAATTATATAACAAAACAGCACTTCATCACAAAAGCATGGAAAATAATCTAGAGTCCTCGTGTAAAGATGAGAACATACTTTTGTGTTAGTCCTTCAAGGACGGACTTTCAAAATGTTTTATTCTGATGATGCCACGCTCTGAGTAGATCGGTTACTCTTCACTTTGTAGATATAAGTGGGCTGTGTGAAATTTGTTATCAACTGATCAAGATTTTTGAGTTTCAGATATGGATGAAAATCATCTCAGTTTAACTTTAATTTATCCCCATTTTGATATGCAGGGTATATACACAAAAGCTTTTTTATCAGCTAACTATATGAAAAGGTAAACACTGGACCAGGCACAGTGGCTCATGCCTGTAATCCCAGCACTTTGGGAGGGAGGCTGAGGCGGGTGGATCATCAGAGATCAGGAGTTCGTGACCAGCCTGACCAACATGGTGAAACCCCATCTCTACTAAAAATACAAAAATTAGCTGGGTGTGGCGGTGGGAGCCTGTAATCCCAGCTACTCAGGAGGCTGAGGCAGGAGAATCGCTTGAATCCAGGAGGCGGAGGTTGCAGTGAGCCAAGATCACACCATTGCACTCCAGTCTGGGTGACAGAGCGAGACTCCATCTCAATAAAAGAAAAGAAAAGAAAAAAAAAAGTGTTTTCACTTTGAGATGTGTAAGTCAGAAACAAGTATTTACAGAAGAAAAAGCTAATTTTTAAAGTTTACATGTACTGAGCAACTGAAAAATAAATATAGTTTTTAAATAGTCATATGGGAGATCATTTACCCTTTGAAAATCATCATGAAAAAATATTAAACAATGTCATTTCTATGTGCTAAATCCTGGGAACAACAGATAATCTACCTATGCATGCAGGTGAGGTATAGACCAGAATTTATTGTCTAGTGTCTTGTTTTATCTTACCGTTTGTTGATATAACATGATGTTTTATTTTTTTGAGATGGGGGTCTCACTATGTGACATGGGGACACTATGTGTCCCCACCCAAATCTCATCTTGAATTGTAGTTCCCATAACCATGTGTGGTGGAAGGGACCCAGCAGGAGATAAGTTAATTATGGGGGCAGTTACTCTAATGCTGTTCTCGTGATAGTGAGTTCTCACGAGATCTGATGGTTTTACAAGGGGCTTTTCCCTCTTTTGCTGGGCACTTCTCCTTGCTGCTGCCATGTGAAGAAGGATGTGTTTGCTTCCCCTTCCACCACGATTGTAAGTTTCCTGAGGCCTCCCCAGCCATGCTGAACTCTGAGTCAATTGAACCTGTTTCCTTTATAAATTACCCAGTCTCGGGTATGTCTTTATTAGCAGCACGAGAACAGACAAATACACTGTATTACTCAGGTTGGTCTCAAACTCCTGGACTCAAGTGATGCAAGTAGCTGGGATTATAGGTGTGCACCATGGCACTCAATGTAAAAGTATTTTTGAAATTTCATTTTGTTTTTTATAATTTGCTTTAAATTGCTTTTTTATTCAACATATATATTTTCTCTTTCGTAGTCAAAAGCTGTCTTTAATCATTTTGGTTATGTTTTTACATAGATTCTGAGTGAAAGTCTCCCCGTGAGTTGTCTGTGAACAGATTTTAAGTTATAACACTGGTTATAGGTAAAGATTTACTACAGAAGAACATGAAAGAAAAATAAAGACATATTATAGTTATTATATATAAATTTTTTAAACCCCAAGAAATAAACTACAGGGTGACATTATAACAATATTTATCAAATAAGAATTTTTAGATGAGTGTTCACCAGATGCATCCTTTTATACAAGACACAGTATAGTATAGTATGTCTATTATCTTAAACTCATAAATTGCAAATATGTTATGAATAAATCAGATTCCCTTCAACTGTAATTTTGCCTTCTTTATTAATCTTTCTACATCTGGTTTCCATTGCAGTTCTATACGCAGCCATCAAACAGGTTGTCTTTAAGATTTTTTCTTTTAATTTTTTATTTTAATATAATTTCAGTCTTACAGAAAATTTACAAGAATAGTACAAAGAATACCTATGTACTTTTCACTCATATTTCCCAGATTTAACATTTACCACACTGGCATCTAGGCTTGCGCTCTCTCTCTCTCTGTCTCTCTCTCTCGGTGGACATGATGCTCCTTTGTCCCTAAATGTGTCAGTGTGTAATTCCAGAAACAAGGTCATTCTTTTACATAGCCATAGTACAATTATCAAAATCAGGAAATGGATACAACGCCATTGTCTAATATTGCCTGTTCTATAGTGGTCATTTGAATTTTGCCAGTTGTCGATAATGGCAATAACGTTCTTCATAGCAAAATGAAATCCTGGATCATGTATTGCATTCAGACGTCCTTTCTCTAGTCTCATTTAATCTGAAATTGTTTCCCAGTCTTTCTTTGTTTTTCATGACATTAACTAATTTACTGATTTCTAGCCAATCAATATACCGAGAATTTTTAAGGAGGTGAGTATATTCCGAGAAACTGAATTAATCACTGTCAAAATGCACAGGCAAATGCTTAGGTGCTAATTATCTTATGTTACATTCACTTAAAAAATTATGCCCAAGGAAATGCTAGAGCAAAGGGTGAGCAAAAAACAACTTAGAATTCTAAATTTTTCCCCTGTTCTAACCCAATCCAATCTCCTTTTTATAGATGAGTAAATAGGAGAAAATAGAGTAAGACACATTAGATGAGTGATAAAAAATCCTCCAGCTCTCCTGCTTCTTGGATCTCTGTACATTTCTCTGTAGCATAATGCTTACAAAAAGTTGTAGTTTGGCTTATTTTTATTAATTCCATCCACTGTGTTGGGTTTGTCTAAGAATTCTGCCCAGCAGTGACCTCTGTTACATGTTTATCATATATAATAGTTGATATTTGGTGAATATCTTAATGTTTATAATGTAATGCTTGTCATATAGAAGTTAAATATGCCTTAGGACTACCCACATAGTATTTGGATAGCAGTGTGTCAATTTTTCCAAGACACAAGTGTAAGGTGAGCTTATTCTATACATCATGGAAGACAAGGTGCGCTCCAGGTTATGTACTGAAGGAGGGAGCCTCTTAATGAGATACTTCTCTAAGCTTTCCACCACAGTGTCCCTGATAGCACAGAGGACTGAAGAGCTGTACTGCTGCAGGCCTGCACAGTGGCCTGATCTAGCCTACATAAAGCTACACATTACTTTGAACCTTTATGCATTTCATGTTTGACATTCATACACATTTTATGTTCCTTCTAATTAAAAAGATGTTGCCCCCCACCACCACCAAAATCATCAAAGGAGATAGTACTTATTTATCCTGTGACTTCAAGTACCCCACACATCATCACACCCAGTTTGAGATGCACACAACTGGTTTATGAAGAGAGTTGTGGAATTCCATGCTTCCATGTGGAGTCCAGATCCTTGTCCTAGTGGTGACTCATGAGTGACTCTTTGACAAGGAAACAGCAATCTGTGGCAAACTGCAAGGATAGGGCTCGACAGCAGAGCAGTCATTTGGACTTTGATGCCACCATGAGGAGTTGAAGAAATACTGGGAACAATAGGACTGATACAGATTGGGAGGAAGGAGACCAGGATTCTGGTCCTCTCTCTGCTACTCACTTTGTCATGTGATCTTGGGCAAAGCTCTGGTATCTGCACTCTGGTTTCTTTACATAGAAATAGGCAGGACTAAAGTAGATGATGTTAATTTTCTTCTGGCAATAATATTTTGTGATTCAATATGAATTAATAGCATGCATTAACCTGGTAATAGTTGCTGTGTTTTTCAATTTACAAATTTAATTTGATAGATGCCCCTAAGATTGTTACCAGCCACATGCTGCTGATAATATGATGTATTTTTTTTTTCAAAGCAATCAGTGTGTATACACTTATAATTACTACTGTGAAATCTAGGCCTGCCATCTTATGGATCCTGAATGGTACTACTAGAAAGGGTGGTATGTCTGATAGTGTCAGGAGATAATTTTGACACAAATTAAGAGAATACCTGCTTATGTACATGTAGCTTGTATCCACAGGAGTTTATACAGTAGTTTGAAATTTATTTTCTTTGATAATTCTTAACTTTAAATCTGTAGGAAAAAAATCAGGTAAATCTAAGAACTTCCCCACCCCCAATTTTAATTGTTTATTGATTTCAATAATTATTTTCTAGGCAACACTTCACTTTCTAAATAGCTGGCTACAGGTAGGTCTTTTGCTGTTGAAATGTTTGGAACAAGAGACTGGTTCTTCGAGATAATTGTGCGGAAGTGCTGGCATGCATATTTTATGAAAGCTGTGATCAGCTACTCATCCACGACTGTGAAACAGTCTTCCTTTCTTCTTTTTATATAGCTAAAAGAAGATGAGAATAGATGATTTTCTGTTGCAGAAAACATTAGGGTGAGCATTTATGGAATTCACTTCTTCCACCCCCCCACCCCGCCCGCCCCCGCTGATGCACTTAGTATTTATCTTCTGTCACGTAGAGGATCCAAAACACAGAACTTCTGTTCACAATGAGCATGGGTAGAGTTAGGTAGTGAAAACACTTTTCAACTCTTTCAAAGCTGTAACTTTAAAAATACTGTAAATAGGCTGGGCACGATGGCTCACACCTGTAATCTCAGCACTTTGGGAGGCTAAGGTGGGAGGATTGCTTGAGCCCAGGAGTTTTGAGGCCAGGCTGGGCAACCTAGTGAAACCCTGTCTCTACGAAAGATGAAAAATTAGACAGGGATGGTGGCGTGTGCCTGTACTCCCAGCTACTCAGAAGGCTGAGGTGGGAGGATCGCTTGAGCCTGGGAGGTCGTGGATGCAGTGAGCCATGATTGCTGCACTGCACTCCAGCCTGAGTGACAGAGTGAGACCCTATCTCAAAAAAAAAAAAGTAAATAAAAGACAAGGGAAAAAGACTCTGATTCCCAGTTAAATTATGGAATTTGTCTCTAATTTAACTTTGGTTCAGTGCAAATCCAAATAGAATTGTTTTGCCTCCTTCCCACTAATACAATTTGAGACCCTGAAATACTTAAAGTATTGCTTCTGATGGGCATCCTGAGATTTTATCTGGGGCAAAATGGTAATTCTTCTGTTTAAGGTTGCTGGTTTTGTGACGCTTTTTAAACTGCATTTTGTTTCCCACTGGTTTTCAATTTACTTTCAGTACACTTCAGTATTTGTGGAGGTCCTAATCTCTTTCGAGTGGAAATGTAATTATAGTGTAGTAGAAGGCAATAGTGGGTCATGGCTGACAAGTGCAAGCTCCTGCCATAACCAATTTTCATTGATATGGATTCCTACAACTGAATCAAACATAGACAGCCCATATCAATCAGAGAGAACTACTGTGGAGTTCTACCCCAACCATTTTAGCTTCTCTGGGCTCCATTTTTTTTTTTTTTTTTTTTTTGCTGAATAGAGACATTGGCTGAGATTACCTCCTTCCTGCTGCCTCCCAGAAGGTTAATGCCAGGAGGTCCAAGACACATCTCATGATTTAATTATCAGATCCCCTTTCTTTAGAATTTCCTCTTGAGCCGATCAAGTCTTATTAATGATTTTTGGGAGTACCTGGGACTATAGGCTCATGCCATCACACCTGGCTAATTTTTAAGTGTTTTGTAGAGAGGGGCTCTCACTATGCTGCCCAGGCTGGTCTCAAACTCCTGGGCTAAAGCAGTCCTCCCATCTCAGCTTCCCAAAGTGCTGGGGTTACAGGCATGAGCCACCACGCCTGGCCTATTTTTCTGTATAAACTGATTATATATTTAAGATTTTTATAAATACTTTAAAAGTTTTAAATTGCTGGTCAAAGTTAAAAAGTATTCTTTTGCCTTTCGGCCGGAACCGCCATGTTCCAGTAATTCGCCAAAATGACGAACACAAAGGGAAAGAGGAGAGGCACCCGATATATGTTCTCTAGGCCTTTTAGAAAACATGGAGTTGTTCCTTTGGCCACATATATGCGAATCTATAAGAAAGTTGATATTGTAGACGTCAAGGGAATGGGTACTGTTCAAAAAGGAATGCCCCACAAGTGTTACCATGGCAAAACTGGAAGAGTCTACAGTGTTACCCAGCATGCTGTTGGCATTGTTGTAAACAAACAAGTTAAGGGCAAGATTCTTGCCAAGAGAATTAATGTGCGTATTAAGCACATTAAGCACTCTAAGAGCCAAGATAGCTTCCTGAAACGCGTGAAGGAAAATGATCAGAAAAAGAAAGAAGCCAAAGAGAAAGGTACCTGGGTTCAACTAAAGCGCCAGCCTGCTCCACCCAGAGAAGCACACTTTGTGAGAACCAGTGGGAAGGAGCCTGAGCTGCTGGAACCTATTCCCTGTGAATTCATGGCATAATAGGTGTTAAAAAAAATAATAATAATAAAGGACCTCTGGGCTACAAAAAAAAAAAAAAAAAAAAAAAGTATTCTTTTGTAGGCTGACTCTGATAGTTTACTTAAAGCATATTTGAGAAAGCTTTTCATTTCTACTTCCAGTTGCTCAAATCATGTTTCAGAATTTCTAAATCATGTACATTTGTTTTTGTTCTTTTTGTCCCCCCCTTAATCAGGTAGCAGTGTTTAATAATCCATAGGCTATAGACCTCTGCAGGGGTCTCTGGAATCTTAGCCACTTTGAATTTCCTTACAGCAGTGACATCATTTCCATTGCTAATTATATGTCAGTGCCCCTTTGGGGAATGCATTTATTCCTAAAATACACTGTCATAAAATTAAATGACTATACCAATTGCCAACAATATATTTTATAGAAATGAAATTTTGTTCACAAGAATAAATCACTATGGAAAAGATACCTCACAAATAGTGTTTTATGAGGCTCTAAGTTTCACATAAAAAAAGATAAGGTTTAAAATAATTCTGAAACATAGGGCCGAGTGCAGTGGCTCATGCCTGTAATCCCAGCACTTTGGGAGGCCGGGGCAGAAGGACCACCAGAGGTCAGGAGTTCCAGACCAGCCTGGCCAACGTGGCAAAACCCTGTCTCTACTAAAAATGCAAAAATTAGCCAGGAGTGGTGGTGGGTGCCTGTAATCCCAGCTATGCAGGAGAATCACTTGAACCCAGGAGGCGGAGACTGCAGTGAACCGAGATTGCGCCACTACACTCCAACCTGGGTAACAGAGTGAGACTCCTGTCTAAAAAACAAATAAATAAATCTGAAACTGGGCTTCAGTGAAGGACTGCAAATGTGTAATTTACACGCCAAAACATAAATGTATAGCTATCTATTTAATTTCAAAGTTCAGTTTACTTTCTGTCCTACCACAGGAATGTTCCAGTGGCCATAAATCCAGAAATGAAATCATTGCCATTTTTTTGCCTTTTACTTAATTATGCAACTAAAATATTTTTCTTTAGGCAATTACTTTTGGGAGAACAAGGTACCAGTGTACATTTAAACTGAGCCAGTTGGCTATATAGGACCTTGTGTAATAAGATGTATTTTAAAAGCTTGTTAAGCAGAATTGCTTAATAATGGAATAAGGGAATAAGTTGGGTAGAAAAGAAGCAAACCAGATCCTTCTTTTTTTTTTTTTTTTGGCCCATTTCATCTTGTATAGATCCTATTTCTGTGAAGACTCAAGCATAAGTTGAGGATCACTCTTGGTTTTCCATAGAATTTTTTTGTTATTAATAATAAAAAATAATCCAGATGTACTCAGAGATCCCTTCTAAGAATCTAAGATTTTAGTAAACTTCAAATGATCTTTTATGCAGTTAACCTTAACACTTTCAGAGGGTATGAATGGGGGGCATTTTTAGGGTATCCAGTCATTGTTAATGGGAATATATCCTGAGTTGGGGCTACGCAGAAAAATCTGTTTCCCACCTTGGTGTCTTAAAGGCATCCTGATAGTAGAGAGAGAAAAATATCCAACTCCTGTAGCTTAATAAAAGCAATTATCCATTTCAAGTTTCTTTTCTTTTTGTATAATCTTCAGCAAGTTCTTTTTAAAAAATTTTTTTTTGAGTCAGGGTCTTTCTCTGTCACCCAGGCTGGAGGGCAGTGGCACAATCATGGCTCACTGCAGCCTTGACCTCCCGGGGCTCAGGTGATCCTTCCACCTCGGCCTCCGGAACAGCTGGGATCACAGGCACATGCCATAATGCCCAGTTAATTTTCATATTTTTTTGTAGAGACAGAGTTTCACCATGTTGCCCAGGCTGGTCTCAAACTCCTGGGCTCAAGCGAGCCCTCTGCCTCCGCCTCCCAAAGTGCTGGGATTACAGGCATGAGCCACTGTGCCTGGCCAGGAAGTCCTTTTTTAATAGGATGTGAGGTTCATTTCTTTTATTAGGTTCTAGAGTTTGATCTTCCCCAAGAGATGACTATCCTTCGATAACTAGCCATGTTTGGTGGCAGTACCTTGTAGGATCTGGAGGTTGGTTGATGGTGAAGATTATTCCATTTTAATTACGGCAGAAGAGCCTTGTGATCAGAACTCAAGGGCATGATTCTTCCTTTTGGGTGGATACCAGCTGCATATCTTCCACCACCCCTTAGCATGCATTTAGTTGAAAGAGGAAGTGGCTCCCTGGCTGCCAGTGCCTGTCCAGCGTCCATGCAGCACTGCATTAGAATTCCATGCAGCACTGCAAAGGGGTCTTGTTGACCAGGGTGAACTGTGGTTTGTTTCTGACCAACAGTAAGCTGACCCTTAGCAAAACTATGACATAAGAATGGTGAATGGTTTTTGACACCATTCACCATGGTCTTTACTTTTCCTCCTCCATGGTCATCAAGCCACAGCTTCCACCTTCAGATGTTCAGGGTATTTATTTATTTATTTATTTGTTTATTTATTTATTTATTTATTATTGAGGCTGAGTTTCACTCTTGTTGCCCAGGCTGGAGTGCAGTGGCGTGATCTCGGCTCACTGCAACCTCTGCCTCCCGGGTTCAAGAGATTCTCCTGCCTCAGCCTCCTGAGTAGCTGGGATTACAGGCACCCGCAGCCACACCCGGCTAATTTTTTGTATTTTAGTAGAGACAGGGTTTCACCATGTTGGTCAGACTGGTCTCGAACTCCTGACCTCAGGTGATCCACCTGCCTTGGCCTCCTGAGGTGCTGGGATTACAGGCGTGAGCCGCCGTGCCTGGCTCAGGGTATTGATTTTGTATTCTCCACAGCATAACCTCTCTGCAAGCTTTCTGGAAAGGAAGTGTTATTAATATGCAAATGCAAATTTAGGTTAATGTCTTACCTCTCTCAGGAGTATGTACATTTCAAACTTTTCTAGTTATGGAATGATAGATTCATCTGGCAGCAAATGTATTCTAGGGCCCTTCTGGAAATTATATCAGGTTAAACTCTCTTTTATCCTGCCTTCTTTTAAGGTCTTAGCCTCCAGTCTCATCTCCAAGATGCCTCCTCCTACTGCTCTCTCTCCTTCGTTTATTCAGCAACTATTTATAGAGCTCCAGTATGTGCCATGCACTAGGCTAGGCACAGGAATGCCAAGATGAGCTAAAGAAAGGCACAGTTCCTGCTGTTTGTAGTCTCATGAGAGATTCTGATATTGTCAAATAATTATATGCAGCAATGTCAAGTCATAACTGTGGTAAATGTTATGAAGGAGAAACAGCGCTGTGTGTATCTAACCACCTGGGCCCAGCCAGGGGGTCCAGGACACATTCCCTGAGAAAGTTTGAGCTGAGTTAAAGAGACAAAGGAAGTGGGAAATAAATTTGCAAGGAGAGGATTTGTTAAAGATGGTGCTGGCAGTGTTTTCCTCAGGATCCACTGCTTCTCTGCTTCCCTCCCACCTCCTGTGTGCTTCTGCCCTCAACAAGTCAACATCTGAGGAGCAGGGTCACTTGAGTGCTCTCTCTCTGGCACTTGACAGGTAGGGGATCACTGTGCCCACCGTCTTGCCCTCCTGGCTTTCCAGTGTGACAAAGCAAAGTAGGCTTCCAGTGTGTTAGATGGGAGACCCCCACTCCTCCTGCCTCAAATGGGCCTTAGAACTGGGTTGATGCTGCAGGCTGGGACAGGGGGCTTCTTACTTCCCTGTTTGTTAGAGTCTAATCTGGCAGCTGCTGTGAATATAGGAGGATCCAAAGGTCAGGTCTTTAGTAAGTCAGTTCTGGTAATTGCTATAGACTTAATGTTCGTGTCCCCTCAAAATGCATGTGTTGAAATCCTAATGCCCCGGTGTGATGGTATTAGGAGGTGGGACCTTGGACAGGGATTAGGTCATGAGGGTTGGATGGCATTAGAGACCCTGGAAAGCTCCTTCACCCCTTCTGCTATGTGAGGACACAGCCAGAAGATAGCTGTCTACGAACCAGGAAACGAGCCCTCACTAGACACAGAACATGCTGACACCTTGATCTTGGACTTCCCCGCCTCCAGAACTGTGGGAAATGAACTTCAGTTGTTTATAAGCCACCCAGTCTATGGTATTGTGTTATAACAGCCCAAACAGATGAAGACTAATCTGATGAGTAAATCATGAGACATGCCAAAGTGTCAAAATAGGTGATCATTCCCACTTTAAAAGAAAAACAAAAAGAAAAACAAACAAACAAAAAAAAACTTTGTAATTTTCAGTCACTTCAAGGCATTCCGCCTCTTCCTCCTCCTCGTCCTCATCTTCTTCTTCTTCCTCCTCCTCCTCTTCTTCTTCCTCTTCTTCTTCTTTTTGTTTTTGTTTGTTTGTTTGTTTGTTTTTTAGACAGGGTCTTTTTCTGTCCCCCAGGCTAGAGTGCAGTGATGCGATCATGGCTCACTGCAGTCTCAATGTCCTGGGCTTAAGGATCCTCCTGCTCCCCAGTACCCCAGTACCTGGGACCACAGGTGTGCACCACCACACCCGGGTAATTTTTTTTGTTTTTTGTAGAGACGAGGTCTTGCTAGGTTGCCCAGGCTGCCCTTCTATTTTTCCTTCTGAGGCAGTGGGAAAAAAGTTATATGATTATTTCATGCAGGGATTAGTCCAGGTTCAACCCAGAACAAAGGCCATCGAGTCTTCTCCATCTGGGAGATGATTCATCCTGTTGTATTCACTATTTATGGCTCCTTTTGTTTTTTGAATTCTAGATTAAATTGGTCCTTGATATGGGCATTCTGGACATTCTCTCGTGTTTTCCTGTTCTAATGTATTTCATTCTGCATTTTCTACATCCAGTTTTGTGCCCCAGGTATGCCTGTGTAGGCTGGCTTTCAGCTGAGCCTTCTTGGGCTTACTAATGCTACTGATAATGAAAGACTGAGCCCCAGTTGGTGACCAACTCAGGAACACTCCAGTTCATCCTGGTGTATATAGCCTTAGGGTTTCCATGAAAACCTTTCTTTTTAATTTTTGTCTTTTAAGAAATTATGGCTGGGTGTGGTGGCTCACGCCTGTAATCCCAACAATTTGGGAGGCCTAGCTGGGTGGATCACTTGAGGTCAGGAGTTCTAGACCAGCCTAGCCAACATGGTGAAACCCAGTGTCTACCAAAAAATACAAAAAAATTAACAGGGCATGGTGGTGCACGCCTGTAATCCCAGCTTCTTGAGAGGCTGAGGTGGGAGAATTGCGTGAATGCCAGAGGTGGAGGTGGCAGTGATTGTATCACTGCACTCCAACCTGGGCATCAGACTCTGTCTCAAAAGAAAAAAAAAAGAAATTACATATGCATTTCCTGAAATGTTTTATTGTAAAAGATTTTTAGGGTACAGTGGCTCACATTTGTAATCCTAGCACTTTGGGAGACCAAGGTGAGTGGATCACCTGAGGTCAGGAGTTCAACACCAGCCTGGCCATCATGGTGAAACCCCGTCTCTACTAAAAATAAAAAAACTGGGCTGGGCACGGAGGCTCACGCCTGTAATCCCAGCACTTTGGGAGGCTGAGGCGGGTGGATCACCTGAGATCAGGAGTTTGAGAAAAGCCTGGGCAACATGGTGAAACCCCGTCCCTACCAAAAATACAAAAATTAGCCGGGTATGGTGGCAGGCGCCTGTAATCCCAGCTACTCAGGAGGCTGAGGCAGGAGAATCGCTTGAACATGGGAGGCAGAGTTTGCATTGAGCCAAGATCGCGCCATTGCACGCCAGCCTGGGCGACAAGAGAAAAACTCCATCTCAAAAACAAAAAACAAAAAAATTAGTCGGGCATGGTGGCGGGCACCTGCAATCCCAGCTATTCAAGAGCCTGAGGCAGGAGAATCGCCTGAACCCAGGAGGTGGAGGTTGCAGTGAGCCGAGCTGAGATCCCACCACTTCACTCCAACCTGGGTGATAGAGTGAGCAGAGTGAGACTCCGTCTCAAAAAACAAAAACAAAAACAAAAAAAAAGATTTTTAAAATACAGAAGTATTTAGCGTAATATGCTAAAAAAAAAAAAACAAACCCAAAAAAACTACCTCTGTCATCTCTCTTTCTAGCACTCCCCTATCAACTCCATCCACTCTTTTCTCAGTGGGGTTTCCATCCTTTCAATATCTTTTCTGAAATACTTCTATATTTTTGAATATATATGAATATGTATGTTTGGATGTGTATGTGTATACATACACATATATTCATGAATATATATGTATATATATTTACGTATTTATAGGTTTTTTTTACATTAACAAGTTTATGTTGTACATAATATTCTATGACTTGGTTTTCTTTTCCTATGTTTTTGCAGTCTTTATCTTCCTCCTCCCTTCTACTCTCCCTTTTATTCTTTTCAAACATTGCAAAGTATTCCATAATACAGATGTATCATTATGTAACCAATTTTCTATTGATGTGTTTTGCTGTTAACAATAATGTTGCAATGAACAGTTTTACTCTTCCATCTTTGTCCATATGGGAAAGTATTTCTTTTTGGTTTTTCTTTTTTTTTGAGACGGAGTCTCATTCTGTCGCCCAGGCTGGAGTGCAGTGGTGCGATCTCCACTCACTGCAAGCTCCGCCTCCCAGGTTCACGCCATTCTCCTGCCTCAGCCTCCCGAGTAGCTGGGACTACAGGCGCCCGCCACCACGCCCAGCTAATTTTTTGTATTTTTTGTAGAGATGGGGTTTCACCGTGTTAGCCAAGATGGTCTCGATCTCCTGACCTCGTGATTCGCCTGTCTTGGCCTCCCAAAGTGCTGGGATTACGGGCGTGAGCCACCGCACCCCGCCTGGGAAAGTATTTCTTTAGGTTACGTTCACAGAAGTGGTATCCTAGGCATATGTATTCGATTTTTTGGGGAAAAGATCTGTGGCATCCCTTCTACCTCCACTACTTCCCCAACCTGTGCTTCCCTGGAACTCCCTGTTCTGCTTTGACAAATCTTCCAAGCTTCTGACGAGGGAGCTGACCAGGGGCTGGGTACTGAGTGGGCACCATGACAATGACTACTGCCAGAATCCATTCGGTCAGAGATCCAAGAAAGTCTGGAAATGTGGCAAAAGCAGACGTGTCTTAGGAGGAGCTGCTGACACCTCTTCCTGGATGCCCAGGAGCACAGATAGTGCTCTAGAAAGCAGGTAGCTAAGATTCTGGGCTTTGAAGGAGGATACAGCACATGTTGGAATCTTAGTTCGCTTTAGTGGAAATTAACGTCTTCCAAGTCTCTACCTGACAATATAAGTTGAAACAATTGGCCAGCTTGTGTTTAGAAAAAAAAAAAAGTTTGATTTCTATTTTACATCATACATCAGCATAAAATTTCAGATTAATTAAAGAATTAAATGTATGAATTGAAACTAGAATGAACTAGAAGAAAATTTTGATGAATATTTATATATTCTAGGGATGGCCTTGACTTTTCTAAACATGACACCAAAAGCAGAAACAATAAAATAAGCTGGTTTGACTAAAAGGAATTTGCAAAAACTTTCACATGACAATAAATTCCAACTTAAGCAAAAACTTATGATGCAAAACAATCTGTGAGAATATATTTGCGGAATATATGTCAGATCTGCGTAACATCCTATATACATATATATGAAGAATTCTAATACATACATAAGAAGGCTGGGAACTATGGCTCACTCCTATAATCCCAACACATTGGGAGGCCGAGGCAAGCAATTCTCCTGCCTCAGCCTCCCGAGTAGCTGAGATTACAGGTGCCTGCCACCATGCCCAGCTAATTTTTTGTGTTCTTAGTAGAAACAGGACTTTGCCATCTTGACCAGGCTGGTCTTGAACTCCTGGGTTCAAGTGATCCTCCTGCCTCGGCTTCCCAAAGTGTTGGGATTATAGGCGTGAGCCACTGCACCTGGCCAGGACCAGCTTTTTAAACAAGCACTGCTGGTAATGCAGGTGCAGTGGCCGCCTGACCACCCTTTGGGACCAGTGACTGGACTGACCTTTTATGATGGCGTAGGTGTCACGGGTACCTTTGAAACTTTCTCAATCCCAGAAGGTTAGATCTGCCATAAAGGAGGCTTGGCTAGCAAATGGTGTGCGCTTCATTCAGAAATGTTAATGGTAATGTCATGGAGGAAGCATGACTCTTCAGTATGGGTAATGTGTTGATCACAGTTTGAGCATTTACTATGCACAAGGCATAGTACTAAGTACTTCACATGTGTGATCTCATTGTCTCCACCCTTATGAGGGAGATAATGATTCTACACAGGTTCGAAGTATTAGGGAGTGATTTGAATCCAATTCTGTCTGATTCCAAACTTGTACTTTTACTTACTTGCTCTCAATTTGCAAACTTTATGCCCCTGATATTGTAGAGCTGGGGGCTCGCAATTGAGGATGACTTTAGTTGCCCCTATCAGAATGACTTGAAAGGTTGTGGTAATACTAAAGGTTTTTATAATTTTAAATAGTAAAAGAAAATTTTAAACCTGTTTTCACTGCAGCCTCTGCCTCCCGGGTTCAAGCAATTCTCCTGCCTCAGCCTCCCGAGTAGCTGGGATTACAGGTGCCTGCCTGTACAGGCTGGGCATGGTGGCTCATGCCTGTAATCCCAGGACTTTGGGAGGCCAAGGTGGGAGGATTGCTTGAGCCCAGAAGTTTGAGACCATCCTGGACAACATGGTGAGACTCCATCTCTACAAAAAATTAAAAAATATTAGCCAGGCATAGTGGCGTGTGCCTGTGGTCCTAGCTACTGGAGAGGCTGAGGAGGATCGCTTGAGCCTAGGAGTTTGAGGCTGTAGTGAGCTGTGATTGCACCACTGCTTTCCAGCCTGGGTGACAGAGTGAGTCTCCATCTCAAAAAAGTAAATAAATAAAATCAGATTTTCAGCTAAGCATTTTTCAGGCTTTGGAGATTGCTCTGTAGCATACTCTCAATTTTCCTAACAATACATGAGGTTTTTTTATTTCTAAGGGCTGCAAATGACATTTGTTGTGGGATTACAATTCCTTCTCTGCAGATCCCAGACTTGAATGAGTTTGCATATCAGCAAACCAAATCGAGAGTACCTATTACTGATAATAGAATTTCTTTACAAGTTCTAGGCATCGACTATGTCTAGAAGTCTAAAAACTACTCTCCAAATCAGCAGTCTACATGGTTCACGCTCCCTGGATTCTCAGCTACTCACTGTCCTCTTCTACTTAAAAGCAGAACTGTTCCTTCTTGAGGTGCAAGGATTAAATTCTCCCAATCTTCTCCTGGCCATATAATTTTGCATTTTGCAGGCTCTTCAGGGCAGGTGGCAGGATGGTTCCTGCAAACAAAGAGAATGGTTATGACCCCCTCAGAGTTTGTCTAACTAGCGGATGGACAGTGGAGCAGTTGGGAATGTTTGAGTAAGCAAGAATAACAACAACAACAACCAAATACCTTCTCAGTAAGAGAAACTGTCATTCCAACAGACTGTGGATGTGCTTTTTAAACTGCTAAATGTCAAACCAGTTGATAGGGTCAAATATTGACAAGCATTCAAATGGACTTTTTCTTATCAAATAGAGAACCTTGTTGCAAAATCATTATTTACGGTCTACAACAGTTGATCATCTTGTTAGAAATGTTGACTAAGGCTGGGTGCAGTGGCTCATGCCTATAATCCCAGCACTTTGGGAGGCCAAGGTGGGCAGATGACTTGAGGTCAGGAGTTCAATGCCAGCCTGGCTAACATGGTCAAATTCCATCTCTACTAAAAACACAAAAATTAACTGGGCTTGGTGGTGCACACCTGTAATCCTAGCTACTCAGGAGGCTGAGGCAGGAGAATTGCTTGAACCCGGGAGGCAGAGGTTGCAGTGAGCCAAGATTGCGCCACTGCACTCCAGCCTGGGCGACAGAGCAAAACTTCATCTAAAAAAAAAAAAAAAAAAAAATTAGCCGGGCATGGTGGCTGACACCTGTAGTACCAGCTACTCAGGAGGCTAAGGCAAGAGAATCGCTTGAACCTGGGAGGTGGAGGCTACGGTGAGCTGAGATTGCACCACTGTACTCCAGCCTGGGTGACAGAGGGAGACTCCGTCTCAAACAAACAAACAAACAAACAAAAAACCTTGACAAAAAGGCCTCCTGATTTTGTTTTTTAGACAGGGTCTTACTCTGTTACCCTGGCTGGAGTGCAGTGGTACAATCACAGGTCACTGCAGCCTCGACCTCCAGGGCTCAGGCCAATCCTCTCACCTCGGCCTCCTGAGTAGCTGGGACTACAGGTGTGCACCACCACGTCTGGCTAACTGTTGTACTTTTGTTGAGATAGGGTTTCACCATGTTGCCCAGGCAGGTCTCAAACTCCTGGGCTCAAGTGATCCTCCTGCTTCAGCCTCCCAGAGTGCTGGAATTACAGGCATGAGCCATCACATTCAGCCTGGATTTTTTTTTTAACTTCCCCTCAGAAATGCGTAATATAGAGGGAGGCGTAACCATGAGATACCATAACTGGGAAAATGATTTTCCCTGCTATTGCTAAGAAGATTGATTGGTTGATATAATTTAATGCCAACTTTCAGAACAGTTGAAAATTTTAGAATAATTACCTGCAAGCCCATAAAATATCACCAGGCATAATTTGCTCTGGTCCCATTTACAAACAAAGGAGCATGGAAGAAAAATGCCCCTGCAGTTCCAAAGTGCCCCCTATCCAGGAATCCACACCTTGCCTGTCATGAGGAGCCACAGAGGAAGGAATTTGCCCTGGGTGGAAAGTTCATTGAACATGCTGTGCTATTTGAAAATTGCTTGTTCCAAAAGTCCTTCAGAAACCAGTAATCCTATTAGCTTGGAACAGTTACCTACCTGCAGTAAAAAGTAATTACAAGTGTCAGCCCGCAAATAATTGCTTCAGTGTCTAAATGAATGGGGAATCTTCTTTGGGAAGAATTACTGTTCCTAAATGAGTCAGCTCAGCCCATTGTCTCTGCCTTGGTTGCTGACGAATTGGGCCATCTGCCTACACCAGTGAGGAAGGATGAAAGGGTGAGGGAGCAGGGAAGGACAGGGCCTCCCCAGAGCTCATCAGCAGAAGGGCTGTCCTGAGCCATACCGGCATGGAGGTGAGTGCTCTGCCAAGCCACCTTCAAGCCTTTCCTGAAGTCATGGGTACCCCAGGCAAGTTTCACGTCCCAGACCTTGGCCACTGGTTACATCATAAAACCTCTGAAGCTCTGGCCCTTTCCTTCCATTCTTTGCCAGTGCTCACTGAGCTTGACAAAGGGGTCTAGTAGACTGGGATCCCTGAGTACAAAACTGGGTAACAGTGTAGGGGCAATAAGGTAGACTGTTTCCAAAGGAAATGAATAGGAAGGGTCTGGCAAGGGTGGAGGATCAATTTGTATAAGGAAAAAAATCTAATGTATTGGCATCATATCTTTCCAGTAATACTAAAAAACTCAGGTGTTCAGAACTCCTAAAGCAGGGGTCCCCAACCCCCAGGCTGTGGACCAGCACCTGTCCATGGCCTGTTAGGAACGGGGCCATACAGCAGGCCAGTGAGCGGCAGGCGGGTGAGCATTACCACCTGAGCTCCACCTCCTGTCCAATCAGTAGCGGCATCGATTCTCAAAGGAGCACAAACCCTTTTGGGAACTGCGCATGCCAGGGATCTAGGTTGCAGGCTCCTTATGAGAATCCAATGCCTGATACGAAGTGGAGCAGTTTCATCCTCAAACCATCCCTTCCCTTCAGTCTCCCCTCCTCCTTTCCCCTCCCCATCCGTGGAAAAATTGTCTTCCACAAAACAAGTCCCTGGTGCCAAAAAGGTTAGAGACCATTAGGGACCGTTATCCTAAAGGACCCTACTTGCACCTCCTGAAAAGCCAGCTCTCTTTTGTGTGGTGTTTCCACCGTCACCAGTAGCTGGAAGGACTGGGATCCTGGGAAGCCTACCCCGGACTGGGAGGAGCCAGGCTATGAGCCAGCTGCCTGGTCTGTGGCTCAGATCTCAGATTTTCCAGACCTCCTTGTCATCTCCCGTAACATTGTACACAGGGGCAGTGGCTGTTGTGAGCTCTCCTGTTTTGAAATTCTCCTGTGGGCTTGGGGCGCAGCTGCGCCATGCGGTCTGAGCACTGGTGGAATGCAGTGGCCAGCCAGCCTTGAGGATGAGGGTTCGGTGGAGGGCTCTAGTGATGTTTTTTTTAAGACAGTCTCACTCGTCGCCCAGGCTGGAGTGCAGTGACACGATCTCGGCTCACTGCAACCTCCGCCTCCTGGGTTCAAGCAAGTCTCCTGCCTCAGTCTCCCAAGTAGCTGGGATTACAGGGATGTGCCATCGTGCCCAGCTAATTTTTGTATTTTTAGTAGAGACAGGGTTTTGCCATGTTGGCCAGGCTGGTCTCGAACCCCTGACCTCAGGTGATCTGCCCACCTCGGCCTCCCAAAGTGCTGGGATTACAGGCGTGAGCTACCATGCCGGCCTCCAGTGATTTGTTTCTGGAGCTCTTAGGAGCTTAGTGGAAAGGTTTTTAGCAGGCCCTCTGTGTGTGGAGGCTCAAAGGGGCCTGCTTAAGTCCAGAAGGAAACTTAGAGACACAGAACCACTGCAGATTGGGGAAGGCATAGATTGTCAGGTGGAGGTGTGGTCTAACATTGCTATGTGCCTGGAGGCTGGGACCTATGCAAGTGACTGAACTTTTCTGGTCTTGATATTAGCCATCATCCTCTTCCAATGAAGATAAGCACTTGCCCGAACCTTCTACTAGTGAGCACCGTGGACATGAAGAACAAGCCCCATCTTCTGAGCCACCAGCTTCCTGCTTGGTCTTCCATTTCAATAACGCCTAATTAGGCAACTTGGGGCTGGGCGCAGTGGCTCACATCTGTAATCCCGGCACTTTGGTAGGCCAAGGCGGGTGGATCACTTGAAGTTAGGAGTTTAAGACCAACCTGGCCAACATGGCAAAACCCTGTCTCTAATAAAAATACAAAAATTAGCCAGGCGTGGTGATGCGTGCCTGTAATCCCAGCTACTCAGAAGACTGAGGCAGGTGAATCTCTTGAACCCAGGAGGCAGAGGTTTCAGTGAGCCAAGATCACACCACTATACGCCAGCCTGGGCAACAGAGTGAGACTCTGTTTGAAAAAAAAAAAAAAAAAAAAAGGCCAGGCGCGGTGGCTCATGCCTGTAATCCCAGCACTTTGGGAGGCTGAGGCAGGCTGATCACGAGGTCAGGAGATCAAGACTATCCTGGCTAACACGGTGAAACCCCGTCTCTACTAAAAATAAAAATAAAAAAAAATTAGCCGGGCATGGTGGTGGGCTCCTGTGGTCCCAGCTACTCAGGAGGCTGAGGCAGGAGAATGGCATGAACCTGGGAGGTGGAGCTTGCAGTGAGCCGAGATGGTGCCACTGCACTCCAGCCTGGGCGACAGAGCAAGACTCCGTCTCAAAAAAAAAAAAAAAGAAAAGAAAAAGAAAAAATTGGGGTGACTTGGAGTTGTCTGCATAAGTAACAGGCGAGAGAATGGTTATGCAGCTGTGCACTAGCCCATTTTTCTCTCTTCAGCCCAAGTTTAAAATTAATATTGATTCATAATATTGAACACCTAACTTAGCTGTGAACACATTTACTCCTTAGAGACCAACAATATCAGTTTAGAATGCGTTCTGAGAAGACCTGAATTCTCTCCTAAATAATTATGCCTGGGGTTAGTTACATTTGTAATAGTAATTAATAAATGCCTGAGATGACTATTTATTAATTATTAATTCAAAGTGTATTTTCTTTCCCTCCACTTTAAATTGACTTTGTAATCATATCTATGACAAATGTTGCTAGAAAGGTGTGTATTTACTATACACCTATTAAAGACGTCATTTGACATGTAATGCACTGCTTTCAGTTGCTTAACAACTACCATGCTTTTGTAAAAACCATTCTGAATGCAAGGACTAGGGCAATAATTCATCTACTTTTTACAAAGTACTTTGTTCGACACATTTTGCTGGCAAATTTTGACCATGTGAAACTCCCAATCCCCTTTAGATAGGAAGGGGTTTTATTTTATTTTTTAGAGTTGAGGTCTTGCTATTTTTTTGAAGGGGGCTTGTATGTCCTTATGAGTGGAATTGCTGGGTCATATATATACATATGTTCAGCCTTAGTAGGGGCTGCCATGCAGTTTTCCATAGTAGTTGTACCAGTTTATATCCCCACCTGCAGTGCATGAGTGTAGATTACTCCCTATCCTTATCAATCTGGGCATTTTCTTTCTTTCTTTCTTTCTTTTTTTTTTTTTTTTGAGACAGAGTTTTGCTCTGTCACCCAGGCTGGAGTGCAGTGGTGTGATCTTGGCTCACTGCAACTTCCGCCTCCCAGGTTCAAGCGATTCTCCCACCTCAGCCTCCCCGGTAGCTGGGACTATAGGAAGGTATCACCTCGCCCAGCTCGTTTTGTGTTTTTTGGCAGAGACCATGTTGGTCAGGCTGGTTTCGAACTCCTAATCTCAGGTGATCCGCTCATCTTGGCCTCCCAAAATGCTGGGATTACAGGTGTGAGCCACCTCGCCCAGCCTGGCATTTTCTTTTCTTTTCATTTTAGCTATTCTGATGGTTAGGTCATGGTATTGTATTATTTAAATTTGAATTTTCAGGATGGCTAGTGGAGTTGAACACCTCTCAAAAGTTAATTAGGCATTTATTTTTATTTTTTAACTTTTATTTTAGGTTCAAGGTCTTGCTACATTGCCCAGTCTGGACTTGAACTCCTGGGGTCAAGCCATCCTCTCACCTTGACCTCCTGAGTAGCTGAACCTACAGGTGTGCCCAGCTCCATATGTTTGTATTTATTTATTTATTTATTTATTTATTTATTTATTTATTTATTGAGATGGAGTTTCACTCTTGTCGCCCAGGCTGGAGTGCCAGGGTGCGATTGCGGCTCACCGCAACCTCTGCCTCCCGGGTTCAAGTGATTCTCCTACCTCAGCCTCCCAAGTAGCTGGGATTACAGGCATATGCCACCACGCCTGGCTAATTTTGTGTTTTTAGTAGAGATGGGGTTTCTCCATGTTGGTCAGGCTGGTCTCGAACTCCCGACCTCAGGTGATCCACCTGCCTCGGCCTCCCAAAGTGCTGGGATTACAGGTGTGGGCCATCGCGCCTGGCCTCCATATGTTTTATTTTAAATATAACATTCCACATTTATTCTGTAAATGTCAAGTGCTACTCTCTCCTAAGCACTGGGCTAGGCGCCTAAGTGCGGTAGAAATTGAGAATAAGCACTTGACTGCTTTCTGCTTTTATTTACCTTGGAGAGCTCATCTTTTTACAAGGGTTTAAGCTCTGTGCAGATATTTCCAAATGTTTAATATATATTAACATTTATTATAATAATATTATTATGTATTATGATATATATCATATTAACATTTCCAAATATTTATACTCTGGAGCCACATGCCCACTCAGTTATTCTGTCGTCTGAAACTAAACTCTCTCTGGGCTGCTCTTGGTCTGTGAAGCATCTTTGGCTGGGCCTTGAAGTGTGGATAGGTGTGGGGAAGTGGGTATGGGAGGGGTTCTCGGGAAGAAAACAGCAAACGAATTAGGAATAGAGGTGAAATGGTGGCGCCAAGGTGAGTAGACTGGCCTGACTCCTGCAAACCTTTCAGATGAGATCGGGCATGTTCAGGATGGTATGGCTTTAGACTCCTGCAGACGTTTCAGACAGACAGGAGTGGGAGTGGCTAGCCCCTGTATTCCATTGATTGAAGCAGTGGTGTTGCGTCCTCGTCCCGTCCCGAATGGGCTGGAAGGAGGAGATGGGAGTGACCTAGTCAGGATGCTGTTTTTTGTTTGTTTGTTTGTTTGTTTGTTTTTTGTTTTTTTGAGACGGGGTTTTGCTCTGTCGCTCAGGCTGGAGTGCAGTGGCAGGATCTAGACTCACTGCAATTTCCGCCTCCAGGGTTCAAGCTATTCTCGTGCCTCAGCCTCCTGAGTAGTTGGGATTACAGGCGCGCACCACCATCCCCAGCTATTTTTTTTTTTTTTTTTTCTGAGATGAAGTCTCGCTCTGTTACCCAGGCTGGAGTGCAGTGGCATGATCTCGGCTCACTGCAAGCTCTGCCTCCCGGGTCCACACCATTCTCCTGCCTCAGCCTCCCGAGTAGCTAGGACTACATGCTCAGCTAATTTTTTTGTATTTTTAGTAGAAATGGGGTTTCATCGTGTTAGCCAGGATGGTCTCGATCTCCTGACCTTGTATCCGCCCGCCTGGGCCTCCCAAAGTGCTAGGATTACAGGTGTGAGCCACTGCGTCTGGCCTTTTTTTGTATTTTTAGTAGAGAGGGGGTTTCACCATGTTGACCAGGCTGGTCTTGAACCCCTGACGTCAAGTGATCCGCCCGCCTCGGCCTCCCAAAGTGCTGGGATTACAGGTGTGAGCCACCGCGCCCAGCTGATTTTAATAATACTAGTATTATGTGATGATGGCATGGATTAAAATGGCAGATCATTTTGATCCTTTTGGAGGAGGAGAGAGCCACGAGCTCCTTGAGAATAGCATGAAAGCGATGGGTCTTCTCCCCAGAAAAATATGCATACGTGTACTAAGTAATTTGGGGAGGTTCATGAGTCCTGGTGGGTAAGAAAATAAATGAATTTGAGATCCCCAAAGGAAAGAGGTATATTTGCACAGGGCAACTGATGGAAATCAATAGGGAAACTTGGAAGAGGAAGTAGTTTGGGAAAGAATTTAACAAGTTTATTTTCATGCAACAGGACGTGTGACGGGAGCTGTGCTTTTGGCAGCATGTTGGGGGGCGGGGGGCAGAGATCTGAGTCATTTGGTTAAATCGCAGTTTCCATTTTGAGAATGAATGAGCTCTCTGAATTAACACAAAAGCAGAAAGCAGTCAAGTATTTTCCAAAATAAATAATAGGGGCAATATTTGTGCAGGTAATATTCATAGAAGAGTTTGGGATCACTGTCATTAAAACCATACAAAAAAATAGACACCAGGTGAATTCCTAAGTAAATTATTCCACTAATATTCATTATAAAGCTTACAAATTCAGTTGTAAGAGTCAAGATCAGAATAGAAGCAGATAATTTAAAATTATAGTTATAATAAGCTTGGCTGGACACAGTGGCTCACATCTGTAATCCTAGCACTTTGGGAGGCTGAAGTGGGCGGATCACTTGAGCCTAGGAGTTCGAGACCAGCCTGGCCAACATGGTGAAAACTTGTCTCCACAAAAAATACAAAAATTAGCCAGGCATGGTGGCACATGCCTGTAATCCCAGCTACTCAGGCTGAGGCACAAGAATTGCTTGAACTTGGGAGGCGGAAGCTGCAGTGAGCTGAGATCGCACCACTGCACTCCAGCCTGGGTGACAGAGTGAAACCCTGTCTCAAAAATAAAAATAAAAAAAATAAAATTATAGTTATAATAAGCTGAAGATGAACAGACATGTCAAGATCTCTGAACTTTTCAAAATCACTTTCCAGAACCTCTTTGCTGCATGGAGGCAGTGTGAGTCGAAGTCGAAATAGCACGTCTCTTTGCTGTTCTAGATTCTCTGCCTAAATCACTCCCTTGACAGCTGGAGCATCAGTGTCTATTGACCCTGTAACCTGTACTCAGATGGGAACTCTTTGGTAACTGCTCTCCTAAGAGAGGTAAGGGAAAACAATATGGTTAGTTTCCAAAATATCTGGGGCTGTCGTCCACCTTGTTCAAGAAATCGTAACTCTGACATTTGGATTTGGGGAATTCATCAGTTCTGACTGGGAGCAAAGTGACACACCTATTCCAGACACTGAGATGGGAGGTCTCTCTGAATCTTCCCTCAGTCTCCCTCCCAGGCCGTTGCCACCTTCCCGAAGGGTCTGGTGGTCTGGTGGTCCTTGGACAGGCCACGTAGAACACTGCATGGGTCCAGGCTGGGACTGACCATGCCATATGAACCCCAGATATGAATGCTAGTCATGACTCTCAGAACCTACACCCTCTGTTCACTATATATAACCTACACTTATCTGAAGAACCCGGAAAGTAGACACGTTAGAATGCATTATTTTGGTATTTCTGGGCAGAGAGGTTTATTTGCTAAAATAACTTTCTGTGTCAGTTTCAGAGGCCAAAAGCAATCTTTACTTCCCAAGGGCTACATAGCCTTTGGAACCCATTAGGATGGTTATGGCATAATAGGCCTAAAAGACTGTCACTCTCCAGAACTTGCAAAAACTGGAATTATTTTATTTTATTTATTTATTCATTTTATTTTTTTATTTTAATTTATTTTATTTATTTATTTATTTTATACTCACTCTGCTGCCCAGGCTAGTGACACAGTCATAGCTTACTGCAGCCTCGAACTCCTGGCCTCAAGGAATGCCTCGTCTTTGACCTCCCAAAGTCTGTCATTTGTTTATTTATGTATGAAGAGTCTTGCTCTGTCACCCAGTCTGGAGTGCAGTGGTGCGATCTCAGCTCACTGCAACCTCCGCCTCCCGGTTCGAGCGATTCTCCTGCCTCCGCCTCCTGAGTAGCTGGGATTACAGGCTTGCGCCACCATGCCCAGCTAATTTTTCTATTTTTTGGTAAAGACGGGGTTTCACCATGTTGGCCAGGCTGGTCTCCAATTCCTGACTTCAAGTGATCTGCCCACCTTGGCCTCCCAAAGTGCTGGGATTACAGGTGTGAGCCACCATGCCCAGCCATATGCATATCTGATTGCCTCCTTTGAAACGGCTAATCAGAAACTCAAAAGAATGCAGCCATTTGTGTCTCACCTATCTGTGACCTGGAAGCTCCCTCCCTGTTTCCTGCCTTTGCTTCATGTTGTTCTGCCTTTCCAGATGGAGCCAATATACTTCTTACATATACTGATTGATATCTCGTGTCTCCCTAAAATGTATAAAGCCAAGTAGGCCGGGCGCGGTGGCTCCCCAGCACTTTGGGAGGCCGAGGCGGGCGGATCACGAGGTCAGGAGATTGAGACCATCCTGGCTAACACGGTGAAACCCCGTCTCTACTAAAAATACAAAAAATTAGCCGGGCATGGTGGTGGGCGCCTGTAGTCCCAGCTACTCAGGAGGCTGAGGCAGGAGAATGGTGTGAACCCGGGAGGCGGAGCTTGCAGTGAGCCGAGACTGAGCCACTGCACTCCAGCCTGGGTGACAGAGCGAGACTCCATCTCAAAAAGAAAAAAAAAAAAAGCCAAGCTGTGTCCCGACCACCTTGGGCACATGTCATCAGGACTTCCCAAGGCTGTGTCACAGGCGCATCCTCAACCTTGACAAAATAAACTTTCTAAATTAACTGAGACCTGTCTCAGATTTCCTGGGTCCACAACAGTAAGACTTGAAGCCAAAGATTTTTCTCCTTGGCCCCAAAAAAGCAAATGATCCAAACCTGCCTTGGTTCTGCTCAGCTGGAGGAACCAGGGTCAGCTGGGTGGGAACCTGTCCTGAGTGAGGAGTTCCTGGAGGATCTTACACAGGCCTCATCAAAGGGAGAGGTTTAAGTCAAGGAGGACGCAGGGAAGGAGCTCAAGCCTCAAACTCCCAGGCTCAAGCCATCCTCCCACCTCAGCCTCCTGAGTAGTTGGGACTTTTAAATTCTTTGTAGAGAAGGGGGTTTCACTCCCATTTCTGAGCATGCTGTTTTCAATGTGGACTTCATGAGCAAGAAAATTCATCTGACTGAGAATGGGATAAGGGCAGATATACAATAATCTACCTGGTTCATTAAACTCACGCAAGTTGGAGATTTATCCGGGTTTCTAGGAATACTACTACTCTCATTGTGTCTACTGATTGGCTATCAGAACCTTAGGCTGGACTTAAATAGATTGGTTTCATTTCTAACCATCCAATTCTGCATGTAATCATAATTCTACCCTAAGTCATCTTTGATTTCTGGACCTAATAAATTTTTTCCCCTTATTAAAAAAAAAAAGCCAGGTGTGTTGGCTCATGCCTGTAATCCCAGCACTTTGGGAGGCTGAGGCACGAGGATAACCTGAGGCCAGGAGTTCAAGATCAGTCTGGCCAACATGGTGAAACCCCGTCTCTACTAAAAATACAAAAATGAGCTGGGTGTGGTGGCGGGCACCTGTAATCCCAGTACTCAGGAGGCTGAGGCAGGAGAATTGCTTGAACCTGGGAGGCAAAGGTTGCAGTGAGCTGAGATAGTGCCACTCCACTCCAGCCTGGGCAACAAGAGCGAAACTCCGTCTCAAAAAAAAAAAAAAAAAAGAAAGACAAGTGGGTTATGTTGCCCAGGCTGGTCTTGAACCCCTGGGCTCAAGCTAAAATGCTGGGTTTGCCTCTCTAATCACTGGGATTAAAGGTATGAGTCGCCACACCTGTCCTGAAACACTTTCCTTTCAAGTGGCACATTTTTTTCCTTTTGTTTTTTATTGGCACATTTTAAATACCTGTAGGTCTAGGACCACCAGGCAGAGTGGGCTGAACAGACTGGAAGAAACCTTCAGTCCAGGGACTACTTGGAATCCCTGTGGCTGTGTGTTTACCACAGTCAGGCCAGCAGGGCTTGCAGGTGCTGAATTTGGACTCCCACTGAGCCCATTTGCGGCTTCTGTCACCTTGCCAACGGCTCCTCCTCGCTCCCCACTGCTCTAGTAGTGATTCTGGAAGCAGCCCAATGAGGCCTCCTCTAACCTTTCTTTGCCTCAGCCTCACCTCCCTGTGAGTTTTACAGCAGGGACCATGTTCCAGTGGCATGCCCCTCCTGGTAATGACACAGGGTTTCCAGGAGATTAAAACCTCCCCCAGGGGCATGTCATCTCGGTGTTATATGCTCTCAACCCCTAGAGCCCAGGACAGTGCTAGGAATCTTGTCAGGGCTATATAAAATAAATAGGAGGGCCGGGTGTGGTGGCTCACGCCTGTAATCCCAGCACTTTGGGAGGCTGAGGCGGGTGGATCATGAGGTCAGGAGTTCGAGACCATCCTGCTGAACACGGTGAAACCTCATCTCTATTAAAAATACAAAAAAATTAGCCAGGTATGGTGGCAGGCGCCTGTAGTCCCAGCTATACAGGAGGCTGAGGCAAGAGAATGGCGTGAACCCAGGAGGCGGAGCTTGCAATGAGCTGAGATGGCTCCAATGCACTCCAGCCAGGGCGACAGAGGGAGACTCCATCTCCAATAAATAAATGAATAAATAAATAAAATAAATAGGAAAAGAAATCAAATGCATGGACACATTGAGGTATTGGTGCATAGCATAGCAATCACTGCTGGCACTTTGAAAGGTTTGTAGGATGATATGACACAATGTCAGTCCTGTCAAAATCTCAGCTTCCTCTTGCTAATACACTGGATCCTAGAGATTCTTGCTTTTGAGCTGTGTGGATAAGGATGGCTTGCTATGACTTGTACAGTGACTCAAAGGCAGAAGACCAGGATTTCCCATGCATTCTGGTTGTGAAAGGTTCACTTCTGGAAGGTTATTCACAAGCTCACAAACATGGAAACCAATGTTGCTGGCTGGCACATGAGAGATACTAATTTAGTCTTTTGTCTTTATTACGTGATCCCATTTAAAAGAAAATCTCCCCAGCACTGTTTATCTGCTTTCTCAGAGTCTCATGCTGTGATGCATAAAGTTTACAGTAATTGAAAAAGTAACGACTAACACCCAAGGTGGTAAATAAATCACCAAGTTCACTAATTCAAAGCACTGAACATCCATTTGTAGAACACTACAGCACGATGTAAAATAACATTACCCCACAGCATAAAAACGGGAAAGTGGGAATTAATTTTCTTTTAATTTTTAATGCACTTTGGCTGATAAAGATATTAAACATTAACAAAATTTAACATATACGCTGGCATTTATTAAACCACTGACTTGCAAGCAAAATAAGCGACATGTATTTTTAAAGCATTAAAGATTCCCTGCTGATAATTAGCTTGAAGGTCAAGGAGGAAACCATTATCAGCATATTCTGCAGAATCCCCTGTAGATTATACAGCCCATATGCTGAGGGAATGTGAAAAGTTGCAATCAGCTGCTTGATACTCCTGAGAGATGTTGAAAGACATTATGCTCTCACTAGTTCTGATGAATCCGTTAGCTAAACATTTGAGGATAGTGAAAAATAAGGGGGTGAATTTCCATCCTCGATGCCACCTTTCAGTCTAACATGGAAAGATCTGTGTCTTCTGCTTAAGCCAATCAAGCTGCATTGTGGAGGTTCTGTCCATGACATAAGCATCTCTAATGAGGCAGGATGGAGAACTGCACTAGGAATGTTGCTTCGTCTAAATGACTGTCACCACCATGCAACATTTCATTGCTGAGGTCTTTGAATTTAAGGGCCCTGACTTGAATTTTGATTCTTTCTATACAAAAACGCCTTCAAAATAAGAAGCAAATAGGGATGATTTTTCACTAAGGGAAAGCGATGTCATGCCTGGGACTGAATTAGTTGGTAAACCAATCAGGTACAATACCAATATGTGCTGATGTAGTGAGTTTTTGTCCCTAGTTATAAAAGTAGATTTATCTGCAGAATTCCATTTGGCTGGAATACACAAAACCCCTCTGTCCTTAGAACTAACTCATGATAGTGGTTGCTTTGGGGGAGACAGTGGATGGAAGTGTGTTCAGGTTTGGGGAGGGGTACAAAGGGACTTCGATTTTATCTATAATATTTTATGTATTTTATTTAAATTGGAGTTTCTCAGTCTCAGCACTATTGACATTTGAGGCCAGATAATTCTTTGTGGTTGGGGCAGTCCTGGGCATTGTAGGATGTTCAGCAGCATCCCGGGCCTCTCCCCTCTAGATGCCAATAGCACCCCAAATTGTGACAACCAAAAGTATCTCCAGCCTTTGCCAAATGTCCCCTGGGAAATAAAATTGTTCCCCCCACACTGCCCCCACTCCCCCCCACACCGCCCCCACTCCCCCCCACAGCGCCCCCACTCCCCCCACACCGCCCCCACTCCCCTCCACACCGCCCCCACTCCCCCCCACACCGCCCCCACTCCCCCCCACACCAACCCCCACTACCCCCCCACACCGCCCCCCACTACCCCCCCACAGCGCCCCCACTACCCCCACAGCGTCCCCACTACCCCCCACGCCGCCCCCACTCCCCCCCACGCCGCCCCCACTCCCCCCCACGCCGCCCCCACTCCCCCCCACAGCACCCCCACTCCCCACACCATCATGTTGAGAGCCATTGATTTAAATAAAAAGCAAATAAGCACAAATAGAACAAGTGAAGAAAATGTTAGCATGTGCTAAATTGGGGGTGGGAGAGAGCACTCTATCATTTATTTTATTATTATTATTATTTATTAATTTATTTTTTGAGAGAGGGTCTTACTCTGTCACCCAGGCTGGAGTGCAGTGGTGTGATCTTGGCTCACTGCAACCTCAAACCTCCCCGGCTCAATCCTCCCAAGTAGCTGGGACCACAGGGGTGCACCACCACACCTGGGTAATTTTTGTATTTTTTGTAGAGACAGAGTTTTGCCTCATTGCCCAAACTGGTCTCGAACTCCTGGACTCAAGTGATCTGCCCACCTTGTCCTCCCAAAGTGCTGGGATTATAGGCATGAGCCACTGCATCTGGCCTGTTTTATTATTTTGTATCTTTAAATTCTTCCCAAAAACTCAAAAGGAAAACGTATCTTTAAAACACCCAAATCCAAGCTGGGCACGGTGGCTCACGCCTGTAATTCCAGCACTTTGGGAGGCCGAGGCGGGTAGATCATGAGGTCAGGAGATCAAGACCATCCTGGCCAACATGGTGAAACCCTGTCTCTACTAAAATACAAAAAAAAAAAAAAAAATTAGCCAGGCGTGGTGGCGCATGCCTGTAGTCCTGGCTACTTGGGAGACTGAGGCAGGGGAATTGCTTGAACCTGGGAGGCAGAGGTTGCAGTGAGCTGAGATGTACCACCGCACTCCAGCCTGGCAACAGAGCGACACTCTGTCTCAAAAACAAAACAAAACACAAAAACAAAAACAAAAAAACCCAAATCCTTTAGCTCACCAATAATCTAAAGCGATATGTTGCCAATAAACTGCTGTGTTCCTCCTGTCCCACGCCAGGCTGGTCACATGCAGAACTAACCCCTGGGGGTGCTGCTCTTTCATCTGCCTCTGCACACACGTATTTCACAGAGATGTTTGTAATTCACTCTCTTAAACACACTGTTGTCCTAAAAGTTAACTCAAAAAGAACAGTCTCACTCCTGATCACTGTATGTTGGCCTGGTTTATTGATCATCCTGATTCCTAGCCATCTGCAACACACCCCCCTTCATATTCTACCCTGTCTAATCCATTCTTTATACTGCTGCAGATTGGTTTTTCTGACACAAGTATTTGATATTTCCTCACTTAAAACGTCTCAAAATAAGGTGTATGCATTATGAAATACTGCAATGCAACTCTTTTTTTTTTTTTTTTTTTTGAGACGGACTCTCCATCTGTTGCCCAGGCTGGAGTGCAGTGGCCTGATCTTGGCTCACTGCCACCTCCGCCTCCTGGGTTCAAGTAATTCCCCTGCCTCAGCCTCACTAGTAGCTGGGATTACAGGCGTGTGCCACCAAGCCTGGCTAATTTTTGTATTTTTAGTAGAGACAGGGTTTCGCCATGTTGGCCAGGCTGGTCCAAACTCCTGATCTCAAGGGATCCACCCAACTCAGCCTCCCAAAGTGACGGGATTACAGGCTTGAGCCACCGAGCCCGGCCGGCAATGCAGTTCTTATGTGAGGCACCCAGAGTAAGCACAGACTCCACAGATTCAAGGGCGTAGTTCCCAACTAGACCACCCTGACTTCAGATGCCAGCTGCAGGTTCCAGAGGTCCTCAGGCCACCTACTCTTTCTTTTTTCTTCTCCCTTCCTTCTCTCCCTCCCTCCCTTCCTTCCTTCCTTCTTTTTCTTTCTCTCTCTCTCTCTCTTTTCTTTTTTTTTTTTTTTGGCAGGGTCTTGCTCTGTCACCCAGGCTGGAGTGCAGTGGCACAATCTCAGCTCACTGCAGCCTCGACCTCCTGGGCTCTTCCTGATCATCACCTCACCCTCCCAAGTAGCTGGGACTACAAGCATGTGCCATGACATGTGGCTAATTTTTGGTATTTTTTGTAGAGATGGGGTTTCACCATGTTTCTTAGGCTGGTCTTGAACTCTTCTGAGCTCAAGAGATCCTCCCGCCTCAAACTCCCAAAGTGCTGAGATTACAAGTGTGAGCCACCACACCCAGTGGCTCAAGTGGCAATAAATTTGGCAGTTTCCATGACACCCTCGGGTTCCATAATTCCCTAGAATGACTTGTTGAACTCAGGAGAGTGCTATATTTACTATTACAGTTTTATTATAAAGGATACAAATCAGGGCTGGGCGCGGTGGCTCATGCCTGTAATCCTAACACTTTGGGAGGCCAAGGCAGGTGGATCACTTGAGGCCAGGAGTTCGAGACCAACATGGTGAAACCCCCATCTCTACTAAAAATACAAACAATAGCCGGGCATAGTGGCACACAGTTGTAATCCCAGCTACTTGAGGCTGAGGCACAAGAATCCCTTGAGCCTGGGAGGCAGAGGTTGCAGTGAGCAGAGATTGTGTCACTGCACTCCATCCTGGGCAACAGAGAGAGACTCTGCCCGAAAAAAAAAAAAAAAAAAAAGATATCGATCAAGACCAGCAAAATGACAGTTCTGAGAGGGTCCTGAATGTGGAATTTCTGTGCCCTCTGAGAATCAGGATGCATGCTGATGTGTTTACCGACCAGGAAGCTTGCTCAGCCTGTGTCTAGAGTTTTACTGGGGTTCCATGACATAGGAATGATGGACTGAATTGTTGGCTCATTATTAAATATGATCAAATTCAGTCTCTAGCTACCTTCACTCCCTGGAGGTGGGGCTGGCTAGAAGCCCCACCTCTCTAATCACAGAGTTGGTCTTTCCAGGCATCCCCCATCTGAGTCATCTTGTTAGCATAAACTCAGGTGTAGTCTGGGGCGCACCATGAATAACAAAGTCACTCCTATCCTATCACTGGGGAAATTCCAAAGATTTAGAGTTTAACACCCGGAAAGAACCATTATTATTATTATTATTATTATTATTATTATTATTATTATTATTATTTTGAGACAGAGTCTCGCTCTGTCGCCCAGGCTGGAGTGCAGTGGCGCGATCTCGGCTCACTGTAACCTCCGCCTCCTGGGTTCATGCCATTCTCCTGCCTCAGCCTCCCGAGTAGCTGGGACTACAGGTGCCCGCCACCACGCCCGGCTAATTTTTTGTATTTTTAGTAGAGATGGGGTTTCACCGTGTTAGCCAGGATGGTCTCGATCTCCTGACCTCGTAATTTCCCCCGCCTTAGCCTCCCAAAGTGCTGGGATTACAGGCGTGAGCCACCACACCCAGCCGAACCAGGGACAAATTATTAAACAACCTATGACATCAGATTTCTTCACGTCCTGATCCCAGACAGTCTTCGCAGTCTCCCCAGCCTCTCCCATTACATTGCAGCCAGAGAACCCTTGAGGATCCTTGAACACACCTTGCTGTTTCATAACCTGGGACTTCTGCACATGCTGTTTTCTCTGCCTATGTTTGTTTTCTCCTTTGTCTGTCCCAGGAACTACTTCTCATTTGTAAGACCCAGGTAAGTAGCTCCATCTCCTTGGAGCCTTCCAAAGGGGCAGAGTTAATCTCCACCTCCGCAGTGCTGGTAGTAATCCTTTGTTCATTTATAGATCATCTTTGCACTTAACTCTTCAGGCAGACTTGTTGGTTGAGATGCCCGTATGTACCTTTGGCACTTAGCATATGGCCTTTGCTGAATACTCATTGAGTAGAACCTTGCCTTTATTACCTGAAGTTGTATTTGTCTGGTTTTTTTTTGTTTTTTTTTTTTGTTTTTTTTTTTTTGAGATGGAGTTTCACTCTTCTTGCCCCAGGCTGGAGTGCAGTGGCATGATCTCGGCTCACTGCAACTTCCGCCTCCCGGGTTCAAGCAATTCTCCTGCCTCAGCCTCCCCAGTAGCTGGGATTACAGGCGCCTGCCACCACGCTCAGCTAATTTTTGTATTTTTAGTAGAGATGGGGTTTCACCATGTTGGTCAGGCTGGTCTCGAACTCCCAACCTCAGGTGATCCTCCTGCCTCGGCCTCCCAAAGTGCTGGGATTACAGGCGTGAGCCACCGCACCAGGCCGTATTTGTCTTTTTAGAAAGTGTCATTGTGCCCCTCTTGGTTCCTCTTTTCACACCTCATTCCTCATGCTCCAGTGAAGTGGCTGTTCATCATCACCAATGTCCCTCTTGGCTGCTGGTGGACAAGCTACAACTTAAAATTCTATGGTTGGCAGGGCATGGTGGCTCACGCCTGTAATCCCAGCACTTTGGGAGGCAGAGGTAGGTGGATCGCTTGAGGTCAGGAGTTCGAGACCAGCCTGGCCAACATGGTGAAACTTCATCTCTGCTAAAAATACAGATTAGCCAGGCATGATGGTGGGTGTCTCTAATCCCAGCTACTTGGGAGGCTGAGGGAAGAGAATCACTTAAACCTGGGAAGCAGAAGTTGCAGTGAGTCAAGATCATGCCACTTCACTTCAGCCTGGGTGACAGAGCAAGACTCCATCCCAAAAAATAAAATAAAATCAAATCCTATGATTGACAATCCTGACCAGCCAGTTCACAGTTTAGAGAACTCATAGATAATATTGATGAGATGACATAAGAGGTGAGGTTTGCTAAATATCTAGCTACAGGGAGTCGTTAAGTATGTTGTAATTCCATCTATTGAATGAAATATTACACATCCTTTCAATGCCATTCCTCATTGAAAGGAATGGCAAAAACCGCACTTACTTTTGCACCAACCTAATACTACATGTTTATGAGGTTTGTAATAAAACAGAAAGGCTTTTGTATAACATGAAGAGAAAGAGCAATCACAACTATGATGAAACAAATTATCCATAATCTAAGACACAGGAAAAACCTAAAAGAAAGAAAGACCTGTAATCCCAACTACTCAGGAGGCTGAAGCAGGAGGATCGCTTGAACCCAGGGGTTTGAGGCTGCAATGCACTATGATCGTACCATGACACTCCAGCTTGGGCAACACAGCAAGAATCCATCTCTAAAAAAAAACAAAACAAAGCCTGGGCAACAAAATGAGACCCCATCTCTATAAAAAATTAAAAAATTAGCTGGCGTGATGATGTGCGCCTGTGGTCCCAGCTACACAGGAGTCTGAGGAAGGAAGATCCCTTGAGCCTAGGAGGTTGAGGCTACAGTGAGCCGTGATCTCACCATTGCTTTCCAGCCTGGGAGACAGAGGGAGACCTGTCTGAATAATAAAAAATAATAATAAAATAAAATATAAAAACAAACTCCAAAATAATATTTGTCTTTGGGTAATGGAAACATGGGTGATCATTCCCCATCTTTTTTATACTTTCATGTATTGAAAACTTTTCTTGTATCATGCTTAAAATGGTAGGAGAGAATAGTTCCTCTCTGTATTCCTAAATAAATAGGCAAAAGGTGAAAACAAATTTAATTTGGATACTTTCTCCTGTAACTGGAAATTTACAGGTGAAAAAATTCACACTTTTGCTCTTTTTGGCAATGAGAGGAGGCAATGAAGAGAGGTGCAGATGGGAATACAAGGCGGAAGACAGGAACCAGCCAATACCTCTGGCCACACTTTAAAAATGGGCACCCACAAGCCAGGAGAATTGCCAGAGAGACAAAAGTCAACAACAAAAAAGGAGATTTTAAATGGAGACTGGGACCAAACCAGTTCTTAAAATGTCATTTTTCTAGTCAAAGAAAGGCAGCCTGAACAGTGGGGATTTAACTATTTGCCTATTTTTTAATTATTTTTTTAAAAAGAGGTTTGTGTTGTTTCATTGATCTCTTTCACTATCAACATAACATAAAACCTATCACTTTCTGGAAGAGCTATAATCACAACGAAAGCTGAAAATTGTTTCAGAGCACTTTGGGAAGAGGGGCTAGTTTAAGAGTGAGCTACCCAAGAATACTGATTTAACCTTTTAAAACTCTGGTTAAAGTCACTCTTATCCAAGGCTCTTAAAAATGTCCTCACCCAGAATACACCAGCCTCCATATAGCACAGTAAACCCAAGCAGGGTTCTCTTAATGATTATTCTAGATGGCGGTATAGTTATTAAGTGTTATTGGTGTCATTCTTCTCTAATTTCTGCATAACCTTACGTATTTTAGCAGGTTCTGGAGTGCGTGAATTGTGAGTTAGGCATAAATAGGCTGGTTTAGCTATGACTGAAGATCTGTTACTTGGGATTGTGTCCACATATTGAGACATTTCCAACCTGAGACCCCCATCACCCCAAAACAAAACAAAATAAAATAAAACAGAAAAAAGATCACACCAGTGAAGTGGCTCAGGCTCTTTTATTTCCTTGCTGATATTTCTGTCCAAAGGGCACATTTTCTTTTGTTTGACTTCATAGGAACTACCAGAAAATTCCTAAAGATTGATGGAGTTGATAGACCCGTTTCTCCAGTTTTCTTGATCAGTGAGTGAGGATTCTTTCCCTCTTAAGGTGAATGAAGTTTGTTTATACATGTTCTGAGTACACCATTTTAAAAGTGTCATTTGTCATTCGAACTATTAATAATTGGAGTACCCTCAGGTTCTGAGTTTGTGACTTTGAGTGTGGAAATGGTATCATTTATTTATTCATTCACTTGTTCATTTTGTATCATTTAGGACTCTTGGTAGCAAGTGGCAGAATTTGTTTACTGAAATGTGAGATGTATTATAATGATATTGATATTGGGTTTCCTAGAACCCAAGCATAGGAATGCAGCAGAGCTCCAGGGAGAATTAGAATTAGAGTTCCAAAATCCCAGGGCCCGTCCTGTCCAGCTCACTCCTGGTTTTATCTTCTCTCTACAGGCAGTTTACTCTGCTTCTCCACCAGCTCCTGGACTATTATATCTTGCAGTCTAGACACACAAAGACAGACAACTTTTTCCTTTTCAGTTCTAGTTTCAAAATTCATGGAAAAGAACTTTGCTTGGCCTGGCTTGGGTCAGAGCTGGGTTGAGCACCTATCAACTAAGGACATGACCGAGCTGGGTCATGCACTTACCCTAACCTGTCAGATGGGGCTGGGACAGCCAGACCACATTGTACTGATAGGACTTCTTGTGGATTCAGAAAGGAGCCTGCCAGTTAAACAAAATAAAACATGTTCACTACCTATTCCTTTTTCCTTTTTTAGTTTTACTTAAAAAATGATAGAGACGAGGTTTCACTATGTTGCCCAGGCTGGTCTCGAAGTTCTTGGCTCAAGCAATCCACCTGCCTCAGCCTCCCAAAGTGCTAGGATTATAGGCATGGGCCACCATGGCTGGCCCCCTATTCCTTTTTCTATAATATCCTCTTCCAAAAGTGAGTGGGAATTATGTATGCAGTATTTTGCCAGCAAACAAGTACTGAGTACCTACCTATTTTGTATCTAGCTGCCTCTTGCCGATCCTTTTGTTCATATCATGTCTTCTGGAATAACCTAAAGGTTGTTTTCTATAGTTTTTAGCTCTCACTCATACCCACCTCTTTTCCGTTCTTTTTTTTTTTTCCTTTTCTTTTCTTTTTTTGAGACAGGGTCTTGCTTTGTTGTCCAGGCTGGAGTGCAATGGTGCGATCATGGCTCACTGCAGCCTTGATCTCCTGGGCTCAAGCAATCCCCCTGCCTCAGCCTCCCAAGTAGCTGGGATCACAGGTATGCACCACTATGCCTGGCTAATTTTTAACTTTTTCTGTAGAAACAGCATCTCACTTTGTTGCCCAGGCTGGTCTCAAACACCTCATCCTCCCACCTTGGCCTCCCAAAGTGTTGGCATTACAGGCATGAGCCACTGCACCCAGCCTCTTGTTTGTTTTTTATGGACAGACTAGCTGCCTGCTTTATTAAGATCAAAACTCTTATCCAACTCCTCTGCAACTAAAACAAAGCCTCTTTTCACATTTCTCTCCTGCAGGATTTTTGTTTTTGTTTTTGTTTTTGTTTTTCCTTTTCCTTCCTGCCATCTTCAGGGAAAAGATTCACTCATGTCAGGGTCCAGAGGCGATCAAGATCTGTGACAAATACAGGCTAATGAGAATACCCCAGAGAATGAGATAGATGCAAAACAGCAACTTAACAGTCTAGAGTGAGTTATTTCTGCCACAAAGAAGAGAGATACTTAAAAGTGGTTGAGAAATTCAGTCCCTTCCTTTAGTCAAGCTATATACAAAGCCAAATCATTATCTGAAAACATCTTTGTTTATTCTGAGAAATCCCTGCCATATGCACTGGAAATACCCAAAGCCTATAGATTGAAATAGTAATAATAATAATAATAATAAAGTGAGTTGTTTTTATTCTTTCTGCGATTGTTTTTCAATGCAGAGAAGACTACTCAAAAGTTTACTTTTAGTTGACTCTAATAATAAAAAGTTTGCATAGGTCTAGAAAATTACGGCAATAGGTCAGGTTAGCCCACTGCCAATTGGTATGACCTATGCATTAAGAATGATTTTTACGTATATAAATGTTGAAAAAATAGGCAAATAACATTTTATGACATGTGAAAATTGTATAAAATTCAAATTTCAGTGTGGTTGCGACCACATGTCTTTTTTTTTTTTAGGTGGAGTCATGCTCTGTTGCCCAGGCTGGAGTGCAGTGGCACGATCTTGGCTCACTGTAACCTCTGCCTCCCAAGTTCAAGCAATTCTCCTGCCTCAGCCTCCTGAGTAGCTGGGAGTACAGGTGCCTGCCACCACTCCCGGCTAATTTTCGTATTTTTAGTAGAGACGGGGGTTTCACTATGTTGGCTAGGCTGGTCTCAAACTCCTGACCTCAAGTGATCCACCCGCCTCAGCCTCCTAAAGTGCTGGGATTACAGGTGTGAGCCACTGCATCCAGCCAATACCATATGTTTTATGTGACTCTTTCCAGAAAAAAATTTGCAGACACAGTGTTTAAAAGATTGGCATCCAATGTATTAAAAACAAATTGAAAACCCTTGTTTGTTCTTAAGCTTTTAAGAACTTGGTCAGTTACACACCTGTGATACCCCCACCATAAACAAGAGTCAGAATATTTCCATCAAGCCCAAAACATTCTCCACACCCCTCTGTGGAATATCCCTCTCTTCGTTCCCAGAGCAAGGGAAACACCGATCCACTCTCTGTCACTATATATTAATTTGTATTTTCTAGGATTTTGTATAAAGAGAATAACACAGTAAACACTCTTTGTGCCTGGCTTTTTATACCCAGCATACCAATTTTGAGATTCATTCATGTTGTATGTATCAGTAGTTTGTTCCTATTGTTATTATTATTGTTGAACAGCCATTATTTATACTCATTCTAAGGCTTCTAACTTCTTGTCCAAAAGCTTTTTTCAACTAGGGAGGGTGAGCTTTGCTCATGGTGTCTATTTCGTGAGCTCAGAGCTGCCTCGAAATGGAATCTTCAGCCTCCCTCATGCTCCTGCAATAGGACCCCATTATTCTTATAAAGCTAACCAATTACACTTACAAATATGGCGAGCTTTAGATTCTCTTGGATATCCTGAAACTGCTTAAACCTCATTAAGATTTCAATTTACTGCCGGCCATGGTGGCTCACACCTATAATCCCAGCACTTCGGGGTGCTGAGGCAGATGGTCGAGACTGGAGTGAGCCATGATCGCACCACTGCACTCCAGCCTGGGCGAGAGAGGAGATCTTGTCTCAAAAACAAAACAAACACAAAAAGATTTTAACTTAAAACCAGGAGTCTGTATCAGTTACTTGATTATACACTTTCAGTTGTTCTTATGAGGAGGGTCTCTTGAGCAACATTCTCTTATACATTTGTAAGTACACAATATACCTAGTATACCCAGATTCCTTTGTATTACAGAAACATTATTATTATGGTTTTAATTTCTTAAAACTTCCATATTAATTCTTACTTTTCTGGGGTGGAAAGATAGGAGGCATTGGGATAGACTATTTCCATCCCAGTTACCTGAAGTGATCTGCTAAGAAAGACAAATGCTGCCCCAATTAATTGAGGTAACTTAGAGTCAAAGATTTTGGCAGAACCTGAGATTTAAAGTTGAAGACATACAGGAATTACTGCCCCTATTGTCATACTAAGCTCCTTTTTGTAAGTACTCTGCCAGGGACTTCAAAGCATTAAGGGTGTCTATTTTGGACTCATAGAACCTAATTCTTATGCAGGTCTGCAGACTTCATCAGAGTCCATCCATTCCTTGATTAGATGATTACATTTGCATCTCTGGTTTATAATGTATTTCCTAACTAAAGATCTTTAACTCCCTAGGATCCCAATAAATATATCTTCATTTACCTATCTATTTTCACTTGCAAATATTTCAGTATATATCTCTAATATATAAGAACTTTAAAAAGTAATCTCAGGCTGGGTTGGGGGGTGCTCAGGCACAGGCACCCAGCACTTTGGGAGGCAGAGGGGGGCAGATCGCTTGAGCCCAGGAGTTCGAGACCAGCCTGGGCAACATGGTGAAACCCTGTCTCTATTAAAAAAAAAAAAATTAAGCCAGACATGGTGGTGTATGCCTGTGGTTCCAGCCACTTGGGAGGCTGAGGTGAGGGGATTGCTTGAATCGAGGAGTTCGAAGCTGCAGTGAGCAGAGATCGTACCACTACACTCCAGCCTGGGTGGCAGAAGGAGACCTTGTCTCAAAATAAATAAATAAGGGTCACCTCAGTGACATAAGTACTTTAGTACATCTAACAGAATTCACAAGAATTACTTGTGAATTGCTTGTACTCTGCCTACCTTCTTATTTCTCCATCTATCTTAAAAAGGTCTTTTTACAGTTTGTCCAATCAGAATTATAATGAGGCCACAAATATGTTGTATTTGCTTGATGTGTCTGTAAGATCTTCGTATCTATTACAATCTCCTGCCCTCTTAAAGCCCTTGATATGTTAAGGAAGCACGGTTGTTTTCTATAATTTCCCATATTCTAGATTTGGCTAATTGTTTCTTGGTAGTACAAAGTCTTCTAAGTTGTTCCTTTACTCTCTATATTTCTGGTAGCAAGTGTGATTAGATTTTGGGTGGGAGGAACCGGGGTCAAGAATGCTTCACAGACAGGTATTTCCTAACTATCAAAGACCCTTGAACTTGATGGGACTTTCCATTTTTCCTTGTTCTGGGGTATTTAATATGGTAACCTGATTGAAGTTCGGATATCTCACATGACTTTGAGCCGAACTTGCAGTCGTAATTCACATAATAGCTAACACATATTAAGTGCTTTTCATGGGCCGGACTCAATGCTAGGCCCTTTATAAATATGTTCATTTAATCTTCTCAATATTTTGCAGATAAGGAAAGTAATGCTTAGAGCGTTTAAGTTGACCCAGTTAGCAAGGATGGTGTGAATTTAGGGGTCGAACTGGAATCCCAATTTCCTTAGTCCCTTTCGCGGTCAACAATTCCCTTCTCCGGTTTTCGCAGTTCCGGTTCTCACAGGGTCCCAACCACTAGGAACCCGTCACTCCTCGCTCCGCCCCCCTTGGCCCCGCCCCACCCTGCTTTGCCCTGCCTCTCCCTGCCCCGCCGCGCCCCAGTCCCTTGACGACCCTCCTCTCTGGGCCCCGCCCCTCCCGCTTCGGGGTCAAGCCCCAGAGAGCGCCGCGAAAACCACATTTCCCAGAGTGCACCGCGACGGCAGGGGTCCTCAGACCGGCGCTCGCTCGCCGGCGCCATCCCTATAGAGAAGAACGGAGGTACGGCCTGTGGTCATGGCGCTGTTCCCAGCCTTTGCGGGGCTTAGTGAGGCTCCCGATGGCGGGAGCTCCAGGAAAGGTAAGCACACAAACGAGCCGAAGAAGGCACCTGGGGGGCTTAAGAGGCTGTTTCTCGGGCCCAGGTCTAGACTTTTGCTTTGGATTTGTGTATCCATTTGTATCCCAGAGTTCTCCGCGGCGCTGCAAAGCCTTCTGGGAAAGGCTCAATCCCTCCGAGGTCTGGGGCCCAGAGGCCTGTTCTGGACCAAGGTTGTAGAGTTATGGAGGGGTGGAGAAAGACCAGCAGATGCCCTGGAGCTGGGACTTCTGTACGATGTTGTTAGGTCCTGTTCTTCTTTTCGAGCCTCAGTTACTTCATCTTTAAATTGGGAATAATGATACTCGACATCTCGAGGAAACCCTTGATGCAAATGCAGAATGTTTTTATTACATATTACTTCCTTTCCTGTTATACTTATTTCTGAAATGCTTATTAGATTGGTATTACTTAGCGGCCTAGAGCTAGGGGATTAGTATCCAAAACCTAATCAGTTTCTCTCTGGAGGGGCACAGCACCCAGTGAAAATAACTAACATTTATTCTTGAGGGCCTAGTGTGTATCAGGTTATGGCTTTACACATTTTACTTAAGTCCCAGACATTTCCAGCAGAGCTGCATTGTTCAAAATTGGGGTACATAGTTCATTTAAGAAGTAATTAATCCTGGCCAGGAGCAGTGGCCCACACCTGTAGGTGGAAGGATAGTTTGAGCCCGGGAGTTCATGACCATCATGATCAACATAGCGAGACTCCTGTCTCTTAAAAAAAAAGCCAGGCGTGGTGGTGCACACCTATAGTATCAGCTCCTCAGGAGGCTGAGGTAGGAGGATTGCTTGAGCCCAGAAGTTTGAGGCCGCAGTGAGCCATGATCGTGCCGCTGCATCCTGCCCTGGGGTGGGGGGACCTTGTCTCTAAAAAAAAAAGAAAAAAAAGTAATTCTAAATTATGTGCCATATGTGACAGGGCGCAATTGAGTCTTACCTGTCTGTTATATCCTCTAATATAGTTCCTACACTTTCTGTAACGTTTCTCCTAATTTTTTTTTTTTTTTTTGAGACAGGGTCTCACTCTGTTGCCCAGGCTGGAGTACAGTGGCACTGTCATAACTCACTGCCGCCTCAGACTCCTGGGCTTAACTTCCTGCCTCAGCCTCATGAATAGCTGGAACTACTGGTGTGCACCACCAGGCCTGGCTAATTTTTTTTAATATTTAGTAGAGACGAGGTCTCACTGTGTTGACCAGGCTGGTCTCGAACTCCTGAGCTCAAGCGATTCTCTATCTGAGCCTCCCAAAGTTCTAGGATTACAGGCATGAGCCACTGCGCTTGTCCTATTTCTCATAATTGTGAGTAATTTCTTGTGTAAAATTGTTGTCTTCCCTTACTAGACTGTAATCTCTATCAGGTTGGGCAGTGTTTGTCTATTCATTGTAGCATAGTTAGCCCCTAGCACAGGTCCAAAGTATAATAGGTGTTCAATAAATATTTTCTGGATGTACAGATCGATAGTAGTTACTTAATAATTACGTGTTGCAGGAATGCATGAGTGCACCTAAAAGAAGTGTATAGTACAAGGTGGGATATTACAGATACCATAGGTGAACTGCAGGATTAATTACTTCTTTTTATTTATTTATTTATTTATTTTTTTTTTTGAGACCAAGTCTTGCTCTGTCGCCCAAGCTGGAGTGTAATTGTACGATCTTGGCTCACTGCAGCCTTCGCCTCCTGGGTTCAAGTGATTCTCCTGCCTCAGCCTCCCGAGTAGCTGGGACTACAGGCACTCACCACCATGCCCGGCTAATTTTTGTATTGTTAGTAGAGATGGGGTTTCACTGTTTTGGCCAGGCTGGTCTCGAACTCCTAACTTTAAGTGATTCGCCCACCATAGCCTCCCAAAGTGCTGGGATTACAGTTGTGAGCCACCACACCCAGCCCAGGAATAATTACTTCTAATAGAAGGTTCAAAGAAGGCTTTATGTAGGAACTAATATTTTTTTCTTTTACTTTTTTTTTTTTTTTTTTTGAGGCAGTCTCACTCTGTCACCCAGGCTGGAGTGCAGTGGCACAATCTCAGCTCACTGCAACCTCCGCCTCCTGGCTTCAAGTGATTCTTGTGCCTCAGTCTCCCGAGTAGCTTGGATTACAGGCATGCACCACCACACCTGGCTAATTTTTTGTATTTTTAGTAGAAATGGGGTTTCACCATGTTGGCCAGGCTGGTCTTGAACTCCTGAGCTTAGATAATCCGCCCACCTCGGCCTCCCAAAGTGCTGGGATTACAGGTGTGAGCCAACGTACCCAGCCTACTTTTTTTTTTCTTAAGTAGGGACAGGGTCTTGCTATGTTGCCCAGGCTGATCTCAGACTGCTGGGCTCAAGTGATCCTCCTGCCTCAGCCTCCCAAAGTTCTGGAATTACAGGCGTGAGCCACTGTGCCTAGCCAGGAGCTAAGTTTTGGATGGATCTTCAAGAGAGTAGGATTTGGACAAATAAAATGGGGGAAGTGTATACCAGGGCCTTCAAGTCCTGCAGAAGAAAAGTGTGAGAACTGCAAATCATCTAGTTTGTCTGGAGGTGTAGTGGCATAAAGAGGAGCCTTGGGAAATATGGTTGGGCTGGTGGTGATGGAGGATAGTGATCTTTAATAACATGTCAAAGCTTTATCCTTTTATTTTGAGAGGGGGAAATCGAACTTTTGCAGAGGAGTCTTACTCTTAAATAGTATTTATTTGACATCCTCTGGATATCTACAATCAGGAAAATGTGTGTAAAAGTATGTTTTATAAAGTATTGTCTTTTGAAAAAATATAAACACAGCATCATCTCTTGTAATGGAAAAAAGCCTTAATTCTTTTCTGGTCATTTTCACTTACCAGTCAGTGTTCAAATTTCACGAGATGTTTCAAAAATGGGATTTTACAGTTGGATTGTCCAAGTCAATTTCCAAAATACAGCCAACATTGCATTTTGTGGATATATGCCTTAGGTCTCTTTCAGTATAAATCGGTTTCTTCCTCTCCTTCATTCCATGTGATCGATCTGTTGAGGAAACCGTGTCATTTGTCCTGTAAATGTTTCCCACCAAATCCTCATAGTGTCACTTAACATGCTTCTGTATTCCAGTATTTCCTGTAAACTGGTATTTACCTCTAGTCAATTAATTAGATTGAGATTTAATCTTTTTGTTGAAAGTACCTCATTGGGGGAGCAATGCACTTGCTATGGAATCATTTCAGGAGGATGCCCTGTCTAACGTTCTCTGTTTTAGTGATGTTAAGATTGACCAGTGGATTCATGTGTTTGCAACCTGTTTCATCCCATATGAAGCAGCCCATGAACCTTACACCTAATGATTTTTGCAGCCATTTATGATTATTGTTTAGGTTCATTATTATTTCATTGAGGTTGCAAAATGGTTGTTTTCTAATTATATCATTCCTCCTGTATTTATTAACATCAATTATTCTATGAAGAACTATTGGGATACCCTGAATACAGTTTAGTTAGGCAGGAAAGACAGGATAAATACTTTTTTCTTTTTTTTTTTTTTTTTTTGGAGACAGAGTCTAGCTGTCGCCCAGGCTGGAGTGCAGTGGTGAGATCTGGCCCACTGCAACCTCCGCCTCTTGGGTTCAAGTGATTCTCCTGCCTCAGCCTCCCTAGTAACTGGGACTACAGGCATGCGCCACCACTCCTGGCTAATTTTTTTTTTTTTTTGAGACAGAATATCTCTCTGTCGCCTAGGCTGGAGTGCAGTTGTGTGATCTTGGCTCACTGCAAGCTCCGCCTCCCGGGTTCACGCCATTTTCCTGCCTCAGCCTCCCGAGTAGCTGGGACTACAGGCGCTTGCCACCACGCCTGGCTAATTTTTTATATTTTTAGTAGATAGGGGGTTTCACCATGTTAGCCAGAGTGGTCTCAATCTCCTGACCTCATGATCCGCCCGCCTCTGCCTCCCAAAGTGCTGGGATTACAGGTGTGAGCCACTGCGCCCAGCTTACTCCTGGCTAATTTTTGTATTTTTACTAGAGACAGAGTTTCACCATGTTGGCCAGGCTAGTCTCGAACTCCTGACCTCAAGCGATCCACCTGCCTTGGCCTCCCAAAGTGCGTGAGCCACCTCGCCTAGCCTGGGATAAATACTTGATTCATTCCTTTCGTTAGTTTCAGAATAATGAGTTGGGGGTCCCAGTAACTTCTAGAGGTGACCAGTGAGGTGTGAAGTTTTTTGTTTTCATTATGAAGTCATGAATTTTTAATGTTTATATTTCAATCCATTGCAGGTAGGCTTTTTTTTTTTTTCTTTTTTTAGAAATGAGGTTTCACTCTGTCGCCCAGGTTGGAGTGTAGTGGCGCAATCACAGCTCACTACAATCTCCAATTCCTGGGATCAAGCAGTCCGCCTGTCTCAGCCTCCTGAGTAGCTAGGACTGCTAGTGTGCACCACCACACTTGGCTGATTCATTTATTTTTTTAGAGATAGAGTCTTGCTACATTGGTCAAGCTGATCTTGAACTCCTGGCCTCAAGCAGTGCTCCCGCCACGGCCTCCCAGAGTGCTGGGATTACAGGCATGAGCCATCATGCCGGGCCTGACCCAATCATCTTTATTTAATAGCTTTCTTGCTTTCTGTCCTAAGAGATGTCCAGGAATCATCACTTACATTTTCTCTTGTGGCCTGGAGTTGGCCATTTCTCCAGGGAATCCTGGTTTCTTTTAGTGGAAAATGATATGGATATATGAAAACCACACACTGGGTTGTTAGGGGTATCATCACCACTGTGTTGTCATTACTTCTAGACTTTTTCAGTGGATGGAACCAGGAAGAGAAAAATACATCATGAATTCGTATTAGTATTTCCAGTCCAAATGTAAGATTATGAAGCTTTTACTTCTTTGATTTAATTTTTAAATTTCTTTATTTGTTCAAAATAACAGTATTAATGTGACTAATACTAACAGTTTCAGATTTTTTTATGGTTCTATTTGTTTTAAGGACATGGCCCACAGTGGATATGCGGTCAATTTACTGAGTTTGAAAATCACTTGAAACAATTCCCTGTGTGGTTTTACCACCAGTTTGATATATGGTGATATAAATATTTTCCATTTTTAGGGATTGTTTTTCTTTTTAATTTGATTTTGTTTTATAATGATGTAAAATGCTTAGCCTAACGTTGAGATTGTAAACCAGGTATATTCAGAGGAGAAAAACCTTCCATCTCTGTTTCTCCAACCTGTCACTTTCCTTCCCCTGCAGACTAACATTTTCATTAGCCCATGGTATCCTCCCATTTTTTTTCCCTCCCTTCTATAAGAGCAACTACATTTTCCCTCTCTCTTTTTTTTTTTTTTTTTTGAGACAGAGTCTCGCTCTGTCGCCCAGGCCGGACTGCAGACTGCAGTGGCGCGATCTCGGCTCACTGCAAGCTCCGCTTCCCGGGTTCACGCCATTCTCCTGCCTCAGCCTCCCGAGTAGCTGGGACTACAGGCGCCCGCCACCGCGCCCGGCTAATTTTTTGTATTTTTAGTAGAGACGGGGTTTCACCTTGTTAGCCAGGATGGTCTCGATCTCCTGACCTCATGATCCACCCGCCTCGGCCTCCCAAAGTGCTGGGATTACAGGCGTGAGCCACCGCGCCCGGCCTCCCTCTCTTTCTTAAATGCATACTATTCTGCATTTTACCTTAGATCCTGGAGATCGCTCTACACTCTATAGAGATCTTCCTCATTTCTTTTTACTAGTGCACAGAACTCCATCGTGTGGCTGTCACATGCTTTATTCAACCAGTCCCCTATTAAGGACATTTGGACTCTTTCCAGTCTTTGGCTGTTATAAATAGAAGCAGTGTACTTTTTGCCTTACAGTATAAAAAATGTTATAAAAATGTAAAATAGTGTTAGCAAGAAGTGGGTGCAGAGTTTCAATTAAAAAAAACGTTAAACTCCTGGACAGGAAAGACAGCCAATACCAAAATGAGTGAGAGGGGTGCTGTTCTCCTCTTTCTGGCTACCATTAAAAGTTAGGCCAAGGGCTGGGCACAGTGGCTTACACCTGAAATCTCAGCACTTTGGGAGGCCAAGGCGGGCAGATCACATGAGCTTAGGAGTTTGAGACCAGCCTGGGCAACATGACAAAACCCTGACTCTAATAATAACAACAAAAACTAGCCAGGTGTGGTAGTGTGTTCCTGTGGTCCCAGCTACTCGGGAGGTTGAGGTGGGAGGATTGCTTGAGCCTGGGAGGTGGAGGTTGCAGTGAGCTGAGATCTCACCACTGCACTCCAGCCTGGCTGACATAGTGAGACTCCATCTCAGAACAAAAAAAAGCAAAGAGGCCAGGATTTAAGTAGGCATCACATTCAGTAAGGAGTCTGGTGGGACTATGTTTAGTAAAATTCATTCTTTCAGGAAACAAGAATAGGAGCAGCCATTGTGTCAGGAGCAGCAGAGAGTGCCCAGCATCTGACCCCTTCAGTTCTGGAGCTTTTCTTCCTACCCTCAGATTGTTGACTAGGATCGTGTACCCTAGAACATTGTTGCTTGGGAATCAAATATTTGACAGATTTGGAATGGAAGATGGTATATTAGTTTATTTAATCTTCATATTATATGAAGCAGACATATTATCCATATTTGGGGAAGAAACTAAACACATTATCTTTTTCCCCCAAACCTTTTTCTTCCCGTGTCCACAAATCAAAAAATGGCACTACCATTCACCCAAACCAAAACTTAGACACGTACCTTGACTCCCCACTTCCACCCATTCAATTCTTTAGTCCTTCCAAACAACTCTGAAAGTCCTTAGTTTCTTCATAGTCTCACTACCATTACCTAACTTTTGCCGTCATCGTCTCCTAGATTACTACAACAGCCTCCTAAAATAGCGTCCCCGCCGTTAGTCCTGCCATTGCTCCCTGAGCCACTCTCCACACTGTTGCAAGAACTTTTAAATGTCCTTATTTAAAAACACTATGTGCCATTCACTGGTTTAAATGCCTTACAAATACTAACTTATTGAATGCACGTAACAACTCTATGAAGTTAGTGCTGTTCAAATGTACGCACAGAGGGAACCAGTAAGTAACTTCTGAAGGTCACATGGTTAGTAAGTCACAGAGTCAGGATTTGAACTCACACAATTTAGCTTCAAAGTGTGTGCTCTTTTTTTTTTTTTTTTTTTGGAGACGGAGCCTTGCTCTGTCACCCAGGCTGGAGTGCAGTGGCGTCTCCACTCACTGCAACCTCTGCCTCCAGGGCTCAAACGATTCTCCTCCCTCAGCCTCCCGAGTAGCTGGGATTACAGGTGTGCGCCACCACACCTGGCTAATTTTTGTATTTCTAGTAGAGATGGGGTTTCACCATGTTGGCCAGGCTAGTCTCAAACTCCTGACCTCAAGTGATCCGCCCACCTCGGCCTCCCAAAGTGCTGGGATTGCAGGCATGAGCCACCCCGCCCGGCCTAAAATGTGTGTTCTTAAACGCTGTTCTTTGCTGCTCATCTTTCAAATAGTATATCTGATTTTGTCACTCTCATTCAAAACATGACCATCTGCCCATTGCTCTTAGGGTAATGCCAAGCTCTCAAACATGTTTTTTAAGGCCCTACCTCTCCTGCTTCATTTTGCCCCCATTTCCCCTCAGTCCCAATGGCCAAGCCACAATCGCTTCTCCTATTTCTCACTGTCTATTTCCCAAACACTTTCTAGGAGCATATTTCCTTCACTCCTCCTCCTTTAGATCTTAGCTGAGAGATTTTCTCAGTTAGCTTTCTCTGATCCAGACCTTGTTTGAATTAGAGAGCGTGCTGTCATTATTCCCTATTTTCTCTCTCTTTGCATTTGTCACGTTGCATAGAAGTGACTGCTAGTAGGGCAGCTCCATGAGGGTAGTGTTGGGTTTGTCTTATTCATCGTGCATTCCTAGCACCTAGACCAGTACTTGGCTGTCAGTAAAAAATTACGGAATAAAAAAAAAGAGACTCAGATAAATTATTTTGTTCAGAGTTGCACAACCAAGAAACAGCCAGTTTGAATACAAGTTCTTCTACGTACAGAGCTTGTGTTATAAGCCATGCTACGATATTAGAACATTGGGTTTTGGTCCTTTATATAATACCTTTGGAATTCCTGGGCCTCTTCAAATTGTAGGTTAACTCCATGGAAGGGCTGAATTTGCTCAGGTTCTCTGTAATAATCATCTTAAATGCAGTTCTCAGCCATGTTTGCTGGTGCTTTTTGTATAAATAGGTTTGTACTCCCAGATCCTTTGTTAGACTTACTCATTTTAAAGGAACAAATCTTCTTCCATAATATATACACTACTTTATTTATACACTTGGCCCTAGAAATGTTTTTTGAATTACCATCTCAGGAGGAGCACTTACCTCTGAGTTCACTTAAACAAACTAGTAATCAGTGCTATTTCATTATAATAGAAGGGGAATGGATGTAGAACTTGGATATTTTATCCAATTATAGTTAAAAATATATTTTAAAGTTCAAATCTTTTCATGGCAATTCCTTCCTCCCTCTATGTGTAATAGAATTAAATTAAAGCATTTTTACTAGTGGTAGAGAAATAGGGTTACATAATAAATGTTCATAAAAAGTATTTGAGCTTAAATTATTCAGCGATGATTCATTATATTATTTTCTGTTAAATTACCCTGAAAATTTATACATGCTACATTTCTACCAGACACCTGCCTATTTTTGTTAGGCGGTAGTTCTAAAGTGGTTTTTCTGCCTGATGTTTCCACATTTCTTGGTGTGTATGCATAATACAATGTATGGCAGAGTGTTAATTTCCAGGCACATTCCAACTCGTAATTTACTAACCTGCAAGGACAAAAGCCTTGTCAGCCAGTGGGATTCTCTTTCTTAAACCGTAGGCATTTGGTGTGCTGCTGGTCTTCTCTATAAATGTTACATCTTGCTTAGTATTGGCACAATTATCTATGTACACATTTTATATCTATCAAGTATGTAAATTATGTGAGGATGTAACTGTTGAAAATGACTTTGCAGTCTGATTAATAAAGCATCTTTTCATCTCAGATAACTCTCTCCAGAATTCTGTTGAATTAAAATTGAATTTAACAATGCAAGTTTTTATTTGACAGTGAAGGTTATAATTATAAACTCCATGTGAGCAGAACCTTTCTTGTTCCCCACTATACCCCCAGTACCTAGACCTGTGCCTGGGTGTGTAGTTGGTATTCATTAACTTATGTAATGATTAAATATACATTTACAATGAAGAAAGGAAGAATTACACTAGTTGTACTTTATACCTAGATAATGGATTTTTTTTTGAAGATTTCTAATTTCTTCAGTTCATTTGATTAGGTGTTGGGGGTATAAACATGCAAAGATATGGTGCATATCCTCATTCATTTTATTTATTCAACAGGTATTTATTGAGTCCATTTGCTTTGTACCAAGGCACTGTGCTAGGAGTTGGGAATACAGTAGTGAATAGTCATGGCCCTGCCCTCATGGAGTTTGGGAAGTGACAGGTGGGAGGAGGGGAGGGAGCTAGAAACTGGGATATAAGAGTTGTAAGCTAGTTGGTGTTTATTTTTTCTTTTGCCACTTCTGTAGTATCACAGTAGTCATTACTAATCTGGTCCCTATAAGGATTTGAGTTTTTGACCCTTGGCTTAGAGTATAGTGGGAAGATAATGAGATTACAATGTGAAGATTGCCGTAAGAGCCCCGTGTACTAATTGCAGGGAGACTTTAGGAGAACCAGCCTCCTTAGTTGAGGAAGTGAAGAGAAGCTCCGTGGCGTGGGGTGGAGAGAACTGGATGAAGAGTCACAGATTCAGGTTCAGATGCTTGCCCTTGGCCACAGCTGGGCCTCCAGCTGTTGGTCTATAGGGGAGGAGGTGGTGTCCAGGCTGTGCTCTGAAGAGCCATCTCAGACCCAGCCCCTCCCTCTGAACTCCCAACTAGAGAGCATCCCTGCCTTTTCTGTTCTTCATGTTGGACTTCTGTGGAAGATTCTGTTTGAAGTGAGTTCCTTGGCTAAGAAAAGTTTGGAAGTCCATGGACTAGAGGACTTCCAAAATCTTTCCAAGCCTACCATACAGTGATTATTACTTCTAGTATTCCCTGCATGTGCACTGCTAATATGCTATCAAAAAATAAAGCAAAACAGAGCTTCTTGTCAGATGAAAATACCTTTTGCTCCACAGGAGGTCATTTGATTGGCATGAAGGTCACAGAGGATCCATGATGATTCATGTTCAAAACCCAAGAGCTTTCTTTCTTTTTTTCTTTTCTTTTTTTTTTTTTTTTTTTAATAGAGCTGGGGTCTTGCTTATGTTGCCCAGGCTCGTTTGAACTCCTGGGCTCCAGTGGTCCTCCCTTCTCAGCTTCCCAAAGTGCTAGTATAATAGATATACTGGCCAAGTTTTCTTTCTTTCTGAATTTTTTTCCCCCACAGTAGTGCCATACAGCAAAGCCTCAATTGTATCCTCAAAAGCCTGGCACAGTGGTGGCACGCCTATAGTCCCAGCTGCTTGGGAGGCTGAAGCAGGAGGATCGCTTGAGTGTAGGAGTTTGAGGCCATCCTGGGCAACACAGCAAGACCCCATCTCTCAAATTTAAAAAGCCTTTCTTGTGTCTTCTGAAGGACTTTGAAGAGTCACACACTGTATGTTGTGATGTCTGTATTTCTTTACATTTTCTTCCAGCTGTCATCACTATCTAGAATATTTATATAGAAATATACTGGAATTGTTTGAGAGCATCTTTTCCTGAATACTGTTTGTTCCATCTTTTTCCACTTTTTCATGATAGAATCTGATTTTTGTGGAAATAATTTTGATCTCAGTGAGCAACAGGAACTAGTTTCACATATCTTTTGCCAGGAATTAGGCCCAAATGAAGGGAACCAACCTCAGAAGGAAAAAGAGAGTAGAAGGTTGCATGAGCAGTTGTTTAACATTTACTAGGTATGACATTACTAATTACTTAACCCCTTTGAGTCTTAGTTTCCTCTTCTATAAAATGGTGATCATAATACCTCCCATAGAGCCTTGTTGTGAGGATTAAAAGATGAAAAGGATGTAAGTTCTTAGCCTGGTGTTTGGCCTGCTGTAGGCACTTAAGTTGGAACCTGTCACTTCTTTCCCTTTTTTCTGTGCTGTTTAATATGCCTTTCTTTCTTTGGGATTTTCCTTCCTTCCTCTTTTCCTTCTTTCTCACAAGTATTTGTTGAACACTTACTATAAGCCAGTGATTAAAACAGTACCTGTTGTCAGGAAGCATACATTATGGTATCTCCTCCATACTAAGATGCAAATACTGATATGGTTTGGCTCTGTGTGCCCCTGCAAATCTCATCTTGAATTGTAATCCCTATAATCCCCATGTGTCAAGGGAGGAACTGGTGGGAGGTGATTGGATCCTGGGGGCAGTTCGCCCCATGCTGTTCTCACGATAGTGAGTGAGTTCTCATGAGATCTGATGGTTTTATAAGGGGCTCTTCCCCCTTTGCTCTTTACTCTTTCCTCTGTTGCCACCACATCAAGAAGGTCCTTGCTTCCTCTTCACCTTCCACCATGATTGTAAGTTTCCTGAGGCCTCCCCAGCTATGTGGAACTACGAGTCAATTAAACCTCTTTCCTTTATAAATTACCCAGTCTTGGGTATTTCTTTATAGCAGTGTGAGAACGGACTAATACAGTTACTTAAGGAGCTAGTACCCAGAATAAAGAACTTCTGCAAAGAAGATCTGTGAATGGCTAATAAACACATGAAAAGATGTTCAGCATCATTAGTCATTAGGGAAATGGAAATCAAAACTACAGCAAGATGACACATCATACCCACTAGGGTGACTATAATAAAAAAGATAATATGACAAAAAAGGATATGGAGAAACTGGAATTCTTATACATTGTTATTGGGAATCTAAAATGGTACAGCTACTTTGGAAAACAATCTGGCATTTCCTCAAAATGTTAAATATGAGTTACCATATCACCCAGCAATTCCGCTCCTAGGTATCCACTCAGGAGAAATGAAAATGTGTCCATATGAAAACTTGTACATGAATATTCAGAGTAGTAGTATTCATATTAGCTAAAAAGAAGAAATAACCCAAGTGTTCATCAACTAATGGACAGGTAAAATGTGGTAAATCCATAAAATGAGATATTTGACAATAAAAACGAATGAGGTAGTGATACACACTACAGCATGGATGAACCTTGAAAACATTGTGGTAAGTTACAAAAGACCACGTATATTATATGAGCTTATTTATATTAAATGTCCAAAATAGGCAAATCTAGAGAGATAGAAAGCAGGTTAGTGTTTGGCTAGGGGTGAGGTGGGCGGGGCAGGGAAACAGGAGGTGGGTGATAGGAGTGGACTGCTAATAGGTCTGAGGTTTTGTTTTGGGATGATGAAAATGTTCTAAAGTTATGAAGATGACCACACAACTCTGTAAATATACTAAAAATCTGTTAAATTGTACATGACTAATGGCTGAGTTATGGTATGTAAATTATATCTCAATAAAACTGTTCAAAAATGCAGTCACCCTCCTCTTTTGTACCTTCAACCATTTAACGGGTTCTTCCTCTTTAGGATATGAATAAGCTCTGGCCTCCCATCCAAACAAAACAGGACAAAATACAAACCCCCCGTGGGCTCCCTTGCTGCTGCCATCCCATGTTTTTTTTCTTCCCTTCACAGCTAAGACTCCTAAAAGTTAGAAAATAAGTAATTTAGAAATCGTTCACTGTAGAAAAGTAAGAAATTAGGGGTAAGCAGAAAGAAGAAAATCTTTAGACATTTAATGTAATCACCTAGAGATAATCATCACAGTATTCACATTTATATAATTTTAGCATTAAAAGTTAACATCTTAGGTTTTTATTTCCAAAGAAGAGTACTATTATAAGGAAAAGTTTGTTAAGTTAGTGTACTAAGGTAGAACATGGAATATTTTTTAAAAGATCTTAATCTTCTGTAATAATATTAAGCATGGTGGGCTTTTATGCATGATTTGATTTGCTTTTGTTTTGTTTTGTTTTGTTTGAGATGGAGTCTAACTCTGTCATCCATGCTGGAGTGCAGTGGCGTGATACCGGCTCACTGCAACCTCTGCCTCCCAGGTTCAAGCAATCTCCTGCCTCAGCCTCCCGAGTAGCTGGGATTACAGGCGTGTGCTACCACACCCGGCTAATTTTTTTATTTTTAGTAGAGATGGTTTTTCACCGTGTTGGCCAGGCTGGTGTCAAACTCCCGACCTCAGGTGATCTGCCCTCCTCAGCCTCCCAAAGTGCTGGGATTACAGGCATGAGCCACCATACCCAGCCGATTTGATCTTTTAACTTTTAGGAATTGTCTGAATCAAATTTGAGGTCATAAAAACCTAATGCTTTGGAAGCATTCACACTCATTAGACAGTGTGGATGGATGGAATGCAAAATGCCTTGTTGCCTTTTAGCCCGTACTTGTTACATGGCTTTTGCTTAAGCTGCAGTTTGATATCACGGAAGGATTTTGGTCTAGAATATTTTAGAGGGTATTAAAGCCATGCCCTGTGAAATAAAAATTTCATGGATTCTGTTCAGCTTCTGTGGACTTTGGACTGACTGTTCAAAACGTCTGGCTGGCATTGGCTGTGAATTAGGATGTCAGCTGATAAGATGGATAGATCTCCTGCTTTAGAATCATATTGAACTAATTTCATTGATCTTTTCTCCTTTTGCCTGTGCAGAGTTAGACTGGCTGAGCAACCCAAGCTTTTGTGTTGGATCCATAACGTCCCTGAGCCAACAAACTGAAGCAGCTCCAGCCCATGTTTCTGAAGGGTTACCGCTGACAAGGTAGTTTTTGTTTGACAGATGTGTTTTCGTTTTTGTCAGTTTACTGTCTATAGCTTAGCTGAAATGAAGCTCCTTAGAAAACTCTAATAAAAGAGGTATGTAAAACTCTTACTTAAAGTAATAAGGTGATCTTTGACTATTTTCCCTTACCTCTTGTATTCTTTTTTTTTTCTTTGCTTTGCAGTGGCAAGTACATGACACAGTTAGTGCCTGTAATTAGGCCAAGAGGGAAATGGCATCATTGTGATTCTCGAGTAACTTTACTAGCCTCATTAGTAACCTTTAGAACATCATAATTCAGGTATTTTTTTAGTTACATTTTCAACCCTTTTGTAAAAATAGAGAGGGAGCTTGTATAAGATTAAAAATGGCATCAAAACGTCAGGGAAAGCAAGATGGCACACATCTCTCCTCAGCTGTGAAAGAATTTTGTTTTAGATCATTGAACTGAGAAATAAGCTGTCTTACAAATACAGACTAGATTTCATTAATAGGGTGAATAGGTTGTGAAACCCGGTACTCTAAATGTGTAAGAAGCCTTTGGAAATTGAGAAGAGTTGATGTATGAGAGGAAGTTGGTAGATATTAGATATTTCAGTAATGAGGAAGAAGAGCTCATTGTCATCTCCAAAAACAAGGACCACAATTAAATGTTTTGGTTTTTTTATTAACAACATGTTGACATAATATGTGGCACTGAAAATAAACCTTTTTATAATGATTTTTTTTGAAAATTATTATTATTATTTTTAAAATAAAGATGAGGTCTTGCTACGTTGCCCAGGCTTGTCTCAAACTCCCAAGCACCTTCAGCAGTCCTCTTGCCTTGGCCTCCCAAAGTGCTAGGATTATAGGCATGAGTAACCACACCCAGCCAACCTTTAATAATGTCTTAAAAATACTATATTTGTTAAGTGGTAGGTTACTTTCATTTAAAGATGTATAAATAAGAAAGTATAGGTTTAGAAACTATTAAAATTGGAATTTCTTCACCTGTTATTATTTTAGATCCAATTCCTAAGTCTTGCAGGTGAGGTGTAATCCAGTAAGTTACTGTGTAATATATGGGCAAATAGTAAATCTGTGTGAACATTTATATAGTTCCATCTTAAATATTTGTTGACTTATTTACATAGTATTATTTTTCCTACATCTTTTTAGAAAGTAATTTTAAAGTTGATTTTCCCAAACAGGAGTCATCTGAAATCAGAGTCTTCAGATGAAAGTGACACTAACAAAAAGCTCAAACAAACAAGTAGAAAAAAGAAGAAAGAGAAAAAGAAAAAAAGGAAGCATCAGCATCATAAGAAAACAAAGAGGAAGCATGGGCCGTCGAGTAGCAGCAGGTCTGAGACAGACACCGATTCTGAAAAGGACAAACCTTCCAGAGGCGTTGGAGGCAGTAAAAAGGAATCTGAGGAACCGAAGTAGGTTGCTGTTCTCAAGCACCTATGATATTTTAAGTCTTGAGTTTTTCTCCCTTAATTGTTGCCGCAAATTAGATATTTGAATAACCATTTAGTCACTCAGTCGGAAGAGAGCTCTACCATTATATCAGCTTAAAAAAGAGAAGGAGAAAAATTAGGGACACGATTTTATTTGAGAAATGTTATTTAGACACAGTAATGATTGTGTGAATCTCTTTTAGACAAAAAGTCTTTGGGATTTTCAAAAGATGGCAGATGTGCCACAGTGGGTCTGTGAGTCAGTGCCGTTATCACATAGATAACGGTTCCCTCTCTGAGGGCCGTGGGTCTCCACACTCTGGGTAGGAGAAACATCTTCTTTCTCTGCCTTGATATATCTTTCATTCAGTCACTCCTATCAACTCCTGTGTGTATACATGATCACACACACTTTAAGATTAACGTAGCACTTAAATAATTGTTACATTTGTCCTTTTCCTTTTCTTTTTCATATTTGTTTAAGACCACTATGTCGAAGGCAGTGGAAAACAGCTCATGATTACAGTGTTTCCATTCCTTGGGGGCTTTATTTCTCCCATATTTTACTCTGCTTTCTTTCTTTTTTTTTTTTTTTTTTTTTTGAGACGGGGTTTCACTCCAGTTGCCCACGCTGGAGTGCAGTGGTGCGATCTCAGCTCACCACAACCTTTACCTCCTGGGTTCAGGCGATTGTCCTGCCTCAGCCTCCCGAGTAGCTGGGATTACAGGCGTCTGCCACCACGCCTGGCTAATTTTTTGTATTTTTAGTAGAGATGGCATTTCACCATGTTGGCCAGGCAGGTCTTGAACTCCTGACCTCAGGTGATCCACCTGCCTCAGCCTCCCAAAGTGCTGGGATTACAGGCATGAGCCACTGTGGCCTACTCTGCTTTCTACCTTGAGCATATTGTTCAATTCATTCTACAGAATGGCCACAGCATAGGTGCTCAATACAGCCTTTTCTCTGTGCCTAGTTGAATGTCTTCCTAAGTAGAGGGGTATTTGCGTGTAGGTGGGACAGGTGGTATATGGTGAAACTACCTGAATTATTGCTCATTTAACTTTCTCCTTTATTTGCTCATATGGTCTAGAAGGGAGAAAACTTAGGTACCTGTCTAGAACATCTCTAAAAAAGAAATAGTGCTGTTGAGGTTTTTGCAACTCTTCAGGAATTTTTGTTTCCTTTTTTTAGACAGAGTCTCATTCTATCACCCAGGCTGGAGTGCAGTGGTACGATCTTGCCTCACTGCAACCTCCGCCTCCCGGGTTCAAGCGATTCTCATGCCTCAGCCTCCCAAGTAGCTGGGACTACAGGCATGCATCACCACACCCAGCTAATTTTTGTAACCCAAGCTTTTTTTTTTTTTTTTTTTTTTTTTTTTTGAGACAGAGTATTGCTCTGTCGGCCAGGCTGGAGTACAGTGGCACGATCTCGGCTCACTGCAACCTCTGCCTCCCGGGCTCAAGCAAGTCTCCTGCCTCAGCCTCCCAAGTAGCTAGGATTACAGGCATGTGCCACCACGCCCGGCTAATTTTTGTGTTTTTAGTAGAGACGGGGTTTTTCCATGTTGGCCAGGCTGGTCTCGATCTCCGATCTCCTGACCTCAGGTAATCCACCCGCCTCTGCCTCCCAAAGTGCTGGGATTACAGCCATGAGCCACCGCACCCAGCCCCCAAGCTTGCTCTTTAGAGGAAAAAATAAAGCAGTCCGGCAAAAAGGTTCTGAATTTGACTGAATTTTTGAGGGTAGGAATCAGGCCTGTCTTGCTTACCACCATATTCCCACAGCACGTGGTGCACAGGGCCCATTACAGAGTAAGCACTGAATTTGTTTTTGTTACATGAATGAATGAATATGTTATTGGTGTCCTTACCTTTTACTGTGTCTTTAAAGCAAGCTACTTTAATTGTTACGTCTTCCCAAAACTCAACTTCTAGCTACTTGTCCTTTTTTATAGCTGGGGAAAATGAGTTTTAAAGGATTTCCTGAAACCACACAGGAACTATCTTTAGAACTTGAAGGATAGTTAATTTCAGCCTATGCTTAATCATGTCAGGGAATCTTTACAGCCTCTTGATAGTTTTATGATCCAGATAGCATTTTTAAGTTTATTGATATTTTATAGAATATCCTTATTAAGATTGTTCTTGTCCTTCTCTTTTACTGTCTTGTTATTAACTTATGTATTCTCTTCCCAAGAAGGTGACCTGGAAGAATTATTTATTTCCACATAGACAAGGACTACAATATTAGTGAATTGTGAGAGTCTTTCTGTGATGTCAGGAAAGTGGGTTCGTGAGGGTAGCAGACCCTATGAGACTCTGTTTCAGGGTGATGACAAATGACTTCCCCAGAGGCCACAGCTACTAATTGACCTTGAGTTTCTGGGATGAGCTTTCCCTCACCTTCAGGTGGAGGCAGCTCCTTCCTTGCACACAGCCCAGACTACCATATCCTGCTTCCTTAGCTCAGTACCGCCGAGGGGAGAGGAAAGGGCCTGTTGACTCCTCAGGGGCGGTCTGCAGCTGGCTTCTCCTTTTTTTCTCCCAGTTGGCTTTCCATTTATTTCTCAAATGCATCAATCAGTTTGCAGTAGGCTCTCCATCTTTTCATTGCCCGTTATGGTTTTTGTAGACAGGAAGCCCTCTGCAGTTGGGAAATGTGTTAAAATCTCCATACATTAACCTGAGGCTCATCATTCAACAACTATTTATTGAATAGCTACTTAGTGTTCCTGAAATGCCATTCCCTTATATTCCCTGCCAAGAATAATTAAGAAGCCTCCAAAATCTTTATTTGTACCTGGGCAGAGCTGAAAAGCAGAGATGGAACAACAGTTAATGGCTGTTTTGACTACTTTGTCACCTTCTTGTGTCAGCAGCATTATGAACTGATTTTCTTTAGAGGAAGAAGATGTTAGATGCCAGAGAAACCTTCCCTCCCTCTCACTTAACGCCCCGGGAGTGGTTCCTTTTGGATCTGAGCTGAAAGTCTGCCAGCCTACACATTGGTTCAGAGAGATACATTAGGGTCTTGTCTTCAGGGGAGCCTCGTGATTCTGCCCTTTATTTACGAGGTCCAGATGTATAAGCAAAACAGCGAATACAGAGTCCAGACCATAAAAATGAGGCTGAGCCGGGCACGGTGGCTCACACCTGTAATCCCAGCACTTTGGCAGGCCGAGGCGGGTGGATCATGAGGTCAGGAGATCGAGACCACCCTGGCTAACATGGTGAAACCCCATGTCTACCAAAAATACAAAAAATTAGCCAGGTGTGGTGGTGGGCACCTGTAGTCCCAGCTACTCAGGAGGCTGAGGCAGGAGAATGGCGTGAATCCGGGAGGCGGAGCTTGCAGTGAGCGGAGATGGCGCCACTGCACTCCAGCCTGGGTGACAGAGCGAGACTCCGTCTCAAAAAAAAAAAAAAAAAAAAAAAAATGAGGCTGAGACCAAGCCTAAGTGATGTTGGAGGCTGAGCAGTTCAGAACCATGGCTTTTTAGAGAAGTTTTGAGTTGGAATAAGTATCTAGGCACTTTCAAGTAAGTTAGGCGAAGTTAGGGCAGCACACTTGATTATTGGTGTTGTCACCTTTGGAGGTGTGGGAGTTCCCTCTGCCTAGCCCTCTAAGGTGCCTCAGAGCAGGAATACTTTTTAGGAAAAGACCTTGTTTATAAATATATTTGAAATTCAGGTTACAGTAATCTAAATGAAATATTTTAAAAGAACTGCTGTATACCTATATTCTTCAGGTTAATTTTTGAGATAGGAAGACTTCTTTTGTTGGTAGAGTGTCATTTAGTGGTGACAGGTTTTGCTTTATTTTTTAAAACTCTTTGCCCAGAGCTAGAGTCCTCTTCCATCTCTGTGGCACATGTACATTTAATGTGCTTAGGTGTGTTTGATGCCATGTGGAGTTTGAAGTGTTTAACTCTCATATTGCTGAAAATGCCACCTGCGTCACTGGAAGATTTTTTAAAGTGCCTCTCCCTTCTTCTTCTTCCTTTGTCCCACAGTCAAGGAAATAATGCTGCAGCTGATACTGGACATCGCTTTGTTTGGCTTGAGGACATTCAGGCTGTGACGGGAGAAACCTTCAGAACAGATAAGAAACCAGATCCTGCGAACTGGGAGTACAAGTCTCTCTACCGAGGGGATATAGCAAGGTAGTCACCTTGTTTTCCCCCAGTTTTCACTGTAGGAAAGTGACTTTTTTCTCCTCGGAACTCTCTTGGCACTGTCTGCCTGCCTGTTTCTCTCTTTCATCAGTTCTGTTGGGTTTTATTTATTGCATTGTTCAGGCACATGTCTCATCTCCTATTCTAAAATGAAGGCTTAACACTTGAAGTCAAGTCAGATTAATCTTATTTATCCCTGGTGCTTTGCATAGTGCCTGGCACAGTAGGCGTTCAATAAGTATTAGTTGAATAAATGAATCCAAAAGTACCTTGTAATAATTAATTGTGACAGACTATCTGGTAACCATTTGGTCTAACCTATATGTCATTTTTTAAAGTTGGAAAGCTTTCATTTATCCACTCCCCACATCTGTCATTTAAAAAATGACATTTAGTGGTAAGGACTTTTTCAAAATGTTTCTGGCATACACCATCAGATAATCATAAAAATAGATGATATTTGCTTTAGTAATGAGTTTGAACTTTTCCCCTCTAATTTGGCAATCAAAAATATTTGAGTACTTACTAAACCCTTTAGACCAAACTTGTCCAACCCAAATTTGTAAACTTTCTTAAAACATTATGACTTTTTTTGTGATTTTTTTTTTTAACTCATCAGCTATCATTAGTATTAGTGTATTTTATGTGTGGCCCAAGACAGTTCTTCATCCAGTGGGGCCCAGGGAAACCAAAAGATTGGATACTGTATTAGCCCATTTTCATACTATTATGAAGAAATACCTGAGACTGGGTAAATTATAAAGAAAAAGAATTTTAATGGACTCACAGTTCCACGTGGTTGAGGAGACCTCGCAATCATGGTGGAAGGTGGAGAAGGAGCAAAGGCACGTCTTACATGGTGGCTGCTCTTTATAAAACCAGGGGAACTGCCCTTTATAAAACCATCAGATCTCGTGACACTCACTGTCACGAGAACAGCACAGGAAAGACCTGCCCCCATGATTCAATTACCTCCCACCAAGCCCCTCCCACAACACGTGGGGATTATGGGAACTACAATTCAAGATGAGATTTGGGTGGGGACAGAGCCAAACCATATCTGATACCCCTGCTTTAGACATTTAGTACTTTGTGAGAAACCGTGGGGAACATAAAGAACAATAACACACAGTCTGTTCCCAGATAGTTTACAGATAATGAGAATTGAAGATAGAGAATCATCAATCTTAGAATATAAAGCCAAGAGGAGATCTTGAAGATTATTATTCTTTATAGACTAATGACTTTGTGAAATAAATGTCCATTTCCATTACTTTGCTGTATCTCCAAATTTTAATCCTATTGTCACTCATCCTGACATTATACCTCACCACATAAGCAATTCCAACTAAAATTTCCTTCCCAATGAGTTAATAACAGTTGTTTTATTCAGTACATATTTAATCTACCTACTGTCAATGGAAACTTTATGGTTGAGTATAAATGACTATTATATTTTCAATGTATTCATATATTTTTGAGTTATCTTAATGCTCCTTGAGGTATTACTTGGTTTTCCATGCCACCACAGGGTACTACCCCAGATGTGGTAGATTCCCAGTAAAAGATGGGCAGCTGGGCTAGGCATGGTGGCTCACGCCTGTCATCCCAGCACTTTGGGATCACTTGAGGTCAGGAGTTCAAGACCAGCCTGGCCAACGTGGTGAAACCCCATCTCTACTGAAAATACAAAAATTAGCTGGGCATGTTGTCACATGCCTGTAATCCCAGCTGCTAGGGGAGTGAGGCAGGATGATTGCTTGAACCTGGGAGATGGAGGTTGCAGTGAGCCAAGATTGTGCCACTGCACTCCAGGCTGGGCAACAGAGCAAGACTCTGTCTCAAAAAAAAAAAAAAAAAGGGCAGTCAACAAACAGAGATTGGACATGAGGTAGTGGCTGTGGTGCTGTGTGCGTTATTTCACTTAAGTTAGCCTGTCTGATCCTCACAGCTGCTCTGTGAGGAGGACGAGGAGAACCCTCTTCATTTTACAAATGAGGAAAAGGAATCGCAGAGAGGTTAAGTAACTGCGCAAGATCATGCAGCCAGGCAGCAGCAAGGTTGGGATTTGAACCCGCGTGTCTTTGACTTCACATTTCAAATGTTCTTTCACCACCCATGCAGAAAGATGAGACAGGGTGTGTGGTAGGACGTTTTCTAGATTTGGAAACAGAGGACTCTGGTTCTCTTTGTGACTTTGCCATTTACTAGCAATAAAGTCCCAGGCAAATCACCTGACCTGTCTGAGCCTCTGTTGCTTCATTTGTAAATTGGAAATTGTAACTTCTGCCATGCCTTGCGCTCAAGTATCAGAATATTTGATATGGAATTGGAAATTGGTGTGCAAATATAAAGGGTTAGTATTTATTAATAGGTGAAAGGAGGGGAGTGTACTAACAAAGAGTGGCTCTTGAGCTTCTGCTAATGAATGGCACAGGCTTAGGGAGAGAGTAATTGGAAACAGCCTTATTAATCTAAACTGCAAGGATACCACTGCTAAAGGGCTTAGGGCATTGTTATTTCCTAGCCATTTGGTAAAGTTTACACAAGACAAATCTTGCCTGGATTAGTAGCTATATAACTGTTAATGTCCAGGTCTGGGAAGATGTTGATCCCATGGCAGTCTGAGCTGGTCAGAGGACAGTGGGAATACTGTCACTGAGCAATGGGCTTAATGCCTCAAGTGCATAGAAGTCAATACTATGGCACCAGCTTTTGAGAGAAGCAACAGCTTTATTGCAAGGTCAATAGGAGGCAGCACTTGAATCTGTCTCCCCCAGATGGAGTCTGTGTGTTTTATAGGAAGAGAGTAACTGTGAGGGAGATAGGAAAGTGCATTGAGGCGTGATTTGATTGGGTTATGGAGACAGACAGTGTAGGGTTCTTGGTTCTTTTTTTTTTTTTTTTTTGAGACAGAGTCTTGCTCTGTCGCCCAGGTTGGAGTGCAGTGATGCTATCTCGACTCACTGCAACCTCCGCCTGCCAGGTTCAAACAATTCTGCTGCCTCAGTCTCCTAAATAGCTGGGACTACAGGCGAGTGCTACCATGCCCGGCTAATTTTTTTTTTTTTCCCGTATGCCACTAAAATTCGCCCAAATTTATTCAGCCTGCATTCATCTTGATTGCCTGGCGCTTTGGATTTAATTCTTCCATCCCACTTTGTATCTTCCATTTGCTTCCCTCTCTCCAGCTTTTATTCTTTCTTTCTTTTTTCTCTTGGGCCAATGCGTGCGACCCAACTCACATGCATGGACTCTGGGAAGGTAAATGCCCGGCTAGTTTTTTTGTATTTTTGTATTTTTAGTAGAGATGGAGTTTCACCGTTTTAGCCAGGATGTTCTCAATCTCCTGACCTCATGATCCGCCCATCCCAGCCTCCCAAAGTGCTGGGATTACAGGCATGAGCCACCACGCCCGGCCTGTGGGTTATTGGCTCTTAAATTCATACTGCAGCAACTCTCCTCACTTCTTAATTTGGTCCGTGCTCCTTGGTTTAGGTACCTTGGTTCCCTGTGCGGTTGACATTTTTGTTCCCTGGCTTTGGGGTCACCAATTGGGCACGCTTGATTCATCTGTGCATGCTTGTGACTTGCGAGCTGTGGGTCCACTGCAACTGAACAACAACTCATTGTTCTGTTATTGACAAAGCTGAAGTAGTTTGAACTGGTTCTGCAGTTAACAATTTTGTGTCAGGTACTGAATTTTCACACTTTAGGAGGAACACTGACACGCCGAGAACATTGAAATGAAGGTGAACGGTTAGGATTTGACCAGCACTGTCATGTGAGGACTAGATGGGCATTTGGCCTTAAGCAGGGATATGATCATTGTCTTTTTTTCTTTTTTTCCTCCCTCCCACCCCCAATCATTGTCTTTTAAGCTTGGATGGACTGTCCCTTGGAGGCTGGATTGGCAATGTTTTGTGTGACTTGTGAAGTTAGAACCAGTACTAATGAGTGGAAGTTCCGGGAAGTCAGATTTGGTTCAGTATAGAGTAGCACATCCTCTACTCCCGTGAGCATCCCGCAGTGACACTGTGTATGGGAGTATTGTGGTAGGCAGGGGTTAGGTTCTAAAGTTAGTGTATAACTTGAAAATTAGAGTCAAACTATATTTGGAAAATTCCTTAAGACTAATATACTGTCTGATGGTGAAGTTCAGCTCAGTCAGTTTTTTCTCCATTTTTGGAATAGATTGTTATTTCTTTGGCTATACACCAGATAAAATAGTTGGCTTATGTTTAGGAGCCAACTTTGATAAAAATAATAATTTAAACTTATCTAACCCTTACTATATGGCAGACACTCTTCTAAGGACTTATGTAAACATTTTTGGCCAAGTGCAGTGACCCACACCTGTAGTCCCAGCACTTTGGGAGGTCAAGACAGGAGGATCGCTTCAGGCCAGGGGTTCAAGACAAGGCTGAGCAACATAGTGAGGCTGCATCTCTACAAAAAATAAGCTGAGTGTGGTGGCATGTGCCTGAAGTCCCAGCTATTCAGGAGGCTGAAGTGGGAGGACTGCTGAAGGATTTTGAGGCTGCAGTGAGCTATATTGCATAACTGCAGTGAGCTATATTGCATCATTGCATCCTGGGTAACAGAGGGAAACCCTACAAATTTTTCTGTAGTTGGGTGCAGTGGCTCACACCTGTAATCCCTGTATTTTTAGTAGAGATGGGGTTTCACCGTGTTAGCCAGTATGGTCTCAATCTCCTGACCTTGTGATCCGCCCACCTTGGCCTCCCAAAGTGCTGAGGCGGGCGGATCGCTTGAGGTCAGGAGTTCAAGAGCAGCCTGGCTAAATTTTGTATTTTTAGTAGAGATGGGGTTTCACCATGTTGGCCAGGCTGGTGTCAAATTCCTGGCCTTAATTGATCCACCCACCTCGGCCTCTCAAAGTGCTGGGATTACAGATGTGAGCCACCACGCCTGGCCGTTAGTTGATTATTTGATAAGGATTTTATAGCAAAAGTGCCTTCATTTAGGGAAACATTGTGTTAAATTATAGCCTAGGTCCTGTATAATTATTAAGATCTCATGCTAAGTGATAAATTGGATATAACCTAAATGTCTAATGATTGGGAAATGGTTAAATAAATTATGGCACATCCATACAATGGAACAGTTTGAAGTCAATACAAATTATATTTTCTAAGATTAATGGTATGAGGAGATGCTTTAAAGTAGGAAGGCAGGCCTGAAACTATGTGATATCAACTATTTTGAAAAAGGATGTATGTGCACACACATATATATACATACTGAAACACATATAGTGTCTGAAAGTAGATAGTAATATAGGCCAGTAACATTTTTCCCCTTCCCTTATCATTTTCATCTAATTTGTTATAAAAATGCAGCTGTTAGTTTAAAGTCAGGAAACAGTAAACATTTTTCAAGAGATTTTATGAATATCTAAAATACTGTATATTTTTTGTGAGACTAATGAGGAATCAATACTATTAAAAGAGGATAAAGGAGAACAAAACTAGCTTTTTAACTTAAAGTTTGTTCCTTAGGGAATGGCAGCCTTGTTTAGAACTACATTAGTGCTATTTTTTTTTTTTTTGAGACCAAGTCTCACTCTGTTGCCCAGGCTGGAGAGCAGTGGCTTGAGCCCGGCTCACTGCAACCTCTGCCTCCTGGGTTCAAGTGATTCTCCTGCCTCAGCCTCCCAAGTAGCTGGGATTACAGTCGTGTGCCACCACGCCCAGCTAATTTTGTATAGTTAGTAGAGACGGGGTTTCACCATGTTAGCCAGACCGATCTCAAACTCCCGACCTCTGGTGATCCACCCGCCTCAGCCTCCCAAAGTGCTGGGATTACAGGCATAAGCCACCACACCCGGCCTACATTAGTGCTATTTTATCTCATCACACCTTTGTTAAGGTTGTTTTTGACTCATAAATGGAATGGCAAGAGACTGTCATGAGATAGTCTGAAAGAATTGGGAGGGAGGCTAGATAAAAGGTTTGAGAGAGAATATTTATGTCTGTGTGAGAAAATAGTCCCCTACAGTGGAATTTGCTGTGTTTGGTCAGTGAGGAGGGCAGAGGCACTTAGAGAGGGGACCTGTTGACCGCAGAGAAGCCACAGAGGTGAGGGAGAGAGCCCGGCCCTGAACCAAGGTGAAGTGGAGCGGAGCTTCCTGGGAGCTGACAGAAGATGAAGGCAGTTCTCCCCTGCCTTTTTCTCCCCACGGCATTTCCGGTTTTATTAGGAAAAAATTTTAATATACAGCAAAAGTTGAAAGATTTTTACAGTGAATGCTCGTATAACTGCCCCCTACATCTACCATTAACTTTGTATCCATTAAGTTTGTATTGTACTTGTTTTGTCATATGTGTCCATCCATCAGCCCATCCTATTTTTTTGATGCATTTCAAAGTAAACTGCAGATCAATAAACAACCCCCTAAATACTTCAGCATGTGTATTATTAACTAGAGGTCAATATTTATTTAGTTTTATTCCTTTAATTGAAAATTTACATGCAATGTAATGCACAAAGCTTCATTCTCACCCGAACCTCTGTTAAAATGTGAAATATTACTCTGACCGCCAGAAGTTTCCTCGTGCTCTTTTCTGGTAAGTCTGTACCCCATTCTCCCAGAGGCAATCACCGTTCTTACTTGTTTCCACCCTCAATTCGTTTTTACCTGTTCTAAAATGCATGTAAGTGGAATTATACAGTGTGTACTCTTTTGTATCTGGCTTCTGGCTTCTTTCACTCAGTGTAATGTTTTTGAGATCATCCGTCCATAAGGCACTTACCAGTAGCTCCTTTTTACTGCTGGTAGTATTCCATTGTATGGCTGTACCTCTGTTTACTTATCCATCTTCTATTGATGGACACGTGGACTCTTTCAGTGTTTGGCTGTTAGGAATAAAGCTGCCGAGAGCATTTGTGCTCATGTCTTTGTGTAGACATGTGCTTTCCTTTTTCTTGGGTAAATATGTAGGAATAGAATTGCTGGGTCATAGGTTAGGTCTGTGTTGAATTTTTTAAGAAACAGCCAGATCTTTTCCCAAAGTGATTATACCAGTTTACATTCCCGCTGACAGCGGATGAGAGTCCTGGTTACTCCACAGGTTACTCACCAACATTTGGTGTTGTCAGCCTTTTAAATATTAACACTGTTCTAGTTGGTGTGTGGGGTACCTCATTGTGGTTTTAATTTGCATGTCCTTGTTGACTAAGGATGTTGAGTTGTTTTTTTTTTTATGTGCTTATTGGCTATTCATGTCTTCTTTTGTGGAATTTCAGTTCAGATCTTTTGCCCGTTTTTAAAATTGAATTGTTTGCTAACATACATACAGAAAAATGTACAATTTTCCTTAGCTTTTGCCTGTGCAAATATTCAGTAGTCATGTGTTTGTTAACTCTGGGGACGCCTACATGTTCCATAAAAGCGTTTTAGAACCCAACCTCTTTTCCTCTAGAGTAGAAAATAACCAAATGTAATTTCATTTGACATACTTTGTTTCAGGATTAAAAAAAGAATCTTAGGCCTATATGTTATCTTCTTAAGTAGGGACACAGGAAAATATTGAGAAAACAGGACTGGTCTAGGAAACAGATGATCCAGGTTCCCAGGCCTCAGTGTCCTTATTTAGGAACAGTTAAGAGAAGGGATGATAATTTTTGCCTTGCCTGTCACATATGGCTGTGATGATCAAATGACATAATGTGTGTGACAGTTCTTTACAAGGCTCCAGGAAAATAGAAATTACTAAGATCTAGAAGACAGGCATGATCTTAAATTCATGAGATGTTAAAGAAGAGTTGAAGTGTTATAGGAAGAAGTCAAGCCAGGCAGAAAGAAAGTTAATTACTAGTCCTTGTGTATCTCCAAATAGAAACAATCTGAAGGTGAGGTGAATTTGGTTATATGCAGTGAACCTGCATAACGAGAGTTTAGGTCTAATGCGCCTTTAGTCATTCAGAGGTAGTACACGTATTCCCTCAGTAACTTTTTTTCTTTTTCTAATATCAGATACAAGAGGAAAGGAGACTCCTGCCTTGGCATTAACCCTAAGAAGCAGTGCATATCTTGGGAAGGGACTTCCACAGAGAAGAAGCATTCACGCAAGCAGGTTGAACGCTATTTTACTAAGAAGAGTGTGGGATTAATGAACATCGATGGAGTTGCCATTAGCAGTAAAACTGAACCTCCCTCATCTGAGCCCATCTCCTTTATACCAGTGAAGGACTTGGAAGATGCGGCTCCTGTTACAACCTGGTTGAATCCTCTGGGGATTTATGATCAGTCAACCACACATTGGCTACAAGGACAGGGTCCTCCAGAGCAGGAATCAAAGCAGCCAGACGCACAGCCAGACAGCGAGAGTGCGGCTCTCAAGGCCAAGGTGGAGGAGTTTAACAGGAGGGTGCGGGAGAATCCTCGGGATACGCAGCTGTGGATGGCATTTGTTGCTTTTCAGGTATGTGTTGCCATCCCAATTCTCTTACCTTAGAAGGACATTCCTGATTTTGGGCAAACTGATGGACTGTGCAGCAATTTTTGAGCAAATGAGGAAATTTGACACTGGGCATACAAAGATTATTAGAATAGAGCCTTTGCCCTGAGCTCGCTCAAAGTCCAATGAGGAAAATGGACATGCGAAGAATAAGTGCACCCTGGGGTAGTAAATGCTGTAATGTATAACTTGGGAGTGGAGTGAGGGAATGGCTTGTGTTGAGGGAGGAGAAAGAGCTACCAAGGAGAAGGTGAAGTTCAACACAATCTTGAAAGAAGAGATGTTCACCAGGTAGGGAGAGGCATTCCTGAAGTACAAACAGAACAGGCAGAGCTCACGGAATTGTGAAAGAGAGAGGGCTGTTCAGTGTATTACCCAGTTAGAGCCATGCATTCTCTTTCGAAAACTTGTAGGTTTGTCTGAATCCCTAATTTTGAACCACTCATACAATTACCATATTTTGTGCCACATTTGGCCCTTTTATTGGTAAGGTCTGCTCTTCAGAAAAGACTTTCAAGGCATTGTATGCTAGTCATTGATGCAGAAATCAAAGCTTAAAATGGCAGAGAGTGGATAATTAAGTGATAAATACAAGATCAAACATATCAGGTGACACAAGCACTTTAGGATCCAGGTTTTCTTTAAAAGAAATAGTGGCAAACTGGTGGTTTAAGAAAGTCCCTAGGGGGTGGTAAGAAAATCAGTAAGCATTGTTGAAACTCAGGATCTCCCAGGTCCATTTGCATTTGTAAATTGGTGTTTTTGTTGTTGAGGACGAGGTCATGAAAAGTCCTGGCCTGTATGCCATCGAGGAAGGAGAGCAGGAAAAGCGAAAGAGGTCCCTGAAGCTCATTCTGGAGAAGAAGCTGGCCATTCTGGAGCGGGCCATTGAGAGCAACCAGAGCAGTGTGGATCTGAAACTGGCCAAGCTGAAGCTCTGCACAGAGTTCTGGGAGCCCTCCACTCTGGTCAAAGAGTGGCAGAAACTGATATTTTTGCATCCCAATAATACAGCCCTTTGGCAGAAATACCTTTTATTTTGCCAGAGCCAGTTTAGTACCTTTTCGATATCAAAAATTCACAGTCTTTATGGAAAATGCTTGAGCACTTTGTCTGCTGTTAAGGACGGCAGCATCTTATCTCACCCTGCGTTGCCTGGCACGGAAGAGGCCATGTTTGGTAAGGAGATAACCAGATCCAGTTACGTGGGAGGAGTTAGACTTTCTTTTGGCTTTACTTGAAAATGAAGATCTATTTTTGATTTATTCTAGAAAAAGTCTAAATTGTTTGATAGAACTGATTTTTTTAAAAAAGTATTACGACTCTTTTTGATAACAAATTTGCCCCCAGCTCCCAGGGCAGGTGGGGGCAATAGGGCCAGTAGAGTTAAGATATCACTGGACAAGGTTCTGCTGATTAGCCAAGTAAACATAGGCAAGTCTCTTAACTGCTTTGGCAGTCGGTGGCCTTATCTGTCGAGATGCATGTACCTGTCTCACCCAATTGTAGGGTCCCAGGCAGTAATGTCCGTGAGATGCCCTGACTGGGAACCACTGCATAAATAGAAGTTTTGGGTATTATTATGCTGTTAACATTTTTGGTGTGTCCTGAAGGAACCTGGAACATTAATTTTGACAGTAATGAGATGTTGGAGGCTGCATGTTATGCAGAGCCAGAGAGTATCACTTTTGACCTTGAATCCTGAAGGGTTTGCCCTTCACTGGCTCTCTTGTGTCCTTGGGCAGGTCCTCTTTGAGCCCCAGTTTCTCCATCAGCAACAATACTATAAACCTGCTTTACAGGACTGTGTTGCACAGTAAACGAGATAATCCATGGCGAGTCTAGCTCAGTGTCCGGCACAGAGCAGGCATTTATTTGATCACAACCCCTGTTATTGAGTATTAATTACTGTTGGCATCTAAAGATAGAAATACATTGCTCTCAAAATATAAGCATTTATCACACTGACACAGAGTCTTGAATTTGTCACTGTATGTGATCTACACAAATAGCTTAGTGTTATTTAGTAGCTGGAATTGTACCAAAAGTAAGATGAACTGGAATGTTCAGACATGGAACCTTGATTTGTTTACAGCCGACTCTGAACATAGGATGAAAGTTGCTGGTGAGTAATGCCATCTAGTGATCAACTGAATACAGCTCTTTGCTTTCTGATAAAAATCTGCTACGCCATCCTTTTTCTATAATTTTTCTTGTGATAATGAGCTGTGATTATTTGATAGCATTCAGACCAACCTCTTGACTTATTTTTATGTACTATATATAGTTTTTGTTGTTAATATTTGTGTTCTGTGATGCTTTCATACAAAAATTAGAACAAACATACTTGGATTATAATACTGTGTGAGACGCTTTAAATCAAGACATGTATCACAGCTTTGTAAATTAATAGTGATTGCAGGTGAAAGGTGTTCTCAATGTGTTAATTGCCTGTTTTGAGAAGTTAGGTTCTTTCCCTTTAACGGTATCAACCAGGCTTCTTCCCCTTTGCCCTCCTGTTCGCAGCACTCTTTCTTCAGCAGTGCCACTTTCTGCGGCAGGCTGGCCACTCTGAGAAGGCCATCTCATTGTTCCAGGCCATGGTGGACTTCACCTTCTTCAAACCCGACAGCGTGAAAGATCTGCCTACCAAAGGACAGGTACCCAGCTCTGCTCGCCTCATCTCTCTCTTCCTGGCTCTTTCTCTGGAGGGAGAGGGGGAAGGTGTGGATAATGAGAGGTGGTGTGGATAATGAGAGGTGGTGTGGTAGTGTTTTTAAAATATCATATCCTCCTTTATATCAGTCTGCTGAGGAGGAATTCTCAGAAATAGTCCAGTGATCTGAGGAAAGTTTTGTAATGAAAATGGTGAGATGTGGATAGGTAAAGAAGCTTCCCCCTCCTTCACAACATAAAGGCTCTCTGAGGACTCACCCTCCCACCCTGCCTGCCTGCCTGCCTGCCTGTGTTCCTCCTTTCCTTTTCCTTTCCCTGCCCCCTTCCCCTCCCCTTCCTCCTCCCCTCCCCTCCTCCCCCCCATCCCCTTTCTGCCTTTGTTTAAATGCTGATTGGCTCCCCTAGTCAGGGAAACAGTTGTCATGCCATTTTAAACCTTGTATTACTCTCTTCCACCCTTACACATTCTAGTTTGGGTCTTGCATCACTTCCTCAGTTAACCTTCTAAGTACCCACAATCTTCGCTAGAGTTGCAAATGAAATTACACAGAGATACCTTGTCAACAGTGATCCTTATTGGGGAAGGGTTAATCCTTTAGATGACAAGCGAGCATTGCCAATGTTTGAGATAAATGAAGATAAGTGAAGAAATAAAGAATTTTTATAGAGCTATGTATATAAGAAAATGTATCTTTTCCCTTTTTCCACTAAATAAAACTCAGTTTTCTACTCTGTAAAGATGTCTAGTGGAAGATAAATAGAATATATGAGTTTATGGTGAACATTCAAAAGTGTTTCTTGAGAGGCCAAGGCCTCCGTCATGTGGGAGTTTCATGAATTGCCAGTAAAGACCATTTTTATCATGATGCTACCTCTAGAAAAAATTGGATTAAAGAATTATACCAGTTAAATTGCTATAATCAATCATTAATAAACCATATAACAGAGTAATTTTAAGACATGCTGTGAGATTTTAAGAATAGGCTGTACTACAGAAGTGATTCTCAGCTGACTCTAAGGAACCTTGTGGGTCAGGATCAGAATTTCTCTCACCCCCTCCCCCTGCCCCTTTCCTAAGACCCTCTGTGATAAGAACAGAGTGATGGGTGGAGGGTTCTGCCTACAAATGTGACCCATCGAAGACCACTGCTCTAAAGTGTTGGGAGACCCCGATCCTCGTGCTTGAGGTTTTAAACACGAATAGCACATGTGATTCCAAAGCATTTACATGACAACTTTGGAATAAAGTTTCTTATTTACTAATATTCCATATTGCTTTTATAACTGAGAGACGTTGTTACCGTGAACACAGTAGCGTGATTTAACACAGGCAGGTCTGATATTACTGGTCTGCGTTTCTGTGGAATAAACAAATAGATTATACTCATTTATCACACTATTTAAAAAAAATTTTTTTTCTTAAGTAAACTTTCTTTCTTCACTCTTACAAGAGCCAGACCTCTAAAGAGGGAGCGTAGTCGTCCTGGTTCCCCTTTCTGAGGATGACTGACGTGTCAGGACGTTTGCCCTGCCCTGACGTGACTCTCCTGGAGGCAATACTCCTCCAGGCGTGTGTGGCATTGCCCAGGGCTCAGGCTAGATAATCCTGTGGCTCATGGCCCATGCTGTGCCCACTGGAAGCCTGCTTGTCCTCTTCAAAAGGTTTCTTACAAAAGCTTTCACTGAGTAGGTTATTGGCTCACTTTCACAGTCCTGTTTCCAGTTGATAACATGATCACGTTTCTGTTCATTGCTGTGTTCACATTCTGTTCCATAGGGAAAGATTTATTGCCAGTGAGCTGCTTACCACACACCTAATGCTCGAATGAATGAGGGAGGTGCTAATGGGGCCAGGCTTTAAAATGCAGACCTTTAGGCTGGGCGCGGTGGTTTAGGCTTGTAATCCCAGCACTTTGGGAGGCTAAGGTGGGCAGAGCACCTGAGGTCAGGAGTTGGAGACCAGCCTGACCAACGTGGAGAAACCCTGTTTCTACTAAAAAAACACAAAATTAGCTGGGTGTGGTGGCTCATGCCTGTAATCCCAGCTACTCGGGAGGCTGAGGTAGGAGAATTGCTTGAGCCCGGGGAGGTGGAGGTTGCAGTGAGCCAAGATCACACCACTGCACTCCAGCCTGGGCAACAAGAGCGAGACTCTGTCTCAAAAATAAAAATAAAAAATGCAGACCTTTTTACTCCCTGGTCGCCTGCCTTGTTCAGATCTGTGCCAACAAGCGTTTATTGAGTCCCTGCTAGGCAGTAAGTATTGTGCCAGGTGTTAGGAATATATAGTTACTTAAGATATGGTTGTGTCACGTAGCTCATGGTCTGTCTTGTTGGAACCTTCCTCTCAAAATATCTTGAAAGCGGCATGACTTTAGGAATTAGCTCGGGGGTCCAGTGATACTAGGTGAACTGGCAGTGCCACTGTCCCTGGTTAGACTGGCCTGGCAGGATAAGAACTAGGAAACTACTCCCTTCCTACCCATCTGGAGACCCTTCTTGCTGAACCTCAGCTGGTCTTTTTGTAACCTAATCCCGGGAGTGACCCCCCATCACTTTTGCCATATTTTGTGTGTTGGAATCACTAGGTCCAGCTCACATGCGAGTGTGAAAACCACAAGGCAGAGGTAGGGTCATGGGGGCTATCTTGGAAGCTGCCTGCCACGCTAGATAGATCTTTTTTCTATCTTGGGGTGTGTAGCATGTATCTACTTCAAAGACTGATGGCAAACATGATTTCAAGGATCATAAGCTTCTCTTATATCCACCAGCGCGGATTTTGCCCACTGACTCAGCAGTTTTATACAAGTGAGGTCTAACGTCCATTCTAAAATCTGAACAGGTGGAATTCTTTGAACCCTTTTGGGACAGTGGAGAGCCCCGGGCTGGGGAGAAGGGAGCCCGAGGCTGGAAGGCGTGGATGCACCAGCAGGAACGAGGTGGCTGGGTGGTCATCAACCCAGGTAAGTCACCTCTCATTGAAGACGTGTACTTCTGTTTCTTCTGGAATTTGTTTTTACATCCTCATGATTATTTATCTGCTTAAGCTATTTATCAGTAGCTTCAGAATATTGCACAAACATCAAAATGTCAAAAATGTTAAGTAGATGTCATGGGTTCCCCTTAGAAGTTTTAAAGCAGTGGACTTATTCCTTCAGTACATAATGCTTTGAGGATTTGAAAGTTTCTGTAATTTCCCTTTTTCCTTTTATAGGCTGCAACTGAAGAAGGAATCTTGTTAATAACTGCCCCAATCCTCATTCTTTTTTTTTTTTTTTTTTTGAGACAGAATCTCGCTCTGTCACCCAGGCTGGAGTGCAGTGGCAGGATCTCAGCTCACTGCAACCTCTGCCTCCTGGGTTCAAGCAATTCTCATGCGTCAGGCTCCTGAGTAGCTGGGATTACAGGCTTCTGCCACCATGCCCAGCTAATTTTTGTATTTTTGGTAGAGATAGGGTCGCCATGTTGGCCAGGCTGGTCTCTCTGGTCTCAAACACCTGACCTCCAGCGATCTGCCTGCCTCAGCCTCCCAAAGTGCTGGGATTACAGGTGTGAGCCACCACGCCCGACCCCATTCTTTTTTAGTGTGTATTTCAGACAGTCTTTTTGTTATCCTGTCAGTGTACAGACCAACAGATACTTTGAAAAATACCTTTTTAGGACTATTATAAAGTAATTATTACCTAGCATTTACATAACTGTCACTCTAAATGACCCCCAAATACTTTCCAGATTTATACTCTAATACAGAGCTGCCCAATAGAAATATAATGTGAGCCTCTTGTGTAATTTCAAATTTTCTAGTGGCCACATTAAAAAAGTAAAAAGGAACAGATGATGTTAATTTTGATAGTGTATTTTACTTAATCTAGTATATCAAAACATTTCAGTATGTAATTAGTATTTTAAAATTATTAACCAGAGATTCAGATGCCAATTGCATGCTTTAAAAAGAAAAAAAATTATTAACTAGGTATTTTGCATTCTTTTTTTAGTACTCTTTGAAATCTGGTGTGTATTTTACACTTTTAGCAAATCTCAGTTCAGACTAGCTACTTTTCTTTTTTTTCTTTTTTTTTTTTTTGAGACAGAGTCTTGGTCTGTTGCCCAGGCTGGAGTGTAGTGGCTCGATCTTGGCTCACTGCAACCTCCGCCTCCCAGGTTCAAGGGATTCTTGTGCCTCAGCCTCCCAAGTAGCTGGGATTACAGGTATGCACCACCACGCCCTCCTAATTTTGTATTTTTAGTAGAGACAAGGTTTCACTGTATTGGTCCAGGCTGGTCTGGAACCTCTGACCTCAAGTAATCCGCCCACCTCTACCTCCCAAAGTGCTGGGATTTCCGATGTGAGCCACCGCACCCAGCCCAGACTAGCTACTTTTCAAGTGCTTGATAGCCACATATTAATGGTGACGTATTGGACAGCACAACTCTAAGACATTCAGGAACTGCTTCACTCCCCGAAAGGCAGTTCCAGCATAGAGAGAGATCTGCCAGGCAGATGATGATTTCGTTGAAAGTTCTATAGGGAAAGAGTGATGGACAAGGACTCAGGAGATTGACTCCTTGCCTAGGCTCAGTGAGCCTCTTCTCACAGGTGTGACCTTTCTTTGTTTATTCATTTGCACCATGAAAACTTTGGATTAGGTATTGTCTTGCACGACAGTTCAGAGCTCCGGGCCAGGGAGCATCTCTATTACCACTAAGAAGCGAGAGGGGCCCTTCAGGTGTTTTGGGGTAACTCTCCTCTGGGCAGTGCTGTCAGGCAGTGATCATGCCTCACTTGGGGCTGTCAGAGTCTCAGCTGTTTAGATTTCCCTGGAGTGTTCTTTTCCAAAAAGAATGAGAACTATTCATCAGGCTGACCAGTGGTTTTATGTATGAAGAAAAACAGCCTGCATGAAACGGAAGTAGGTATTGCACTCAGCCACTGAGTCTGCAAGACCGCATAAGCAAAGGCCAAAAAAACAGAAGTCTGATTAGTAACTCTCCTCTCTGAGTGACTGACTTAGCATGGGTCTGTGTTTTTAGGCTTAGTTTTTTTGTTTTTTGGTTTTGTTTGGTTTTTGTTAGAGAGCGAGCCCATTACAATGCATAGTATCTGTTACACGGTTTGCTGTGTTCTGCATTTCTGTGACAATAAAGTTTTCATAGCAGTGTCCACAGACTAATTTTACTTCTGATAAGTTTCCAGATATCTAATGGTCACTTAAAATCAGGTGTAAAGTTAGTTTTCTCCAAAAGGGAATGCAAATGAATATCAAAACCTTGACTTTTAGCATCAAGTTAGAGACTTGTGTTGGTACTTACATTCTCTGCAAGCTTCTCACACATTTCCATTATGGAGAAACTTGCTGAATTTATGAATTTCTTTCTAATGAATTTAATGGAAGTCCTCCAAAAAACTAGAAGGGTCAAAAGAAAGGCTGAAAATTTTCTTGATTCCAGCAAACCTAATTGATAACAATTTTTGTTTTTATTTTATTTTTAACTTCTCTTATTTACCCTGAAAGGTTAGCGTTGAGAGGGTAGTTGATTTCATCCTGCAGTCAAGCATTTATCATAGCATGTTTCTTCTCTCTTGCCCTCACTTTCTGTTAGTATGTAGTTGTTATACATGAATGTGTGTCCAAAGCTCTGTAATCTTTTGAGTCCTTAATGTAGTAAATTCAGGTATCTAAGTCTGATGTATGACTCACAAAGGTAATTTCTCTTATAAGAGTTTTTCAGGGTGATTAAAGGATTACTTTAAACATAGATCTTTAGAAGAAGGTGATAAATACATTCAGTTTTCTTCTTTGAGAAACTCAGAAGAGCATTTAGGCAGAATATTGGTGGAATAATAGAATGCTAATATATACATTATGCTAATATATATGATCTATAATGCTAATATACACAATATATTATTATTATACTACGTATACATATTATGTGTTTTAAGTTTTTAAAAATGTTTTATTTTGAAATAGTATAGAGTCACAAGAAGTAGAAAAAATGTACCCAGAGGTTTTGTGCACCCTTCATCCAGTTCCTTCCAGTGGTAGTACCACAGTATAATGTCAGAACCAGGGAACTGACATTGGTACAGTCTGCAGTTCATTCACATTTCACCATTTTACATGCACTCATTGGTGTGTGTGTTTCTATGGTACTAGGCAGTTTCTGTCACGTGTGTAGCTTTGTGTAATCACTACCACAATCAAGATCAGACTGTTTCATCACTGCAGGGCTCCCTCACAGTATCCTTTCTTAGCCACGTCTGCCCCTTCCCCCTCCTAACTCATGGGAACCACTAATCTGTTCTCTCTCTGTTTTCCTGTTATCTCATGAAGGTTATATAAATGGAATCATAAGGTATATAACATTAACAAAATTTTTTAGTTGTAAAATATAATATAAAATTGATCATTTTTAAGTGTACAGTTGAGTGACATTAAGTACATTCACACTGCCATGCAGCCATCACCTCTATCGACCTCTGCAACTTTTTCATCTTCCCCAAGTCTGTACCCATTAAAGACAAATTCCTCACTTCTCCCTCCCCCCAGGCCCCAGCAGTCATTCTACTTTCTGTCTCTATGAATGTGACTACGTTAGGAACCTGGTGGATGTGGAATCATACAGTAGTTGACCTCCTGTGACTGGCTGATTCCGCTTAGCGTAGTGTCGTCAGGGTTCATCCATGTCACGCCAGGATTTCCTTCCTTTTTAAAGCCGAACACTTCTCCACTATGTGTGTATACCATCCATTTGTCAATGCACATTTTGGTTGCTTCCACCTCTGGGCCATTGTGAATAATGCTGCTATGAACATGGGTGTACAGTATCTGTTTGAGACTCTGCTTTCAGTTCTCCTGGGTAGATATTCAGCAGTGGAATCGCCTCATATGGTAATCCTGTGTCTAGTATGCCATGCTGTTTTCCATACAGCAGACGGCAGCTGCACCATTTTACATTCCCACCAGCAGGGCACCAGGCTTCCGATTTGTCCACATCCCTGGGAACAGTTGTGTTTTGTGTAACTTTTTGAGATTGGCTTTTTTAACTTAGCATAACTTCCCTGAGATACCTACAAATTGTTGCATATATCAATGGTTTGTTCATGTTGATTGCTGAGTAGTATTCCATTGTGTAAATGGACCACAGCTTAACTGTTCAACCTACTGAAGGATGTTTGGATTGTTTCCAGGTGTTGGCGATTATGCATGAAGCTGCTTCTGAGTATTAGCATATAGGTTTTTGTGTAAACGTAGGTTTTCATTTATCTGGGATCAGTGCCCAAGAGTGCAGTTATGCTAAGTGCATGTTTAGTTTTGTAAGAAACTGCCAAAATGATTTCCTGTGTGGCTGTACCATTTTGTATACTTTATTTTTTAACCTTGAACTTTACAGATAACTCTGGCTTTCTTCCTCTTCCCTTCTACATGTTCAGAGTTAGGAAACAAAGTGAAATAAATTATTGGATATTGATTTGGCTTTTTTAAAGGCAAGTTCTAGTGAGCATAGGTCATAATTAATTATACGGTCCCTGGCTAAAAATTCGGATGACTTAAGAAAATCTAAACTAGTGCCATCATCAAATGTCATTTAGCATTCTAAAACTGTGTTGTCTAATACAGTAACCTCTAGCCACATGTGGCTATTTAAAATTAAATAAAATTAAGAATTCAGGCCAGGCCTGGTGACTCATGCCCGTAATCCCAGCACTTTGGGAGGCCAAGGCAGGTGCATCACCTGAGATCAGGAGTTCGAAACCAGCCTGACCAACATGGTGAAACCCCATCTCTACCAAATACAAAAAATTAGCCAGGCATGGTGGCACATACCTGTAATCCCAGCTACTCAGGAAGCTGAGGCAGGAGAATTGCTTGAACCTGGGAGGCGGAGATTGCAGTGTGCAGAGATTGTGCCACTGTACTCCAGCCTGGGCGACAACAGCGAGACTCCATCTCAGAAAAAAAAAAAAGGAATTCAGTTCCTTTACTAGCTACATCTCAAGTGCCCAGTGAGTCACATGTGGCTACCCTGTTAATGCAGGTATGTAGGGCATTTTCATCATCACAGCGAGTTCTGTTGGACAGTACTGTTCTAGAGTATGTGTCATTTCCATTTTAATCACTATACTATTAAAAATAATTTGATTTGATCACCTTGTCTTCCTTTGCTTCCTGAGGACTTGATTGATTACAAAGAGTTCCTAAATGCCACTGAGTATCCTGGGAGACTGGCATGGCTCTTACACATCTTGGCATTGCGGGTGCCCAACAGTCCCTGACATAGCAGGCTGATTGAGTGGCGATGGTGGTTTTATTTGCTGATGAGGTGAAGAAGTCTCATTCTTGTCTAGATGAGGATGACGATGAACCAGAAGAGGATGACCAGGAAATAAAAGATAAGACTCTGCCCAGGTGGCAGATCTGGCTTGCTGCTGAGCGTTCCCGTGACCAGAGGCACTGGCGGCCCTGGCGCCCTGATAAGACCAAGAAGCAAACCGAGGAAGACTGTGAGGATCCCGAGAGACAGGCATGTATCCTCCGCCCCAGGCAGGAAGCTGTCCAGGGGGTCCCTGCCTGCTTTCCATTCCCATGCGCTTTGGTTATCTGAAAGGAGGCCGCTGGAGCTCTCTTAGCAGTTGGCTAGCTTAGGAGATGCTAACCTGCTCCTGTTCTCATCTGTGGAAACTTCCTTCCTGCTGGATATCAGTGTAGAATTTCCTTGGCTGCTGGTGATGGGGGAGCATATAGGTGCTTGACCAGAGAGCTTCTGTCCCCTAGTAGGTGGGTGGGCCCTTGTGGTCACCCCTCTGGAGATTGTCTTCCAGGTCATTCAGTTAATTTTTCATGTGGAGCCCTGTGGGATACATACAGATTATTCAAAAAACTCGGAATCACTGTCCTAGATTCTTTCCTTGTGTCCACTTTCCCCACCCCACTCTTGGGTCCGTGAAGCTGTAGCAGATAGACTGGACTCTAGAAGACAAGAGGGACTGGCCGTAGGGTCCATGTTGGACAGTTGGCATCAGCGTGTCTTGCGGAAGAAGAAACTAGTGTTTATTGAATACCTGTGGCGTGCCAGGCAGTTCATCTGTGTTATCTCATTTACTGTTACCGTGTGACTTGTTACATGCTGCTCTGTGTTTAGTGGCCAGCAGCTCTGGAGGTTTTAAATTAAAATGAAGAAATGCTGTCTCGATACCTGGAATTGATCCAGTTTAACCAGATACCAACTCTGTGTCTTGGAGCTCTGTGACCTTTTCTACAAACGAGGCGCCCTGAAGGCAAGGAGTTTATCCCTTTTGTTGAGTGCTCTGACGTCAGTGCCTAGAACAGCATTTGTCCTGTGGTGAGCACTCGGTGAATCCTCTTGGATGTTGAAGGAATATTTGTTTGATGACGGAGCATCTGCTCTGGGCAGAGGGATCAGCACAAGTGAAGGCCCCAGAGTGCCAGGAGCGTTTGAGGAGTGGGGAATGGGGTGGCCAGACTGGAGTGAGGACACAGAGAAGTGGGGATAGAGACAGAGGTGATCTCTGGAGGAAGAAGGGGCCAGCTTCTAGGGAAGCCTCAACTCACTGGAAGTCTTGGAGAGGGTACTTACCTGGGAGGCCTCTTGCCTCGCTGAAGCTGAATGTCTGCAGAAGAGTGGAATCTTTCTTTGGTATCTGAGGATTTTGTAGAGTTCACAGCCACCCTTCTGGAAGTCATTTCTCAAGGCTTAGAGTCCCAGCAGTCTCCTGGAAGCAGATTTCTGGAGCAGACTGCTGCTGCAAGCGATTTCTTGCCATTTAGCTTTTTCTGTAATCAAAGCCTGGGGGAGAAAAGCTTTCTAATTTATTTTTAACATAAAGAGCAGCTTTCTGATTAATTGATGGTTTTGATTGAGTCCCACATACTCTAGTTTATTGTGCTTGTGTTATGATTTCCGCTTTGCTGAGAGCCACAAAGACCAATCAGATAAGCAGCACCAGGACACAAAGGGTGGCCTCCTTGGCCCTTATGTTTTTAAATTATTACATGAACTCAGCTGTAGACATTTACAGTTAGTGTTAGGCTCTTATAATTGCTTTTAATGTGCTCCATTGCTCCTGTAGGTTCCTTCTTACCTTGAGTCTGTTTATCTAGTTTTGTCTGTTTATCTAGTTTTGAGTATATTTTTCATTTCTTGGAGCAATTTTGTACAAGGAAACCACAAATAGTAAAGTTCTTATCTTCCATCTTACAATACAAATTTTTCACCATCATGCGTTATCAAAGTACAAAAGCAATTATGTATGCTTTCAGAAGTGAACATGTTTCTAGATTTTCTACAAATCCATCAGGATACTTTGAAAGCTTCTGGCTTAAACCCGTTCATGGCTTCTCTCCTCCTCAGGCTTTCCCATGTGTTGAAATGTTAATGGCACCACAGGGCTGCCTAACAGTTATTCTCCAGCTGTCCAGGTTGCCTTGCAAGGCCTCTGGCTTGTGCTAACAGAGAGCTTAGCTCCTGTCTGTTTAAAATTGATTTAATTTGAATAATGTTGAACCATTAGTACATGCATATAAAGAGAATTGTGACAAATGTGCGGGTTTTGTTTTGTTACATGGGTCGCTTTATTTTGTCTTTGTTGCAGGTGTTGTTTGATGATATTGGGCAATCTTTGATCAGACTTTCCAGCCATGATCTTCAGTTCCAGCTGGTGGAGGCCTTCCTGCAGTTCTTGGGTGTGCCTTCTGGCTTTACTCCTCCAGCCTCCTGTCTTTATCTGGCCATGGATGAGAACAGCATCTTTGATAATGGACTTTATGATGAAAAGCCCTTGACTTTTTTCAACCCTTTGTTTTCTGGGGCTAGCTGTGTTGGCCGCATGGATAGGTTGGGCTATCCTCGCTGGACCAGGGGTCAGAACCGAGAGGGCGAGGAGTTCATCCGCAATGTCTTCCACCTTGTCATGCCTTTATTTTCAGGCAAAGAGAAGTCCCAGCTCTGCTTCTCCTGGTTACAGTATGAGATTGCAAAGGTAATTCCAGACTCGTCCTCCCATGTTTGGGGACTTTTCATTTCATGTCAGTGTTTATAAACGGGATTGTAAGCCTCCGAGTGCTCTCCCTGGAACTATGCCCCAGCACCTCCTCCTCCAGTGACCCTGAAGGCACCTTGTGTGTGTTTGCCCTTCTGAGGGTCCGCAGTGAAGAGGAGTAAGGCAGGAACGAGTCAGGCTACCTCAGTGACTCTCGAGCTGTTTATTGTATTATCTTGCACTACCAGGTCCCCGTCCTTACATGAACAATGAGTGCTCAAAATAGTTTTAAAGCAGCGTCAGAGCATTCAGGGGCTTATTAAAATAGATCAGCGTCAGGCGCGGTGGCTCACGCCTGTAATCCCAGCACTTTGGGAGGCCGAGGCGGGCGGATCACCTGAGGTCAGGAGTTCGAGACCAACCTGGCCAACATGGCAAAACCTCGTCTCTACTAAAAATGCAAAAATTAGCTGGGCGTTGTGGCGTGTGCCTGTAATCCCAGCTGCCCAGGAGGCTGAGGCAGGAGAATCGCTTGAACATGGAAGGTAGAGGTTGCCGTGAACTGAGATCGCACCATTGCACTCCAGCCTGGGTGACAGAGTGAGACTCCATCTCAAAAATAAATAATAGATAAGCTACTGATAATACTTACCCTCCTGTTTCTGCTAGAAATGAGTCTGGATCAGCTGTTCTGTCCTCTGCTGGCCACAGTTAGTACTGGCTCTCTTAGCACCCAAGTTCTGAAGCTTCAACTACAGATTACACACACCAGGCTGTATTGAAATAGTGTGTTGAAATGTTGTGGCCACATCTCTTTGGAGAAGAACATTTGTAGGTATCAGCTTTGTTTATAGAGATTTCAGCTGGAACCCTGGATTATAAATTTGGGGGCAGTTGTGGCCCTGGTAAAAATCCTTATTTCTTTTCCAGCTCAGAGAGCCTCAGTGTTTACCAGACCCGTGATAAAGGGAGGAAGCGTAGACGCCTTTTTTCCTGTCAGTGCTTTCTACAGTTGGCAGCAGAGGACGCCTTAATTACAGAGCACCTGCAGTCATTCTTCTCTTTTTCCCTGTAGGTCATTTGGTGCCTGCACACTAAAAACAAGAAGAGATTAAAGTCTCAAGGGAAGAACTGCAAAAAACTAGCCAAGAATCTCCTTAAGGAGCCAGAAAACTGCAACAACTTTTGCCTGTGGAAGCAGTATGCACATCTGGAGTGGTTGCTTGGCAACACGGAGGATGCCAGAAAAGTTTTTGACACAGCACTTGGCATGGCAGGAAGCAGAGAACTGAAAGACTCTGACCTCTGTGAGCTCAGTCTGCTCTATGCTGAGCTGGAGGTGGAGCTGTCGCCAGAAGTGAGAAGGGCTGCCACAGCTCGAGCTGTTCACATATTAACCAAGCTGACTGAGAGCAGCCCCTATGGGCCCTACACTGGACAGGTGTTGGCTGTTCACATTTTGAAAGCGCGAAAGGCTTATGAGCACGCACTGCAGGACTGTTTGGGTGACAGCTGTGTCTCCAATCCAGCTCCCACCGATTCCTGTAGCCGCCTAATTAGCCTGGCTAAATGCTTCATGCTCTTCCAGTATTTGACCATAGGGATTGATGCTGCTGTGCAGATATACGAACAGGTGTTTGCAAAACTGAACAGTTCTGTTTTCCCAGAAGGCTCTGGCGAGGGGGACAGTGCCAGCTCCCAGAGTTGGACCAGTGTTCTCGAAGCCATCACACTGATGCACACGAGCCTGCTGAGATTCCACATGAAAGTGAGTGTTTACCCGCTGGCCCCTCTGCGAGAGGCACTCTCACAGGCTTTAAAGTTGTATCCAGGCAACCAGGTTCTTTGGAGGTCCTATGTACAGATTCAGAATAAGTCCCACAGTGCCAGCAAAACCAGGAGATTTTTTGACACAATCACCAGGTCTGCCAAACCCTTGGAGCCTTGGTTGTTTGCAATTGAAGCTGAGAAACTGAGGAAGAGACTGGTGGAAACTGTCCAGAGGTAATTCCAGACCGTTCTGTTCGTGTGCCCCGCAAATGTTTATGGAATGCTTGCTGTGTTGCCCTGACCTTGCTGGGTCTCAGGAAGACAGGGATGAACATGGCACGGTGCCCAGAACACCTGCCGTGGGGCTGTAGGTGTCATAGGATAACGGATTGAAAGGCAAGCGAGACACAAAGTAGCGGCGCCTCTCAGGAGGGGGGTTGGTGGCTGTCGCCTGGGTGTGCTTCTGGGGAGTATGAATGTTGTTTCTGTGTGCATGGGTGGTGGCTGTCAGATCACGGGAATGCTGAGAAGCCGTCACGAAAGCCTGATGGCTAAGAGCACCGGGGCCAGGTGGCAGCTTTCTGGATTCCAGTGCCAGCTCTTCTCGGCTGGGTGAACTCGAGCAGGCCACTTCCCCTCTCATAGCTCCCTCTCTGTCAAATGGGAATGAAAAACCTACTTCATAGGGTCTCTCTGAGGGGTCAGTGAGGTAAGTGCTTGGTACAAAGTGTGTAATGACTGGGAGCTTCTGTCAGCATTCCTAGTGACAGAAGTGTCATGTTTAAATTCCATCTTTGATACGATATTTTCTTTTTTTATTTTTATTTTTTGAGACAGGGTCTTACTCTGTCGCTCAGGCTGGAGTGCAGTGGTGCAGTCTCAGCTCACTGCAGCCTTGACCTCCTGGGCTCAAGTGATCCTCCCACCTCAGTCTCCCCGGTAGCTGGGACTACAGGCACCACCACGCCTGGCTAATTTTTTTATTTTTTATTTTTTGTAGAGACGGGGTTTTGCCATAGTGCCCAGGCTGGTCTCCATCTCCTGAGCTTAAGCGATCTACCCGTCTCAGCCTTCCAAAGTGCTGGGATTATAGGAGGGAGCCACAGTGTCCGGCCTGATCCAGTATTTTCTCTCTAAAGGTTAAATGTTAATCTGGGGGACACATTAGCTTAGGCATCATTGTTTTCCCAGAATCTTTGCTGTTGCTTCACTCTGACCTTATAAGCCAAAATTGTCTTTGAATAATATTTCACTTGTTTTTTATTTCTTCCATTGGGATTTTGTTCACTCTATGTGAGCCTTGCTTTCTCTATTATAAATCAAAAGGTCTTTTCTTCCTGTAAAGTAGAATTTGCATTCTGCTGATTAAAGGGTAGCTTTCTTTCTCTTTTTTTTTTTTTTTTTTTTTTTTTTTTTTGAGACGGAGTCTCACTCTGTTGCCCAGGCTGGAATGCAGTGGCGTGATCTCAGCTCACTGCAACCTCCGCCTCCCGGGTTCAAGCAATTCTCCTGCCTCAGCCTCCCGAGTAGCTGGGACTACAGGCACCAGCTAATTTTTGTATTTTTAGTAGAGACAAGGTTTCACCATATTGGCCAGTCTGGTCTCCAACTCCTGACCTTGTGATCTACCCACCTTGGCCTCCCGAAGTGCTAGGATTACAGGCATGAGCCATTGCGCCCAGCAAAGGGTAGCTTTCTTTAGAAAACAGAGGCGAGTGGGTTTTTGTGTGACTTCAAGACAGATTCGATGTGGTGTGGAAACCACAGAACTCTGGCCTGTGCCTTCTCCTGGCCTTGGAGAAGCCCCATACACAGCGCTCTACGCCTGAGGGACAGTTCTCCCCTGAGTCTGTCTGATCTGGTTGTTGCTGACACTTATCATCACTCAGGCATCTCTTCCTTCTGTGATGTAGGATGAGAGAGCTTGTGTCAGAGTCACGTGAGCCTTTGCCTTGCAGGTTAGACGGTAGAGAGATCCACGCCACAATTCCTGAGACCGGCTTAATGCATCGGATCCAAGCCCTGTTTGAAAATGCCATGCGCAGCGACAGTGGCAGCCAGTGCCCCTTGCTGTGGAGGATGTATTTGAACTTTCTGGTAAGAAAATATTGAGATGTTTTGTGTTCATGCAGAGCTCTACCTCTTCCTTCATAAATGAGAAGGTATTTATGAAATGAGAAGTAGCCCCTGCCCAGGAGAGCTGGGAGGCCATATTTCACTCTCATCTTCTTGGCATTGGTGAATCTCTAAGAAATCCTGATGGAATAATGTCAGATCTCTCAGGACTTGGGAAGAGGTTGCAAGTAGTCCATCTTCTCGAAATATTTGGTAGAACGAAGTTGAGTAGTTACTGGGCTATTCAGTGCAATAGGATTTAATGTGGGTTTCTCTGAGTTGACTTAAGTCGGTAACTTGCAAAATGGTCTAAGAGCTTTCCTTTGAAAGAGACCTATATTCTTTGCTATTCTGCTCATAAGAATTTCTAGGTCCTGATTGTTTTGTTATTAAAAGGTTCAGGTTGGGTGCCGTGGTTCAGGCCTGTAGTCCCAGCACTTTCGGAGGCCAAGGCGGGAAAATCGTCTGAGCCCAGGAGTTCGAGACCAGCCTAATCAAGATGGTGATACCCCATCTCTACAAAAAAATTAAAACATTAGCTGGGCATGGTGCCTGTGAGCCTTTGGTCCCATCTACATCAGAGGTTGAGGCAGGAGGATTCTTTGAGCCCAGGAGTTTGAGGTGGCAGTGAGCTATGATCACACCACTGCACTCCGGCCTGGGTGACAAAATGAGACCTTGTCTCTTAAAAAAAAAATGTAATCTAGAATGTAATTTTTAAAATCAACATTTCCGGCTGGGCATGGTGGCTCATGCCTGTAATCCCAGCACTTTGGGAGGCCAAGGCAGGCAGATCACCTGAGGTCAGGAGTTCGAGGCCAGCCTGGCCATCATGGCGAAACCCCGTCTCTACTAAAAATACAAAAATTAGCTGGGTGTGGTGGTATGCACCTGTAATCCCAGCCACCTGGGAGGCTAAGGCAGGAGAATCGCTGGAACGCGGGAGGCAGAGGCTGCAGTGAGCCAAGGTCATGCCACTCTACTCCAGCCTGAACGACAGAGTGAGACTCCGTCTCAAAAAAAAGAAAAAAAAAATCAACATTTCCTTTTTTTTTTTTTTTTTTTAAGACAAGGTCTCATTCTGTTGCCCAGGCTGGAGTGCAGTAGTGGGATCTCGGCTCACTGCAACCTCTGCCTCCCAGGTTCAAGCAATTCTCCTGCCTTAGCCTCTTGAGTAGCTGGGATTACAAGCGTGAGTCCAGCTTATTTTTGCATTTTTAGTAGAAATAGAATTTTGCCATGTTGGCCAGACTGGTCTCGAAATCCTGACCTCAAGTGATCCGCCTGTCTCATCCTCTGAAAGTGCTGGGATTACAGGTGTGAGCCACTGCGCCCGGCCTAAAATCGACATTTCTAAAGCAGCTTTGTGTTCATTTAAAAGTACCATAGAGATTAAATATGGTGAGACACCGTTCAATTTTGTGAATGTGAATGTACAAGCTGAAAGGTGGCTCTTTGGCTTAATAGAGTCTATGAATTGGCTCAGCCTTGGGTTAAAGGTCTGGCATTGGGCTGGGCCTCGTTTATTGTAACACATCTGTTGCCAAGTTGCACTTTTTTTTAGAAACAGTCTTCGAGGCCTCTTGCTTTAGTTCAGGGGTACTCAGTCATATCCAAGTGGTCTTCAATGAATATTGTACGTTTCGGAAATCAAAAGTGATCTTCCTGGCCAGGTGTGGTGGCTCATGCCTGTGATCCCAGCACTTTGGGAGGCTGAGGGAGCCGGATCACCTGAGGTCAGGAGTTCGAGACCAGCCTGGCCGACATGGCGAAACCCCGTCACTACTAAAAATACAAAAAAAATTAGCTGGATGTGGTGGCAGGCATCTGTAATCCTAGCTACTTGGGAGGCTCAGGCAGGAGAATCGCTTGAACCAGGGAGGTTGCAGTGAGCTGCAGGCGGAGTTTGCAGTGAGCTGAGATCGCACCACTGCACTCCTGCCTGGTTAACAGAGTGAGACCCTGTCTCAAAAAAAAAAAAAAAATAGAAAAAAAACAAAGTGACCTCCTTACTCATAAATCTTACGTATATATCTGAAGATTTCCATAGGATAAATTCTCAAAACTTGATCATGTTACACATGACAAAACTGGAGTGTAAAGAGATACAGAGCGAGTATCCGTATCTGTTGGGCCCCCACTCATGCCTGTCTTTGATTCCAGAATTCATCGGGTGTGTCTCTCTGACCTCTGGAAGGAGCCAGGCACTGAAGGCCTGAGGGGCTGGGCAGGACCTGTGACCTCAGGACAGCTGCTCATGGGCACACTCAGGAATAATGGGCACATTCTTGGGGGCAGAAGTTGGCATCAAAAATGAATTACCAAGTCTGAGTGTGGTGGCTCATGCCTGTAATCCCAGCACTTTGGGAGGCCGAGGTGGGCGGATCACGAGGTCAGGAGATTGAGACCATCTTGGCTAACACGGTGAAACGCCATCTCTACTAAAAATACAAAAAATTAGCCGGGCGTGGTAGCAGGTGCCTGTAGTCCCAGCTACTCGGGAGGCTGAGGCAGAAGAATCGCTTGAACCCAGGAGGCAGAGGCTGCAGTGAGAGCCAAGATTGCGCCACTGTACTCCAGCCTGGGCGACAGAGCCAGACTCTGTCTCAAAAAAAAAAAAAACAAAAAACCTGCAAAAGTTTATGCATTTCTCTTAACATTTATTCTTCAGACCCAGAAGCTCTGATCTTATGGTTTGACTCGTGTGTGAGCTGGAAACTTGCAGGCAGGATGCTGCTGTTAGTAGAGACAACAGTTTGAGGCAGCAGAGTCAGGAGCCCAGGGTTTTAGTGAAACCTCCACTCCTGTCATCAGGCTGCTCAGCTGAGGGAGCAGAGCAGATGCTCCCTGATATTCCCAGCATAAAGATTCCACCCATCTTTACATTTAAAATGGTGGAGTTTGCACATTTGCCAGTTTAACTTACCCAGTCTTTTACAGGTAGAGGCAGGGTAAGGTGCAAATGTACAATATTTTTACTAAGAATCTTCCATGAGCCTAGTTTGGTTCGGTTGTAGACAAAAAGTGCTTATTGGCTTTGAAAAAAAGATCTGGCCCCTTAGAGAATTTCTCTCTTTTTGGAAAGGTAGTATTGGAACTAAGGACTAATTAGAGCAGAGACTGCCCCTAGCAGTTCCTGAGGCATCTGGGCAGGCTCCTAGCACTTTGTTAACACAGTGAAAAATCACATTAGGGCCAGCATGCAAGGTGAAGGTAGCGAGTGCCTGAAGAGGCGGGAGAAGGGAGCCTCGCAGGCCGGGGGGAAGGCTAAGGCTCCCTGGAGGAGGGCTGTGAGGTTGGTTGTGCGATTGTGCCTTTTTGTGTACATGTGCATATACGTGCTTGCTTATACATATGCACATACATATACTCTTGCAACATGCATGCAAGCTTATTTGCTTGCTTGCACTTTTTTCCCTGTAAAAATGTTTGAAGGAGTTCGGGAGTTCGAGACCGGCCTGGCCAATATGGAGAAACCCTGTCTCTACTAAAAATACAAAATTAGCCGGGCGTAGTGGCACATGTCTGTAATCCCAGCTACTCGGGAGGCTAAGGCAGGAGAATCACTTGAACCCGGGAGGCGGAGGTTGCGGTGAGCCGAGATCGCGCCACCGCACTCCAGTCTAGGCAACAAGAGTGAAACTCCATCTCAAAAAAAAAAAGTTTGAAGGAATTAAAGCTTATTCTTGGCCACGGAGAATATGGGAGGGAAAGGAATTGGACAAACAGCAATTAAAATTTTCCACTAATGTTGGAATTTAGCAGGTTAAAACCTCATTTTTAGGAGAGACTTTCAAATGCGCTGTTTTGCATATACATTAACACTCTCAGCCAAAGTTTTTTTTGTTTTTTTTTTTTGAGATAGGGTCTTTCTTATTGCCCAGGCTGCTGGAGTGCGATGGCACTATCACGACTCACTGCAGCCTCAACCTCCTGGGCTCATGCAATCCTCTCACGTCAGCCTCCTGAGTAGCTGGGACTACAGGCATGCACGACCATGCCTGGCTGTTTTTTTTATTTTTTGTAAAGATGGTGTCTCACATATTGTCCAGGCTAGCCTCGAACTCCTGGGCTCAAGCAGTCCATTCACCTCAGCCTCCCAAAGTGTTCAGATCATGGGCGCGAGCCACTGCGCCTGGCTTGTTTATTGTTTTGTTGTTTTAGCTAAAATTGCAGTTTTTTCAAGATACTTAAAATCCTTTAATTTGGTCATCTACCTACACAATAAAGAAGGAACTATGAGTATATAAGCCAGTTAGTTGATTTCATGGGATTGATGAAGTCTTAAATAAAAAGGGAACAGTGGCATTTCTGAATTGTGAATCATTAGATTTTCTTTTACCCTCTAGTATAATTTGTTCCATCCTGTTGACAGCTGGCAGGAGTTGGTATATATTGAAAGGCCATCATTTACAAGAGCTGGTGGGAGGGAAAAGAATCCCCCTGAGTTCTATCAGAGATAAACCAATAAACCTCTCAGCAGAGTGTCAGTCTTCTCTCAGGAGCACATGGAGGGAGCATTATAGAAATGCATCTTTTTTTGTTTGGACAAGGTTGGTTATGTTTTGTTACATAAAAAATTGTATAAGCTAACAGTTGCTCACATTTGTTTATAAGGAGATAAAAAAAGAGAATCAAAATTTGCAAAAGCCTTAAGACCTTCAGCTTCCTCGTTTTTTAGAGATGTTGCTTCCCCCATGGGGAGGTGGCACACGTCTGCTAAGAAGGTAGACAAATGCCAAAACAAGTGATTACAAAGCACCAAATAGCTTCTCTACACGGAGGACTCAAACACTTGGGACGTTAGTGATGCAGCCAATGGGCAGCTGCCTGCCACTGTTACTCGCCTCCCCCGTGGTCGCACAGGGGAGAATTATTATGGCCCAGCTCAGGTCTGAGTCATAAGCATTTTTTGTTTTTTTGAGACAGAGTCTTGCTCTGTCATGCAGGCTGGAATGCAGTGGCGCAGTCTCAGCTCACTGCAGCCTCAACCTCCTGAGCTCAAGCATTCCCCACACCTTAGCTGGGACCACAGGTGCGCACCACTGTGCTGGGCTAATTTTTATATTTTTGTAGAGACAGCGTTTTGCCATGTTGCCCAGGCTGGTCTCGAACTACTGAGCTCAAGCAGTCTGCCCTCTTTAGCCTCCCAAAGTGCTGGGATTACAGGCGTGAGCCACCGTGTCCGGCCAGCATCTTGTTGGCTGAGTTCTTCAGATGGTTTGTATGAGATTCGGTTCCTGGGGCTTCGTGTGAGGGAAGTGGCCTCTGTGTGAAGTCTCCATTCCTGCTTCCCTCTGGGAGACTGCCCTTGGCCGAATCACACACTCACTCGGGCACCCATCACGGCAGTTCTGCTCCTCCATTAGCTGTTTTCTTAGGTTCCCAGCAAAGACCCTGTTGGTTACCTGAGATGCTCCCAGTCCACCTGAGGAGACGTTTACCTGGACACAATCCCATAGGGTGCAGACACAGTACCATGGGAACTCCAGCAAAGAAGAGTTGCCCCCTGTTATGTTTCAGTCCTGACTTAGGAATTTCATGAGGGGTCTCAGTTGTCAGTTCAGAAGATGAGAAAGGAGGACCAGGAGAGCCAGATAGCGCCCATGAACTCTTCCCTCCCTCGAGACTGCGCCAGTCAGAGGTCAAAGGTACACGCAGGCCACGTCTCAGAAGATGAAATCATGGACGGAAGCCACACGTGGTCCCCACCAAGCTTTCACCTGGCATCCAGCCCTTCCATACCTCCGTGCAGTGAGGGCATCTCCAGCGCTGATGGAGGCTGGCCAGCTGTGTACCTGGATTTGTTGGGTTCCGAGATTAGCTGTGCATGGTTGTTACATTTTGTCAGTATCTTAGGAAAGGACACTGAAGTATGTTAGCATGGGAAGGAAGGACAGCGCTCAGTGGCTCTTTGGTTATAAATTCAGAGGCTCAGCCTCAGAACTGGAGGCTTCCACCAGGGAGGACACGCAGGAGTCCTCCGAGCCTCACAGCTGGCCCTGTGCGTGGCACTCACAGAGGCTGGGGAAAGACTGGGCCTTGCCTGAAGCAAGGTTATCACAGTTCCGTCCCTGTGACTGTGGGAGTTAACGGTTGAGAAGGACTGGCCATGGAGTCCCGGCTACTTGGGAGACTGAGGTGGGAGGACTGCTTGAGCCCAGAAGTTCAAGGCCAGCCTGGGCAACATAGACAGTGAAAAAAAAAACCAAAAAAACCAAACAAAAAACAAATAGAAAAGGGAGTGAGGCCATCCTTGGTAGATGGAGTTCCTGAGATGTAAATTGGAGAGTGGAGTCCCTGGATGCCACTGTTCAGGTTTCTGGGAAGCCGGTCAGCAGCCCTCACTGGTCCCGGGCTGGATGCTGTGCCCCGGCCGCTTGGTTGGGCAGGGCTGGCGTCCCCTAGAACCTTCTGAGGGAGGGGAGCCTGCAGGACGGGGTGGGTGGAAACAGAGACTTCAGCTCCACAAGCCCTGCCTGTGCCCACTCCTGGCTGCACAGCTACCTGTGGAGCTGCCCGTGTGGGCTGTGATTCCTTGGAGGGCTTGAGAGGGGCTGTTGTCAGCGGAGGTCCCAGGCTGGGTCTCCTTCCACACTGGGCTGGGAAGGAGGCTGTGTGGCTGAGTCGAGATGGAGGGTTTTATATCTAGAGAGAACACGTGCTGAATATCCACACAGATACTGAGATTGCCGATGGAACTTGCACCTTTTGTAAGGTCAGTGATCACAGTCCTGGCCATCTCTTTTCTCTAAAAGATAGTTTTCAGAAAATGGCAAGTATTAAAGCAAGTGTCTTCTCTATGTTTTCTAAGATAAGTATTGTAGAAGATTTTCTCTATTTGTATAATGTCTTCAGCCTCACCTCACTGACACTCCTTGGTTTCAAGCACTGTTACTAACACCCAGAGGTGACAGCCTACAGCAAAGGAGGAGATCTGAGACTTTAAAAAGTCAGTAGTGTTCAGGATTGACACTCTGGGGCCATTTGAATGGGAGGAAACAACCCCAACACAGCAGTGGCTTCTGAGAGTGCTCCCTGGCACCTGCCCCTGTCCCACAGCCACCGTGACGGTGCCAGGCCCTCTGCACAGGTGGGCTCACTGCAGCTGAGGGCTTGTGCCCGTCATCCAGGGGCGTTTGTGTAGCCTTAGCCTCTCTGTGTCAACTAATCATGTTTGTATTTTCTCCCCCTCACCTCAGGTTTCCTTAGGAAATAAAGAAAGAAGCAAAGGTGTATTCTACAAAGCACTTCAGAATTGCCCTTGGGCAAAGGTAAGTGTTAAAGGCCATGGTGTCTTCAGCTTCCCGAAAACTTCCCGCCAGGTCTCCGTCCAGCTAGTGTCTTCCCGGCCTGCCCCGCGGCACCGGGGATGCTCGGCTCATGGACGCCATACCCTGTCCCAAGGTACATCCAGAGCCTTTTCCTGGTGAAACTGTCCCCTGTGGAGTCAGAGCCTGGCCCTACCTGGGGCTGGTGCTTCATGGAAGTGTTGCCGTGGGTAGCTGGTTTCCCAGCATTTGGTCAGAGTCCAGCCCAGATGCTGAAAGAGTTGGGATCATGTCCCAGCCTGGCTGTGAGAGCCCAGGTCAGGTGACACTCAGAAGTGAAACTGAGGGCGACGGCCAGCAATTCCTGGACCCCTTTTAAAAGAGAAGGCCTCGCTTGGCGTTTGCTCACTTTTGCGAGTTCAGTGTCCTTCCTGAACATGCCCAGTGCTGCCCGAGTTAAGAAAGTCTCAGCCAAGGGGAGCAGGGGCCGTGGAGGGCGACAGGAGGGCAGGGTCACCAGGAACCTGGCCCTTGCTTCCTGAGCTCCTCCAGGCTGACAGGAAGTGGCGGCTGAGTGGGGCGGCCTTCCTGCCTGCCCCCTAGGTGTTGTACCTGGACGCCGTGGAGTATTTCCCCGATGAGATGCAGGAGATCCTGGACCTGATGACTGAGAAGGAGCTCCGGGTGCGCCTGCCGCTGGAGGAGCTGGAGCTGCTGCTGGAGGATTAGAGAGCAGCGGGAAAACGGGCTGTGCCTGCGAGGCCAAGTTGCCCACCCTGCGGAGCTAGGAGGCGCGAGCAGAGAACGTGTGTGTTAGGAGAACTCGGCTTTTGAAATGTTCTTTCTCGATAGTAATAATGTGGGCTGCCAGCCTCTCACATCTTGCACACTTTTTGGGTGTGTAAATGACACAAAAGTTATTTACATATTATATATGTGAATATGTGTATATATGTACATAGCCAGAGAGTCATGCCACGTGGTCATTAAACCGATGATGATTGAGGCGTGGCAGCGTCCTTGCTCATTCTCTCCCTGTGCGCAGCCAGCACTGGCCCCCGCACGGTGAATGTGTTCCCTCCGCTGGTGTCGTGGTGGTCCTGCCAGGCCCTCTCTGAGATAAAGGTCTGGTTTTTCAGCACTAGGATGTCTTCCCCAGGCTGGTGAGCAGGAGATTTTGCTCTTGTGTTGAGACCCGCAGTTAACGCTTGGTGTTCTGGCCTGCACGCAGTGTGTGGCAAGTTCCCTGAGTTTACCTCGGCGGCGATGCCTCCGCCTGGAGCTGGAGGGGCAGCGTGCCCTGGGGCTGCTGAAAAACTCAGGCCTGTGGAGTCAGAACCCGCTCTTCAGCAGGTCCCAGGCCACTTGAGTGTGGAAGGCTGCCCGGGGCACTGGCAGCCTCTGGGGGAAGCCTGCTCCCAAGCCGTCTAGGAGCCGAGCACGCTGTACCGCCAGCCCCAGCCCTGCCTGCATGAGGGGCCCGGCACGCTTGTGCAGCAACGCTGCTTACACTATGAAGGCCAAGGCTGGCCTGGTTCTGGTGTTGCATTCGAGGGCTGTGAACAGAATGAAATGTCAACATCCATTTTTCAGACTTGTTCTGCCTCCGAAGAGATTTTTAGTGCTGAGTGATTTTCACTATTAACATATGGCTGGAAGGAATGGTTTTCTTATCTTCTCCGAGCTCTAGACTGGCTAGCTTCTCTCTGGCTTTTTTTGTTTTGTTTTCCTCTCTTTAGAATTGCTGTATACTTGTATCTCCTCAGCACATTTAGAAAAGCCAGTGTATAATTTTGGCTGGCAACTGACGGACGCAGCGGGCAGCAGCAGGCAGGGCAGCGCACGAGAGCACCTCCCAGGGCACGGTGGGAAACTGGCCAGCCCAGCCCCACTACTGCCCTCTCCTGCTCGTCCCCAGTCCCTGAGCTACAGGTGGCTGTAGGCAGAAGCCCACCGGGTGTTCCTTAGCGACAGACAGGTCGTCAGCTGCTCCCCTTGATGCCTTTTCACAGAAACAACCCTCAACTTGAGGAAGTTGAGAGCTCCACTCCGAGGTGGACTTGCTCCCCCTCCCTGAGAGCTAACTGGCTTGAACTGTCATGAGTTCCTGGCTGCCCACAAAGAGGGACCTTCTCCACCCTTGTCCTCTGCGTGGGGCAGACATCAGCCAGACATGTCACCGACCTGATTGGGGGCAGGGAGTAGGAAGTCCAGGACCAAACCATGCTCCCCATGACAGCAGCTGGCGCCTCAGTCCCCATCTGACTCATGTCTCTTCTCATCTGGTTCAGAACTTAGAAGGGCGTGGCCTCTGATCAGCTGGTTCCCTCCAAACCCCAGTGGCAACCTGTCCCTTGAGAGCCAGGAATGGCTCTTAGCAGTGGGCAGTGAGCCCCCGAGAGGATAAAGCGGCTGCTCGAACAGATTGCGAGCACATTACTTGCTGCATGGGAGGAGGTTTAAAACAAATCAAAGATTCCTTGAGGGCATTTTACAGAAAACAAGATGTCAAGAGCATCACTGTTGTTATTTAAAAGCCCATTTGAGGCCAGGCGCGGTGGCTCACGTCTGTAATCCCAGCACTTTGGGAGGCCGAGGCGGACGGATCACGAGGTCAGGAGATCGAGACCATCCTGGCTAACATGGTGAAACCCCCGTCTCTACTAAAAATACAAAAAATTAGCCGGGCGTGGTGGCTGGCGCCTGTAGTCCCAGCTACTCGGAAGGCTAAGGCAGGAGAATGGCGTGAACCTGGGAGGCAGAGCTTGCAGTGAGCCAAGATCGCGCCACTGCACTCCAGCCTGGGCGACACAGCAAGACTCCGTCTCGAAAAAAAAAAAAAAAAAACAGCCCGTTTGAGATTGCTGACATGAACTTCTGAAAGATGACTACGTGCCTCCCAAGACTAACCGTCAGCTTGGAGGGCTGAGAAGGGGGTTCCCAGCTGGAGTCAAACAGTGGCTCATGTGTTTCATCAGGAACGCTCGTCATTTCCCCGAAGGAGTCACTGATCACATCAGACCACAGGGGTCGGCCCACCTCGGGTTTGGGACAGTGTTCTTTCCTGGAATGAAGCAGTGGCAATGCCTCTGGCACAGGATTGCTGGGCCTGCAGGAGGCCAGGAGGCACCTCTGTGCTGTGTTCCCAGTAGGAGGAGGCAGCTACTACTTGTAAGGCACACATATCATTTTGCATTGGAAAAGTGAAGATAGGCTTGCTGCAGAGGGAGTGATGGGAGAGTTCACCTTAAATTGTTCTACTGAGGAAGGGCTCCAAAGAGCCAGTGGGTTTTCCGCAGGCAGACGGGGTTCTCCCTGTCCGGCTCACCAGTGCAGGAAGCCAGGGAAGAAATTACTGTGGGAATTCTGTTATTTCACAAGCACTTCATACCTGCATCCCTGCACTTGGCACCGCAGGCCTCAGTGACCAGCTGCCGAAACGGTAATTTCAGCATTTTGGTCAGTAAGCAAACTGGAGAAGCAGCTGGGGTGGGGCGCAGTTCAGCCCGCTACCCTGACACTCTAGGCCCTGGCATTTGCTTTAGCTGCTTTTGTAGAATTGACATGAGGGAGACTGTCCCTCTAGAGGAAAACGCTCAGCTATTACCAATGAGGAAAAGGCAATACTGATGTGCTGGGGTTTTTTGTTTTTTTTAATCTCAAACTTAGGAAAAGATGCAAGTGCGTTACAAAGAATTTTGTTTCCTGAACCGTGTGAGTCAGTTGCTGAGAGTCTGCTACCCGCCCACGATACAGACACTGAACAGGAAGTCAGCATGGACGCAGTACTCCTAGCAGGTCCTCAGGCCCAGTCATGTCCTCTAGGAAAAGGATCCAGTTCAGGAGCAGGAGCTGCACTTGGTTGTCATCTCTTTGGTCTCCTTCTGATTGGAAGCTTTTTGACTTCCAAGACGTGGATACTTTTGAAGTGTTCTGAATTTGTAGAATGTTCCTCAGTTTGTGTTTGCCTGGTGTTTCCTCAGCACTGGATTCAGGCTAAGCATCTTTGGCAGGAGTGTGACAGCACTGACACTCTTGGGTGGCACGTACTTTCAAAGTGCCCATTACTGATGATGTGCATTTGACCACTTGGTGAAGACGGTGTCTGCTGGGCATCTCCAGTGTGACTTTCCCTTTCTAACTGAACAGTGTTTTGTGGCAGACTCTCAAAATCTGTAAATACCCCTTCCTCAGCAAACTTTCAGATCAATTCATATGTATTGGGGTGTGTGTGTGTGTGTGTGTGTGTGTGTGTGTGTGTGTGTGTGTGTGTGTGTAGTTCCCTATTTAAAGGGCTATACTGTATTCCATTAATAGTAACTGTTTGTTAGGATGCTCAGATTGTCCCGAGTTTGGCCAGTGGAAGCCCCTTCACATAGGCTTCGGTGTCCTTAGGACATGTCCTTATCATTCCTTGAGCACTCCCTTGCTTTCTGGCAAAACAGACTTTGGGTTCATCCTGTCCTTTCCCTGCCTAGCCCCGGAATCAGCCCTCACTCCTTTTAGTGGAGAATAATACTTTTAGCAGCAAAGGTCTGGGTCTAGGGGTGCTCACTGCAGTTGGGGTGTCACTGTTCCCAGGTGCTCCCAGTGGACAGAGGTCGTTCTTGTTTTCTTCTTTCTGTGTCTAACTCCTCAGAGAAACCTGGCTCCCACTGTCCTGTTTACCTGCCTGACTGCCTCCATACATAAGCAGCCTCCCTCCCCTGCCACCACCCCGTCCCTGCAGATGCCTTCCTCACCCACTTGGGCTCTCATACTGCACATCAGGCTGCCCACACTGACTCCCCCTATCGGACCACCCCAGCCCTGCACATACACCCCACACGGATGCCAGCCTCACCCTGCCCATGCTGAGTCCCCGTGCTGTGGTGTTCCTCCACATGGACAGCTCCACACCCTACTTGGGCTGACACCCGCCCTCCCCACAAGCACCCCGTCCTTACCCTGCACTGGGCCACCCCCACGTGTGGATGTCCTCTGTGGTAGGCAGAGTGGCGCCCCTAAAGATGGCCACACCCTAAGCCCTGGAACGTGTGAATGTTACATGGCAAAAGGAACTTTGCAGATAAAAATTAAGAAGATTGTAAACTTTAAAACAGGGAAATTATCCTGGATCATCTGCATGGGTCCAATGCAATCACAAGGATCCATAAGAATAGAAAAGGCAGGCAGAAAGAAGGGTCGGTGGGAGAGAGGGACTGGGCCTGCTGCTGCTGGTGGAAAATGAAGTGCCACGAGTCAGGAGGGAGGGTGGCCTTCACAGACTGGCAAAGGCCTCAGCTGGCAGCCAGCAAGGAAATGCTGACCTCAGCTGGCCCACAACTCCAAGAAATTAAATTCTGCCAACAATAATCCTCAGCAAGGAAACGGATTCTCCCTTAGAGACGCCAGAGGGAACGGTCCTGCCAACAGCAAGACTTTAGCCTGGAGACACTCGTGTTGGACTTCTGACCTACAGAACTGAGATAAAATTGTGGTTTTTATTTATTTATTTATTTATTTTTGAGACGGAGTCTTGCTCTGTCGCCCAGGCTGGAGTGCAGTGACGGGATCTTGGCTCACTGCAACCTCCGCCTCCTGGGTTCAAGCGATTGTCCTGCCTCAGCCTCCTGAGTAGCTGGGACTACAGGCACCTGCCACCACGCACAGCTAATTTTTGTATTTTTAGTAAAGATGGGGTTTCACCATGTTGGCCAGGCTGGCCTCAAACTTCTGACCTTGTGATCCGCCTGCCTCAGCTTCCCAAAGTGCTGGGATTACAGGCGTGAGCCACCGTGCCTGGCCAAATTGTGCTGTTTTTAAACAAAGCCTGTGGTAACTTGTTATAGTATTAACAGAAAACTAATACACACTCCTCATTCAGTGTGGGCCCTACAACCCACACCAGGCCACCTGTCAAGGGAACGCTTACCTTGATCTGTCCCACTTAATAGCTTTAGGCCTGATTTGTTCAGAAAGAGAAATGACGGAAATAGACGGAGAAAGGGAAGGGGAAGTTCTGACATGTTTCTGAACACCTTGAAAGGGATGAGATTTCTGAGCCCAAGGGCTCAGAAGGGCTTTCAAGATATCTCTAGGAATCCTCAGTCTCTTGGGAACACCAGTAGTTATTTTCTGCCCTCAGAGTGCTAAGAACATGCATGGTCCACAAAACTTCCAAAAAGGAAAGCTGTACTTCCTTTGGAAGCAATAGCCACATTAACGCAGCCTTTATTATTTAAACAACGAATATCCCTGGCTCTGTGGTAGTGACCATTTCCCACTGTAATTACCGTTGAACGCCAGCTCTGGGGGTGTGATGTGGCGAACGCATAGTGAGGTCCACACTCCTTGGGACCGCAGCCTGAGTTCCTGTCCAAAGGCTTCCCTGTAGCTGGGTCCACCCACAGGCTGCTGTTGAGCGGTAGGTGTGTGTGGAGACTGCAGAAACAGGAAGTGTTTGTGAAAGAGCACGCTTTATTGGGAAGCAGACTGCTGCACAGTGACCAACAGGCCACCCAATGGGCACTTACACATCGTACTCCAAAAGACACAGGATGTTTTGCTAATAAAAATCAGTGGGAACAGGGATTCCTCTGGGCAACTCCCCCAACCTCATCCCTTTCAGGGATTGAGAAATCTCCCAACCATTTTCCTGATGACAGCCATGGTTCATTAGAGATACAGCCCCTCAGGGGTGCCTTCCTGTTTCTTATAAAGAACATTTTCTTTAGATTTTTTGAAGTCTTCATTTGTTACTTTCATTCTACGTTCTCTTAAGGCCATCAGACCAGCTTCTGTACAGATTGCCTGTAAGAAAGAAGAGTGTGTTCAGAAAGTGACATACTCATTTTTATTCTAACAAGGAATTCCAAAAAACCTATTCTGAGGCCAGGCGCGGTGGCTCACACCTGTAATCCCAGCACTCTGGGAGGCCGAGGCAGGTGGATCGCCTAAGGTCAGGAGTTCAAGACCAGCCTGGCCAACACGGTGAAACCCCATCTCTACTAAAAATACAAAAAGTTAGCCAGGGACGGTGGCAGGCACCTGTAATCCTAGCTACTCGGGAGGCTGAGGCAGGAGAATTGCTTGAACCCGGGAGGCAGAGGTTACAGTGAGCCGAGATCGCGCCACTGCACTCTAGCCTGAGCAACGAGCGAAACTCTACCTCAAAAAAAAAAAAAAAAAAATCTGTTCTGAAATAAAGCATGAGACACCTAGACTAAACACAAATTGCTTATTTGGGAAAGATTTGATTTTTAAAAAAAATGTTTTAAGCATCCTATTTTCTGAAAGGATGTGAAGTGGCTTAAACTGGGAGTTACTGTAACTAAGACTGACCCAAGGGTCAGGGCTGTGGGTTCTAGTTTTGGCTCAGGTTCTAACAAGCTATGTGGCTTGTACAACACCACTTTTGTTAAAGAGAATAATATTCCTAGGAAATAAACAAAATTATGCCCTGAAACTTAGAGGCAATTGACAGTATATGTCTATTTCATTTACTTATAGTCATAAAAGAACATGTATTCTGGTTAGATACTGTAAGTGGCAGTATCTATACTATGGAATAATACTACAGAGTATAGCATTTATTCCAATATATTTAATTTCTCAGTAATTACTGGCCCAAAGTAAAAGAAAACAATAACCCATGTTACATGGGTTACTGTTATTGTTTTAGGCCTGATCTGTTTAGAAAGGAAAGAGAAATGAAGGAAATAGATAGAGAAGGACAGCAAACAAACATATTATGTGGGTTACTGTTATTGTTTTCTTTTTCTTTTGGCCAGTAATTACTGTGGCAAAAACAAGATGTGGCAAAAAACACAATCCTGGCACAGAAGTTTGTTTGGTGATGGCCATCAGGTTATTTACTTCAAATGGTTCGGGTGAAAAGAAAGTTTTGTGTATAGAAAGAGAAAAAGCAAACAGGTAAAATGTTAACTCTTGGCAAATCACTGTGCTATTGTTGCAACTTTTTTGAAGGCTTGAAAATTGTCAAAGTAAGTTCTTATCTTAAAATTTTAAGATCTTTCAATTTTTAAAAAAGAAGATAGATTTTACTTGCCAACAGAGACATCTAGTTCTCTAGGACTAACTGCCAATGATCCGTGGGCTCAGGGCAGGTGCTGGCCTGGAAAGGCACTGCTTGTGCTGTCCCTACCTAACCATGGCATTTATGCCCAACGAAAACCCAGCTCTTTCCAGGAAAAGCAGGTAGAACCCATATTCAACGCTGCCAGACCTTGCTGTAAATTCTGGTCAGCTGGGAGGAAATGTCCTAACTCATGTACATTTGTCATAAAACCAAGAAGTATAATCTGGTACAACCTTCCAGAACACAGATTGGGAGATGAATGCAGCGGGTGCTTGGTCCCCACTCTGCGGCTCTGGGGAGAGTTCTCCCAGGACATACCCTTCCCCTGACCTGGGACTGAGCAGCTACATTTGACACACCTTGAGAAAGTCACCTGGGCCTAAGGCTTAGTACCAGCGACTCAGCCTTGTGGCTCCAGGTGATTTAGCGTCATTCACTGCATAAAATGATGCATTAAGAATGACTTCAATATCAAGCACATATACCATTTGGATGTAATCGTAAACCAATATGATGATTAAAATACAGACACCCACCTGTCCAGGCCAACCACCATCCCAAGAGCACATATAGACTCTTTCCTGATTGACGGCCACATTCCCAGAAATAAGCTGACACGGCTAGGCTCTCACCTTGATGTCAGCACCAGAGAGGTCATCTTTAGCCATGATCAGGTCGTCCAGGGTTACATCATCAGCCAGCGTCATCCTGCTTGTGTGAATCTGAAAGATGCGCTTCTTCGTCTTTTCATCAGGCAGGGGGAACTCAATCTTCCTGTCAATGCGGCCTGCAGGTACAAAGAGATTTGAAGTCACACCAACATCCAAACCCAGGCTCGGCCATGGCTCAGAGGCCTCAGCCCATCTCCTTACATACGAAGTTTCAGTCGGACAGAATTCTGTGGGAAGGATGTCTAAATTTTAAAAAGTAAACATATATTTTTGTAGTTTGTAGATTTCTACATTTGAATTCTCTTCATTTAAAAGAAACTCTCTCTGCTTTGGTACCTTCAGAAATAAATGAAAGGAGCAATTCCTGAGTGAAACTGGGCAGACCTATTGTGTTAAAAACATTACAAAAGACAGCAAACAAATCACTGTTTCTTCTGATGCTACCTGAATGTAAAAAGGACAAATCCTACCATCACATGAATTATTTCTTCCAGAAAAAGCAGCAAGTTCTTGAGGCTAAAAAGGGAATGTTATGGAAAAGAAAAGACAAGACATAAGACTGGAATTCAAAGGGCCAAGGTGCACAGACCATATCATGCTCTGTTTTAACCCTCATCTCAAGAGGACCTATTTTTTTGTAAATTATCCTAAGTTTCACTGCAGTATTTGCTTTTTTATGTATCATTTTATAGGCCTCCCAAAGCACACTTAAACACAAATATATAAACACATTAATCTCCATGATGAAACCAAAGCAAATTTAACCTGGTCTGATAAGTGCTGGATCCAAAGTTTCTATTCGGTTTGTGGCCATGATAACTTTCACATCTCCCCTAGAATCAAATCCATCCAACTGGTTCAGCAGTTCCAACATTGTTCGCTGAATTTCTCTCTCACCACCAGAATTGGAGTCATATCTTTGGAAAAAAAAAAAGGGAAGGAATGAAGACTCAACTGATCGCCTGCTCAAGGGGAATTACAGCAAAGACCTCATTGTGACAAAACACCTTAACAAACATTCCTGTTTCAACTCACATGGCACTCCCTCAATTATGCTCGGAAAAAATAAATTCAGCACCCCTTGCCATGGTCTGAATGTATTTCCCCAAATTTATGTGTTGAAACTTAATCCCTACTGTGTGGCTAAGAGATGAGGCCTTTTGGAAAGGGCTAAAGGCATGAGGCAGAGCCTTATACAGCATGAGTTCCTTCTAAAAAGAGAAAAAGGCCTTATACAGCATGTATTCCTTATAAAAAATGCTGCAGGGAACTAGTGTAGGCCCTTTTTGCTCTTTTGTTTGTCCCCTGAGCATTTGTCTCCTCTGCAGAATAGGTGCCATCTCGGAAGCAGAGAGCAGCCCTCACTAGACATCAATGCCAGTGCCTTGATCTTGGGCTTCTCAGCCTCCAGAACTGTGGGAAATACATTTCTATTCTTTATACAAATACCAGTCCTAAGGTATTTTGTTTAGCAGCACAAATGGACTAAGACGCTCCCATCAGCCAAGTTACAGATCATATTTTTTCATAGCAGTTTCTGTGTCTGAAATTGTATCATTTATTCTGTTTCCATGTTTGGTATCTGATCCCTACAACCTGTGAGCTCCTCCAGGGCAGAGACTTGTGCTCACAACTGTGTCCCTAGAGTCCAGATGGTCCTGGATCAGGGCGGGTGCTCAAGACATGGTTATTCATAACTGACCAATCTCTCCAGACGTTCACAGTTACTGGGCAGTTGTTAGCTGGCTCCTGGGAGAGCAGAGCCTAAAGCATGCATGGAAGGCCACGCACAGCAAGAACTGTGGCCATAGGGAGAGCCCCCTGAGATTGCTCATTCTCAAGAGAAGAGCTATGCGGTGTTCCCTACTAAACAAGGCAAAATAAGTATGAGAAAGTCTACCTTTTTGTCCCAATGGCGTCAATTTCATCAATAAACACGATGGACGGTGCATGTTCTTCAGCAACTCGGAACAATTCCCGTACGAGTTTGGGCCCATCACCTAGGTACTTCTGAATAAGTTCAGAGCCAACCACTCTCAAGAAAGTGGCTGAGGTTTGGTTTGCTACTGCTTTGGCTAACAAGGTTTTACCTATTTTGGATGAAAAAGATAAAAAAAAAAAAGACACCTTAAGTGCCATTTTAACTTAAAAACTCGTATCATTACCACCTTAAATGGACACCAAAAACAGGCGGGCCCTCATGCTAAGGCATGGCACCAATTCAAGTGTCACGACATTCCATTCTCCTAAGTAGATAAGAGGACATTTAGAAAAATCTACTAACATGTTTGGATTATCCTTAGCTATTTTGCTGAACTTATGATAACGTCAGAAAATACTTTTTACTTGGTTATTTTCCAACCTTGACCCAGTTTCCCCTGAAAAGCTGCGAACTATAATTACCTGTACGAAGAATTGCTTCATTCCAGTAATGAAATAAATCTCATTTTTTTCTCTGGTTGAGTCTGTCTTGGGCCCCTTCAAAGTTGCATACATTAACCTGACCCATCCAACCCAGGGCTGTAGAGCCAAAGTAAACTCCTAGGAAACCATCAGTGCTGGAAAAAAGGGTCTGGGAATCCTAGCTTTGGCCCTAAGGAGATACACGAAGTGTTCCTGAGCTCCAGGCATGCAGTGCCTACTGCTCCAGAAAAGTAGCTACTGGGTGGGCTTGCTGCCAGCTCAGACAGCTGAGACAGGACCAGCTCTTGATGAACGCCACAGTGAGAGCTGCTGTGGCATGCCCTTCCAAGGGAGAGGCAGTTCCTCCCACTGATCTCAGGGAAGAGCTCAAACATCATTTCCAATACTGCTCTACTTGCTGATATTTCTGTTTCAGGTTAAAAACAAGAGTCAGCTGGCCAGGCGCGGTGGCTCACGCCTGTAATCCCAGCACTTTGGGAGGCTGAGGCAGGAGGATCACCTGAGGTCAGAAGTTCAAGACCAGCCTGACCAACATGGAGAAACCCCGTCTCTATTAAAAAAGTTACAATATTAGCCAGCACATGCCTGTAATCCTAGCTACTCGGGAGGCTGAGGCAGGAGAATTGCTTGAACCCGAGAGGCTAAGGCAGGAGAATCGCTTGAACCCGGGAGGCGGAGATTGCAGTGAGCCAAGATCGCGCCATTGCACTCCAGCCTGGGCGACAGAGCAAGACTCCGTCTCAAAAAAAAAAAAAAGAAAAGAAAAACAAGAGTCAGCAAAGAGTGCCCAACTTGAGAATTTTTGAATTGGAAGACCTGGGATCCTTTGGTGGTCAGTGAGGACCTTGACAAGGGCTGGGTAGGTGCCTCAGGATACAGAGGCAGTTAGGGGCAGAGCTGGCAGCCTCGGGCCAGCACGGGAGGAGTGTGGAGGTGGCTAGCTGGTGTGTGACAGGGAAGACTTTCCAGAAATGGGATGGCTGACACAAAGCTCAGCTTTGCAACATGTGGCAATGATGTTGCTTTTAGACAGGCAGAGTAGCAGATGCAAAGGCTGGACTGCTCCCTGAAAGCATCAATGAGGGAAGGTGAACAGAAAACAAATAGGACCTTTCCAGTGGATAGGATGTTATCGTGCAGAAGCAGCCAAGTCTAGCCAGTGGGCTGCTTCTGCGGTCAGAGGGCTCACTGAACAAGCTGCCCGCTCCTCTGACAGACTTGTTTGTCCAGTCCTGCCTCCCAGCCCTGTACCGCAGCCCCTTTAGTACTAGAGCCCCACAGGGGGCCTGCAGCTGTGGGTCAGGAGGCCTGTGTTCCAGCTCCAGCCCTGTTACTAGCTCAACTCCCACAGGGGCCTTGGGCTAGTCACCGGCCATTCTGAAACATAATTTCCTAAGCTGTAAGATGAGGGGCTGTAGAAGAGGGATCTCTTCTAGCTCTCGGCCTCTGGGTACAGGTGTCTCCGTCTCTCCATTGTGGGTACCCCTCAGCACGGATCTTCTTAGGAACACTGTCAATTCTCTCAAATGACTGTGCTTCCTTTGGAATCTGCACAGCAATGAACTTCTAAGTCCTGAGCTCTACCAAATGAATCTGATACTGCAGAATAGGGTGGGTTTTTTTTGTTTTTTTTTTTGGAGATGGTCTCGCTCTGTCACCCAGGCTGGAGTGCAGTGGCACGATCTCAGCTCACTGCAACCTCAGACTCTCAGGTTCAAGCAGTTTTCCTGCCTCAGCCTCCCAGGTAGCTGGGACTACAGATGTGTGTCACCACACCTGGCTAGTTTTGTATTTTTAGTAGAGATGGGGTTTCACCATGTTGGCCGGGCTGGTCTTGAACTCCTGGCCTCAAGTCATCCATCCGCCTTGACCTCTCACAGTGCTAGGATTATAGGCATGAGCCACCATGCTCAGAATAGAGCTTTTAAAGTAGCACTTCTCCACTATGGCTCCTAGGCTTGGCCATACTCCAGATGAATAGATCAAAATCTTTGAGGAAGGGTCAGGCATCAGTTTTTTTTTTCTTTTTTTCAGACAGGGTCTCACTCTGTTGCCCAGGCTGAAATGCAGTGGTGTGATCATGACTCACTGTAGCCTCAACCTCCAGGGCTCAAGTGACCCTCCTACCTCAGCCTCTTGGATAGCTGGGACTACAGGCATGCACTACCACGCCCACCTAATCTTTTTTTTTTTTTTTTTTTGAGATGTAGTCTCGCTCTGTCACCCAGGCTGGAGTGCAGTGGCGCTGTCTCCGCTCACTACAAGCACCGCCTCCCGGGTTCATGCCATTCTCCTGCCTCAGCCTCCCGAGTAGCCGGGACTACAGGCGCACGTCACCACACCCGGCTAATTTTTGTATTTTTAGTAGAGACGGGGTTTCACCACATTGGCCAGGCTGGTCTCGAACTCCTGACCTCATGATCCACCCGCCTCTGCCTCCCAAAGTACTGGGATTACAGGCGTGAGCCACTGCGCCCGGCCACGCCCAGCTAATTTTTTATAGAGACAGGGTTTCACCAAGTTGCTCAGGCTTTTTTTTTTTTTTTCCATCAGTATTTTTAAAGCTCCCAAGGTGATTCCAACATGCAGACAAGGTTGAGCAGCCCTGTTTTAAACTAAGGAATTGTGGTGTCCTCTCTTATTAGTTCAGTAATTATAACTAGCCAATGCTGCTGCTCAAGAGACCAGCTGGGTGCCTGGAAAGTGTCAAAAACAGAGCATACCTGTGCCAGGTGGACCATAGAGAATGACCCCCTTAGGAGGCTTTATACCCATCTCTTCATAATATTCAGGATGGGTGAGAGGAAGCTCCACAGATTCCTATGAAAAACAGTATGAATGAAAGGCTTTACTGAAATTATTAGCATATTTACTAATTGGCAACATGACAATATCTTGCTTTCAACAAAAATAAGTAAAAATCTCAATTACTCTTCTTAGAGACAATGTGCTTGATTTCTATTAGCAGCAAAGACATACTGAAGATGACACCTGTCCTGCTTGAGTTCCCCGCACCCGTTCCATCTCCCTAACCACACCCAATTCCCCTTTTACTTTCTAGTAGAAGTCAGCCTGGAGCTCTTCTTGAGCAAGAGAGACTTAATAAAGCTCAAGTTGACCCTTTTCAATTAAACTACAGATAGGACTAGGAAAGACTTCCTGATGGCTGTTCCCATCTAGGGACATTACAGCTATTTCTCAGCTGCCTCAGAGGTCCCTAGCAGAGATCTGTGATGGCTCGGAATGACTTCCCTATGAAAGATCATGCAGAGAGCCGACGGCCATCCTCAATGACCATATGCCCTGCATATGGTCCAGCCCCCAGGGCTGCTGAAGGCACTGGGATTATGCTCCAACCCCACTGCTGTCTAAATGTGTGCAAGTACACATGCTATCTCCACAAAGCACTGGAGGCTTCCAGATAAACACAACTGAAGTCAACATAATCAGAAACATTACATATTCACACAGACAATGCATTCAACATTACACTAAAAAGAAGGAAGCTGCAGCTGCTGCAGGAACTATCACACAACTGACTGTTATTTCTATCACCTAACTCAGTATTAACAAATACAAAAATACCACAACTGGCAAGCTCTGACTCAGCTACTGGTTTGATTAATAAATAAGCAAACATACAAAACACCTGCAAAGTATCCTAAATGGGACAACAGAAACCAAAACTGAAACCCAGAGATGGTTACCAATCAATCATACCTTAATTTCCTGAATTTGGTTGTCCAACCCCCCAATATCTGCATAGGTCTCCTGGGGGGCCTTTTCTACCTTCATCACTGTGACCAGGGGATCCGTGTCATCCATCAGCACCCCTATCACGGCATGCACCTAACAGGAAACATCAAGGTTTAACACAGGAACGTGAGGTTTGCTGGATCTGTTTACAGCAAAGCAATGCCAGTCATGGCATCCTTCTGCCTGAGGAGTGCTTTGGTGATCTACTTCCACGGGACAGGAAGATGAACCTAAGTGAGAAGAGAAAGCACTTCCGTGGGCTTTCTGAAAAAGACTATCACCTCACCTTGTGGTTGAGCAGGACCGAGCAGCCAGGTTCCAGCAGATCCTTGTCTACAAATGAAAGAATGCTGACGTAGTGTTCTGAGCCCACAGATGTAGACACGATGGCATGATTGTCATCAATGATCTCTTCCAAGGTTCCTACTGACATCGGGGTCCCCCTCAGATCATCCACTTTTGATCTTTCCTCCTACATATGAAAATGCCAAGGGAAAAAAGCAGACTAGACCTCAAAGTAGATGATCCTGATAGTTCGCTAGATTTACAAAGCAGCCGATGCTTGTAAAAGGCAGCTAATAATACTCATGAAAGCCTGGACAGGTTCAGCTACTTGAATTTCATTTATTTGTTGACAATTTTATAGAATTCAATTTGTAAAAAAGAAAATGATAGTAACTTTTCAACTTACCTCTTGCTTTTCTTCTAATGGTTTCATTTGTTCCTGATTTCTAATGAATTCTTCCTCCATGAGAAGATAGTCTTTAATTCTCTCTAACTTCAGTAATTTTAACCGGCACTGAGTGTGAGGTGTCACTGAAATTTAAATATAAAGTTTCATTATATGTGGACCCTGAAGTTTGCAAGTAAGGAAAAAATATTAAGATTTTAAAATACGCTCATTTTTGTTGGCGATAGCTTCAGAAAAATTCAGTTTGGTAACTCTAAGTAAACCGGTGCCAAAATGGAAAGGGGAGTGTGGCTGTTATATAATCAAGCCCTTCAAAATGGGGATGGGGTTTATGACCAAATAGCTAGCCCCAAATGACACACCCTGGCTGAATAGTCTGTATACTTAAAGAAGAAAAAAGCTACTGACCCATCAGATACCTGGGTCTGGTTTATTTTTTCCCATAGGTACTAATAAAAAGTTACATATGTTGCTCAGGCAGTATACACTGTTGTATGCTGGCTATATACATACTCATCTATTTGTAGAATTTTGAAATATCAGGGATATTAACCCTGCTTATCACATATATGGCAAATATTTTTTTTCCATACATTATTGTTTCTTTTGGCTTTGAAGTCTCAAGCCACGTAAGAATTGTGTCTTTTTTTTTTTTTGAGACGGAGTCTTGTTGCTCTGTCGCCCAGGCTGGAGTGCAGCGGCGCGATCTCAGCTCATTGCAACCTCTGCCTCCTGGGTTCAAGCGATTCTCCTGCCTCAGCCTCCCGAATAGTTGGAATTACAGGTGTGTGCCACCACGCCCAGCTAACTTTTTGGATTTTTAGCAGAGACGGGGTTTCAACGTGTTAGCCAGGATGGTCCCAATCTCCTGACCTCGTGATCCACCTGCCTCAGCCTCCCAAAGTGCTGGGAATTGTATCATTTTTACAGATAAATATGTCAACCTTTTCTCTTATGGTTTCTGGGTTTTCCAAGTTACTTCAAAAACTGTCTTCTTCCCTAAGGTTAAATATATTTCTGAATTTTCATTTATTTATTTTCACATGTATACCTGTATTCCATTTGGCAAGAGTCAAGAATCTAATTTCATTTTCTCTGGACAAAAACTTTTGAAATGCCTTTTATATTTTTTTAATTTTATTATTATTATACTTTAAGTTTTAGGGTACATGTGCATGACGTGCAGGTTTGTTACATATGCATACATGTGCCATGTTGGTGTGCTGCACTCATTAACTCGTCATTTACATTAGGTATATCTCCTAATGCTATCCCTCCCCCTCCCCCCACCCCACGACAGGCCCCAGTGTGTGATGTTCCCCACCCTGTGTCCAAGTATTCTCATTGTTCAATTCCCACCTATGAGTGAGAACATGCAGCATTTGGTTTTCTGTCCTTACAATAGCTTGCTCAGAATGATGGTTTCCAGCTTCATCCATGTCCCTACAAAGGACATGAACTCATCCTTTTTTATGGCTGCATAGTATTCCATGGTGTATATGTGCCACATTTTCTTCATCCAGCCTATTAATGGACATTTGGGTTGGTTCCAAGTCTTTGCTATTGTGAATAGTGCCGCAATAAACATACATGTGCATGGGTCTTTATAGCAGCTTGATTTATATTCCTTTGGGTATATACCCAGTAATGGGATGGCTGGGTCAAATGGTATTTCTAGTTCTAGATCCTTGAGGAATCGCCACACTGTCTTCCACAATGGTTGAACTAGTTTACAGTCCCACCAACAGTGTAAAAGTGTTCCTATTTCTCCACATCCTCTCCAGCACCTGTTGTTTCCTGACTTTTTAATGATTGCCAATTGCCATTCTAACTGGTGTGAGATGGTATCTCATTGTAGTTTTGATTTGCATTTCTCTGATGGAAATGCCTTTTATATTAAATAACCCACCCTATTCCCCACAGACCTGAAGTGGCACCTTCAATGTATATTAAATATCCATGTAACATGACTGGTTTTGGACTTCCTACTCTGTTCTGGTGGCCTCTTTCTGTACCAATACCATACCAATTCATTATGGTAGACCAATGGCTGGTTTTACTGATTTCCTTCAATTAACTGAACAATATTTTTTAAAGTAGTTTAAGTATTTCTTCTTAGTTTTTTCTTCTAAGCAGGGAAGAGCATATTTAGATGAGCATTTGGGGAGGTATTTGAGCTGAAGCCTAAAGGATGAGAAGCAAGTAGCCATGAGAAGAACTGGGGGAACATTTTAAGCAGAGGAGTGAGTAAGGGCAAAGGCCCTGATATGTACAAAAGTCAAAAAAACATAAGGCAGGCAGTGTGACCGATGAGCAAGGGGGAGTGGCAGGGCTGAGGTCGGAGAGGTGGGCTGGGTCAGGTCACTTGGTATGAATTTTATTCTATGTTCGGCAGGAAGCCATTGAAAAATTTTATTATAACTTCAGGCTTGCATGATCTGAATTTCAATACAGTGGCATTTCATTTCATGAAATAAACATGATTCTTAGTTACTAAAGTTCAACCTGGGTTTTGTCATTTAAAACTATACTTTTATTTTATTTATTTATTTTGAGACAGAGTCTTGCTCTGTCATCCAGGCTACAGTGCAGTGGCACAATCTTGGCTCACTGCAATCTGCCTCCTGGGTTCGAGTTAAAACTATACTTTCAATCCACTAGAGGAGCCAGTTAAAGAAAAATGGTGACTTTTTTGTTTTTTTTTCTTTTTTGAGACGGAGTCTCGCTCTGTCGCCCAGGCTGGACTGCAGTGGTGCAATCTCAGCTCACTGCAAGCTCCGCCTCCCGGGTTCATGCCATTCTCCTGCCTCAGCCTCCCAAGTAGCTGGGACTACAGGCACCCGCCACCACGCCCAGCTAATTCTTTGTATTTTTAGTGGAGACAGGGTTTCACCGTGTTTTGCCAGGATGGTCTCAATCTCCTGACCTTGTGATCCGCCCGCCTCGGCCTCCCAAAGTGCTGGGATTACAGGCGTGAACCACCGCACCCCGCCACGGTGACATTTCTTAAAGTGAGACACAATCATATAATACTGTATTTTAAAACAAAAGATAACTTGTATGCCAACCTAGAGGAATGCCACACTCAAGAGTGAGGTAGAAATGAATCACAAAGCTAGAGCTTCAGTTGCCCCTCTACTTCCTGTTACCCCTTTCAGACTCTAAGCTACATGCACAGAGATGGTTTATCCTAAGAACTGGAAAGATGGCAAGGAGAAGCCATGTCATTACCCAGTGGCAGTTTGCTGGCAGCATCTGGTCCCTTTGTTTTCTTCTTCTTTTTCCCCACTCTAGTTGGTACAGGAGGTTCATATTTCTTTTTCTTGTCCTTGAGTTGTTAGAATAGCAGGAAAAAAAAATCACATGAAAATCATATTAAAACACACATTTATTTCTGTACCACCATCATCTATTTTCAGGTGGTACAATTTTCCTTATCTTTTAGGATGTTATTAAAAACCTGACTTGTTTCACATTCCTGCAATTTTAATAAGTAAATATGATTATAATAAGTAAATGTAGGCTGGGTGTGGTGGCTCACGTATGTAATCCCAGCATTTTGGGAGGCTGAGGCGGGAGGATCACTTGAGGTCAGGAGTTTGAGACCAGCTTGGCCAACATGGTGAAACTCCATCTCTACTAAAAATACAAAAATTAGCCGGGTGTGGTGGCAGGCACCTGTAATCCCAGCTACTCGGGAGGCTGAGACAGGAGAATTGCTTGAACCCAGGAGGCGGAGGTTGCAGTGAGCCGAGATCATGCCACTGCACTCCAGCCTGGGTGACTCCGTCTCAATAATAATAATAATAACAAATGAAAATAAATGTAATCGTTTTACCATACACATAAGTGACAATTAGCCATATTATTCCAATAAGGTATAGAGGGTTAAGAATCAAGTTATATGCCAAAAGTTTAGGTAACCTGAGACAATCTTCATACCTCAGGCTATTAGACACCAAAATTATAGGCAATTTACTTTAATACTTCTATAATGTCATTGCTTTTACACAAATAAATAACTCATAAATACCTATCTGATGGTTAGGTCAATAACCTTTTCTAAAGCATGAAAAGCATATTTATTGTATCTGTAGGACAGGCTAGTTTAAAAACTACTGGATCATTCTACTTTTTAAAATTCATGAATCCCCACAGAACTTCTCAGCCGAGACCCATGACATTTTCCACAATTTGCTCATATCACAGGACAAATCTGGCATATTTACCTTGTCATCCTTCTTGCCACCTCCAGGACCATGACCACCACTCTGACTTTGACCCTGGAGGAGAAAAATCAGGCACAGATGTAAATTCAGAATATGATCACTTCAAAAGAATAACTTTATACTGTCCTGTGAGTCTATAACATGTCCTGTGAGTAACATTTCTCCCTCATTTGAACATTTCTGAACCCAAGATGTAATACTTGCAGTCAATGTGTGCATTTAGTGTGGCAGAATTTCTTTTTCCCTGAAAAGATGTTCGATAGATTACTGGTGCACCTGGCAATTGATTGCATCTTAGAATCAAGAACAACTCTATTGAGAAGTAGATACAACTAAAGAGGCTGAGAGTCTTAAGATCACCCCCCTCTTGAGGGGAAAATATGGAGCTTCACATCTCTTGATAGGAAACTACCGGACTGAAGCTATCAAGAATGTATTCCATAAAATCAGGCTATGAAAGCTACGTCATTTTACACACTCAAAAATCGTTTACCAATCATTTACCCCTTACTTAGATCACACCAAGATCCAGAAGACTTTCCTTCCAATAGCACCTTATCCAATTCCTACCCCTAAAGCCAGGGGGCTCTGGGGCAGGTCTTTCTTCTCAATCTGAAAAGCTCCATCACCTTAAGGTGTTAAGAACTTAGTGTATTAATAAACTCAGTGGGATTCCTGATTTTAAGAGACCCTACAGTTATAGGACAATGCTTAACACTGAGCAATGTCTCAGAAATGGTGGCATTTCAAATATAAAGATGAGTGAACTTACTGATTAGAAGGGCCCACTCAGCTCCCTCAAATCAGCTCCACACAGGCACTTCTAAATTAATACACCAACACTTCTTCACCTCTTGGGCATTTTACATGTTTCTCAGTCTTAAATAACAAGTACATCAATTACTGAACCCCTACTATATGCCAGGCAGTGTCCTAAACATTCTCCAAGTATTATCCCACTTAATTCTTACAAACACGATGACACTGGTACCATCATTACCCCCTCATTTGCAGATAAGAAGACCAAGGCCCAGAGAGCTTAAATGACTTGCCTGTTGTCACAAAGCTTGTCAGAGATGGAGCCAGGAATCACATTCAGGTTTGCTGAATGCCAAAACCTGGGTGTTTCTCTACTGTTCTAGAAAAAAAACGATGGGGCTTGTGTTCCAGCACAGCCACTTACTGTGTTTCCATTTCTTCCTTATCAAAATGAGGACAGTAGTAATTACCTCGAGGGAACTGTTGTAATAAATGAGAAAATGCTGGAAAAGTACTTGGTACATGCTTAGAATACTACCCAGAAATCCGTATAAGACCTCTATGAGGCCGGGCGCGGTGGCTCACGCCTGTAATCCCAACACTTTGGGAGGCCGAGGCGGGCGGATCATAAGGTCAGGAGTTCAGGACCAGCCTGGCCAACAGAGTGAAACGCCGTCTCTACAAAAATACAAAAATTAGCCGGGCGTAGTGGCGGGCGCCTATAGTCGCAGCTACTTGGAAGGCTAAGGCAGGAGAATCGCTTGAACCCGGGAGGCGGAGATCGCGCCACTGCACTCCAGCCTGGACGACAGACCAAGACTCCGTCTCAAAAAAATAAAAATTAAAATTAAAATAAAAAAGACCTCTATGAGATCTGGCCTTCTTGCCGTTCATGATACAGGTTAAACATTCCCATCTCAGGTCCTTTGCACTTGCTGTATCTTCTGCCTTGACCACATTTCCCTCAGACATCTGCAGGGGTTACTCCCTCAATTTCGGTCCGCTCAAATTTCACCTCCTCAGAGCTACCTTCGCTGACTCTATAAAAAGCAGCCACTCCTCCAAGCTATCCCTTTCTATACAATAACCATACAACAATGACCACCCCACCCCTGACATCATATTACATATTTCTGATGATTGTCTGCCTTCTGCTCTAGAATGTACGCACTATGAAGGCAGGGACTTCAATCAATCCTCAGTGTCTACAACAGAAGCTAGCCAAAAGTTTAACAACAACAACAAAACACCAAGTGCTCAGTAAATACTTGTTTAGTGAATTGATGAATAAATGCTAGCTGTTTTTATTATTACTACTGCACCACGGGCCCTTTCCGTCTTAGCTCCGCCTGTCATAACAACGTCTTTAAGGCCTCCTTCAAATGCCCCCAGCTCCGAAAGGCCTTCCACGACTCCGCGCTCAACTCCTCAGGTGGAATGAATCCCACCCTCTTCTCCAGCACCCTTCACCTGCCCGACTCAAAAAGCATTTTTCCCGGTGACTCGAGGAGGCGCCCCCGAAACTCCCAGCGCCGATCAGCAAAGCCCTGGTCGGCGGAGCAGCAAAGCCAGCGGCCTGATCCGTTCTGCCGCCCCACAAGACCACGCAGGAGACCCTCTCTCTGCTCTGAGCCCCGGCCCCAGGATCCCCGGGCAAGGCCCGTTGGTCGGCCCCGGCCCGCGGTGGACATGAGCGCGGTCTCTGGGAGCCTCCACCCGCCGAGAAGATCAGGCCGGCAAAAGGAGAAGAGGGCTGTCCCAGTTCCTCGGGCAGCCGCCTCTTTCTCTCGCCTCAGGCTGCTGAGACCCCATCGCACCGCGACGACCAGCGGAAAGAAACCCTTAGTCACTCACCATCTTGCCTTGGCCACTTGAGCTGCCGCTGCCGGAAGTTCCTCCACCACTGCGGCCCGCCAGAGGCGGAAGTCGTTAGGGACGCTACGGAAGCTGATAGGAACCAAATTCTGCGCTGACCAAGTTGTGCTCCAAGGGCTTGTGCGGGCGGTCTAGGGCAACGCAGCAGTTTATAAGCATAAAGTGAACTTTATAAATATTTTACTTGAAAGAAATTTTTGAATACCCGTTATGAGGCGCTTGTCAACAACTTAAGACAATGACCCCTACTGTCAAAGAATTAGGACAATCGTGAAAATATAAAATATTTAAATTATGCAAAATTTATAACTGGGAAGAACTTTATGGTTCTAAAAACTGGAATGGTATTTGGAACTGGGAAGTTGACATATACATTTGCACAAATATTTCAGTTATTATTCAGCTTCTGGAATTTAACCTGCACATCTGGGAGTATGTGTGTAACGAGTCTTCTAAACCTGTCTTTTTCTGATGACCTGTGACTTGTGATGATGCCAAATGTCTTAAATTCCTCATCTTGAAGCTGATTGGTAAAGTTCCTCATTTGTTACACCCTCCAGGACATCAGAAAAATGGCAACAATCCCTTCTGTTTCTGGAAATTTCATTAACAAGTGCTCAAAATACTGCATCTTTCTGAACTGGAGAAATGGATGATTTTTTTTCTGCTCCAGATTGATTTAGGGATTTTAGTTGTGAAACACTAAAAATATTTCCCTTATGAACACACAACAGGTATACTTCTTCCTTTTCATCATCACTGCAACACGGTAATAGAAAGTCTTAGCACTATCGACCTCTGTTAACAAATCTGGCATCTAGTGTACATGACACATGAAATCACACGATAGGACAGTATCACACATAGGATAGAGATGGTGAAACTCCCATCTCTACTAAAAATACAAAAATTAGTCGGGCATCATCGTGGGCATCTGTAATCCCAGCTGCTTGGGAGGTCGAGTCATGAGAATCTCTCGAACCTGGGAGGCGACGGTTGCAGTGAGATCACGCCCCTGCACTCCAGTCTAGGTGACAGAGCGAGACTCTGTCTCAAAAAAAAAAATTAATAAAAATTTAAAAAACAAAATAAATATCCTTTCCCTAATGCATTTTACAAGAAACAAGTAAATAGTAAAATATATAGTATGCCACATAGTGGTAAATGCCATAGGAAAAATTAATGCCTAGGAAAAATGCCTAGGATTAGGAGCATGCAGCAGTGGTGGGTGATTTTAACTTTAAATTGGATGATACTTGAGCAAAAGCCCGTAAGGCATGAAGGAGTAAGCTATTCAGATATCTGGTGGAAGAGCTTTCTAGGTAGAGGGAACAGCCAGGGCAGAGGCCCTGCAGTAGAAGCTGCAGAGGATGGAGATTAGAGACACCATATAGTGAAGAAGTCAGAAACAGGCACATAACTCCCAGTGGAAGCTCAGCGGTTAAAGGCGAGTCAATAGAACCCAGTAATGAAGAGAGTAGCCAACGTTGGCATCAGACTTTCCTATTGTGGCTGTAGGAAGTGACATAAAGTAAGCAGAAAATTTAAGTTTATCTACATAATGGACAGCTAAGAGAAAGCAGGGAGAGGATTAGAAAGACTACTTGGAGTGCTCAGCACTTGGGGAGGTTGGAAGTTGCAAGTGGAAAAGAGGGAGAGTTGCAGAGATGACTGTCAACCGGGTGGGGAGGATTGAGAGTCAGCCATAGGGCAAAAGAGATGCACAGGGGCTGGGCGCCGTGGCTCACGCCTGTAATCCCAGCACTTTGGGAGGCCGAGGCGGGTGGATCACCTGAGTTCAGGAGTTCAAGACCAACCTGACCAATATGGTGAAACCTCATGTCTACTGAAAATACAAAAATTAGCTGGGAGTGGTGGCAGATGCCTGTAATCTCAGGTACTCGGGAGGCTGAAACGGGACAATCGCTTGAACCTGGGAGGCGGAGGTTGCAGTTAGCCGAGATTGCGCCATTGCACTCCAGCCGGGGCGAAAAGAAGGAAAATCCATCTCAAAAAGAAAAAAAAAGAAAGTGACCATAAATGTAGTGCTCAAAGCTAGAAGGTCTCTGGGTTAGAAGTTCAACTTGGGTCTCACAGGGCTAAAATCAAGATACCAACAGGTTTCCTCTCCGGAGGCTCTGCTCTAGCTGTGTGACATCAGCAAGTCATCCTCATTTTCTCATCTGTATAACGGGATAATTATCTACCTTGCCGGCTGAGGATACGGAGAGGATAAAACTCTTGTTTTTTGATTCTTAAGAGATTTTTGCCAAAAGTAGATGGAATGGAGGCTGAGGTAGGAAGGTGTCCAAACGTGGACGGAGGGCTCATGCTAGGGTGGACAGAGGGGGCGGGGCCGGGGTGGACAGAGGGCAGGTGCCAGAGGCGAGCGTGCATCCTGTTCAGCAGCCCCCCTGCAACCTCAAGCACATCAGAACCAGCCCAGATGCTGACAAAATGCAGACTCTGGTGCCATCCGCCAGAGACTGTGATTCTATAGGCCCATGGCAGGGCCCAGACACCTGCATTTTAACAGATACCCCAAGGGATTCTGAGGCTGGGTGACTCATACACCACATTTTTAGAGCCGGAACTCCAGAACACTGGTCTGCAAAGCAGGGCAGCCACACCCTGGTGGCCCAGGGGCCCATTCGTGTGTTGGAAGAAGCCATCAGAATGACTTTTTATTTAAAAAATAAGAATAATTACTAATCAAACAGCCAAGGGGTTAACGCCAGGTCTCGTTTCCAGCCTTGTCACCAGTGAGCTGTGTTGTTGTGTCTCAGTTCTGTCGTCTGTGAAATAGGGACCTTTATAGTTCCTCCTTCATGGTGCCATTGTTTGAGGACTAAAGTAAAATGCTGAGAATTGCACTTGGCATAGGACAATTACTCTAGGTATCAGCTACTCTGATTATTATTATTATTTTGAGACAAGGTCTCATGCTGTTACCCAGACTGGAGTGCAGTGACAGAATCTTGGCTCATTGTAACCTCCACCCCCCAGGTTCAAGCGATTCTCCTGCCTCAGCCTCCCAAGTAGCTGGGATTACAGGCACCCGTCCCCATGCCCAGCTAATTTTTGTATTTTTAGCAGAGACGCGGTTTCACCATGCTGGCCAGGCTGGTCTCCAACTCCTGACCTCAAGTGATCCACCCACCTTGGCCTCCCAAAGTGCTGGGATGACAGGTGTGAGCCACCGCGCCTGGCCTTATTAGTATTTCTTGTTAATATACAAATTGCCATTGGCACACTCATTCTGTGCATATATTAGATGGTCCCGTATCCCATTCAAAATTTACAATCTCTTCGTAGAGTGGTACAGTGATCTTCAAACACATTTCTTCATGCATTCTCGAAAGTAATTTGCAAAATGTATTTCTTGATACATTTCTAGGTTAGCATCTAAATTTCATATAAGTTTAAATAGCTGCAAATGATCCACTTGCCAGGAAGTTTTAAGTATTGACATTTTAATGTATATACACAAAGGAATCTAACTATCATGATAGCTTGATATCTCATCCATTTCAAACTTATGTACGCAGGCTCTTTTCTAGCATTGAAAATATTTGCTTTCATCTCTTTTCCCTTTGAAGCGAATATTTCCATTCCATTTATCATGCATACTTTTATCCTAATATCATGTATGTTGAGGCTGGAAAACATTTTATTGATTGACCTCTCGCACATTTTTGCAAAAGTTTTATGTAAGTCAAAAATTTTTAATGTATTCTATTTTCTGTGTCTTTTGGGTCCTACATGCTAAAAATGTTTTCTGGATTTTGAATTATTATCAATTACCACTAGTACGCACTTGATCAAGATGATATACAGTTTGTGCTAAGTTAGTGTTCATTTCACCTACCCATGGATGGATATGACAATGTCAGAATGAGGCAGGATTCAGCACCAATTCTAGTCTCATTAGTTATTGTTTATAGATGTTTGGGCTGAGAATTCTCGTTCACATAAATGGGAAATGAAATAATTTTGTAATGAAAATGTCACACAATTCTTTCCAATCCTGTGTTCTAAACAGAAAATCACACAGTGATTGATCCACAAAATCTATTACTAATGATAACTTGAAATAAGTCTTCAATGTGTTTGCAAAGAACTAGAAAACATTGGAGGTGCAAAACAATTCAGTCACCAGTCATTAGGGTCATTCAGTTTCTTAGTTTCTGGGAAATGCACCCAAAAGGCTTTCCCACGACCTACCAAATACTATCCATGAAGACCTGTTACTCCTTCACTCAGAGTTTAAACCAATAGCCTGAAAAAGAACTGAAAAATCTTGACTATCGTTAATCTTATTATACCCCTGGAAATACAATTTTTTTTTTTTTTTGAGACAGGGTCTTGCTCTGTTGCCCAAGCTGGTGTGCAGTGGCATGATCTGGGCTCATTGCAACCTCCACCTCCCAGGTTCAAGCCATTCTCCTGCCTCAGCCTCATGAGTAGTTGGGACTACAGGCACCTGCCACCACGCCCGGCTAATTTTTGTATGTTTTGCAGAGACGAGGTTTCACCATCTTGGTCAGGCTGGTGTCAAACTCCTGACCTCAAGTGATCCACCCACCTCGGCCTCCCAAAGTGCTGGGTTTACAGGCGTGAGCCACCACACCCAGCCTGGAAAAACGACATTTTTCATACGATTTTAAAATCATAAGAATTTAAAAGTTAACCTTCTTTAGATATATTTTTGTCAAAACCATGGAGCAGCAGAGTTTTAGAGCATTCTATTTCTGAAAAATGTCCAATTGACAATTAGTGCTCCACTTCAACCCATTGAGCCAAATCAGATTTATTTCTTGGGAGGAAAAAAAAAAAACCCTCAACTTTGTTTTTCAATTACACAAACCTCTTCATATGTAATTCAAAAAATATTATTTTTTAAATGACAGAGATAAATTATGGAATGCAACTCATAAGACAAATGATCAGAAACAGTTAAGATAAAATTAAAATAATATATTCACTTTATCGTTATATATAAGAAAAAATTAATATTTGTTTCTCTTGATTTTTAATAGTGCAATTATCATGTAGCTGAAATATGAGTTATCTGTGAAGCAAGGATTATAATAAAATGTATGGTATTCTTGGGTAAATATGTGTGTGTGTGAATTTTTTAATTAACACTTGGAGAAACTCTGTCTCTACTAAAAATACAAAATTAGCCAGGCGTGGTGGTGCATGCCTGTAATCCCAGCGACTTGCGAGGCAAGGGCAGGAGAATCGCTTGAACCTGGGAGGTGGAGGTTGCGGTGAGCTCAGATCACGCCATTGCACTCCAGCCTGGACAACAAGAGCAAAACTCCGTCTCAAAAAAAAAAAAAGAAAAAAGAATCGAGCATAAAAATCAGAATAATTACATTAATTTTGTAAGACATCATCAGGATTAAACATTTTCATTTCAGGGAAGAGAAAATAAATATACAATATTGTTAAAATTTAATTTTTCGGCCGGGCGCGGTGGCTCACGCCTGTAATCCCAGCACTTTGGGAGGCAGAGGCGGGCAGATCATGAGGTCAGGAGATCGAGACCATCCTGGCTAACACAGTGAAACCCCGCCTCTACTAAAAATACAAAAAATTAGCCGGGCGTGGTGGCGGGCGCCTGTAGTCCCAGCTACTCGGGAGGCTGAGGCAGGAGAATGGCGTGAACCCGGGAGGCGGAGCTTGCAGTGAGCCGAGATCGCGCCACTGCACTCCAGCCTGGGCGACAGAGCGAGACTCCGTCTCAAAAAAAAAAAATAATAATAATAATAATAATAATTTTTCTGGCAAATACATTTCAAAAATAGGAAGTAGAAAACAAAAACATTTTTAAAGATGAAATAAGATGACAATTTATTCTGACAATCAGAATAAATATTTCATGTGACTGGATAAAAATAACTTTTAGCAACCTCATTGAATAATACCTGCTAAATCTGAAAGAAATTAAGTTAGGGTTTAATCAATGTGTTTTTCTGTTATCTAAAGCAGTCTGAAATATCGAGTAGTCCCAGCAAACCCTGTAGTTACCCTGAAAAGACTATTACAAACCAATATTGCTTCCGCTGTTCTAATTTACATTTTGTCCTAAGGGCAAGTATTGAGATTAGCTGAAGAAAGTGCTCCTGTTTAAATGCATTTTAAAAAGTCATTTTCAGCCTCAGTGTCTGTTACCAATGCTTGTTTGCTTTACTCTCTAGGGAGGCTCTGTCAAGAGTGATGCATTTTATGTCAATGCATTTTATGCAAACGATAGGTCATCAAGATTGGGCCTGGTGGCTCACGCCTGTAATCCCAGCACTTTGGGAGGCCAAGGCGGGCAGGTCACTTGAGGTCAGGGGTTCAAGACCAGCCTGGCTAACATGGTGAAACCCCGTCTCTTCTAAAAATACAAAAAAAGAAAAAATTAGCTGGGCGTGGTGGCAGTTACCTGTAGTCCCCGCTACAGGAGTCAGGCCTAGGGTTTAGTCTAAAAAAAATTCCGAATTATGTCTATTTTGCGAGCTATCATGATCTGGGTCTTTAATTGTGCCTTCTTCCTTTTGCTGTATCTGGCATAACATTTACAAGAGATATATAATGCTAATACAGTGATACATACCATAAAGATAGCAAAGATTAGGCATCCAAGAAGGTTATAGGTAGAGTTCAGAGGGCAGTCCACAATCTAACCAGCCAAAAAACCGCTGCATGCATCATCATATTCTTTGGTCAGACTCACAATGTGTTCACCCTCCTTATCAAGGGTCATTTGAACCTTATGATAAATCTTATTTGAGGATTGTAGGACCAACACTATATCAGAATCCAATAAATTTAATCTCTCTTCCAGCCAATGTATTGCTACAGGTATATCATCCTGAGGAAGGTATAAATCAAATGCAAGGAACGCCTGGTCCTCAGTGTCTAAATTGTCATAGGACTTGTTAACAGTGGACAAATCAACTTTTCTCACCACTTTTGTATTGCCCCATATACTGGTATTTGGGGGGTGGGGAAATAAAATTAAGAATGAGAGTTATCTTAGAGTTCATGAGGACTGGCCTGATCCAGCATCTCTGGAAACATGTTGGCTTTCCTTGTATCCCCAGATACCTGCTGAGCCTCTCGTGTTCTCTTGATTCACAGATCTGCCCACCTCGGCCTCCCAAAGTGCAGAGATTTCAGGCGTGAGCCACTGTGCCTGGCCCAGGTGCTCATTTTAGGTGTGAAATATGAATCCAAGAAGTGACTCCCTTTAACTTTGCAGTGCAAGACTTGGTTAAAAGCACCTGAGGGGAGGCTGAGGCAGGCGGATCACGAGGTCAGGAGATCGAGACCAGCCTGGCCAACATGGCAAAAGCCTGTCTCTACTAAAAATACAAAAAGTTAGCCAGGCATGGTGGCAGGTGCCTATAGTCCCAGCTACTTGGGAGGCTGAGGCAGGAGAATGGCATGAACCTGGGAGGCGGAGCTTGCAGTGAGCCGAGATAGCGCCACTGCACCTGGGCAACAGAGCCAGACCCCGTCTCAAAAAAAAAAAAAAAAAAAAAGCACCTGAGAAGGTCCTTTCCAGTGGGGTTGTAGGGAATCCTTCAGTTGGTGTCTTTTCCAATATACAAAGTCACCTGGCTGTAATCCATGGTCTTGGGGTCATCTGCCCCTGAGAGCTCACTGTGGAAAGATTCTGTTACCAGCTTTGTTTTATTTGTTAAGGTTTTGTGGAGCCCTTGGCAATAGTGCAATATTTCCCCTGTGAGTAAGGCTGTATGAGCCCTCATTCAGCCTCACAGGTCTCCCTGTTATCATTTAATTGGGCAATAAACAATGTTTTCCAAAAAGAATGGATCTAAGATTAAGCAAGACCAGTGGGAGGGTTTTTGGCCAAGGGAGGTTTAAAGACTTCATCAACTTAGCTAATTGAGTTTTTATTGTGCCATTTGTCCGTTCCACCAGCCCGGAGGATTGGGGATGGTAGGCAGAATGGAAATGTTGTATTATGGGCCAGATTTTGCAAATGGATTGAATAACTTATCCAGTAAAATGAGTCCTGCGATCACTGTGCAGTTCAAAAGGAATTCCCCAAATGGAATGATTCTCTCTAACAAAATTTTCCCTACTGTTAAGGCAGTGGCCTTATGACAAGGAAATGCTTCTACCCAATGAGAAAATATGCAATCTAAGACCAGCACATATTTGAAATTTTGAGATGGCGGCATCTGGATAAAATCCAACTGCCATACTTCAAAAGGTCCTACTGGCAAAGGGAAATGACCTTGGGAGCCATGTAACGGCTTGCCGGGGTTCTGTTCTGGGCATATAGTATCGAGTATACATTTTGGGCTGCCATGGGGGATGGTTTCCAAAAGTATTGTTTTCCCCATGATTCCATTTTTTCAGGGACCCAGTGAGTCATTTCATGAATAAATGGAAGGAAAAGCAATTGTGCACCTATGGCAATTACAGTTTTTTTGTTAGGCCCTAGCCATAATTCCTTACTTGGGTTGAGCATGCCTCCATGCTTCCCTTCTGCTGCCAGGTTTGTTTCTCTTTTCTTTCTTCCTTTCTTTTCTTCTTTCTGTGTGTGTGTGTGTGTGTGTGTGTGTGTGTGTGTGACGAAGTTTTGCTCTTGTTGCCCAGGCTGGAGTGCGATGGCGCAATCTTGGCTCACTGCAACCTCCACCTTCCCGGGTTCAAGCGATTCTCCTGCCTCAGGGTTCCGAGTAGCTGGGATTACAGGCATGCACCACCACGCTCGGCTAATTTTGTATTTTTAGTAGAAACAGGGTTTCTCCATGTTGGTCAGGCTGGTCTCGAACTCCCGACCTCAGGTCATCTGCCCACCTCGGCCTCCCAAAGTGCTGGGACTGCAGGCGTGAGCCACCGCGCCCGGCTGCCAGGTTTGTTTCTCTTGACGGGTAGATGCTTGTTGACACTGTAAAAGAATGTTAGTGAAGGTATTTGTAGGATGAAAGTTACATTCCTGTACAGGACAGGACTTCTTTCCTAGGTCAGCATTCTTTGCTGCAGCATTAGCTAGATTATTTCCTTTTGTTTCTTTAGTGTTATCCTATGAGTGCCCAGGAATTTGTATGATTGCAAGTCGCTTTGGTATCTGAATTGCTTCTAGTAACTCTGAGACTTAGTGTCCATTTCATATGGGCTGTCCCGATGAGGTCAGAAATCCTCTCTGTTACCATAGCATGCCAAAATCATGGTCCACTCTGAAAGCATATTGGCTATCTGTACATATATTTGCCACTTTTCCTTTAGTTAATTTACAAGCTCTAGTTAACGCTATTAATTCAGCCATCTGGGCTGAGTTGACTACTTGGAGTTGGGCACTTTCAATTATGTCTGTTACGGAAGTGATGGCGTATCCTGCCCTGTAATGCCCCTGGTTGTCCCTTAAATAAGAACCCGCCATGAACCACATTAATTCAGCTTATTCTCAATGGGAGTTTCCTGTAAAACTTCCCTAGGGGAGAGTAAGATGTTAGCAGATTGCAGTCATGTTCCTCTTCCTCTTCTTGTTCTCCTGGAAGGAGGAGCAGGGTAGCAGGGGTAAGAGTGTTACAGCTCTTCCATACTGCCCAAGGTAATTTATAAATTCAATGCCATCCCCATCAAGCTACCAATGACTTTCTTCACAGAATTGGAAAAAACTACTTAAAAGTTCATATGGAACCAAAAAAGAGCCCGCATCGCCAAGTCAATCCTAAGCCAAAAGAACAAAGCTGGAGGCATCATGCTACCTGACTTCAAACTATACTACAAGGGTACAGTAACCAAAACAGCATGGTACTGGTACCAAAACAGAGATATAGACCAATGGAACAGAACAGAGCCCTCAGAAATAATGCCGCATATCTCTAACTATCTGATCTTTGACAAACCTGAAAAAAACAAGCAATGGGGAAAGGATTCCCTATTTAATAAATGGTGCTGGGAAAACTGGCTAGCCATATATAGAAAGCTGAAACTGGATCCCTTCCTTACACCTTATACAAAAATTAATTCAAGATGGATTAAAGACTTACATGTTAGACCTAAAACCATAAAAACCCTAGAAGAAAACCTAGGCAATACCATTCAGGACATAGGCATGGGCAAGGACTTCATGTCTAAAACACCAAAAGCAATGGCAACAAAAGCCAAAATTGACAAATGGGATCTAATTAAACTAAAGAGCTTCTGCACAGCAAAAGAAACTACCATCAGAGTGAACAGGCAACCTACAGAATGGGAGAAAATTTTTGCAATCTACTCATCTGACAAAGGGCTAATATCCAGAATCTACAATGAACTCAAACAAATTTACAAGAAAAGAAAAAACAACCCCATCAAAAAGTGGGCAAAGGATATGAACAGACACTTCTCAAAAGAAGACATTTATGCAGCCAAAAAACACATGAAAAAATGCTCATCATCACTGGCCGTCAGAGAAATGCAAATCAAAACCACAATGAGATACCATCTCACACCAGGTAGAATGGCGATCATGAAAAAGTCAGGAAACAACAGGTGCTAGAGAGGATGTGGAGAAATAGGAACACTTTTACACTATTGGTGGGACTGTAAACTAGTTCAACCATTGTGGAAGTCAGTGTGGCGATTCCTCAGGGATCTAGAACTAGAAATACCATTTGACCCAGCCATCCCATTACTGGGTATATACCCAAAGGATTATAAATCATGCTGCTATAAACACACATGCACACGTATGTTTATAGCGGCACTATTCACAATAGCAAAGACTTGGAACCAACCTAAACGTCCAACAACGATAGACTGGATTAAGAAAATGTGGCACATATACACCATGGAATACTATGCAGCCATAAAAAATGATGAGTTCATGTCCTTTGTAGGGACATGGATGAAACTGGAAACCATCATTCTCAGCAAACTATCGCAAGGACAAAAAATCAAACACTGCATGTTCTCACTCATAGGTGGGAATCGAACAATGAGAACACATGGACACAGGAAGGGGAACATCACACACCGGGGACTGTTGTGGGGTGGGGGGAGGGGGGAGGGATAGCATTAGGAGATATACCTAATGCTAAATGACGAGTTAATGGGTGCAGCATACCAACATGGCACATGTATACATATGTAACAAACCTGCACATTGTGCACATGTACCCTAAAACTTAAAGTATAATAATAATTTAAAAAAAAAAGTAAAGTAAAAAAAAAAAAAAAGAGTGTTACAGCACTTCGACCACATGTGGTTGCTCACGCCTGTAATCCCAGCACTTTGGGAGGCTGAAGCAGGTGGATCACCTGAGGTCAGGAGTTCAAGACCAGCCTGACCAATATGGTGAAACCCCATCTCTACTAAAAATACAAATATTAGCCAGGTGTGGTGGCACGTGCCTGTAATCACAGCTACTCAGAAGGCTGAGGCAGGAGAATTGCTTGAACCCGGGAGGTGAAGGTTGCAGTGACCCAAATCATGCCACTGCACTCCAGTCTGGGCAACAGAGCAAGACTCTGTCTCAAAAAAAAAAAAAAAAGTGTTACAGTGCTTCAAAGTGATGTTGGGGGCAAAAAGCAGGAGTACCTCATAAGAGACAAGGTGGCTAACAGAATAGCATTGAGTCTGGTGAGAGCTTAGAAGAGATTTCACCCAGGCACAGTGGCTCACGCCTATAATCCCAGCACTTTTGGGAGGCCAAGGCAGGTGGATGACCTGAGGTCAGGAGTTTAAGACCAGCCTGGCCAACATGGTGAAAACCTGTCTCTACTAAAAATACAAAAATTAGCTGGGTGTGGTGGTGCCTGCCTGTAATCCCAGCTACTCTGGAGGCTGAGGCAGGAGAATTGCTTGGACCTGGGAGGCAGAGATTGCAGTGAGCCAAGATCATGCCACTGCACTCCAACCCCAGGTGACAGAGTGAAACTCTATCTCAAAAAATAAAACAAGAAGACATTTCACAGAGTGAGGTGCATAGATGGTCAGAGGGGACCCTAGGACAAATTCTTCCCTGTTTTGCATAGGGTGGCTGCAGCTGATACAGCCCTCATATCAGGAGGGCACCCCCTTGCAACTGGATATAACTATTGACTGAAATAACCAGTTGGTCTGTGATTGTCACCATGTTTTTGAGTTAATACTCCCAGAGCATTCCCATTTATTTAATGAACAAAGAGGGAAAAAGGAAGGCTGTAATTGGGGTGGCCTACAGCAAGTGCTTGGGTGAGAGCCTGTTTTAGATCTTCTATGTGTTGGTTTTCCCCCTCTTCCCAGTGGATTGGGTCCAGCTGGGTCTGTTTAGTTTTTTATATAGGGATTCGGTCATGAAGGAGTAGTTTGGAATCCAACTCCTGCAATAGCCCGTTAACCCTAAGCATCCTCTTAACTGCTTTTCAGTTTTGGGCATGGGAAAGATCATAACAGCAGAGATTCTCTCACAGTTTATTAATAGCCACCTTGGGGAAATCATATGTCCCAAATATTTAACTTGGGGAAGGCAAAATAGCAATTTATCTTTTGACACTTTGTGTCCCTTAAGAGCAAGCTGTTGTAATAGGTGGACAGTACCGTCTCTGCATTTTGGTATGGAGGATGAACACAATGATAAATCATTCACATACTGAATTAGAGTAGATTCATTTGGAAATTCAATGTCATCTAAATCTGCCTTTAGTATTTCAGAAAAATAAGTAGGACTTTAGGGAGAGCATTAGAATAAATACCTTATGCATGTAGGACTTAAAACCTAGATGACGGGTTGATGGGTGCAGCAAAACACCATGGCACATGTATACCTATGTAACAAACCTGCACGTTCTGCACATCTGTCCCGGAACTCAAAGTAAAAAAAAAAGAGGCTGGATGTGGTGGCTCACAGCTGTAATCCCAGCACTTTAGGAGGCCGAGGCAGGTGGATCACCTGAGCTCAGGAGTTCGAGACCAGCTTGGCCAACATGGCTAAACCCTGTCTCTACTAAAAATACAAAAATTAGCCAGGCGTGGTGGTGGGCACCTGTAATCCAAGCTACTTGGGAGGCTGAGGCAGGAGAATTGCTTGAACCCAGGAGGCGGAGGTTGCAGTGAGCAGACATTGCACCACTGCACTCCAGCCTGGGTGATAAAGCAAGACTCCATCTCAAAAAAAAAAAAAAAATATATATATATATATATATATACATAGGACTTTCAGAGTAGCCCTGGGGTAAGACTGTCCATGTGTATTGGTGATTTTCCAAAGTGAAAGCAATATACTGGCTATTTTGCTTTACAGGTATGCTGAAAAATGCACTACCTTATTACAGAGAAGTGGCTGGAAGTGATAGGAATTTGGACAGTAAGGTGTGGGGGTTAGGAACAAAAGGGTGTCTGGGAATTATTATTTTATTTATAACTCTTAGTTCTTGAACAAATCTCCAGCCTTTCCCATTTGGCTTTTTTTTTTTTTTTTTTTTTTGAGACAGAGTCTTGCTCTGTTGGCCAGGCTGGAGTGCAGTGGCATAATCTCAGCTCGTTGCAACCTCTGCCTTCCGGAGTCAACTGATTCTCCTGCTTCAGCCTCCCGAGGAGCTGGGATTACAGATGCCTGCCAACACGCCCAGCTAATTTTTGTGTTTTTAGTAGAGACAGGGTTTCACCATATTGGCCAGGCTGGTCTCGAACTCCTGACCTCAGGTCGTCCACCCACCTCGGCCTCCCAAAGTGTTGGGATTACAGGCATGAGCCACCATGCCCGGCCACCATTTGGCTTGTTAACTGGGAGGATTGGTGTATTGCAAGGGCTGGTGCAGGGTATTATGAGTCCTTTGTATAAATAGTCCTGAAAGATTGGTTTGGTTCCTAGTAAGGCTTCTGGTCTAAGGAGATATTGCCTTACATTTGGCAGAGGTTTGGATAGATTTATGGTTATCTCTATAGGGACTGCTGACTTAATTCTCCCAATATCTGTGGAAGAGTTTGCCCATAAGGAATCTGGTACCTTAGATAAGAAAGGTTCTAATTTTTCCTGTCCAGAATCTTGATTAACTTTCCCAATCATAACATTACATATGGGCTTTTCTAAGTCTTCTGTGTGTTCCAAGTTGAGAACCATTTCATTTCTCCCTCTGTAAAAATGAGATGTGAGCATTATGGGTCACTAGGAAATCCCAACCCAGCAGGTGTTAAGGGGGCACTATCTACTAGAAGAAAAACGTGATGCCCCACTAGTTTTCCTGATTGAAATGGAAGGGGATTTGATTTAAAGGCTACAATAGGAGAGTTTGAAACCCCTACCATTTAGACTTTTTCTTTACTCCAAGGGAAAAGGTCTTTAATCAAGGTAGGGTTAAAAACTGACAGTGTAACGCCGGTGTTGACAAGGACTTTGGTATCTTCCCCATTTATGAATATTTCTACTTCTCCTAAAGCATTAGATAGAAGTAGGAGGAAAGCCATCTCTATTCCCTCAGAACATCCCTATTCTGATTTTTGAATTGTTCTGGTGCCTTCCTTTGGGGTCTTTTGCCCCCTTTGTGTAAGCACCCATTTAAGTTTTTTGCATTCTTTTTTAAAATGTCCTTTCTTGGCTGGGCACAGTGGGGCACAGTGGCTCACGCCTGTAATCCTAGCACTTTGGAAGGCTGAGGAGGGTGGATTGCCTGAGCTCAGGAGTTCGAGACGAGCCTGGGCAACACAGTGAAACCCCATCTCTACTAAAATACAAAAAATTAGCCAGGCATGGCAGTGTGCGCCTGTAATCCCAGCTACTCGGGAGGCTGAGGCAAGAGAATCACTTGAACCCAGGAAGCAGAGGTTGCAGTGAGGCCAGACTGTGTGCCATTGCACTCCAGCCTGGGCAACAGAGTGAGACTCTGTCTCAACAACAACAACAACAACAAAAGTCCTTTCTTTTTGCAGTGGTGGCAAATTGCTTCCTCTTGGGGTAGCTTAGATCTCTGGGGACCATGGGACCCTTGCAAGCTCCCAACTTGGTTACTAAGTTGTTTTAGTTGTAAACTCATAATTTTGGAGACTGTTTCCTTTTCTTTCTTAATGATTGTTTGTGACAATTGGTCAGCTAAGGTAACTAGGTGGCTAGTAGGCAAGGAAGCCCAAGCCACATTGTTCCTCTTTATTAGGGTTGCTAACTCCTTATCTAAACCTTGAATAAACCCAAAATTTAGTAAGATGTCACTTCTACCACGTTCAAAGTTTTCAGGAGGTATTCCTGAAAACTGTTTGAATGTCTTTTCAAACCTGATATAAAAGTCAGGTACGGTTTCATTTGGGCGTATTTTACATTGTTGCACCTTTGCCCAATCTATGACCTTGGGGAATATCCGTGATACAGTTTCATGGAGGCAAATGCAAAGCTTCTCTGCATCTCTCTCTTCCAGTTGCATCTATTTTGTCAAAATCTTCTAAAGGCTATTTCTAATCTGCTGCTCTAAACCATTCTTCAGTTTTTTTTTTGGGGACCACTAACTCGATCAGCTGATACAGGTCAGAGAACCCCGGATCATAAGTCTAAAGCATTAATTGGAATTCCTTAGCAAATCCAAAGGGATCTTCACTCGGATTGGGGAATCCAGATACCAGGGCCTTTAACTCTGACTTGGTCCAGGGTTTATACATTATGTTAGGATCCCCTCTGCCTGTGGGTCTTACTCTAAAAGGAACAACTACAATGTTATTTTCTCCAGCTATTTCTGGTCCCTCTGTGGCTTGAAGCAAGAGAGTAGGGGAAGGAGGAGGAAAAATGAAATTGCCCAGAAAAGGAAGTTCAGAGAGAAGAGGGTCAAAAGGAGCAGAAGGAGAGACAGTTTCTGGAGCCTTCCTGATTTCAGAGGTGGCTTCTACTAATTTCTTTAATTCTGAGACAGTTTCGAAAAACTTTTAATTAACTTCCTGGAGGGAGGGAAGCTTATTATTCCCTCTTTTTGACAATTCTAGGTGCCAGCTAAAGTACAATTCCCATTCATTTTCTTTGATTTTGTAGCCTAATTTTTCTAATCTGGAGTGCAAGAAAATCAATTTAGGGATATCAAAAGTTCCCCATTTTGGAAACTTAGACCTAGGTCATTTTTAGTAAGATCTGCCCATTTACATAAATACTTGGAAGTAAAGAGGCCACAATTATTACACCTAAACCCAGCTGGGTGCCCATAGGGGGCCACTCTTCTTGCCTTTCCTCTTGTTTTGGAGGGTTTATTTTCCTTTTTTTTTTTTTTTTTTTTTTGGAACTTGGCCAGGCCCAGTGGCTCATGCCTTCAATCCCAGCACTTTGGGAGGCTGAGACGGGCAGATCACTTGAGATCAGGAGTTCCAGACCAGCCTTGTCAACATGGCAAAACCCCGTCTCTACTAAAAATACCAAAATTAACGGGGAATGGTGGCAATGCCTGTAATCTCAGCTACTTGGGAGGCTGAGGAGTATCACCTGAACCCAGAAGGCAGAGGTTGCAGTGGGCCAAGGTCATACCACTGCACTCCAGGCTGGGTGACAGAGTGAGATATTGGCTCAAAAAATAAAAAATAAAATAAACAAAAGAAAACTGACCTGTGCCTAAGGTTTTGTGTGGTGGACTGATATGTGCTGCTTGTGGGCAGGACTCCACTGTGTGTCACCACTGAGTCGTTTCCACCCTCTTACGTGTCTCAGTTTATCTCTTCAGAGGTCTGTCACCTCTGAGTGGGATTAAAAGGCTGGGCGATCAGCCCTTACATACATTTCCTGGACAAGCCTTTTTAAATTAATATTTGTTGGGAGTTTCCTATAGGGCTGCTGCAAGTCATGGGCTGGTCAACCCCCCAGACACTCCCACAAGGCCCCCAGTCACCCTGAGGTGACTTTCGGCTGGGAGGAGCAAAATGCCCTTTCTCTTTGGAGCTGAGGAACTCAGTCTGTCATTTACTTATGAAAAATAACTGTTCAGTTCCACACGCAGAGCACCCACAAGCCAATTGAGATTAATTTTGAGAGAAAAGGCAATGGATAAAGACCCTTTTGAATGCACCACTGAAACTAAAATTAAGGTTTTAACCAACTTTCTAGGAGAAAAGAGAGAGACAGAGAGAGAGAAAAACAGCTCAGGATAAATCAAGGACCATCAACCAAAATGGGAGGTCCAGGGCTCAGGAGGACTTACCAGTCCCACCAGAGGAGAAGCTCAAACTCAGTGAGGTTTCAGTGAGCCCCTGCTGGTACCTTAGCTCCAGTTTCAGGCAACTCCTTCAGGGTCCTGAGTCTTCTCAGAGGCCCCATGTTGGGCGCCAGATTACTGTCGATGAAAAGAGTCAAACTCTCTAAAATCTTTGAAGAGGTTTATTCTGAGCCAAATATGAGTGACCATGACCAATGACATAGCCCTCAGGAGATTCTGAGAACATGAGCTCAAGGTGGTCGGAGTAAAGCTTGGTTTTACATATTTTAGGAAGGCATGAGTCATCAATCAAATACATTTAAGAAATACATTGGTTTGGTTCAGGAAGGCAGGACAACTCAAAGCAGGGGCTTCCAGGCTATAGGTAAATTTAAACATTTTCTGGTTGACAATTGGTTGAGTTTATCTGAAGACCTGGGATCAATAGAAAGGAATGTTCAGGTTAACCTGAAGGATGTGGAGACCAAGTTTGTGCAAAGGAATCTCAGATAGCAGGCTTCAGAGAGAAAGTAGGTTATAAAATGTTTCTTAATAGCCCTAAAAGAGTGCCTGGATCTTAGTTGATTATCTCTTAGATCTGGAAAGAAAGGAAGGTAAACAAAGGGGAAAAGGATTCTCTATAGAATGTGAATTTTTTCCCACAAGAGACTTTGCAGGGCAATTTCAAGGTATGGCAAGGAAATATAATTTTGGGGTTAAATATTTTTTCCTTGTCTCATAATGTTATTCCAAAGTCAGACTGGAAAGTAAGTCATGATGTATAGGGTCAAATAAAACACATTTGATAAGAATTTATGGGGTGTAGGGCATGACTCCCTAGACCCCTTAGGTAGGAATTTGGGCAAGATAAAAAAATCAGAGCTTAGTCCTCAGATCAAATTTTAGGAAAGAGAACACAGGGACAACTGAGGAACAAGAAATAGATCCCCAGACCCTAGTGAAGTGCATATCCAAGTGGAAAGACCTCTATGGTGGCGTCTGTATATAAATACACATATGGGGATTTGTTTACACATATAGATAATAAATACATGCATACGCAAATGAGACTTGGTGCTCAACTTTAAAAAAAACTCATGGGTGAGCTATCCAAGCATCTTGGAGACCACAAGCAGCCTCCAAGAGCAGCGTCTAAGGCAGTCACCCTTGGTCTCCACATTTTTTTATTTCATCACCTCTCCTCTCTGCTCTTGGCCCCTTGGATTTCCCCTATACCCTCTCCAGCTCCACTCCTGCCTTTGTTCCTTTTTTTTTTTTTTTTCCTTCTGAGATGGAGTCTCACTCTGGCCCAGGCTGGAGTGGAATGCCTTGATCTCTGCTCACTGCAACCTCCGCCTCTTGGGTTCAAGCGATTCTCCTGCCTCAGCCTCCTAAGTAGTTGGGATTACAGGCATCTGCCACCACACCCGGCTAATTTTTGTATTTTTAGTAGAGACGGGATACCACCATGTTGCCCAGGCTGATCTGAAACTCCTGACCTCAAGTGATTGGCCTGCCTGGGCCTCCCAAACTGCTGGGATTACAGGCGTGAGCCACCGTGCCCAGCCTGCCTTTGCTCTTTGTTCATGTTGTTCCCCCATTAGGTGGCATGGTGGGATAATCACCTCTAAATACTCACCAATGCTGTTTCTCCAGCATATTCTTTTACTCTTTGCCATCTCCCCCATTCAGCTGGGCTGTCCTGGATTCATTGCTGCAGGAAGGGATGGGGAGGTTGGCACCAAGCAGAGGACAGGGAGCTTCTTTCTTCTTTCTTTCTTTCTTCTTCTTTCTTCTTCTTTCTTCTTCTTCTTCTTTCTTCTTTTCTTCTTCTTCTTTTCTTCTTCTTCTTTCTTCTTCTTTTCTTCTTCTTTTCTTCTTCTTTTCTTCTTCTTCTTTTCTTTTCTTCTTCTTCTTTTCTTCTTCTTATTCCTCTTCTTCTCCTTCTCCTCCTCCTCCTCCTCCTTCTCCTCCTCCTCCTCCTCCTTCTTCTTCTTCAAGACAGAGTCTTGCTCTGTTACCCAGGCTGGAGTGCAGTGGCATGATCTCAGCTCACTGCAACCTCTGTCTCTCAAGTTCAAGCAATTCTCCTGCCTCAGCCTCCCAAGTAGCTGGGACTACAGGCACATGCCGCCACGCCCAACTAATTTTTTGTATTTTTAGTAGAGACGGGTTTCACCATGTTAGCCAGGATGGTCTTGATCTCCTGACCTCGTGATCCACCCACTTCAGCCTCCCAAAGTGCTGGGATTACAGGCATGAGCCACCGTGCCTGGCCTGCTTTTGACTTTCATAAGCTTCAGTGAGACCTCAGGACATAGAAAGCAGATTCGACAGAAACCACCCACAGTAAGCAGGAAGCTTCTCCCTCCCCTGACTGCCTGGGGGGTGGAGGTGGTGGGGGAAGGTAGGAAGAGAATCTGGGGGCCTTACTCAGTGTTCTTACCTTTAAAAAGAATAATGAGGAGAACAGTCTAGGAGTTTCTCAAAAGGTTAAACATAGTTACCATACGAGCCAGAATTTCCACTCCTACATATATACCTGGGAAAACTGAAAACATATGTCTCCCCAAAACTTGTATATGAAATTTTATAGCAGCATTATTCATAATTGCAAAAGAGTGCAAACAACCCAACTGTCCATCAGTTGAGGAATGTGAAACACAATGTGGTATATCCATACATAGGAATATTATTCAGACATGAAAGGAGTGACGTATGATGCCTACATAACATGAATGAGCCCTGAAAATATTGCATTACATGAAAGAAGTCAGTCACAAAACAGCACATATTATTTGCTCTCATTCATACGAAACGTTCAGATTAAGTGAAGTCATAGGGAACAGAAAGTAGGTTGGTGGGCCAGACATGGTAGGTAGCTCATGCCTTTAATCCGAGCACTCTGCGAGGCCAAGACAGGCAAATCCCTTGAGCCCAAAAGTTTGAGACCAGCCTAGGAAACATGGTGAAATCTCATCTCTACAAAACACAAAAATTAGCTGGGTGTTCTGGCACATGCCTGTGGACACAGCTACTTCGGAGGCTGAGGTGAGAGCAGCACTTGAGCTCGGGGGTCAAAGCTGCAGTGAGCCATAATTGCACCATTGCACTCCAGCCTGGGCAACAGAGAGAGACTTTGAGAAAGAAAGAAGGAAGGAAGGAAGGCAGGCAGGCAGGAAGGAAGGAAGGAAAGAAAGAGAGAGAGAGTGGAGGGAGGTAGGAGGAAAGGAGGGAGGGAAAGAAGGAAGAAAGAAAGAAAAGAAAAAGAAAGAAGAAAGAAAAAGAAAGAAAGAAAAAAAGAAAAAAGAAAGATTGATTAGTGGTTTTCTGGGGGTAGGAAGGAGGGGGCGGGAAGTGAGTGCAAATGGGTAAGGGGCTTTTTGGAGGGGGTATTAAAATGCTCTAAAACGTACTCTGGTGATGGTTGCAGACACCTGTGACCACACTAAAAACCGCTGAGTTGTGAGTTTTAAGTGGGTGAATTGTATGGTATGTGAATTATATCTCAATTAAGCTGTTATATCAAAAAGAAAAAAAAGGGGGGCAGGTACTGGAATGGTGAAGTGCAGGCACCCTGTGGCCGGGCTTCCTGGGTGCCCCCCGGTTGCCGCATGTCAGCTTACATGCATGCTTACATGTCAGCGTGTAAGCCCTGGCACCAGTGTCCTCATCTGTAAAACGGATATGCTAATAGACCCTGCTCACATAACTTTGAATAAAAAGCTGGGTGGCATTTGTAATGTACCTAAAACAGTGCCCGGCAGGCAAGTTTGTTAAAAGTTTTTTTTCAAATGAAGCGTTTAGGTAAAATGACCTGAGGCTTGGTAATCTGCCACCAAAACTAAACTCAGCTTTAGAGCCCGGGCGGCCTGTGACTGTCTTGAGTGCTTCCTGTGAAGAAGGAATGAATTTTCCCGGGTTCTGACAGGTGCATGCAGTTCAGATATTCACCAGCAGAGGGCGCCGCATACCAAATACCGCGCAGGGGCCGGTTCCTCCCTGCCTAAGAAGTGCTCTGTGGAGCACTTGTCTGCCCCTCGAGCCTCCAAACGCCCTGGGCGCTCTCGGACCGGACGCTCCTTGCCCACCCACTCCCGGGGCTGGCCTGCTCTTTCTCACCGTGGCCCTTGAGCCCTTTGGCCGAAAGGCTAGTATTTTGCCTCTATCCTGCTCAAAGCCTGGTCTTCAGGGCTGCTTCTGCAATCTGCAGGCTCATCCTCCCTCTCTCTGTCCAGGCTCCACCTGGCTACCCGGGACTGGCTGGAGAGAGACTGGCACTTTCAGACTGGAGCCAGACCACTCCATGTCATTGGACCCCAGGCCCATGACTTGGGCACTTGATACCAAGAGATGAGCTAAAGCCAGACTTCAGATTCCACTTAAACTTGCTGAATGCCCGCTCTTTGCTCTCTTAGACTGGCTCATCCGACCTCACCACGGTGCTTTGAGGTTGGTGCGTCACTCCCATTTTGCACATGAGAAATTGGGGCTCAGAGACATTAAATGACCTGTCTGGGACCACACAGTTGATGGGCAGTCAGGTCTAACTCAGACATTCTGACTCCAAGCCTAATGTTGAGCCCCAATTTTAATTTTCATCTCCTTCTTTCTGTCTCAAGGAAATCCAGAGTTTTAGGATTGGAATGTATCTTTTTTTTTTTTTAGACCGAGTTTTGCTCTTGTCGCCCAGGCTGGAGTGCAATGGCGCGATCTTGGCTCACTGCAACCTCCACCTCCCAGGTTCAAGTGATTCTCCTGCCTCAGCCTCCCGAGTAGCTGGGATTGCAGGCATGCACCACCATGCCTGGCTAATTTTATATTTTTAGTAGAGACGGGATTTCTCCATGTTGGTCAGGCTGGTCTCCAACTCCTGACCTCAGGTGATCCGCCCACCTCAGCCTCACAAAGTGCTGGGATTACAGGTGGGAGCCACTGCGCCCAGCTGATTGGGATGTATCTTAAACTCCACTTCCCATCCAGGTACTCAATGCCTCAGCCAGCCCTGAGTGGGGAGGTACAACCTTTGCTTGGAGACATTTCTGCCTGGCTTCCTCCTGCTTAACTTTCAGGTCTCAGCTTAAACATGGTGGGGACTACTCAGAACCCCAGAATTGATATGAAGATTATTTTAATTTATTACTAAGATTATATGAAGACATTTGAGAGTCAACAGATGCAGAAAGAAGCCCTTTTGGAACTTCCCTTATCTGACTAAAAGCAGCAACTTCTGGGAAACAAAGCTGCCAGAAATTCCTTCTTCATGGGTGGGCCTATTCCCAGGATAGAGACCAAGAGGAAACCTACCAAAAATCCCCACTCTGGGGGAGTTCCATGGGCGTGAAGAAAATGGAAAGACCACTCACTTCTGCATAAACAATCACAAACTTTTCTATTTCCCGTTTGTTCTCCTATAAACCCTTTTGTCCTTTCTAAAGAAACCCATTTGTTCTTCCCATAGAAGCTTTTTCTTCCTGCTCCCTTTTCCTTGCTATGTTAGATACAGATGCCCCTTGACTTACAATGGGGTTATGTCCCAGTAAGCCCATCTGTATTAGTCAGGGTTCTCTAGAGGGACAGAACTAATAGAATATATATATACACACACACATAAAGGGGAGTTTATTAAGGAGTATTAAACTCACATGTTCACAAGGTCCTGCAATAGGCTGTCTGTAAGCTAAGGAGCAAGGAAGCCAGTCAGAGTCCCAAAGCTGAAGAACTTGAAGTTCGATGTTCGAGGGCAGGAAGCATCCAGCATGGGAGGAAGATATAAGCTGAGAGGCTAAGCCAGTCTGATCTTTTCATGTTTTTCTGCCTGCTTTATATCCTGGCCGCAGTGGCAGCTGATTAGATGGTGCCCACCCAGATTAAGGGTGGCTCTGCCCTTCCCAGGTCACTGACTCAAATGTTAATCTCTTTTGGCAAAACGCTCACAGACACACCCAATACTTTGTATCCTTGAATCCAATCAAGTTGACACTCAGTATTAACCATCGCAAGTCCACCCTTTGTCAACTTGAACCCATACACATCTCCTGAGATCATACACAATCTTCAAATAAAGACAGTAATAAGGTCAGAATTATGCCTAACATGATACAACTATCCTTCGTACGACCAGAAATGCACCAATCCCCAGCCCAAATGCTATTACATAAAGTTAGCCATGCTTAAATGCTGATATGAAGTCAATAAATCTTATGTCACATGATAAAGGAAAAAGGAGGTAGGGGAAGGTGCCTCATACCTGTAATCCTAGCACTTGGGAGACTGAGGTGGGTGGATCACCTGAGGTCGGGAGTTTGAGACAGCTGGGCCAACATAGTGAAACCCCATCTCTACTAAAAATACAAACATTAGCTGGGGGTGGTGGTGCACATCTGTAATCCCAGCTATTCAGGAGGCTGAGGCATGAGAATCGGTTGAACCTGGGAGGCGGGGGTTGCAGTGAGCTGAGATCATGCTACTGCATTCCAGCCTGGGCAACAGAGTGAGACTCAGTCTCAAAAAAAAAAAAAAAAAGGAAATAAAATGAAGATATTTTCTTAGTACAAGTGTATACATGCATAAACATGCTTTTAACAAAAAAAGGAGAAAATACTCATGACAATTACAGTCCTTGTTTCTGCAGCTGGTCATGTGGTCATAGCTGGTATTGATGACTACCTTCTTCTACTACTCATTCTGTATTCCCTTTGCCTTCAGCAAGCACCTCAGCAGCTCATGTTTGTTTTTGTTTTTGTTTTTTTTCCTGGTGGAGTGACCCAAACTTTAATTCCTGAAGGGTCTGGATCATTTGTAGTCCTGCCTGGATTGGGCTGTTGTAGTTTCCCATTGACCTTAATCACAGGGCATAGTAATACTATGAGACACCCTAATGGATCTCTATATTCCATGCATACTCTTCCTTACCTCCATTGTGTAATAGTAGACTGATTTCATCTTGATTGTCTAGGTCAATCACCCCAGCCAACACTGTAACTTTCTTCTTAGCCTGTTGACTTAAAAGTAGGAGTAGCCCAAAGTGTCCAGGTGGCAATCTTAACTTCCAGCTTAATGGAATCGTTGTTGTGTCTCCTGGTGGCACCATTCCTCCCTCTGGAACTAAGACCTCTAGGCGAACAGAACATAATGTCACTGGGTCAGGAAAGAAAAATTTTGCTAATGGATCACTAGGGGTGATGGTGAGTGGTGCTACTTCCACTTCCACCCCTTGATTCCTGGATGTGTGAATCCTGGCTATGGGAGAAATAATACCATATATTGGACGCTGACTCAGAGCATACATGGCCTTCTGGAAAACTTTGCCCCAGGCCTGCAAAGTATTGTCACCTAGTTGGCATTGTAATTGTGACTTCAAATGGCCATTCCACCATTCTATCAATCCAGCTGCTTCAGGATGATGGGGAACATGCTAAGACCAGTGAATTCCATAAGCATGAGCCCACTGCTGCACCTCTTTAGCCATAAAGTGAGTGCCTTGGTCAGAGGCAATGCTGTTGGAATATCATGATGTTTGTTAAGGCATTCCGTGAGTCCACGGATGGTAGTCTTGGAAGAAGCATTGTATGCAGGATAGGCAAACCCATATCTGTCCATATCTGGAGTAAGCATCTATTCCAGTGAGGACAAACCTCTGCCCTTTCTGTAATAGAAGAGGTCCAGTACAATCAACCTGCCACCAAGTAGCTGAATGATCATCCCAAGGAATGGTGCCATATTGAGGGCTCAGTGTTGGTGTCTGCTGATGGCAAATTGGGCACTTAGTAGTGGCTGTAGCCAGGTCAGCCTTAGTGAGTGGGAGTCCATGTTGCTGAGTCCATGCATAACCTCCATCCCTGCCACAATAGCCACTTTGTTCATGGGCCCATTGGGCAATGACAGGGGTGGCTGGGGAAAGAGGCTGAGTGGTGTCCACCTCTGCTGAGGTCACTCGTTGGTGAGCACTCACATGGGATACAAATAGCTTCACAGTTTTTAACCACTCAGAGAGGTCCATCACATGCCTCTTCCCCAAATTTCTTTGTCACCAATTTTCTGATCATGCTTCTTCCAAGTCCCTGACCATCCAGCCAAACCATTGGCTATAGCCTATGAATCAGTATGTAATCACATATCTGGCAATTTCTCCTTCCATGCAGAGTGCACAACCAGTGCACTGCTTGAAGTTCTGCCCACTGGGAAGATTTCCCTTCACTTCACCGCTGTCCTTCAGGGATGTCCTAAAAAGGAGCTGTAGCGCTGCAGCTGTCCACTTTTGGGTGGTGCCTGCATATCAGGCAGAACCATTTGTGAACCAGGCCCTAGTCTTCTCTTCCTCTGTCAGCTGACCATAGGGAACGCCCCATGAGGCCATTGGTGCAGGCTGGGGGAGAGAAGGCAGGGTGGCAGGAATGGAGACCATGGGCATTTGAGCCACTTCCTCATGTAACTTAATTGTGCCTTCAGCCAGGGCTTGTGCTCGAGCCCAGTTACGTATATAACACTTCCATTTGATGATGTTATGCTGCTGTACACAACCCACTTTATGGCTAGATGGGTCAGAAAGCATCCACTTCATGATATGCAGTTCAGGTCGAACGGTAACTTGATGACCCATAGTCAAATGTTCAGTTTCCAGCAAAGCCCAGTAACAGGCCAAGAGCTTCTCTGAAAAGGAGAGTAGTCATCTGCAGAAGATGGCGGAGCTTTGCTTCAAAATCCTAGACGCCTCCACTATGATTCATCTATGGGAGCCTGCCAAAAGTGCCAAACAGCGTCTCTATCTGCCATTGACACCTCAAGCACCGTTGCATCTGCTGGGTCATATGGCCCAAGTGGCAGAGCAGCTTTCACAGCATCCTGGATCTGTTGCAGAGGCTTCTTCTGTTCTGGACCCCACTCAAAACTGACAGCCTTTCTAGTCACTTGATAAATGGGCCAGAGTAACACACCCAAATGAGGAACATGTTGCCTCCAAAATCCAAACAGGCCCACTAGGCATTGTGCCTCTTTCTTGGTTGTAGAAAGGGCCAAATACAGCAACTTATCCTTTACCTTAGAAGGAATATCTTGACAGGCCCCGTACCACTTGGCCCCTAGAAATTTTATTGAGGTAGAAAGTCCCTGAATTTTAGTCAGATTTATTTCCCATCATTTTGTGTACAAATGTCTCACCAATAAGTCCAGTGTGTTTGCTACTTCTTGCTCATTGGATCCAATAAGCATAATGTCATCAATGTCATCAATGACCAGTGCGATATCTTATGGAAGTGAAAAACAATCAAGGTCTCTCTGAATAAGATTATGACACAAAGCCATAGAGTTGATATACCCCTGAGGTAGGACAGTAAAGGTATATTGCTGGCCTTGCCAGCTGAAGGCAAATTGTTTCTGGTGGGCCTTATCAACAAGAATGGAGAAAAAACATTTGCTGAGTCAATGGCTGCATACCAGGTACCAGGAGATTGTTAATTTGCTCAAGCAATAAAACCACATCTGGTACAGCAGCTGCAATTGGAGTCACCACTTGGTTAAGCTTCCAATAATTCACTGTCATTCTCCAAGATCCATTTGTCTTCTGCACAGGTCAAATGGGATGGCTGAAAGGGGATGTGGTGGAAATCACCACCCCTGCATCTTTCAAGTCCTTGATGGTGGCACTAATCTCTGAAATTCCTCCAGGGATGCAATATTGTTTTTGATTTATTACTTTTTTTTTTTGAAATCCCTCCAGTGATGCAATATTGTTTTTGATTTATTACTTTTTTTTTTTTTTTGAAGGAGTCTGGCACTGTCGCCCAGGCTGGAGTGCAGTGGTGCAATCTCTACTCACTGCAACCTCCGCCTCCCAGGTTCAAGCAATTCAACTGCCTCAGCCTCCTAAGTAGCTGGGATTACAGGCACCCGCCACCACACCTGGCTAATTTTTTGTATTTTTAGTAAAGACAGGGCTTCACAATGTTGGCCAGGCTGGTCTTGAACTCCTGACCACGTGAGCCGCCTGCCTTGGCCTCCCAAAGTGCTGGGATTATAGGCGTGAGCCACTGCGCCCAGCCAATTTACTGTTTTTTTAGGTACAGTCAGCTATAATGGCTTCCATTTGGCCTTTCCCACCATAATAGCCCTCACCCTACTAGTCAGGGAGCCAGTGTGGGGGTTCTGCCAGCTGCTAAGTATGTCTATGCCAATTACGCCTTCTGGCACTGGGGAACTGACCACAAGATGAGTCCAGGGACACACTGGACCCACTGTAAGTCTGACCTGAGCTAAACCTCTATTAATTACCTTACCTCCATAAGGCCCTACTTTAACTGGAGTACCACAATGACATTTTGGTTCCCTGGAATCAATGTCAGCTCAGAGCCAGTGTCCAATAGTCCCCGAAGTGTCTGATCATTCCCCTTTCCCTAATGCACAGTTACCTTGGTAAAAGGCTGGAGGTCTCCTTGGGGGAGGATGGGAGAAAGATTAACAGCATAAATTGTCGATAATGTAGTGGGGCCCTTCCTCAAGGGGACCCAGCCTTCCCATTCATTCAAGGGGTTTTGGGTCTGTAAAGTGGCTCAAGTCTGGAAATTGATTGAGGGGCCATGATTCTCTGTTTTTATAATTCAAATTAGTCTTTTGTCCATTTGACCTGGAAGTTTTCTGCTTATATAAATTAAGTAGGAATGCAGTAGGCTTTCTATCAATTTCACTTCTAGGAACACCATAATTAATTAGCCAGTGCCACATGAGTGAGAATATTCTGATTGCTGCTTTGCCTTTGCTGTCCATTACGGTAGCGATGCCCACTTTGCCTTTAACAGTTGAGTGCCTCCACCTGGCCTCTGCCACCTCGGGATCCAATTATTCCTATTGCATTTAAATTTTGTAGTTGAGTGCCTGTGATTCCCACTGTTAGATCTGACGTACAGAGAAGAGCAATTACAGGGATCTTCAAAAATGCAGCTGGTGCCCTCACAAATCTATTTTGTAAAACATTGGTCAAGGACATACCTTCTGGACCCTCCCAGCTGGGATGAGTAGGTCTAAAGTGACTAATCCTCTCCACCATACCAATCTCCCTAAGCCTTTGGATCCTTTCCTCTACATCAGACCAAGGGAGATCAGGCATTTCCAGCTCACTCACAGTGGGCCATCTTTTAATCCGTATTTTAGCTAACCAAGCAAATAACCTATTAGAACCTTTTTTTTAAACTCCCCAAGCTGCAGCATTAAATGCAGAAACCCTACTTAGTGGGCCCAAATCAATAAATTCAGCCTGATCCAACTCTTTGTTCCTTCCACCATTTCCCACACCCTTAATATCCATTCCCATGCCTGTCCTCCAGATTTCTGCTTATATAAATCAGAAAACTCAAGCAGTTCTTTTTGAGTGTAGCACACTTCCTCATGGGTCACACTCTCAACCTCATCTCTAGGGGCCCGACAGGACTTAGACTAGTCTAGTTATAGGTCTAGAAGCAGACAGGGGTGTTGAGGGTGGCTCCTGAGGAGAATCAATATTATCATAATCAACCTGGCAACTGCCTCAAGAGAGGCCATTACTGTTGCCTCAAGCAGCGCAGGGTTTATCTCCTCAAAGGTGGAAAGGCTGATGGCAGCGTGCGTTGTGGAGGGGATGTTGCCACTACTGGGGATGGGGAAACTGTTTCTTTTGGCAAAAAAGTTGCATCAGAGTTTATAAACTCAGTGTCCCCAGCTTCATCAGGGTCCTCCCACACGTCCCCATTCCAAGTTGCAGGGTCCTATTCTTTTCCAGTCAATGCCCTCCCTTTAACAATAGACGCCTGGCAAGGCTGTGCATGCACCTTTCATTGCAGGTCAACCACTCGCATGATAAGAGTGTCTGTTTTCCACAATTTCAGCTCTTTCTCAAAAAAACAAAAAAACTCACAATATTTTATTATGTAGGCTTATCTCTTCATTCAACAAATATTTTTTGAAAGTCTACTGTGTGCCAAGCACTGTTTTAAGCATTGAAGAAAAAGCCAGACAAGGTCCTTATCCTCACAAAGCTGACCTTCTAGTGGGAAAGAAATATATGATAAAGCAATACTTTGGCTCTTGGATATACCATAATTTATACTAACCTTATTTTTTTTATATTTATACTGGTTTCATATTTGATAGCAGAGACTCTGTCAGAAAGATCAGAGCTAAAATCCAAACTTGCCCACATACGGTGTGTCTTTGATGAGTTACTCAATCCCCTTATGCCTCAGTTTCCTCATTTTAAATATAAGTATAAAATTAGCATTGATCTCGTTGAGCTTTTCTGATGATAAAATGAGATAATACATGCAAAACACTCAGCACAAATTAACTGTTATTATTATTGCAGTGAGTGTACACAAATCTTTGTGCCCACATTTAGTAATTTCTGTAGGAAAAATTCCTAGAAGTAGAATGAGTGAGTCAAAGTTAGCAATTTTTTTTCTTTTTTTGAGATGGAGTCTAGCTCTGTCGCTGAGGCTGTAGTGCAGTGGCACAATCCTGGCTCACTGCAACCTCTACCTCCCAGGTTCAAGTGATTCTCCTGCCTCAGCCTCCTGAGTAGCTGGGATTACAGGCGCCCACCACCACACCTGGCTAATTTTTTGTATTTTTAGTAGAAACAGGGTTTCACCATGTTGGTCAGGCTGGTCTCGAACTCCTGACCTCAAGTGATCCACCCGCCTTGGCCCCGCAAAGTGCTGGGATTACAGGCATGAGCCACTGCACCTAGCCTTTTTTTAAAGCATTGACATATTCCAAATTGCCTTGAGGAAGGCAGGACCAGGCTACCTCCCACCAGGGGAATATGAAGGTGTTAGTGGAAAGCACCTTAGAGATTCTCATAGGACAATATCTGAGATACTGATATTTGCCCTTATCCTTCTAGACCACTGCATTGCATTCAACACCACCAACCTGCTTGAAATCTCTCCCTGTCTATTGCTTCCCTGACATACACTCTGTTAAGACTTTCCTCTCATCCAACTGGCTGCCCCTCCTCATGCCTGGCTCCCTTCTCTCCAATTACAGCCATCTTGGAGAGTCAGCCGTGGACCTCACTGGATAATTTCTCCAAGTCCTCTCCCTTGGAGAGGCTTGTGGCTTGAGCCAGCATCTCAATGAAGATGGCTCCCACAGCTTCTTCCACCTTCTCTCCTAGCTTTAGCTATTTCTAAAACTTGGACTTTTAAAACTGAGGTGCTCAATAAAGTACAAAAATAAATAAGTAAAAATAAATTGCACGGCATGACAAATTGTACATGTATACATCTATATGTCTATATCCACGTGCTGCCACCACCATGCAGACCAAGATATAAAACACTTTCAGTACCCCAGAAGTTCTCGTCATGGTTTTTTTTGTTTCATTTTGTTTTTGTTTTTGTTTTTTTTTTTTTTGTAGAAACAGGATCCCACTATGTTGCCCAACTCCTGGGCTCAAGCGATCCTCCTGGGCTCAAGCAATCCCCCTGCCTCGGCCTCCGAAAGTGCTGGAATTCATGCATCATTTTAGTCTATATGTATGCTATCCAGAAACAAACACTGATCTGATTTTTAAACGCCATCACTTAGTCTTACTTGTTCTAGAACTTCATATAAATGACCCAAATAGCACATACATTTTGGTATTTGGCTTCTTTCATTCAATATACTTTTTGAGATTTATCTATGTTGTTGCATGTATGAACAATTCATTCCCTTTTTATTGTTGTCTAGTATTCCTTTGAATAGTTATGCCCCAACACGTTCATCCGTCTATCTGTTGATGGACACATGGGCTATTTCTGGCCATTGGCTATTACCAATAAGATCTCTATGCACATTCTGTACATATATTTTGGTAGATACATGTACTCATGTCTCTTGGGTGGAAGTGCTGGGTCACAGCTTTAAGAGATACTATTTTCCATAGTAGTTGTACAATTTTACATTCTCATCAGCAGTGTACAAAAGTTCTGGTTGCTCCTCATATTCTCCATCACTTAGTATTATCTGTCCTTTTACTTTTAGCCAATCTGGTGGGAATGTAGTTATAATTTGTGGTTATAATTTGTATTTCCCTGATGACTAATGATGTTGATCATTTTTTCATGGGCTCACTGGCTATTTATATGGCCTCTTCTATGAAGTGCCATGTCTGCTTAAGTATTTCGTCTTAAAAAAAAAAAAAAGCACCTTTTTTTTTTTTTTGAGATGGAGTTTCACTCTTATTGCCCAGACTGGAGTGCAATGGCACGATCTCAGCCCACCACAACCTCTGCCTCCCAGGTTCAAGCAATGTTCCTGCCTCAGCCTCCCAAGTAGCTGAGATTACAGGCGCACACCACCATGCCTGGCTAATTTTTGTATTTTTAATAGAGATGGAGTTTCACCATGTTGGTCAGGCTGGTCTCGAACTCTTGACCTCGTGATCCACCCGCCTTGGCCTCCCAAAGTGCTAGGATTGCAGGCATGAGCCACCATGCCCGGCCAAAAAAAGCACCTTTTTAGTGCTATAATGTATATATCATAAAATTTACCCATATTAAGTATATAGTTTAATGAGTTTTGGTAAAGTATATACTCATGAAACTACCACTATGATCAAGTTCTAGAACACTTTATAGTGTCTAAAACTTCCCCATTACCTTTGCAGTCAATCTCTGACTCCATTTCCCTTTCTTTTCTCTCTGAGAATCAGTTTATCTATTAATTAAACAACATAGCAAGAACTCGTCTCTGTAAAAAAAAAAAAAAAATAGCTGGGTGTGGTGGCACATGCTTGTAGTCCCTGCTACTTGAGAGGCTGAGGCGGATTATTCGAGCCTAGGAGTTTGAGGCTGTGGTGAGCCATGATATGTCACTGCACTGAAGCCTGGGCAACAGAGACTCTGTCTCAAAAAAAAATTCTCCCTATTCCTCCTGTCTTGCTGAAACTTTGTACCATTTGACCAACATCTCCCCATTCCCCCCATCCCTAGCCTCTGATAACAACCATTCTATTCTCTGCTTCTGTGAGTTTGTTTTAGTTTCCTCATATAAGAGAAATCATGTGGAATTTGTCTTTCTGTGCCTGGCTTATTTCACTTAGCATAATGTCCTCCAAGTTCATCCATGTTGCAAATAAGAGTTCCCTTCGTCCAGAAGGCTGAATAGTATTCCATTGTGTATATATGCCACATTTTCTTTATCTAATCAGCTGTTGGACAGTTAGGTGGGTTCCATCTCCCGGCTATTGTGAAAAATGCTGCAGTGAACATGGGAGTGAAGCCGTCTCTTGGATATAGTGACTTCAAATCCTTTGGATATATACCCAGAAGTGGAACTGCTAGATCATAGTTTAGTTCTATTTTTAGTTGCTTGAGGAACCGCCATACAGTTTTCCATAATGGCTGTACTAACTTACATTCCCACCAACAGTGTATAAGAGTTCCCTTTTCTCTGCATCTTCACCAGCATTTGTTATCTTTCTTCTTTTTGATATTAGCCATTCTGACAGTTGTGAGATAATATCTCATTGTGATTTTAATTTACATTTCCCTGATGATTAATAATGTTCAGCATTTTTTCATATATTTATTGGCCATATGTATGTCTTCTTTTGAGAAATGTATGTTCAGGTCCTTTGATCATTTTTTAATCTGAGTATCTTTTTCCTTGCTATTGAATTGTTTGAGTTCCTTATATATTCTGGATACTAACCCTTTACCAGATACACGGCTTGCAAATATTTTCTCGCAATCTGTAGTTTGTCTCTTCACTCTGTTCATCATTTTCTTTGCTTTCAAGAAGCTTTTTAGTTTGATGCAATCCCATGCTATTTTTGCTTTTGTTGCCTATGCTTTTGGGGTCAAATCCAAGAAGTCATTTCTCAGACCAATGTCACATAGTTTTTCTCCTTTTTATTCTAGCAGTTGTACAGTTTCATGTCTTACATTTAAGTCTTTAACCCATTTTGACTTGATTTTTGTATATGGTATGAGATAAGAGTCAAATTTTACTCTTCTGCAGTGGATTTTCAATTTTCTCAACACTCTTTATTAAAGAAACTGTTCATTTCTCATCGTGTGTTTTTGGCACCTTTGTTGAAAATAAATTGACCATAAATGCATAGGTTTATTTCTGTATCCTCTATTCTGTTCCACTGAGCAATGTTTCTCTTCTTATGCCAGTACCATGATGTTTTGATTACTATAGCTTTGTAATATAGTTTGAAATCAGATAGTGTGATGCCTCCAGATTTGTTGTTTTTGCTCAAGATTGCTGATATGGTTTGGCTCTGTGTCGCCACCCAAATCCCATGTTGAATTGTAATCCTCACATATTAGAAGAGGGAGCTGGTAGGAGGTGATTGGATCATGGGGGGCAGATTTTTCCCTTTGCTATTCTTGTGATAGGGAGTGAGTTCCCACAAGATCGGATTGCTTAAAAGTGTGTAGCACTTCCCCCTTTTCTCTCTTTCTACTCCTGCCATGTGAAGATGTGCTTGCTTCCCCTTCTCCCTTCCACCATGATTGTAAGTTCCCTCAGGCCTCCCCAGCCATTGGAACTGTGAGCCAATTAAACCTCTTTTCTTTATAAATTACACAGTCTCAGGTAGTTCTTTATAGCCTATTATAATTGCCTTGGCTATTCACGGTCTTTTGTGGTTTCATATGAATTTTAGGATTTTTTTTCTATTTCTGTAAAAAAATGACATTGGAATTTTGATAGGGATTGCACTGAATCTGCATATCACTTTAGGTAGTATGGACATTTTAACAAGATTAATTCTTCTTCTTTTTTTTTTTTTTTGAGACAGAGTCTCGCTCTGTCCCCCAGCCTGGAGTGCAGTGATGCAATCTTGGCTTACTGCAACCTCCACGTCCTGGGTTCAAGCAATTCTCCTGTCTCAGCCTCCCGAGTAGCTGGGATTACAGGTGCCTGCCACCACGCGTGGCTAATTTTTTTTTTTTTTTTTTTTTTTTTGTATTTTTAGTAGAGATGGGGTTTTGCCATGTTGGTCAGGCTGGTCTCGAACTCCTGACCTCAGGTGATCTGCCCACCTTGGCCGTCCAAAGTGCTGGGATTACAGGTGTGAGCCACTGTACCTGGCCTAACAATATTAATTTTCTAATCCATGAACACAGAACATTTTTCCATTTGTTTGTATCTTCTTCAATTTCTTTCTCCCCCTTTTTTTTTCTTTTTGTGGAGAACAGGGTCTCACTATATTTCCCAGGGAGATCTCCAACTCCTGGGCTCAAGCTATCCTCCCGCCTCTGCCTCCCTAAGAACTGGGATTACAGGCATGAGCCACTCTACCTGGCTCTTCAATTTCTTTCATCAGTGTTTTATAGTTTTTAATGCACATATCTTTTACCTCATTTAAATTTATTCTTAAGTATTTAATATTTTTATAGCTATTGTGGCTGGGATTGTTTTCTTGATTTTCTGATAGTTTTTTTAAATGTATAAGAACTACTAATTTTTGTATGTTGATAGTTGTATACTACAACTTTACTATATTTCTTTATTAGTTCTAACAGTCTTTTTTTTTTTTTTTTTGGTCTGTGGAGTCATTAGGGTTTTCTATGTATACGATCTTGTCACCAGCAAACAGAGACAATTTTACGTCTCCCTTTCCTATTTGGATGCCTTTTATTTTTTTCTCTTGCCTAAGTGCTCTGGCAAGGACTTCTGGTATGCATTCAATAAATGTGATGAAAGTAAACATCCTTGTCTTGCCCTTGATCATAGAGGAAAAGCTTTCAACTTTTTTTTTTTTTTTTTTTGAGACGGAGTTTTGCCCTTGTTGCCCAGGCTGGAGTGCAAAGGTGGGGTCTTGGCTCACTGCAACCTCTGCCTCCTGGGTTCAAGAGATTCTCCTGCCTCGGCCTCCCGAATAGCTGGGATGACAGGTGCATGTCACCATGCCCGGCTAATTTTTGTATTTTTAGTAGAGACAGGGTTTCTCCATGTTGGCCAGGCTGGTCTCGAACTCCTGACCCCAGGTGATCCAGCTGCCTCAGCCTCCCAAAGTGCTGGGATTACAGGCATGAGCCACCGTGTCCAGCCTCAAATATGGTTTTTATTGTATTGAGGCTTATTCCTTCTATACCTAATTTGTTGAGAGTTTTTATCATGGAGGCATGTTGAATTTTGCCAAAATGCTCTTCCTGCATCGAATGGGATGATTATATGGCGTTTGTTCCTCATTCTGTTAATGTGATGTATCACATTTATTGATTTGCATATTGTATTAGGGCATTTTTGCATTGCTATAAAGAATACCTAAGACTAGATAATTTATAAGAAAAGAGGATTAATTGGCTCACGGTTCTGCAGGCTCTACAGGAAGCATAGTGGCATTTGCTTCTGAGGAGGCCTCAGGAAACTTCTTATCACGGTGGCAGGCAAAGAGTAAGCAGGCACATCACACGGTGAGAATGAGAGCAACAGAAAGTGGACAAGGGGGAGGTGTCATACGCTTTTAAATGAGCAGATCTCATGTGAAGTCAGAGTGAAAGCTCACTTATCACCAAGGGGATAGCCCAAACCATTCATGAGGGATCTGTTCCCATAATCCAAACACCTCCCATCAGGCCCCACCTCCAACACTGAGGATTACATTTCAACATGAGATTTGGAGAGGGGAAAATATCTAAACTATATCTTATATGTTGAACAATCTTTGCATCCCAGAGATAAATCCGACTTGATCATGGTAAATGATTCTTTTAATGTGCTGTTGAACTTGGTTTGCTAGTATTTTGTGAAGAATTTTGGCATCTTTTTTTTTTTTTTTTTTTTTTTGAGACATAGTCACTCTGTCACCCAGGCTGGAGTACAGGGGTGTGATCGTGGGTCACTTCAGTCTCCATGTCCTGGGCCCAAGCAATCCTCCTGCCTCAGCTTCCGAGTAGCTGAGACTACAGGAATGTGCCACCATGCCCAGCTAATTAAAAAAAAAATTGTAGTGACAGGGTCTCACTATGTTGCCCACACTGGTTTTGAACTCCTGGGCTCAAGCAATTATCCCACAGTGCTGGGGTTATAGGCGTGAACCTGGCCTCCACATCTTGGTTTATCAGATATATCGCCCTATCATTTTCTTTTCTTATAATGCCTTTGTCTGGCTTTGGCATCAGGGTAATGTTGGCCTTGTAAAATGAGTTTGGAAGTATTTCTTCTTTGATATTTTTGGAAGAGTTTGCAAAGGCTTGGTATTGGTTCTTCTTTAAACATTGGAAAGAATTCACTCATGAAGGCACTAGGTCCTGGTCCTGGGTCTTTCTTTGGTGGAAGACTTTTTATTACTGATTCAATCTTTATATTCATTATTGATCTGTTTAGATTTTCTATTTCTTCAGGTCCTTTATTAATTTTCTGTCTGGATTGTTGAAAGTGAGATATTAAAGTCCCTTACTATTATTGTATTGAGATCTATGTCTCCCTTCAGTTTCTTTCTTTCTTTTTCTTTTGAGATGGAGTCTTGCTCTGTCACCCAGGCTGGAGTGCAATGGCACAATCTCGGCACACTGCAACTTCCACCTTCTGGGTTCAAGCAATTCTCCTGTCTCAGCCTCCCAGGTAGCTGAGATTACAGGCTTCTGCCACCATGCCCAGCTAATTTTTTTGTATTTTTCAGTAGATACAGGGTTTCACCACGTTGGTCAGGCTGATCTTGAACTCCTGACCTCAAATGATCCACCTGCCTTGGCCTCCCAAAATCATAGGATTACAAGTGTGAGCCACAGTGCCCAGCCTCCCTTCAGTTTCTTAAACATTTTCTTTATATATGTAGGTATCCCTAAGTCAGGTGCAAATATATTCAAAATTATTATATCATCTTGATAAACTGACCACTTTATCATCATGTAATATCCTTCTTTGCCTCTTTTTTATAGTTTTGTTGCTTATTTCTTCTGACATAAATATGAGCTATCCCTGCTCTCTTTTGGTTTCCATTTGCATGGAATATCTTTCTTCATATTTTTACTTTTAATCTGTGTATCCTTAAAAATTGAGGTGAGTCTCTTGTAGGCAGCATATAGTTGGTGCGTTAAAAATAATTTAGCCACTCTATGTCTTTTGACTAGAGAATTTAATCCATTTAATTTCAAAGTAATTATTGATAAGTAAGAATTTATTATTGCCATTTTATAATTTGTTTTCTGGTTGTTTTGTAGATAATTTGGTTCTTTCTTCCTCTCTTGCTGTCTTCCTTTGGTTTGACCATTTTTTGTAATGGTATGCTTTGAATTCTATTTATGTTTTGTGCAAAAATAGAAAGCTCTTGTCTCTTCTTCACTCAGCATATGCATTAGTTTGTGGGGACTTCTGTAAAAACATACCACAAACTAAGTGTCTTAAAACAGCAGGAATATACTGTCTCACAGTTTCAAAGACTGGAAGTCCAAGATCAAGGTTCTGGAAGGGCCATGCTCTCTCTTGAAGTCTCCAGGAGAGAATCTGTTCTATGCCTTGCTCTTAGTTTCTGCTGTTGCTGGCACTCCTTGGTGATCCATGGCTTGCAGCTGCACACCTTCAGTCTCTGTCTCCATGTGTGTGATCTCCCTGTGTGTCTCTGTCTTCACACAACTATCTTCTTCTTCTTCTTTTTTTTTTTTTTTTTTTGAGACGGAGTTTTGCTCTTGTCACCCAGGCTGGAGTGCAATGGCACCATTTTGGCTCACTGCAACCTCCGCCTCCTGGGTTCAAGCGATTCTCCTGCCTCAGCCTCTTGAGTAGCTGGGATTACAGGGGCCTGCCAGCACATCCAGGTAATTTTTTTGTGTTTTTAGTATAGACGGGATTTCACCATGTTGATCAGGCTGGTCAGGCAGGTGATCCACCCGTCTTGGCCTCCCAAAGTGCTGGGATTACAGGTGTGAGCCACTGTGCCCAGCCACAACTATCTTCTTTAAAGGGCAGCAGTCATATTGGCTGGGCACAGTGGCTCATGCCTGTAATCTCAGCACTCTGGGAGGCTGAGGCAGCCAGGTTGCTTAAACCCAGGAGTTTGAGACTGGCCTGGTCAAAATGGCGAAACCCTGTCTCTACTAAAAATACAAAAATTAGCTGAGTGTGGTGGTGCATGCTGATCACACCACTGCACTCCAGCCTGGGCAACAGAGTGAGACTCTGCCTCAAAAAAAAAAAATTAAAAATGAAGGACACCAGTCATATGGGAGTAGGGGTCCATCCACTTCAATATGACCTCATTTTAACTAATTACATCTATAATGACCCTGTTTCCAAATAAGGCCACATTCTGAGGTACTTGAGGTCAAGATATGTCTTTTGGAGAGGGACACAATTCAACCCATAACAACAGAATTCCCTTGTCATTGACTATTAGCTTTCTTCCTTTCTAATCACATTATAAAGTAATGATTGGCTGGGTGCGGTGGCTCACGCCTGTAATCCCAGCACTTTGGGAGGCCGAGGTGGGCAGATCGCATGAGGCCAGGAGTTTGAGACCAGCCTGGCCAAGATGGCGAAACCCCATCTCTACTAAAAAGTACAAAAAATTAGCCAGGTGTGGTGGCGTGTGCCTGTAGTCCCAACTACTCGGGAGGCTGAGGCAGGAGAATCACTTGAACCCTAGAGCCAGAGGTTGCAGTGAGCCAAGATTGTGCCACTGCACTCCAGCCTGGGTGACAGAGCAAGACTCCATCTCAAAAAAAAAAAAAAAAAAGTAATGCCCTATTTATGTATCTCCTTCTCCTAATAGATTATGAGGTGTAAGGTCTTTTTCATTTCTGAGTTCCCAGTGCCACTCCTGGCATACAGTAGGCACTCAGTGAATATATGTGGATAAAGGAATGGCTGAAGCCTCCCCGGACCCATTAGAGTCATGCCACATCCACCAAATTTGGTAATGCCCCTCATGAGCTACCATTCCCACCTTCACTGCTTCTGTCATGGCACAGTTGAAATTTGAAAGCTGTGGCTCTTTTGTGTCTCCTTTATGCAAACTGTCTCCTAACTTCTTTCCATTTCCCCTTTCACTTCTCTGTAACCTCAGTCTTTTCTCTCCTTCCTAATCCTATTAGTCTCTTAAAGCAAGGACTGAAATGAAATAGAAGGTGGAAGTAGAGAAAAAATATATGACTAGGACTCAATTTTGAAAAACAAGACTAATAATTATGAAAATAACACATAACAAAATTTTAGGTGGTAATGGCTCTCTGCATGAATTCTAAAAGTGAAGAAAGAATAAATCAGATATTGATTATTTGGAGATGGCCTCTTAGAGTAATTACTCTGAAAAGCTTATATGAGAGTTTGATACTAAATATTTCACTCCCAATTGATTGTCACGGCACACGCAGAAAGGTCACTTTAGCAAAAAACTTAATACTAGATGGCCTTTCTAAATTCTCACAGTCCAATCACTGTCTTTTGGTGTCTCTACTCCCAGACCCCCTGTTGAAGTCCTCATCTTGGTGCATTAACTAACCTGCCTCCACCAGATCCTCCCTGGGCCAGACTTTTGCTTGTGATGGGAGACGTTCCCGACATAACTGTTATGGGCTTCCCAAAGTCCTGCATCACTGGAAAGATTCTCAGCTTTACTCTGCATTTGATTTGCATCTTGATGACAACATTTGACAATCAGACATCAGCAAGAGACTTAGGACAGAGATATTGACCCCATGTGTGGGGAGAGGATGTAGAGGGGAGAAGAATGGCTTAGTGGGACTGGTTTTATAAGGGATTAATTTATTATTAAACTGGCAGTGTTGCTTCCTGCAGGCTGAGAATGATGGTTGTTGGTATAATAGACACTCAGGTAACTAAGCCTCTGGTTTTTTGGCTGAGCCTCTCCATGGGTGTTTGTGGTCCCAGCTACAGTCAAGTGGAATAGATCTTCCTAGAACCTGACTTTAATCAGAGCAGGACTTCAGAATAAGGCTGTCCCCAGACCATCCTGGTTCATAGCCCAGGTCTTTACCACCTCACTGGGATGACTTTGGCTAGGTCAGTTGACCTCTTTGAGTCTTAGTTTCTTTCTCTGTAAAATTAGATTTTAAATGAGATAATTCATAGGAAGCCCACAGTGCAGAGCTGAGCATATAATAAACACTTAGTGTACACATTTTGGAATTCCAGCTGACCCATTCACTCTTTTCTCTATATGCAACTTGACTTCTAGGTACAAGAAACTTCTTACAGTTCCCCAAACACATTGTGTTTATTCACTCATTTTTAAGGGGAGATGGAAGGAGACATTCACAGCTGTTTCAGAAATTGGGTCAAAACCTGTTTTTCCATGTGCCAAGATAGGTGCCAGATATACCCTGCACCCTGCAGGGCTTAGTCCTACCAACTCCCACCAGCTGCCATAACAACCTCTATGACAGATGACTAGATATTGTAGAGAGGAGAGTACATATGGAAGTAGGTAGTGTTCGGATTTTCCCTTCTCCGTCCCAAGCTAAGTGAGTGAGTCTCAAGGAGAATCATCTTTGAGGCTGGGGTTCCTTTAAGAAAGGGGTCTGGCATCTGGTTCTCTGGCTACAGGTTTGCTAAGTTTCAGACATGGGTGGGCACCGGATTGCAACATGGGGAGGGAGAAGTTTTGGTGGAACTTAACATATATGAGCGGAGTTGGGGGACCCACAATGATATGGTTTGGCTGCGTCCCCACCCAAGTCTTACCTTGAATTGTAATAATCCCCATGTGTCAAGAGTGGGGGCAGGTGGAGATAATTGAATCATGGAGGCTGTTTCCCTCATACTGTTCTTGTGGTAGTGAATAAGTCTTAGGAGATCTGATGGTTTTATAAATGGGAGTTCCCCTGCCCAAGTTATCTTGCCTGCCACCATGTAAGATATGCCTTTGCTCCTTCTTTGCCTTCCACCATGATTGAGGCCTCTCCAGCCATGTGGAACTGTGAGTCCATTAAACCTTTTTCCTTTGTAAGCTACTCAGTCTTGGGCATGTCTTTATTAGCAGTGTGAGAACAGACTAATACAGTAAATTGGTATTAGGTAGTGAGATGCTGCTGTAAAGATACCCAAAAATGTGGAAGTGACTCTGGAACCAGGTAACAGGCTGAGATTGGAACAGTTTGGAGGGCTCAGATGAGGGCAGAAAGATGTGGGAAAGTTTGGAACTTCCTAGAGACTTCTTGAATGGCTTTGGCCAAAATGCTGATCGTGATATGGACAATAAGGTCCAGGCTGAGGTGGTCTCAGATGGAGGTAAGGAACTTGTTGGAAACTGGAGTAAAGGTCACTCTTGCTATGCAGAGAGACTAGTGGCATTTTGCCCCTGCCCTAGAGATCTGTTGAACTTTGAACTTGAGGGAGATGATTTAGGATATCTGGTGGAAAAAATTTCTAAGCATAGGATAAAAGTTTGAAAAATTTGCAGCCTGATGATGTGATAGAAAAGAAAAACCCATTTTCTAGGGAGAAATTCAAATTGGCCTCATAAATTTGCATAAGTAACAAGGAGCCAAATTCTAATTGACAAGACAATGGGGAAAATGTCTCCAGGGCATGTCAGAGACCTTCACGGCAGCCCCTTCCATATGCCTGGAGGTCTAGGAGGGAAAAATGTTTTCCTGGGCTGAGTCCAGGGTCTTCCTGCTGTGTACAGCTTTGGGACTTGGTGCCCTGCATCCCTGCTGCTCCAGCTGTGACTAAAAGGGGCCAAGGTACAGCTCAGGCTGTGGCTTCAGAGAGTGCAAGCCCCTAGCCTTGGCAGCTTCCATGTGGCATTGGTCCTGCAGGTGCACAGAAGACAAAAATTGAGGTTTGGGAACCTCCGCCTAGATTTCAGAGGATGTACGGAAACACCTGTATGTCCAGGTAAAAGTTTGCTGCAGGGATGGGGCCCTCATGGAGAACCTCTGCTATGGCAGTGTGGAAGGGAATTATGGGGTCAAAGTCCCCACACAGAGTCCCCACTAGGGCACTGCCTACTGGAGCTGTGAGAAGAGGGCCACCATCCCCCAGGTCCCAGAACTGTAGATCCATTGACAGCTTGCACCATGAGCCTGGAAAAGCCATAAACACCTAATGCCAGCCTGTGAAAGGAGCCAGGAGGGACTGTAACCTGCAAAGCCAGAGGTGGAGCTGCCCAAGACCATGGGAACCCACCTCCTGCATCAATGTGACCTGAATGTGAGACACGGAGTCAAAGGAGATCATTTTGGAGCTTTAAAGTTTGACTGCCCTGCTGGATTTCTGATTTGCATGGGGCCTGTAGTCCCTTCTTTTTGGCCAATTTTTCCCATTTGGAGTGGGTGTATTTACCCAATGCCTATACCCCCATTCTGTCTAGGAAGTAACTAACTTGCTTTTGATTTTACAGGCTCATAAGTGGCAGGGACTTGCCTTGTCTCAGATGAAACTTTGGACTGTGGACTTTTGGGTTAATGCTGAAATGAGTTAAGACTTTGGGGGACCTTTGGGAAGGCATAATTGGTTTTGAAATGTGAGGATATGAGATTTGGGAGGGGCCAGAGGCAGAATGATATGGTTTGGCTCTGTGTCCCCACCTAAATCTCACCTTGAATTGTAATAATCCCCATGTGTCAAGGGCAGGGCCAGATGGAGATAACTGAATCATGGGCGTGGTTTCCCCCATACTGTTCTCATGGTAGTGAACAAGTCTCAGGAGATCTGATCGTTTTATAAATGGGAGTTCCCCTGTACAAGCTGTCTTGCCTGCCACCATGTAAGACATGCCTTTGCTCCTCCTTCACCTTCTGTCATGATTGTGAGGCCTCTCCAGCCATGTGGAACTGTGAGTCCATTAAACTTCTTTCCTTTGTAAATTACCCAGTCTCAGGTATGTCTTTATTAGCAGTATGAGAATAGACAATACCCACAAGGACAGAGATTGATGTCTGTCCCTCACTGGCAGAGAGATGATGATGAAGGCAGCTTGCTGTGGCTGCTGAAAAGACAGGGCAGCCACAAGGCAGCCGGCATATCTGTGACTCCTCCTGGGACAAATGAATGCCACAGAAAATTAGCTGGCTCAAACCTTTGATGGATCCCGACCAAGAGGCTGTCTGCCAGTGTGAAGGAGCCCCAGCAGGGAGAGGGTCTGTATCCCTGGGCAGGAACCGAGGATCATAAGTCATCTGGATAATTCAAGGCCAAACTCAGGGGGCCGGGCCTGTGAAGGTCCCCACAGGGAGCCTCTTTAGAACCCCAGTGTGCTTCAAGAAAGAGCTGGCATTTTTACCACGTGGGGTCAGCCAGGAGAGCTTGGCAAACACCTCTGCTGTGACTCTGTTCTCAGAGTCAGATATCACTCCCTTGGAAGCATTTGTCAGCATGAGGGGGTGTTTGTGTTTTCTGCTGTCCCAGTGATTGGGAGGATGCTCTTGGTATTTAGTGAGCAGGGGTGCTGGACATCTCGTGATGTATGCAACGGTTCAGGACAATGAAGAATGGCCCTTCCAAAATGTAATGCAGGCTGGGTGTGGTTGCTTATACCTGTAATCCCAGCACTTTGGGAGTCCAAGACGGGCAGATTGCTTGAGCCCAGGAGTTCAAGACCAGCCTGGGCAATGTGGTGAAACTCCATCTCTACAAAATATACAAAAAATTAGCTGGGGTTAGTGGCACATGCCTGTAATCCCAGCTACTTGGGAGGTTGAGGTGGGAGGAACACCTGAGCCCAGGAGTGCTGCAGTGAGCTGTGATCATGCCACTATGCTTCGGCCTAAGAAACAGAGCAAGACCCTGTCTTGAAAAACAAACAAACAGGAGGAGCCAAGATGGCCGAATAGGAACAGCTCCGGTCTACAACTCCCAGCGTGAGCGACGCAGAAGACGGGTGATTTCTGCATTTCCATCTGAGGTACCGGGTTCATCTCACTAGGGAGTGCCAGACAGTGGGCACAGGTCAGTGGGTGCGCGCACCATGCGCGAGCCGAAGCAGGGAGAGTCATTGCCTCACTCGGGAAGCGCAAGGGGTCAGGGAGTTCCCTTTCCTAGTCAAAGAAAGTGGTGACAGATGGCACCTGGAAAATCGGGTCACTCCCACCCGAATACTGCGCTTTTCCGATGGGCTTAAAAAACAGCGCACCAGGAGATTATATCCCGCACCTGGCTCGGAGGGTCATACGCCCACGGAGTCTCGCTGATTGCTAGCACAGCAGTCTGAGATCAAACTGCAAGGCGGCAGCGAGGCTGGGGGAGGGGCGCCCACCATTGCCCAGGCTTGCTTAGGTAAACAAAGCAGCCGGGAAGCTCGAACTGGGTGGAGCCCACCACAGCTCAAGGAGGACTGCCTGCCTCTGTAGGCTCCACCTCTGGGGACAGGGCACAGACAAACAAAAAGACAGCAGTAACCTCTGCAGACTTAAATGTCCCTGTCTGACAGCTTTGAAGAGAGCAGTGGTTCTCCCAGCATGCAGCTGGAGATCTGAGAACAGGCAGACTGCCTCCTCAAGTGGGTCCCTGACCCCTGACCCCTGAGCAGCCTAACTGGGAGGCACCCCCCAGCAGGGGCAGAATGACACCTCACACGGCCAGGTACTCCAACAGACCTGCAGCTGAGGGTCCTGTCTGTTAGAAGGAAAACTAACAAACAGAAAGGACAACCACACCAAAAACCCATCTGTACATCACCATCATCAAAGACCAAAAGTAGATAAAACCACAAAGATGGGGAAAAAACAGAGCAGAAAAACTGGAAACTCTAAAAAGCAGAGCGCCTTTCCTCCTCCAAAGGAACGCAGTTCCTCATCAGCAACGGAACAAAGCTGGACGGAGAATGACTTTGACGAGCTGAGAGAAGAAGGCTTCAGATGATCAAATTACTCTGAGCTATGGGAGGACATTCAAACCAAAGGCAAAGAAGTTGAAAACTTTTAAAAAACTTTAGAAGAATGTATAACTAGAATAACCAATACAGAGAAGTGCTTAAAGGAGCTGATGGAGCTGAAAACCAAGGCTCGAGAACTATGTGAAGAATGCAGAAGCCTCAGGAGCCAATGTGATCAACTGGAAGAAAGGGTATCAGCGATGGAAGATGAAATGAATGAAATGAAGCAAGAAGGGAAGTTTAGAGAAAAAAGAATAAAAAGAAATGAGCAAAGCCTCCAAGAAATATGGGACTATGTGAAAAGACCAAATCTACGTCTGATTGGTATACCTGAAAGTGACGGGGAGAATGGAACCAAGTTGGAAAACACTCTGCAGGATATTATCCAGGAGAACTTCCCCAATCTAGCAAGGCAGGCCAACATTCAGATTCAGGAAATACAGAGAACGCCACAAAGATACTCCTCGAGAAGAGCAACACCAAGACACATAATTGTCAGATTCTCCAAAGTTGAAATGAAGGAAAAAATGTTAAGGGCAGCCAGAGAGAAAGGTCGGATTACCCTCAAAGGGAAGCCCATCAGACTAACAGCAGATCTCTCGGCAGAAACTCTACAAGCCAGAAGAGAGTGGGGGCCAATATTCAACATTCTTAAAGAAAAGAATTTTCAACCCAGAATTTCATATCCAGCCAAACTAAGCTTCATAAGTGAAGGAGAAATAAAATCCTTTACAGACAAGCAAATCCTGAGAGATTTTGTCATCACCAGGCCTGCCCTAAAAGAGCTCCTGAAGGAAGCGCTAAACATGGAAAGGAACAACCGGTACCAGCCGCTGCAAAATCATGCCAAAATGTAAAGACCATCGAGACTAGGAAGAAACTGCATCAACTAACGAGCAAAATAACCAGCTAACATCATAATGACAGGATCAAATTCACACATAACAATATTGACTTTAAATGTAAATGGACTAAATGCTCCAATTAAAAGACACAGACTGGCAAATTGGATAAAGAGTCAAGACCCATCAGTGTGCTGTATTCAGGAAACCCATCTCACGGGCAGAGACACACATAGGCTCAAAATAAAAGGATGGAGGAAGATCTACCAAGCAAATGGAAAACAAAAACAGGCAGGGGTTGCAATCCTAGTCTCTGATAAAACAGACTTTAAACCAACAAAGATCAACAGAGACAAAGAAGGCCATTACTTAATGGTAAAGGGATCAATTCAACAAGAAGAGCTAACTATCCTAAATATTTATGCACCCAATACAGGAGCACCCAGATTCATAAAGCAAGTCCTGAGTGACCTACAAAGAGACTTAGACTCCCACACATTAATAATGGGAGAATTTAACACCCCACTGTCAACATTAGACAGATCAACGAGACAGAAAGTCAACAAGGATACCCAGGAATTGAACTCAGCTCTGCACCAAGCGGACCTAATAGACATCTACAGAACTCTCCACCCCAAATCAACAGAATATACATTTTTTTCAGCACTACACCACACCTATTCCAAAATTGACCACATACTTGGAAGTAAAGCTCTCCTCAGCAAATGTAAAAGAACAGAAATTATAACAAACTATCTCTCAGACCACAGTGCAATCAAACTAGAAGTCAGGATTAAGAATCTCACTCAAAACCGCTCAACTACATGGAAACTGAACAACCTGCTCCTGAATGACTACTGGGTACATAACGAAATGAAGGCAGAAATAAAGATGTTCTTTGAAACCAATGAGAACAAAGACACAACATACCAGAATCTCTGGGACGCATTCAAAGCAGTGTGTAGAGGGAAATTTATAGCACTAAATGCCCACAAAAGAAAGCAGGAAAGATCCAAAATTGACACCCTAACATCACAATTAAAAGAACTAGAAAAGCAAGAGCAAACACATTCAAAAGCTAGCAGAAGGCAAGAAATAACTAAAATCAGAGCAGAACTGAAGGAAATAGAGACACAAAAAAACCCTTTAAAAAATTAACGAATCCAGGAGCTGGTTTTTTGAAAGGATCAACAAAATTGATAGACTGCTAGCAAGACTACTAAAGAAAAAAAGAGAGAAGAATCAAATAGATGCAATAAAAAATGATAAAGGGGATATCACCACCGATCCCACAGAAACACAAACTACCATCAGAGAATACTACAAACACGTCTACACAAATAAACTAGAAAATCTAGAAGAAATGGATAAATTCCCCGACACATACACTCTCCCAAGACTAAACCAGGAAGAAGTTGAATCTCTGAATAGACCAATAACAGGAGCTGAAATTGTGGCAATAATCAATAGCTTACCAACGAAAAAGAGTCCAGGACCAGATGGATTCACAGCCAAATTCTACCAGAGGTACAAGGAGGAACTGGTACCATTCCTTCTGAAACTATTCCAATCAATAGAAAAAGAGGGACTCCTCCCTAACTCATTTTATGAGGCCAGCATCATCCTGATACCAAAGCCGGGCAGAGACACAACCAAAAAAGGGAATTTTAGACCAATATCCTTGATGAACATTGATGCAAAAATCCTCAATAAAATACTGGCAAACCAAATCCAGCAGCACATCAAAAAGCTTATCCACCATGATCAAGTGGGCTTCATCCCTAGGATGCAAGGCTGGTTCAATATACGCAAATCAATAAATGTAATGCAGCATATAAACAGAACCAAAGACAAAAACCACATGATTATCTCAATAGATGCAGAAAAGGCCTTTGACAAAATTCAACAATGCTTCATGCTAAAAACTCTCAATAAATTAGGTATTGATGGGACGTATCTCAAAATAACAAGAGCTATCTATGACAAACCCACAGCCAATATCATACTAAATGGGCAAAAACTGGAAGCATTCCCTTTGAAAACTGGCACAAGACAGGGATTCCCTCTCTCACCACTCCTATTCAACATAGTGTTGGAAGTTCTGGCCAGGGCAATTAGGCAGGAGAAGGAAATAAAGGGTATTCAATTAGGAAAAGAGGAAGTCAAATTGTCCCTGTTTGCAGACGACATGATTGTATATCTAGAAAACCCCATTGTCTCAGCCCACAATCTCCTTAAGCTGATAAGCAACTTCAGCAAAGTCTCAGGATACAAAATCAATGTACAAAAATCACAAGCATTCTTATACACCAGTAACAGACAAACAGAGAGCCAAATCATGAGTGAACTCCCATTCACAATTGCTTCAAAGAGAATAAAATACCTAGGAATCCAACTTACAAGGGATGTGAAGGACCTCTTCAAGGAGAACTACAAACCACTGCTCAAGGAAATAAAAGAGGATACAAACAAATGGAAGAACATTCCATGCTCATGGGTAGGAAGAATCAATATCGTGAAAATGGCCATACTGCCCAAGGCAATTTACAGATTCAATGCCATCCCCATCAAGCTACCAATGACTTTCTTCACAGAATTGGAAAAAAATACTTTAAAGTTCATATGGAACCAAAAAAGAGCCCGCATCGCCAAGTCAATCCTGAGCCAAAAGAACAAAGCTGGAGACATCACACTACCTGACTTCAAACTATACTACAAGGCTACAGTAACCAAAACAGCATGGTACTGGTACCAAAACAGAGATATAGATCAATGGAACAGAACAGAGCCCTCAGAAATAATGCCGCATATTTACAACTATCTGATCTTTGACAAACCTGACAAAAACAAGCAATGGGGAAAGGATTCCCTATTTAATAAATGGTGCTGGGAAAACTGGCTAGCCATATGTAGAAAGCTGAAACTGGATCCCTTCCTTACACCTTATACAAAAATCAATTCAAGATGGATTAAAGACTTAAATGTTAGACCTAAAACCATAAAAACCCTAGAAGAAAACCTAGGCATTACCATTCAGGACATAGGCATGGGCAAGGACTTCATGTCTAAAACACCAAAAGCAATGGCAACAAAAGCCAAAATTGACAAATGGGATCTAATTAAACTAAAGAGCTTCTGCACAGCCAAAGAAACTACCATCAGAGTGAACAGGCAACCTACAAAATGGGAGAAAATTTTCGCAACCTACTCATCTGACAAAGGGCTAATATCCAGAATCTACTATGAACTCAAACAAATTTACAAGAAAAAAACAAACAACCCCATCAAAAAGTAGGCAAAGGACATGAACAGACACTTCTCAAAAGAAGACATTTATGCAGCCAAAAAACACATGAAAAAATGCTCACCATCACTGGCCATCAGAGAAATGCAAATCAAAACCACAATGAGATACCATTTCATACCAGTTAGAATGGCAATCATTAAAAAGTCAGGAAACAACAGGTGCTGGAGAGGATGTGGAGAAATAGGAACACTTTTACACTGTTGGTGGGACTGTACACTAGTTCAACCATTGTGGAAGTCAGTGTGGCGATTCCTAAGGGATCTAGAACTAGAAATACCATTTGACCCAGCCATCCCATTACTGGGTATATACCCAAAGGACTATAAATCATGCTGCTATAAAGACACATGCACACGTATGTTTATTGCGGCATTATTCACAATAGCAAAGACTTGGAACCAACCCAAATGTCCAACAACGATAGACTGGATTAAGAAAATGTGGCACATATACACCATGGAATACTATGCAGCCATAAAAAATGATGAGTTCATGTCCTTTGTAGGGACATGGATGAAATTGGAAATCATCATTCTCAGTAAACTAGCGCAAGAACAAAAAACCAAACACCGCATATTCTCACTCATAGATGGGAACTGAACAATGAGAACACATGGACACAGGAAGGGGAACATCACACTCTGGGGACTGTTGTGGGATGGGGGGAGGGGGGAGGGATAGCATTGGGAGATATACCTAATGCTAGATGACGAGTTAGTGGGTGCAGCGCACCAGCATGGCACATGTATACATATGTAACTAACCTGCACATTGTGCACATGTGCCCTAAAACTTAAAGTATAATAATAATAAATAAACAAATACATAAAAAAGAAAAAAGCCAGGCCAAAAAAAAAAAAAAAAGAAAAACAAACAAATAAGCAAACAAACAAAACAAAATGGAGTGTAGCTCATTGCAGACAGCTGATTCAATGAAAGACTACAACTTTTCCTCAAATCCCTCCTCCCCATGCCATGACACTGGGGCATTAGAAGCAGCAGAGTGGGAGGACGAGAGGAATAAGGAAAGGCTCTGCCCCTTCCCCACTGTGAGGTCTTGAGCCATGAATTGGGTCTGAGCTGGGGATGGAGGATGCTTTGGACTAGAGTGAACTTCTTAATAGAGTGAGTCTTCCAAAAATGCGACTATTCTTAATATTAGAAGGGACAGACATGCTGGGATCTGCCTAAGGGGTGGAAAGGAGGATTCCTCAAGACATGGGTGAAAGGACAAGTTGGAAAAGATTAAAACAATTTGCGGTTTGAACTCTTCCTGAAAGTTAATAAAATTCAGTTGTTGATACATTTATTCATTCATGTATTCAATATTCATTGAGAGCATCTATTATGGTCAGGGCCTGGACATATTGATGAAGACAAAGCTCTTGTTCTCACAGAACTTATATTCTAGTCAATTTGTGTTTCGTGTCTCTGTGCCTTTGCACAGGCTGTTCCCTCTACCTGCATTCCTGGCTCTGTCCATCTTTCTGCACAGGATGAGATTCTTTCAGATTTCAGTCAGGCTTCACCTCCCATGGAAGACATCCTTGAGCTCCGTGGCAGCATTGGGAATCCCTCCTTCCATTCCCTAGGTTATGGCAACACTGTGTTGCTCTAATCATTGGCTCATGTTTCAGTTCCCCTCCTAGCCTGGGGTCACCCTATTATCCCCAGCGCCTCAATGAACACATGCATTGAATTATTAAAGAAAACTCTGAAAAGACTGTAAGTTCATTGGAAAAATCTGCCTCCTTTATTCACCGTTTTTTTTTTGTTTTGTTTTGTTTTTTAAGCACTTCACACTACGAGACCCTGAACATGTTGTTGCCTACCTCAAAATCCTGGGCCTCACTTTCCCCATCTGTAGAGTGGGCATATAATCTTACCTCCTCAGGCGCTATGAGGATGAAATGGAATGGGATGTATGGAGGGGAGTCCCAGGGGCTGGGCTGTGGGTGGAAGTGTGTTTTAGTCACAGCCTTGGGGACACCCTTGGTGAGTGCTTACTAATAGCTTCTGGATCACCCATCACATTAAGAAACTGGGACTCTGATGAGCTTGTAGACATTTTCTAGAGCTTGTTTATTTACAGATTGACTTCTCAGAGGGAACTGTTATTATTATTTGTTATCACCTCTGTAGTTGCTTCTAATTCCCTGTTTTTCAGCCAAATTGGTTGAAATCAATGTTTCTCGTATATGCCCTGGGATTCCCACCTCCCTGCTTTTTCTCATACTTGTAACTCTGCCAGCAGCCATTGAATTCCCATTCAACCTTCTAGACCCACTCAGATGCCACCTGTCAATAAAGCATTTTCTGATCCTCTCGGCAGGTTGTGTTCCTGCCTTCTTTTCTGAAAGTCTTTTCATTCATTGACTTAATTAGGGAGGTTGTGTTTGCCTTAACCCCTGTCCGAGCTGAGATTTCAGGGGCCATGTCTGTTTTGTGCCTGTTTCCTGAGACCTGAGTCTGATCCAGTGGCTTGTGTATGGGGAAATGCAAGAGAATAGAACTGAGGCCATGGAGGGAGGGTGATACAGATGGGTGTTGGGACAAGAGCCAAACAGCCCCATCTGAGCTGACCTCTGAGCTGACCTCTGTCTCTACCACAACCTGCCTGGGCCTGGCTCTGCCCAAACTTGCCCACATTATGCCAGCAGCCCCCACCCCCCCTTCCAGTGCATACATATGTGTTCCCACAAGCTCCCCCAACTCCCAGGACAAATCAGCTAGGGAAGCCTACATGGAGATAAGATTAGGTGCAATTTGTTAACAGGAGTTTTAGCTTTCTCTATTTTGGCAAAGCCTTCTTGACAGAGCAAACCCCCTGAGGAAATGCATCAAGCAACAAGTCCCTGTGGCATTTTAACAGCCAAAAAGCCAGCTGCTGAAAGAATTCCAGCCAGGCAGCTGACAGCAACAGGCTGGCTAATTAATGGAAACCCATTTGCAAAATTAGTGGTAAACATTATTACCCAGGTGTGCCAGCCCTAACCCCCAGCAGAGAGCAGTGGAATAAAAAGCTGGTTTTAAAGGCAGGGAAGAGCCAGGGAGCAGGGGTAGAGGTGGAAAGCTCTCATAGTCAGAGGGCTTGCGTTCCAGGCCTCTAGGTTCCAACCCTGAGTGATCACAGGGCTCCATGCTCACTGGATTTCAGATTGTTGCTGTAAACCAAAAAGTATGTAAGACAGGTCTCAATCATTTTAGAAGTATATTTTGCCAAGGTTAAGGACATGCCCATGACACAGCCTCAGGAGGGCCTGATGAAACTGCCATTGCAAAATTGTCACTGAGATAGTGAAAGAAATTTGACATAACCAACTCCATCTTGCTTCCAACCTCCAAGCTGTCCTTGTTCGTTCCTGGGCATAGGCTGAACTAACTTTGGGAAGAGGTTATTATAGTTTATAGTTTAAAACAAGGACGATAACAGCCCTTTCCCAAAACAAACCTCCTTCTCGTCTGGGGATTAGATTGCCTTTGTAGGACTAGCAAATTAGCCTCAAGATTAGAAATTATGGTTTAAGAGTCATGCAGCTGGAGGCTACAAGATTCTGACATTCCCTAAACTGCTCCTAAGATCAGTGCTTGAGATATTTTGCAGATCCTGCACTTGATGGATCAGCTGGCACCACCCAGAACGATTAATTGGCTCATCTAATCTTGCGGCCCCCACTCATGAGCTGACTCATGAAGAGGACAGCTTCAATTCCCTATGATTTTATCTCCTACCTAACCAATCAGCACTCCTGGCTCACTGGCTTCCCCCAACCCGCCAAGTTATCCTTAAAAACTCTGATCCCTGAATGCTTGTGGAGACTGATTTGAGTAACAGTAAAACTCCGGTCTCCCACACAGCCAGCTCTGCATGAATTACTTTTTCTCTGTTGCAATTCCCCTGTCTTGAGAAATTGGCTCTGTCTAGGCAGCAGGCAAGGTGAACCCAGTGGGTGGTTAAACTGAGAATATGTGCCCAAGGTGCTCAGGCTACAGCTTGATTTTGTGTTTTAGGAAGACATAAGTCATCAGTCAATGCATGTACGGTTTACATTGATTCTGTCCAGAAAATGGGGACAACTTGAAGTGCAGATAGGGGTGGCAAGGGCAGTAGGGGGTACTTCCAGGCCATAGGTGGATTCAAAGAGTTCCTGATTGGCAATTGGTTGAAAGAGTTTATCTAAAGACCTGGAATCAACGGAAGAAAGAGTCTGGGTTAAGATAAGGGATTGTGAGGACCAAGGTTTTTATTAGGCAGATGAAGCCTCCAGGTTGCAGGCTTCAGAGAGACTAAATTGTAAATGTTTCTTATTAGACTTTAAAAGGTGGCAGACTCTTAATTAATTCTCTACTGGATCAGGAAAATTCCTGGAAAGGAAGGGTTTTCCCCATAAGAGACAGCTTTGCAAGGCCATTTCAAAATATGTCAAAGAAATATATTTTGGGGTAAAATGCTTTGATTTCTTCTAGGGCCTGCTATCTGTCATGTTGGTATCTTATTGCTGCCAAGAGTCTGCTTTGTCAGCCTTAAGGTCTCTGTTTTAATGTCTTTAAAAGATGGTCAGCTGTGCCTGAATTCCCAGTGGAGGAGGGTATAATGAGGCACGTCCAACCCCACTTCCCATCAGGATAGTTTAGGAATGCCTTGGCTGAGAGGAGAGGTCCATTCCATTGGTGGAGGGGCTTCATATTTTAATTTTGGTTTTCATTGTCATGGAACATTTATTAAGCATCTACTGTATATATGCCATACTTGCTCAGGAATTAGAAAACTTGGCTTCATCACACAGAGGAGCACAGCCAACTTTCCCTCTCTGGATCTGGTTTCCTCAACTACAAAGTGGAGATGATGGTGACAGTGATTATGACAGCTTCTATGTGACGAGCACTTTCAGTGTGACAGGCTCTGAACCAAGAGCTGTCCAGCCATTTCTTACCCAATCCTTGTATCAATCCTCTAATATAGAGCCTACTAGCAGCACCATTTCATAGATGGAAAAGGAAAAAAACAAGGCTTTGAGTGTGTACTAAGTTGGCTAGTGTCCTCCCAAAACCCATGAACCTTAAAACGTGACCTTATTTGAAATTGGGTCATTGCAGACATAATTAGTTAAGTTGGGTGGATTAATACCAACATAGAGTGGGCCCTTACTCCAGTATGACTGGTGTTCTTATAAAGAGAGGACTTCTATGTCATAGGTAGCAACTAGCTGGGCCCAGTGGCATGAGTGGTAAAGGAATTTACCAAGACAGTTGTAGGTAAAGAAAAGCAGATTTATTAGAGACAGTATGAAAATACATTACAAGAAAACAATGGGGCTGGGCGCAGTGGCTCATGCCTGTAATCCCAGCACTTTGCGGGGCCGAGGCAGGTGGATCACTTGAAGTCAGGAGTTCGAGACCACCCTGGCCAACATGGTGAAACCCTGTCTCTGATAAAAATACAGAAATTAGCCAGGTGTGGTGGCGGGCGCCCATAATCCAAGCTACTCGGGAGGCTGAGGAATGAGAATCACTTGAAACTGGGAGGCAGAGGTTGTAGTGAGCTAAGATCATGCTCCTGCACTCCAGCCTGGGTTCAGTCTCAAAAAAAAAAAGAAAGAAAGAAAGAAAGAAAGAAAGAAAGAAAGAAAGAAAGAAAGAAAGAAAGCAAGCAAGCAACGGGCAGCACAGCAGAGAAGGGGCTGTCTGCAAAGAGGCAGGGGCTGGAGGGAAGTTTCACGGGGCTGTGCCAAAAGGGCTACCTGCAGAACTTAGTTGTGGTGCCTGCAGTTTATTTGTGATTAGCTGGTCTCTCAGAACAATTGTTCATTGTTCTTCCCCTCTGGGGCCCTCCCCTACCTGGGGCCCCTTCCTCCTTATTGCTTACTTATCATCAGGACTCCACATTCTAACCTTCAGTATTGTGGGAGAGAATAAATTTCTGTTGTTTTAAGTCACCAAGTTGGTGGTGATTTGTTGCAGCAGCTTTAGGAAATGAATACAGAAAGGTTAAGTAAGTTGCCCAAGGCCACACAGCTGTGAAGCAGACCCCCTGAGATTCCAGGGCAGATTCTGATTCCAGAGCCCCAGTGATGAGCAATTACTCTATCTTAAATGAGTCAGTTGTGTTCATCGGTGCCTGGAACAAAGCAAGAGCTGACGAAGTGCTAGCTGCTATTGTTGCTGTTGTTATTAATTATATACTATCATGGGCTCACTCCCCCTTCTGCATGCTTTGCAGGGTAATATGAGGAGCAGCAAGACAATAAATGCCTTGTAGTCTTTCAAGACCCGGACAACTGTAAATTATATTATCATTAATATTATCATGAGAGACAATGAAGAAAAAGTACAGTGAATACTTTTTCACAACACACTGAAGTGTGACTAGTCAAAGCAACACCAGTTCATCCCAGTGAGGGGGAGGTGAGAAGTCAGCAAATCCATTGTCCTCTGGAGAGAACTCGAGATCTTCCCATGTCTCATTTGTATCCCCAAATGCTGCCAGGTACAAAGGAAGAGGGAGAGAGAATGACCACAAATCTCCCCTTTTCCCTGAATCCACACCTTTTGCCATGTTGTCAGAGGCATTTGAATCATAGCAACTCTATCTTGAATAGGGGTTGGGTAAAATGAGGCTGAGACCTACTGGCTGCCCTCCTAGGACGTTACGCATTGAGATAGGGGGTCAGCACAAGATACAGGTCATAAAGACCATGCTGATAAAACAAGTTGCAGTAAAGAAGCCAGCTGAAACCCACCAAAGCCAAGAAGGCAACAAGAGTGACCTCCAGCCATCCTCGCTGCTCATTATATACTAACCATAATGCATTAGCAGGCTAAAAGACACTCCCACCAACACCATGACAGTTTACAAATGCCATGGCAACGTCAGGAAGTTACCCTATATGGTCTAAAAAGGGGAGGAACCCTCAGTTCCGGCAATTGCCCACCTTTTTCCCAGAAAACTCAAGAATAATCCACCCCTTGTTTAGCATATAATCAAGAAATATTCATAAAAATGGGCAGCCAGCAGCCCTGCTCTTCCTATGGAATAGGCATTCTTTATTCCTTTATTTTCCTAATAAACTTGCTTTTCACATTATGGACTGGCCCCGTCTGTCTTGTGTCAGATCCTAGAACCCTCTCTTGGGGTCTGGATTGGGACCCCTTTCTGGTAACCATGTGACCTCGCAGCCCCCTCATTTCCATGGGTGGAATATGTTTTCCTGCCCTTGACTTTGGGTTGGCCATGTGACTGGTGTTGGTTAATGCAATCAGATGGAAGTGATGGTTAATCATTTATGCTTGATCTTTTGCGTCTCTACCTGCCCTCTTGTGCCTCTGCCATCACCATGAGAAGAATGCTCCAGGCAGCCTGCAGACTCATTAGGAGGATGAGAGACACCTGGCCAAGAGCTGGGCCACGTGAGCCGAACCAGTGCTCATTGTTGTATGCCATTGAGGTTTTGAGACTTTTTTGTTATGCAGGATTACTGTAGCAAAAGCAAACTGATACAAACCCCCAAGGGTTTACATCCAGGTCTGCAAATGACACTGGTTACTTGAAGCTATGACACACAGTGAGACTGAAATAGCAGTGAGGGTGTTCCCTTAAACCTCCACAGAAACCTGGGGGTTGAGAGGATGGTCACATGAATGATATCTAATGACTGCATGACCTTAGACATAATTAATTAAGTTGGGTGGGTTAATACTAACGTAGGGTGGGCCCTTACTCCAGTGTGACCGGTGTTCTTATAAAGAGAGGACTTGTAGCCTTCAAAACTATGGGCGAGAATACATTTCTATTGCTTTGGACCACCTAGTTTGTCTCAGTTTTTCATCTGTCTAATGGGATTAAAAAATGTTCCCTTGGGCCGAGCGCGGTGGCTCACGCCTGTAATCCCAGCACTTTGGGAGGCCGAGGCGGGCAGATCACGAGGTCAGGAGATCGAGACCATCCTGGCTAACACGGTGAAACCCCGTCTCTACTAAAAACACAAAAAAATTAGCCGGGCGTGGTGGCGGGCGCCTGTAGTCCCAGCTACGCGGGAGGGTGAGGCAGGAGAATGGCGTGAACCCGGGAGGCGGAGCCTGCAGTGAGTCGAGATTGCGCCACTGCACTCCAGCCTGGGCGACAAAGCGAGACTCCGTCTCAAAAAAAAAAAAAAAAAAAAAAAAAAGTTCCCTTTAGGATTGCTTTGAGCATTAAGCGAAATAAAATATACAAAAGGGTTTAGCATACTACTGTTAGTGGTGGTGAATCCATATTGGTCTGCAGCAACCTCAGTTCTTGCCTCCTCGGAAGAAAGAATTTGACTGAGGGGCATAAGGCAGAAGGAGAGACGGAAGCAAATTTTAGAGCAGGAGTGAAAAATTATTAAAAACCTGGGCACGGCACGGTGGCTCAGGCCTGTAATCCCAGCAATTTGGGAGGCTGAGGCGGGCAGATCACCTGAGGTCGGGAGTTTGAGACCAGCCTAACCAACATAGAAAAACCCTGTCTCTACTAAAAATACAAAATTAGCCTGGCGTGACGGTGCACGCCTGTAATTCCAGCTACTCAGGAGGCTGAGGCAGGAGAAGCGCTTGAATCTGGGAGGTGGAGATTGCAGTGAGCCGAGATCGTGCCATTTCACTCCAGCCTGGGTAACAAGAGTGAAACTCTGTCTCAAAAAAAAAAAAAAGCTTTAGAACAAGAACAAGAGGAAGTAAGGTACACTTGCAAGAGGGCCGAGTGGGCGACTTGAGAGATGAAGTGCACAGTTTGACCTTTGACTTGGGGTCTTACCCTTCTGGAGTCTTGCAGTCTTGCATCCCTTCTCCTCTGGTTGTTGCCTTGCGGCGGGCTGTCCGCATGCGCAGTGGCCTGCTAGTGCCTGGGGGGAGCATGCCCAGTGTGTTTACTGGAGTTGTACGCATGCTCATTTGAGGTGTCTTTCCTTTACCAAATGTCTCTAAGTCATTTAATTAATTAATTAAATTAATTAATTAAACTCCGCCATTTTGCCTCTTTCCAATGCTTGAGCCCACTTGCCCAACTCCAGAGATCTTCCGGGAAGCCACTGATCACCAGTTTCAGGTTTTTTCTGTCCGTTGGGAAATTTTTTTTTTCCTGGTGCTGGCTGTCACCAATTATTATTTTAGGGAGATAGTTAACAACTGCCTGACCATCACCTGATGGTTGCCTGACATTCCTGGTTGGAGAGGGGGTGGGAGTGGGGTCGGGAGGTGGGTTCAAGTTCTTCTCCTTCCCTGCTCATGCTTGACTAGTTACCTACTGTAATAGTGCCAGCGCATAGTAGGTCTCAATAAATGGTAGTTTCTTAGCAAATGTAGTGGCTGGAGGCCTCCTATTATGTGGGTTGAAGACGCGTGTTTTTGTCCATCTTCCAGATATTTCCCACACTAATGCCTGGGGCCCCGAAGGAGGGCGCTCTGCCTGTGTACCGGGATGCTTTTCATTAAAGCCTCAAAGAGTCAGGGGCTCTTCGCCTTGCTGCTATTCACGATGCAAGTTTTGTTCTGTGTGACACTAATAGGTTAAAAAATAGCTGGGGCTGGATTAGAGTCCCTGCTGCTCCCCCTTGGCACAGCATGAGCTTAGGCAAGTTAATTAACCTCTCTGGGCCTCCGTTTCCTCATCTGTGAAATGTAGGTAATTATCTCCACCTCATACCACTGGGGTAATGGCTGGATGTCATAAAGGCACCTCCCATCATTAACAGCTGTGTGGCCGGAGAGGCCATGGGCTCTTTCATCCTGGGCTCTTACCCACCCCCATGCACCTGAACTTAACGTGCCAGTCCCATCTGCAGAAGCATGTCCCTCTGGTGGCTTCATCTCACGAGAAGGAAGAAGTGTGAACCACATTTTGTTTTAAACACCAGCCCTCCTCAGCAGGCTGTTCTCTTTCAAACAGAAAGAGAACTGTCTCTGGGAGCAGGGACAGCTCATGACCTTCCACTCTTTCCCCCTTTTTTGCTCCTTCTCCAAACTAATCCTACGATATACACTGGGAATCATGCAGAGATGGTTCCAGAGCTCAACCCCTGGCTCAAAGACTCATAACAAACAATGAGCCAGGTGTGGTGGCACATGCCTGTAGTCCCAGCTCTTTAGGAGGTTGAGGCGGGAGGAATGCTTGAGGCCAGGTGTTCAAGGCTGCAGTGAACTGTGGTTGTACCACTGTACTCCAACCTGGGCAACAGAGCTAGACCCTGTCTCTAAAAATAACAACAACAAAACCAAATCAAAACAAACAAACAAAAAAACTCAATGAAGTGAAGGAAATAAGGTGCAAATATAGAAATAAGAAAATAACCATATGGCTCTCATTTCACTGAGCATTTACTATGTGCCAGGCACTGGGCTAAGCAATTTGTCTACTTCATCTCACTGAATCCTCCCACAGCCCTGTGAGATGGTAGTGTCATACCCATTTTTACAGATGAGGAAACTGAGGCTCTGTGAAAAGACCCACAGAGGACTGAAGAAGGAGAAAGAAAGGAGGGGGAGAAGGGTCATTTTTGGTTAATGATAGTGGTGGTGGGTGGGGCTGAGTAGAATTAGGAGGAGAAAGAGGGTGGGGAGAAGGGAGGGAGAAACAGAGAGAGAGAGAGAGGGAGAGAGAGAGTGTGTGATGGAGACAGAGAACGCAGGCATGTGCCCCAAGAGCTCCCTGCCGGCCAGGAAAAAGAATAACACAGGTGATTCAAATGGGCCGCAACTCCAAAGGGAATTTTGCAGCTGAACCAGAAGAAGCTGTCTGTATGCTGTTCAGTGGAAAAGAGAGGTTCCTTTGGGCTGCAGTAGTGATTGTAACAATTTATGAAGTACCTTTTTATTATTACTAATAATTGTAATAGTAATAATAATGGCAGCTACCTCTGTTGAGTGCCTCCTCTGTTCTAGGCACTGTTAAGTACTTCACATTGTTTATGTCTAATCCTCACCACAATTTGGAAGCTAGGTCTCCTCATGTTCATGGGACAGATGCAGAAACTGAAGCACAGGTGATCGTATCACTGTTCCAGGATCTCTAGGGCCAGTGGCTGAGGGCTGGCAAGGAATCCCTTGAAGGTCTGCTGACCCTGCACTTAGGTTCAGAAGTTGCTGTCTTTCCTTCCTTTCTTGTGTTGCAGAACTTTCTCCTTAGTTCAGCTAAAACCGGGTTCTTGTTACACAACCAGGAAAGATTAGGCTCACGGACACATAGAAGGGTGAGGAGCGGAATTTATTGGGAGAAAAGGAAAAAGGAAAGATAACTCTCAGCAAAGCGAAAAAGAGTCCTGCTAGCAGGTTTCCCACCTCATAGATTGAATCCCAGGTCACCACCCTGATACTGAAGAGGCCGGGTTCCTCCCCTCTGCAAATGGCGTGAACTTCCCCAGGCTCCACCCCGTCCTCCCAGTGTGCAGGTGGGTGTCGTTCAGAGAGAATCAGTCAGGAAAGCGCAGGCGTCATCCAGGACTAGCGGTCCGGTTTCTCACCCTTCAGGCTGTTTTAGGCTTGAAGGCGGGGCTTCACCAGGGACCCTTGGCTATTTCCTGTCTCTATCACTTGCAAGCATAGCTCCATCCATCCATCCATCCATCCATCCTACATGTGTTTATCAAGCATGTGCAGTTGTCCCTCAGTATCTGTTGGGGATTGGTTCCAGGACACCCCTTAGGTAAGAAAATCTGCAGATGCTTAAGTCCCCTATATAAATATAGCACAGTATTTTCATATAGCCTGTGCAGAGTATACTTTAAATCATCTCTAGATTACTTTTAATACCTAATACAATGCTTACACATCACTTCATTTACATAGATTCAATGCACTCAGTGCATAGCAAATCCAAATTTTGCTTTTTGGAACTTCATAGAATTGTTTTTCTGAATATTTTCTTTTGAGACAGGGTCTCACTCTGTCAGCCATGCTGGAGTGCAGTGGTGTGATCACAGCTCAGCTCACTGCAGCCTTGACTTCCTGGGCTTGGGTGATCTTCCCACCTCAGCCTCTCCAGTGGCTGGGACTACATGCACGCACCACCATGCCTGGCTAATTATTGTTTTGCATATTTTTGTAGGGACAGAGTTTTACCGTGTTGCCCAGGCTGGTCTTGAGCTCCTGGACTCAAGTTAGCCGCCTGCCTTGGCCTCCCAAAGTGCTGTGAGCCATCGCACCGGAACCTGGATATTTTCAATGAGAGGATGGTTGAATCTGTGGATGCAGAACCCATGGATATGGAGGGCCAACTGTCCTATGCATCAGGTGCTCTGCTAGATACTGGGCATAGAGCAGTGAACAAGACAACGAGCCCATCTCATTGGAGATGGTTATATTCTAATAGGGAGAGACAATGAAGGGATGATAAACCAATCAATATATCATATTAAGATCAGTGGAGGGCCAGATACGATCTGTTCATTCTCAGCCCATTCCCTCACTTCCTGTTTCCAATGATGACAAAAAAGCAATGGTGATGATGAAACAGCAGTAATAGCTGACATTTGCTGATGGCTCACTCTGCGCTGGGCATTTTACTTGCACTAACTCATTGTCCCAACATAATAGCTCTCCAAGGCTGTGCCGTCATTACCCCATTTTACAGTTGCAGAGAAGCTAAATAACTCACCTAGGGCCACACAGCTGATACATCAAGGACTGCAAGAGATTCAGATCCAGGTTCTCTGGACTCCCACGCTTCCGGCCCACCCTCTCCCCAATCTTTGTGTGACTCATGCTTGCAACACACCTTTGTACAAACCCTCAGCTTCGAACACATCTTCTCCTTTTAGTAGCTACTATTTACAAAAAGCCTATCAGGTGCCAGGTATTGTATGTATATTATTGCCTTTAATCCTCTAAGGAACTCCAAAGGGTAGGTATCTTATGGATAAGTAAACTGAATCTCAGAGAGGCGAGATAACTTGTCTCTGGTTACATCAATAGAAAAGAACAAGGCTGGGATTGGAGCATTGGTCTGCTTGACTCCAAATGTCATGTTCTTTCATTTTCTCACATTGATTCTTCATCTGGCAAATTTCTACACATCTATCAAGACCCATTGTAAATGTAGCCTCTTCATGAAATCATCCCTGACTCTTTGAGGCATAACTTTTTCCTCTTCTGTATTCTCACTGTCCCTTTAGTGTAATATTAGTTTGTGATTATTTGTTTCCTTCTGCATCTCTCTCTCTAGGCAGTGAGCCCCCTGAAGGTGGGGGATGCCTGGCCGTACTCCACTGATTACAATCTTGCCTCTTTCTCCAGAGATTAGGGCTCTGTGCATTTAATTTCATTTATGATTTCAAACTAACCTGTTTGCCCACGTATTTATGCTATTTACTATTAATCCAATTAGCATGGACTGAGGGCAGTTCCAGTGGAGCTAATAGAACAAGTGTGCTTAAGGTCAAGTCCAACCCTTAGCAACATCGTGGACTCTACCTTCAGCCACTCCTTACCTCCTTTAACACTGCCCCCTAGAGGTCACCCAGGCTGGAGTGCAGTGGAGCGATCTCGGCTCACCACAACCTCCGCCTCCTGGGTTCAAGGGATTCTCCCGCCTCAGCTTCCCGAATAGCTGGGACAGGCATGCGCCACCATGCCCCGCTCATTTTTGTATTTTTAGTAGAGATGGGTTTCATGTTGGCCAGGCTGGTCTCAAACTCCTGATCTTATGTGATCTGCCAGCCTCAGCCTCCCAAAGTGCTGGGATTACAGGTGTGAGCCACCGTGCCCTGCCCTCTCTGGCTGTTTCCACTGTTATTAGGAACACTGGCTGACAGACATTTACCCCGAGGGAGCATGGAAGCCCCAGACCCTCAGGGACCTGCATTTAATGCAGAAATCACTAAAAGTGAAGTTTCAATTACCTGCGCTTTGAGCAGAGCCGTGGTATGATTTTTGTGGTCTCTTTTCTCTATAAAACATATTACAATTATATTTTCTGATTGTATTGGTAGAAAGAGAAATATTATCAAGGGCAGATCATATTCTTGTGGTCTTCTGATTTATTTATTTTTAAATTTTTAAATTTTTGAGACAGGTTCTGGCTCTATCTCCCAGGCTGGAATGCGGTGGTGCCATCTCGGCTCACTGAAACCGCTGCCTCCCAGGCTCAAACCATTCTCCCACCTCAGCCTTTTGAGTAGCTGGGACTACAGGTATGCACTACCACGTCCAGCTAATTTGTGTATTTTTTGTAGAGATGGAGTTTCACCATGTTGCCCAGGCTGGTCTCAAACTTGTGAGCTCAAGCGATTTGCCTGCCTGGGCCTCCCAAAGTGCTGGAATTATAGGTATGAGCCACCACATCCAGGCTGCTCTTCTGATTTGAAAAAGGTTAAAGCATTTTTGCAGGCCCCTACTGGTTTTGTGGGCCCAGGGCATAGTGCTAGCAGTGCCTGGTGGACAAGTTGCCCTGATTTGGAGAGTCATGTGCCACCCCTTGCAACCATTAGGACACGTGGGGTGGAGAGTCAGTCCATGCATAAGGGGTTCCCAGCAGGCTTCCTAAGGAATGTGTCTTTTTTTGTTTTGTTTTGTTTGAGACAAAGTCTCACTGTGTTGCCCAGGCTGGAGTGCAGTGGCATGATCACAGCTCACCGCAGCCTCGACCTCCCGGCCTCAGGTGAGCCTCCCACCTCAGCCTCCTGGGCAGCTGAGACTACAGTTGCCACCACCACACTTGACTAATTTTTGTATTTTTTTTGTAGAGATGGGGTTGTGCTATGTTGCCTAGGCTGGTCTTGAACTCCTGGGCTCAAGCGATTTGCCCACCTCGGCCTCCCAAACTGTTGGGATTCCAGGCGTGAGACATCTTGCCCGGCTGGAGTGCATCTTTCTGGTTAGAATGGGTGCATCTTCCTTGGGTCTTTCTTTTCTTATGGAACGCCTCATGAATTGGTGTGTCATCCTTGTGCAGTTCCATTTTCATAGATGGTGAAACTGAAGCTCAGAGAGCAGGGGCCACTTTTCCAAGCCCTCCCAGTGGGAACCAGGAGTCTAATTTGGATCTGCCCGTCCTACCTGTCCAAAGCCTGTCCTGCCCCTGTCCTCTGCTTGAAGGATTTTTTTCAGGATGACCTGAGCCTTTTGTCCCGTGATATAGTGTGAATATTTGTCACTTCCAAATCTCCAGATGAAAGCTGATCTCCAGTGTTGCAGGTGGAGCCTAATGGGGGGTGTCTGGGTCATGGGGGTGGTTCCATCATGAATGTCTTGATGCCATCCTCATCCTCACAGTAATGAATGAGATCTCACTCTGTTAGTTCACATGAGATCTGGTTGTTAAGGAGTCTGGGACCTCCTGCCCCCCACTCCCGCTGGCTTGCTGCCTCTCTCACCATGTGACACGCATGCTCCCCTTTCTCTTCCATCATGAATGAAAGCTTCCTGAAGCCTCACCAGAAGCAGATGCTGGCACCATGCTTCTTGTACAGTCTGCAGAACAGTGAGCCATATCAACCTTTTTTCTTATATATCACCCAGTCTCAGGTGATTTATAAGCAACGCAAAATGGACAAATACACCCAGTGCCTTAGTTGGGTAGGTTTCAAGGCCAGGGTTCTCAGGTGGCCCAGCTGGGAATCCAGTCCAGCCCATGAAGACCCCAGTGAGGCCCATCACTCCTTTAATCTAAGTGATGGGCCTAGATTAAGTCCCCCAGATTATGTTTGTCCCTTGGGCTTCTGACCAGCTCAGCAGAAACCATTCCTCTTCCCTGATGCCAGATGCCTGACCTGGCTCCCACGTCGTTTTTGTTCCCAGCACTGGTTAGGGGCAGAAGTTCCATATTCATTTACATGGTCCGTTGCTGCCCTCTCACGACACTCCAGGCTGCCTGAGGACAGGATTGCTCCTGGGTCTGTTTTATTCACCACTTTTCCAGTGCCTGGCACAGAGAGGCCCTAAGAATGACAAACGACTGACTGAGGCTGTCTGTTGGCTCCGGACCCCTCTCCTTGCTCCTGCAAGGAGGGACAGCTACGCTGAAGGTGTTGGAATTTGTAACACAGCAGACTAGAACAGGAGGCGTGGGCCCCAGACTAGGCAGCCCTTAGAGGTGGGGCAGGTTCTTGGAGACAGTGGCATGATCTCTGATGCTGGGAGGCTGGCAAAGTGTTTACCCAGAGAGCATAGGGCAGGCCCAGGTGATTGTCCAGGAGCCAGGGACTTAAGAAAGTGGCAAAGGGTGTTTTGTTAGGTTGACAGACAATAGAAGCAGGGTGTGCCCAGTGGCCCGATAAGTTGGCATCGTTCCACCTGGTGTGGCTCATGTGGTTGGTCCTACTTGCCCTGTGTGTCGGGGCTGCCAGCCATAGGCCAGCACTGGAAGTCACGGGGGCCCAAACTTTCCCTGAGTCTGCCCCTTCCTCCTCTACCATGAGCCCTTGACTTCACACTGCCCCCACTCGCCTCCATCCTCTCCTCTTTCTGCAGATTAGCTGTGTCAGTCCATTGATGTCATGCTTCCGTCAGAGTTCAGTCTGCTTTTTTCAGCTCAGCCCATCCATATACTCTTGGCTCTGGCCAGCTCCAGGGACCCTTTCTTGTTTAGCATTGACAACATGAGCAGCTTCCAGCCTGAGCAAAATTAGATGATGCTTGGGTTCACAGGGGAGGGGACAGTGTTTGAGAATTGGGCACTAGTGGGACAGGCTCCTGCACAGACCCTAAATGGAGGAGAGTTAGGCCAAAGGTGTTGGAATTTGTAACACAGAGGCCATACGAGGATGAGCAGGCCCCAAACTAGGCAGCCTGTAGGGGTGGGGCAAGTGCATGGAGATGGTGACCGGATCTCTCAACACAACTCAGGCAACTCATTCAAAAGGACCCAGACTGAAACCTTTGCCAGTGGCAAGAACAGGCCAGAGCCAAAAGCAGGGCCCGGATCCAGACTGATGATGCTGAATGAGGCGGGCCAGCAGCTCCCTCTCAGAACACCTCTGAAGTTCTCTAGAAATGCAGAGTTCCAGGCCTACCTATAGAGCTTCTCATTCAGAGGGAATTAGATGGCGCCCCAGGCTCTGAAGACTTTGCATCAAGAAACCCCCTAAGCACTGACCTCAAATGCCTCCCAATCAAGGACACAAGGGGCCCCATAGCCAGAAATGGGCATGCAGGAGATTTGGGAAAGGGAGTATCGAATAGCCCCAGAATGGAGGAGAACCTTCCAGAAGGCCCTCATGGTGGTGAAGGAAAAGGAGAAGAAAAGGAAATGTGATTCAGATGTTCTGTGACCTTTAACTTAGACTTGGAGGCAGGTGTTACTTTTCTCCAGTAACTTGACTTAAAAAAAATCATTTCTTTCCCCAAAAAGAAAGGGAGAGTTAAAATAACTATCTCCATTCTCCTTCTCACCACCTCCCTACCCGTGGTATATTCGTGTGCCAGCAAATGCTAAGTAATGCCCTTCTCATGTATCCCATCATCAGTTGATGGGTTGGGGGTACATTTCTGGGGGAGTGTTTGCTAGACTATCCAGTCATGGGTCCTATAGAAATGGGTTCTGAGCTCCAGGATAGAGTGTAATCAGGGAGCTGCTGAGCCTGTAATCGTTTCAGTCAGATGTTTTGGCCTTGTAAAAGCTCCCAGAGGAAAACAGAGGGCCTGTAATGCATCCTGCTTCTTGGGTTCTAGAAAATTAACCTGCTGGGATTACACACCCTTTGGGCAGGCTGAGATGTGGCCACTCACAAGATTTCTGCTTCCTCACCCTCTCCAGGTAGTAGATGTCCTCTATGTCCCCAAACTCCTGTGATGGCAGCAAAGGAGCTGCTCCTGAAATCCTCCAAGCAATTTCTGTGGACAGCAAGCGTATCAGATAGTCTCAGAAGGGCTTGCCTCTCTCAGGGTGTGATTGCAGTCATTGGGCTAGGAATGGCCTTGGATGAAGGCCACTTTCTTCTTGAATGAAGAAGAAGGCTTCATGGAAAATAAACCCAGAACTGTGTGGAAAGAGGCCTGACCTCCTCCCCAACCCCAGCTTGGTTCACCCTCTGGAGCTGGCTCTTTAGCTCAGGGACAGAATTGTGTTTGGTTAGTGGCAAAAGCCATGTTTTAAGGTAGTGAAAAAGGTGAGTCAGAAGTTTGGGTAATTACAGTCATCAAGTGGATTTTCTTTGCAACATGCAAGTTGTCTGTATTGGGACTGAATCCCAGACACCATGTTAAGAAAATGAGTCAATGAGCTGTCGGATTCCATTTAAAAAATCCAGATGGAATATGCTGATGATTAAGGCCTGTGGTGCCCCCGCCTCATTTATCGGGCCTCCTCAGTCTCCTCCAATCTATAGCAGTTCATCAGGCTTTACTTATATCTCCTATGTTGAGATTTTTGAAGAGAGTATTGATTGCTTTGTAGAATGCCCCTCGATTCGGGGTTTGTCAGGTGTTTTTCCGTGATTAGATTGAAGTTCTTGTGAAGGACTCCACAGAGATGCTGGGCCTTCTCAATGCATCAAATCAGGTGGTGCATGATGGGTAGGTGCTAATGGCGAGGTTAACTCTGGTCACTTGATTAATTTGATATCTGCCAGAATTCTCCACTGTAAAGTTACTATTTTTCTCTTTGTAATTACCAACTATTTTGGTCGAGATCCTTTGAGACTGCAAATATCCCTTTTGGCTTAAACTTCTACACCCTTAATTTTAGCATCCATCAGTGGATCTTGCTTGTGGCAATTATTACTTTGGTTTTACAATATGCACACACACACACACACACACACCCATCTAGACATACTATATTCAAACTGCAGAAAACAAAAGACAAAATCTTGAAGGCAGCCAGAGAAAAAAGGAATATTACATTCACAGGAACAAGAAAGGAGTTACAGCCGACCTCTCATATGAAACCATACAAGTCAGAAGACACTGGTGTGACATCATTAAAGTGCTTATTTTTACAAAATGCCTGTCAATACAAAATTCTATATCCATCAAAAACACCTTTCAAAAATAGAGAAGAAACAAAGGCCTTCTCAGACAAACAAAAACTGAGGGAACTCACTGCCAGAAAACGTACTCTATGAGAAATGTTGAAGAAAGTTCTTTAACGTTTTAAAACAATAGAGAAGGAAAAATCTCTTCCACACAGAAGAATTCCAATTAATAAATGCAGAAGAAATCAGGGAAATAGAAAATTACCAGTAAAACACCACAGTAAATAATTTCAAAGCTTATTCTAGAACCACTGTCAATCTGAATCCCAGTCAACTCATACATAAAATAATTATTTATCCCTCTTATTCTGGAAAAGATCAAGGGCAGTTTGAAGATAAGTGCCCTGCCTACTTCTAGGCTAGAAATCTACAATGTGGTTATGAAGGTCAAAATATTATAATTATGAACAGGTAAGACTTAAAAACCGTAAAAATGCTAGTAAGATACAGGATATTACTACAGCCTTTCCAAAACATTTTACTATGTCAAATGGTTCAATAGCCTCAGCTGATATTGAAATAAAAAGACCCAGTGGAAGAGAAAGAAATACTTCGCAGTTTGTGGTTTGGTATAACTGTATCACCAGGAGTGGCACCATTTAATAATCAAGAGCCATCCTTGAAACCATGTGGCTAGTGTTAGATACCAGGTGCAAGAACAAAACGAAGACTTTCACTGCTGGATGCAGCATCCCCCCGTCGCCCCGGCATGTGGCCCATCAGTGCCCACAGTCTGTGCCTTTCCTGGGGGTTCACAAAGCCTCCCCTGAGGCTCATCTCATTTGACCCTCTCCACAGCTTTGCGAGGTAGCCAGTGTTGTTACCATTTCCACATGGGGCACAATGAGGTTGACACACTTGCCCAACCTCTCCCACATTGGAACTATCAGGACTGGTGTTCAAACCAAGTATGTTGACGCCAAGAACTGTTCTTCACTATGTGGTTGGCCAGACCTCAGAAACTGTGCTTTCTCTGGGGTATTTTGTGATTTGAATGTTGTTGCCCCACATGTGGGATGTGTACCAATGATTTGGGTAGAACATGAGATGATTTTAGGGGCCCTCAAGTGTGGAATTAATTAATCACACAGTGAGAAATTTATTGCCTTTGCAAGACTCTTCCAGTCCTTTTGGTTACATCACAGAGAAAGTCTCTGCTTGATGCTAGCATGTCTTTAACACCTCCTTTTACTAAACAACTTGCTTATACTACCTGGGAGGCTGAGGTGGGAGGACTGCTGGAGCCCAGGAGGCGAAGGTTACAGTGAGCCAAGATTGCTCCACTGCATTCCAGCCTGGGCAATAGAGCGAGACCCTGTCCCCCCACAAAAAAAAAAAAAAAAGTTTATGCCCATTTTGGATCTTATTTAAAGAAAGTCATGTGTTTTGATATAACATCTCTCTGCAAAAATTGCTTAGTACAACTGACCCTCTAGGAAGATGAGCCTTGGGTATGCTGATGTTCCTTGGCCTCCAGCACACCATCAGGGCCTCCAGGAACCTGTGTTGGAGATGCAACCACTTGCTTTACTCCAACCCATGTACTAGAAATATGGAGATCAAGGAATCCCATAGGTGCTCCTCTTTCCATCCCCACAGCACCTGGTACGGTACAGAGCCCATGAGAAGCTCTGTTTGGGGTCACAGGTTCCTAACAAGCATTTTGCAGTAGCTCCAGGATGCTTTCCCTTTAAGAGTGATATAGAGAATACTTTAAGATCTCTGACTTTGGAGCCGTGCAGCACTAAATTCAAAGCCCAGTGTTGCTGCTTGTCGAACTTCTATCAGGCACTTCTGGTACTGTAAAGAAAATATCTGGGTTTGCGAGCTGGAAGGAAAGGCAACTGAGCCTGAAGAGGGACCTGTTGAGGAACGGGGCAAGGTTGTGTGGAGTAGGGGACAACAGCCTGGACTTCACCATCAGGAGCCCTAGGTTCCTTCCCCAGCTGTACACTATCCACCCCTAAGGCCTCAGACAAGGGACAAACCCTGTGCCTGTTTCTTGGTGTCAAAAACAAGGAGGCTGGATGAGATGGTTTCTAAGGGGTCCTCCACCAGCTCTAATGTTCTCTGCTCAACATTTCAGTTTCACGAGGCATAGGTTTTCAGCTTTGTCTTCTTTACGGTGGCCATCTTTCCTCATCATTTCTTGAGAGGAGTCTCGCTCTGTTGCCCAGACTGGAGTGCAGTGGCGTGATCTTAGCTCACTGCAGCCTCCACCTTCCAGGTTCAAGTGATTCTCTTGCCTCAGCCTCCTGAGTAGCTGGGATTACAGGCACATGCCACCATGCCTGGCTAATTTCTGTATTTTTAGTAGAGACGGGGGTTTCCCCATGTTGGCCAGGCTGGTCTCGAACTCCTGACCTCAGGTGATCTGCCTGCCTTGGCCTCCCGAAGTGCTGGGATTAAAGGTGTGAACCACTGCGCCCGGCCTTTCCTCATCAATTCTGAAAGGGCTGTGTTTGCACCACTCTTACCTTAGAAAAACAACAGCTATCATTTTTGAACACTGCTGTCATCCCCCCAAATGCATTCTCCTGTGTATATGAAGGTCAACAGCCTTTGTTCCTAGTGTGGATGATTAATCTAGTAGGGAGGTTATAAAACTAGAATCGTTACAGTCTCAGAAGGCACAAAGGAAAAAAAGCCGGATTTCATTATCTGGCCTAGAATGTTTCTCCAGTCAAGACACCAAAATGACGCTCATATCCGTGAAGGTCAATTTCCCATTTCCTTTTTCTCTGAGTCCAATAAATGCCTGTTTAATTAGGTGCTTGTCCTCCACTGGCCACAATGAGCACTCATGGAATCTTAGTTAATAAAATGAGGATTTATTAAATTTTCCATTTTATTAAATAGTCATCATCTTTGCATTGGGTCCCCAAGCCCTGGTAAAAATGAAATGGTCTGTGTGACCATTCAAAGGGAAAATGTTAAGCTATGTTCTTTAGTTACAAAAGTGAGTCTCTCCCCGTCCCACACCCCTACACCACCATCTTGCTGCAGTTTAAAGGCCTGAAGCTGAATTTAATTTTCTTATTACATTGAGGTCTCACAGACGCCACAGCCAGGCATTAAGGCCTTAAAAATAAAAAGAAAGGGACAACAAAAAACAGAAACAGGTATAAAGAGTACAACAGACATTTTCCCTATGCAGACACCATTGGCAGGTATGCTTTGAAGGAAGCCTGGCAAAAAGAAAGCCCAGACACATCCCCAAACATTCTCCCCACTTTTAAAAATTCATCCATTCAGAGTTCTAGGGAAAGATGAGTCTTCGCAATTTTTGTTCCCAAATAAGGAACAGAGAGAGCTTCAGGAAATCAAGGCTTAAGGAAAACCTATCTCCTCAGGCAGCTAAAGCTCTGAAACAAGATTAATGAAACAAGGCAATGTCTAATGCTGCTTTTGTGATTTGTTTTGAAAAGACTGAATTTAGACTTAAAGAATAAGGATCAGGAGACAAGCATCGAGGCTTCAGGCCCCCCATCCCTGGAAGGTGGCTGTTGGTTGGAGCCGAGATCAGATTTCTAAAGATGCTTGCGGAGGCTCCCGGGAACAGCTCCCAGAAGGAACAGAGCCAAGGCGCAGGGCTGAGCTCGTCCCCTGGGCGGCAATCATCCTCCATTCTACTCTGGCCTCTGCCCAGCATCCACTCCTGGCTTCTACCTGTCCCCACTGGTCTCTGCCAACCTGTTGTTCATGATTGCAAAGGCTCCCACCCCCCCTGAGAATTCATTGTCCCGGGCCAGTGTGCTGGTCTGGTGGGGGCAGCCGTTGGCCATCTCAGACAGTTGCTTCTGCAGGATGGCCAACGAGGCCTTGTTGGCTGCCAGCAAGTCCTTCATGGAGATCATCTCCCCTGAGAGCCGGCGCCCGTCCGTGTCACTCTCTGCCACCCCGTCTGTCTCTATGGAGATGTTGCAGCGGTTCCGGACGCTGCCTGGCATCACCACGTTCCTGCGTGATCGCAAGAGTCCTCTCTGGCATTGCGGGCAGCACCCGCTGTCCATTTTCCTCAGGATCCAGTTCAAGGACTGTTTGATGAGGATAGAGATGACATTGAACAAGGAGTAGATGCAGCAGACACCCATGAGGATGAAGACGAAGTTGGCAAAGCGATAGAGGCCTTGGCTCTCATAGTGGGCGTTCTGGCTGCTGACCAGGTCCCCAAAGCCAATGGTGCTGAAAGCCACAAAACAGAAGTAGAGTGAGTCAAAGTAGCTCCAGCCTTCAATGGGGGTGTACATGGCTGAGGCGCAGCAAGAGATGAGGATGGAGGCTGTGCATAGGATCAGCATGACGTAGTACACGGAGGGCTTCCAGCCGGCCAGGCTGTCCACCTCACACTGCCCCGCATCCTTCAGGCTCTCCTGGGGCAGGGCCCCTCGTCTCCGGAGCTGCCGCTGGTGGCACGACTTCATGATGTAGGCGATGATGGTGATCAGGCGCTCCAGGAAGAGGTTGAAGAACAAGATGGTGCTGGAACACCCAACAAGGCCGTAAAAGATCAGAAAGATTTTTCCTCCTACTGTCGCCGGAGTTGTCATCCCAAACCCTGCAGGAGAGAAAAATGAGAGAAGAGTAAGAGAAATCTTTGCTGTGAATGGGGTCTAGGTCTTGGCTTTGATGGCTGGCAAAGGACCTAAAGAGAGTTTCATAAAATCACTCAGCCTTAGTCTTTCTAGGAATGAGCAGGAGAATTCTCACCTGCTTTTGAAGACACTAAGTGTTGTTCAGAGCTAGGCTGCTGAAAGCCTGTGTGGTGCTATTGTGCAAATCAGGAGAATAGCACCTCATCCTCATGGTGGACACAGCCAGCAAAAAATGGCTTGGTGACAAGAATGTGGGCTGGATTTCAGCCTCCTTTCCCTTCTCTGCTAGATATCCTTGTACAGTCCACAACCTGAACAACCATACTCAACAGATCATGTTTAGAGAGAGAAGCAAAGGCTCATACAAAGAAGAGGCTTATACAGACTCATCAGAATTCATTTATTCTGCAAACACTTATTGACCTGGGGATAGAACTGTGGAAAAGACAGTTCTGGTCCCTGCCCTCATGGAGCCCTAGTCCAGTAAGATGATGATGATATTGTGTGGTAAGTGTGGTGCTAGAGGGAGTACAGGATTCTATGGGAACTCCTAAGAGGGGAACCCATCTAAGAAGTGGGGCTTAGAAAAGATGAAGCAGGGAGACCCAAAAGCTAAAGAGGAGTTAGGCAGGCAAGAAGGGTGTATGTGTGTGGTGGTGGTGGGATGGAGAAGTCGGGATGTTCCAGGCAGAGAAACAGCAGCCTCCCAAAGCACTGGGATTATGGGCATTTCTAGCATACATAGAAATGAGAAATTTGCTCAAGATCTACCCATCTTTTAAACAAAATTCTTCAAACACACACTTCATGCTTTTGGAATAATAACAGAAGTATTGGATGCTATACATTGATAAACTATAAAACGTTCATTTTGCCTTTGCCTCTAACTGTTCACATTTCCACCCTCCTGACCTTTCTACCTGTGCACACAGGCATACCATTAAGAATGCATATTGTAGAACAATGGATGTTACTAAGAAAAACAGAAATAGAAAAGAGAGCAATGATACATTCAGGATTTCTCATGAAAGGGCAATGAGGGTCAGCCCACTCTCATCAGAGGGATGAGGGTTCTTTCCAAGCAAATGATTCAGTAAACATGAGAAGGCTGATGGGTGGAGGGGTTGGCATCAGAGTCACTCTGACTACAAACACCATTAAAAAATAAAAAGAATACTGAGCATGCCTCCCTGAGTCAGTTTCTTATTAAAATCAAACCATCAAACCTCTCTCTTTTTTTTTTTTTTTAAAGAGATGGGATCTTGCTCTCTGTCCCACAGGCTGGAGTACTGTGGTGCAATCACACCTCACTGCAGCCTAAAACTACCAGGTTCAGGTGATCCTCCTGCCTCAGCCTTCCAAGTAGCTGGGACTGCAGCTGTGCACACTATGCCTGGCTAATTTTCAAATTTTTGTAGAGATGAGGGTCTTGTCTTGTTGCCTGGGCTGGCCTCGAACTCCTGGTCTTAAGTGATCCACCCACCTCAGCCTCCCAAAGCACTGGGATTACGGGCATAAGCCACCATACCCAACCCAGTTTTTCCTTATTTTCAAGTTCAAATTTCTAACTTGGGTCCCATCGTTTGGATCACAAGAGCTCTCTCATGATCCTCCCTCCTGATAATACCCCACTTGTCACCAAGCTGATATAGTTCCTTGTTGCTACAGCTCGGTCAACGGCTGCCTCCCAGTGCACCCTGGAAGTGTTCAGACCAGACCTTGAAATGTGTGGGCTTTTGGGGTTATGACCTGCTGGTCTGCTCAAGTCAAGCCAAGGGGCCACCTTTCCCAAACATCCAGGTGTGCATACTGTATTACCATTCAGAACTAAATACAATTTTCCTTTCTCAGCACACAAGGAGCTGCATTTGGGTAAGAAATTAACAGCATGTAGTCAGGAAACTAGAGGAAGATACCAAGTATAGCTTTTGAGCTAGATGGGATGGAAAGGAATTGCCAGGATGATTTGGGAAGGGAGGATCGAGGGACAGGGAATAGTTCCATTGAGAATTACTTAGGGCCCTTCATGCTAGACAGAAAATCAGACCATCATCTCTTCTCTGGGAACTCTTCAAAATCAAAGTCCCTCAGCAATTCTTGGCAGTGGAGGCTCAATGTAGACCCCAAAGCTGCAAGACCAGAGAGTATTGCTTCTGTAGTTACTAAACACAGGGAACTGAATGCAGCAAACAGGCAGAAAAAGGGGGAAACATTTGTCTGGGGCCATTTATTCTAGAAGCCGGATGAAGTCAATGAAAATAGGGAAGGTTCAGAAACATGAAGAGAGATGTGTGGGCTGGGGGAGGGTCCTTTCAGACAATTAGAAAAGAACATTCTCAGGTAGTCCTTACCTGTTTTAGAGGTGATTTAGTCATTCTACTCTCAGAAAGCTGAGCTACAGGAGTTGCTAGGGATTTGCTCCCAGCCAAAGTGATAGCAATAATTTACTGAGCACCTGTTAAGTTCAAGGCCCTCACTACATGTCTGGGCCACTGCCGTGGTCTGAGTGTTTATGTGCCCCCCAAATTCATATGTTGAGATCCATCACCCATAAAGTGATGGTATTAGGAGGTGGTGTCTTTGCGAGAGGTGAGTGTGGTGCTCTCATGAATGGGATTAGTGCTCTTATAAAAGAGGTGATTCATCCATTCCTTCCTCCCTGGGAGGACACAAGAAGGTGCCATGTATGAGGAAGCAGGGCTCTCGCAAGATACTCAACCTGCTGATGCCTTGATCTTGGACTTCCCAGTCTCCAGAATCATGAAAAATAAACCTCTATTGTGGATAAACCTCCCAGTCTTCAGTATTTTCTTATAGCAGCCCATGTGGACTAAGATGGCCAAAGAAGATGACACAGACATAGTCCTTGACCCCAGCATCCAAGGCTGAGACTAACTATCTACAAAACAAGCCACAGTGGGCTGGGCATGGTGGCTCATGCCTGTAATCCCAGCAGTTTGGGAGGCCGAGGTGGGCGGATCATGAGGTCAGGAGATCAAGACTATCCTGGCCAACCTGGTGAAACCCTGTCTCCACTAAAAATACAAAAATTAGCTGGGCGTGGTGGCATGTGCCTGTAGTCCCAGCTACTTGGGAGGCTGTGGCAGGAGAATCACTTGAACCCGGGAGGTGGAGGTTGTAGTGAGCCAAGATTGCGCCACCGCACTCCAGCCTGGTGACAGAGTGAGACCCTGTCTGAAAAAAAAAGAAAAAATCAAGCCACAGTGAGTCAAAGGCCAACACAGAAGCACCATGGAGTTATCTGGGTTTAGGGGCCCAAATGCAGCCTCACTTTGGGATGAGTGACATAGGCACAGACAGTGAAGTGCTGATGCCAGCAGATACACTTGATGAGCTGATTTTTCCAGTGAATGAGGTTTCTAGTGACATGTTCCAGAGATTTAACATTTCTAGATTCTATCTTATTTTTTTGGTTTTAACATATTCAATTTTGTTAAAGGAGGGATAATCATGACTTTTGGTTATCTACTGTTTGATGGATGACTGCCATCTCTCCTATCAGCAAAAATAACAGAAAATGGTACAAATGGTGGTATTTATGGAAGCAAAGGGAGACAGCTTCCTCATGTCTGCAGTTGGAGGTGTGAGAGGTGGTTTTACTACTCTCAGCGCTGAAAAGTGTGTAAGTAAGCTAATAATGCAGGCTTTTCCATAGAAACCCTCCCCTTTTTTGAGCCCCATAATGCTGAGAGTTGAAGATGGCTCAGATGGTGAATAATAACCCTCAGGGTCCTTTTTTGGTAGAGGAAAAGGGCTCAGGGATTATTATCAAAGGCCTTTCCTCTGCCAGCCTGTGTGCTTGTCAGCAACTCCTCACACCCACACTGGGGAGCTGGGTATTATTAGTCTACTAGTTACATTTGACAAATGAGAAAAAAACTACAGAAGCTGAGTGGTTTGCCTAAAGTCATAAAACCAGAATCAGAACCTAGATCATCTTGTCTCCCAGGCCTGTGCTTTTTTCCACCTGACTAGGCTGAGTGTAGCTCATTGTCATCACTGTCAAGGTACAAGCCATGAGCAGAACGGAGGGAAGGAAATTAGCCAAGTGTCCATAGTTCAATGCTTTATACAGACACCCAGACCGCAGTGGCTGCCAAACCTGGTACCAAAACCGGAGAGGGGGGGCAGGGTTTGGCTGGCATCACAAGCTAAAACCTTAAAATTTTCATGTACCAAAACATATAAAACATATTTCTGAATGTATATATGTCTCTTCCAACAAATGATATAATTACATCAGTTTAAAAGCTGTTATGCCCCATGCATTTCAGTCTCCCCATATTTTGTAGGTATACAAATGAAACTGACAGTCACAGGTGGTACCTTTCAATACGTAATATATTCCCTGTGCTTCAAGCCTGAAGTTATCTGATCGGTGTTCAGCCCGAGTCTGGGAGCTGATGAGTGGATCGAGAACCAACGGCGAATGAGATTGGCTTGGAGGCCAGTGAAACTCACAGCTGATTTGGTCTAGTTCCTTTAAATCATTTCAGACCTCTGTTAATGTGCTTGTAATTTCTGGGGCAGATTCTGGGACCAATCCCAGGCTCTCTGCTGTCCTTGGGGCTAGGAATAAAGCTACTAGGGACTGCCAAGGTCCCAGTCCACCCCCACAGAACACTTCACTCAGCCCATGAAGAGCAGGCCCATAGTCTCCCAGCCTTTTATGTATATGCTGTCAACTACGTATTTTTTTTCAAAATTCAATTAAGGTAAAAAAAAAAAGTAAAAGCTTTGTATTATGATATTTTTCAAACAGGCACAAAGGCAGAGCAGAAAGTATAATAAACTCCTATTTTCCAAATTATCAACATTCTGTCAACCATGCTTCTCCCATCCCACCCCAACCCATCCCCTTTATTTGCTGGTGTATTGTAAAGTTAATCCCAGATAACATACCATTTCTTTGATTAATAAAGACACATCTTTAACTGCCAAGGCCTTTATTTTTCAAACATAACCACTGTGCCATTACCATACCTAATGACATTAATACTAATTCCTTAATATCAAATAATACCCAGTCCATATTCAGGTTTCTCAAAATTATCTTTTTACGGATGATTTGTATGAATCAAGATCCAACAGGCTGCACCCACATTTAGCAGAGCTCTTCAGCCTCTTTCATTCATTAACAATCTCCCCTCTCATTTGGTATGCCCTTGATTTGTTGTGTCCTGTAGACTTTAATCAGGTTTTTTTTTTCTAGAAATACTTGAGGGTAGAAAAAAGCATTGTGTATTTCAAGAGTGTTCTTATATGCAGAGGCAACTCTCAAATGCTACACGAGGACATAAAAATTGGTATAAACTGTCTGGAAAGCAATTTGGGAATATGTGTCAGACACTTTTTTTCTGTTTTTATTTATATATTTATTTTTATTTTTCATTTTTATGGGTACAGAGTAGGTGTATCATGAGATATTTTGAGACAGGCATACAATGCATAATAATCACATCAGGCCCGGTGTGGTGGCTCATGCCTGTAATCCCAGCACTTTGGGAGGCTGAGGCGGGCGGATCACCTGAGGTCGGGAGTTCAAGACCAGCCTGACCAACATGAAGAAACCCCTCCTCTACTAAAAATACAAAATTAGCCGGGGTGGTGGCACATGCCTGTAATCCCAGCTACTCCGGAGGCTGAGGCAGGAGAATCACTTGAACCCGGGAGGTGGAGTTTGCAGTGAAATGAGATTGCGCCATTGCACTCTAGCCTGGGCAACAAGAGCGAGACTCCATCTCAAAAAAAATAAAAATAAAAAATAAAAATAATAATAATCACATCAGGGTATCCTTTTTTTTTTTTTTTTTTTTTTTTTGCTTTTAGGAATATGTCTCCCAAATTATGACTAATGTGACCAATTATGCACATGGATGTTCACCATGTCTTTACTTTTAATGATGAAAATCCTCAGCAACCTAAATATCAGATAATGGGGAAATGACTAAATCAAGTAGCCATTAAAATTGTGTATCTAAAGAGTTCTCAATGACTGGTGAAAATGTTAAGTGGAAAAAAGCAGAGCAACTTTGTGTGTCTGCAGTGTGTCTGCAGCATGAGTCACGCCTGACATATGGGGCATCCTCATTAAATATTTGTTGGATGAAGGAATAAACTTTGTAAAATATATTTATGTAGCTATATACTGCAGCAATTAAAATGCTTTTGGCTGCCAGGAACAGCAAATCATAAATAGAGGTGGCTTAAACATGCAGGGGCTAGCTCCTAGAACATGAAATTGAGAGAGAGGGCAGCTCCAGGGATGGTTAATATGGTGACTTTAGAATATGATGCATGAATCAAGACCGACTCCTTCCCAGCTCTGGCCCCATCACCATGTCAGCTGGCTCCCTTCATACCAAGAGTTACAGGAACCACTCCTTCACACACCAGTGTCCAGAGTCAGAAAAATGGTTTCCTACTTTGTGTATCCTTTCCAGAAATCCTTTGGCAAAATTGCCATTATATACCACTGACCAGCCCAAGTTACATGCATACTCCGAAAACCAATTATCTATAAGAGGAAAGATTCCTCTGGTCAGGATTCATCAGATTCCCTTGGGGGAAGAGATGGACCTCAGAAATGACAATGTCTGCCACGGACATACATAGAAAAGGGGGGAAAAATACACGAAATTTTCAATCAGGTTATTTCGAGGTGATGATAACACAAATGATTTAATTATTTTCTAATGTTTTATCTTTCATTACTTTTTTTTTAAAGACTAGCCAAGTGCAGTAGTGAGAATGGGGGAAGGAGTAGAACAAAGAGTGCTATCTGTAACTGTGAACAATCAATTGAAATAACTCACTACCTTCAGACCAGCCTCTTTCATTACTGCTTTTCTTTTTTTTGAGATAGGATCTCACTGTGCTACTCAGGCTGGAGTGCAGTTGCGTGATCTCAGCTCATGGCAACCTCCACCTCCCAGGTTCAGGCGATTCTCCTGCCTCAGCCTCCCAAGTAGCTGGGATTACAGGTTGCATCACCACACCTGGTTAATTCTTGTATTTATTTTATTTTATTTTTTGAGATGGAGTCCCGCTCTGTCGCAAGGCTGGAGTGCAGTGGTGTGATCTTGGCTCACTGCAACCTCCGCCTCCTGGGTTCAAGTGCTTCTTCTGCCTCATCCTCCCGAGTAGCTGGGACTACAGGCGCATGCCACCATGCCGAGCTAATTTTTGTATTTTTAGTAGGGACAGGGTTTCACCACGTTGGCCAGGATGGTCTTGATCTCTTGACCTCGTGATCCACCTGCCTCGGCCTCCCAAAGTGCTGGGACTACAGGCATGAGCCACTGAGCCAGGCCTCTTTCATTATTTTTAAACTGAGAAAAATATGTTTCTCAGCAGGTTTTCTCAAGTTGCAGTCAAACACCTGCACAGATACCTGCAGCATACCTCTTGATTCATTCTTCTCAATACTCCGAGGAACCAAAGCTTGACTTGCATATACTTTCCCACAATCTTTTTGATGCTAACAGTTTAAGCCTTCTCATGTGGGATGAAACTACAAAAGAATTGGCAGACTTTTTTTTTTTGGTAAAAAGCCCCTCCAATGTCAACTGGGATGAAGAAAGGAGGCAAGAACAGACTCCTGTGGATTATTCTTGAGGGGTGAGGTGGGGGATGGGAAGTGGGTTCAATGATGGAAGACTTAGAAGATCAGCAGGAGGCCCTGGGTCCTCACTGGGCCCATTGTATTTATGTGGATTATGAAACCACAACTCTCAAAGCTGGACAGACTTCATGACATTCTAGTCCAAGCTTTTCAAGTTATCGGTGGGGAAACTGAAGCTTCAATAAGCCAGGCAATCTTCACAGGTTGTGGAGGCTTGGCTAAATTCAGATCCCATGTCTGCAATGCAGACTTCTCTCCTCTCCTCCTGTTGCTTGTGGTACATAGGTTCCAAAGATGATTTCAAACAAATTGCTCCCATCCTTGTAAGCACTTGCTGTTTTTCCCATTAAGAGATGAAGCCTATTTCCTCTCTCCTTGAATCTTGGATGACCCTGAGACTTGCTCTGACCAGCAGAATATGGTGGGAGCGATGCTGTACTAGTTCCAGGCTTAGGCTGTCAGAAGCTTAGGAACTTCAGCTTCCTCTCTCTGGATCCCCTAGACACCACGTAAGAAGGGTGACCACTCAGCTGGAGAGACAGGCCCAGCCATTCCTAGATGACTGGATTCCTAGTGCCAGGTACTGAGTAAAGCCCAAGCCAAGGCTACAGCTGGATGCAGTCACAAGAGTCAGCAGTTGACACTGAGTTGAGCCAAAGAACTGCCAGCTGAGCCCAGGAAATTCACAGCATTGTGAGAAACACCCATGGTTGGTCAAACCACTCACTTGGGGAGGTTTGCCACACAGCGATGGATAATGAAATATCTTCTGTCTGGGACTTTCAGTGTTTTCAACAGGCACCTGTTTCCCTCTATCTTCCTCCTCTTCTTCAGCTCCCTGCTCCATTTTCCATTGAAAATTAGGTGTGAGGGACTTAAAGGGGCTTCAAGAGGAGGCCTTGCAAGGTATGTGGAATTTAATGGAGGTTCAACTTGTAAATCAAGCAGGCTGTTGAACCTGTTTGATTTTTAAGGAACAGCCTCCAATTGAGGGCAGGGGTAGGAGGAAGAGAGCATTCTACTGTTGATAAATATTTGGCTGCTTCCCAAATTGGGCTATAAGAATAATGTTTCCACAAACTTTTTTGTACATGTCTTTTTGAGATGAAGTAGGGACCCCTCTTAGGAGCCTGCTGGTCCACTCCCAAACCCACAAGCATGGAAATAAAGGAAAATCTTGAGTTCCTTCAGGGGAAATTCCAGGTACCTAGGTACCCCTGAGAAGTAAATGAGCAACTTGATGACCAAGAAGGGAGTAGTAGCTTAAAACAATAGCTAAGGAAGCTGAAGTCACAAGGTTTTTGGTTCCCTATAGAAACTAAAGATAACATCTTAATATATGTCTCCGAGTTGTTTTTCAGAAACCTGGTCCCCCACCAAATGGATCCACTGTCATGTACATCTCAGATAAGGGGGAGCTGAGGACTGAACTCTGAGTGCTATCCTTTGTTCTAAAGTTCTTCCTGAGCATCCTGGAGGAGGTTATGCCCATTAGCCAGAGCTAACATTCTTCTCTGCTGACCCTAAATTTTTATTTTATTTTATTTATTATTTATTTATTTATTTAATTTTTTTGAAACAGGGTCTTGCTCTGTCACCCAGGCTGGAGTGCAATGGTGTGATCACGGCTCACTGCAGCCTCAACCTCCTAGGCTCAAACAATCCTCTTGCCTCAGCCTCCTACGTAGCTGGGACTATTGGTTTACAATACCAAACAAAACCAATTTTTGGATTTTTTGTAGAGATGAAGTCTCACTATGTTGCCCAGACTGGTCTCAAACTTCTGGGCTCAAGCACTATCTGCCAGCCTTGGCATCCCAAACTGTTGGGATTACAGGTGTGAGCCACCATGCCCGGCCTGACCTCCAGTTTTTAAATAAAGCTTCTTTTCCTTAAGTAATTGCAAATTGGAAAATCTTTGAATCTACGTGATATGGTTTGGCTCTGAGTCCCCACCCAAATGTCACCTCATATTATAATCCCCACGTGTCAAAGGAGGGACCTGGTGGGAGGTGATTGGATCATGGGGGCAGTTTCCTCCATGCTGTTCTCATGATAGTGAGGGAGTTCTCATGAGATCTGATGGTTTTATTTATTTATTTATTTTTTATTGTCTTTCAGACAGAGTCTCGCTCTTGTTGCCCAGGCTGGGGTGCAGTGGCACAATCTCGGCTCACTGCAAGCTCCACCTCCCAGGTTCACGCCATTCTCCTGCCTCAGCCTCATGAGTAGCTGGGACTACAGGTGCCCACCACCACACCCGGCTAATTTTTTTTGTATTTTTTTAGTAGAGACAGGGTTTCACCATGTTAGCCAGGATGGTCTGCATCTCCTGACCTCATGATCCGCCCGCCTCGGCCTCCCAAAGTGCTGGGATTACAGGCATGAGCCACTGCGCCTGGCCGAGATCTGACAGTTTTATAAGGGACTCTTCCCTCTTTGCACTTTCTCTTGCCTGCTGCCATGTAAGATGTGCCTGCTTCCCCTTCTGCCATGATTTTAAGTTTCCTGAGGCCTTCTCAGCCATGCAGAACTGTGAGTCAATTAAACCTCTTTTCTTTATAAACTATCCAGTCTCAGGTGTTTCTTTATAGCAGTGTGAAAACGGACTAATACACTACCTATGATCTGTAAGCCCCTGCTTCAAGATATCCTGCCCTTTTAGGCCAAACCAATGTATAATCTTCATGTATTGACTTACAATTCTGCTTGTAACCTCTACTTTCCTGAAATTTTCCCTTGCTTGCAAGCCATTGGGAAGTTTGGGTCTTAAGCCTGAGCTGCCTGATTCTCCTTGTTTAGTGCCCTGCAAACAAACACCCTCCTTTCTCCCCATTTCAAACCCTGGTGTGGATATCTGGCCTTACTGCACCTGGCAAGTGGACCCCAGTTCAGTTCGATAACATTTTGGTGACCATATGTACATATTTCTCTTGGATACATACACTTATGAATGCAATTGATGACTCACATAATATGAATATGTTCAGCAAAGTGGATGTACAAATTTACCCTCCCCTCATCAAAGTTTGAGCTTCAGTTCATATTCTTCATATTCTTTTTGAATTTTTAGAGGTGGGGTCTCACTCCGTCACGCAGGCTGGAGTGCAGTGGTGCAATCATAGCTCACTGCAGCCTCAAACTCCTGGGCTCAGGTGATCCTACTGCCTCAGCCTCCCAAGTAGCTGGGACTACAGGCATGAGCCACCACACCTAGTATATTCTTCATATTCTCGCTGATATTCATTGTAACTATTTTGGTGGATACATAGTGGTTTTCATTCGCATCTCCTTCATGTCTAATCAAGTTGAACATCTTTTCATAGGTTTCACGGTAATTTGAATATTCTCTTTAGCACCTGCTCACTTATTTTGGCCATTTCTCTTGTTTATTATTGATTTCTAGGTGACATAGAAATATTGAAGCTCTAGGCCTTGAGTGAGGCTTGGAAGGGGGCAGGTTTGCTGGGTGAATTTACTGCCTCATTCATGCAAGGGCAGTGGGTTTCACACAATCTGCTTGGCCAGCCTTTTATCTTTCACAACACTCATTTCTCTGATTGAAAATTATTTCTAGCTTTTTTTTTACCCTAGCCAATTCACTCTGTGGTGCAGATTCTGATGACAATGTTGATCGTGCTTAATAGTAACCTCTTTAGAATGGATTCCAAAATAGACACTTGCATGGCCAATTGCCTCTCAGGTATAAATTGAAGTGAACTTATGCAAACCCACACACTTATAACACTCTATGCTGAAGTGTTTTATGGTAAGTGACCACTCATATAACACCAGAACAATACAATCACATCAGTGTAACACTTTACACTGAAGTGTTTTATGGTTAAGTTACCACTCAGACAATACAATAACACCAGAACATGCTCATGTTAACACTGTATCAGGATTCAAATTTGACAAGCCAGGGTTTGGATCCTATAATCGAAAGCTATAGTTGTGCACCAAAGGCTTACATGTTCCGTAGGAAATTAACAATTTCGGTCACCTCGCCCTCGAGGAACTCCTGTACACCTATAAATCTAAGGCAAGGGTACAAGCTGGTGACTCAAAATCCTTTTCCAAGCCCTTCTATCACTTTTTTTTTTTTTTTTGATATAGACTCTGGCTCCATCACCCGGGATAGAGTGCAGAGGTACTATCTCGGCTCACTGCAACCTCCACCTCCCAGGTTCAAGCAATTCTCCTGCCTCAACCTCCCATGTAGCTGGGATTACAGGCACCTGCCACCACAGCCAGCTAATTTTTGTATTTTTAGTAGAGACGGGGTTCCACCATATTGACCAGGCTGGTCTGGAACTCCTGACCTCAGGTGATCTGCCCACCTAATCCTCCCAAAGCGGTGGGATTACATGTGTGAGCCACCACGCCTGGCCCCTTCTATAACTTTATAAAGTCAATTTTTTCCCATCAAGAACACTGCCCACTGAGTTCTGCAAGACAGAATGATGCCAGTAGACAGAACTTAGTTTTGTCTCTGTGAAATTTCACATTGCTCCATGTTTGTGTTCATCATGTGAAAGGAAAATAAATCTTGGGGCCCCCAAATCACTAAGCTAAAGGGAAAAGTCAAGTTGGGAACTGCTCAGGTCAAACCTGCCTCTCATTCTATTCAAAGTCACCCCTCTGCTCACTGAGATAGATGCATATCTGATTGCTTCCCTTTGGAAAGGCTAATCGGAAACTCAAAAGAATGTAACCATTTGTCTCTCACCTACCTATGACTTGGAAGCTCCCTCCCCACTTCCATTCTTCCTGCCTTTGCTTAAGTTGTCCCACTTTTCCAGACATATATTAATTGACGTCTCATGTCTCCCTAAAATTTATAAAACCAAGCTGTGCCCCAGCCACCTTAGGCACATGCCGTCAGGACTTCCTGAGGCTGCATCACAGGCACGTGTCTTCAACCTTGGCAAAATAAACTTTCTAAATTAACTTAGACATGTCTCACATGTTCAGGGTCCACAATCATAATCTGCTTTATACAAATCAAAAAAGCAGTCTTTATGAATTATGAAAATCAAGGTAAGGATATCTCTCCTTTGACATCGTTCCTTCTTCACAAACACCACTGGAAAATTACCAAGAAGGAATAATGGGATGTGAAACTGGCCTTCTCTGGCCTCTATGAGTTTTCCTTCATAGTCTACCCATGTGCCTTGGGGCTCCTGTGTACAGAATAAATCTGTTGCTTAGCAGTCTCAGCCCTACAGAGAAGAGCCTCCCCAAGGAGGGGCTCAGCAGGTCTGTCTCCTTTCTCACCTAGCTGGAAATGAGCTGTAGGGATTGGTGACACGATTAGGCAAGTGAACTGGTATTTACCAGGAGATTATGTGAAAGGAAATTAAATTTTGGGACCCCAAACTCATTTAGCCAAAGGGAAAAGTCAAGCTGGGAACTGGGTCCGGCAAACCTGCCTCTGCCTTTTGGTTCCTAAATAAGATGGCTACAAGATGAAAAGCTACATCCTCCCCCATATTTTGCCCACAAGGAAATTCCTAGTGAGCTGTTAAAATTTCACCACAGCAATGCAAATTGATAGCTTATCTTTACAGGTGCAGTCAGCCCTGTCCAACAGACACAAATGCATATCTGATTGTTCCCCTGCCCCATTTTGTCTATGCTATCTGACAGAAAATGCAGATTCCCTGCATTTTTCCTCTGCCCCATTTGTTTACGTCATCTTATGTAAAACATACAGATTCATTGAGCCAGACAAAGGCATGAATGTCTATTTTTTCCCTATCCTACTCTTACAGGAAAATTGTATACTTCTCAATATCCCGCCCTTCCCCTTTAGATTTGAAGCCCTCAAAATCATCTTCAGAGAAAGGCATAGACCTGTCTCCCTGGCACGCATGCTTAACTTTGGCAAATAAATCTCTTAAAATGATTGAGGCCAGGTGCGGTGGCTCACGCCTGTAATCCCAGCACGTCGGGAGGCTGAGACGGGTGGATCACCTGAGGTCAGGAGTTGGAGACCAGCCTGGCCAACACAGAGAAACCGTGTCTTTACTAAAAATACAAAAATTAGCTGGGTGTGGTGGTGGGCACCTGTAATCCCAGTTACTTGGGAGGCTGAGGCAGGAGAATCACCTGAACCTGGGAGGTGGAGGTTGCAGTGAGCTGGGATTGCACCACCGCACTCTGGCCTGGGCAACAGAGTGAGACTCTGTCTCAAAATAAATAAATAATAAAATGATTGAGGCTTGTAATTTTTTTTTTTGATTGACAATCATATGGGTAAAATCTTCTCTTAGTTAAATGCTTGGATGATTTACTTCTCAGGGGTACCTAGGTACCTGGAATTTCCCCTGAAGGAACTCAATTATTTTCTTTTATTTCCATGCTTGTGGGTTTGGGAGTGGGCCAGCAGGCTCCTAAGAGGGATCCCTGCTTCATCTCAAAAAGACATGTACAAAAAAGTTTGTGGAAACACTATTCTTATAGCCCAATTTGGGAAGCAGCCAAATATTTATCAACAGTAGAATGCTCTCTTCCTCCTACCCCTGCCCTCAGTTGGAGGCTGTTCCTTAAAATCATCTCTGCCCCCGGCAGAAGAAGAAAGTACAGAATGTTAGAAATTTTAAAAAACCTAACTTTTGGGAGTGCCAGAGTGGTGATGAGAGTCCCTTAAAGAAACTTAAGGTAAGGAGAGACCGGGACAAGTAAGTACCTCGGGATATGTATGCTAGGAGTTATGTGGAGAGGGAGGAGGCCCATGGAGAGGTCCAGGGGGCATCTGTACTTCACAGGCTACTGAGAGCCCGTCTGCAGATAAAGTTCTATGAATATCCTAAAGAAAATGCTTAGAGATAAACGTTTACCATATGAGGGGCAGGGGTTCCCCATCAAAGCTGACTTCCTCTGGGAAATCCTCGTTTCTCATGTTGAGAGAGGCATGCAAGGAAAGTGCTGCTGTGACAATCAAATAAGGCAGCATTGAGTATTCCGTAGGTTTCAAACACTGTGTTGACAGCAAGGAGAGGAGGTAGTAGTGAGACGATAGTTTCTGCCCTCCAGGAGTTTCAAACCTGATCCAGGAAATAAAGTACTAGAAATAACACACAAGAAGGCGACCTGCACAAGGCAGTGTACAAAATCAAGTCAACACCTCTTCTGAGTCACCTGCAGATGACACCAAAGATATATGCCCAAAATAAAACTTCTTAAAACTTCATAAAAACTTCTGCCAAGCTTCAGAGAGGATGGAAGATCTGATCACATCTTTATTTGCAGTATTTAAAAATTAACTTTTTAGTTTATAAAAATTAACTTTTATACTGCATATAAAAGGTGAATGTATTATTAGTCTGTTCTCACGCTGCTAATAAACACATACCTGAGACTGGGTAATTTATAAAGGAAAGAAATTTAATTGACTCACAGCTCCACACGGTTGGGGAGGCTTCACAATCATGGTGGAAGGTGAATGAGGAGCAAAGTCATGTCTTACATGGTGGCAGGCCAGAGGTTATAAAACCATCAGATCTCATGAGACTTACTCACTACTGTGAGAACAGTATGGGGGAAATGGCCCCCTCCATGATTCAATTATCTCCACCTGGCCCCACCCTTAACACGTGGGGATTATTACAATTCAAGGTGAGATTTGGGTGGTGACACAGACAAACCATGTCAGTGAATAAGGTAGAAGGAAACTTAGATCACCTGGGACAAAGGTCCTAAACTTTAGTATGCCAAGAAATCCCCTGAGGAGCTTGTTAAAAACTGGGATTTCTAGGCCTTATCACCAGATAGTCTGATTCAGGAGGTTGAGTAGGACCAGAAAACATGCATTTTAAACCAGTGCCTAATAGTGATCTGATGCAATGGCCACAGACCTCACTCAGGGAAATACCTACGAGCTAGAGTCATGGCACTGGGGTAGACAGTGTTGGTTTGTGGAAGGCAACAAAAGTCAAGTGTGCCTGGGGAAGAGTCTAAAGAATGGTGTCCCTATTCCCCAACAAAACCCAGCAAAGGATAACAATATCTCTGGGGTCCTGGAAGCAAAAGCAACCCTCACTTTTTTTTTTTTGAGACAGGTCTTACTCTGTCGCCCAGGCTGAAGTGCAGTGGTGTGACCTCAGCTCACTGCAGCCTCAACCTCCTGGGCACAAGCAATCCTTCCACCTCAGCCTCAGTAGCTGGGACTACAGGCACACACCACCATGCCTGACTAATTTTTGTATCTTTTATAGAGATGGGGTCTTGCCATGTTGTCCAGGCTGGCTTCGACTTCCTGGCTTCAAGCAATCTGCCTGCCTCAGCCTCCCAAAGTGCTGGGATTACAGTAGTGAGCCACCACACCCCGCCCCTCACTTGTTTTGTATGTTAGTATGTGATGCAGAAAACATTTCAGATGGTACAGTACGTAAAATGAGCTGTCTTCAGAAGTTCTGGGTTAACCGTGGGGCCTTGTGGCCGACAGGAAAATAGTTGCTCCTTACTCTTCCTTTGGATGGAACTGACTTCCAAAGTATTCAAGGACCTTCTACTTCCTACATGTTGATAAAGGAAGTGAAGAGAGGAAAGTGTTTCTTCCCAGCCAATACACCTCCTGTCATGTGAGCCAGGCAGGTGCTAGTCCCAGTTTATTTTTGTAAAATGAGGTTTGGGATTATTGGCAGGGGGTGGGGGTAGCAGAGGAAGAGGGAGATGCAGCAATGTGATAGAGGATTGAGGCAGTCACTTCCGAACCAGCTTTCGGCAGGGGTGTTTGCTAGCTTGGTGGACTGCCTCAGCGAATGAGCAGGCCTGGGTCCCCAGTGTTCTAGGCAGTGTTTTCTAGTGTGGCACCTTAACCATTGGTATCAAAACCATCTGAGGAACTTGTTTAAATGCAGATTCCTGAGCCTTACCTACAAATCAGCATGTCTGGGATTGAATCCAGTTCCCTGCATTTAGAACAATGATTACCCTACAGCAGGAGAATCACTGTTCTGGAGTTTTCCATTCAAGACAGCGTTGCTCCATGATTTAATAGACCAAAGGAGGACTGGCAATTAAGTAACTCAATAAATGTTATGCTTCCAGGATAACTGTACTCTTTATATCTGTGTTACCTGGTGGTGAGAAAAGCAATGAAAATAGATCGTCTTTGGGAAGTTCTTCCTTCGCTCCTGGGCTTTTGGTTCATGACTGCGATACGAGGGTTAAACCTCTCTAGGTCCCTAAGCACAAAGCTGTTTGACTGTCAGAATTGTGCCATAATGAGGACAGTCATGATGACAGTCTGTGCCCGATTTTCAGAGCCAGGCACTGAGTTTGGTGCTTCCCATAATCCTCATGCCAACCTTGAGAGGTGGGAACCCTTCATCCCCCTTTTACACTTGAGAAATCTGAAGTACACAGAGGTTAAGTAACTTGCTCAAAGTCATGTAGCTAGCTAGTTAGGGCCTGGGTGCTAGTGCAGACCCAGTTAATAACCTCACTGTGTCATGCCCACAACTTATTCTGGTTGTCCCTTTGGTAAAATGAGGATAGGGTGTTCCAGATGAGGTCTAAGGACCTTCCAATGTCAATATTCTGTGATTTGGGTGTGTGTGTGCAGGGCACCAATCAGAGCTCATTCTGCTCATGCCATCATCCCAGGATTCTGGGGAGGACTCACCCTGCCTCTGCAGCTCTCCTTCCACAGGCCAGGCAGGTAGACCCACAGTCTACCCAAATAAATAAGAAAATTTCTTTTTTTTTTTTTTTGAGACAGAGTCTTGCTCTGTCGCCCAGACTAGGGTGCAGTGGTGTGATCTTGGCTCACTGGAACCTCCACCTCCCAGGTTCAAGTGATTCTCCTGCCTCAGCCTCCCAAGTAGCTGGGATTATAGGTGCCTGCCACCACGTCTGGCTAATTTTTGTATTTTTAGTAGAGATGGGGTTTCTCCATGTTGGCCAGGCTGGTCTTGAACTCCTGACCACAGGTGGTCTGCCCGCCTTAGCACCCCAAAGTGCTGGGATTATAGGCGTGAGCCACTGCGCCCGGCAACCCAAAGAAAATTTCTATCTGTAACACTTCTCAACTAAAAAATATGTTACAGGCTGATTTAAAGCATATTAAAATTTGCCAGGTAAGCCAAAGGGAACGTATTTCCACTCTGTGCTTGAGCTATCATTTTGCAGCGGTTACCGCTATCAATACAGTTCTTCCCAAAGTTACAGATATTCTTGGAATTTGATATTTTTAGGGTTATGACTCCTCTCTCATTTCCATAACAGTAAAGCATCTCTGACAAAAGATTATGAATGTAGCACAGATTAAACTGTTTTCCAGGTAACTTCTGAACTATGGGGATGTTTCTAGACTCTTCAGCAACAAGTAGTTTATAAGTGAAAAATAAATTACAGCTATTCTAACTGTATAAGCTGAAAACGAGGGTATGATAAATAGAGACTCTTTAAATCATCTGCATTACTACAAATCACAGTAGTTCTTGCACTCAGAAATAACAAAAATCGGCTGCATGGGAATCAGAGTGCATCAGCTTGCGAAGAGGAATTCAAAACGTTTCATTTCCCTGAGAGTCACTGCATCTTGGGGGCATTTAGTGCTGTGTTTTCTGCTTTCACAAGCTTTCCCTCCTCACGGTCAGCCAGGATGATGGTTGGAATGAATGCTAGAAGCAATAAATGCTGTCATTATTTCTGATTTTACCCTCATTTAAGGTGAAAAACAATGTGATTTACTTATCTCAAGGAGGTGTCCCAATTCCAGTGCTTCTTAACTTCTAAAATTGTGAAACTATTCCTTAAAAGCAAGCAGATATAATTATGTTCTCTCTTGAACTAAATTGCCCTCCCTCAGACTGAGAAGAAATGGTTCAATTAAGTAGAATGTTACCAACACAGGCATGTAACCGATGAAAGGTGCCTTTGTGCCTTTTCTTCAACGTGAGTGAGAAAATCTGGCTCTGAGACATTTTGAAGAATGATGACTATGTCTTTATTTTGATGGACCTCTGGGCCAAGTATACCTGAATCTGCCTGCCTTTTTGAATTTCTTGCTGCAGAGGACAGGTACACAAGGCCCCTCTGGAGAGGTGGCCGTTGGTGTAAAAAGCAGAAGAAGATGAGCTGTACTTCTTGGCCTAGGGTGGGTCCCAGCCCCACCCTGATCAGCACTCTCCCTCTCCCCATGGCAGCCTCTTTGGCCCTGATATGGTTTGGCCGTGTCCCCGCCCAAATCTCATCTTGAATTCCCATGTGCTGTGGGAGGGACCCAGTGGGAGGTAACTGAATCATGGGAGTGGGTCTTTCCTGGGTTGTTATTGTGATAGTGAATAAGTCTCACGAGATCTGATGGTTTTAAAAACGGGAGTTTCCCTGCACAAGCTCTCTTGCCAGCCACCATGTAAGACATGTCTTGCTTCCCCTTTGCCTTCCACCATGACTGCGAGGCCTCCTCAGCCACGCGGAACTGTAAGTCCATTAAATCCTTTTGCATGTATAAATTACCCATGGGTAAGGGGTATGCGAAATGAACAGTGTGAAATGAACAAATACAGTGAGAAATGAACGAGCAGTATAAAAACAAACTAATACAGGCCCATTTGTGGGACCCTCATGCTTCCAGAAATCCCATTTGAAAGTCAAAGACCTACAAAGGATTAGTGGTTCTCTCACCTTTTATGGTTTTACTTAAGTGTCAAGAATAAAGCATGGCCCAGGGATACAAAATGACAGAATCAAAAAGACTTGAAATAAATGTGTTATTTACAGTATGTGTTCTTTCAGTCTGTAGCTCTTTCCTACAAAATCATGAAATTTCCTATGGTACTACTGAACCACTAGGTATACTGCATTAACCTACAAACTCCAAGAAATGTTTGACACACACCTCACATTTGCTATGACAGTAACTCTAGGGAACAACCCTAGTAGAAGATTAAGTTTTTCTTCTCTCTTCTCCATTCTCTCCTTCTTTTCTAGTCTCTTTCTTCCCTTCCCCCTTCCTTCCATTTCTTTAAAAGAGTCTTTAAAGAGATACAACTGAAACCTCATTCTTTTTAGAGGCGCCTTCTAGGCATAGCTAAATGAATCACTGTTCTGCAAGAAATGGTTCTTTGAGGGGGTTCTTTTGGGGCCTTTCCTTAAAAATGTTAATTTTAGTATTATTAGTGTCAGAAAGAAGTTGTAACTTTCCTTTGGCCAAAGCCAGTATAGATCCATTCTTTAAAAGCATTGTGACATTTGTGGCACACATGGGATGGGTATAATAATTGAGCTGGCAGAGGAAAAGTTCAAAAATATTGTAACGCAATGGCATTTTAGCTAGTCATGGGGAAAGGATGGGCTGATTCATTAGGATTTATTTTTCCACAAAGGGAACAGAGACTGAAGACAGACACCTCCCATGAACTCCAGGCTGCTACCCCAAATGCCAGAGTCTTTGGTAAGTGACTTTTAAACATAGAAATGTGGGCTGAGCACAGTGGCTCATGCCTGTAATCCCAGCACTTTGGGAGGCTGAGGCAAGAGGATCACTTGAGGTCAGCAGTTTGAGACCAGCCTGGCCAACATGGTGAAACCCCATCTCTACTAAAAGAACACAAAAATTAGCTGGGGGTGGTGGCACATGCCTGTACTCCCAGCTACTCGGGAGGCAGAGGGAGGAGAATCGCTTGAACCCAGGAGGCGGAGGCTGCAGTGAGCCGAGATTGCACCACTGCATTTGAGCCTGGGCTACAGAGCAAGACTCCGTCTCTAAATAAATAAATAAATAAATAAATAAGAAACGTGAAGTTAGATGGAACTGCCAACTCAGCTAGCAAGTGTGAAGCACCCAGTGCAAACCACAGTTCAAGTTCATCCTGCACCTGATGTGCTTTGTGTCAGTCACACTGTTATGCTCAGTGGGGTCCGACTTGGTGGCTCAAGCATGTGGCTAAGAAAGGGTGAAGTCATTGTTATCCATTGGGCAACAGAAAGAGGAATGAGCAGCTACAGAGGCAGACAGAAGGCACTGAAGAGAATGATTTAAATCCTGAACCATATCTCAGAGGCTCTCCTATCTGAGTGTCTTCACTGCAGGCTTCTGGGAGTTGAGACAAAGGGATTTTCTTCTGATGACATAATTTCTAGTTTTACTGGCAAAAATAGGCTCTAAAATGAATTCACCTAACTTGCGTTTCTCTTCCTTAAGGATTGTTCTGTGACTCTACTTTTCTCTCCTACCTGCATCTGGAATGTTCCTTCTCCTTGACAAGCCATTTGTGTTCATCATTTCCACTTATTCATTCAACAAACATTAGTAAAGCATCTACTACATGCCAGATGTGGAGTTCATTGTTATCAGTAAATAAGACATTACCTCTCAGCTTCCTTAAACTGTATTTCTTCCAGAATTTGCATGTTGTTTCTCCAGCAGTTTCTGCTTCATTGCCTACATTTTTCATGTGTTTACTGGCCTTTTGTATTTCTTCTTCTGTGACTTGCCTGCTTATGTTTTTAGCCCACTTTCCTATTAGGGTATTTATGGTTTTTCTTATTGGTTGGTAAGAGCTCTTTACATATTTTTAAGAACGTTAACCCTTTGTCTTCTATATATGTTGCAAATATTTTCCCCATTTGTGTTTGTCTTTTATTTGTGCATAAATGTTTTGCTGCTACACTAAAGTTTAATTTTTGTTTAGGTAAATCAATTTCTTTTATTGTGGCTCTTGGCTTTTGGGGTCACAGAGAGTAAAGTCTTTCCTTCCTTACCCTAGGAATATTCCAGTATTCACTTATGGCTGTGCTTTTCAAAAACAATGTAATATTTAATTCCTTGTTAATTGCAGGCACATAACATTTTAAAAAGTTTATTTTTCTTATCACTATTTTAAATTGAAATTTCTATTGAGATAATTGCAGACTGACAGCAGTTGTAAGAAATAATACAGAAAGATTCTGTTTATACTTTACCCAGTTTTCCTCAATGGCAACATTTCGCAAAACTACAGCATAATATCACTACCAGGATATTGACATTGATACAATCCAATGATCTTTTTCCTTTTCCCCTGTTGGACTTGTGCTAGTGTGTCTTTAGTTCTCATGTGTAGGCTCTTCAGCACCATCTCTGAATAGTCTATTCTTTCTCCACTCTCCCGAAATGTCACTTATCAGAGACAAAATTCTTACATCTGTTTCTGGATTTTATATTTTGTTTAATTGATCCATTGCCTATGCTGGGGCTGGTACCAAAAATGTAGACAGTTCTCCTTTTTGTTTTTGTTTTGTTTTGTTTTTTCTGAGAGAGGGTCTGACTCTGTTGCCCAGGGTGGAGTGCAGTGGTCAATTACAGCTCACTGCAGCCTCGCCCTCCCAGGCTCAAGTGATTCTCCCACCTTGGCCTCCCAAGTACCTGGGACCACAGGTGCGCACTGCCACGTCTGGGTAAGTTTTTTGATGTATTGTAGAGACGGGGTCTTGTTACATTGCCCAGGCTGGTCTCAAACTCCTGGGCTCACACAATCCTCCTTCCTGGGCCTCCTGAAGTGTTGAGATTCCAGGTGTGAGCCACCACGTCCAGCCCTGTTCTCCTTTTCTTAATGCTTGTGAGGGCTCTTCCCTCACCTCTCTTCTCTTCCTCCTCCTTTTCCCTTTTTGTTTTCAAAGATGCCCTTGCTTATTTCATGTTCAATTTTCCTGATGAGCTTTAGAATCATTTGGTTAAGTTCCAGAAAAGATATTTGGATTGTGATTAGGGTTGCCTTACATTTAGAGATTCATTTGTGGAGAAATGACATCCTTACCAAACCGAGTTTTTCCACTAGGAACACAGTGTCTCTCCATTTATAGAAACCTTTTAAAAATGAGCTTTAGTAGAATGTTGTAATTACTTCATATGAATTCTGCACAAATCTTGTCACACTGATTCCCATTTCATAGCTTTTGTAGATATTGCAGATGGAATCTTTTCTCCCACCATACATATTTTTGGTTGTTTTCTTATTATTGATTTTTATAGTGGTAAAATACATATAAAATTTGCCATTTTCACCATTTTAAAATGTATAGTTCAGTAGCAGTAAGTACATGCATGATGTGTACAATCACCACTAGCCATCTCCAGAACTTTTTCATTATCCCAGAGTCTCTGTGCTTATAAACAGTAACTCCCTGTTCCCTCGCCCCACTGCGGCAGCCTCTATTCTACTGTCTATCTATAAACTTGCTTATTCTGTGTACCTCATATAAGTGATAAGTGGGCTCGTGTAATATTTTGTCCTTCTGTGTCTGACTTCTTCCATTTAGCATGATGTTGTCAAGGCTGATCCATGTTATAGCATGGATCAGAATTTCATTCCTTCTTATGGCTGCATAACATTTTATTGTATGTATAGACCACATTTTGTTTATCCATTTATCCATCCATGGACACTTGGGTTGTTTCCTCCTTTTGGCTGTGAATAATGCTGTTAGGAACAGGGGTGTGAAAATATCTGTTTGAGTCTCTGCTTTTAATTCTTTTGGGTACATATTAAAAAAGAATATTTAATATTTTTTCACAACTGATTATTAGTGGCAGATAGCAGGGGAAAGGTATTACATTTCTTTCTTTCTTTTTCTTTTTTTTTTTTTTCTGAACTGGAGTCTTGCTCTTGTCACCCAGGCTGGTGTCCAATGGCGCGATCTTGGCTCATTGCAACCTCCACCTCCCAGGTTCAAGCGATTCCCCTGTCTCAGCCTCCAGAGCATCTGGGATTACAGGTGCCTGCCACCATGCCCGGCTAATTTTTGTATTTTTAGTAGAGATGGGGTTTCACCATGTTGACCAGGCTGGTCTTGAACTCCTGACCTCAGGTGATCCACCCGCCTTGGCCTCTCAAAGTGCTGGGATTACAGGCATGAGTATTACATTTCTAATTAGAAAAAAAATTAACATTTCCATCTACCCAAACACAAAAATAAAAAATCACCCAAAATATAAGTACTCATCTTTCAAGGCCCTTGCTAAATGCCCTTTCTGTTTGTACAGGCCCTGACCTCACAGGGACAGTCATTCATGAACTCTTAGCCATGAGCTCAGCACACACCAGATACCCTAAACTATTACATGTAATTGTTCATGAAAACTCGGTTCTCTCTTTGTGCTTTTGAGTCTTCTAGACGAGTTTATTCACAAAGGCAAAAGGGAGTTAGGGCAGGTGCAACAGGAAGACTCCATTAACTTTGCAGAAGTGGTTTTGAGGCAACGAAAGCAGGTGAATTTCTCGAAAGTGCCAGGTTGTTTTGTCAATGTCTAGGTATTTACTGTAGGCCAGTAACACACTTGAATATATCTCTCTTTCACTTTCCTCACAAGAAAAGTAATTTCTCTTTCTAAATTGTGTATATTCTTTTTTGCCGCAGCCTGAAGGCCTAATCAATACAACTTTGTATTTTCTGTTAAGTTTTAAGCTCCTCGGGAGCAGAGGCTTGTCCTGCAACCCCCTCTGTATGCATGCATGTGCACACACACACACACACACACACACACACCCCTACACACACACGATTATTAAGAATACCAAGTCTGGAGTCAGGCTATCTGGGTTCAGATCTCAGCCCTGTCACTACTCACCCAAGGACACCCATCTAGAAAGGGATACAGGGGGAATTTAAACCCCAGCAATGTGGGGTCATTATTCTAACCTTAAGCAAATTATTTAACCTCTTATGTGTCTCAGTTTCTTTATCTATAAAACAGGATACTAACAGTACCACCCTCGTAGGACTTTTGTGAGAACTAAATAACCTAATATAGATAAAACACTAGATATGTGCCTTAGAGTTCTAAGAGTTTGCCCTTCTAAGGGGAGGCTGTGATTGACATCTACAGTGCCAAGCCCCCGTGTTTGCTGAGTAACACTTTCTGTTAATTGGGTCTTCCATTGTACACCTTGGGAGATTTCTCATCTAATCACACCTTTGCCCTCCTGCAGCTGGAATAGCATTTCCATTTGTATTTGACAAGAACCAGTTATCAAGAACAGACAGACCCAGGCCATCTGCCTGATTGATTGTGTTTATGGCCCTGAGGGCAGCAGACTCCTGGAAAGAGAGGACAGGCAGGCCCTGAGTCCTGGCTCCGTTTCTGATTTCTAATCAGGGCAGAAAGGTCTTAGCTATTGTCATGGTTTGCATAGACCTCTGGAAAAACATGTGTTGGAAACTTAGTCTCCAAAGCAACAGTGTTGGGAGGTGGGGCCGAATGGGAAGTGTTTAGGTCATCAGCACTCCACTCTCAGTGGATTAATGCCGACTATAAAAGGGCCTGAGGTTGTGAGTTTGATCTCTTGCTCTCTCTCACCCTCTCTTTGCTCTTCCACCAAGGGATAATGCAACAAGAAGGCCTTTGCCTGATGCCAGCCACTCAACCTTGGACTTTCCAGCCCCAGAACTGCAAGCCAATCCATTTCTGTTCATTATAAACTTCCCAGTCTAGGGTATCCTGTTATAGCAACACAAACGGACTAAGACAGTATGATGGTTGAGGGGTTCTGGAGCTCCCAAGTGTGCCCTCTTCCAACTGGGGACCCACAGACTCCCACAAGCCTGGCTAATCAACACTACTGTCAAGTTCTAAGGAGGCCTTCCTCTTACGGCCTGTCCCAGGCTGTGGTTACGTTGCTTGTTAGGTCTTGTTACATTTGCATGTCTCCCCCAGTAGGACATACGCAGCATGAGGACAGAGACCTTGACTCGAGGACAATGTTTGTCAAATATTTGGAAAGAAGGAAGGCAGGCAGGCAGGAAGGGAGGAAGGGAACCTTCTCCCTCCTCTACCCCACCTACTCACTTCTCAAACACTGCACCCCAGGAAGCCTTCTTTGAAATGTATTTTTTCTCCAGTTTTTGGGAGCCAAGAAAAAGAAACATGAAAACAAGGCTGTAAACCATTCAAAAGTAGGACTGTGCCCATCCTGGTGTTTTCCCCCCTTCCCTTCTGGTCCCCAGTGCTTGGCCAAGAGGTGGCCACGGTTACAGGTCAAGGCCTGGGCCAGGTCATGAATGCTTCCTTTTAGGAATTTTGACTTAGCCCATATTTTTTTCTCTCTCCTATCAGAGACAGATAATAAACGAATAATCTTTGTTCTTCCACCTCTTTCCCTGATGGACACCAGCTGGGAGGGCATGGGTGCGGGGACATTTCCCACAGTCTATCTGTGGTCCCTGGGGCCATGTCTTGTCAGGGTAGATGGAACACCAGGCCAGCCCTGGTATCTTCACCAGCTTCTCACAGGAGGCCCTGGAGCTCTGGGCAACCATGGCTCTGGGCCATTGACAGGTCTGCTCCTGCTGTGGTCGCCTCCCTTCTAACCTGCAATCAGCCTGAAGGTTTGTTCAGCTCAGTCCAGGGCATGGGACCAAGCACCACCAGCAGGAGTTCCCAAGGTCGGGGGTTCATTGCCATTGCCATCTGATCCTTCGAAAAAATAAATGCTAGCCAGGCACAGTGGCTCACACCTGTAATCCCAGCACTCTGGGAGGCTGAGGTGGATGGATCACTTGAGATCAGGAGCTCGAGACCAGCCTGGCCAACATGGCAAAACCCCATCTCTACTAAAAATACAAAAATTAGCCGGGCGTGGTGGCACATGCCTGTAGTCCCAGCTACTCGGGAGGCTGAGGCAGGAGAATTGCTTGAACTGGGAGGCAGAGGTTGCAGTGAGCCGAGATCAGGCCATCGCACTCCAGCCTGGGTGACAGAGCAAGACTCTGTCTGAAAAAAAAAAAAAAAAAGGAAAGCCAAGCCAGGTATGGTGGCCCATGCCTGTAATCCCAGCACTTTAGGAGGCCAAGGCAGGATCACTTGAGTCCAGGAGTTCGAGACCAGCCTGGACAATATAGCAAGACCCTGTCTCTACAAAAAATTTAAAAACTTAGCTGGGTGTGGTGCCACATGCCTGCAGTCTCAGCTACTCGGGAGGCCGGAGCGAGAGGATTTCTTGAGCCCAGGAGTTTAAGGCTGCAGTGAGCTATGACTGCACCACTGCACTCCAGCCTGGGTGACACAGTGAGACTCCATCTCTAAAAGATTAAAAACTAAATAAATGCCGACACTTTTTTTTCGTGGTTACAACGTGCTTGACTACTAAGACAGGATGACTCTAACGGGATGAAAAGGGCCTGCACGAGTACAGCAGATTTTTATCCAGAATGAATTTTGGTTCAATTAATATTCTGGTTAACTGAGGATTACAATAGATAGTAGATACAAATGTGCAATTATCAAAGTATGTCAAAATGTGCCCATCACACAAATTTACCAGATTATATTTAAAACTATCTTTGATGGTCCAGATGGCATTTCAGATTCTTGCAGTACATCAAAATTATCAAAATAAGCACAAATTATTTTGAAATAGCATTGATGGGAGTGTCTGATTATATGAAATTCCTTGCTGCTTGAATTCCAGTAAGTGCACTTTCTATGTTTACTTGTACCTAGAATAAACTCTGGTTTATTCAGAATCCAAACCTATGCATTTATGCAACACGAGAAAGTATAACCACTGGACTGGACCCCAGTACAGCCAACTGGAAAGATACCCTTGAGACATATATTGTCAGGGCTAGAAGGCTCCAGCTTGCAGAAGGAGAGCAGGTGGCCTCCTGCATGTGAGGCAGAAGAGCACCATGGGGAAAAGCAGGGACTCACATCTTGCTTTTGCCACTCATGCACACGAGGACCTTGGATATGGTATTTAACCTCCCCTATGCCTCATCTGTGGAATGGGATGATCGTAATACCCCACAGGACTGGGGGTCAGATTCAGTGAAATGGAGTATATAATGTGCCTGCTGCTCCTCCTTGTTTTGGCCCCCGTTCCTTGAATATTTCAGTCCCTGGCTCACAGTTGTCCTTCTCTTCAACACTATTCCTGCCACAATTCTATGTGGCTTTAGTATTCACAGAGAATCAATTGCTCCCTTGCAAAACCCTGGCCTGGCATCTCAATTCTCGAACCTTCTCCTTTGGCATACTAAATTATTTTTTTCATTTGGTTTCCAAGACACAAGTCTCCTCTGGTTTTCTTCCTAAGTCACTGTCTTCTCGTTCTCAGTCTCCTTTGCTAGCTCTTCTTCATATTTCTGTCTTTTAAGTATTGGGGCACCCCATCCCTCAGTCCTGGGGCCTCTTCTCCACTCTCTCTGTTCGTTCCCTTGATGATATCATTTGGTGTCATGATTTTAAATACCATCTCTATGCTGACGTCTTTTAGGTTTTTTTTTTTTTTGGCCAGACTCTCACTCTGTCACCTAGGCTGGAGGGCAGTGGCACGAACGTGGCTCACTGCAGCCTCGACCTACCGGGCTCAAGTGATCCTCCCACCTCAAGCCCCCCAAGTAGCTGTGACTACAAGTGTGCGCTACCATGCCTGGGTAATTTTCATATTTTTTGTAGAGATGGGGTTTAGCCATGTTGCCCAGGCTCGTCTCGAACTCCTGACCTCAAGTGATCTGCCTGCCTCGGCCTCCCAAAGTGCTGAGATTACAGGTGTGAGCCACCACACCTGGCCTGTCTTCCAGATTTTATCTCTAGTTTGAACTCATTCTGCCGAACTCCATACTCGTGCATCCAGCTGCCTGTTTTACTTTTCCACTTGGCTATGTAATACTGATTCTCAAATTAACAGGTCCAAAATGGAATTCCTTTATTTCCCCTCCAATCTGATCCACCCACAGTTTTTCTTTTTTCAAAAAATAGCAACTTTCCCCTTCCAGTTGTTGAGGACTAAAATAAAATAGTCATCTTGTACTCTTCCTCTGACACATCCGATCCATCAAGAGATCCCGTTTGTTCTACCTACCAAAATATATTCAGAACTCAACCATTTCTCATCACCTTTCCTGCTACCTCTCCAGTCCAAAATATTCTGTTTTCCCTGAATTCTTGTAGGAGTCTCCTGAATGGTCCCTCTGCAGCTATCCTTCCCTAGCCTGCAGCAGCCAGAGCCATCCTTCAGAAACAAGTCAGATCACACACCCCGTAGCCCCAAACTCTCCATTGGCCCCCATTCACCTGGTGTGAAAACCAAAGTCTTTCCAAGAGCCCACAAAGCTGCCCCAATCTTCCCCTCCCCAATCCTACCTCTAAATTCTTCTCCAGCCCCTCCACTGTTCACTCAGTCTCTTTGGCTCCATGGCCTCCTTGCTGCTCCTCCTCCATCCCAGGCCCCCGCTGCACCTCTTGCTTCCTCTGCATTTCCCCCAGATAGCTGCAAGCCTCATCCTTTCACCTCTTCATGTGTTTGCTCAAATGCCACCTTCTCAGTGAAGCCTTCCCCAACCACCCTAAAGAAAACTCAAAACTCCCATCCCTCTTTCCTGCTTTACTGTAATTTTTCTACAGCACATATCACCAGTATGATATACCATATATTTTATATATTTATTTATTGTCTCTCCTATTAGAATGTATGTTCCACTAGGACAGAGATTTTTGTCTGTCTTGTTCACTGCTGTATCCTCAGAGCCTAGGATGATGCCTGAAACATAGTAAGGGCTCAACAAATATTATTTTCATTTGTACATACAGTACATAGTCAGATTAACTTCACCTCTTCCTGTACAGCTTTTGCAATTATTCCCACCTAAATTTGCCAATGCAATATCTCACAGGGGAAGGGCTAGCTAATTAAATTAATAAAATTAATAGGGTAAGCAAGTGTCCAAGGGAAAATTTTGAAATTATCTAGAGAATAAGTGATTTACAAATGTCCTTAACCTACAAGTAACCATTTATGTAAACAAACTGATTGGTTTTTTATAAGCCATTCTTATTGATACCTCTGATAGTTCTGAGTATGTCTGAATGGTCCTGTTTATCCTCTCCTGTCATTGTAACCAATCACGCAATGGCAGCTGGACAGGCTGACCAGGAAACAGACTGCAGGATGGGCTAGGCTAGTAGAGCACATGCTTAGTAAAGAGCATAGCATTGTGGGTAAGAGAGCAAGCATTGTGGGTAGTAGAGCAGGCATTGTGGGTAGAGAAGCAGGCATTATGGGTGGAAGACCATGGCACTGTAGGTAGAAGAGCAGGCATTATGGGTAGGAGAGCAGGTATTGTGTGTTAAGAGAGCAGGCATTATGGGTGGGAGAGCATGGCATTGTGGGTAGGAGAGCAGGTATTGTGGGTAGGAGAGCACAGCATTGTGGGTAGGAGAGCAGGCATTGTGGGTAGAAGAGCAGGCATTATGGGTAGGAGAGCACAGCATTGTGGGTAGTAGAAGTGGTGCTGTTGTAGGAAAGCCCACATTCAGTGTTGGTAGAGATCATTCAGGACTGTTGGCAAGGGCAGAACATTCTCATAGTTTCAGAGCAAACCAAATAGAGCACATGCTGCCTAATTAGGGTCAGGCAGAAGCAAAGGATAAAATCCTGACTGAAGTCAGAGCATAGGGCCAATCAGAGATGCAGACCAGATAAGAGGCTGAGTCCAACTGGAACTAACCACATCAGGGGGCAAGATCCATGCCAAGACCCACCCACCACCACCTGGTGACGCCAGGACAGAGGCTAGGTGGCCTGCTCTAAGCACATTCTTTGGTGGGCAGATGGGGGCTGCCAGGTGTCACCGCTCTTGGGAGAAAGGCTGGGCACACAGGACATAGAGCTGTGGCTGCCATGCCTGAAGACAGCTCCCTGCCTCTAAGTCGAGAGAGATCTAAGCTGATCTTCACAGCTCAGAGGCCTTCAGACTGCAGCCCATGTTTCTTCTCATGATCCCTTTTCAGTACTCCTGATGACATTAGATCAAGGGCTTTCCATAAATGGAAACTTCATCCATACCACAATATTTACTGCATATTCACTGCATGCCAGATTATGTGCTATATGCTTAGATCATGACAAAAAAGTAAACACAGTTCCTGCCTGCAAGTGCAATAGTGAAAATAGACTCATAAATAAGGATAAGTAAACTATGGTGATGATAATAACAGCAACAGTTAGTATTTATCCAGCATGTACCGGGTTCCAGGCTCTGTGCTATAAACTTTTACATGGATCATTTTATTCAGGAAACTGTGAGATAGATAGTACTGGTATTAAGTTTCTATTTTACAGAGACTTATAGAGGTAAAAGAAATTGCTCATGGTCACACAGCTAGGAAGAAGCAGAGCCAGTATGAGAACTACAGTCTTTCTCACTCCAAAGAATGTGCCTTAATCACTAAGCCCTACTTATTCTTGGGGCTTTAGGGAGTACAGTGGGAGGAATACCTAATTCTGACTAGGGTCTGGGAAGGCCAGGGGAAGGAGAGTCAGGGAGGTCAGAGAAGGCTTCCCCTGGGAGGCAGGGGATGTCTGAGCTGAGGCCAGAAGAATCAGTACATGTGGTCTAGGTAGGGTTGCAGGAGAAACAATGCAGGCTCAGGGAACTTCTAGTGCATAGGAAGAGCATGGTGTGCTCAGGCAAGTGTCAGCAGGGTGGCAATGGGGATGGGCAGAGTTGAGTGTCAGAGGGGCAAAGCTAGGGAAATGTCAAGGCCCAGACCAGGCCCTTACTACAATGCAGTCCAGCATGATCCTGTGCTACAGATCTCCTAGGCCTCAGAAACCCATAGAATGAAACCTCCTTGAAGGGGGAGACTCTATGTCAATTAAAATAGGTTACTTATAAAACAATCCTAAAATTCATATGGGACCATTAAAGACTCCAAATAGTCAAAGCAATCTTGAGCAAAAAGAATAAACCTGGAGGTATCACACTATCTGATTTTAAAATAGACTATGAGGCTACTGTATTAGACCATTCTCACACTGCTAATAACATACCTGAGACTGGATAATTTATAAAGAAAAAGAGGTTTAATGAACTCACAGTTCCACATGGCTGGAGAGGCCTCACAATCATGGTGGAAGGCAAAGGAGGAGCAAAGGCATGCCCTTCTTTTTTTTTTGAGATGGAGTTTTGCTCTTATTGCCCAGGCTGCAGTGCAATGGCGCGATCTCGGGTCACCACAACCTCCACCTCCCGGGTTCAAGCGATTCTCCTGCCTCAGCCTTCTGAGTAGCTGGGATTACAGGTGTGCGCCACTACGCCCAACTAATTTTGTATTTTTAGTAGAGATGGGGTTTTACCATGTTGGTCAGGCTGGTCTGGAACTCCCGACCTCAGGTGATCCGCCTGCCTCAGCCTCCCAAAGTGCTGGGATTACAGGCGTGAGCCACTGCACCGGCCGCAAAGGCATGTCTTACATGGTAGCGGGCAAGAGAATGTGTGCAGGGAAACTGCCCTTTATAAAACCATCAGATCTCGTGAGACTCATTCACTACCATGAGAACAGCATGGGAAAAACCCGCCCCCATGATTCAATTACCTCCCATCTGGTCCCTCCCACAACATGTGAGGATTATGGGTGTTACAATTCAACATGAAATTTGGGTGGAGACAAAGCCAAACCATATCAGCTACTGTAACCAAAACAATACAGTATCGACATAAAAACAGATATATAGGCCAATGGAATAGAATAGAGATCTCAGAAATAAATCCACACATTTACAGTCAATTGATCTTTGACGAAAGTGCCAAGAATGCACAATGGGAAAAGGACAGTCTCTTCAATAAATGATGTTAGGAAAACTGGATATTGATATTCAGAAGAATGAAACTGGACCCTTATACCATACATAAAAATCAACTCAAAATGGGTTGAAGACTTAAACATTAAGACCTGAAACTATAAAACTACTAGAAGAAAACACAGAAGAGTTTCTTGACATTGGTTTTGGCAATGATTTTTTGGATATGACTCCAAAAACACAGGCGACAAAAAGCAAAAATAGACAAATGGGATTGCATCAAACTAAAAGTTTTTGCACAGCAAAGAAAATAATCAGAGTAAAAAGATGACCTGTACAATGAGAGAAAATATTTCTATTCCATACATCTGATATGGGGCCAATATCCAAAATACATAAGGAACTCAAACAACTCAATAGCAAGAAAACAGATAATTTAATAATGGGCAAAGGACCTGAACAGACATTTCTCAAAAGCAGACATAGAAATCACCAAGAGTTACATGAAAAAATGCTCAACATCACTAATCATCAGGGAAATGCAAATTAAAACAACAGTGAGATATTACCTCACAACTGTTAGGATGGCTATTCCTGCCAAAAGGTAAGTGTCGTTGATGTGGTAAAAGACAACTCTTGTACACTGTTGGTGGGAATGTGAAAAAATAAAATAGGTTACTTTTGAGGCTCTGTGTATTAGGCTATTCTTGCATTGCTAGAAAGAAATACCTGAGACTGGGTAATTTATAAAGAAAAGACATTTAATTGGTTCATTGTTCCACAGCTGTACAGGAAGTATACAGGCATTTGCTTGGCTTCTGGGGAGGCCTCAGGAAACTTACAATCAGGGAGGTGAAGGGGAAGCAGGCACATCATAAAGTGTGAACAGGAGGAAGAAGGGAGGAGGTGCCACACACTTTTTTTTTCTTTTTGAGACAAGGTCTTGCTCTATCACCCAGGCTGGAGTATAGTGGCGCAATCTTGGCTCACTGCAACCTCTGCCTCCTGGGCTCAAGTGATCCTCCCACATCAGCCTCCCCAGTAGCTGGGACTACAGGAATGCACCACCACATCTGGCTCATGCCACACACTTTTAAGCAACCAGATCTCATCTCTATCACAAGAATAGCACTAAAGCCCCCATGATCCAATCACCTCCCACCAAGGCCCCACCTCCAACACTGGGGATTATAATTTGACTTGCGATTTGGGCAGAGACACAAATTCAAACCATATCACTCTGCTAACCATGGGCTTCCTTGAAGAAGTTCCTGTTAGCATGTACACCTGAAACTGGAAACCTGCCTTCCTGTGCATCAGACAGACCTTCTCTGATGTGGCTGGTTTTTGCCTCATCAAATATGTCTCTGGATTTTGCAGGTTGGAGTGTCTCACTCATGAAGACCTTTGAGAGACAGATTGAGAATTTTACCTTTATTTCATTTATTATTTTTACTTTTTGTCTGGACAGGGTCTCGCTATGTTGCCCAGGCTTGTCTTGAACTCCTGGCCGCTAACAGTCCTTCGCCTTAGCCTCCCCAAACGCTGGATTACAGGTGTGAGCCAGTACACCTGGCCCAGATATTACCTTTAACAGGAGAGCATAGTAGTTAAGCACATGGGCTGTATAACCAGACTTCCCAGGTTCAAAACCAGCCGTACTTAACTATCATCCCCAAACAAGCCACATCCTCTCCAGCTTCTGTACCTCGGCCTGAGATGCTCTTTCAGTTTTCCACTCCCTTCTTTGGCTGGGAAATTTCTACAGCGTACTTCAAGTCAGTTTAAACATTACAATTCCACGAAATCTCTGAAGACTAGGTTATGGGTCCCTCTTCTGAGCGCTTATGTATCTTTATGTGAGCAACATGTACACACCCCTCTGGTAGCCATAGCTCTGTACTGTAATTGCTGGTTCACTTTACTGTCTCACCTACTAGATGCTAAACAGTTGGAGGGCTGTGGATTACTTGATCGCTGTTATGTCTCCAGTGCCTAGCACAATGCCTGGACATAGTAAGTGCTCTATTTGCATTTGTGGAATTAAGTAAGAAACCTCAATCATCTTTTGCCCTCTCCCATGTCTCTGAATTCAGTGTGTACTCAAGTTGCTTCTTAAAAATGCCTTCTGAATTCTTCTTTCCATCACCATGACCCTAGCACCTTGGTTTAAACCTTCTTCACAACTCACCATGCCTGCTGTGATGACCTCATGGCTTGTCCCCAGCCACAGCAACAGGCAAACGGTTTGGCTGTGTCCCCACCCAAATTTCATCTTGAATTGTAACTACCATAATCCCCACATGTTGTGGGAGGGACTTGGTGGGAGGTAATTGAATCACGGGGGCATACTTCTCCTGTGCTATTCTTGTGATAGTGAATCTCACGAGATCTGATGGTTTAATAAAGGGCAGTTCCCCTGCATGTGCCCTCTTGCCTGCCACCATGTAAGATGTGCCTTTGCACCTCCTTTGCCTTCTACCATGATTGTGAGGCCTCCCAAGCTATGGGGAACTGTGAGTCCATTAAACCTCTTTTTCTTTCTTTCTTTTTTTGAGACAGAGTCTTGCTCTGTAGCCCAGGTTCAAGTGCAGTGGTGTGATCTCAGCTTACTGCAACCTCTGCCTCCCAGGTTCAAGGGATTCTCCTGCCTCAGCCTCCCGAGTAGCTAGGACTACAGGCATGCACCACCATGCCTGGCTAATTTTTGTATTTTGAGTAGAGATGGGGTTTCACCATATCGGTCAGGCTGGTCTTGAACCCCTGACCCCGTGATCCACCCCGCCTCAGCTTCCCAAAGTGCTGGGATTATAGGTGTGAGCCACCGTGCCTGGGCAAACGTCTTTTTCTTTATAAATTACCCAGTCTTAGGTATTTCTTCATAGCAGTATGAAAACGGACTAATACACCATGCAATATATAAACCTTTCCTGACCTCATTCATCTTTCAGGGAGGCACAACTGGATGTTACCATCACAATAGCACTTTTACAGTGTATTTGTAATTCAGTGCAAAATATTGACCTCCTGTATTTGACTGGGAGCTGCTGGATAGCAAGAACAGTGTGTTGTTACTCATTTGTGTCTGTCCAGCATCTCACAAGTTGAGTGATGATTAGCAGAGCGAATATGATTTATTACATTCTTTCCTAAAGTTCTCTATTAGCACCCTTCTGCTCATACGATAAAATATGCGTTCCTTAGCAGGGTCCCAAGGGACTGCCAGAATCTGAACTTTCCCCGCCACCTTCTGATCCCTCCCACTGCGCAGCAGAGCTTCTGCTATTCCAAAGGCACCTTGTCACTCTGCACCTCTGGAGTACTGCCCCTGTACATCATTTGCCTACCCTGCCCCTCTTCTTCCCATTCAAGGCCTAGTTCAATGGCCACTTTCTCTGTGGAACCTTGCTCAGCTTCTCCTGGCAGAGTTAATGCTCCTTTCTTATCTGTGGCAGCATTTATTATCCATATGAAATGATCTGTTTGCAGGTTATTCTCCCCTTCTGGGCCATGATGGGCCAGTAAGGCCCTTGAAGGCAGGGAGAGGATCTCATCGTGGCATGTATAACATGGGAGGTGCCCTAGAAAGGACTTCTGACTGAATAATTGTGCTTTATAAGATTTATGTTTTATAGGATTAATAGTGTGGTGCTACGGCAAGAATGGGCAGGCACATTATAAAAGAGAATAAAAGCTCCAAAAGGGACCCCTGTAAACCTAAGACTTGTTATTATTATTATTATATTTTGAGATGGAGTCACACTCTGTCACCCAAGCCATAGTGCAGTGCTGTGCTCTCAGCTTATTGCAACCTGCACCTCCTGAGCTCAAGCCATCCTCATGCCTCAGCCTCCCGAATAGCTTGTACTACAGGCATGCACCACCACGCTCGGCTAATACTTTTTGTATTTTTAGTAGACAGGGTTTCACCAGGCTGGTCTTGACCTCCTGACCTCAGGTGATCTGCCCATCTCAGCCTCCCAAAGTGCTGGGATTACAGGCCTGAGCCACCATGCCCGGCTCCTATAAACATAAGACTTATGAGTGGTAAAAGCAGCATCACAAAACAGGAGAGAAAGAAAGACCTATGCAGTCAGTGAGGCCAGGAACATTCAATATTTTTAAAAAGTATAACCTAACCTCACAGCATATAATTAATTAAATCACAGGTATATAAAATCATTAAATGTAAGAATATTGACCTCTAAAAATACTAGGATAATTAAACATAAATATCTCATGGACAGAGATGAGAGATATAAGCCCCAACACAACAGAAGAAATCTCAAAGGAAAATATTGTAATAACTTTGACTATATATCAATTTCAAAATATCTTATACATTAAAAAAGGCAAGTGACAATCTAAGAAATCTAAGAAAAGATGTCTGCCATAATTAAAATGTTAATATTTTTCAAATATTAAGTGTACACAAACTGATAAAAACATCACAAACCAGGAGGGAAAGAAAGAAGATCCTATCCCAACCAAAAAAACAAGCCAGGTGTGGTAGCATGTCTGTAGTCCTAGCTACTCAGGAGGCTGAGGGGGGATCGCTTGAGCCCAGGAGTTTAGGGTTGCAATGAGCTATGATTGTGCCACTGCATTCCAGCCTGGGTGACAGAGTGAGACCCTGTCTCTAGAAAAAGAAAAAATTAGAAAAATATGCCTGAAAATCTCTTAGGACTTCCACATCTGACTATGATAGAATAACAGGAACTAGATATACCCTCCTTTCTTAAACAACTAAAACAATGTACAAACATATGAAATAAGAGTTTGCAGACACAGACAGCAGGCAGCACATAGAAATGCAAACACATTATCTTAAGATACTTGTATTATATGTGAAGTGGCATAATAATACTTGAAGGTAGATTGTGATAGGTTAACATGTATATTATAAACCTTAAGCCTTTAATGGTTATAACCTTATAAACCTTTAATGGTTACTGAATAACCATTAAAATAACACACTGAAGAATTTTAACTAATAAGCCAACAAAGACGACAAAATGGAATTATAAAAATACTCAATTATTTAAAAAGGCAGAAAATGAGGAAAAAGAGAACAAATAATAGATAGAAAAAGATAAAATAAAAAATGGTATATTTAAACACAATCATACCAATAAACATATTAAGTGTAAACCTTTGAACACCAAATTTGAAGGCACTGATTGTCAGATTGGAAAAAAAAAATCAAATTCAACTATATGCTGCCTACAAGCAACCCATTTTTAAGTATAAAGACACAAAGGGTTAGATACAAAAGGAAGAAAAAAAGATATTCCAGGATGGGCAAGGTGGCTCATGCCTGTAATCCTAGTACTTTGGGAGGCTGAGGTGGGTGGATCACCTGGGGTCAGGAGTTCGAGACCAGACTGGCCAACTTGGTGAAACCCCATCTCTACTAAAAATACAAAAATTAGCCAGGCATGGTGATGCACACCTGTAATCCCAGCTACTTGGGAGGCTGAGACAGGAGAATCGCTTGAACCCAGGAGGCAAAAGTTGCAGTGAGCCAAGATTGTACCACTGCACTCCAGCCTGGGTGACAGAGCGAGATTGCCCCCCCACTAAAAAAGATATTCCACATTAACCCAAAATAAAACTGGAGTGGTAGTCACAAAAGAAAAATATAGGTTAGGGCAAAGAATATTACCATGGTAAAGAGGATCAATTCTAAGAAGATCTTCTATAATGGATAAAGAGACAAAATCATCCAGAGAACATAAAAATTCTAAATGTTTATGCACCTAATAACAGAGATTCAACATACTTGAAGCAAAAATTGCTAGAACTGTATGTAGAAATAGACAAATTTGCAATTATAACTGAAAATTAGGGCTTAAGATTTCAACAACTATCTCTCTCTCTCACTTTCGTATTTGTTTTTGTTTTGTTTTGTTTTGAGACAGGGTCTTTTTCTGTTACCCAGGCGTGATCATGGCTCACTGCAGCCTTGGCCTTCTGAGCTCAAGTGATCCTCCTACCTCGGCACCTCCCCACCCCCCCAGTATTTGGGACTACTAGTATGCACCACCACACCTGGCTAATTTTTAAATTTTTTGTAGAGATGGGGTTTCGTCATGTTGCCAAGGCTGGTCTTGGATCTTTGGCTCAAGCAGTCCTCCAGCTTTGGCCTCCCAAAGTGCTGGGATTACAAGTGTGAGCCACCACACCTGGCCAACCATCTCTTAATAAATGACATAACAAATAGAAAGAAAATCAGTAAGGATCAATAAGGAATCAATAATACCAATTCTATCCAAACTTAAAGAAAATAGAAGAGGAGGAAGTGCTTTCCAATTCATTCTATGAGTTCAGCATTACTCCAACATAAAGAAAAAAAAGACAAAAGTACATACTAGTATCTCTCATGAACACAGACACAATAATTCTTACATAATTTCAGCATGTTTGAATCCAACAATGTATAAAAATGATAATACATCATAATTAAGGAGAATTTATCCCAGGACTATTCTGGGTTTTGTTTTCTTTTTAAATTTTTTGAGACAGGGTCTTGCTCTGTCGCCCAGGCTGGGGTACAGTGGAGTGATCTCAGCTCACTGCAGCCTCAATTTCCTGGGCTCAGGTGATCCTCCCACCTCAGCCTCCCAAGTAGCTGGGACTACAGGCGCGCACCACCACACCTGGCTAATTTTTTGTATTTTTTGCCATATTGCCCAGGCTGGTCTCAAGCTCCTGAACTCAAAAGATCTTTCAGCCTCAGCGTCCCAAAGTGCTGGGATTACAGGCATGAGCCACTGTGCCCCACCTTTCTATTTGTTTAATATTTGAAAATCAATGTAATTTACCATATCAATAGACTAAAAAAAAACCCCATGTAATCACTCAGTAGATGCAGAACAATCATTGACAAAATCCAACATCCATTCATGGTGATAACTCTTAGCAAACTAGGAATGGATAGGAACTTCATCAGTGTCATAAAAGGTAAATACAAAAACCCTACCGCTAATATTAACATTATATTTAATGATGAGAGACAATGCTTTCCCCCTATAATCAGGAACAAGTGTAGGATATCCACTCTCACCATTTCTATTCGACATTCTGCTGGAGGTTTTAGTGCAATCAGGCAAGAAAAAGAGATAAAAAGCATTGTAAAGAAAGTAAAACAGAGGCCAGGCATGGTGGTTCAAGCCTATAATCCCAGCACTTTGTGAGGCTGAGGCGGGTAGATTACTTGAGGTCAGGAGTTTGAGACCAGCCAGGCAAACATGGAGAAACCCCATCTCTAGGACATGGTGGTGGGCTCCTGTAATCCCAGCTACTTGGGAGGCTTGAACCTGGGAGGCAGAGGTTGCAATGAGCTGAGATTGTCCCACTACACTCCAGCCTGGGTGACAGAGTGAGACTCTATCTCACAAAAAAAAAAAAAAAAAGAGAAAGTAAAACAGCCTTCATTCTCAGTAGACATGATTGTCTATGTAAACAATTCAATGGAATCTAGCAGAGAAGCAAGACTAATAACTAAGTTTGTTAAAGTTGCAGGACACAAAATATAATAATTCTATTTCTATCTATTAGCGATGGACAATAAAAAATGGAACTAAGATATCATGTACAATAGCATCAAAAATATGAAATACTTAGGGAAATTTGACAAAAGATGTACAAGACCAGTACACTGAAAACTACAAAACATTACTGAGAGAAACTTAAAAAGACCTAAATAAGTAGAGAGATATGCCATGTTTATGGCTCGGAAGACAATATTTTGTTAGGATGTCAGTTCTCCCCAGATTGATTCAATGCAATTCTAATCAAAATTCCAGCAGCATTTTTGTAGCAAATGACAATTATAAAATGCACATGGAAATACAAAGAACCTGGAATGCCAAAGCAACTTTGAAAAAGAACAATGTTAGAGACTGTTAAACTAAATTTGGGCTTTAGAAGCCTCCGTCCAAGTCCTACATAGCAAACTGCAACCTAACTTAGTACATAAACAAATTGAAAAGCAAATAGGAATTTGCCTTTGTGACAAATAGCTGAGTCTCAGTCTAGTGTCAGTCAGTTGCAGGCGGCCAACTGTCAAAATTATGTTCAATAAGGCAAACACCATGCTGGAGCCAACTGGGCTCTTTTTCTCTGCCTCGCTTCTGTTTTCTGCACATCTCTTCCCTTTTTCTGTTAGAAATGTTATCCATGCACATAGCAGCCCCAGAGTCTCATTGAATTTGTCCTAGTTCTAGGATCTGCTTGATTCATGAATTGTTCTTTGTGCAATTAAACTCTACTAAATTTAATTTGCCTAAAGTTTTTCTTTTCACAAGACTTACACTACTTGATTTCAAGACTTATTATACAGCTGCAATAATCTAGATAATGTGAGGGCATAAAGACAGACATGTACATCAGTGGAACGCAATAGAGAGCCTAGAAATAAACCCACACATACGTGGTCAACTGATTCTTTACAAAGATGCTGAAGGGTAGCAGAATATGCCACTCCCAAATGTGCTGCTTTGGCATAAGGATTATTCTGAGTTGAAGGCAACTGAGAAGAAGCAGATGTATGAAAAGCTGCGAATCCCAGCACTTTGGGAGGCTGAGGAGGGAGGATGGCATGAGCCCAGGAGGCAGAGGTTGCAGCCAGCCGAGATCACGCTACCGCATTTCAGCTCTGGAGACAGAGCAAGACCCTGTCTCAAAAAAAAAAAAAGAAAAGAAAGAAAAGAAAGAAAGAAAAGAAAAGAAAAGAAAGAAAGAAAGAAAGAAAGAAAGAAAGTTTCTGCTCTTCTCCTAAAACAGGGACATAAATTTGTAAAGGTGTCCCTACCTTTTTTCCTTACCAGGAAGGACAAACTTTACTCACAGGAGATAACTCTAGATGTTCATCAGCCCAGCAATTGGCACCAGAGGAATCTACGTAACAAACCTTATTAACTAGCCCTTTAGCCCTTATCTTCCACTAGTTCCCCCATACATTTACCTTCCCACAATTTGCTCCCCTAGAAACGTATAGTCCTTTTCCTGTGTCTTGTCACTTCTTTAAAAATATATTGATCTTTTGTTAAGGTGCTATGTAAGCCCAAGTCCTAACCAACCTTGTTACCAGTGAATGCTCCCATACATAAGCACATGTTAATAAACCTGTTTGTTTAATCCGTCTTTTGTCAGCTTAATTTACAGGACCAACTTAAGAACCTAGGAGGATACAGGGAAAACATATTTTTCCTCCCTTACAGTGCCAAGGCAATTCACTTGGAAATGAAACATGTTTTTAACAAATGATGCTTAAAGAATTGGACAGCCAAGGCTGAGCAGAATGGCTCATGCCTGTAATCCCAGCACTTTGGGAGGCCGAGGCGGGTGGATCACGAGGTCAGGAGATCGAGACTATCCTGGCTAACACGATGAAACCCCATCTCTACTAAAAATAAAAAAAATTAGCTGGGCATGGTGGCGGGCACCTGTAGTCCCAGCTACTTGGGAGGCTGAGGCACGAGAATGGCATGAACCTGGGAGGCGGAGCTTGCAGTGAGCCGAGATCATGCCACTGCACTCCAGTCTGGGTGACAGACCGAGACTCCGTCTCAAAAAAAAAAAAAAAAAAAAAAAGAATTGGACAGCCAAAACAAGAAAACACATTATTGATGCATGTAACAATATAAATAAATCTCAAAATGATTATGCTGAGTGAAAGGAGCCAATCAAAAAAGAACATATATTGTGCAATTCCAATTCCGTACAATTCTAGAAAATGCAAAGTAATTTGTAGTGACAGAGAGCAGATCGCTAGTTACCTGGGGACAGGGAAGGGAGGGGTGAGCTACAAGAGGGCATAAGGCTGGGCACGGTGGCTCATGCCTGTAATCCCAGCACTTTAGGAGGCTGAGGCGGACGGATCATGAGGTCAGCAGATCAAAACCATCCTGGCTAACACAGTGAAACCCCATCTCTACTAAAAAAATACAAAAAAAAATTAGCCAGGCATGGTGGCAGGCACCTGTAGTCCCAGCTACTTGGGAGGCTGAGGCAGGAGAATGGTGTGAACCCAGGAGGCGGAGCTTGCAGTGAGCCAAAATTGCGCCACTGCACTCCACCTGGGTGACAGAGCAAGGCTCCGTCCCCCCCCCCAAAAAACAAAACAAAACAAAAACCCAAGAGGGCATAAGGCTGGGCGTGGTGGCTCACACCTGTAATCCCAGCGCTTTGGGAGGCCGAGCCCAGCAGATCACTTGAGGTCAGGAGTTCGAGACCAGCCTGACCAACATGGTGAAATCTCGTCTCTACTAAAAATACCAAAATTAGCCAGGTGTGGTGGTGCACACCTATAATCCCAGCTACTCGGGAGGCTGAGGCAGGAGAATTGCTTGAACCCTGGAGGCAGAGGTTGCAGTGAGCCAAGATCGTGCCATTTCCCTCCAGCCTGGGCAACGAGAGCGAAACTCTATCTCAGAAACAAAACAAAGCAAAACAAAAAAACCCAAGAGGGCATAAGGATGCTTGGGCATGATGCATCTGTTCCTTACCTAAATCGCTTAGATGGTTTCAGGAATGCATGTATTTGTATGCATTTGTGTACTCATTAAATTGTCAAGTATGTGCAGACTATTGTATGTCAATTATAGTTCAAGAAAGCTGCAAGAAATAAGAGCTATGGTTTAAAACAAATAGCTCTGGTTATACTATCAAGCCTCAAACTGTGACGCCACTTTCTTGTGTGTGTTTGCATTGAAGGCAAACCCTCCTGGGAATGCAGTCAACCTTTGAGTCACTTCCTGAGGGACAGGCAAGTAATGGAGGAGGAAGGGCTGCTAGCAGGGTCCAGCTCTCTTGGTTTTGACCTGGGGAAGCTACAGTGTCCAGGAGAACCCCCATTTCCAGGGGATGGGGTGGCAGGTGGCGGAGTGACGCCCTTCCTTCTCATTCGCTATGGGTAGGAGCTTAAATTGGTCAGCTGAGAAACAACGTAACTTCCCCTAATGTGAGAGTGGGTGGCTGAGAGCTGTGGGGGGCTCAGGTCCCCTCTGCCACATGTTGCCTTTAAGTTGCCATCATTTACTTCCTTAATCTGAATTCTGCCAAAAGTAGCCAGAGGAATGATCATTAAAACATCCACTGCGCCCCGGGGAGACAATGACCTTTGCTGATTTATTTCTCATCAAGGAACTTAAAACTTACAGAAGTCACAGGCACATTTATCCGCAGTTCCCATCCAAATCCTTAACCCGCAAACTCTACGGGGCATGACTAATCTTCCTCAGATAATTCGGAGGGTACAGCAGGATCTTACAGGGAATCCTGTGGGATTTTCAAGGGCGCAACATTAAAATGAAATGGGTTTCAATTTATTTCCGTGCTTGTCCAGTTTTAGTACCAGATTTCTCTCTTTAGAGAGAGGGGACTCGTCTGGAAGGGATGATGACTCACAGTCCCCAGCCCTGCACCAATGTTGAACAGTTAATAGCACCATTCCTTTGTTCCCTCTTCCCCCAGTATCAAATTACTGCCTTGTAGTACGGTACGTTAAAATGTTCATGTTCATTGCTTCTCAATGGGTCTTCAAGAACCAGAATGTTTTTGATGCGTGGTAGGACTTCAAGAACCAGAAGAAATGAACAAGTCTCTTACATCTTTTATAGGTGAGAACAGGCACTGGGAGAATCCACCTCTTGAATTTAAGGAGCCTTGCATGATGGCTCAGAGGCTCTGAGGTGTGGTTTTTCTCCCTGTTCTTATAACCACACTCCAACATCGAACCCCAAAGCCAAGGGGCCTGTTTTAACCCTTACGTCTCCAGTCTCTTTCATGATAATTTGCCTGGTTCCCCTGAAATGGTGGGTCCTGCATCCCAAAATCTCAAATCTGACTACCTGCCATCTGCACAGTCACCCCACAGTCGAAGACCTCACTGCTGGTCTGGACCACTGTGCACGTTCCTAGCAGAATTTTTTTTTGTTTGTTTTTGAGACGTACTCTCGCTCTGTCACCCAGGCTGGAGGGCAGTGGTGTGATCTCGGGTCACTGCAACCTCCAGCTCCCAGGTTCAAGCGATTCTCATGGTTCAGCCTCCCGAGTAGGTGGGACTACAGGCGTGTGCCATGACGCCCGGCTAATTTTTGTATTTTTAGTGGAGATGGGATTTTGCCATGTTGCCCAAGCTGGTCTTGAACTCCTGGGCTCAAGCGATCCACCTGCCTCGGCCTCCCAAAGTGCTGGGATTACAGGTATGAGACACCGCACCCAGCCCCTATCGGATGTTTCTGCTTCTTTTCTTGCTCACGTACAACACTGTTTCCTCCCAGTGTCAGAGTAAATTGTTAATGTTTCATTATGAGAGTGATCATTTAAAAATATAAATTGGATCTCATCACTCCCTTGCTTAGAATCCTTCAACGGCACCACGCTGTACAAAAGGAAAGAACTCCACCTCCTCACTGCCTTACAGGGCCCCCGCATGCTCGAAGTCTTGCCTCACCCCCAGCCCCATTTCATCACACTCTCCCCCTTGCTCACTGTGCCTTAGCTATGCTGGCCCACCACAGGGCCTTTGCATCTGCTATTCTCTCTGCCTGGAATGCTCTTCCCCGATTCCTCATTCACACTGCTGGATGCAGGTCTCAGCTTCAATATCACTTCCCCAGACCCTTGGCCACCTGAAGAGTAGCCTGCCCCGCTCCCCAGCTGCATTCAATCATCACAGTCTGTGTTTGTTTGCTTTCAACATCACTTGCCCCATCTCAAATAACCTCTCATGTATTTATGCAATTTATGATAAAGTTAAAGCTCTGTGAGAGGACGGACCTCACCAGTTAGCATCTCCAGTGCTAACTGGATGTCTGAACCACACTGGTCCCATGTGATTCTATCCTTCTAGAGCCTTCTGAGCCCCACTGTGCCTGATTAACGGAACAAAACACTTTGTGCCTTGCTGACCTTGCTGACTTCCCCAGAGCCCCACTGTTGCCTTCTAGACACTGCCTGCCTCGATGTGTTTTTTTCTGGCCATACTCTTCCCCTGGCCATTTCTTCTGGGCCATATAACAGAAAATTAACCCCAGAAGCAACCTCTTACCAGCAGTCAAAGAGATGTCACTAGTGGGTATAGCACCAATCTGTGCAAATTGGAAAGAAACTCCCCTCTGAGAAGAAAAAGGCCCCATGGGTGCAGCTATGGAGTGCAGGCAGGGTGGGCTTACCCCTCAGCTGGGGGCCTTTGTGCAGTGCACACATCACACAGCCGTACATGGCATTTTTGAGATCTCAGAGATCCTATGTCAAGCCCCATTGAATGGATTTTTAGATTCCTTTCTGTAAGTCTCCCTTCTCTGACATTTTATATAAATTCTCAATTATCCATGGTAAATAGGGAATGCTGATATGAAAGCCAAAGACAACCTCCAAATCTCCCTTGAATAAATGTCACTACTTACTGAGTCCTAACTGTGTGACAGGTGCTGGGCTAAACACTTTAAGCACACTGTCACATTTTATCAACCATATGACATCAGCACATTGGGAGAAAGAAAAGTTACAGAATTCTGTAAGTAATATGATCCCATTAGGAAACCAAAATGGTAGTACATGTTTCAGTCATGGACAGAAAGACCTGTATGGATAGAGATAAAACTCCTAATAGTAGTTATTTTGGGGGAGTAAAATTTGCAATAGGACTTTATACTTGATATATTTCTGAATTGTTTACATATATATATTTTTACAATGAGCACATATTACTTCTACAAACAGAAAATAATAATAAAGCTATTTACATTTTGAAAAAAATAGCATGGAAATAAAAAGCTGTAAGTAAAAAGTCAAATTAATTGCTTTGACTTTCAGGTTCTTGACCCTACATTTTTTTCTCTGTTATGGGTACTAATAAGCAGGGAAATGACCAAAATGACTCAAGTCAGAGGATGCCAACGGGTGAATAATCAGCCCTAGAATATCTCCCTACTCCACCATAGATAACAGCAACTCCTCATTGAGAACCGATCCTGTCTTCACGCTAAAAGCTGGACCACTTGCCAGGCTAACAGTGGAATCAATCTCTAATTATAAGAAGCTACAGCCTTTTTAAACACACAATCGTGTGTGTAAGCAACTTATTACCATTTTATCAAACCACTGAGTAGGAAAATAAATTCTGACATTTGCAGTTCTAATGTGATGAACACACAGCTGGGAGTCAATTACATTGTTCACAATTTTACATCTCATTTATTTCCTCCATTTTTAGAAATAACTTTACAACTAATAGCCTTCTTTCATTTGTTCTCAACGTGTCATTTTAAAACAAGACTGGGGCCGGGTACGGTGGCTCACACCTATAATCCTAGCACTTTGGGAGGCCGAGGTGGGTGGATCACCTGAAGTCAGGAGTTTGAGACCAGTCTGGCCAACATGGTGAAACCCCTTCTCTATGAAAAATACAAAAATTAGGCTGCCGTGTTGGCGGGCGCCTGTAATCCCAGCTACTCGGGAGGCTGAAGTGGGAGAATCGCTTGAACCTGGGAGGCAGAAGTTGAAGTGAGCCGAGATCATGCCACTGCTCTCCAGCCTGGGCGACAGAGCAAGATTCCATCTCAAAAAAATAAATAAAAATAAATAAATAAATAAATAATAAAATAAAATAAATCAAGAGTAGAAACACTGGCCAAAGGCAGAAAAGTTGAAAAAAGAAAAAGGCTGCCAAATTCACTAGGTACCTTGTTACTAGCAGGAAATGCAGTGGGGTGCAGTAGGCAGTGGCCCCTTAAAAGAAAGGAAATCAAAGGCCACGAAGGCAGAAGGTTTACTACTTTTCTGTGTTGACTTTGGCTGTTTTTAAATGAGCACAAACATGAAGAAACATGAATCAGAAGGACTTGGTGAACTGCTCCATGACCTGTGGGTAATTCCTTCTAGAAACTACACTCTCACTGCCTGTTTTGCGATTGAGTGACCCTTGCTTTGTTCTTCCTTTCATTTCTTTCATTATCTGTCTTGGCCAGAGAAATACACATGACGACGCTAATGAACATCACCTTGAGACTTTAAAGACCTTCGTGGGGGTAACCTTTTGCCATCCAAAGTGCTATTTCAAATACTGGGTCTGTATTTGACCCTCTCGGTTCAACCTGGAATGAGGGGCGGGAGGAATGGAGCACTTTCCTTCTCTCGCCAGGCTTTCTCCATTCCCTGGGTCCTGGAGCTTCATTCAATGTCTATTCCAGCCAGACAACAGGACAGAGATGAAGGACTCCTTGCTCTCAAATAGCTCAAAACTCAGTTGGCAAGAAAGCCAGTAAATAACTATTTTACTACACAATGCTGTGTGCTGTCTTGTAATAATAACTATCATGGGTATTGATTATTTTGCTTTCAATAAAACCTTAGGCAGTTCAGGTTTTGCTAAGATTTTTTTTTTTTTAATTCCCTCCTCCTTAAATCAATTCACTTGTGTCCCTGCTCTGAGGCAGAGACTTCTGCTCTGCCTTCCTTGGGGTCCTTATTAAAGGAGTCTCTCTTCTCACTTGGACTCAGGATTTATTTGCCAAGAGTCTCCAGATTCCTCATCCCCAGGCACCGGACCTCAGTCAGCAGCCACCTGCTTCCATCTACCTGTCCCCACTTAGAAGGGACCATGATGGACATGGAAGACCTGTAAAATAGACCAGGGACCATCTACTCCATCCATTTCATCTGCAGGAAATGCAGAAACAGCAGGCCAGAGGCATGAAATGTGAGCTCAATGTGCATGAACTTCCTTGACGTTCAGCCTTCTGCTTGTCCCATCTGCTGTCATCCACATTCTGGCCACTTTTCATGACTCCCAGCCCAATCTCCTTCTTGGTGGCACATCTCTATTTCTGGATGCCATCCCCTGGTCTTGTCCACCATACTGCTGCCCGGGCCAGGTGTGTGTGTGTCTTGCAGACATTGTGTTGTGATGCTGGGTGTGCCCTGGTGCTCCCAGCACCTGTGAAGTGAGTTTTCTTTATGCCCGAGAAGTGATGACAGCTGAATGCATGTTCTCATCTGTTGAAGGGAAAAAAGCAGCTTATCAACATCCTGGCTGTCACCATGAAGGTGAACTCTTCTGATAGGTCAAGCCTTTGGGAAACTTCTTTAATACTCTACAAACAATGCCAGATCCCTACACTCAACCAGAAATGAAAACTTAAACACAGAACAAAAAAGAGTCCTTTTCTTGAAGAGGGCACCAGCATGGCTTAAAGCTTGAAAGCAAGCCGAAGACCCTCCAACCTCTCTCCAACAAGGCCAGACACTTCTCATGCCCAACCCTGATGTGGGAGCCACATCCTGCCAATGACATTACAGGCCATCTTCTCTCTAACGTCTGTCCACGGGCCTGTGAAAATCATCTGCCATATGGCGAGGAAGGCAGAAAAGGTCCTCTCGAGACCCCACATCGGGTAGTGGCCATCAAACAGAAAACAATGGAACCTCAACATTTTTATGTTTTAGAAATCTGAAAAATCATTTATGCAGCATCCTTTATCAGCCTTGAAACAGTTTGAGATGTCGGTGAACCTCAGCACCTCCCTTCCCTTGGTCCTCAGTGAGACAAATGTTGACCTCATGCCATGTCGGGCTGGCTGGACCCTGAGGCGGCCCAAGGAGACGCTTGACGGCAGCACACTTCCCCTCTTTCCTTTGCCAAAAAGTCATCAAGCACATAAAGAGTTTTCTTTCATGAAACCCACTTCAACCTTATCTTTGTTTTCTTTTCGAATGAGTCCCAATTGCAGGATTCAGTAGAGATGTGTGTGTTTTTATTAGAAGACCTGGGTCAGCAGTGTGGAGGTGTGAGTTCCCCAAGTGGGCCACTAGGCCCAGTTCTCTGCGATTTAACAACGTGCAATGTAAAGTATCTATTGATGATTCTGAAAGTAAGATGAATTGAGTAAACCTTGGAAGCGGGGTAAAAACTCTCAAATCAGTCATGTCTACGATGAGCAGGCTACTGTGAGCTCCACAATTCCCAATTCAGGGGAGGCTTATCATCTAGGAAAGTGTTTTCTTCTCAGTAGTTCCTGTTTCTTATGGTTTGTTTCTAACAACGTTTGATTATAGTAACATTTCATATTTATTATTCACCATAATATATCTTCATTGTAGGAAATTCAGAAAATGCAAAACACCATTCATAATCTCACCGTTCAGAAAAGGGATCACACACGTCTCTCTGCAGTTCAGTTTCTCTGTTAGTAAAGTGGGAGATGAAGAATAGTATGAGGATTAAATGAGATTATAATGTAATCTATCATACGATTATCCTATACTAATGTAAAGCACTTAGCACATAAGAGTTAAATAACGTGAGCTGCTATTATTGTGAACACCTTGACGTGTTTCCATTCAGTCTTTGTGTGTGTGTGTGTCTACAAACATCAACATTTCATAAACATTGGATCTTTCTTATGGAGAGTTAATTTTTCTTAAAATTCCTACCTATGTCCAATTTCAGCTCAGTTCTGACTAATCTTCTAAGGCTATGTTCCATAAACTACAACAGGAAGAAAGACAGTCAAACAATAAGAAAAGTTGAGAAGTGTTACCTCTGCGTACAAGAAAATAGTGTTTATTTCTACCACTTGGACATGAACTTGCAGATGTTTTTCTAGAGGCAACAATGCATTTCCCCAAATTCTATACATTCTGACCTAGTCTCCCATCTTACCAACTGCACAGGCTACACAAAATAGAGATGGGGTCTCACTCTGTTGCTCAGGCTGGAGTGCAGAGGCACGCACAGCTCACTGTAGCCTCGAACTCCTGGGCTCAAGAGATCCTCCTATTTCAGCCTCCCGAGTAACTGGGACCACAAGCAGGAGTCTTATTTGATTCTAGTGCCAAAGGATGCTTGGTAGAAGTATCTGGCCTATGTCCCAGGGTTTCAGCCACATTGTTGGGACTTGATACACATAATTGGTGCCCGACCCGAGGTAGGCCCTGGGAATATGGATGGGAAGAATCCATTTTCTCTTCTCTAGAAGCACCCATGGAGTTATACTGAGAAAGCAAATGGGTAGACTGCCTCACAGTGCACTGTGAAAAGCTCTCTAGAGGAGCTGTTTTTTGGATAGCGAGGCCCCAGGAGAGGGATCATGGAGGCTGCCTGGAAAGCAGGGAAGTCTTACAGAAGATTAGAGTTGAGCTGTGTCTCAAAGGAGCAGGAAGAGTTTCTCAGGCAGACAAAGGGAAGAGTGAAAGCCAGAAGTGTGGGCTCTGAACTCAACTTGCCTGGTTCAAATCCCAGCTCTGTTACTTGCTAGCTCTGTAACATTGGGCAATTTCTTAACTGTTTTTTTTTTTTTTTTTGCCTGTTTTGTTTTTGTTCTAAATAAGATTTGAAAACCCAGCTTTATTGAGATATAATTCACACACTGTACAGTTTATGTATTTAAAGTGCACAATTCAATGTCTTTTCAGATATTCAGAGTTGTGCAACCATCTCTACAGTCTCCACCGTGAACGTTTGCATCACCCCTAAAAGAAACCTCATACTCACCAGCAGTCACTCCCCGTTTCCTCTTAAACTCCCATCCCATAGGCAACCACTAATCTACCTTCTGTCTCTAGAGATTTATCCGTTGTGGACATTTCATATAGATGGGATCACACAGTATATGGTCTTTTGCAACTGGTTTCTTTCACTCAGCATAATGTTTTTGAGGTCTGTGCCTGATTTGTCACGTACAAAATGAGACTAGTAATTGAATCTACCTCAGAGGTAGATTTGTTTGGTGAAGTTTAAATGAGATCAAGCTTGTCAAACATCTGGCCCATAGTAAGTTCTCATTAATGTGAGATCTCTTCCTGCTGACATCTCTTTGCGGAGCCAAGGAAGAGGACAGGTCAAATGTCTCCTGTCTACAATGATCCTGTCGTCCAAACGTTAGATAAGCTATGAAGCCGTGACTCATGCACACAGCTGTTCCAACGTGAAAATGGTGTACAGTGGGAAAGGCAGAGTATCAGTACAAATACCAGTGAGGCAAGGCAGGAAAGGTGAAGTGGCAGGAAATGAGGATCATGGAAATAGTGTCTCTCAGGGTGTTATGAGAATTAGATATGGGACAGGGCTTTGTAAACAGTGAACTGAGGTACAAATGGCGATAGTTACTATTCTTTTTGTTTTAATTGTGGTAAAATATACATAACATGAAACTTACCATCTTATCTACTTTTAGGTGCACAGTTCAGTGGCATTAAGTACATTCACATTGTACAACCACCACCACCATCTGCAGACCTCATTTCCTCCATCTTGCAAAATGAAAACTATAGGCCCACTAAATAATTCCCTATTCCCTCCTCCTCCCAACCCAGGTAAACTCCATTCTACTTTCTTTCTTTCTTTTTTTTTTTTTTTTGAGACAGAGTCTCACTTTGTTGCCCAGGCTGGAGTGCAGTGACAAGATCTTGGCTCACTGCAACCTCTGCCTCCTAGGTTCAAGTGATTATTCTGCCTCAGCCTCCTGAGTAGCTGGGATTACAGGCATATGTCACCACACCGGCTAATTTTTTGTATTTTTAGTAGAGACGGGGTTTCGCCATGTTGGCCAGGCTGGTCTCAAACTCCTGACATCAGGTGATCCTCTCGCCTTGGCCTCCCAAAGTGCTGGGATTACAGGCTTGAGCCACTGCACCCAGCCTCCATTCTACTTTCTGTCTCTATGGATTTGACTCCTCTTGTTACATCGTATCAATGGAATTACACACTCTTTGTCCTTTCGTGACTGGCTTATTTCACTTAGCATAATGTCCTCAAAGTTCATTCAATGTTGATGGCATGTGCCTGAGTTTCCCTTCTTTTTAAGGCTAAATGATATTCCATTGTATGTATAGACCACATTTTGTTTTTCCAATTGCCTATCAACGGACAGTTGGGTTGCTTCCACCTCTTGGCTATTCTGAACAATGCTGCTGTGAACATGGATGTATAAATATCTCTTCAAGATCCTACTTTCGATTCTTTGGGGTATACCCAGAAGTGGGATTGCTGGATCCTATGGTAACTCTGTTTCATTTTGGGGGCACCCACCATACTGTTTTCTGTAGCCGTTGCACCATTTTACATTCCCACAAGCAATGCACAAGGGTTCCAATTTCTCTGTCTCCTCACTGACATTTGCTATTTTCCTTTTTGTGGTTGCTGTTGTTTTCAATAATAGCTATCCTCAGCCTGGGCAATACCCTGCCTCTACAAAATCTACAAAACATTCGCTGGGTGTGATGGCTTACGCCTATAGTCCTAGCTGCTTGGGAGGCTGAGGTGGGAGGATCATCTGAGCCTAGGAGGTCAAGGCTGCAGTGAACTACGATCATGCCACTGTATTCCTGCCTGGATGACAGAGTGACACTCTTTCTGAAAAAATAAATAATATGGCCGGGCATGGTGGCTCACACCTGTAATCCCAGCACTTTGGGAGGCTGAGGCAGGCAGATCACGAGGTCAAGAGACTGAGACCATCTTGGCCAACATGGTGAAACCCCGTCTCTAATAAAAATACAAAAATTAGCTGGGTGTGGTGGCACGTGCCTGTAGTCCCAGTTACTCGGGAGGCTGAGGCAGGAGAATCACTTGAACCCGGGAGGCAGAGGTTGCAGTGAGCTGAGATCACGCCACTACACTCCAGCCTGGGTGACAGAGTGAGACTCTGTCTCAAAAAACATAATAATAATGAATAAATAAATAAATAAATAATAACAATAACAGCCATCCTAATGGGTGTGAAGAGGAATAGTTACTGTTCTTATAAAATGTGTTTGAATGGAAAAAGAGGAGACATGACACTTACTGAGTGCCTTACTATGTGCCAGGTGCTTTCCATAAGTTCTCATGGAAACTCAGCAGCCCTGCGAGGCACACAGGAGTGATCCAAATTCATAGATGAGGAAGCTGAAGCTAAGGAGAGACCAAGCACCTTGTGCCCTCTCTCACACTCGGGCTTCTCTAGAGGAGCTGGAATCAAACTTGGGTCTCGCTGACGAAAGCTGATACGGTTCCCACCATACTCGACTTTGCTACCTCATGAGCCAAGTAATTGTACCATTTACTGCACAAAGAAATCTGCATTCCTATATATTTATTTAATTTTTGAGATGGAGTTTCGCTCTTGTTGCCCAGGCTGGAGTGCAGTGGTGCGATCTCGGCTCACCACAACCTCTGTTTCCCGGGTTCAAGTGATTCTCCTGCCTCAGCCTCCCAAGTAGCTGGGCTTACAGATGCCCGCCACCACACCTGGCTGATTTTTTGTATTGTTAGTAGAGATGGGGTTTTGCCACTTTGGCCAGGCTTGTCTGAAACTCCTGACCTCAGGTGATCTGCCCACCTCGGCCTCCCAAAGTGCTGAGATTACAGGCATGGGCGACTGTGCCCGGCCAACACTCCTATTTATTTAAATGTCCTTCTCTAGCTGGGTGTGGTGGTTCATGCCTGTAATCCCAACACTTTGGGAGGCCGAGGCGGGCAGATTATTTGAGATAAGGAGTTCAAGACCAGCCTGGCCAACATGGCGAAACCCCATCTCTACTAAAAATACAAAAATTAGCCGGGCGTGGTGGTGCGTGCCTGTAATCCCAGCTACTCAGGAGGCTGAGGCAGGAGAATCGCTTGAGCCTGGGAGGCGGAGGCTGCAGTGAGCCGAGATTGCACCATTGCACTCCAGTCTGGGCGAGAGAGTGAAACCCTGTCTGAAAAATAAATAAATAAATAAATAAATAAATAAATAAATGTCCTTCTCCATCTTCTTCCAGTTCTAGCATGTGATAAATTAATCCATGATCATCTTATCTGTCACAAGCAATTTCAGTCACATCTCCTCTGAGTCTTTTCAAAATGAAGTGCCTTTTGATTAAACAACATTATATTCCATTGAAAGAACAGACAAAACATGTCCGTTGATGGTCTCGGCTAACATGTTAGGAACCATCTCCGCTTTTGTAATGGCTACTTAAAATGGACCTAAATGACTACACCATCGGGCTCTCCCTGACTCTGCTAAAGACAATCTGTTAAAGTTATTTGAATTGTTCACTGTTTACTTTCCTTGGAAAACCTGTTAGAGCCCATTCTTCTGCTTGTTAAGCCCAAGGAAAAACACACCCAAATGACATAAAGTCCCCTATGTTCTTTAAATAAAACAGCAAACACACCAGTCTCAGTTATCTAAGTTTCAGTCACACTGAATGCAGAGAAGGGGGATGAATAATACTAAGAGCTGGTGAAAATGTGGTTCAGTGGAACTTTTCATACTGTCATAGGAAAATAAAGTGTCACAGCAACATAGTAAAACGATTGGGCATTATTTTATAATGTGAAGCAGGCACACACACCCTACAGCACAGCCATCCCACTCCTAGACCTTAGACCGTGGTTCCCAAAGTGGAGTCTGGAGCAGCAGCTTCAGCCTCACCTGGAAGCTTATGAAAAATGCAACATCTCTGGCTCCACCCTAGACCCAGTGAATCAGAAGTACTGGGGATGGGGCGCAGCCATATGTGTTCTTCCCGAGCAATTCTGATGCCACCTCACACTTGTGAACAATTGCACCAGGGAACGCTCACACATGTGCCTCTAGGAGACATCTGCCAAGAGTGTTCACTATGCCATTGATCACAATGGCAAAAACCTGGAAAAAAGCCCCAGTGCCCCCAAACCAGGAGAAGGAATAAGTAAACTGTGGAATATTCATATGATAGCATATTATATAGAAGCAAAAATAAATAGGTTCTAGTTTAGACACAATGTAGATGAATCTTGGAAACCTAAGATTGAGACTAAAAAGAAGGTTGCAGTTGACCACATGTGGCATGCTGCTTCTTTTGTAATCTCAAAGTCAAAAGTGAAGCAATACATTGCTTAGAGTTACCTACTTATGTGATAAAAGTATAAATTTTGAAAAAACAAAAGAATGATAATTACCCAGTTCAGGGTAGTGGTCCCTCTTAGGGGGCGGGGAGGAAGACGCAGGATAGGATAGTACTGATAATGCCTCCGTCCTCAGGTTGGCGGTGGGGACGGCTCAAGGTGTCCATTTTATTAGCAGGATGCATGCCTTACATTTATGTTACACGTATTCTTCTGTATGTATCAAATATCAGATTTTTAAAAAAGGGGAATGGGGATGAATTCTGCCAAGTATCACACTATCTCTTGCTCAATTCGGAGAATGCTGCTCAGGAAAAGTATTCGGTGAGAGATAGGATGTTTGAGAAAATTCTCGAGTGGAGCCAGCTTGGAAGGGTTTGTGGCCTCAGAGGAACAGGTGAGCCATGAAGGAGGCTGAAACGCACAGAGGATTCCTTATTTTACCTCCGTCTGTACCTCTGTCTCCAGGATGGTAAGGTGCTGAGGGCTGGCCCTTTATTTCTGCCGCTATGCTTGTTTGGGATATGCATTCACCCATCACTTGAGAGCCCACACGTGCCACACAGTGAGAAGTCAGTGCAGTGAATGAGCTGAAGGGAAGTGAGGACAGGAATGAAAGGGAGCGGCTGGCCAAGGGGTAAAAGGATAAAGAGGCCCCTGAAAAATGCCTAAATACATACAGGTGTTTTTACTACTTAAAAATTTTGTTTTGTTTGTTTGTTTGTTTGTTTTAAACACCAAGTGAATCCTCCCTGGGACTGGAAGTAAATTGCCGCTTAGAAAATTGTAAATCTTTCCCGGAATGAAAGAATACATTTCAACTGAAGATGGAGTACATAACTGCTACACAAAGTACTTAAATGTTTGCACCATTGATCCAGTGTTAAAGACGAGATACACAATTCCTGTTCTTCCTCCATAGGCCAGAGGGTCCATATTTTTTATTTCCATGGGCAGACTGATTTAAAATTGCCTCCAATCCTATTGTGGAAAGCTATTCTAAATGGTCTTATTTAACACAGGGGACAAGAATTGGATTCCCATAGGTCTGGGGTCAAGCCAGGTTTGCCTTCAACCTGGGCAACTACCAAAGCTCCATCTGTTTTCTACAATATATATTCTTCCTTATTTCCCAAAAGTACACTCAGAATGGTCACAGAATGTACTCTGTTAGATGAAACATACTCTTGAAACATTAAATAGCCTTTTTTTTTTTTTTTTTTTTTAGATAGCATCTTGCTTTGTCTACCAGGCTGGACTGCAGTGGTGCAATCATGGCTCACTGCAGCCTCGAACTCCTGGACTCAAGGGATCCTCCCGCCTCAGCCTTATGAGTAGTTGGGACTACAGGAGCACATTACTGCCCCTCACTCATTTTTTCTTTTTTTTTTTTTTAGAGTTGGGGGTCTTGAGATGTTGCCCAGGCTGGTCTCAAACTCCTGGATTCAAGCAATCCTCCTGCCTCAGCCTCCCAAAGTGTGGGTATTACAGGCATGAGCCATCACGTCTGGCCATAAATACCTTTAATATACTATGATGAATGAATTGTATGTGAGGCAGAGAAACCAATGTACAAAAAAAAAAAAAAAAGTATGGTGAGCACTTTTACCTTTAAATTACCCAAAGAACAAATGTCCTGTCCCCAAAACAGGACTGCTCTGGGGGCCGGCTCAGATCCATACACACAGGTTTCATTCCCTGCAGAAAATACAGAAAGGCTGTTTTCACGCTACAAAACATATAGGGTGCCAGGCATGGAGAAAACATTTTAAGGTGCATACACTTTTTTTTCATTTTTTAAAAATAAACTTCTATTTTTAGAAGAGTTTCAGATTCATAGAAACGTTGTGACGATAATACAGAGTTCCCATATCATACCCTGCACTCAGTTTGCCCTGTTATTAACATCTTCCATGAATATGGTACATTCGTTGCAACTAATTAACATTGATATATTATTAATTAAATTCCATACTTTATTCAGACTTCCTTTATTTTTCCCTAATGTCTTTTCTCTCTTCTAGGATCCGGGATACTGCATTACATTTACTAGTCATGTCTCCTTAGACTCTGCTGGTCTGACACTTTCTTAGACTTTCCTTGGTTTTGATAACCTTGACAATCTTGATGTACTGGTTAGGTATTTTGTAGAATGTCCCTCAATTGGAATTTGCCTGATATTTTCTCATGATTAGACTGGAGGCGGGGCACCGTGGCTTACACCTGTAATCCTAGCACTTTGGGAGGCTAAGGTGGGCAGATCACTTGAGGTCAGGAGTTCGAGACCAGCCTGGTAAAATGGCGAAACCCAGTCTCTACTAAAAATATAAAAATTAGCCAGGGATGGTGGCGTGTGCCTGTAGTCCTAGCTACTTCAGAGGCTGAGGCAGGAGAATCGCTTGAACCCAGGAGGCGGAGGTTGCAGTGAACCGAGATTGCACCACTGCACTCTAGCCTGGGTGACAGAGCGAGACTCCATCTCAGAAAATAACAACAACAACAACAACAACAAGAATAGAGTCATGGGTTTTGGGAAAGAAGGCCAGAGAGGGGAAGTGCTATTCTCATCACGTCACGTCACGTCACGTCACGTCACGTCACATCACGTCACATCAAGGGGATACACTATCAACATAAGTTATCACCGATGAGGCTAAAACCTTGAGCTCCTAGGTGAGGCAGCGTTGGGCAGGTTTTTCCACTGCAAAGTTAGACATTCCTCGGCCCGTGCTGTTTCCATATTGTGCTTTTTGGAAGGAAGTCACTATGCACAGCCCACACTTAGGAGTGGGGAGTTCATGGCCCACTTCCTTGAGGGTGAAATAATTTATAAAAATTATACTAAATTCTTCTTCAGAGGAGATTTGTTTCTATTCCATTTATTTATTGAATCATTTACTTAAATCAGTGTGGACTTAGGGATATTTACTTTATATTTAAGTATTTTCCAACTTTCCAATTAAGTATTTTCCAATAATTGGAGTTATTTTCCAACTCCAATTCCACTTTTTTTTTTTTTTAAATAGCGTCTCACTATGTTGCCCAGGCTGGAGTGCAGTGGCATGATCATGGCTCACTGCAACCTCAACCTCCCCAGGCTCAGGTGATCCTCCCATCTCAGCATCCTGAGTAGCTGGGACTATAGGTGCATTCCACCACGCCCAGCTAATTTTTGTATTTTTCTGTAGAGATGAGGTTTCACCATGTTGCCTAGGATGGTTTTGAACTCCTGGGCTCAAGCCATCCACTTGCCTCGGCCTCCCAAAATGCTGGGATTACAGGTGTGAACTCCTGTGCCTGACCCAACTTTAATTTACTTATTCTGTTGTTCAAATCATTCCAGCTTTGGCCACTGAGAGTGCTTTCAATTGAGTCCTGTGTCTCTTTGACATACTCCATCATTGTGTGTGTGTGCGCGTGTGTGTGTGTGTGTGTGTGTGTGTGCGTGTGTGTGTTTACGCACTTCCTTATTTGGTACATATGATTTTACCATGAGCTTTCATATTAAAATTAAGTAGATCGGCTGGGCAAGGTGGCTCACACCTGTAATCCCAGAACTTTGGGAGGCCGAGGCAGGCAATTCACGAGGTCAGAAGATTGAGACCATCCTGGCTAACATGGTGAAACCCCGTCTCTACTAAAAATACAAAAAATTAGCGGGGTGTGGTGGCGGGCGCCTGTAGTCCCAGCTACTTGGGAGGCTGAGGCAGGAGAATGGTGTGAACCCAGGAGGCAGAGCTTGCAGTGAGCCGAGATCACGCCACTGCACTCCAGCCTCGGCGACAGAGTGAGACTCCATCTCAAAAAGAAAAAAAAAAAAAATTAAGTAGATCTGGGGGTTGGGGATGGGGAAGGATAAGAACTCCTTTGAAGTCTGAGGAGCTATCATTACTATTATTTTGACAAAAGCCTATCCTTCCTAAATGATCATTTCTTTCTATATTTTTATTACAAAAACGTCCCTTTTCCTTCCATCTACAGTAAAAAATTCTTCATTCTCCTTTTAGCTGGAACTTCCATCAAAAAGCGTGGAGCTTGGGTCTCACATAGCACCTAACACCCAGGGACCCTCCATTCAATAACTTCTTCAGCCTAACACTTGAGTTACTACAAACTTCACTTGTTTCTACTTTTACAAATTTTGCAAATTTGAGTTGCTAAGCTCCATGACAACAGAGAGATTGTCTTCTTATTGTATTTTTCAGAGTTTAGCTGTATTCATTTTCTATTGCTGCTGCAACAAATGACCACAACTTTAGTGGCTTAAAACAACATACACTTATAATCTCACACTCCTACAGGTCAGAAGTCTGACCTGGGTCTCAGCAAGCTAAAACCAAGCTGTCCGCAGGGCTGCTTCTTCCCAGAGATCTTAGGCGAGAATAACTTCCTTGCTCATTCAGGTTGCCCACAGAATTCAATTCCTTGTGGTTGCAGGACCGAGGTCCCCGTTTCCTTGTGGGCTATCAGCTGAAGGCTGTTGCCAGCTCCAGTTCCTGGCTTATTGAGGCTGCCCACATTCCCTAGCTGGGGATCCTCTTTCTCTATCTAAAAGGCAGCAATGGTGGGTGTGATCCATTTCATGCTTTGAATCTCTTCTGCCTTTATTATATTTCTCCGACCTCTGCTAGGAAAGATTCTCTGCTTTTAAGACCTCATGTGATTAAGTTGAGTGTACCTGGAGAATGCAGGATAATCTCCCTATTCACAGGTTCCAGGGAATGGAACCTGTCTTGGGGCAGGGGCCATTATTTGGCCTATTCCATCAGCACAGTGTCTACATATCACAGGCATTCAACAAAAGACTAATGACTTTAATGAATGAAAGAGCTAAAGAACACTGCGAGCTGAGTGCACATTAACCGGAGACGCACAGTTCTGCTGCGGTGCTGATATTTTGCTGATTAGAAAGTATCCTATCCATGAAAAACTAATTGTTTGCTGGGCAGAAAGCATGACAGTGTAGGATAATGAAAGCAGCTCAGATTTCTCTTTGGCATTTCAGTGAAACAAGGTTCTTGGTCCTGGGTACATATTAGAATCAGCAAGGAGCTTTTACAAAATATCTATGCCAAGGCCCCTCAGAGACCAATTAAGTCAGAATCTCTGGAGGCATTGCTATCTGTTAAAAACCGCCCAGGTGATTTGAAAGGGAAGCTGGGGTTGAGTCACTGGCTTAGAATTAGCCCTGTCTCAGCCTGGGCAACACAGTGAGACCGCATCTCTACAGAAATTTTTCTTTTAATTAGCCAGGTGTGGTGGTGCATGGCTATCGTCCCAGCTACATGGGAGGCTGAGTCAGGAGGAACATTTGAGCTCAGGAGTTTGAGGCTGCAGTGAGCCATGATCATGCCACTGCACTCCAGTCTGAGCAACAGAATGAGACTCTGTCTCAAAAATACTACTACTACTACTAATAGCCATATCTCACAAACGAGGACTGGCAACTTTTCTCATTCTATTGCCTTCTGTTATGGACTAAATTGTGTCCACCCCAAATTTCTGTGTCAAAGTCCTAACCTGACAGTACCTCAGAATGTGACTGTATTTGGAGACAGGGTCTTTAAGGAGGTACTTAAATGAAAACAAGATCCTTAGTGTGGGCCCTAATCCAATCTGGCTGGTGTCCTTATAAGAAAAGGAGATCAGGACCCAGACACACACGGAGGGAAGACCACATGGAGACACAGGCAGAAGGCAGTCACCTGCAAGCCAAGGAGAGAGGTCTCAGATGAGACCAATCCTGCTGATACCTTGATCTCAAACTTCCAGCCTTCAGAACTGTAGGAAAACAAACTTCTGCTGTTTAAGCCACCCAGTGGCTTGGTTATGGCTGCCCTAGCCAACTGATACAGATTTGAAGGAAGTACCAGGTGCCTTTGAGCTTCCTCAGTGAGTGCAAGTTCCTGGGGGTGGGACTTGCTTTCTCACCTTCATTTCCCTGATGCTTATCAGGCTGTTTGAATATAGCTATAGTTCAATAAATACAATTAAAGCAGCTGTGACCCTGGGCTTATGTCCCAGCTCTGCCACTAACTGGCCATGTGATCTCGGCTAAGTTAACAAGCTTCGGAGTCTTCATCTGAAAAATGCCACTCCATGAGAGTGCTGAGATAGTGTGTGACGGAACCGTGCTGGGAAATCTACCCAGATCTTTCCACAGCCTGCCTGATTTTGATTTGGATATGAAGGCTTATTAGGTGCGTATTGAATGAATGAACAATGTCACAGAGCAAACCATGCAAACCTTTTCTTCTATCAGCTCAGCTATATTTTAAAAATTAGTTTTATAATACCTTTGGTCTCCTCCAAGTTAGTTTCTCCCTTTTTTTTCATGTTCATTGAGTGCCTCGGGCCAGTTTGTGAATATCGTGTCGCAAACAAAACTCAACAATTTCACACTCCATCCTTAAACAGTAAGTGAGTACAACCCTTTTGCAAAGCAATGTCAAATTATGGGTGAACTGAGGTCAGGAGTTTGAGGCTACCCTGGCCAACATGGTGAAACCCTGTCTACTAAAAATACAAAAAAAAAATTTAGCCGGGTGTGGTGGCAGGCACCTGTATTCCCAGCTACAGGCCGGGAATTCTCAGCCTGAGGCTGAGGCTGAGGCAGGAGAATCGCTTGAACCCAGGAGGTGGAGGTGGCAGTGAGCTGAGATTGTGCCACTACACTCCAGCCTGGGTGACAGAGTAAGACTCTGTCTAAAAAAAAAAAAAAAATTATGGGTGAAAAGTCTTTAAAATATTCATGCCCTGTTATCCAGAAAATTCACTTCTGTTACTCACTTCTGAGGAAAAGCTGCTAAATACAGAAATAGTTTTATCCATAAGTAGATTACTTATAGCATTATATATAACTGAAAAAAATAGTGAAAATCTAAATGTCCAGTAAGGGGGTACAAATAAAATATAGTACATGCCCATCATAGACTATGATGGAGCTATTAAAATTGTGGAAAACGTTTACATGATGGCAGTTTCTTAAGAAAAAGATATAAAATATACAGGCTAAAAATGCATCTGCTGGGCATGGTGGCTCACACCTGTAATCTCAGCACTTTGGGAGGCAGAGGCGGGCAGATCACTTGAGGTCAGCGGTTCGAGATCAGCCTAGCCAACATGGTGAAACTCCATCTCTAATAAAAATACAAAAATTAGCCAGGCGTGGTGTTGCACGCCTGTAATTCCAGCTACTCGGGAGGCTGAGGCAGGAGAATCACTTGAACCTGGGAGGCAGAGGTTGCAGTGAGCTGAGATTGTGCCACTGTACTCCAGCCTTGGCGACAGAGCGAGACTGTCTCAAAAAAAATAAAATAAAATAAAAAGCACAAAGGTAAGGCTGAAAGGCAATCCAACAAGGTACTAATAAAGTGGGTGCCTTAACAGTGGGCGATGAGTGATTTCCCTCCTGACCTTTGCTGCTCTGGGCTCCTGACTTTTTTCTATAATGAGCATATACTACATTTATCATGGGAGAAAATAGAGTTAATATAAAACAGCCAACAATAAAGAACAGAAACAGGACCCAGGAGACCTATTTTGCTTAAGGATTCAGCTATCCCATTACAATGCTTGGGAATGATCAAACACCATTTAGCTAATGACATTGCCACGGCGTAACAACATCCCTCCCCAGAAGGTTTTCCTGATGTGGGTGTAAAACACATCCTAAGGAAGCCACGGTGCTTACAGGGAGGCAAAGGACAGAGGCTGCCAAGTGCTGCTTCAGCAACTTCTCTTCTATCCCTGTTACAAAACATTCTTCTTAATTAATTTAACAGAAACCTGTCGATGAAAGTCAATATTTACATAAACGGGCAATTCTGATAAGGCACAAATATTATTCTTATTCTTTGCAGCATGCTCTCCATAGCAGTTCCTACCTCAGTAGTGAGCCAGAAACCTAGACGTTAGCTGGTTGCCTCCCTCACCCTCATTGTCATGTTCAGTCCTTCAAGTCCTAGTGACAATGGACTCCAAATCATCCTCCAGTCAGTCAATTTCTCCTATGGCCAATGCTACCACCATCTCTCCCTCAACAACTGCAATAACCTCCCAAGCTACAGACTGCAATGGGTGTATTTATCCAATTCTGTACCCCCCTTGTATCTAGGAAGTAACTAACTTGCTTTTGATTTCATGGGCTCATAGGCGGAAGGGACTTGCCTTGTCTCGGATGAAACTTTGGACTTGGACTTTTGGGCTAATGCTGGAATGAGTTAAGACTTTGAGGGCCTGTTGAAAGGGCATGATTGTGTTTTGAAATGTGAGGACATGAGATTTGGGAGGGGCCGGGGGCAGAATGATGTGATTTGGCTTTGTGTCCCCACCCAAATCTCATCGTAAATTTTAATCCCATAATCCCATAGATCGTGGGAGGGACCCAGTGGGAGGTAAATGAATCATGCGGGGCAGTTGCCCCCATGCCGTTCACATGATAGTGAGTGAGTTCTCACAAGATCTGATGGTTTTATAAGCGTCTGACATTTTCCCTGCTGGCACTCACTTCTCTGTCCTGCCACCATGTGAAGAAGGACGTGTTTGCTTCCCCTTCCACCATGATTGTAAGTTTCCTGAGGCCTCCCCAGCCACTTAGAACTGTGAGCCAATTAAACCTCTTTTCTTTATAAGTTACCCAATCTCGGGCAGTTCTTTATAGCAGTGTAAGAATGGACTAACACAGTAGATAAAACTCAAAGTAAACTCTTGTGGGGAGACTTGGTCATCCTCACTGGAATAGTGCACAGACACACACACATCACGTATGGAATACTATGCAGTCATAAAAAGAATAAGATCACATCTTTTGTGGGAACATAGATGGAGCTGGAGGCCATTATCCTTAGCAAACTAACACAGCAATAGAAAACCAAATACTGCATGTTGTCACTTATAAGTGGGAGCTAAATGATGAGAACACATGGACACAGACAGGGGAACAACAGACACTGAGGCCTACTTGAGGGTGGAGAGTGGGAGGAGGGAGAGGAGCAGAAAAAATAACTATTGAGTACCAGTCTTAGTACCTGGGTGATGAAATAATTTGTACAAAAAACTCCTGTGACACAAGTTTACTTATATAACAAACCTGCACATGTACCCCTGAACCTAAATTTTTTTTAAGTTAAAAAATAAACAGAAGGCCAGGTGCAGTGCTCCACACCTATAATTCCAGCACTCTGCGATGCCAAGGTGGGCGGATCACTTGAGGTCAGGAGTTCAAGACCAGCCTGGCCAACATGGTGAAACCTTCTCTCTACTAAAAATACAAGTATTAGCCAGGCGTGGTGTTGGGTGCCTGTAATCCTAGCTACCTGGGAGGCTGAGGCAGGAGAATTGCTTGAACCTGGGAGGCGGAGCTTGCAGTGAGCCAAGATCATGCCACTGCACTCCAGCCTGGGCAACAGAGTGAGACTTGGTCTCTAAATAAATAAATAAACAGAAAATGACAGCCATCCTAGTGGGTATGCACTGGTATATCTCTGTGGTTTTAATTTGCATTTTTCTAGTAACTAGTTCTGTTTATGTGATGATTATTTATTGATTTGCATATGTTGAACCAACCTTGCATCCCAGAAATAAAGCCTACTTGATCGTGGTGGATTAGTTTTTGATGTGCTGCTGGATTCAGTTTACAGGTATTTTATTGAGGATTTTTGCATCAATGTTAATCAAGGATATTAACCTGAAGTTTTCTTTTTTTGTTGCATCTCTGCCAGGTTTTGGTATCAGAATGACCCCGGCCTCATAGAATGAATTGGGGAGGAGTCCTTCCTCCTCAATATTTTGGAATAGTTTCAGTAGGAATGTTACCAGCTCTTCTTTGTACATCTGGTAGAATTCAGCTGTGAATCCATCTGGTCCTGTGCTTTTTTTTGGTTGGTAGGCTATTTATTACTGATTCAATTTTGGAGCTTGTTATTGGTCTGTACAGGGAATGAGTTTCTTCCTGGTTCAGTCTTAGGAGGATGTATGTGTCCAGGAAAGTATCCATCTTCTTTAGGTTTCCTAGTTTGTGTGCATACAGGTGTTCAAAGCAGTTTCTGATTGTTATTTTTATTTCTGTGGGGTCAGTGGTAACATCCTCTTTGCCATTTCTAGTTGTGTTTATTTGGATCTTCTCTCTTTTCTTCTTTATTAGTCTAGCTAGTGGACTATCTATCTTAGTAATTTTTTCAAAAAACCAACTCCTGGATTTGTTGATCTTTTGAATGGTTTTTCATGCCTCTACTTTCCTCCAGTTCAGGTCTGATTTTGGTTATTTTTAAAAATGAAAATAACAAGTGTTGGCCAGGATGCAGGGAAACTGGAACTCTTGTGCATTCCCGTGGGGATGTAAGATGTTGCAGTTGTTGTGGAAAACGGTATGGCAGTTCCTCAAAAAGTTAAACAGGATTATCATATAACCCAGCAATTCTACTCTTAAATATTCAAAAATATTGAAAACAAGTACTCAAACAAATACATGTACACGAATGTCCATAGCAGCACTATTCATAAAAGCCAAAAGGTGGAAACTCACATGTCCATAAACTATAAAGCACTGAATCATGCTACAATGTGGATAAACCTTGAAAACATTAAGCTAAGTGAAAGTGTAACCCAGAATCCTGGAATTTTGGGTATGCACTGTGAAAAAGAACATACTTGTAACTGTTGCATCTTAAGTTCTTGATGTTTCTAAAAAGTTCCAGGAAGAAACTCAGCCCTAGAAAACAAACGTGGGTTGGATCCAGAGATGCCTGGGTTGGAGATGAACTTTGCCCAACTCCCCTCATTACCATACTAAACTCTCCTCCCAGGGAAGAGCTTGCTTATTCACCATTTCCTGTACACATATGTAGAAGCATGATGGGTAACGGTGCCTTCACTGCATTTACTCTACCTTTACGTACAATGACTCAGCTACCAGCCCAATAAAAGCCCTGTTTTCACTATTATTTGGGGAGGCACTGCTTTGGGAACTATCCCAATGTTCTTCTTACTTGCTGCAAGTAATAAAATCTCTTTGTTAAGTCCTCCTTGGTTGTAGTCATTGAGCTGTCACTGGCCAAGCAATCGAACTCACCTGTTGTGTGGGTAAGAAACAGAGCCAGACACAAAAGTCACATACTGAAGGATTCCATTTAATGAGAACTGTCTAGGATAGATAAATCTATACAGACAGAAAACAAGTTGGTAGTTGCCAGGGGCGGAAGGGAAGAGTAAATGAGGAGTAACCATTCAAGTGGTATGAGGTTTTCACTGGGGGCAATAAAAATGCTTTGGAACTAGATAGAGGTAATGGGTGCACAACACTGTGAATGTACTAAGTACCACTTCATTGTATACAAGTGGTCCCCCCTTACGTAAGGTTTTGCTTTCTGAGGTTTCAGTTACCTGTGGTCAACTATGGTCCAAAATATTAAATGAAAAATTCCAGAAATAAACAATTCCTAATTTTTTTTTTGAGACAGAGTCTCGCTCTGTCTCGCCCAGGCTGGAGTGCAATGGTGCAATCTTGGTTCACTGCAGCCTCCACCTCCTGGGTTCAAGTGATTCTCTTGCCTCGGTCTCCCGAGTAGCTGGGACTACAGGCGCGCGCCACCACGCCTGGCTAATTTTTGTATTTTGAGTAGAGACGGGGTTTCATCACGTTGGCCAGGCTGGTCTCAAACTCCTGACCTCAGGTGATCCACCTTCCTCAGCCTCCCAAAGTGCTGGGATTACAGGTGTGAGCCACTGCACCCAGCCCAATTCCTAAGTTTTAAATTGAGTGCCGTTCTAAGGAGCATGATGAGACCTCTCACTGTCCCACTCTGTCTCACTTCAGACATGTTCATCCCTTTGTCCAGCTGTATACACTGCTGCCCCTGAGTCAATGAGTAACCATCTAGGCTATCAGATCCACTGCTGCAGTGCTTGTATCAAGTCACCCTTCTTTTTCTTAACAATGGCTCAGAAGCATGACAGTAGTGATGCTGGCTATTGTTATAATTGTTATATTTTATTCTTAGTTATTGTTGTTAATCTCTTACTGTGCCTTATAAATTAAATGTTATTATAGATACGTATGTGCAGGAAACACAGTATCATATAGGGTTCAGTAGTATCTGAGGCTTGAACCATCCACCTGGGGTCTTGAAATAGATTCTCTAAATATAAGGGAGGAATTACTGTATTTTGACGTGGTTAATTTATGTATGCACATTTCACCTCAATTAAAAAAATAAGGGTAATATCTCCCAGTAGGAGAAAAGATGAGCGCATTTGCTTGCAACCCCTTGTAAGACTGGGGATTTCCTGAGCAGTTGTGACACAGACCCGTGGGGTATGCTGCATTCACCTTGCCTGCTGTGCATGACCCCCTGGGAATTGTGGGGCAAGGGGAACCTTTGCAAACCCGAAGCTCACGCTGCCTGCTATGTTGTAATGAGCGGTCTAAATCCACTTGGGCTTGTCTCCTTTCCCAAAGCATCCATGGAGGTTTGATGAGCTGACCTAGCCGGGGCCTGCTGCTTACAGGCTGCTTGCTGCTTGACAGCCCTCATTGTCCCCTGATATACATGAGCCAACAGGGCACACGGAACTTCCTTTTCAGGGATGCGGTCTGCCATAGCAACTGAAAATTGCTATAACTGTGCGATAGTTTATAACTAAACTGTGCAATAGAAAATCTCAACCACAGCCATGCTTGTTTTTGCCCCCATAATGCCGAGAATATTTATGAGCAAATTGCCAAATACTTGGTGACTTAGTGACATCCATTCAGACAGAAGACAGATTTAAAGGCAGGCTTCAAACATCTTCAGGAGACTATTGCCTGGGAAGGGAAAAAAGGACTCCTTTGAGTGTTCTTATGTTTCTATCTGTGTGGTTATGTGGCTACGATATATGTGAAGAAGAGTGCAAACAAAAATGTAAAAATTCATCAAGTTGTATACTTAAGATTTATATCCTTGACAGTATATGGGTCATATCTCAATAAAATTTTTTTTGGCAGGCAGGCATAGAAAAATATGCTTGGAATCATTCCATTTAATGAAAACAAAGCAAGCAAACAAACACACAAAGAAACACAGAACCTTCTGGAGCAGTTTAAACACTGTATCAGAGCAAGAGCTGCTCCTTAGAATGAGTAGTGCAATGACCATGCATTACAGCAGTGGTTCTTAATCCTGGCTGATTGAAAATCACCTGAAGAGCTTTTAATAAATACCAATGCCTGGGCACCACCCACAGAGATTCTGATTTAATTGCCTGGGCATAAAAGAACACATTATAGCTCCCCAGGTGGTTTTTCAGGGTGGACAAACCATGGCCCACAACCTAGATCGGCCTGTTGCCTGTTTTTTTTCTTTTTTTTAATAACACGTTATTGGAACCCACCCATCCATGTTCATTTATGTAAACTCATGGCTGCTTTCAGGCTACAGTCGCAAAGTTGAGCAGTTGCAACAGAGACCATATAGTCGGCAAGCCTGAAATATTTGCTGGCTGGCCCTTTACAGAAAGGGCCCCTGGGTCAGACATCTGAATTGAATGTGGAGTTTATAAAACACAAGAAGATGTTCAGCACCACCTGGAACCTTCTGACTCCAACTCTCCAGGATGAGGCTTGGGCAGGACTTCTTTGTAAGTTTCACAGGAGATTTTTCTTGGGGATCCCCCGGTTCTGAATTAGGGCCCTTGGTGCTTTGTGGTGATGCAGTTCCCAGTGGAGCCCAGTGACCAGCAGGAGCGGGCTGGCTCTTCCAGAATCATGTGAGGAACGTTTACCACTCAGATCCCCAGTAATTACCCTTCAGAGATTCACACTCAGTCGCTCTGGGGTAGGGTCCAACTACTGCTGTTATAAACAAACCAACCAACAAAACCCCAAAACAACGAAACCCCAAAAGTCCTCTCTGTGTTTGGGACCATTTACAATCAGGAGCTGAAATGAGACCAGGTCCCAGTCCCAAAATTTTGAAGGTGCAATTCCTCCTGGTTGCCAGAATCTGCATTGGGTTGGTAGAAGTGATTTGGATCGGACTTTGGATTTAAATGCAAACAAGAGAGCTGGTTTTGCCCAGGCCGCAGTTGGAGGGCACTCCAAAGTCTCTGCTCTGCAAAGAAAGTGAGGTGAACCTGCACCTGCATGCAGAAAGAGGGGCCACCTAGCAGAAGGGGAAACCCACACTGCGAGGCTGCTACCTGGTGAGCACTGGCAATGCTCAACTAGCAATGAAATGCCTCAGGACAGCCACTGCCATCTCTTTCCAGGAGAGAAACCAACAACCTAGGTCTCACTCTCAAGGATGATGCACAGGAACACCCGGAGAATCAGGAGCGTACACCTCCTGGTGGTGGAGACACAAAGAAGCATGGAACAAAATCCCTGCCCAGAGGCTGTAATTAACATACATGAAAAAAGATTGGGAGCAATATACATGTGCAAGCATCTACCTTAGAACGCAGGTGACCTCCGTGGTCCTGAGAATGGGGAAGGTCTGCTGTAATTAAGGCCAGGCTTAACCGGGCTTTCCCAGGAACGAAGGAATTTCTAGTTAGGTTGACACCATTTTCTCAAACTTGGCTGCCCCTTAGAATCACCTGCAGAGGTTTTAAAATCCCAAAGCCGAGGTCATGCCCCAGACCACTTAAATCAGAATCTCTGCGGGTGTCAACGAGATGTCAGTAGTTGTTAAAGCTCCTCAGGTGATTCCAATGTGCAGCCAAGTTTGAGCGCCCTGGTCTACACCCAGAGAAGTCCAAGGGGGTCTGGGTGCAGAGAGAAACAACAGGAAGCTGTCTGGAGCCTGAGTATAGATACGTGGGGAGGGGCAGATGGCTTGAAGTACACACAAGTCCACGAAGGGCAGCAACAACTATGATGCTCTAGATAGAAATTGGAAATAAATTGGCACAGCTAAGGGGATCCACTGGGAAGTGAGCCAAGGTACTCAAGGAAGAGCTGCAACGAAAATTTGAGTTTGCTTTTTCTTTGGTCTAGGGCATTTTGACCCCACCATACTTAAGGGAATAATTTTAGACTTAGAGAAAAGTTGCAAAGATAGTACAGAAAGTTCTTGTACATCCCTCTAGGTTTCTTTTTCTTTCATTCTTTTTTTTTCTTCTTCTTCTTTTGAGACAGAGTCTCACTCTGTCCTCCAGGCTGGAGTTCAGTGGCGCAATCTTGGCTCACTGCAACCTCCACCTCCTGGGTTCAAGAGATTCTCCTGCCTCAGCCTCCCAAGTAGCTGGGACTACAGGCACATGCCACCATGCTCGGCTAATTTTTGTACTTTTAGTAGAGACAGGGTTTCACCATGTTGTTCAGGCTGGTCTGGAATGCCTGACCTCAGATGATCCTCCCAGCTTGGCCTCCCAAAGTGCTGGGATTACAGGCATGAGCCACCGTGCCCGGCCTCTCTCAGTTTCTTCTAATATTAAGATCTTACATTACCATGGCACATGGGTCAAAACTCAAAACACCACCATTAGTACGTTACTACCCACTAAACTCCAGATTTCATTTGGATTTCACCTATTTTTCATCAACGTCCTTTTTCTGCTCCAGGATCCAATTGAAGATGGTGCATTGATTCAGTCATCAGGTTTCATTTGTACCCCACCATTTTCAGACACTCTATTTGATTCAATTGGTGCTTTAAACTTAAAAACATTTTTGTTTTGTCTTTATGAATATATATTTTCGTCCGAATTTTACCACTGAAGAAATTTTATTGAGACCGTCTTTTCCTCAGTGAATTCCATTACAAGCTACTTTAATTCTTTCAACAATTTTTCCATGCAGGTAAACCAGTACCATGTTTTTCCATTTAAAAAAAAAACTTTTCAACCAGGTGCAATGGCTCATGCCTGTAATCCTAGCACTTTAGGAGGCTGGGGAGAGAAGATTGCTTGAGCTCAGGAGTTAAAGACAAGCCTCGCCTGGGCAATATGGCAAAACCCTGTCTCTACAAAAAATATAAAAAATTAGCAGGGCATGGTGGCACACATCTGTGGTCCCAGCTACTCAGGAGGTTGGGGTGAAAGGATTGCTTGAGCCCAAAACGATGAAGCTGCAATGAGCTGTGATGACACCACTGCCCTCCACCCTGGGCGACAGAGCAAGACCCTGTCTCAAAAAAAAAAAAAAAAAATCTTTTCAACAGACTTTTTTTATACAATAAATTTTACCAAAAATATTTGGTTCATCAATTACTTTTTGTCTATATGAATGCTGTCCCTCATGGTTTTTGACAATCTGAGTTTCCTTGGATGATCACATTTCCACCAAGATCAATTTTCCTGAGTCAAATTCTGCATATCCAGATTTGCCAAGATGTGATCCTTCTATTGATTAAAAAAAGCAATTTTACCATGTGCATTTTTCCTTCTGTTGCTTTTACTTCATTTGAGTTTTCTATCACATTTAATTTTTTGCAGTTCAGTTGTTGTACTTTTCAACTTTACCATGTTTACTTTCTGTAGTTTCTCATTTGCAACAATTTTTTTATCACTTGCAATTTTAACTATTATATTTCCTTTTGTGTTTTTTCTACCAATAATATTTGCAGTGACGACTACAAGATTGATGATTTGCATTGTTTTTAGTTGAGCCACGGAAGAACTGAATGGCTCTTCTCAGACACTCTAGAGATGCTCTACTGGCCGGCATGAATCAACTGTATTGCTCATCCAGTTCTTTTTGATGTTTGTGTTCACACATGAACCAGCAGAGCAAGAATAGATGATGAGTCAAGTGAGTGAAATGATCTGCTTCATTTAAAAAAACTTTTTAAAAGCTTCCCTTGGTGGGTGGGAGTCCCTGCATGTCAGCAGCACCGCCTTACCCACGGAACACAATGTAAATGGCATCGCTAGAGATACGCAGGACGGTGCAGGAATGTGAGAAAAAGGTAAGAAGGGCCAAGGAGAACGAGCAGAGCAGGATGTTTGGCTGAATTCCAGGCAAAGACACAGGGACCAGACATGGTGCTAAGGCAGAGCCTTGATCTAAGAGAAGACGTCCCAGCTCCCAGAATTGGGATATAAGGTCAGGGTGGGGCCAGCCCCAAGGTTGATTTTCTGCTGAACGACTAGCCTAGGATCCTTAGACTCCCCGGGAGGAGTGGATTCTCTCTTAAGAGCCTGGAGTGTGGCCCAGTGACCCACCTGTGAGGGATGCGTGGAAGAGGTGGGGCCAGAATATTACTAGAGAAGTTGATTCACCTGAAGAAATCAGTCACCTTATTTATTTAGGTAAAAAACAGTCACAAGAGAAGGTTTAGCTGTAATACTCTATAGTAAGCAACTGCCTGCACAGAGGGAAAGTGGCTTTATTGTTGTGGCCAAGCCATCTGGGGCAGTGTTGTCACAGAGAGGGACATTCTGCATCTAGAGACGAAAGGGCTCAGACCCTTCTCCAGATGCCCCAAATAACCTTCTCCAAAGAAGTGCAGGTCAACATCTTTCTGCTTGGTCTCAGGACAACAAAAGCGAACATTTCACTGTCTTCCATACTGTCCTCTCCCACTGCCAGACTAGAATCAATGAAATTCACAGAAAAAGGGCACAGCTGGGAAATAATTGGGCTTGAGTAACAACTAACAATTCCCCTCATTCTTTCCCTGAGCTAATCAACCACATCTCCTAGAGCCAATAAGGAGAGGTCCTCTTCTCTGTGTATGTGTGAAATGTAACACATTCGGGGAAAAAAGTGAATAAATGTATAAGTGGCTTGAGCATCTTTGTAACTAATACCCAGTCAAGAAATAGAAAATTTCCAGAACCTCAGTGGGTGGCCAACTCTCCATCCTCTATCTGACACCCCAGAGCAGTTTCTTGACTTGCACAGAATCTGAGATTTGGACGGAGAACTAGAGCTTTGTTTTGCAAAGATCCGCAAGATCTGGAGATGTCTAGAAATGAAGTTGGAGTTCTCAACTTAGTGGCTTTAAGGCAACATTCAGGGAATTAAGTATTAATAGGCTAATGCAGGGAGTTCCTGATCAGGGGGTTCAGAGTGAGACTCAGAGATTCAGGGATTTTTTTTTTTTTTTTGAGACAAAAGTCCTGCTCTTGTTGTCCAGGCTGGAGTGCAATGGCGCCATCTCAGCTCACTGCAAACTCTGCCTCCCGAGTTCAAGCAATTCTCCTGCCTCAGCTTCCTGAGTAGCTGGGATTACAGGCACCTGCCACCATGTCCAGCTAATTTTTGTATTTTTAGTAGAGACGGGGTTTCACCATGTTGGCCAGGCTGGTCTCAAACTCCTGACCTCAGGTGATCTGCCCGCCTCGGCCTCCCAAAGTGCTGGGATTACAGGTGTGAGCCACCGCACTTGGCCAGGGATATGCATATCTGGTAAGTACCCCAGAAGATTCAATAGTATGTGGTTCTCAAAGACATGCCACTTTAGAAAGACATGCCCTGAATCCACAGACACTTAGCTCAGGAGGCACTATGAGACTCCTTATGTCCTTGCTACTCAAAGTGTGGCTCCAGACTAGCAGTAGTGGCATCACCTGGAATGCAAAATCCTGGGTCCCATTCCAGAGCTCCTGAATCAGATGCTTTTTTTTTTTTTCTTTTTTGAGACGAAGACTCACTCCGTCGCCCAGGCTGGAGTGCTGTGGCATGATGTCGACTCACTGCAACTTCTGCCTCCCGAGTAGCTGGGATTACAGGTGCCTGCCACCACGTCTTGCTAATTTTTGTATTTTTAGTAGAGACGGGGTTTTACCATGTTGGCAAGGCTGGTCTCGAACTTCTGACCTCAAGTCATCCACCCGTCTTGGCCTCCCAAAGTGCTGGGATTACAGGCATGAGCCACCGCACCGGCTCAGGTGCATTTTTATGCGGTCTTGCTGGTAATCTGCACGCACATTAAAGCTGTAGTAGCACACCTCTGGGTTCCTTAAAGACAGTTCTCAACAGGGGCAACGCTGCCCCTACAGGGCATTCAGGAAATTTGAGTTGGGCAGGTAGTTTGGCTGTCACAAGGATCGGCATTTAGTGTGGAGGGGGTAGGGCTGTTACATGTCCAGCACATTAAATAAACATCCTGGCCAGGTGAGGTGGTTCACGCCTATAATCCCAGCACTTTGGGAGGCTGAGGCAGATGGATCACTTGAGTCTTGGATTTCGAGACCAGCCTGGGAAAATGGCGAAATCCTGTCTCTACAAAAAATACAAAAATTAGCTTGTCGTGGTAGTGCATGCCTGTGATCTCAGCTGCTCGGAAGGTTGAAGTGGGAGGATCACCTGAGCCCGGGAGGCTGAGGCTACAGTGAGCCGTGATTGCACCATTGCACTCCAGCCTGGGTGACAGAGCAAGTCCTTTCTCAAAAAAAAAAAAATAAAGGGCCAGGCACCATGGCTCATGCCTGTAATCCCAGCACTTTGGGAGGCTGAGGTGGGCGGATCACGAGGTCAGGAGATCGAGACCTTCCTGGCTAACATGGTGAAACCTCGTCTCTACTAAAAAATACAAAAAAATTAGCCAGGCGTGGTGGTGGGCACCCGTAGTCCCAGCTACTCGGGAGGCTGAGGCAGGAGAATGGCGTGAACCTGGGAGGTGGAGCTTGCAGTGAGCCGAGATCACACCACTGCACTCCAGCCTGGATGTCAGAGCAAGACTCCGCCTCAAAAAAAAAAAAAAAAAGGAAAGAAAAGGAAGTCCTGCATCCTGTACAACTTCCAAATGTCTCACTGGATATTTATGTATACATGTCTGCATTTATCTGAGCCTAGAACCTAATTCTTTTTTTTCATCTATAGGTATTTTTTTATTAGAAAAGAAATTAAACATTCTCACTAGAGACTGAAGAAGGAAATTAATAATCTTACAAGTCTAGAAGGAGGCAAACTTCATAAGGGATTCTTTTTTTTTTTTTTGAGACGGAGTCTTGCTCTGTCACCCAGGCTGGAGAGCAGTGGCGCAACCTCGGCTCACTGCAAGCTCCGCCTCCCGGGTTCACGCCATGCTCCTGCCTCAGCCTCCCGAGTAGCTGGGACTACAGGCGCCTGCCACCATGCCCGGCTAATATTTTTGTATTTTTAGTAGAGACGGGGTTTCACCGTGTTAGCCAGGATGGTCTCGATCTCCTGACCTCGTGATCTGCCTGCCTCGGCCTCCCAAAGTGCTGGGATTACAGGCGTCAGCCACTGCGCCTGGCCCAAGGGATTCTTAGTTTTCAAAGCATTGGGGGCTCTTTCAGAGATACACTCTTAGGGTAGGGGGCTGTAAGTTTTCTCAATGTTTTACATTTTGTGCTTTAATTTTTGCTGGTACTCTAAATCAAATAAATACACAGTGTTCAGGATTATCTGGATGGCCATCTTAAATAACAGAGTGTTCTACACGACCACAGCCTCTGCACTTGTGCCTCTGATCCATATGACAGCAAGACCAACTATGCTTAACTTTTCATATGATTTCTCCAGTTGAGTCCTGAGAGCTTTCACAGAATTGTTGAACATTTCCTATGAGATCTGTGAGAGGACAAGGTGGACAACACTGGTTCAGAGCAGTGATTCTCAAGGTGGGATGGGATGGGGTGGGGTTGTGTCTCCGGAGAGATGCAGTCGTTTGAAAGAACACATTCAAAATACCCACTGATTTCATAACACCAACTCCACAAAGTCAAGAGGAAAAATGATTTCAGCTAATGGGCAGTAGCAGAAAACCAACCAAGGATTCATCATTGTGGAGAAGGAGTCTGTAGAAACATAGTTGAAAAACACTGGCTTAGAGGCAGAGGCATGCCGACACGTGGAGAACAGTAAGAAACGCGTGCCAAAGAGAAAGAACAATTGAGGGTGAGTGAGCGAATCCTAGGCCAGAACTTGTCACAATCTTCTGAAAACCAAAGAGCACATCAAGAAGAAAACCAAGATGGCCCATCAACCTTCTTGGCCCCGTGGTCAAGAGCAAGTTGATCCACTTTTAAATACTGAGGCAAAAGAAGAAAAAAGCTGTTTGTGCCCCCCAAATTCATCCACCAGGAAGTGCTGTCATCACATGCAATGCCATCCAGCTCTTGAGGAGGAAAGTCAGCGTGTGGCCTGCTCTGTGGTTACTGCAAAACTCCAATCTGCTTTAGCCGCGTCAGCAGTTCCCCACTCTATTGCATAGTGACTAGATCACTGCATCTGCCTATACAATCTTTACTGATAAAGACTCAAGGCCCCATTCTTGCTCCCGTGAGCTGTTCCAAATAATCTTGAATCTTGTTAGTGTGGTTGGTGGTTGTGATCTCGACAAATTCCAGAAGCCCTTGTTTGATGGGCAGTTGACTGAGGATCTCTTGGGTCCTCCTGCAGAATGGGAAGGTGGGCTTGATGAACACAACCACCTTCCCAGGCTGGATTTTGTAGTTCCCACACTCTTGAGCCATGCTGACAGGCTGCGGTCCCCCTGGGAAGAATCCTCAGTTGTAGGTATTGCATGAGTATTGAGCCAAACCTAATTCTTGTTTTACAAATAAACACACTCTTTACTTTTGCACAATCGTAATGTTTACTGAAATTTCCAGGCAGGCAACTGCCCTATAAGTTGAGGGAAGGCTCAACATGTATATATATATATTTTTTTGAGACGGAGTCTCACACTGTCGCCCAGGCCGAAGGGCAGTGGTGCCATCTCGGCTCACCGTAAGTTCTGCCTCCCAGGTTCACGCCATTCTCCTGCCTCAGCCTCCCAAGTAGCTGGGACTACAGGCGCCCGCCACCACGCCTGGCTAATTTTTTCTATTTTAGTAGAGATGGGGTTTCACCATGTTAGCCAGGATGGTCTCAATCTCCTGACCTCGTGATCTGCCCACCTTGGCCTCCCGAAGTGCTGGGATTACAGGCATGAGCCACCATGCCCGGCCAACATGTACTTTAAGAGTAACCAAATGTGCACCATCTCAGGCAATCTCATCATGGACAGTAAAGCGGTGGTGTGTGGTACAGAGCACCTGTGTCAGCCTACCCGCAGGTACAAACACCCGAGCGCTTCATTATAGTCAGACTCTAGCATTTATATATTTATGTACTTTCTTTTTTTTGAGATGGAGTCTCAGTCTGTCTCCCAGGCTGGGGTGCAGTGGTGCGATCTCAGCTCACTGCAACCTCTGCCTCCCGGATTCAAGCGATTCTCCTGCCTCAGCCTCCTGGAGTAGCTTGGACTAGGCGTGCACCACTACTCCCAGCTAATTTTTGTATTTTTAGTAGAGACGGGGTTTCGCCATGTTGGCCAGGCTGGTCTGGAACTCCTGGCCTCAAACAATCCATGCACCTTGGCCTCCCAAAGTGCTGGGATTACAGGTATGAGCCACTGCACCCAGCCTATATTATTTTACTATAAATGTTTTCTGTTGTTTATTCTTTTATAATTAGGGCAGTATAATGTCTTTCTAAAATATATGTATAGTTTATTTTATCTATAAAATTTCATTTCAGGATAATAAATATTTATAAAATTTCATGATAGTATCATAAATTTTTTTTTTTGAAGACATAGTCTCACTCTGTCACCCAGGGTGGAATGCAGTGGCGAGATCTCAGCTCACTGCAAGCTCTGCTTCCTGAGTTCAAATGATTCTCATGCCTCAGCCTCCTGAGTAGCTGGAATTACAGGCATGAGCCACCATGCCTGGCTAATTTTTGTATTTTTAGTAGAGACAGGGTTTCACCATGTTGGCCAGGCTGGTCTCGAACTCCTGACCTCAGGTGATCCACCTGCCTCAGCCTCCCAAAGTGCTGGTATTACACGTGTGAGCCACTGCGCCCAGGACCTTTCTTATTTTGCATATTAGTATGTGATGTGCAAAACATTTCAGATGGTAGAGTATGTCAAAATGAGATCTCTTCAGAAGTTCTGTGTTTACTGTGAGGCCTTATGGCACCGAGCTCCTAAATTATTTTTGACATAAAAAGGGAGTTAGCAGGTATTATAGGAGTTGAGCAGAACTATTCTGATTGAATCACCTCATTTTTCAAAGGCCTTGAAACCCAGGGAGATGGAATGCCCAAGGTCACAGGGATAACTAGTTTCAGAAGAACCAGACAGCCATGAATTCAGACCCAACCAGGACTTGGCCTCCTGCCACCAGCACTGCCGGCTCAGCCTGCCCAAGTCTCTGGAGGGCTCCTTGTCTCCACAGAAAACCTCCTTCTATGCCCCTGCTTTTGCCAAGGCCTGGACAATGATTTGGAACATCATGCCGTCTTACTAGGAAGCACAAAACCTTTGTCGGACTGTTATTATTATTTTTAACCTAGGACCTTTTCTTTCGTATGCAGAAATTACAGCTATAAAATAAACAGATCCCTTGTGCCTGGCTCTCTTTGGACACAAATTGCTGCCTGTCCTTGTCTGTTTAGAGTTGGATTCAAGGGCCTTCAAGAAAAATGGCCAAAAGGAAAAAAAAAAACAACTTCCTTGATTTGGGGAGACAATGGATTTTGTAGTTAAAGACTCAAAGCTTGGGACTCTAACCCATGAGTACCCTAGTACCCTCAACGACCACAATCCAGGGCCACAGGGTTGGTGGTACTTAGTTTCCATACACAGAATGTCCCCATCAACTGTATAAAAACTTGGGTTGCTCCAACGTTGGTTGTTCTGTCACTTGATTTATCCTGTATATTAAAGTCAAGGGACCCCTTTTTCCTCTAACATCTGTGATTTCAGGCGAGGACTCTAGAGGGAATAAATGAGGTGAGGACTACTTCACCAAGGGGGTGAGAGAAGATCTCATGTCTTCAGGTGCGGCTGAAGATGGGGACCCAGTTTTATAAAAAGCTGAGAGAAAAAAGGGCTGAGAGAAGAAAAGGGCCTAAAGCAGAAACAAGCTTGGACAATCAGGAGACAGGAGACCAGCGTGAATGAGAGACACGGTGCTGCTGAATGCCTTGGATGGATGGATGGACCCAACCTCACCCTATTTATGTAACCCATTTACCTAACGTAGCAAAATGGAGTTGGAAAGTAGCTGATCCTGGCTGGTGGCTCATGCCTGTAATCCTAGCACTTTGGGAGGTTGAGGCGTGAAGATCACTGGAGGTCAGGAGTTTGAGACCAGCCTGGCCAACATGGTGAAACCCCATCTCTACTGAAAAACAAAAAATTAGCCAGGCATGGTGGTGCATGCCTGTAATCCCAGCTACTCGGGATGCTGAGGCAGGAGGATTGCTTGAACCTGGGAGGTAGAGGTTGCAGTGAGCCAAGATCGTGCCACTGCACTCCAGCCTGGGTGACAGTGTGAGACTCTCTCAAAAAAAAAAAAAAAAAAGAAAAGAAAAGAAAGTAGCTGATCCCCAAGTTCAAGACAGTGACACCTCATATGGAAAGGGACCCCCGAGACTCTTCCACCTTCCTTGCCCAACCTGGGTAGGATGGCGTCTCCCTTGGGCTTAATCTGACCATCCCAGGAGGATATGTGGCCCAGGAAAGAAACAGAATGCACATCACCTTTGTGAGACAATTCTGGCAGGATTCATCAAGTGATCACACAAAGCCTTCAAAGACATAAAAAAGATACTATTATCAAGCAAATCCCAAGAGTCCCCAAAGATAGGAATGTATGTGTGACAGGGACAAGGTGTCTTATTGCCTTCTGGGTGCTGCTGTGCCAAGAGAGAAAATGGTCTCCAGACAATGTGTTCTCAGTGAGGTTTCCAGAAACTCATCAAAGAATGGCCTATATGATCATAGATTTCAAAGATGTTACTGTTTTAGGAGGGGAAAAGGGGTCTGGAGAGAAGGCCCAGAAACCACGCAGTTCCTGACACCCAACAAGAATGCAGGGAGGGGCCAAAAGGCATTCACAGGAGGAGGAGGCACTCAGGGACATGCCAGGCTTTTATTCCAAGGTGTCCTTGAGGAAGAACAAGATTAGGAGGCTCGGCTGAGAAGAGAAAAATTCATGTCAAAGGAAAATTGAGTAGAGGAGCGAGATGAGTGAGTTTTCAGAAAAGGGTAAGATCAGGAGAGAAAAAGAGACAAGAGAAGTTGACTCCTGCCCAACAGGAATGTGAAGAGGAAAGACAGGGTCTTCAGGAAGCCTAGAGACTGATCTTATACATCTGGGTATGGCCCATGTCTCACTGAGCTGCTGAGAATGGAAGCTGAAAGGGCAAAGTCTTTAGAGGTAGGAGATACACTTAGAGATCTCTCTGGTCCAGGAGAGAGAGAGAAACAACAACAACAAAAAACTGTCTGGGCCTGGTGCAGTGACTCACGCCTGTAATCCCAGCACTTTGGGAGGCCAAGGCAGGCAGATCACCTAAGGTCCCGGGTTTGAGACCAGCCTGGTTAACATGGTGAAACCCCGTCTCTACTAAAAATACAAAAATTAGCCGGGGAAGGTAGTGGGAGCCTATAATCCCAGCTACTCGGGAGGCTGAGGCAGGAGAATCGCTTGAACTCGGGAGGTGGAGGTTGCAGTGAGCTAAGATCACGCCATTGCATTACAGCTGACAAGAGCGAAACTCCGTCCCCCAAGAAAAGAAAACCTGTCTGTCTCCCTGGGGTGGACAGGATGCCCTAGTTTTATGTGTGTTTGAATCTCCAAAAATACCTGCATTATTTTTCATGGGAAAAGGTCCTAGATAAAATAACTCAGATTGCCCTTAAAATCCCACAGATGCTGGCGAGGCTGCAGAGAAACGGGAACACTTGTACACTATTGGTGGGAATGTAAGTAATTTTGGCCACTGTGGAAAGCAGTTTGGAGATTTCTCAAAGAACTTAGAGTTACCGTTTGATCCAGAAATCCTATTCCTAGGTATATATCAAAGGAAAACAGATCATTTTTCAAAAGAGATAAATGCACTGGTATGTTCCTCACCTTGCTAGTCACAATAACAAAGACATAGAATCAACCTAGGTGCCCATCAACAGTGGATTGGATTAAGACAATGTGGTATTATACATATACAACATGGAATATTATGCAGCCTTAAAAAAGGACAAAATTATGTCCTTTGCAGCAATGTGGATGGAGCTGGCAGTCATAATCCTAAGTGTATAACACAGGAACAGAAAGCCAAATACTGCATGTTCTCACTTATAAGTGGGAGCTAAACATTGAGCGTCCACAGACATAAACATGGGAATAACAGATACTGCAGACTACTAGAGCAGGGATGGAGGGAGGCATGGGTTGAAAAACTACCTACTGGGTATAATGCTTATTACCTGAGTACAATACACCCATGTAACAAACCTGCACATGTACCTCCTGTATCTAAAATAAAAGTTGGAGGAAAAAAATCCCAGAATGTTAACAGAACTAAAATTCCCCCAAATCTAATGTCTAATATCTCAGATGAAAGCTTGGCAACTCAACTGGAAGACAGCAACCCACAGGGAGACAGAAAGTCAGTGTTAACATCTGAGACAGCACAGCCATACTGACTGAGAAGCTCTGCGGAAAAGCACTTCCCAAAGGCTATGAGGAATAATGGGAGGAATTTCATAGGGGGTCATGGGAGAGACTCTACTCTCCGTGTCATTGACTCCCAATAACCAGGAAGGCAACAGGAGAGAAGACAACATCCTGAAGGTGGCTGCATAGGGTAGGGATTGAGATGATGGGTGCTAGAGTCCAATCATCTGGGATCAAATCCTGCCTTTGCCACCCAGCATTGCAGCACAGGCAAGATTCTTACTTGATTCTTCTAAGCTTCAATTTTACATCAATTAATGAAGATACTATAGTTGATGGGAGAGTTATGAACTGAATCTGCAGCCAGTGAGCTTTCTGTATGCTGGCTGGTGTTGTTACCAGCTCTACATCACAGCTGTACATTCTGCCTTAAAGGGAATTCCTGGAGCCCGTATAGATCTGAAGGAGTCCATTTCAATGGGGGGATTTCTTTTTAAAAATTTTTTATTTCTGGCTGGGCACGTTGGCTCATGCCCATAATCCCAGCACTTTGGGAGGCCAAGGTAGGTGGATCACCTGAGGTCGGGAGCTCGAGACCAGCCTGGCCAACATGGAGAAATCCCATCTCTACTAAAAATATAAAATTAGCCGGGTGTGGTAGCACATGCCTGTAATCCCAGCTACTTGGGAGGCTGAGGCAGGAGAATCGCTTGAACCTGGGAGGCAGAGGTTGCAGTGAGCCAAGTTCGCGCCATTGCACTCCAACCTGGGCAACGAGAGCAAAACTCCGTTTAAAAAAAAAAGAAAATATTTCCATAGGTTTTCGGGGGAACAGGTGGTATTTGGTTACATGAGGAAGTTCTTTAGCGGTGACTTGTGAGGTTTTTTTTTTTTTTTTTTTTTTGGAGACGGAGTCTCACTCTGTTGCCCAGGCTGGAGTGCAGTGGTACGATCTTAGCTCATTGCAACCTCCACCTCCTGGGTTCAAGCAGTTCTCCTGCCTCAGCCTCCCGAGTAGCTGGGATTACAGGAGCACGCCACCACACCTAGCTAATTTTTTTGTATTTTAGTAGAGATGGGGTTTCACCATGTTGCGCAGGGTGGTTTCAAACTCCTGAGCTCAGGCAATCCATCTGCCTGGGCCTACCAAAGTGCTGGGATTATACCACCACACCCGGCCAACTGGTGAGATTTTGGTGCACCCATCACCAGAGCAGCATACCCTGAACCCAATTTGTAGTCTTGTATCCCTCTCCTGCGTTGCACCCCATGGGAGAATTTCTGAATGTGATGCCCCTGCCCCCTCGTCTAAGTATTGGTTTTGCCATACGAGGACAACACTCTGGTCCGGGACAAGATATGAGTGGAGACGTGCTGGGACTTCAGATCAAGATTTCAGAGAAATCAAATCTCCTGCCCATTTGGTGCCAGAAGCGATTTCAGAGAGAGACTGAACAACAAGGGCAACAGTGAGTATTTTGTGCTCACTGTGAAGCAGACATGGTTCCAAACACCCTGCCTACGTCACCTGGTCTACTCCTCAGAACAACTCTGAGGTGTGATTATTATCAGCCCATGTTACAGACTGAGAAACTGAACAGGGGATTGAAGTACCTCGAATGACATAATTCCATCATATACTGCAACCTCCTTAGTTGCAAAGCACGTGGAAGCATCTGCTTGACTCAAATATCTCGTGCTGGCCAGGCACGGTGGCTCACACCTGTAACTCCAGCACTTTGGGAGGCTGAGGTGGGAGGATTGCTTGAGCCCTAGAGTTCAAGACCAGCCTGGGCAACATAGTGAAACTCTGTCTCTACAAATAAATAAAACAATTGGCCAGGCATGGTGGGCACACACCTGTGGTCCCAGCTGCTGGAGAGGCTGAGGTGGGAGGATCACCTGAGCCCAAGAGTTGGAGGCTGCAGTAAGATGTGATCATACCGCTGCACTCCAGCCTGCGCGACAAAGCAAGGCCCCGTCCCAAGAAAAACCAACCAACCTAGTGCTGAGATGCAAATGCAATTTTAAAAGTTGCAGGTCTTCAGACTATTTTTCGAAGTCATTCCTCTGTTTCACATGGACAAATCAAAGTTATAAAAATAGCCACTACTAATCTGATGAAATTACTGCTTTCCTTTGTTCAATCCACTGCTTCACACTTTGCGGCCTCCCTAACATCCTTGGGACTGATTAGGCCTTCCTCTTCTATTAGGTAGGCAATGTTCTCTCCAGCAAACAGAAGTAGGCCTTATATCCCCGAGGTCACCAGTACCAGCCAAAAAGTAGCTTGTTGAACGTAATTTCATGCAGAATCAGCTTCCAGTTTAGATGTCATTAGGGCCAGCATTGCTGAGGTTTGAGACTTGGCCAGTGATAAATAGGTCACCAAAATGCAGCCACGGCACCTATTATAGAGTTTCTTGGGTGGAAACATGGACTCACGTGTTTACATCAAGGTTCTTAAATGAAGATATTTTTAGTTTCATTGAGTTATTTTTTACTCTGGCCAAACCCTAATTATCCAAGTGTAGATTATCTATGCTATTAACTCCAAAGTGGGATCGACTCCAAAAAACTTTATTCTGGCCCCTCGGTACTTCCTAACACAGAACATACAAATTAATTTAATATTGGCTTGCGATGGGAAGGGCAGGAGCAAGCTGAGCCTTAGGTAATGTGCAAACAGAACAGCAGCTTCAGAAGAGTCCAGAGCTGCGTGGTTAGTTGGGTTCTTAGTCTCCATCAGGGAAGGAGATGTGAGTTTTGTGTGTATGTCAAAACCAAATAAGCACAAATTTGGGACAGTCTGCCCTGCTTTTTACCTCCCCTGGAAGAAAAAATTATGTTGGTTTGGTATGAGAAAGGATGTGGCTTTGGGACCCTCCCCCTTGAGCAGAGGTCCCAGATCCTCGTGAAGAATTCTGTAAACACCTCACCCACCTATTGTCTGTCTGTTTATCTGCTGTGTGGTCAGGTTGTCACGGCTGTTGGCTTGCTGCTTCAATTACGCAGGGTTTACTTAGCTGTGCAATTGCAATGACTTCCATCTAGAGTCCTCAACATTTGCCTAAACAATCAGCACTTTTCTCCCTAGTTGTCCAAAATGGGAAACTTGATGCTATATATACAGCCAATTGTTGAGCCAGAAACACCTTTCTAATAACTCACTCTAGGGATAAATCAATCCTCAATCTCCTGGAGCCAAATCCATGAGCATTCTATTTCTCTTGGAATTTTTCATATACTCAACTTGTAGGAAAAAGAGGTCATTAACAAGAAACAAGATGCAGCAGAGTTTATTTGGGACATTGACAAAGCCACCAAGGGGTATCTTGAATAAAGGTGAAGAGTTCCATGTCTGACAGCCTCTACACCGGCCGTTACTCCTAACAATGTCAGAGGCAATGCACAGTCCTGAACATTCCTCACGTGAAAGTTCAACTGCGCTGAGAAACCTCGACTGACTGAGAAAGCAGAGTGGACTAACATATTTAAAAATATCTCTTCTCAACTATGTTACAACCATACACACAGTGTTTGGGAAGAATCGCACAAAAACGTAAGTGGTCACTCTGAATAGGTGATTTTTTTTTTTAATTTTTAAAAATTTTTTTATAGAGACAGAGTCTCACTCTGCCACCCAGGCTGGAGTGCAGGCGCACTCTCGGCTCACTGCAAACTCTGCCTCCTGGGTTCAAGCAATTCTCTGCCTTAGCCTCCCAAGCAGCTGGGAATACAGGCACCTGCCATCACGCCCGGCTAATTTTTGTATTTTTAGTAGAGATGGGGTTTCACCATCTTGGCCAGGCTGGTCTTGAACTCCTGATCTCATGATCCACCTGCCTCGGCCCCCCCAAAGTGCCGGGATTACAGGCGTGAGCCACCGCGCCTGGCCTTGTTCCTTAATTTCAACGGTAAATATAAAATTATTTTCTAAAGATTCGCAGTAGAATCCTAGTACTCCTTGGTAATGAGAGAGAAATCAATTAAGGGGGACAATTCCATCCCCAGTGCAATGTGTTTTCTTTTTTTTTTTTTGGAGACCGAGTCTCACTCTGTCGCCCAGGATGGAGTGCAGTGGCATGATCTCGCCTCACTGCAACCTCCACCTCCCGGGTTATAACTCCTGGTCTCAGGACTCCCGGTCTCGAACTGCTGACCTCAGGTGATCCGCCCACCTCGGCCTCCCAAAGTGCTGGGATTACAGGCGTGAGCCACTATGCCCAGCCGTAGATGGGGTTTTCATGGTCTCCAGAAGGACTTTCTGTGATGTGACCACATTGACCTTCAGCCTAGGTGGTCATGTGCTTAATATTGTTATATAAATTATAGCACTTCAAAACTTTAACTTAACTTCACCCTAAGCAATGAGAGCCAAGAAATCAGACTATTTTTGTGTGCCACTTAAATAAACAAAAATGGAAATAAATAATAAATGCCAATGAAATAGTCATTAATAAAATACACTGTCTTCCATGTGTTACTGGAAATGATGTGTGGCCCCCGTGGTACTTGGGAACATCCAGGTTTTCTGAATTCACATTTTAAAGTCTATGAGGAACCCACAGGTGAATGTGTGGCACATGGAGCATATAGACAGACACATGAGGCAGATGCATGAGATGCAGGCCTAGAGATAGACAGAGTCATCCCCGCCCCAGGAGGGAAGTTTCTGCCCTGGAACACTGAGAGAGAGAGAGAGAGACCTGGATCCTTGTGATGAATTCTCCCTGTTTGCTTATGTTAGTTTGAGCAGGTCTGGATTTAAACAGTCCCATTTCCCCTTCCTCTGCCCCTCATTATATACTCATTACTAATGGCTAATAACTGGATGAGAGATACATGGGGGTTCCTATACCCTATTTCTTTTTCTAAAGAGGAATGGTTCATTGCCATTGTCTTGTTTTTCTTCCAGTATTGTATACTGGGCGTGTTGTGCATGGTTTAATCTGATTGCTTAGTCCACAAATGGCAGCTGGTGAGCATTCATATCTGGGGAGCGTGAGCCTCTGCGTGCTGCAGCTCAACAGGACTTTGAATATTCTCCCATCAGGGATGGGGAATACAGTTTGTGGCAGTCAATGAGATGGCTGGTGCTATTGTTTGGCTATGGTTTGAATATGTCCCCACCAAAATTCATGCTGAAATTTGATCCCCAATGTGGTGGTGGTGGAAGGTGGGGCCTAGAGGGAAGTGTTTGGGTCACAGGGGGCAGATCCCTCATGAATGGCTTGATGTCATTCTTGTGGCATTGAGTGAGTTCTCGCTTTGGTGAGACTGGATTAGTTTCCATGGGAATGGATCAGTTCCCTTGACAGTGGGTTGTTATAAAGCCAGAATACCCCTGGGGTTCATGCCTGTCTGCTTCCCCTTTGACCTTCACCATGTTAAGATGCACCACAGAAGCCCTTGCCAGAAGCCAGGGTCATGCCCTTGAACTTCCAGCCTCCAAAACTATAAACTAAAGAAACCTCTTTTCTTTATAAATTACCCAGTCTCAGTTCTGTTATAGCAACACAGGATGAACTAAGATAGCTGGTTCTATTGGGCAGAGGCATTTCTGGGTGTATAGGAAGGAGGGTTTACGGTAAGAGGTAGAACAAAATATAGAAAACAAGGTTTGAGTTTCATCTCCCACTCCCCTTCCCTGAGTACTTCGTGTGGCAGCCATGTTTGTGCTGCTGGATCCAAGCCCCCAAGATGCACCTCAGTGGACAAGGGATAAACACCTGACCCCCATATTTGGCCAATCAGATTCTCTCAGGAATGTAACTTGGGATTAAGAAACAGTAGGCAGTCATCGTTAGTTGTTTCAACTGAGGGGACAAAAACTCAGGGCTGAGGGGTGGTGATCAGCAGCCAAGAATGAGAAGAAGCAGAAAGCAGAAGTCAAAAGCAAAAGAAAGAGAGAAGCAAAGGCAAGAGCCCAAGAAAATGGCTGCCAATTCTTGCTGATTCTCCACTTTCTGGCCTAGCACTGTTGTGAGTCTCAAATTTGCTTCCTGCTCTGCAGTTCCATGAACTACCCCTGTATGTATCCTTACAATACAATCAACAATTTGTCTTGAGCTGATTCAGGTGAGTTCCTAATATTTGCAAGCAAAAGGGCCTTGACTAAGATCATACAGAAAACACGGTCATATATACTGCTAATAAAATTGTTCCTAGTTTTTACAAGAGAATAATTTATTATGTTTTATTGTATTTTGCAAAGAGGACTAAGAATTCAGGCATCTCACCACCTGTGATATTGTAAAATACATATTTGGTCTTTGTCCCTGGTTCCTGATGTATAACTCTTAAAATCTGTAGAATCTCTAATGTGATGTCTTTTTGTATGTTAATGAGTTGACTGTTGACTGGCAGCCCCTAGGTAGTTTCAGAATGGGGCTGGTCACCAGAAAGACCAAGGCATGATTAGAGAGTTGGGACTTAAAGCCCCACACCGCAACCTCCAGGGAGGGGAGAGGAGCTGAAGGCTGAGTTGATCACCAATGGCCAATGGTTTAATCAATCATGTCTATATAATAAAGTCTCTATAAAAACCCCAAAGGACAAGGTTTGGAGAGCTTCCAGATTGCTGAACACATGGATGTTCCTGGAGGGTGGTTCACCCTGGAGAGGGTCTGGAAGCTCCACACCTCTTCCTATAGGTGTTATCCTATGCATCTCTTCATCTGTATCCTTTGTAATATCCTTTATAGTAAACCAGTAAACCTAAGTGTTTCCCTGAGTTCTGTGAGCCACTCTAGCAAAGTAAGCAAACCCAAGGAGGGAGCTGTGGGACCCGATTTATTGCCAGTCAGTCAGAAGCACAGATCAAACACGGAGCCTGCAGTTGACACCTGAAGGTGGGGGGCAGGTTAGGGACTGAGCCCTCGACCTGTGAGATCTGACTCGATCTCCAGATAGATAGTGTCAGAATTGAACTGAATTAGAAGACATCCAGCTGGTGTTTGCTGCAGAGGATGCTGGCTTGCTTGATATATAGGATAATACCCTCACACTTCTGGTCACAGAAGCCTTCTGTGTTGATCGTTGTTGACTGAGAGAATAGAAAAAAAAACAGCTTAAGTTTTTCCACTCTTAGACCATCTGAACAAGTTTGAGAATAACTGCTCTAACTTAGTAGGGAAAAAGAAAAAAGAGGCCCTTCTGGGGTCTTCACCCAAACACATCTGAAAAAAAAATAAGATAGCTGATTAGAAGCAGCAGAAGATATGTTGACTATAACACTGACTCTCAAGGAAGAGCAAAAATCAGAATCGCTTTAGGAAGTTTTGGTGTTTGTTTCAAATGGTGCTACCAAGGCTCTGTCTCAGAGCTACTGAATCAAAAGCCCAGTCAAGTCTTCACGGCAGTTATACATTTTTTTTAGTTTCCTAGGAGATTGTACCATGCACCCCTGTTAGAAAGAGCCACTTGATCTCAGCACAAAAGGACATCTGAGAAAAGAAAGGACTCTAGATATCACAGATTAATGTAGGGACAAATAAAGCTAGCCGCAGTGGTTCCTTGATGGTGTTGCCTTTTTTGACAGAGACGCTGTGATTCTCTGCCCATAAAGATGAACTTCAAACATCCAAAAGGGCTTAAATTATATTTGGCACACATTTTTTGAAGAGGTGGGATAACACGTAATCCATTTATTTTAAATGCTTTCACCAAAATGGTTAAGATAAAAACAATTTGGGACAAACACACAATTCTAGACAAAACTTTAATTCTTAGAAAAGTCCCTGATAGGCTGGGCATGGTGGCTCACGCCTGTAATCCCAGCATTTTGGGAGGCCGAGCCGGGAGGATCACGAGGTCAGGAGATCGAGACCATCCTGGCTGACACGGTGAAACCCCGTCTCTACTAATAATACAAACAATTAGCCAGGCGTGGTGGTGGGCGCCTGTGGTCCCAGCTACTCGGGAGGCTGAGGAAGGAGAATGGCGTGAACCCGGGAGGCGGAGCTTGCAGTGAGCCGAGATCGCGCCACTGCACTCCAGCCTGGGCGACAGTGAGGCTCCATCTCAAAAAAAAAAAAAAAAAAAAAAGAAAAAAAAGAAAAGTCCCTGATAATGAAGACCATCATCCTCCAGGTGCCAAATAAACCCAGTGGTGCTGTGCTGCCCCTGACATGTGGACTGAGTCTTGTCTCCTTCCAGTTGACTGGAGCTAGGACTTGAGTTGATGTGAGCTAGGACTTGATCTGGTTTAGCCACAGGAAGAGGAAACAAGTTAAGCAAGTACTCCATACTCTGAAGTTAACTCATAGATTACAAGAAATAGAATCTGTTTCATTATGAAAACCAAGCCCTTCGTATTTGCCTCACTGGTGAAAATTCAATTGAGCAAACACTAGACAAGTGTTATGGCTGGCTCATAGTACTTGGGGCTGTCAGAAGAAACAATTACTTTGGGAGGTCATGTGAATACCTGGTTCTCATTCAGTGGAGACAATGCAAGGACATTATAGTCAAAGCAGATGGGATGTAGTTTCCATTGATTCATCTACTCAGGAAATATTTACTGAGGCCTATGGCATGCCAGCCTTGTGCAAGGTGCAGGCACACACAGGGGAATGAGATAGAGACAGACAAGGAGCTCCTGGTTCCATGCAGACAGCACGACCTCAGAGATGTCTGTCTCACCCTTCTCCATGGAGTGAAAGCTCAAGCAGAAGAGATCTGCTGTCATGAGAGAAAGAGGCCAGAGGTGGAAAATGGCACCCCCTGCAAATCCCATTAAAACAAATCCCAATATGGCAAGTCAATTATATAATAAATCAGTATTACCAAATGCTAGGCACTTATTCAGTTACAGAATAAGCACATTCAAGGCAATCCAAATATCAAGACTTCAGACTGTATTCCAGAGTTCCAGGAATGAGGATTTGACATAAATCTCCACCCATGAACAAGGAAACTTTAGAATGCTCTGGGAGGATGGCTGGGAGGGATGCCACCCTATGGAACTGAGACAGCCCATAATGTTCTCTGCAAGTGAATGGGAGACAGAGAATCTCCACAGGAAACCTCAAATAACCCCAACCACCATCTGCTCTCCATGGGGGCCCCTTCAGCCCTTTTGCAACATTTCCACTTCATCTAATTTAGGCTGGGCACGCTGGGGAGGACCAGGGGTGCCTCGGAATACAGCATCAAAAGCATCCATCCTGCTTCCTGACTTGCCCTAGATTTGCTTAAAATGTAGAGGTGGCAAAGAGAAATCAGGGCAATAGTAACAGGCTGTTATTCAGAAAACTATCAAGGAAGAATAAAATCAAGTGGAAATGGGACTGACTCCATCTCCAACTGATATTACTGCGAGTTAATTTTCTTCATCAATGCTGGGAGAACAATAGCAATTCTACACCATGTGTTTGGGGAACGTTCTGCTCAACTAGTTAATTAGTTCACAATACAATCTGAGGCTTTGAGGGTGACACAGACATCTAGAAGAAGCGTGGTCCCTGGAGCCAAGCGGATCTGCCTCTCTTTCTGCTGGCTGTGCAGTGAGGAGCAAATTTCCTGTCTCAGTTTCCTCATCTTGCATGGAGTGTTGTTGTGAGGATCCAATGAGATGATGCACTTACACTAGCACTTAGTGCAGTGCCTGGCTCAACACATTTAATTACTGGAATTGGGGCCCCTATTTGGAGTGTCCACCCCATACCCAGAGGAAGCTTAGCACCCAGCGCAAATTAAGGGTCTAAGAAATGGTGGGTGTTTAGTCTCCCTCGCCTGTTTCTGAGTATCGTGATGCTTTTTTTTTTTTTTTTTTTTTTGGAGACAGGGTCTCACTCTGTCATCCAGGCTAGAGTGCAGTGGCATGGTCATGGCTCACTGCAGCCTCGACCTCCTGGGCTCAAGCAAACCTCCCACTTCAGCCTCCTGAGTAGAGGGATTACAGGCATGCACCATCAGGCCCAGCTAATTTTTTAGTTTTTGCAGAGATGGGATCTTGCTATGTTGCCCAGGCTGGTCTCAAACTCCTCCCTCCTTGGCCTCCCAAAGTGTTGGGATTATAGGCATGAGCCACCAAGCCTGGCCTTGTGATGTTTCTTTAAAGGCAGAGAAATGAAAACACTCAATTCTGAAAAGCTGGTCTTCTGTATCTTTTGATCCCATCCATCCTCTTAATCACTAGAGGGCTTTCCTGCTCCTCCAAAATGCTCCCTTTGACCTCTGTCCTCCATGTTTCCTTATGTCTTGCCTGCAAACCTCAGTGTTGTTCTTTCTTTTTAAGTGTGCCCTTACTGCATCTGTGTTTCATAACCTACATTTTCCCCATGACAAAGCCTCTCCTCTTTTCATGGAATATCAATTATTAGAAAGAAAAACCTGCACAGATGGATGTAGTTTAGCAGTGGGTTTCTCTCTACCTCCCAATCAACATGGAGTTGTTCACAGAGGAGTCACTACAAATGTTTTGCAAGGTAAATGTTTGCAAAAAGTGTCTTTAAGAATGGAGCTCCCGGCTGGGTGCGGTGGCTCACGCCTATAATCCCAGCAATTTGGGAGGCCAAGGCGGGCAGATCACGAGGTCAGGAGATGGAGACCATCCTGGCTAACATGGTGAAACCCCATCTCTACTAAAAAATAAAAAAAATTAGCCAGGTGTGGTGGCGGGCACCTGTAGTCCCAGCTACTCGGGAGGCTGAGGCAGGAGAATGGCGTGAACCTGGGAGGCAGAGCCTGCAGTGAGCTGAGATCGCTGCACTCCAGCCTGGGGGACAGAGTGAGACTCTGTCTCAAAAAAAAAAAAAAAAGGAGTTCTCTTTCCCAAAATGAAATTGATTTTATTCTTAAATAACAGCATTCTTGCCAACGTTTAGGTAAGTACATAATAATGCAATTCTTAACATAGCTACCACTGCTTTTCTGATGGTCTTCTCCTTCTCCCCTGCCAGCACTGGTAACTCCAGGACTCTCTCCATAGACTCTGTTTCAAACCTCACTTCCTAAATCATCTTCAGGAGCACTCTACCCCACCGAGAAGAGGGTATTGGCATGTCTTTTACCCTTCATGCATCACTGTCTGCATGGAACTCATAAATAATGAGGCATTTGGCATGCCCAGTGTTCTGCATTCCAGGTTTAAGAGCAGCCTTTCCCCCAGAAACAGGCTTTTGGGCATTATCCAAAATCAACATGGATGGTATCCAACAAGACCTTAGAGATGCTATTTTTCTTTGACTGTGCTGTGTCAACTGGCTACTGTATAGGACTTGATACATTTTTAATGACTGTACTGAGTTTCCTCTGAACTTGTCACTTTTCACCATTTCCAGTTAGTGGGTCTTAATTTCCCATAGGAAAACCTTTAGCCAGCCATAGAGTTCATTCTTTACCGGTTCGATTCTCATTAATTAAATATCCTAAGTGGAAAAGCTCTTGCGCCTACTGATTGGGACACCCAGAGGGAAATCAACAAGAATGGAATAAAATCTCCATGCACCCCATCAGGAAAACCTTGACTGCTCCATGATCAAACTGGATGCAATTTAAAAAAATAATATCATGTGGGGCCCTCTAACTCTTTCTTGAGATTCTGATTAAAAATCTAGGTGATAAGATCACTTGGTTCACATATCTCAGAGACAAGAGGAACCTCGGCACTTGAGCCAAGGGACAGGAAAGAGGTCAAACATAGAGATGAATGGCAGGTGACACTCAGCCTAGGCAGGTGGGACCAGAAGAAGCACTGAGCTCCCTGTATTATTCTGTTTTCATGCTGCTGATAAAGGTACCCGAGACTGGCAAAAAAGAGGTTTAATGGACTTATAGTTCCACATGGCTGGGAAGGCCTCACAGTCATGGCAGAGGGCAAGGAGGAGCAAGTCATGCCTTACATGGATGGCGGCAGGCAAAGAGAGCTTGTGAAGGGAAACTCCTGTTTTTAAAACCACCAGATCTCATGAGACACATTCACTATCACGAGAATAGCATGGGAAAACCCACCTCCATGATTCAATTACCTCCCACTGGGTTCCTCTCATGACACGTGGGAATTGTGAGAGTTACAATTCGAGATGAGATTTGGGTGGGGACACAGCCAAACCATATCATTCTGCCCTGGCCCCTCTCAAATATCATGTCCTCACATTTCAAAACCAATCATGCCTTGCCAACAGTCCCCCAGAATCTTAACTCATTTCAGCATTAACTCAAAAGTCTACAGTCCAACATCTCATTGGAGACAAGGCAAGGCCCTTCTGCCTATAAGCCTGTAAAATCAAAAGCAAGTTAGTTACTTCCTAAATACAATGGGGGTTCAGGCATTGGGTATACCCACTCCAAATGGGAGAAACTGGCCAAAATAAAGGGGTTACAGGCCCCATGCAAGTCTGAAATCCAGCAGGGCAGTCCAATCTTAGAGCTCCAAAATTATCTCCTTTGACTCCATGTCTCACATCCAGGTCATGCTGATGCAAGAGGTGGGTTCCCATGGTCTTGGGCAGCTCTGCCCCTGTGGCTTTGCAGGACACAGCCTCCCTCCCGGCTGCTTTCATGGCTGGTATTGTCTGGCTTTTCCAGGCACATGGTGCAAGCGGTCGGTGGATTGACCATTCTGGGGTCTGGAGGATAGTGGCTTTCTTCTTACAGCTCTGCTATGTGGTGCCCCAGTAGGGGCCCCCAGTAGGGACTCTTTGTTGGGGCTACAACCCCACACTTCCACACTGCCCTAGCAGAGGTTCTCCATGAGAGCCCCGCCCCTTCAAGCAAACTTCCACCTGGACATCCAGGCATTTCCACCATCCTCGGAAATCTAGGCAGAAGTTCCCAAACCTCAATTCTTGACTTCTGTGCACCTGCAGGCTCAACACCACACGGAAGCTACCAAGGCTTGGGGCTTGCACCCTCTGAAGCCACAGCCTGAGCTGTACCTTGGCCCCTTTTAGTCATGGCTGGATTGTCTGGGACACAGGACACCAAATCCCTAGACTGCACACAGCACGGGGACCCTGGGCCTGGCCCACAAAGCCATTATTTTCCTAGGCCTCCGGGCCTGTGATGGGAGGGGCTACTGTGAAAACCTCTGACATGCCCTGGAGATATTTTCCCCATTGTCTTCGGGATTAACATTTGGCTCCTCGTTACTTATGCAAATTTCTGCAGCCAGCTTGAATTTCTCCTCGGAAGATGGGATTTTCTTTTCTATCATATTGTCAGGCTGCAAATTTTCCAAACTTTATGCTCTATTTCCCTTATAAAACTGAATGCCTTTAACAGCACCTTCAATAGCACCTCTTGAATGCCTTGCTGCTTAGAGATTTCTTTTGCCAAACACCCTACATCATCTCTCTCAAGTTCAAAGTTTCACAAATCTCTAGGGCAGGGGCAAAATGCCTTGAGTCTCTTTGCTGAACATAACCAGAGTCATCTTTGCTCCAGTTCCCAACAAGTTCTTCATCTTTGTCTGAGACCACCTCAGCCTGAACCTTATCGTTCATATCACTATCAGCATTTTTGTCCAAGCTATTCAACAAGTCTCTAGGAAGTTCCAAACTTTCCCACATTTTCCTGTCTTTTTCTGAGCCCTCCAAACTGTTCCAGTCTCTGCCTGTTACCCAGTTCCAAGGTTGTTTCCACATTTTCAAGTATCTTTTCAGCAATGCCCCACTCTACTGGTATCAATTTACTCTATTAGTCTGTTTTCATGCTGCTGATAAAGACATATCCGAGACTGGGAAGAAAAAAAGGTTTAATGGACTTACGTTCCACATGGCTGGGGGGCCTTACAATCATGGCAGAAGACAAGGAGGAGAAGTCAAGTCTTACATGGATGGTGGCAAGCAAAGAGAGCTCATGCAGGGAAACTCCTGTTTCTGAAACCATCAGATCTCATGAGACTCATTCTCTATCATGAGAATAGCACAGGAAAGACTCAACCCCATAATTCAATAACCTCCCATCAGGTTCCTCCCATGACACGTGGGAATTGTGGGAGTTACAATTCAAGATGAGATTTGGGTGGGGTAAGAGCCAAACCATATCACTCCCCAAAGGGATCATCTGTAGCTCATCTTCAGTGAATGGCTGGCACAGAGGAATGTGGGCCTGACATTGCCAGATTTTCCATTTTCCCAAGAGAAATCAGAAATCTATATTTCGACTGGGAAATCTGATGTTAAAAAGTTGACAGTGAATTCAGGTTTTCTCAAGCACTCTGAGGTCCACAGCAGTGAGGTGGAGCTGGCTGGGAAAGGCGCCTGAGAGCTGACTGTGCACATCTCTTCTCTATTCTGCCTTCTGCCTTCGGGAACTTCACTTTTATGGCTTGAAACCAGCCATTGTGGGAATATTTACACCACAGAAATAGGCAAATGCTATGAATCAGAGCTTTCTTTCTTTCTTTCTTTCTTTTTAAGCTTGTTGTTAAACATTTACCAACTCATCAACATCTGTGGACCTAATAAAGCATGTTGCCTTTGGTCCAAGGCCAGTGGCAATTTCTAATTTAAACTTAAGCAAGAAGCCAGCCTGGGCAACATGGTGAAACCCTGTCTCTACTACAAATACAAAAATTAGCCAGGCATGGTGGCACACACCTGTAATCCCAGTTACCCGGGAGGCTGAGGTGTAAGAACCGCTTAAACCCAGGAGGTGGAGGTTGCAGTGAGCTGAGATCACACCACTGCACTCCAGCCTGGGTGATAGAGCGAGACTCTGTCTCAAAAATTAAAAAATAAAAATAAATAAATAAATAAACTTAAGCAAGAAGTAGCATTGAATCACCAAGAAGCAATATTATATATTCCAAAATCAGCATTTACAGCCAAGTATACATGGCATGCTGAAACCACAGGGTAGGTGGTGGGCTAAGCACCAGAAGGACATCATCACTAGCTGAGAAGGCAGAGACAAGGGAGCAGGGCGGGAACTCTGAACAAAGTCCCCTACACTGTACAAAGGGTACTCTATAAATAGGACATTTCCAAATGCTTGCTTCTTCCCCCACTGCTCTAAGGGACTGTGGTAAATTATGCTGCCAATGATGACCCTCAGCACCTGGCAACATCCTGAAATGGCTTCTGAATCATCACAAAGAGCTGAGATTATGCTGCGCAGTGATTGAGCAACGAGAGTGTTGCAAGTCCGTTTTCAAACAACTACAAGTGGATGAATGCTCTATCATGAGAAGCGGGGATGGAGGCAGTGGCAGGTTCCCTTTTTCTCTTCATTCAAAACTAGCCTAACCTTGGTCTGGTTCTCAATTCCTGTTTTCTGCTACCCGGAGCCTTTGGCAGTCTGGGGAAGTGTATTGGTCCCTTCTTAGAATAATTTATTTTTAATGAATGAAATAAAATGTATAAAATTACAAAAGCAGCTGTATTAAAACACAGTTACTAAACAATGAAATAAATGTGCGACACATTAAATGTGCTTTGTTATTAAACCACGAAATAATGGCCTGGGCAAGTGGCTCTTGCCTGTAATCCCAGCACTTTGAAAGGCTGAGGCAGGCAGATTGCTTCAGCCCAGGAGTTTGAGACCAGCCTGGGCAACATAGTGAGGCCCCATCTCAATAAAAAAAAAAAATATATATATATATATATATATATATGTATATATATATGTATATATATATAAAATGAAATAATAAAATTAAGGCTAATAACCACCATGATTTTAAGGTAGTGGTGAGGGTGAAGGATAAGGGATCTGCCCTGACTATCAGGTGGAGGGAATGGATCTGTGATTTCACTGGTGCCAAAGCTACAGGCCCTGCTCATCCTATGTCAGGGTTGTTACCTACATTCATCATTCATCATTGGAAGATATGCTCAAGGTTAGTCCCTCAGGGGTTAGTTGGATGCCAGTAAATATAAAGATGGAATTATTTTACCATCTACATTTATAGATGCTCTGAATTCTATTCATGGGCCCGGCTTAAGAACTCCTGCAGTCAGGTTGGGCCAATAGTAAGAACTCAATAAATTCTGACTGAACCAAACTGAGGTTTACATTTGATATGGGATGAGTGCTGGGTGTGGTTCTAAGGAGATAAGCAGGGAAGAAAGACACCATTCAAACCAAGCATGGGACCCCCAGACGTCTTCCTTAGTATACAACCTGGCAGCCCTGTTTCTTCAAAGCAATAGCCTGCAAAATATATTCATCAGTAACATCAAATAAAACACAAAAACATCCACTGATGACAAAAAGAAATACTGAACCGGGGCCATAGGTTTTATTTCAGTTTTCACTAGAATTTTGACTATCTTGGAGGCTACCCACCACTTCTCCCAGTTTAAATCATGGCTGAACAAAGTTTGAAACAAAGTTTTACCACCTACTAGCTGTGTGGCTTTGGGCAAGCTATGTAACCTCTGTGCTTCAGTTTTCTCACCTATAGAATGGGGGAAAATAATAGTCCTACCCCATAGGATGAAAGTTTATCTATGTAGAGCTCTTTGTATAGTACCACAGGAGAGGAAAAATATAGTATATGTTAGCAGTGAGAATAAGATTATTGCAAATTAGCTGACAATATTTAAATTTAAAAATTCTCCAAAACTTGGCAGTACCTATAAAATATTTAAAATTTAAATACTACAGTGAAAATATGGTGTATAAAGCAGTTGTGCTAGCAAATAATTAGCAATAACCTATGTCTTACAATAGGAAGAATGGTTAAATTAATGAATATCCATATCATAGTTAAGTATCCTGGGCAACCTCACAAAGATACAAGAACTACGAATGAACATGCCCCAACTAATTCTATAGATCTATAGTATTATCCTGATACCAAAACAAGACAAAGGGCATAAGAAAAGGAAAAAGGGCACAAGAAAAGGAAAAAGGTAGATAGATAGATATAAATTTATATATTATATATTTATATAATATCTATATAATATATAATATATAATATATAATATAATATATAATATAAAGTATATAATATATAATATATATAATTTATATAATATATAATATATAATTATATAAGTATATATATATTATATATAAGTATATATAATATATAAATTTATATACATAAATAAAATATATATATATATTTTTTTTTGAGACAGAGTCTCACTCTGTCACCCAGGCTGGAGTGCAATGGCATGGATCTCAGCTCACTGCAACCTCCGCCTCCCGGGTTCAAATGATTCTCCTGCTTCAGACTCCTGAGTAGCTGGGAGTATAGGCATGTGCCACCATGCCCGGCTAATTTTTGTATTTTTAGTAGAGACAGGGTTTCGCCATGTTGGCCAGATTGGCCTCAAACTCCTGACCTCAGGTGATCCACTCGCCTCGGCCTCCCAAAGTGCTAGTATTACAGGAATAAGCCACTATGCCCGGCCTATTTCTTTTGAATACTGATGCAAAAATCCTAAACAAAATACTAGCAAACCAAATGCAGCAACATATTAAAAAAATTATACACCATAATCAAGTAGGACTTATCTCAAGATTGATTTAATATCCGAAAATTAGGCTGGGCACAGTGGCTCACACCTGTAATCCTAGCACTTTGGGGAGGCCAAAGTGGGTGGATTGCTTGAGGTCAGGAGTTCAAGACCAGCCTGGCCAACATGGTGAAACCCCATCTCTACTAAAAATACAAAAAATTAGCTGGGCGTCGTGGCACACGCCTGTAATCTCAGCTACTCCAGAAGCTGAGGCACAAGAATCGCTTGAACCTGGGAGGCAGAGGTTGCAGTGAGCCAAGATCACGCCACTGCACTTCAGCCTGGGGGACAGAGTGAAACTCCATCTCAAAATAAATAAATAAATGAATAATAATAAAAAACAAAAATCAATGCAAAACATTATATAAATAGCATAAAAAATAAAACCACATGATCATCTCAATAGATGTGGAAAAAGAATTTGGCAAAAATCTAACAGCTCTTTGTGATAAAAACATTCAACACACTAGAAATAGAAGGGATCTTTCTCAACCTGGTAAAGGCCATCTACAAAACCAATTTCATACTCAATAGTGAAAGACTGAAACTTTCCTTCAAGATCAGGAATAAGATAAAGAGGCCCACTCTTATCATCTCTATTCGACATTGCAGTGGGAGTTCTAGTCAAGCATGAAATAAAGGAAATAAAAGAAATCCAGATGGGAAAGAAAGAACTAAAACTATCTGGACACACAGGTGACATATTCATGTATATAGAAAATCCTAAGGAACTGACTGAAAATTTTTAGAGTTAATACATTAGCGTAGCAAGGCCACAGGATACAAGACCAACATGCAAAAACTAATTCCATTTCTACACACTTGCAATAAACAATTCAAAATAAAATCAAGAAAACCATTTCATTTGCAATAGGATTAAAATAATGAATGACTTAAGAAATTTTTTTAAAGTCCAAAACTTATGCTCCAAAAAACTATAAAACATTGTTTAAATAAATTAAAGGATCAAAATAAATGGAAAGACATCCCATGTTCATAGATTGGAACACTTAATATTGTTAAGATGGCAAAATTCCCCAAATTAATTCAATGTAAGTCTTCTTTGCAGTAATTGATAAACTGATGTTAAAATTCACATGAAGTTCAAGGGACCCAGAATAGCCAAAACAATCTTGGGGGAAAAAAAACCAACAACATTGGAGGACTCACACTTCCTGATTTCAAAATTTACTACAAAGCCACAGTAATCAAGACACTAGAATAAGGACAGACAGATAGGTCAATGGAATAGAATTGAGAGTCCAGATGTCAATTTCATGTTTATGGTTAATTGATTTTTGTCAAGTGTGCTAAAACAATTAAATGGGGCTAAGACTAGTGATTTTTGTCAAGTGTGCTAAAACAATTAAATGGGGCTAAGACTAGTCTTTTCAACAAATGATGCTGGAACAACTGGATATCCACATGCAAAAGAATTAAGTTGGATCCTGTCTTAGTCCATTCTGTGGTGTTATAACAAAATACCGCAGACTGGGCAATTTACAAAGAACAGAAATTTACTTCTTAGAATTTTGAGGCTTCAAAGTCCAAGATCAAGACACTGACAGTTTGAAAGGGTCTTCTTGCTGTCATCACAGGAGGGAATACATCACATCGTGGAAAGGCAAGGAGAGAGAGAAGGAGGCCAAACATGCCCTTTTATAACACAATTAATCCCATCCAAGTGGGCAGAGCCCTCATCACCTAATCACCTCTTAAAGGTCCCACCTCTTTATATTGTTATAATGGCAATTAAATTTCCATGTGAGTTGTGGAGGAAACAAACACTGAAACCACAGCAGACCCATGTTTCATACCATGCACAAAAATTAACTCAAAATGGATCAACAACCTGAATGTAAGAGTGAAACTATAAAACTCTTAGAAGAAAACATAAGTATAAATCTTCATGACCTTAGATTAGGTAATGGTTTCTTACAATATGACACTAAAAGCATAAGCAACAAAAGGAAAAATAGAACTCTATCCAATAAATTGGACTTTATCAAAATTTAAAGCTTTGGTGCTTCAAAGAACATCAAGAAGATAGTGAAAAGACACCCACAGAAGGGGGAAATATTTGCAAATCATATATCAGTTAATGGACTTGAACCTAGAATATATAAAGCACTTTCATAACTCAGTAATAAAAGGACAAATAACCCAATTAAAAGATGGGCAAAGAATCTGAACAGATCTTTCTTTTAAGATAGTATACAAATGGCCAATAAACACACAAAAATGCTCAGTATCATTTGTCATTAAAGAAATGCAAATCAAAACCACAATATTATACTATTTCACATCCAAAGAGAGATAGTAAAGTGTTGGAAAGGGTGTGGAGAAATTGGAACCCTTGTACACTGTCGGTGGGAATATACAATGTTATAGCCATTTTGGAAGTTTGTCCAAAGATAAAGAATAGGGTTACTACATGACCTAGCAATTCCAAACCTACATGCTCAAGAGAAATGAAAACATATGTCCACACAGAAAACTTGTGTTCTGTGGACATACGTTTTTATAAACTTATTCGACATTGTATGGTATTATTCATAGTAGCTAAAAAGTGGAAACAATGTAAATGTCCATCAACTGATTAACTGATAAATAAAATGTGGTACATTCATGTAGCAGAATATTATCTGGCAACAAAAAGGAGAGAAGTACTAATACATGCTACAACTTGGCTCACTTGAAAACATGCTAAGTGAAAGAAGTCAGTCACAAAAGCCCACATGTTGTATGATTCCATTTATATGAAATGTCCAGAATAGGCAGATCTATAGAAATAGAAAGTAGATTATTGGTTGCCTAAGGCTGGAGGGGATAGTGTCTTAGTTCATTATGTGTTGCTCAGGTAACACAATACCTGAGACCAGATAATTAATAAAGAAAAGAGGAGGCCAGGCACGGTGGCTCATGCCTGTAATCCTAGCACTTTGGGAGGCCGACATAGGCAGATCATCTGAGGTCAGGAGTTCAAGACCAGCCTGGCCAACATGACAAAACCCTGTCTCTACTAAAAAAAAAAAAAAAATTAGCTGGGTGTGGTGGCATATGCCTATAGTCCCAGCTACTGGGGAGGCTGAGGCAGGAGAATCACTTAAGCGCAGGAAGCAGAGGTTGCAGTGAGCTGAGATCATGCCACTGCACTCCAGCTCGGGCAACAAAGTGAGACTCTGTTTTGAAAAAGAAAACAGGTTTATTTAGCTCATGGTTTTGCAGGCTGGGAAGTTCAAGATTGAGCAACTGAATCTAGTGGCTTCTGGCAAGAGCTTCACACTGCATCAAAATATGGTGGAGAAATGGAAAGGAAAACAGGCAAAATATGAGAGGCAACCTCCCTTTATAACAATCCACTCTCACTGGAACTAATCCATTCCTGAGAGAACCAACCCAGTCTGGAGAGAAAGACATTAATGGATCTTAATGTCCTCATCATTCCTTCAAGGCGCCACCTCCCAACACTGCCACACTGGGACCAAGCCTCAACATGAGTTATCGTGGGGACAAACCATATTCAAACCATAACAGGGGGCAAACGCTAAAGGGTATGAGGTTTCTTTTTTCAGAACTTGAAATGTCCTAAAATTGATGGTGATGATGGTTGCAAAACTCTGTAAATATGCTAAAAACCACAGAATTGTATACCTTAAATAGATGAATTTTATGGTATGTGAATTATACATTGATAAAGCTGTTAAAGAAGAACCATCAGTAGGTGTAAAAAATGAATTTGCAAAAACTACATAAAGAACCACATATATGTGTGAAGGACCTCATGTGTGTGTGCTTGGGCTTACATGTTTGTGGATGAGAAAACAATTCTGGAAAGATCCACATCCAACTCTTGGAGTTGGTTATTTCCGGAGAGTAGGATGGGGGAGCAAAGGGAGACTGGTTTTTTACTTTAAATACTTTGAAATGATTTGAAAATGCATCCAAATGCATACATATTAAGAATTTTTTAATGGAAAAAGTATTTTTAAAAAGAAAACCCACCTTGCAGTTAATAATTGAAGTTAAAGTTTGGGGAGAGAGGACCACGCACTCACAATCTTGTGTTTCCAAATTTTGCCTTTGGCCTAGAACTTCCCAACTAATGGAAATCACCACATATTTTCAATTTCTGAAACCTGGACTTATTCCTCTTTGGTCCCAGTGCTCAGCACTGAGCCCTTCGCAGTGCCTGAAAGGCTTGCGGAAAGAAGAGAACCAAAGAGACTCTTTCTTCTGGCAGATTCTCATCCTTTGGTTCCCTTTAGGGCAGTCATTCTCTCCCAGGGGGCATTTGGAGAGTTTTGGTTGTCACAACTAGGGGCACACTGTCAGGGGTGGTGCCAAGCACCCTAGGATGCACAGGACTGCCCCACAACAGAGGAGACTCTGGTCCAAAATGCCAGTTGTGTTGAGGTGGAGAAACCTTGCTCCAGGGTCACAGATTTTTTTTAAGGGAATGGACATGGGCCGGTTAGCTATTTAGGGCTTTCTCTTAGCCCTGGGGAATCCAAAACAGGTGATCCCAGACAGTCTAGGGTGAGGAGTATCCTAACGGGGAACCCTGGGGCTGGGGATACAAAGAAGAAAGAGAAAAAACAATACTGAGTTTTATTACTGTTGCTGTTGTTAAAAGGATGATGGCTGCAAATATAAAAGCAAGTCTGAAAACCTGTTATTCCTGATCCCATCCTCCTAAGATAGTAACAATAAAACATTTTTTTTTGACATCTGGAACCTCTAGTCCTAACCTCTTTCCTGAGCGTCATACTTCTTTTTTTCCAATTTTTTAAATGTATTTATTTATTTATTTGAGATGGAGTCTCACCCTGTCACCCAGGCTGGAGTACAATAGAGTGATCTCGGCTCACTGCAACCTCTGCCTCCTGGGTTCAAGCAATTCTCCTGCCTCAGCCTCCCAAGTAGCTGGGATTACAGGCACCCGCCACCAGGCCCGGCTAATTTTTTTGTATTTTTAGTAGAAATGGAGTTTCACCATGTTGGCCAGGCTGGTCTCGAACTCCTGACCTCAGGTGATGCGCCCGCCTCAGCCTCTCAAAGTGCTGGGGTTACAGGTGTGAGCCACCACACCTGGCCTTCAATTGTTTATTGAATGTCTCCATTCCAAGGTCCCAACGGCTCCCTAAATTCAATACCTTCAAAACTCAACTAGGGATCCCTCCAGCCGTCCTCACTTTGGTATCCCGTCCTCAGACAACAATAGCATTGTCCACCAAGTGACTCTCACTAGTGTGTGTCCAGGGACAACCCTCCCTCCTTCTCTCCCTCATCTGCAAAGAGTCTTCTGCTTTGGGACCTGTTTCCTTCTCCACTTTCAGTTGTGTGCCTCCCAACACACCCACTCCCTGCTCACACCAGAGGTGGACGTGTGACCTTGACCTCACTCATTAAGTGTCTGTCATGAAAACATGACCCAGGCAGGGCCTGCAGAGCTCTTCTCAGGGGCTCCAGGAGCCAGGATCTTTTTCTTTCTGAGTTCCTGGGTACTGCTTTCTGACACATTACTAGCTGGAATAAAGACTTCATTTCTTAGCCATTCTTGCAGCCGTGTGACAAAGTTCTGGTCAATGAAATATAAGGGGAAGTAACTGGAATTTCTGGGAAGCCCCTTATAGGAGACACTATTTGTGCCCCATCCAGATTCCTCTAAACCCCTTGAGCCTTGTGAGTCCATCTCCCAGCAGTTGCAGGCTCTGCTGCTAATGGCTCACACCTGTGACTGCACACAGGTGAGACCTGGGTGGTGTAGGCCCCTCTACCCCACCAGCCACAGCCAATGATTGGCTGGTGTGGGAGTATAAAAACCCAGTTCCTTTGCCTCAAGGTGGGCCAAATTCTAAGGTGTAATTTATGCTCCATAAAATAACCTCATTTGACTTTTCCCTTTTCTCATCCTCAATTCCCTTTTCTCATCCTCAATTCCCTCACACTCCTACTAGTTTTTTCTGGGAGCACTTCCTTGATAAATCATTTCCTCCCAAATCCTTAGCCCAGAGTCTGTTTCTTAGAGAAACTGCCCAAAGACAGTGCCTCAAAAGGGAAGGGACACCCCCTCGCTCTCCCTTTCCTCCATCCTACTACCTAGCATGTCGACGTGATGGCCAGCACACCAGCAGCCATGTTGAACCTGAGCACTAGGGTTACACCACCGAGCTGAAGAGGCCCAACTCCTGGTTGACTTTGTGCAGTCCCCACAGCAACTCTGAACTGCCTACATGCAGTACCTGCAGGGCAGACCTCTTCTACGGGATAGAGTAAAACCCTGTGTGCTTTCGCTACTTTTCAGGGCTTTGTAACACTGAAGGCAAACAAAATTCCTAAGCAATATGCTTCCTTAACAGCTGTGTGGACTTGGGAAAGTTACTCACTCTTTTTGAGCCTGACTTTCTCTAACTCATAGGATTGTTGAAAGAATGAGCAGGTCATGATCTCTTCCCAAACAGCCCCTAGGCCCCATGTCCTCCAGGAAAAATGTTCTTACTTAATTGAAGGAGTGATGATTGCTATTTTATCAGCTCCGGGAGCTCGGTCTTCACCCATTAGCCCATGAAATCAACTCACCCTTTGCTGAGTTCTCAGCACAACTACATCCCTGTGTATTCAAAGCATGCCTGCCTGCCTGCCTGCCTTCCCTCCCTCTCTTTCTTTCTCTTTTCTCCCTCTCTCTCTCTCTTCCTTCCTTCTTTCTGCACAACTACATCACTGTGTATTCCAAGCATGCCTTTTATTCTTTCTTTTTCTTTCTTTCCTTTCTCCTTTCTTCCTTCCTTCCTTCCCTCCCTCCTTCCTTCCTTCCTCTCTTTCTTTTTTTTCTTTCTTTTTTTTTTTTTGAGACTGTCTTGCTCTGTCACTCAGGCTGGAGTACAATGGCATGACCTTGGTTCACTGAAACCTCCACCTCCTGGGTTCAAGCTATTCTCCTCTTTTAGCCTCCTGAGTATTTGGGATTACAGGTGTGCGCCACCATGCCCAGCTAATTTTTGTATTTTTAGTGGAGACCGGGTTTCGCCATGTTGGCCAGGATGGTCTCAAACTCCTGACTTAGGTGATCTGCCCACCTCGGCCTCCCAAAGTGCTGGGATTACAAGCTTGAGCCACTGTGCCTGGCCCTTTTATACATTTCTTTATACAGCTGCTGTTACTGGGTCACAGTCTGTTAAAGAAACTAAGTCCTCTCAAAATATGGTAGGTTGAGAAATAGTATAGCGTGTCTCTATTCCAAATATCAGATATGTAACATCTGGAGCCAAAAGGATCAGCAGCTAGAAGGAATAAGACAGGCTTTACTGAGGAAAATGATAAATGTAGCCTAAGTTCAGTTTTTAGATTTTGAGCCCTAAAGAAAGGTTTCGTGATTCTGTTGGGAATGGGAGTGGCTTATAGTAAACAGGCAGAGAAATTGAAAGGGAAGCAACCCCACAAGCGAGCAAGATTTAATGAAGAAAATCCATGTTAAGAGAGAAGAGAGAGATCACAATAAGATACTATCAATAACTATCACATGATAATAAAAAGGATGGCAGCAGGAGAATAGCAAAGAGGAATGCCAGGCCAGTGCCTGACACACAGTAGGCTGCTGAAATAGTATCTGCTGAAAGCACTGTCAGCAGACGGCCATCAGACAATGGAGAAAAGAATTAGTGAGCTGGTAGAGAATCAAATCCACAATATCAAAGTAAGCAAATAGATGAAAACAAAGCAAAAGTACCTAGTAGACTTTTTAAAACACGAATACCCAACTTGAGAATAATAAGTATGACAAGATAAAAATGCAGGGATTCTCTGAACTAACATTAAGGAAATATTTGAAGAAAAATTCCCAGGATTGGCCGGGCATGGTGGCTCACACCTGTAATCCCAGCACTTTGGGAGGCCGAGGCGGGCGGATCACCTGAGGCCAGGAGTTCGAGACCAGCCTGGCCAACATGGCGAAACCCTGTCTACACTAAAAGTACAAAAAATTAGCCCGGCGTGGTGGTGAGTGCCTGTAATCCCAGCTACTCAATAGGCTGAGGCAGGGGAATTGCTTGAACCCGGGAGGCGGAGGCTGCAGTGAGCTGAGATCGCACCATTGAACTCCAGCCTGGGCAATGAGAGAGAAACTTCGTCTAAAAAAAAAAAAAAAAAAAAGCCAGGTGCGGTGGCTCATGCCTGTAATCCCAGCACTTTGGGAGGCTGAGGCGGGCGGATCACGAGGTCAGGAGATCGAGACCATCCTGGCTAACATGGTGAAACCCCGTCTCTACTAAAAATACAAAAAATTAGCCAGGTGTGGTGGCGGATGCCTGTAGTCCCAGCTACTCGGGAGGCTGAGGCAGGAGAATGGAGTGAACTCGGGAAGCAGAGCTTCCAGTGAGCGGAGATCACGCCACTGCACTCCAGCATGGCAACAGAGCCAGACTCTGTCTCTAAGAAATAAAAAAAAAATTTTTTTTTAATCTCCAGAATAGAAAAACAATTGAGCAAGACATTAACTGCTCACAGAGTACCTTCCAAAACAATTCCAGAGAGAGAGACGCTCAGACAATATTTTATTTTTCCAGGAGGTACACTGTTAGTTGTCTACACACTATCATTGCTACACAATATTGACTTCCCTTCTGTCTCAATAAAGAAACTCTAGCTGCATTTGAGATAGCATTGCGCTCACGTGCAGATGGGGGTTGAGGGACAATCTGACATGGTTTGCGCCAATGAGATAGCATTGAGCTCACGTACAGATGGGGGTTGGGGGACAATCTGACATGGTTCACGCCAATGAGTTATTGGAATTGTCCCAGAAAGTTCTTTTCAGCTGGCACACACCTTTTACCTCTTTCCTTCCCTCTTCCTGTCTTGATAGTGCTTACAATTTCTGTTTTATGAGCAAAAGAGAGACAGAGACACCATCTAAGCCTGGCAGAACAGAAAGACAGAAGGTTCTGGGACTCTGGTGGTCTTGTGGGACTATTATATCAGCCCTGGACCACAGACCTCTGAACTTCTTGCTATATGAGAAAAATAAATTTCTATGTGTTTAAACCATTGGTATTGGAGTTTCCTACTACATGCAGCCCAATGCAACCTGCAGTCAATATGCTTGTCATTTTGAAGAAGCAGTACTACAGGCAACAAAAAGGAACACTAGTACCTTGAGACCTAAGTACCAATAAAAGTGGCTAAAGAGTTAGGAGTAAGAAAAGCACCAGACAGAAAACACAGAAGAAATAGGTAACAAATGTGGTGTTATTTCCTCTTTCCTCCAACTCCACTAAGTATTAAATGGGGCATCATTTTCAGATCACAAAGGAAAAGTCATTCTCTCAAAGGTTCATTATTTTGCCTTTACTTTCTGTCTGAAGGCACAAGCAAAGCTTGAGGAGATCCAATGGGGTTTAAATGAATGATGAACCAAAGCCTAAGGGTCCAGAGGCATGAGAAGAATGAAACTAGAGAGAAAGATGGGAAGATCAAAAAAGATAAGTCTAGACCTGTTGTAGTGGCTCATGCCTGTAATCCCAGCACTTTGGGAGGTCGAGGTGGGCAGATCACCTGAGGTCAGGAGTTCAAGACCAGCCTGGGCAACATGGGGAAACCTTGTCTCTACTAAAAAAATACAAAAATTAGCCGAGCATGGTGGTGCACGCCTGTAATCCCAGCTACTCAGGAGGCTGAGGCAGGAGAATCACTGGAAACTGGGAGGTGGAGATTGCAGTGAGCCGAAATTGTGCCACTGCACTCCAGCCTGGGCAACAGAGCCAGACTCTGTTTCAAAAAAAGAAAAGTCCATAAACCACTGGAGAGGTTAAAGAGGTCATGGGCTCTCAGTTAAAAGATGTGATGATACAAGGTAGATTCCAAGATGTAAAAATGTCATTTAAAGAAGCATTTCCAGAGAAAAAGATACAACAAGGACCTGGGAGGCATGGAGGCTGGAGGAAATGGGTTGAACCCCAAGCTGAAAGATTCTGTATCACCAATAAACCGAGGTCTCAATTTTATTTATAAACATAAAAAATAGTGGTAGAAATGGTTTTTATCCTCAGATAGTTTAGATATGATTTCATTCTGATCACATTTAAATGACAAAAAGAACATCTAAGCCATCATAATAAAAATATAGAATTGAAAACAGACTTAAAAAATAAGAAAAATAGGATGAAGGAGGATAATACCAATGAAACCAAATATTAAGTCCATCAAATTTCCCTACAAAGATAAAATAATAAAATAAAAATACAAAAATGTGTTAAGTGGTTAATTTAAAAAAAATTACTAAAGATTACAACTAAAGAGATGGTCTAAAAGTCAGCAAGTATCTGCTAATATGATGCAGAAATTTAATCTTATCTCAGTTTAAAAATAGGTATTAGCATAGAAAGCATTCAGAGGTAAATAAAGGCAATACGATTATAATGAAATAGTAATAAAAATTATGCAAGTGATAAAAGCAATAGCACTGAATTTATATTCCCATAAACATACAATGAAATGCCATTTTGGGTGTGTCTTCTGTTTGGAGGGTGGTTGTGGATAATGTTTCCTCCAGGTCCAAAATTCAGTAACATAAGAGAAAAACCAACTGAAATAAATACAGACACCAGGATATACAGAAACAACAAATAAAAAGGAGAAATCTGCAAAATGCATATTCTCAAATCACTATGTGATAATTTTAGAAATAAGTCAAAGCATCACTATCTAGTCAATCTCACAAAACCTTTTTAAAAGCAATCATTCAAAATAACATTTGAGATGAGTTAAAGAGCTTAACAGAGAATGGATAAGAATCTTTATCTCAACCATGGAGGGGACCTGAATTTATGAAAAGCTATAGAAAACATGCTGCTGGTCAAAGTGAGTGTATTTGGCTCTATAAAAATCTTTTCTACATACCAAAAAATTTAAGCCAATAAAAAAGTGGCTGAACAAGATAAATATTTTAGACATATAAATATATCAAGTTCTTCTGCTCTGAAACAATCAAATAGATAAAAACTTGAGGCCAGGCGTGGCTCAATGCCTGTAATCCCAGCACCTTGGGAGGCCAAGGCGGGTGGATCACGAGGTCAGGAGTTCGAGACCAGCCTGGCCAATATGGTGACACCCTGTTTCTATCAAAAATACAAAAATTAGCCAGGTGTGGTGGTGCATGCCTGTAGTCCCAGCTACTCGGGAGGCTAAGGTGGAAGAATCACTTGAACCTGGGCAGGCGGAGGTTGCAGTGAGCCAAGATCGCGTCACTGCACTCCAGCCTGGGCTCCGTCCCCCCATCAAAAAAACAAAAAAATCTTGGTCGGGCGCAGTGGCTCACACCTGTAATCCCAGCACTTTGGGTGGCTGAGGTGGGCAGAGCACCTGAGGTCAGGAGTTTGAGACCAGCCTGGCCAACATGGTGAAATCCCATCTCTATTTTGTAATAATAGAAAAATTAGCTGGGCGTGGTGGCACGTGCCAGTAATCCCAGCTACTCCGGAGGCTGAGGCAGGAGAATTGCTTGAACCCGGGAGACAGAGGTTGCAGTGAGCCGAGATCGTGCCACTGCACTCCAGCCTGGGTGACAGAGTGAGACTCTGTCTCCAGAAAAAACAAAAACAAAAACAAAAAACACAACAACTTGAGGGGTCCTCTTGGCCCTTGAGGCAGCCCTTAAAATACCATGAACCCCACGGGCTCCGGGGAGCACAGTTCGAAAACCACAGCCCTGGCTGATCTTCAGGGCCCATGCCTTGTGATCTTCATCAGCTGCTTAAAAGGAGAGAAGACCCAAGACACAGAGAACCTTGGTGCCAACATGCCAAGAGTTAATAGGCAAAGTCAGGAAGTGACATCTGGGATCAAATATGTCTGAATTGGAGATGAAAGTCCTGGGGGCGGGTACCCCTCATCATGGTGATGGCAGAGAGGTTGCAGCTTTGAGAGGACTGCCGGTGGGAGGCAGAAGTCTCTGTTTGCATGGACTCCTGGGCGGTAGGCAGCACGCTACCCAAACCTTACACCCGTAGTAGCACAGACATCATCAGCCTCCCCTGAGATTCTGCTAACCAGACCACTTCTGTCTTCTTAGACTATCCTAGGTCACCTAAGGGCCACCACACTGTAAAAGAGACCACACGTGGTCACTTTAACTGGCGATCCTTCCCACAACGAGGACCCTAAAGGAAGAAAAGGCAAAGAAGTGGTGGTTCAGAGTGTAAGGTTTGAAGGGAGATGCCACACTGCTTCCAGCTGGGTGGCTTCAGACGGAGCACAGAAGCTCTTGGAGCCTCAGGATCCTTGTTTGCAACATGAGAGTATTAATAGTACCAATCTTATGGGGTTGTTGTTAGAACTAAACGTACACAAAGATGTGCACTGTGTTTAACCATGGTGAAATCCAAAATTTCATACTTTTATTTTATGCAATAGTAAAAAAAAAATCACATATAACCCCAAGTCCAACTCTTTGAGGATAGTTAAACCATTCTGCATTCATATAAACATGTGGAATTCTTGAGAAAGTGTATAGGAAATAATGTGAAAAAGCTAATAGTCCATACATACTTATAGATTTCAATAACTATGTGTAGTCGCAGAAATCAGAAGAGTTTAAGAGAGTGTAACTGCCCTTAGTTCCTTTTAGAAATAAGTGCATGCAAGGTTCACCCTCTGTGAACAAGCGTCCTTTAAGTGAACTATAAAAAGCAAGCTCTGCTACACTCAAGAGCGATGCTATGCGCTCCCTGTCCTCCCTCCCAAAGATAAGGAAGCCCAGAGCTCATGATCATCAAACCTTCAACTGGGGGACTCCACCCATCAGACCCGTCTGGCCAGCACAATGCTGTTTCAAAGTGAGACTCTGAATGCCTGTGTTGGGGCTGCTCTCTCCAGGGCACAAGGCCCTACTGCTCCCTAATGTCCTACACCCCGTTACACTCATTTACATTCACGGTCTGACCCCTGAGTTCATGGATTACAGTGTTTCCCTTTCAAGGAGAGGCGATTCGTTGAGAGACACAGGAGAGCTGATTAGAGAATGGGAAAAATATACCCTGAGCACCTAATTAGGCTTATAAGGATGACTCTCTGGCCAAAGGAAGACGCAGTAGGTATGCTGAAGGTCCTGGTATAATGTCTGGCAATTCACATCAGCTGAACCAAAAGAGGCAAAAAAGGCTGGAGGATGAAGGGAGGGCCGGGTTGTGACAGAGGTGCCTTCTGATGAGGTGATTTTCCCCACCGTCCTCGGCAGGACTGCGTGCTTCTGGGTCTGAACACAGAAATGTCCTCCTCTAATGGCTGAGATGTTCCCCAGGTGTAAAGTCATTAATGACTTTAATTAATGATCACCATCTTCCCCTACTCTTCTCTCCTTCCCTCTTTTTTTTTTTTGAGATGGAGTCTCACTCTGTCGCCCAGGCTGGAGTGCAGTGGTGCGATCTCGGCTCACTGCAACTTCCGCCTTCCAGGTTCAAGTGATTCTCCTGCCTCAGCCTCCCCAGTAGCTGGGACTACAGGCGTGCATAACCACACCCAGCTAATTTTTTGTATTTTTAGTAGAGACAGGGTTTCACCATGTTGGCCACAATGGTCTTGATCTCCTGACCTCATGATCTGCCCACCTTGGCCTCCCAATTCTCTCCTTCCTTCTAAGGGGAAAAGATTGTTGCTTGCTGGGTCAACTACCAGGACTGTCCTTTACTGTGGGGAATCCAGGAAATATGCTGAGAGAAAGCTAAATGATGTTGCAGAAGTGAAGTCAATCCTGATAACAGGGAGCACAGAGAGATGTGGGGAGATGGGACCAGGAGGGACAGAAAGACAGAGGGCTGATGGTTGGGAGAAAGTTGGGGAGGAGTTTAGGGATAAGAGGTTCCAGAACTCCTTTGAGATATGAGAGACTGGGAGAGGAGAAAAGGAAGAAGTTTCTTTGGTTATAAATTGGAGACTCTTTAAGGTTCTTTTAAGATGCAAGCAAAAATCAAATTTATTTTTCATTATTTGTGGCTAACAGACCATGCTTCTTTCAAAAGAAGACAGCTTCTTGGACAGGACCCCAAGGAGCCCAAGAATTATTTGGGTTAACACTCATACCAAACCCATCTCTCCTTCATAGAGAAAGGGATAGAGGGAAAGAGAGAACTGGATGGAATTTACGATAAAAGAAAAGGAAGCCATTCTATTTTATAATATAAACAAGAATTTCTAATGCAATGGGCTAAGATGAGCATATATGAATACTAAATGCTGGGCAATGGAGAGTGAGGGCTGTGTCCTACAACACAGCTCTAATTTCCAGATATTGAAATGTTCCCAGCAGGAAACAAATAATTGAACAAATCCAGGATTCTCAGAATGGACTGTCTGAGCTTCCCCACGAAATTTTAGAAGCTGGAAGAGGTATGGCCCTCTCACCCTATCCTGAGTGGAGGTAAGCTCTCACCAGCTACTCTTCCAGTTTTCTCATTCCCCACGACCACACATTGCTCCTCAGCTATAATTCCAAACGCACCTGCCATTGTTCGCATGAAACAACACATTAAAGTGCTTTAAAAGCCACTGCTATAACTGGAAACGGAGAGCAGTTGCAAAAATATTGAAGAAAAGCTTGCATTCTTACGGAATCTGGATGGAAAAAGATTTAAGCACGAAGACAATGGAAGAAAGCACAAGGAAAGGACTGAAATACGAAACTGAATTGAAATGAAAAACATTTCTCTATCTAAGTAATAAATAATAAATTATAGACATTGAGCAGAGAATAAAGGATGAAAAATATGACACATTCAGTCTTTAGACAGGGTCGAAATCTTTAAACTATAAAGCACACAGACACTTTGATTAACACAGCATTCCCCCTGCTCCCAGCAGAAAAATGGGGGAAGAATTAGTTGATTCAGAGAAGATGAACTGTAAGTATTTTTTAATCAACATTTTGAATCAATCAACTTTAATAGAAAATCAGAGCTATTAATTATAAGGAGATTCATTTTTGCCTAATTACAACAATCTGCTCATGTTATAATGGTTATATAGAAAGCAATGAGATACAAAATACATTTCAGTGATTTTAAGATACACCTTTCCCCCAAATTTTAATATCTCTGAAATCGAGATGCATCCCACAACAGGTAACATGTCAGAATTTAATTGGCAGTGTTTCTTTCTTGATGGTACATAAAATAATGATGCAGCTTAGATTTTAAAAATAGCACTTTAGGTTCAATATGTATGATATGATTTCCCAGACTATTTACAGTGTTTGTTGTTGGTTGGTAGAATTATGGATGATTTCTACTTTTTTTTTATACTTTCCCAGTCTTCCAAAATTAATATATATTTTGTCACTAGACACTGAACAAAACAAAACTTGGTTCTAATTCTAACTCTGCCACTTTATAGCTGTGTGGTCTGAAGCAAGATATCTATGCTGTCTGCACCTCAGGTTCCTTACTTGCAAAATGGAATTAGTAATAACTTCCCTGCCTATCCCATAAGGTTTGTGCACAAATGCTTGGTAACATCTGAAGTGTTCAATGTATGATTTAAATCTTGACCCATGCATAACATCCATTAATGTATATCATTAATGCATTCGTGGGATATTTTTATTCTTTCTGAATGCCTCATCTTCTTTGATGTCAGTTTATAACTTTATACTGTAAAATAGTGACTTTCAATATTTTATTGTTTGGACTTGATATACTTTGATTTCAAAAGCTCTTTCCTCAGCCTTGTTCCTCTGAGAAAAAAAAAAAAAGATTTCCAAAGCAATATTCAGTTCAGCACCACATGGATTTACACACTGACCAGGGCCAACAAGACACCTACCAGCTGAGCCCCAGAATCCCATGGGGGTCTTGTAGAGTACAGCCATGCAGAGCCAATCATGGGCCACACCCCGGGACAGAAAAGGGCACTTGCATAATTATCTCTGTTTAATAAAAATGAATAGGGCTGGGCGCAGTGGCTCAAGCCTATAATCCCAGCACTTTGGGAGGCCGAGGTGGGCAGATCACGAGGTCAGGAGTTTGAGACCAGCCTGACCAACATGGTGAAACCTCATCTCTACTAAAAATACAAAAATTAGCTGGGTGTGGTGGCAGGCACCTGTAATCCCAGCTACTCAGGAGGCTGAGGCAAGAGAATCGCTTGAACCCGGGAGGCAGAGGTTGCAGTGAGCCAAGATCGCGCCACTGCACTCTAGCCTCAGTGACAAAGGGAAACTCTGTCTCAAAAAAAAAAAAAAAAAAAAAAAAGAATAAAAACTGTTGTTGAGAATCTAGTCACATACGAGGCGAGGCTGAGCCTCTCCATCTGAGCATCTCAGGTCCTCATGAGCCGGGTCATCTTCTCAGCCTGAGCCCGGCACATCCCTGCATCTGGATGGTGTGTAATGAACCTGCCCTCAGCGCACTTGACTTCCAGTTGGCGAGGAGGTCATAAGACAGCAGGTGAGCTCACCTCCTCACCACACCTGCCTGGCCACCAGTTTGTCTATGTTCTAAAGCATGGGAGGGCTTGTCCTAGTCAGAAACATCACAACATGAACGGCCCTCTAGACTCCAGATTTCTCAAACTTGAATGTGCCCAGGACTCACCTGGGTGTCTTATTAAAGCACAGACTTTGATTCTGTTGGTCTGGGGTTGACCTGAGAGTCTGCATTTCTTTTCTTTTTTTTGCTTGAGACAGGGTCTTGCCCTATTGCCCAGGCTGGAGGGCAGTGGCATGATCATGGTTCACTGCAGCCTCAACCTCAATCTCCTGGGCTCAAGTGATCCTCCTACCTCAGCCCGCCAAGTAGCTGGGACTACAGGCCTGCACCACCACACCTGGCTAATTTTTTCTATTTTTTTTGTAGAGATGGGGTTTCGCCATGTTGGCCAGGCTGGTTTCGAACTCCTGGCCTCAAGCAATCCACCCACCTCCCCCTCCCAAAGTGCTGAGATTACAGGCATGAGCCACCCCGCTGGGCCCAACACGTGCTTTTTTAGCCTGGAAGAAACATTTCTTCTGCAACTTGCCACAAAGGGGATGGGATAACGTTTCCCTGACCCTTTGAAGTAGGGAGTGGTGGTTCTGTGACTTGATTTGGCCAAGGATGTGGGAGTGGAGGGGACCTGTGCTACTTGCAGGTGGTGGTGGCCATTTAATCATTGGTGCTTGACTCTTCAGCCCTTTCTTCCCCTTCTAGAGCAATCCTGGAAGCATGTGCTGAGGAAGAGGAGCCAAGAGACAGAAGAGGCCTGAAGCGCTGGGGCAACACAGAGACAACCGCCCGGCAGCATCACCAGCACCCACAGTGAACTTGGTGTGGGTAAGAAGTACACTTTTATTACATTAAGCTACTGAGATTTTGGGAGTAGCTTGTTACTGCAGCAAAACCTAAGCCTTCCCCGACTCTGTCAAATGCAGAGTACCTCAAACCCTTTGGGGACAGAAGCTACCTACAGATATACCAGCAAACACGGGGACAAGCTCCTAACAAAAGCTAGTTTCAGAGAAAAGATATTCACAGAAGATCATTTACAAGACATACTGTCATTCTACTTTTCTGAGTACTTTAAGTTTATCCCTGTTTCACGTCTGATCTCCAGCCTTTTTCAGAATCAACATTTCTGAATTGTGTTTTAATACTCTGCCCTGAGGTTTTCTTTACTGCAGTCAAATATACTTAACATATTTATCATTTTAACCATTTAAAAGTGTACAATTCAATAGCATTAAATATAATTGCAATGTTGTACAACCATCACCACTATCTATACCCAAAATGTTTTCAGTATCCCAAACTGAAAGTACCCATTAAACAATAACTCCCACTTCTGGCCGTCCCTCAGCCCCTGGTAACCTGTATTTTAATTTATCTCTATGAATTTGCCTATTCTAAGTACCTCATATAAATGGAATCATATGATATTTGTCCTTCTGTGTCTGGCTTATTTTACTAAGCATAATTATTTTCAAGGTCCATCTATGTTACAGCATATATCAAAATTTCATTCCTTTTCGTTTTTTTCTTGAGATGGTCTCACTCTGTCACCCAGGCTGGAGTGCATTGGCGCGATCTCAGCTCACTGCAACCTCTGCCTCCCAGGTTCCAGCAATTCTCCTGCCTCAGCCTCCCAAGTAGCTGGGACTACAGGCACAGGCCACCACACCCAGCTAATTTGTTTATTTTTAGTAGAGACAGGGTTTCACCATATTGGCCAGGCTGGTCTCGAACTCCTGACCTCGTGATCCACCTGCCTTGGCCTCCCAAAGTGTTGGGATTACAGGCATGAGCCACCGTGCTTGGCCAATTTCATTCCTTTTTTTTTGGCTGAATCATATTCCATTGTATGTAGCCCACATTTGGTTAATTCATTCATCCGTTGATGGGCACTTGGGTTGTTTGGATATTGTGAATAATGCTGCTATGAACACTGGCGTACAAATATCTGTTTGAATCCCTACTTTTGATTTTTTTTTGGATATATACCTAGAAATGGAATTGCTGGGTCATAAAGTAGTTCTATGTTTAACCTGTAGAGAAACTGGCAAACTGTTTTTCACTCTAAGCTCTGACTTTTAAGTCAAAAGTCTCAATTAGATCACAGCTACATGAAATCCTCAATAGCATTTTCCAGGAAAATATTGTTTGTGAATATCATCTGTTGTCCTACACAATGTCTCCTACATATAATCCCAAAGAGAAAATACTTTTGAGAATTAGGTACTGGGGCCAGGTGCAGTGGCTCACACCTGTAATCTCAGCACTTTGGGAGGCTGAGGTGGGCGGATCACTTGAGACCAGGATTTCAAGACCAGCCTGATCAACATGGTGTAGCCCTCTCTCTACTAAAAATACAAAAATTAGCTGGGTGTGGTGGCTTGCACCTGTAATCCCAGCTACTTGGGAGGCCAAGGCAGGAGAATTGCTTGCACCTGGGAGGCACGGACGTTGCAGTGAACCAAGCTCATGCCACTGCACTCCATCCTGGGTGGCAAATTGAGACTCCCTCAAAAAATAAAAAAATAAAAAGTGGGTCACACCTGTAATCCCAGCACTTTGGGAGGCTGAGACAGGAGGATCACTTGAGGTCAAGAGTTTCAGACCAGCCTGGCCAACATGTCAAAACCCCATCTCCACTAAAAAAAAAAAAAAAAATACAAAAATTAGCTGGGCCTGGTGGTGCACACCTGTAATCCCAGCTACTTGGGAAGCTGAGGCAGGAGAACTGCTTGAACCCGGGAGGCAGGGGTTGCAGTGAGCCAAGATTGTGCCACTGCACTCAAGCCTAGGTGACAGGGCAAGACTCTGTCTCAAAAAAGGAGAATTAGGTACTGGAAAGGTTTATGTTTCCTCGTTTCTGATATTAAGAATTCTAGTATGGGTCATGACTCTGTCTGCCATGAAGCCTGAAACCAAATCTGAAGCTTGCTGGTTCTCTGCCTTCCATGGGATTCCCCACCATTCCTTGGGATCGTGTTATCATTTCCTGGCACACTGGCCTCATTTCCAACAGCAGAGCCTATCTCTGCGTGAGGGCTACCCTTGGGCTGTCCATGAAAGAAAATAAGGCCAGAAGTACCTGGAAATTACATCCCCGTGCTCCTTTCTCATCCTCCCCAGACAGCTTTTTAACCAATTCCTGACAGGTGTGGTTGTGTAAACATCCCAGCTTTCTTGCATGGGATATCTGGGTCAAGAGCTTTGCTTTGCTTCCAAGCTTCCATTTGGGATTAGGTACCAGTTGCCCACTGTGGCACCTGCCTTAATAGCGTATCCTGGATTAACTTACTTTCCTTCCTCGATTCACTTTCCCTTGCACCGACCTGTATCCCTTGCTCCTCCCAACAAACTGCTTACACTCAAATTCTTGGCTCAAGCTCTGCTTCTAAGGGAACCCAAACTAAGACAAAGTTCCTCTCTAGCAACTTCGTAGCTCCACTTGCATCCCGTATTTCTGTTCTTCTTTTCCCTGGTTCTGAAGTTTTATTTGTATTTTATGATTATTTTCCTGTATACTTTGTCTGCTACCTCAAAGTCTTTGCAGAATAAAGCATGGTGGAATTAATTTTTAGAGGAAAAACACCATCATGTAATGTTACAATAAAAATGCAAGATATGAGTGGTTTATAGAATATAATTCTAATTTTTAAAAATGCATATGTATATAAGTATACGCAGAGGAAAAAGGAGACCAGAAGAAAATGGACCAAAACATGAACAGTGGTTAATTTGGATGATATTACTGCATATAACTTGATTTTTTTCTTCTTTATACTTTATTTTACAAAAAACCTGAACCTTCAGCTTTTTCATCTATAACGGGGGAGTGTTATGCCTACCTCATGGAGTTGTGTTGGCTGAAATGAAGTGTGAATGTCACACAGCAATGAGCTGCATTGCACATTCACATAATAATCATACAGTATGTGCCTAATACGGGCCTGATAAAGGTTAGCCAGTGCTGTTATTACAACAATTAGTGAAACAATTTAAAAGGAAATGTTACAAATGAGAAATAAAAATCAGCCCACACTGACATCATGTTTTTTACCTTTTAACACGCACGCACTTACAAGAGCTCATTGTCCCTCACAAGAACCCTGTGACAGGGGCAGGCTTACGCAGACGGAGGGAGCAGGGGGCAGGACTAATATTCACCAAATAGCTGATGTGCCAGATACCAAGGTGGGCACTCTGTAGATGCCTCAGATGAGAAAAGGATGGGGCTCGGAATAGTTAAGAGGCTTGCCCAAGATACAGAGGCAGGATGAAAAGCTCCCACTCCAGACTCTTTGTCCAGGTTTCTTTCCACTCCTCCATGCCACATTGTCATATTCGTATCCCCAAAGCCCATGTTCCTATATGGCCACCTACCCATGCCACTCTCAGTTCCTGCTACATGGATGCACCTGTCCACACACACACTCTGCTCCTTCCTGCCTCTGTGCCCACTGGGAGCACCAAGAGATGGTTTTTCATGGTGGTGGGAAAGATTCAGCCATCAAATCTCCCATCAAAACCACCCTAAGTTACCATTCAATCTAAAAAAATCCTGTACTTGCTATGCAAACACAGTAGAGTCAAGGTCACTTCCAAAGTGACACCTCCTAATCAGTTTGTTCATCCCAAGTCTTGCCTATGTGGAGATTCTGGAACTGTCTTCTGGGACGTGGGAGGTGATGTGAGGAGGGGCTTGTGGAACACGGCTAAGAGTCCAGCAGATAGTGTGGGCTCAGGGGGAGAACCATGGGGGTGTTATTCCTCCTTCACCAATCTTGGGCCCATTCTGGTCTGCTGCAAGGTTTCCTGCCTGATACCCAGTTATGGTGGTGCCATCATGGCCTGCTGATGGGCCGCACCATCTGGGATGGGATGGGGGCTGGGAGCCAGGCACTTCAGATACAGCCGGTGTGTCCCTAATCATACTGGTCCTCTGCCTCGCCTCCTGTGCATCAGCTGAAGCCCTGGATTCCTGGACTAGCCCTGGGAAGTCTTTCATGATGAATCTGACCTGAAGCCAATCTCTTTTGTCTTTTGTGCTGCTTCTCCTGGCAGAATGTCTATGTAGCACAGCCATGTGTGGGAGCCTCAAGGAGGCTCAACTTGTCGCCCCACCTCACCAGCGAGCTCTTCTAGAGTGCACAGGGGCAGTAGCTACAGAGCGCTCAGCACATGCACCCTGGGCTGTTTGCAACTGCCAGCCTTTTTTGCAGCTTGGAGGCCACTTCCTCTCCGTCTAACTCTTCCAACCTCCCTCCCCTGCTCCAGGTCTCTTTTTGCCCCCCTCAGAATTTATTTCTACAGCATCTTCCCTAACCCCCATTAATCACTTGATTATTCTTCAAGGATGAACAATCTTTAGGGGTGTGGCGCAGACTCCCCCAAATCATTTTCCTTCTGCTGGGAAATAAACACAGCTGATTGTAGCTGTGCTACATCTTTGCTAAAAAATTCTCAATGGCTCCCAGGTGCCTCTAGGTAAATTCCAGCTCCTCAGTCTGTCAGTGAAGGTCCTACCCCCGCCTCCATCCCATTAGCCAGCAGACCTTCCTAGTCTTCCTTCCACCACTCCAACCAGCTCATGGGGCCCCTGAGTGCGATTCTCTCCTACTCTAGAGTGCAACCGCGCTTTCAGTTCCCAAACCCAAGTTATGCCTAACACGAATTGATTCAGCCCAAAGGTCACTTCCCTGGTTCTTCCTGGTGGAAAATTTTCCATCTTTTGAACCGTCATTGGCACTTTTGCTTCCTCACTTTCAGTCTGCTGTTCTGATTTTTTCTCGGTAAGTGTGAAGTCGAGGGCAGAATCTTTTAAAATCTGCACTTCCCCTCTGACTGACTCAGTAAATGTTTAGTTTCCTGTCCCTATCTGTAAAAGCCTTCTTCCCCATGAACTCAAGCCGTGTCTCCTTCATTAGACTGAAAATCTCCCAGAGCAGAGCGTCTCCAATTTAAGGATCATTCCAATCCTTTGGGGACTTTGTTAACATGCAGATTCTGACTCGGCAGGTCTGCAGAGGGGACTGAGACTGCATTTCTAACAAGCTGCCAGGTGACGCTGAAGCTGCCGGTGCCTGGACCACATTAGAGCAGCGGGGAGGCAATACCACCTGTTGATCAGGCGACAGCTCATGTCAGTGGAGTCTGGCTGGGCGCCCAGATGGATGAATGAAAGGATGAGAGGGTCGGTCCTGCCCCCCGGAGGAAGTGGAGGCCGCCCGGAGGTTGTCAGCGAGTCCGGCCAGCACACTTACCTATGGTGGAAACGACGGTGCCCACGAAGTAGAAGGCGCCGGTGAAGTCCCAGCGCGGGCGGACGTTGTCCACGCGGATGCCGGCCCGAGTGGCCTCCTCGTAGTGGCGGAGGAAGCCGCGCAGCTCGTCGCGGCTCAGGTTGTGGCCGCGGCTGAAGTTGGCCAGGCGCTCCTCCCAGCGCTGCTTGGCCTGGCGCTCGTGCGCCAGCTCCAGCGCGGAGAAGACGGCGGCGCCGCCCAGCAGGTAGAGCACGATGAGCGCGGCCAGCAGCAGAAAGCGCGCGTTGTCCTCGTTCAGGTGGCCCGGGCCCCAGCTGAAACCCCGGCCAGCCATGGCCGGGCCCCCGGGGGCAGCCCCCAGGCCCACGGCACCGGGCGTCGGCGGAGTCTCGCCCACACCCCCGGGAAATAAGGGCCCCGGCGCTCAGCCAGCTCCCGGGCGCCCCACCGCCGGCTCGCCCATGACCGCCGGGCTCTCCCGCAGGCCGCGAGGCTCCCCCGGCCGCCGCCTCGGTAGCTCCTGTGGCGCCAGCTCCCCACGTCCTCCTTGACTCCTAGTTTCAAATCCGCTTTGTCGCCGCCGTTCCCCTCCACTCCCCCTGCTCTCCTCGGAGTTCTCCTTAACGCTGAAGGTCCCGGGGAACGGGCGCAGAGTTCACGTCTGCTTGGCGCTGGGATGCGGGCGCAGTTTCCACCCCGGCTCCCTGTCCGGCTCAGATAGGGGAGGGGGCGTGGCGCGTCTTCAGGGCAAGCTCGAGCCAACTCGAGTTTCCCGCAAAGAGACGGTCGCGGGGCGGGGCGGGGCGGGGCGGGGCGGCGGGGGGGGGGCGCGGTCCGGAGGTCTGCGGGTAAGCAGAGCGCCGGGGTCCTGGGTCCTGGTTCCTTTGACTATCGCTTCGCAGGCCGCCGACGGCTAGGACACGGGTGTCAGTCTGCTGGCTTTGTAGGTGCCTCCCCAGGTAGATCGACGATGGTGCCTCCTAGTTGTGGTCGTGGTGTCGCGCTGAGCCTGTGGCCTCCCGAGTCTCCGAATCGGCTGCCGGGGCTTAGGGATGGAGGGGGTCCAGGGCGGGCGCACGGAGAGAGGGGCTGTGCTGAGCGGCGTCCGAGGGCTGCGGCGTCCGAGGGCTCCGACCTCCGGCCGGGCCCCAACGCTGCGCATCCGTTGGGCGGACGGGCTGGAGAGAGGAGACCAGAAAGGGAGGTTGGAACAGGGAGCAAAGGAAGTTAGGGGCTTCTCCCCCGGGCAGCCTCCCTCGCCTTGACCATGCCAGAGCGCCCTTGGTCTCTGGATCCTGCGCGGGGGCGTCCTCTGCGCCTACTAGTAGGCTCCGCCCGGACCAAGCGCGCACCGCGAGCCAGCCCCGCTTCCGGAGAGGAGGCCAAACACTGGGGGCTGGAAGGGCTCCGCGGCCAGGAGACCTTGACCTTGGAGCGTTCCATCTCTTCCCCCCGGGCTTGGCTGCCTAGTGCGTTCCAGAGTTTTGCCTGGACGCGGGGTCCGCGCAGAAGGCATCCCCCACCTCATGCAGAACAGTAGCAAGGCTCTCCAGCAAACCGCCGGGGCCCCCTCCCCGAGACCCCGCCTTGTAGCGGGCGCTGGCGCCGCTGCCGCGCTCAGATCTCACCTTCCGGGGAGCGCCCTCTCCGCGCCGCTCCGTCGGGACTGTTCCCGGGCCTCCTGGCAGCCGCGGCCCTGCCCTGCCAGCCGGCGCGCGGAGCACAGGTCCGCACCGCGCTCTGCCTTCTCAGGCGGGCGCGCTCCGACGCTGCAACAGGTAGAGCCGTGCGGCTGCCAGCTGCGGCGACTCCACCCTGTCGCCCGCCTCCTTGCGCGCGGGCCCGCCTCCTGCGCTGGTCTCCGCGGGTAGACGCTCGGCGTTCGAAGGGCCGACCCGGGGCTGCGGTGCTCCCACCAGGGCGCGCAGATCTGGGTAGTGGATGCAGAACCGGCTGGTGGGACGCTCAGCCGGTCCGCGTGGGCCCTCCGGGGCCGGGAGAGGGCGCTCTGCCCCCTCCAGACACATCCCGCCCCCGCCCGCGCACACAGCCCCGCGCGGCCCTCCGGAATCACCCGCCCGGGCGTGTGGGAGCGAATCTGTACGCGGAGAGGAATGGATACGTGGGCATCTTCCCACCTTCCGAGAGAGCGGTTTCAGGCGCAGAGCCCCACACACCGCCCTTACGCACCAGGAGCAGAGACAGAAGGGCTAGGAGCCCTGTTGAGTAAAACCGTGTGATTTCGAATAAAGAAACACAGCTCTGGCGAGTGCATTTTCATCAGAAACCCTGGTGCTGTTAGCAGTCCTCTCGGCTCTGTTACTCACTCCCCAATGCCCCTCTTTCATCTAGCCTTCTGAGGGGCAAGAGCTTTAGGGGCATCGCGAGAATGGGTGCATGTGTATACACCCAGGGTGAGTACTGCAATTACCTTTTAAATCCATTTTATTATGAAAAATTTCAAACATTCTAAAAAGTTGAATTTTACAGTGAACACCCGTATACCCACCACCTAGATTCTACAATTAACATGTTACTATACTTGATTTATTAGATATCTACCCGTCCCTCTGTCCATCCATCAACCCATCTTGTTTGGATGCATTTCAGAGTAAGTTGCAGAGCTTGGTACACTTCCGCCCTCATCCCCAGTACTTCTGCCTGCATATCACTACGTAGGGTTCAATATTTACTTGCAGAATTTTTTTCCTTTTCGGATAAAATTTACATACAATGAAATGCACAAATCTTAAGTGTATCATTAGGTGAGTTCTGACAAATGGGTACACCTCTGCAAATCACCTATCCAACCTACCAGCCAAACATCACCAACAGGGTCCCCCTAAGTCCCTTCCCTGTAACTCCCTACCCACATTCCTCCAGAGAAAACCACTGTTCAGAATTTTTCTACCATCGATTACTTTCGCTTTTATAGAACTGTTTTTTTGTTCTAAATCTCCATATAAATGGAATCATGCCGGTATGTACTCTTTGGTGGAAAACATTATGTTTTTGAGATTTACCCATGTTATATGTCTTAGTAATTCCTTCCTCTTTATTGCTAGTTTTTCATTGTTTGGGTATACCATAGTTTGTTTATTCATTCTCCTCCTATTGATAGAAAGGAGAACTGTTAGAAAATTTTGGTCATCATAAATAAAACTGTTAGGAACATTCTTGTACAACTATGTAGACATATGTTTTCATATCTCTTACGTAAAGACCTAGGAGCGGAATTGCTGGGTCATAGGGTAGGTATGTATTTTGCTTTATGAGAAACTGCCCGACATTTTCCCAAAGCAGCTGTACTGACAGTGTACACTAGTTCTGGATGCTCCGTATCTTTGTCAACATTTGGCAGTATCAGTCATTTTAATTTTAAAACTACTGGTGGATGTAGCAATATCTCACTGTGGTTTTAATTTGCATTTCCCTGATGTCTAAAAATACTGGTGGATGTAGCGATATCTCACTGTGGTTTTAATTTGCATTTCCCTGATGTCTAATGCGCTTGCTGGCCACTTGTGTACCTTCTCTTGTGAATTTTCTGTTGAAATATTTTGCCCACTTAAAAAATTAGTTTCTCTGTTACTGAATTATAGAGATCCTTTATATATGCAGGATACGAGTACTTTCTCAGATACATATCTTGCAAATATTTTCTAACTCTGATTTGCCTATTTATTTTCTTAAATATGTTTTCTGTATGTTTGGTGCCCTTTGAGAAATCATTACCTCCTTCAAGGTTGCATAGGTTTTCTGTCTCCCCACACTTTTATATTTGGGTCTACGATCCATTTAAGTTTGTTTCCTTATGGTATGAGGTAAGAGTCAAAGGTCATTTTGTCCAGGTGGATTTCCAGTTATTCCAATGCTATTTGTTGAAAAGATAAATATGCCTGAGTTTCAGGAATTTAATTTGTTCATTATTTGCCCACCCTTATGCTAATACCACAGGATTTACATACTTATAGCTCTATAGTAGGTCTTTAGTGGGACTATAATTGAGTCCTCTAACTTTGTTCTTCTTTTTCAAGATTCTTTGGATGTTATAAAACTTTTACACTTCCACTAAAAAATCATAGAATCAGCTTAATTTCCTCCAAAAAGCTGTGGGATCTTGATTTCTGGGATTGTGTTGGATCTATTTTGGGAAGAACATCTTGACAATTCATGAAAGAGGTATATTCCTCTATTTATTTAGGGTTTCTTAACCAAGTTTTCATATGGAGATTTTGCACATCTCTTGTAAATTCATTCTAAAGTATTTTATATTCTTTTGATGTTATTGTAAATGGAATTTCAAAATTTTACTTTTCAATTGTTTGCTGTAGTCCATAAAAATACACGATTGTTGCAAAAATACTTGAATTCTTCAACCTTGCTACTTTAGTCATCAGTTGTACATGTTTTGTTGATTCCTTTAGGAGTTTCTTTGTAAATAATCATGTCATCTACAAGTTTTGCTTTTTTCTTCCTGATCTTTATCATCTTTTCCCCCTCTTGTCTGCAACGGCTAGAGCCTCAGTACATTATTCAATAGAAGTGGAAGCAGATATCCTTGTCTTATGATCTTAGGAGAAAACTTTCCTTTTATCATCATTTATATAATGTTAGCTGTGGGGTTTTCATAGAAACTATCGGATTAAGGAAGTTTCCTTTTATTGTTGTTTCTAGTTTTCTGGTGTTTTTGGTTTTTTGTTTTTTTTTTTTTTTTTTTTTTTTGAGACGGAGTCTCGCTCTGTCGCCCAGGCCGGAGTGCAGTGGCGCGATCTCGGCTCACCGCAAGCTCCGCCTCCCGGGTTCACGCCATTCTCCTGCCTCAGCCTCCCAAGTAGCTGGGACTACAGGCGCCCGCCACCATGCCCAGCTAATTTTTTGTTTTTTAGTAGAGACGGGGTTTCACCGTGTCAGCCAGGATGGTCTCGATCTCCTGACCTCGTGGTCCACCCGCCTCGGCGTCCCAAAGTGCTGGGATTACAGGCGTGAGCCACCGCGCCTGGCCGAGTTTTTTGTTTTTAATGAAGCATGAATGAGTACTGAATTTTGTTAAATGCCATATCTGCATCTATGGTGATGATCATATAGTTTTCTCCTTTATTCTGCTAATATGTTGTATTTCACTGATTGCCTTTCTAATGTTAAGCCAATCTTGCATTTCTGGGATATGTTGCACTTGGGGTTTCCACTCTATTCTTTTTATTCCTCTACTTCTGAGTTTACTCTTCTTTTTCTAGCTTCTTATGGTGGATGTTTAGATCACCGATTTTAGACCTTTCTTCTTTGCTAATGTTAGTGTTGCTGGACTTTTCCTTAGTTCAGCTAAAGATGGGGTCCTTGTCCGTCCTACGGCCATGAAAATTTAGGTTAGCAGAGGGTTTGTAGGGTGAGTAACGCAGGGCTTTATTGGGTGAAAGGGAAGAAAAGGGAGAAGCAGGGACTCTTACTAGGCCAGAGTCCCTGCTAGAGCGCTTCCAGCCGGCAGCTTGAATCCCAGGTTCCACACTAGAAGAGGAGGGGCCGGGCTCCTCCCTGCTGCAAGGGTCGTGAACTTCCCCAGGCTCCAGCTCCACCTCAGTAGGCAGGCTGGTTGGAGCTTCTCCAGCGACCCCCTCTCACTTGGCTCTCATTAGTATTTTTAAACTATACCTTTCCCTGTTAGCCTGGTGCTAGCTGCATCCTAAAAATTTTGGTATGTTGTATTTTCATATTTTATTCATATTATTTTCTGATTTTTTTGGGGGCACATGATTTAGAAGCGTGTTGCTTAATTTCCAAATATCTGGAGTTTAAAAAAGACACATTATTTATTTCTAACTTATTTCCAGTGCGTTCAGAGAACCATATTCAGTATGTTTTCAATCTTCCTAAATTTGTTGAGACTTATTTAATGGTCCAACCAGATGGTCTATTTTAGTGAATGTACTATGTGCATTTGAAAAGAAAGTGTATTCTGCAGTTGTTGGCTGTAGTGTTCTATAAATGTCAGTTAAAAGTAATTGATGGTATTTTTATGATCTATCTTTACTGACATTTGATCTAGTTATTCTATTGATTGGTGAGAGGAATATTTAAAATCACCAGCTGTAACTGTGTAATCATCTATTTCTACCTTTATGTCACTTTTTGTTTCATGTACTTTTAAGCTGTTATTAAACATATGCATTTATAATTATTGTATCTTATTGGTGTAGTGACCCTTTTATTAATATGAAATGTCCCTCTTTATCTCTGGTAATACCCTTTGCCTTGAAGTTTACTTTATCTGATATTAATCCAGTCACCACATTCTTTTGCTTGACATTTGCATGGTATCTTTTCCCATCCATTTACTTTTAACTTATCTGTGTAGTTTATGTATTTTAAGTGGACTTGCTGTGAACAGCATGCAGTTGGGTCTTTTTGGGGGGAATTTGTATCAGTTCTGATAATCTCCATGATTGATCAGACCAATGCTGGTCAATAGAATTTACGTGATAATGGAAATATTTTATATCTGTGCTCTTCAATATACTAGTGAAATATGGGAGTCACTACTGAGCACTTAAAATGTGGCTACTGCAATGAAGAGACTGACTTTTAAATTTTATTTAATGTCAATTAACAAGTATCGCACGTGGCCTGTGGCTGCCGTCTTAGTGCAGATAGAGACCATTTACATTTAATGTAGTTGTTTATACGACTGGACTTAAGTCTGCCATCTTACTATTTGTCTTGTTTGTCCCCACTATTTTTGGCTTCTCTGTTCCACCTTTCCTGACTTCTTTTGGATTAACTGGGTCTTTTTAGTTAATAGAGTATTTTTCAGAGCAGTTTTAAGTTCACAGCAAAATTGAGAGGAAGGTACACATTTCCCAAATACCCCTGCTCCCCCACACACGTAGCCTCCCCCAACAGAGCGGTACATTTGTTATAACTGACGAATCTACATTAACACATTATCAAAGTCCATAGTTTATATTAGGGTGCACTTTTGGTACTGTACATTCTATGGGTTTGGACAAATGTATAATGACATGTATCCACCATTATAGTATCACACAGAGTAGCTTCACTGCCCTAAAAATCCTCTAGGCTCTGCCTGTTCATCCTACCACCCCCACTCCTGCAGCCTCTGGTCTTTCAACTGTCTCCAAAGTTCTGCCTTTTCCAGAATGTCACATAGGTATAATCATACAGTATGTAGTCTTTTCATATTGGCTCCTCTCACTTAGCAATGTGGATCTACGTTTCCTCTGTGCCTTTTCATGACTTGATAGCTCATTTTCTTAAGAGCGCTGGATAATATTCAATTATCTGGATGTACCACTGCTTATTTATCCATTCACCTATTGAAGAACATCTTGGTTGCTTTCAGGTTTTGGCAGTTATGGATAAAATTGCTATAAACATCTGTGTGCAGGTTTTTGTGTGGACATAAGTTTTCAACTCCTTTGGGTAAATATTAAGAAGTGCAACTGCTAGATCATATGGCAACTATATTTAGTTTTATAAGAAGCTGCCAAATTGTCTTCCAAAGTGGCTGTACCATTTTGTGTTCCCATGAGCAATAAATGACAGTTGCTGTTGCTCGATATCCTTGCCAGCATTTGGTGATGTCAGTGTTCTGGATTTTGGCCATTCTAATAAATGTGTAGTGGTATCTCATTGTCTTAATTTATACTTCTCTGATGACATATGATGTGTGGAGCATCTTTTCCTATGTGTATTTGCCACATGTATATTTTGGTGAGGTGTCTTTAGCCTATTTCTTTTTAAGGGACAGAGCCTTGCTCGGTTGCCCAGGCTGGAATTTAGTGGCACAATCATAGCTCACTATAGCCTTGAACTCCTAGGCTCAAGTGATCCTTCTGCCTCAGCCTCTCAGGTAGCTGGGACTACAGGCATGCACCACCATGCCCAGCTAAGTTTTTTTTTTTTTTTTTTCCTTGTTGCCCAGACTGGTCTCAAACTCCTCGTTTGGCCCATCTTTTAATCTCATTGTTTTCTTATTGTTGAATTGTAAAAATTCTTTGTATATTTTGGTTAACAGGGCTTTATCAGATAACTGTTTTGCAAATATTTTCTCCCAGTCTGTGGCTGGTCTTTTTATTCTCTTAATGGTGTCTTTCTCAGAGCAGACATTTTTATCTATTGGCTTTTTAGCTCTATCTCTACATTATTAAGTGGTTGTTCCAGGGATGAACGTTTCACAGTTAAGAGCTAACTAACATGGTATCACTTTGCATAAAATATAGATAGCTTACTGTATAGGATCCTTTCCTATTCCCTTCCCTGCATCTATTATGCCATGATTGTCATTCAAATTATTTACATATGCTAAAATCCCACCAATTGTTTTTGTTTTTGTTTTTGCCTTTTTTGAGATGGAGTCTTGCTCTGTCGCCAGGCTGGAGTGCAGTGGCACAATCTCGGCTCACTGCAACCTCCACCTCCTGGGTTCAAGCTATTCCCCTGCCTCAGCCTCCTGAGTAGCTGGGACTACAGGCATGTGCCACCATGCCCAGCTAATTTTTTTATTTTTAGTAGAGATGAGGTTTCACCATATTGGCCAGAATGGTCTTGATCTCTTGTTCTCGTGATACACCCGCCTTGGCCTCCCCAAGTGCTGGGATAACAGGTGTGAGCCACCGCACCTGCCTATTGTTTACTTTAAACAGTAATGCACAGTTTAAAGAGGAGAAAGAAGACATCCTTTGTATTTACTCGGATGTTTACTATTTTCAGTGGCTTTTATTCCTTCTTAAAGATTTGAGTTTCCCTCTGGTAAAATCTCCCGTTAGCCTGAAGAACTTCCTCTAGCATTTCTTGTAATTTAGATCTGCAAATTCTCTTAGTTTCCTTTTATCTGAAAATATTAGTTTTTTTTTGTATTCATTCTTGAAATATATTTTTGCTGGATACAGATCTCTGGGGTGACTTTTTTTTCCTTTCAGCGTGTTAAAGATGATGTTGCACTGTCTTCTGGCCTCCAATGTTTCTAAAGAGAGGTCAGCAGTCATTTAAATCATTACTCCCTAGTTTCCTGTAGCTGATTTCAATATTTTCTCTTTAAGTTTGGTCTTCAGTAGACTATGATGCACCTAGATGGGGTTTTCTTTGTATTAATCCTGCTTATTATTCACTGAACTTCTTGAATCTGTAACTTTATGTCTGTCACCAAATTTGGGAGTTTTTCGGCCATTACCATGGGAACTTTTTTCACATTCTTGCACAGTTTTAATAGCTGCTTTAATAGCTTTGACTAGAACTTCTTGGGGTTGATCTCCTTTGTCTCTTCTCGTGAGAATGAGGCATACTTTTTTGTTTATTCAGATAGTGAGTAATTTTGGATTGTATCCTAGACATTGTATTTAGTGTATAATTTACATTGTGTTGTAGAAACTCAGGATTCTCTTATATTCCTCTGAAAAATAATTATTTTAAAACATGCAGTTAACTTGGTTGAACTCAGTGACAAAACTGTTTCCCCTGCAGTGGGAAGTAGTTCAACTTTTAGTTCAGTTCTTTCAGCCTTAGTTCTGCATGCATAGTTCAGTGGTCAGCTAGAGATTTGAGCAGTTTATATACAGAATTTAGGAATCCCCTCTCTGGCTTGCTTTTCTGTTATTTCCCCCTTTACTCTCGAGAGGCTGTGATGCTCTGAACTCTCTACTCTGGTTCCTCAAGCCAGCGAGACTGTAGATTGTACACTGGAGGCTTACCTGTCCTGCACAGTGCACGGACACCTGGCCTCAGGCTAACGGTGGTAAAAAAACAGGTAACTCACACAGTCCCGTGCCCTTCCTCCACTGACTCCTCTCCGGTATCTGCCTGCTTTTGGTCTATTTCAGTATCTTTAAGAAGTTGGTTTTTAAAGAAGGTTTTTTTCCAGAGCTTACAGTTTTTATTTGCTAAAGAATTGGTCCAATAGGAACTCTTTGGCTCTGCCAAAAACCTGAAGTCACCTGGTTTCCCCCAACATTGTATAATGACATTTTCAAACACATCAAAGAATAATTTTACAATGGCAGCTTGTAAATTGACCACTTAGATTGGACAATTACATTTTTATTTACTTGCCTGATCATGTATCTACTTGTCCATTAATATATCTTACATTTTATGCATTTCAGAGTAAACTGCAGATATCTATATGCTTGCCCCTAAATACTTCAGCATGTATATCATTAACTGGAATTCAACAACTGTTTAGTTTTTTCCTTTCTGATGTAGAATTTACATACAATGAATGCACATATCAGGATTTACATTGAGTATTTTAAAAATCAGCTTTATTGAACTATAATTTACATACAATAAAAATTACCAATTTGGTATATAATTCAAGGAGTTTTGTTAAATGTTACCAATGCCACAATTATGGTAGAAACATTTCTATAACCTCTAAAAGTTCCCTCATGCAGTCAAGTCCTTCTCCGGACCCTTGCACTTACTTTTAAGCCACTTAATTATACTTTGAGCACAAGTGGGGGCCACTCCCTAGAACAGGAATTGGAGTCCCTTCACTGCCAGATGTGTCCTGGGGGTGGGGGCTGGAGGCAGGGACACAGAAGGGATGGAAAGGTGGAACCAGGTCTCAGACTGGGCTCTTCAAGTGTCTCTTGGTTGTCTCTAGAAAGTAGTTAAGTAGCTCATTAAAGCCATTACGTCTGCTCCTCCAGCTAAAGGCAGATTCTGCCAATCCAAGCACAATTAAAGATGCTCATTTCTTGAGTGTGCTATGGTATTAGAGGAGATCAAGAAGCAGGATTTAAGAAGACTGAAACCTTAGGTTCACATACTTCTTTGAGCCCCAGTTTCTTCATTTATAAAATGGACTTCTTCCTGTGGGTGAAGTGGGACATGCCAGGCATGTAAGAGACACTCAGATATTTACTGTATGGATGCACCTGGTAAATGGTCAGGTTCTTGGCCAAGTATTTATTTTTAATCCCCAGCATGTTGTTTCTGATATTGAAGGAAGGTGACTGTATATCCTTTCTTTGCAAACTTAGGAGTGTCTTGTGTCAAACTTAGACATTCTCATAACATCTAAAAACACTTGTCCGATCCCTCCCACCACACAGGTGACCCTCTCTCCAGCCACTTCTCCCCAAGCCATTTGGTGGCCAGTCACCAGCCCATTTTTCACACCCTCACCAGTGGTGCACACTGCCCAGGCCCTTCTCCCTTGGACCTCCCCGGTAGCACATCACAACTCCTTCCTTCCTTTCAGAGAAGCCTTAGAATCTGTCTGTCCTAGTAACTTTCCCTGTTTCCTTCCTACCCATTCAGATCCTCCCCTCCCATATCAGTGAGTTTATATCAGGCATCTGAACCAAAAGGTCAGCGTTCCCAACAGGAGATGAATGGCTCTGCATGAGGGGGCTTTACTGACTGCAAGGCAAGCCCAGCCGGCCAACCTAAAGGCCCTCACCTCTACCTTCTCCCTCTTCACCAGCTATCAACTCACTCTTGGGGTTCACATTAACATGCATTCCCTAATTCCCCCAACCCCACCAATGAGATGCTGCCACTTCTCTCTGGGAGGCAGCAGGTATCACTAAAACAGTACTTGTAGGACAGGAAGTATGCTGCTCAGCTCTGCAGAGTTGTTCAGGGTGTGCTTCTGGGAGGCTCAGTCTAGGGAGGAAGACTTCCTTGTGAGCAGAGCCCCTTTCTGTGGGATGCAAAAAGGAGCTCCGTGGCCAAGATTCTTAAATCTATCCATCTTCCAGAAACAACTTCCATTTAGTAGTCTGGAAGCAGTATTTGTGGAAGAATGCTAGTTTCCAAAAGGCATGGGTTTTATCTTCTATATTTAATTGCCCCAGAGGCTGCCGGTTCCAAGCACTTTTATTTACTGCTAACAAATACAAATTGTTACAACTCACATTTCTGAAGTTCTTGCCACTGGTCAAGAGCACCACTTCATTTGATCATTATTACAACCCCATGAGGCAGGGCAGGACAGGTATTAGTCCTGTCCTTAAAATGAGAAAAGGAAGACTCAAGAGGCGTTACTGCAATGCCTCAAGGTCTCACCGCTTGGAGGAAGCAGACCTGGGACTAGACAATTCTAATGAACCCTGAGTGTCTTGTGGCTGAGTCACCTCTCAGGCTTCAGTCAGATCTCAGGCCATTACCAGGTGAGTATCTGTCTTCATTCAGGGTGGATGAACGAGGGAACCTGGAAAGGAACACACTCATCGATATGTAAATTGAAGCAAAAATAAGTCTACTGTGTGCTACACACAGATATTTTCATTAAAAAGTGCTGGTCATGGCCGGGCACAGTGGCTCACTCCAGGAGTTCCAGACCAGCCTGGGCAATATGGCAAAACCTTGTCACTACAAAAAAAAAAAAAAAAAAAAAAAAAAAAAAAAATTAGCTGGGCGTGGTGGCACGTGCCTATAGTCCCAGTTACTCCGGAGGCTGAGGCAGGAGAATTGCTTGAGCTTGGAAGGTGAAGGCTGCAGTGAGTTATGATTGCACCATTGCACTCCAGCCTGGGGGACAGTGCTGACCCTGTATCAAGGAAGAAAAAAAAAAGTGCTGGTCATGACTCTTAAATTGATTTTGCCCTCTCCAGACTGGGCAACGGTGCTGACCCTGGTTCAAAAAACAAAAGTGCTGGTCATGACCCTTAAATTGATTTCAGGATTCATTAAAGGGTTGTGACCCATAGTTTAAAAAATCACTGTTGTAGGACACAAGGGTTCACTAATTTATGTGACTTTTTCAAGAAACTAAAAAATATTTCTCTACTTGGTTTCCTTTTGCTTTTCAATATATTCTACAAGTTTGCACAAATTATTTAAGAGGCATAGGTTTCTGTGGTGCAATATTAATAGGTCACCTAGGGACGCTTCTCACTGTGGAGGAGACATCAGGCATTTTCCATCTCCCTTTGGAGAACTTCCCATCTGCTCCCTCCCTCCCTCCCCATCAGGGGCAGCCCCAGGATCTGGAGTAATTGGATCAGGAAAGGACTTGTGACTCAAGATGGCCAATCCCATGCGTCCAGGGACTTTTCCTGGGGTTGTTGAGTATTTTCTCTGGAATAAGGAGCTGGAAGAAAGATGGGATCCTAGTGCCACGGGGGAATCTTGGCCTCCAAGTATGGAGAGCTTGCTTGAGAATGAATGATGCCCACATTCTGGAAAGCAGAGCTGAAAGTTGGAGACAGTCTGTTACATTAGGGATTCCCTGGCTCCAGCACAGTTGCCAGACTTTTGTTAAAGTCTCTTTCATTGTACAAATCTAATTAACCTGGTTTCTTGTAACTATAAAAGAAACCTAATGTATTCTTTCATAAAAATATTCATAAAATATTGAGTAGCAAACATTTGAGGCTTTTAAATTTTAGTAATGTCAATTATATGAGAACAAAATCAGCATTCAGTTTAACTGTTAATTTCTAAAGAACCTATGAGCAAACAGCCATCCAGGGCACACACAGTAGCATCATCTATGTCCTCAGGTCCAGAAAGGGATAGCATTGGCTTAGCTAGGATAGACTTAGCACCTCAGATGGGGCACAGATCTTGTTCATTAACCAGCTGTGTAACCCTGAACCTTATTTTTCCCTCTATATAATAAAATTAAGATAGTATCACCTGCCCCATTGTGTGAAGATGTATATACCTATGATCATAAATTACGATTTGAGTTACCCGTAATAAATGCCCCATGCATGCAATTTCCCCTTTGCCGTTCCTTTCTAAGCTTCTCTTTTTGTATAATGAAAAAGGTGACTGGTCCAGATGCCTTCCAGTTCTTGATAAAAGCAATGGACGCCAGGTGTGGTGGCTTGTGCCCATAATCCCAGCTACTGCGGAGGCTGAGGCAGGAGGACTGCTTGAGGCCACAGTGAGTTATGATCGTGCCACACAGCACTCCAGCCTGGGTGACAGAGCAAGACTCCATCTCTTTAACAACAACAGCAACAAAAAATAGCAAGGGGCTCTTTGAAAACCTTCCTACAAAGGGAACAGGAGACACTGCAACATGTGCCTTAGATACATGAACCATAAAGTTGGTCAGACTGTGGAGCTCCTTCTAGGCCTACTGTGAATAAAATATAATTTATACACATCGATTGAATTCTGCTTTAAAACAGACTTGATTGGAACTCTGTGAAATACGGGACAGGAGTTGCACCAAGACTTGCATGCTCTGCACACCACCCGCTAGTGTGGGCTGCCTCTTGCCCTCCCCATCTCTGGTATCTCCCATGCTGCCTTCTCTTCTGACATTGGCCTCATTCCTCCAGCTCTGTGCTTTAGATCTACTGAGTCAACAAAAACGGTAGGTTTCAGAAAATTTAATAGATCATACTTAACAGTGCAAGTGTTCAGCCCTTTATGCTCTTACCTGAAAGGAGCCCACTCCACTTGTAGGTCTGGCTTTAATAATTCCATGGCTCAGTCCTGCACACTGATGTGACATTTAGTGGGTGACTTTATGTGCTGCTAGTTGGTTCTGTCATGTCAACCACGATTTGCTGTTACAGTGGATGAAAGCGTACCCAGTCTTGTATATATAGTTACATATCACGTATGCCAAGTGTATTAGTCCATTTTCATACTACTATGAAAAAATACGAGACTGGGTAGTTTATAAAGAAAAAGAGGTTTAATGGACTCACAGTTCCATGTGGCTGGGGAGGCCTCATAATCATGGCGGATGGTGGAGAAACAAAGGCACATCTTAACATGGTGGCAGGAAAGAGAGCACGTGCAGGGAAACTCCCATTTATAAAACCATTAGTTCTCATGAGACTTATTCACTATTACAAGAAGAGCATGGGAAAAACCCACCCCCATGATTCAGTTATCTTCCACCAGGTCCCTCCCACAACATGTGAGGATTATGGGAGCTACAATTCAAGATGAGATTTGGGTGGGGACACAGCCAAGCCATATCTCAAAGCCTGCCCCTTGGCTGGACCTTGGGAACATCTGCTGCCTGGATCCTCACAGCAGTATAGGATGACCCTGGAGCTAAAATGCCTGGGTTCAAATTCCAGCTCCACCACTTGCCAGCTATGCGACTTTTCAAAAATAACTGTTATTTCTCTATCTGTAAATGGAGATGACGGTGGTATGTCTTTGATAAGGTTATGAAAATTTAAATAAACACAAAACCCATAGAAGAGTTCCTGGCACAAAGCGCTCAGTGCTTGCTGGCCAATGTTAATGCTCAAGGACCAGTGGACACAGACCAGGCTGAGTTGATCACCAGCCTCCAGGTGGGCCTTGGTCATGTCATTGCTGACATTCCCAGGGGCATATGGCCACAGACCACCTTTGATCTCTCATTTTTTGGATGTGTGAATCCTATTATATAAGCAATGGCCACCAAACTTACTAGTTGATAGAAACACAGTAAGAAATTGTACAGTTTATGGTATTCTTTTGTCCTGGATTTGCTTGAAATAAGTGGGCTACTAAACTTGGAAAATTTGTCAAAGATTTTATAAGAGGATCTGACCTAGGCATAATGTGGTGTTAGTACCATATTCACACTGGAAATCACGTAATACTGTATTAATTTATATTAGGGATAACTATATAACTTCCACTAAAGAATCCAGGAAAACCAAGCTGAACTTGTGTGTAGTGCAATGCAGGAAGGTGTGCACTTTTGAGACAGCAGAGTCTTGGTTCCATTGCTTACCGTGGACTTTAAGTTATTTAACTCCCTTGAACCTCAGTTTCCTCATCTGTAAAATAGGTGTAATAAGGCAGCGCGTGGTGGCTCATGCTTGTAATCCCAGCACTTTGGGAGGCCTAGGCAGGCAGACCAGGAGTTCAAGACCAGTCTGGCCAACATGGCTAAAGCCCGTCTCTACTAAAAATACAAAAATTAGCTGGGCATGGTGGCAGGTGCCTGTAGTCCCAGCTACTTGGGAGAATCACTTGAACCTGGGGGCTGGAGGTTGCAGTGAGCCGAGATTGTGCCACTGTACTCCAGCCTGGGTGACAGAGCAAGACTGTATCTCAAAAAAAAAAAGGGCTAATAATGGTACATTTTTCAGGAGGTTGATGTGAAGATTAAGTGTAAAGCACTTAGACACAGGCACTGAAACACAGGAAGAACTCAGGAAACATTCGCTGTTACTGTTAGGTGGAAAAATACAGCCTTCCAAATCAGGGGCACGCAGCTTCATGCCAACAGAGGGGAGATGAGGGTTTCTTCAGTTAGGGAGAAGTAATTGTTAAACCTCAATGGGAGAATGATGGAAGCATGGTTTCCTCAAAAACATTAGGCATGTTGTGGTCAGTCCCAAAAAAAAAAAAAAAAAAAAAAAAAAAGACCAATGGGTAGAACTGCTTGTTTTCTGTGTTCCCATGTGTTGATTATTTTTGGGGAGTTACTTTACTTCCCATGTGTGCTATCAGCTGTGCCAGAAAGCACAGGGTAGTGACCCTACCCCCCACTGGCCTGGCTCAGCCCTGCCCTTCCCTAAGCCCCTCACCTTGGCAAGGGGCACAGCACTGCTGTCAGGGGTTGGGCCTGGACACCTACCAAGTGCAAACTCCTTGACCATGGACTCTCCCTAATGTGACTTCAATGTTATCTATTCAGCCCATTCTGCAGAACTTCTCTCCCCATTTCCAGGTGGGGCCCCCCCAGGGCCTAGAGGAATACTACTCCAAGTGTGAGTACTACTGCCAGACTTGGAGTAGTACTCCTCTAGGCCTGGGAGGGCCCATCTGGAAATGGAGACTCAGCACGGCCGGCTGGTGCTGAGTTCAGAAGGTCAAAGCAAGCATTCAGAGACTTCCATAGCAATTTGACAGTGTTGACACAATCCAAGCACCTGACTTTATATTCTAAAAATGTCATCTGTCCACAATAGATTGGGAAAAACAGTCCACCTCCTTAGATACAGCCTACCACACTGCCCTGGAGCTCTGGCTGTACAGTCCAGTAGTTAACAGAAGAGGCTTTAGGTGCTGTCTGACCTGAGTTCAGGTGCTGCTAAAGTGCACTTTGTAGAAGTATGACCTTGGACAAGCATTTTACCTTTTGAATTTCCTTCAGGAAAACATAGACAATCCTAATGACCTACCTGTAACAGTGACGGCAGTAAGCACTTGTATTCATTCTGTGCAGGCGTGGCTTAACACTTTATATGTACTAAGTCACCAGACACATCAACCCTCTACAAACGGTATTATTATCACCACCTTCATTTTGTAGTTGGGGGACCATGGCACAGAGAAGTTATATAACCTGATCTAGGCTGCACAGCCAGTAAGTGGCAGAGCTGAGATTCAAACCCTGCCCACCTGACTCCAGCTCTGAGCTCTGACCCATTTTGCCAATCCACCTCCTTGTGCTGTTATGTGGATCAGATAAGCAATGTACCCGTGTGACCCCCACATAGCCATCATGTAGCTATCAATCTGCCACCATTGTCTTGATTGGCTGGGTCCTGCTCCAGAGCAGGCCAACTGACTGCAGCTGTGATGAGGATGCCCTGCTGACTGTGAGGCTTGCCTGGCATTACCTGGAAGCCTATGCTGCCCCTGCCCCAACGTGGGTGGGACCAGTGCATGGTAAGAATCGCACATTCTTTGCCACGGTCCTTTGGACACTCGGATTAAACTGCGGGGCCAGCCCCACCATGATGTCGCCTTTCACTACCAGCCCCAGGGCTCTCCCTGTTTCCTTTCATGGCTGTTGAGCTCATCTGATGTCGAGTTGTAATGTTTTCGTACATAGAGGGTAGGGTCACAAAAGGCTTAAGCCTTATCTGCAAAATCAACTGGTTAAATTAGTTCAGTAGCTTTTCAAGTTTATTTAAAAAAAGCAGAACACACAAAAATACATACAACACCCCAGATAATGTCCTTTACAGAATCCCAGTATGTACAACAGATACAGCAGAGCCTGTCTGTTGGAAGGTGGGAGGCCCTGCAGCCCTGTCTCCCTGCCTCCTGCTCTATCGCCACACCCCCACTGCAGCCTACAAGGTTCCTAAGGTACTTTTGGAAAATCCTAGGCCTCTGAGGAACAGTTTGAAAGACTACTTTAGAAAATCTTTCAAGACTAACGTTCAACTCTATCCTAAATTATAAGATAAAGAGGTTGATGACAAACTGGAAATCAGCCTCATGCAGAAGAAAACAAACAGGGTCTAAAGCACCCTAGGGAGAACACAATGTACACAAAGCACAAAGACACTCAAGCTCTGAGCCCCGCTCACTGTGTGACCCTGGGGACATCCTTAACCTTCTAGGCCTTAGCTTCCTCACTTGTGAATTTAAGGCATCAAATTAAGTCACCTTTTAGGATTTTTTCCCAAAATACTTGTGTGCTTTTGTATGTTTCTATGAGCTGCTTCCTCTGAAAGTTTCTGGGGATAGAAGAGAGACCCATTTACCCTAGGCAGGTGTTTGGGTTTGGTGGGACCTGTCTGTAAGCAGTGAGGCAGCCAGCAGGGTGCCAGGGAGAGAGGAGAAGCCTCGTAAAGCTGAAGCTGAAAGCTATGAAAAGCCGCTGTGAGGACAGTCAATACAATTCTTAGCTGCAGGGGGCTGAAACAGCACATTGGTCTCAGAGACAGATCCTAGGATCACCTCCAGCGACCCCAAGAGACGTACTCAGAAAGCTGAGAGAGGGCATCGGTGAAAAAGGAAATGATCGTGTTCTTCCTGGGTAAAGTTCTGGTGGAATGAAGGGTGCCTTTCTGGATGGAGGGTGGAAGCACAAAGTCAATCTTCAATTCCCAACAGCTGACAGCACCAAGAGATTCTATGTTACTGTGAGGATAATTTTATATCTATATAGATTTGAGCATCCCTAATCTGAAAATCTGAACTGCTCCAAGATCCAGAACTTTTTGAGTGCTGACATGATGCTCCAAATGAAAATTTCCATGCCTGAACTCATGTGATGAATCACGGTCAAAAGCCTGTCAAAACTTTGTTTCATGCATAAAATTACTCAAAATATCATATAAAATCACCTTTAGGTTATTGTATATAAGGTGTATATGAAACATAAATGAATTTTGTGTTTAGATTTGGGTCCCATTCCCAAGATATCTCATTATGCTATGCAAATATTCCAAAATTCAAAAAAATCCAAAAGCTGAAACACTTCTGGTCCCAAGCATTTCAGACAGGGGATACTCAAGCAGTACGTATTTTTAACATAGAGAAGTTCACTAATTTTCTTTCCAAAACATATAAAAGTGAATTAAGAAACTAATACTTTATTAGGAATGTTAATGTCCATTAAAAGTATAACCAACATCCATTCATAAGAGTGACCTTTGGAAAGATTTTGTAAGGGTGCAAATAAGACTTTAAGGGAAGTGGACATCCAGTACAAAGAAGAGATTCCATGTTTGTGGCTCAATGTCTTACACTTAAATTTCACAGTGCCTCAAGATTCTCAGGAGGGCACCCACATGTTCCCATGCGTATCCGGTGCTTTGACATAAGGAATGTTCCATATCCATGGCCGATCTGGGGGAAAAACACATTACGTAATATTTATTTGAATAGGATGGTAGAAAATGCACTCACCTGATGGCATAAAAACACTTATGTGCTTGACTCTCTAAACTGTGGTAGAGTATTTTCTGAACCAAGCCCAGAAGATTCTCCCCCTTCAGACAACAGCTTTTAGCGAAGGCTCCTATTAGGACACTAGGTGAGTGAACATGGGGAATGAAAAGGTTTGGCTGTGTCCCCATCCAAATCTCATTTTGAATTGCAGCTCTCATAATTCCCACATATCGTGGGAGGGACTTGGTGGGAGGTAATTGAATCATGGGGGCGGGTCTTTCCCATGCTGTTCTCATGATAGTGAATAAGTCTCACACAAGATCTGATGGTTTTATAAAGGGGAATTCCCCTACACAAGTGCTCTCGTGCCTGCCACCATGTAAGATGTGTCTTGCTTCCCCTTCGCCTTCCACCATGATTGTGAGGACTCCACAGCCATGTGGAACTATGAGTCAATTAAACCTCTTTCCTTTATAAATTACCCAGTCTCCAGTATGTCTTTATTAGCAGTGTGAGGACAGACTAATACAGGGAGGCAGGCAGAGACACAGGGGCAAATCCTGGTGCTGCCACTTACTAGCTGTGTCACATTGGCAAATCACTTTAACCAGAACCCCAGGTTCCTTATCTGTACCTATGTTGTGGAGCTGTCACGAGGACTGAGAAAAATCCACATAGACATTGTATCTGGCAGACAGAAAAGGCCTAACAAAGGGCAGCAATTCCTTTCTTCTTTTAGGAAGCTGAAGAAAGCAACAGTAATAGTTGGTACAGCCACAGGTGCAGCTCTCAGCTGGTCACACGTAACCAAGAGGCCCACAGTCACATTTATAAAATGTTTTTGTTCTATTGTTAAGGGTTAATAATTGATGAAACATGAAGGCCTCTGTATAAATAACTGTAGACCAATGCTGAAGAAAACAACATGCCTGGGTATGGTACAATGGAAAGGACACTGAGGACCATGTCAAATTCCACCTCCTCCGTCCCTCTTAATACCCTAGGGAAGGCATGTGGGTTATGGCATCAAGTTCCTCCTCTATGGAATGGGAATTAATTACTTTAGCAACTGGCAGGGATTACTATGGAGCACAAATGAGAACATCTGTGAAAGCTCCTGTTGTAGGTGCTCAATAAATGTGAACTTTTCTTCATCTTAACTGATGTTTCAGAAATTGAAAACATTTCAACAGATCACTTTTACCACACATTGCCACTGCTAGAGTCAAACCATTTCAAAAGAACTATAATATGGGTAGACCGTAAATACATCACAAGGATTAAAAATAACTCCCCATATTATTGTCTTGGTAAGTGTTAGAGAAACTTCAAGGGGCTAGAATGCACATTGTAAACTGCTTCTTGGCGGGTCTGGCATGGACCACCAAGTTAAAGCAGTGTCTCCCAACTGCGAACTCGCCTCTGGGGCAACCTTTCCCTTTCTCTTGAACAGAGGCAGATGGTAGGTCACAGGAAGGTCTGACAAACAATGGTATCTGCTGCTGTCTTCTCGCAGCCTCACGGTTTGTTCAGAGCCATCATACGAACAGCAGCACCCAGCAGGATAGGTAGGAAAAAATACCAAAGATGGCAGCAAATCATCAGAACGCTGTTTGTCTGTCTCTGGCTTTGGGATGGTCTGAAAGCATGAAACCAAACACTTCTTTGTTAACTAAACAAGCTTGTTAGAGAGCCATACACCTGGGTCTGTGTTGCATGCTTGTTTCCTAAGAGGCTGAGGGTCTGGCAGGGCTGACAGATCTGACTCCCCATTGCACTCATTGGCCTCAGCAAGCCCTTGCTCTCTTCCACTGGAAACTCCATCTGTGCTTGGACTTCTGTTATTTACCCATCGTTTCCTGTATACTGTTCTGTTGGGTAACATCAGCTCTGCTTCATTCCCAAGGCCAATGACACCCAATTCTTGCTATGAGTGCTATTAGACATACTATTCAGCAATGCAGGATTTTTGATACAAGCATTTACCACTCAGCCAGTAACTTAAATATCACTGTTGCATTTACTCCTCTCCCTCAAAATTAGGTCATAAATGACCAAGCAAGGACCTGGTAACCACTCTGTTGGCAAATTCCCTGTAGCTCTGCTTTTTGAGTTTTTAGCCTTTCCAATACAAAAACTAAACTCTGCTGTTTAAATGAGTAGAATGTCTATAGCTGGCTGAAAAGCCCATCACTACCTGGAGGCAAAGCTAGAAAAATAACCATAGGAGGAGAAAAGAAGGTGGTTGTGATTCTTTTAACTCATCACTCCTGGAAATCAGCATTAATACTCACTGGTTGAGAGGAAAACCTGCTTTATGCAATCCTCCTAAATTGTCCCATGAGAGAACAACTTGCCTTGTAATAATTCATGCACGTATTTAAAACATTTGTTGCATGCTGGCTAGGTGCCAGAGATTTGCTAGGTGCTATGGACAGAGGGGAATAAGCCATGCATGAAACCTCGCAGGGCTTCTAGTCCAGTGGGGAAGACAGACAAGCAGGCATGCCACAGAGGTGGAGTTCTGACCTTTTCCACATCTGTGTAGCAGTCCCCTAACCTGGCTGACATGAGAAACGCTGGGCAGCCTGTTAGAGAACATTTTCCCAGGACACATGCACAGAGACCTTGTTTCAGTAGGTCTGGGTTGTGGCCTGGCAATATGCATTTTTATCAAATTCTAAAGATGATCTTGATGTAGTCAGAGTTTGGGATTCAAGGCTACGGGGATGGGAAGCTGTCTTTTTTCTGGACTATAGTGGAAGAATTTAAAAGAGGGGAGGGTCATGACCAGATGTGCATGGTAGCACTGTAGAGGATGGCTTCCAGTGGGAGGAGACCAGAACTGGGAAGATGAACAAGTAAGCAAGGCTGGGTGAGAAAGAGGAGGCCTACATTAAGGCCATGGCTGGAAGGATGAAAATGACAGCCCATGTGGTTTTGATCTCTTTATATACAGAGTCTCTGTCCCATCTCTCCCTGTGGTCATACTGTGTGCCTCTTCTGCCTCTTTAACTCTAGAACTTAGCTCTCCACGGGGAGGTAGTACCATGTAACGGGAAAGGGGGTGTGGGCATTGGAACCAGACTGCCAGTGGGGCCTTGACCAAGTTACTCTGAGTGCCCTAGATTCCTCATCTGGAAATTGGGGATTGTACTATCGTACTTGCATCATGCGGTTGTGAGGATACAATGAATTAATTCATGTCAAGTGCTCATATGAGTTCCTAGTACACAAAAGTACTTAATGAATGCTAGCTGCTTTTGAGATTACTCACCTCCCTCAACTCACAGAGGATAAGGATTGTCACCCTATGTACTATGTAGGTCTTAACAGTTTCTTTTTTTTTTTTTTAATAATCAGATAAATCCAAGTGACGTACAAAATCCTGTTTAGCCAGGTAATAAGGTCTTTTCTCCAACCCCCTAAGAAATGGCCACGGGTTAAGGACTTATGACTCTGCTCTCACCCCCATGCCCGAACACCCACACATACATTTTCCACTGTCATCTCTATGCGAAACCTGATGTACGACCTCCAGAAGCCACTGTCACTGTCTTCGCCTGAGCAGTCACTTTTAATTCTTATACCAGGAATAAGTAAAGTAGGGTGTGGGGGCAGGGTGGAATGCCAAAGAGATGAACCAATTATCCTAAAAGATCCAATGCCATTTTACATTAGCCTACTCTGAAATCAAGGAATGTACGAGACATGCCAGCTAGAAATGCCAAAGAGAGCTCCAAAGTGTTTTGCACTGATTTACCAAGTTAGTAGAAATGCAATTATTTGTAATTACGGTATCAATGTTATCTGAAACCCATTAACACCTTTCTCTGTGAACTGCACATATTAATCTGTGACTATATACAGCAGAATAGAACCATCTTACTGGTGTGAGGATAAATTCAACTTGCTGAAAATTCAGTACTTATTTATTTCAAAAGAATCAATTTCAATTCTAGATTTCCTTAAGCTTCCTGATTACAAAGTAATTTTAAAAGCTGAACTCATAGTTTACTTTTAGCCTTCTGTTTGTGCTATGAAACAAAAATAGATTTTACTAAAGGAGATGGCCAAAATCATTCTAAAAAATGTTTTGGGGTACTTCATTAAAAAAAAAAAACTTCATTTCTGAAGATCTTTCAAAAACAGGTCCTTAAAAATAAAACATATCAACAATTTTTTTTTTTGAGATGGAGTCTCGCTCTGTCACCCGGGCTGAAGTGCAGTGACACGATCTCAGCTCACTGCAACCTCCACCTCCCAGGTTCAAGTGATTCTCCTGTCTCAGCCACCCAAGTACTTGGGATTACAGGCATGTGCCACCACACCCAGCTACATTCTGTATTTTTAGTAGAGACAGGGTTTCACCATGTTGGCCAAGCTGGTCTTGAATTCCTGACCTCAAGTGATCTGCCCGCCTCTGCCTCCCAAAGTGCTGGGATTACAGGTGTGAGCCACCACATCCAGCCATACCAACAATTTAAAGCAATATACCTTTTGTGCATTTTATTTGGAAAGGATAATCCAATCAACTTAGTTTCCCTTAGAAAAATACTTGATGATTCTGGACTCTAGCAATAATTCTAACAGGTTTAGTGAAGTTTATTCTGCTACTATCTGAAAGTAGGGAGCTATTTAAAATTAATAAGGCAGTGGGAGAATGGTTAGACCATTTAGGAACAAATGGTTTTAAAACCTTTTGGAGGATTATGTATATTATGTATATGCTAAATCTACATTATGCATACCTCATGTGCCAATCAGCTTTTAAGGACCTCTTCTATTAACTACATTTGCAGTTTATTAGTTTAGTTTCAGCCACTTAAATTTTAAAAAAAATTTTGAAATTATACTTGTCAACAATTATTCACAACCTGGTAAACACCAACTTAACCAATCAATCAAAGTTAACATCATCAGTAATCAGACAGATCGATAGGATGTGCCTCCTGATATGATGCACCAGGAAGAACACATTACTTCTTTGGTATTCTTGGTAAAAGTACATAACCCGGGTCTAATTATAAAGAAACGGTGAGTGGAAAACCCAAAGTAGAATGTTCCTCAGAGTTTATAAAATAACTGGTCCATGCTATGCAATGTGTTGATGCCATGAAACAAAAAATTGTGGAACTGTTCCAAATTAATGGAGACTAAAGAGACATAACTCAATGCATGAACTTTCTCTTTTGCTATAAAGGACATTATTGAGGAAACTGATGAAATTTGAATACAGTTTTGGATCAATGTTAACTGCTGATATTGATCACTGTACTGTAGTTACGTAAGAGAATGCCTTTCTTTTTAGGAAATATACAATCAAAGTATTTAGGGATAAAAGGACATCACGTTTGCTACTCTCAAATAGATGAGAAAAATTGATATGAGAGAGGATGTAAATGTGATAAAATATTGACATTCAGGAACTTGGGTAAAGAGTGTGCAGGAATTCTTTGTACTCTTCTTGTAAACTTTTCTGTAAATTTGGAATTATGCCAAAACTTTGAAAGGAAAAAAATACTATATAAGTACTCATATGTGTATTTTTTTAAAATAATAAAAATGAAACAACCTCCTTAATAGACTATAACTAGTACCTCTGAAGCTTTGCATGTTCAGTTACTTCTTAAAGGAGTCATACAATTTATTAAGTCCAAATAAGATAGGCTTTATTTCACCCTTAGCTCATTACTTCTTCACCCTTTACTCTCTAGATAGCATATAAGATAACAAAGTGAATATAAGCTAAGAAGGGAGTGCAAAACAGATGCCCTTGGAAGAAAGGTTAAGATTACACACCAGTCTATTTTGCTTCCTCTTCAAAATCAAGGTCACACAGCAAGTGGGACATATGGAAATAATCTGTGTTAGATTTTAAAAGTTGGTGATTTTGCTTTATAAAAGCCTTCTTTGGGCCAGGTGTGGTGGCTCTCATTTGTAATCTTAACACTCTGGGAGGCCAAGGCAGGATGACTACTTGAGCCCAGGAGTTCAAGACCAGCCTGGGCAACATAGCGAGACCCCATCTCTACAAAACATTTCTTAAAAATTAGCTGGGCATGATGGCACGCACTGTAGTGCCAGCTACTCAGGAGGCTGAGGTGGGAGTATCACTTGAGCCCAGGAGTTTGAGGCTGTAGTGAGCTGAGACCATGCCACTGCAGTCCAGCCTAGGTGACAGAGCGAGACCCTATCTTTTTTTTTTTTTAAGGGGCGGGGGAGGGGCTTCTTTTAAAATTACTATTAGTAAAATGGGTTTGGTTAAGTTTGATTTTTCAGGAGAAGAGGAATGTAAGTTTGATGAGAGTAAGGATTTGTGCCTGTCTTGTTTGCCAACATATTCCAAGCACCTAGATGGTGTCTGCACACAATAGGCTCTCAATATAGATCTGTGGAGAGAATGAATAAACAGTAACTACTGCACCAAGCAGGGTATACTGGTAGCTGAGTCTTAGTTTTTGCTTTACTTTGATCATTTTCTTGGTTTCAAGATATCTGGCAGCCTCTTGCATTGAGCTTTACTTCATTCACAGCAGTATATTCCTTTGCTAAGCTTTTTGTAGTCTTCTGTCTTTAAAATAACACTGACAAGATCTTAGAGGTGTTACAATGGCTTGAAAATCACTTTTTAAAATGAAGTGCTTTTCAAATGTTCTTAACCACTTACTTTTTCAATCTTGGTAAATGCCTTTCTATAGTCCATATGGCTTCCCAGGAATGTTGGCTATATATGAACTGGTAATACTGAATTACTAGCATTATCCTACATGCAACTGAGGCAGTGTAGAGGACAAAACAGTACCAATATTAAATAAAATGCTCCAGTCTCTCTTGTATGTATCTTTATTTTTTAAAAAATTTATTATTATTATTTTAGCTTAAGCATACCCTGAGATTATATGTATCTTTCAAAAGAAATGCTGAAGAAACAAACAAAACTCATTTAAACATTGGAAAGCATTCTGCTTGCTGGCCAAATAAAAGATTTCTCATTCCATGGTCTAAGACACTATACCTAGCTGTAAACTTCTAAGTTCCTGGGAATGCTTACTTTACTGGAAGGAAAGGGCCCTTGGAACATTTTTCAGGCTCTTCTAGTGCTTCCATTTTTGCCTTCTTAGTCCTTTGAAGATTAGGACTAAAGAAATGAAGGGGGTGGAATCCAGCCAGGGTGCAGGGCTGGGGGTGGGAAGTGCAGGGCCCAAGGCCAGACCCCAGCAGATAAAGCCTAGTCAGTCAGTCCCCACTTCCAACAGGGAGGAGGAGAACTTGGGTTAAAAAAAAAAAAAAAGGAAGAAAAGGAACCTGAAGAACAGATAAGGGGAGAAAAGACAAAAGTAGCACAAAGCCAAAAGAGGGAAGATAAGTACTTTATAGATAATCTCAGTTAATCTTTTCAATAACCCTATAAGGTAGATACTCACAGTTCCTCACTGTGTAGACAGACACACTAAAACCTAGAGAAAGTAACTAAATGCCCAAGTCTATTTAGTAAGTTGTGGAGTTGGCACAGAAACATGGCCTGATTTTAAAGCAGGGTTTTCCTGGGGTTTTTTTTTTTTTGGTGGCAGGTAAGATCCTGACAGACTGCTTTAAATTCTGATAAAAATCTAGATAGCCTTGCTACCGAAAACGAAATATGCATGAATACACAAGAAATTTAGAGGACTCAACAGAAAGGCATAGGGGATTTCCACACTTTAGAAAGGAGAAAAAGAATGCCTCCTGAAACTTAGCATCAAACTATTGATTAGAGAAATACAAAGTTACCAGCAAGAGGCAGGATGGCACACTGGACAGCATGAGATAGGATTAACTTTGTCAGATGTGTTAACACCATCTAAGAAAGGGCCCATCAGACAGAGAAGGCTTGGTTTACTATGAAAGCTGAGAAGGTTAGTGGGACAGAGGAGGCTTGGTTCACCATGAAAGCTGAGAATGGTTAGCGGGACAGAGGAGGCTTGGTTCACCATGAAAGCTGAGAAGGTTAGCGGGACAGAGGAGGCTTGGTTCACCATGAAAGCTGAGAATGGTTAGCGGGACAGAGGAGGCTTGGTTCACCATGAAAGCTGGGAAGGTTAGTGCGACAGAGGAGGCTTGGTTCACCATGAAAGCTGAGAAGGTTAGTGGGTAGGGAAGTTGTTAGATTCCATGAAACATTGTTGAGGGAACAGAGGAACCACTGGGCAAGGCCAAGCTTGGTAAGAACTGGAGATTTTGGGGTATCAATGAGTGATGTCATTAAAATTTGCCAATTGAAAAAAAAATCTTTTCTCTGTTCAGATTTAACACTGGCTCAGAAACCTGCAGATTATAATTTGGCTATGTGGGCCTCTCCTTTCCAGTGGAGAATATGCTGATTTGGTGATGTAATTTGCCATTTTAAATTAAGTGTGTCTTGATTATATATCTCATCCTGTCTGAGTTTGCTAAGTGTGGACCCACCTTAAAGACAGATATTCTCAGGGCTGATAAAAGCAGCAGAGCAGCCTGTGAGGCTGGGACACACGCAGGCCAGACATAGGTGGGTACACTGATGCCAGCCAGCCTTCCTCTGAGCACAACTGAACCTTCTGCAGCTATTCCTATTGTGTTTCTACTGTGAAAGATACTTGGTCACTGCCCTTAAGACTCAATGCATGCAGTTTTCAAAGTGTAGCCCCTGGGGACCTCCCTTTTGAGGGTTTGTGAGCATGGTGGTTGGGAGGGCCTGTGAAGTCAACATTATTTTCATTGTAGTATTAAGCCATCATTTGTTGTTTTCATTTTCATTTTTACACAGGTATACAGAGGCTATGCGATGTGATATCACAACAGCCTCAATGAGAACACAGCAATGAGAATTCAGGTGTCACCTTTTAAGATGCACATAAAGAGGCTTGCAAAAACATAAAACACCACTTTCCTTGCTATTTTCTTCTTTTTGGAAATTGTCATAAGAACTTTTTTTTTTCCTTAGAGTTGGGGTCTTGCTCTGTCACTCAGGCTGGAGTGCAGTGGCTCAATCATAGCTCACTGCAGCCTCAAACTCCTGGGCTCAAGCGATTCTTCTACCTCAGCCATCCAAATAGTTGGAACTACAGGCATGATCCACCACACCCGGCTATTTAAAACAAATTTTTTTTTACATACTGGTTCTCGCTATGTTGGGCAAGGTGGCCTTGGGCTCCTGGCCTCAAGCAATATTCCTGCCTCGGCCTCCAAGGGTGCTGGGATTACAGGTGTGGGCCACCGTGCCTGGCATAAATGTACGTTACAATAGATTTATTATTGTTACATTTCTTGGTTTTAATTTCTAATAGTTAGACTTAATGACCTTTTGACCTTTATGATGGTGTGAAAGTGATACGCATTCAGTAGAAACAGTACTTTAGTAGTCTCCAATAAATTCTATGAGATAGTCAACAATTTATTATAAAACAGTCTTTGATTTATTTTGCCCAAGTGTAGACTAATTTAAGAGGTCTGATCATGTTTAGGGTAGGCTAGACTAAGCTATGGTGCTCAGTAGATTTGACGCATTAAATGCATTTTTGACTTATGATATTTTCAATTCATGAGGGGTTTATCAGCATGTAGCCCCAGTGTAAGTCAGGAAGGATCTGTATAGTAATTATAGGAGTGCAAAGGGATTCCAAGACTAACCAGTGGCTACAAGGCCCCAGACAGGCTGGCAAAGGGCCCTCTGCAAACTTGAGCTTCCAGAGGGTTCCATGAGCCAGGATCCCACTGAGACCAAAGGCTTCTCCTGGGCTCTGTTTGTTTTTCTTATGCATATCCACCCGTGGTTTTCCTTTATCTGTGTCTCACCTTTACTTCCATACAGTTCTGGAGGCAAATCATATGGCACAGGAAAGGTGGCCATTGGCTCCTGGCTGCCAGCGAAGAACTTCTGTTTCACTTTGAAACTGTCTAGACCCTGCAGACACACAGAGGAAATCTATGATTGCACCCCATTTTCTGGGTTTAAAAAAAAAAACCAGAAGGCCTCAAGAAGCAATAATATCTTTATGGTACCTAAATAAAATTCAAATTATTTTGGAGGTATTTTCAATGTTCATAGGCAAATATATTTACAACCCCCCCGCCCCAAATTATTTTCCTTTCTAAACATAAGAGCTTTAATTTTCAGGAATTAAGTTATAGCAAAGTTTGCAAAAGTTTTCAAAGGATACAAAGAAACAAGAGAGACAATTTTGGATATGATAGCCCATTTCAACCCAACATTATGTACAGTTTGCAGGGAGTTTGTAGAACTCACTGTATAAAAATACCTCAAAATACTTCCAACATTGCTATAGTAACAGGCTGCCTGGAGTAAGAAGAAATAAAAGCTGCTTTCATGTATAATGAAAGTGTTCCAATATAATGTGACAGAAGTATAAAAATGAAAATTCTTTAAGACCTATCAAAATGGAAGGTTTATTCCAAGAACTCTAGAATAGGGTATTAATTTTAGATCTTAATCAGGGTGGAAGTGGAGGTTCTATATCTAGGCTGATGTTCACACTGCCACTTCCTTCCAACACAAGGCCTGCCGCAGTGCAGGTGCTTACCACATGACCGATGTGCCCCCTCGTGCTTCCATACATTGACCAACTCCTGCCCCTTCGTGGATCATCCTGGCATTCTGCTTGTCCGTCTGTCTCTCATTCCTTCTGTCCACCCATCCACACACATATCCACCCTTCAAATCCTCAATAGGCACATACCCAACAGTGCTGATGTCTTAGGAACCCATAAAAAGAACAAAGACTGAGGTGCAACTTAGCAAGCGGAGGCTGGTCATGGGCAGTGTCAAAGAACATGGGGAGGTCCGTGTTGACTGGGCTTCAGATAATCTGGGTTCTAGACTTTTCTCTGGCATTTATTAAGCTGAGTAAATGACTGATGTCTGCACATTCGTTCATTCGACACTTTATTTCTCGAGTCCCTCTTCTGGGTCAGGCATGGTGCCAGGCACTGAGTGTACAAGAGTTAACATAAACATCAATATCCTTGTCCTCATGGAGTATACAGTCTGGTGGAGGGACATAAAATACATCTATAAAAGTAAAATAAAAATTACTATTTGTGCTAAGTGCTGCAAAGAAAAGCAAAGGAGTGCCATAAGAGAATAGCAGGCCTATTTTAGACTTGGCAGGAGCGGGTGATCAGTGGAAGCCTCTCTTAAAAAAGCAACACCTTTATTAAACTCTGAAAGATGAGCAGAGTTTGGTCAGGTGGGAGTGGAAAGAATTATGTTGCAGGTGGAGGGAACAGCATCCGCAAAGGCCCAGAGGTGGCAAAGAGCCTGGCAGGTCCCAGGGACTAAAACAGATGTTGAGTGGGACAGTTGGCCACTTTTATTAGGTTTCTTTGTTTTTTGGAGACAGAGTCTCACTCTGTCACCCAGTCTGGAGTGCAGTGGTGTGATCTCGGCTCACTGCAGCCTCTGCCACCCGGGTTCAAGCAGTTCTCATGCCTCAGCCTCCCGAGCAGCTGGGATTACAAGCATGCACCACCATGCCTGGCAGATTTTTGTATTTTTAGTAGAGACAGGGATTCACCATGTTGTTCAGGCTGGTCTTGAACTCCTGGCCTCGAGTGATCCACCCACCCCAGGCTCTCAAAGTGCTGGGATTACAGGTGTGAGCCACTGTGCCTAGGTTTCAATTTCTGTGTTTGTCCGCATATTCTCACTCATAGGTGGGAACTGAACAATGAGAACACATGGACACAGGAAGGGGAACATCACACTCTGGGGACTGTTGTGGGGTGGGGGGAGGGGGGAGGGATAGCTTTAGGAGATATACCTAATGCTAAATGACAAGTTAATGGGTGCAGCACACCAGCATGGCACATGTATACATATGTAACTAACCTGCACATTGTGCACATGTACCCTAAAACTTAAAGTATAATAATAATAAAATTTAAAAAAAAATGTTCTGTGTTTGTAAAAGTGGGAAAGGCTGAGTGTGGTGGTTCACACCTGTAATCCCAGCACTTTGGGAGGCCGAGGCAGGCAGATCACTTGAGGTCCGGAGTTCAAGACCAGCCTAGACAACATGGTGAAACCACATCTCTAATAAATAAATACAAAAAAAAAAATTAACTGGAGTGGTGGTGTGTGCCTGTAATCTCAGTTACTTGGGAGGCTGAGGCAGGAGAATAGCTTGAACCCAGAAGGCAGAGGTTGCAGTGAGCCAAAATCACGCCACTGCACTCCAGGCTAGGTGACAGAGTGAAACTCCATCTCAAAAAAAAAAAAGAGTAAAAATGAGATAATCAAGCTTCTGGAGACATTACCATTTCTAACTTTAGCACCCAGCACAAGTCCTGGTACATAGTAGGTGTTCAAGAAATACCGATCTGTAGAAATGGAACTAAAGTTCCTTTCCTGCTTCCTTTATAAGTTTCTGCATAAGAGCAAATGGCACAACCTGTGTGAAAGTGTTTTGTGCATGTCAAGACCTACAGAAAGGTATGGGTTACAGCACTGATGAAGATGGTGATCAGTAATACAGTGAAAGGCAGGAGGTGGCAGATGCCAGGCACAAACTCTAGACAGAATAGGAAGAAGTGCCCTTCTTCTAGTCATTTTCCTTATCCAAGAAGGATAAGGAAAGGCTTTGTAGAGGATATTTTAGCTAGGGCTTGAAAAATTGGTGTAATTTTAATAAACAGAGAGATGATAGGGAAGAATACCAAGCGTGAGAACAGCATAATCAAAGGCAGGGTCAGCAAAGCACAGAGCAGGCACATCCCGGGAGGGCGAGGGCACTGACACAGAGGAGGGTGACAGGGAAGACACAGAGGAGGGGGACAGGGAAGACACGGAGGGCAGGCAGGCCAGCTCGGCAGCACCTGCCCCCAGGTTTCCCTGCTCACATGTTACCTTTGACACACTCTGGATCTGAGGAAGTCCCTAATTATCTCTTGCTTTTGCAGACTGCTTACTTGCTGTGTGGCTCTAAGCAAGTTACTTAGCCTTTCTGGGCCCTGGTTTCCTCGTTTATGAAATGAAGATGATATGAGCACCTAATTCATAGGGCTACTGTGAGGATATTTAAGTTATTTAACAATGACTGGCCCATGGTACTTATTCCAGGAAACAAATGAGTATAATTATAAGTATTTTCAGGACAATTCTCTGTGATGTAATCACTCCTATTTTACAGAGAAGGAAACATATTTGGAGGTTAAATAGTTGCCCAAGGCCACACAGCTATTAAAAGTGGCAAGGCCGGGCACAATGGCTCACACCTGTAATCCCAGCACTTTGGGAGGCCAAGGCGGGTGGATCACCTGAGGTCAGGAGTTCGAGACCAGCCTGATCAACATAGTGAAACCCTGTCTCTACTAAAAATACAAAAATTAGTCAGGCATGGTGGAGTATGCCTGTAATCCCAGCTACTTGGGAGGCTGAGACAGGAGAATCGCTGGAATCCAGGAGGCAGAGGTTGCACTGAGCCGAGATCGAGCCACTGTACTCCAGCCTAGGTGACAGTGATGAAACTCTGTCTCAAAAAAAAAAAAAAAAAGGCCGGGTGCGGTGGCTCATGCCTGTAATGCCAGCACTTTGTGAGGCCGAGGCGGGCGGATGACCTGAGGTCAGGAGTTCGAGACCAGCCTGGCCAACACGGAGAAACCCCATCTCTACTAAAAATACAAAAAATTAGCCAGGTGTGGTAGTGCGCATCTGTAATCCCAGCTACTTAGGAGGCTGAGGCAGGAGAATCACTTGAACCCAGAAGGCGGAGGTTGCAGTGAGCCAGGATGGCACCACTGCACTCCAGCCTGGGTGACAAAGCGAGACTCTGTCTCAAAAAAAAAAAAAAAAAAAAATAATGGCAGGGCTGGAAATCAAACCGTCTTTCTGATTCTTGGTCCTACATTCCTTCCACCAAGCAAACAAATGGTCTCACATTCACCACCAGGAACTATGACAAAGGAAGAATTCCTTGAAAATTTAAGGCAGGCAGGGTCAAGATGAGCCAAATTCTAGAAACCCTGGTATTTGGACATTTTAAAAAACAAAGAGGCTAGTGGCTGGGAAGTGATTCCAAGTTAATGATTATTATACTTTTATGGAGTTTCAGGTAAAAAATGACTTCTCTCTTCTTTAGCTCCTATTAGTCCTGATATTTTCAAATATATCGTGGCCACAGGTTATGGTTCTTTACAGCCTGGGCCCAGATCTGAGGCTGTGTGCTCGACCCATGACTCCATTTTGTGATATTCGACCTCAGATATGAGAAGGTTTGAACTATCCCTGTCTGACAGAAACCAATATGCTTTTATTTTGAATGCCATTTCTGATCCAAATTCTAGGTTATTACAAAAAAAAGTACTACTTTCCCCTTCAATCTGAATGTCAAATAATTTGAGGCTGTCTTCTAATTATCATTATTTATATATCACAGTGGTATCACTTGGCATTTTACAAAACAGAGGAAGGCACCCTCCCAGGCACAGATACTTAGAAGACAGTTAAGACAATACGTTTATAAAACACCAGGTGAGAGGGTGGACATATATCACACATGAGAAATTGCTGGCTTTTCCTTTCTTCAGCTTTGGGAGTGAAAGAGCTGATTGTCGCTCTGATGATTTATGTTTAGCAGCTTAGCTCAATCATAGGGAACAGGAGGCATGCTTCAGTTTCAGTTAGAGATGTAATTTATGTTTTTATTTGCAGCTATCCGAGTAGCAACCTCAAGTGGTAAAACCCTACACAAGGCATCAGGCTTTCCTGGATAAAACAGTGATAGCAGCTGAACTTCCCAGAAGGGGCACACTTAGTCAAAGACCAACTAATTGGCAAGGAAGTAAATTATAGGAAGGTGGTGGCATCTTTCCTGCAAGGCAGTATAGGATCAACAACTGGAAGTGCTTCCAGCTAGGGGCTTAGGAAAAGCTTTGTGGAGAAGTGTAAACCTAACAGGATTTTGAAGGATGGGTTTTTGATAAGCAAAGGGCTGTTTGTGTGGGGCTGGGGGAATGCAGTTCAGAAGGAAAGAAAAGAGTGCAACGTCATCACAGAAGTGACATCAAGATTCTGATTTGACTGAAAACCCATGGAGTATCAGCCCCTGCTTTCAACCTTCTGTTGAACTGTGTGGCTTATATGCTGTTGCTGCTACTGCTAATGTCAACTGCAACCTTTACTGAGACTTGCTAAGTACCAGGCACTGTTGTAAACACTTTATGGGTTATAACTCTTGATCTCACATGAGATCCTATGAGTTACATTGTTTCCATTGTACAACGAGAAAAAGGGGCCTACGGAAGTAGAATAAGGAGGCCAAATCTAACACAGCTTGTAAGCAGGATCCTAGCTCCTCTCTGTCTCACTTCAAAGTTCATTCTCTTTCTCTCATTTTGGCTCCTAGAGATCTGAGGTCCCTAAGGGATCTGTCCAATGTGTTTCCCCATATTCTCTTACCAAGTTACTTCAGAGTCTCTGAGACAAAGAGCAGTAGATCCCAGGATCACACTGCTAGTAAAAAGGGGCCATTGCTGCTACAGCCTACGTGCATTAATATGCTAACAAATACTTGTGGGTGGCTGGAGCCTGGGGGACATGCTGTTCCAGCTCACAGTGGACCTTGATGTCACACAAAGGAGTCCGGACATCATCTCGTGGGCCAAAGATTGCTGCTGAGGGTTTAAGGGCAGAGGAACACAGACCCTGACATGTGGGTAGAAACCCAGCAGTAGCCTGAGATGGGGAAAACAGGGAGGGAAGGGTCAGTTCATCCAGGGGAGAGAGAAGGTGACAACCAGTAGGAACAGGCAGAGAAATTCTTGCCAGGAATGCTCATCATCACTGGCCATCAGAGAAATGGAAATCAAAACCACAATGAGATACCATCTCACACCAGTTAGAATGGCGATCATTAAAAAGTCAGGAAACAAGAGGTGCTAGAGAGGATGTGGGGAAATAGGAACACTTTTACACTGTTGGTGGGACTGTAAACTAGTTCAACCATTGTGGAAGACAGTGTGGCGATTCCTCAAGGATCTAGAACTAGAAATATCATTTGACCCAGCCAACCCATTACTGGGTATATACCCAAAGGATTGTAAATCATGCTGCTATAAAGACACATGCACACGTATGTTTATTGCAGCACTATTCACAATAGCAAAGACTTGGAACCAACCCAAATGTCCATCAATGATAGACTGGATGAAGAAAATGTGGCACATACACACCATGGAATACTATGCAGCCATAAAAAAGGATGAGTTCATGTCCTTTGTAGGGACATGGATGAAGCTGGAAACCATCATTCTCAGCAAACTATCGCAAGGACAGAAAACCAAACACCACATGTTCTCACTCATAGGTGGAAATTGAACAATGAGAACACATGGACACAGGGTGGGGAACACCACACACCGGGGCCTGTCGTGGGGCAGGGGGAGGGGGAGGGATGGCATTAGGAGATATACCTAATGTAAATGATGAGTTAATGGGTGCAGCACACCAACATGGCACATGTATACATATGTAACAAACCTGCACGTTGTGCACATGAACCCTAGAACTTAAAGTATAATAATAAAAAAAAGAAAATAAATTCTTGCCAGGGCAGATGGTATAGGATGTGGACAGGTGAGAGGAAGGAGTAGAATGCAAGGGCCGTGGCTTTATTCGCTGGATGCGAGAACATCAGCAGGTACCAAGATACGCCATGTCAAATTGTTGCCCGGCTGTGGCCTCCTGGGAAACCCTGGGGACCCATAACAGATGGGCTGGGCCCAAGGCAGGTAGGCAGCATTGGTGTCAGGAGGAAGAAGACAAAGAGAGGGTTAAGGTGGTGGCTCTTGTAAACTGTATTAGTTCTTCCAGCCAGAGCCACATCATAAGAGTGCATGTACTTTTGGTACACACCATGTTTACAATGAAAAAATTTAAACAGAACAGAGAAAAGAGAAAGTAGAGACTTGACTTTTTGGAACCCACTAGCACAGGACCAAGTGACCCTGGGGCTCAGAAGAGGCTGAGACCAGCACAGGGACACCTGGGCTACTTTCATCCGGAAGTAAGCAGTATTGGACCCTGATCCAGGCTTCTCAGATGCTTATGTGCAATATTATTCCCAGAGGCAGGAGGAATTCTAGCCACAGTGCACTAGGCAGGCTCAAGTCTAGTGCCTACTCAGTGGCTGACAGAGTATGTGCTCAATAAACACCAAAGGAATGAGGTCCAAAGAGAGAAGTACTTGTACCTCCCTGATATATTCACAGAGGCCTTTGGGTTTGGAATACAGCTACTGATCTTTGAAATAATCACAGCTTTCCTATATTGAGACTTTCTGAACCGTAGTCTAATTTAAAAGTTAAATACACTTAAAGGGACAACCCAGAAAACATTACATAATTGATAAATTGATTTTAGACCTGAAAAGAATAAAGTCTTTGATTTAAATTAACAAACTTTTATTAGGCGACTACTACTACTATACACCAAACATCACTAAGTACTGGGCATACAAAGTCAAATGTACCTTGACATGACTCTCCAAAGCTCTTGAAAGTGTTCTTAGTCAAAGGGGAAGCTATTGACAACATACTTTACAAGTTAGGTTTCTCTCAAAAGGATGTATTTCCAGATTTATTCACTTAAAAAAACAAGAAAAAAAATAGGAACACATGGTACCAGCGACTTATCAGCCTCCAGATCAATCCCAGGTTTCAAATGGCATCTTTATCATGAATGGGAAATGCTGGTTCTCCACCTGCTGTATTTTTAGTTCACAGTAGTGTCACATCACACGGCAACTTGGTTCCAGAGTGACAGGTCCTAATCATGGCTGTGGGGAAGTAGAGAACTGCAGGATTCCTTTTCTAGGTGAGGCCTCTGCAGTGTGTGACACTGTGCCATTCTGGGCACTAAGCTTGACTATCTGCAACAATGGCTCCAAATGAGCCCCTCAGAACACAGCAAGTGACACGGCCTACTGGTGAAGGACAAAAGTGGCAACTCTGGCTGCTGATACCTCAGACATGTGGGTGGTGCGGACACAGAGTTCTACCCAAGAGATATGAAGGAGGGCTGATCTCAAGGAAGTAAATTCTGGATGATGTCCAGTCTGAAGGATGTCTAAAAAATTCTGTATTAAGTAAGTCTATTTGGCAAACATGAAGCCAAAAACACTAAAAGGCATGTCTTGCTGGTACTGAACAGGGAAACCTAAAAAAAGATATTAACTCCTGGCCTCATTTTATGATAAACTGCATTCTTGTCAGTAAACATTTTAGGATTATGATACAGAAATCTTTAAGATATTTATTAAATTAATTTATAGGGATTGGCATTTGTAAGTACTGCAGTGGACTCCTAAGCGTATGTGTATTTTAATTTCAAGACAGCTACAGATGAGCTATTCCATACTGCAAATTGCTTTACAACACAGTTTGTGAACATATTTAAGCACCTACTGCACACAATACCCACTGGACCAAAATCACAGTCTCCATACTGTTTCACACACTTCTCACATTGTTCGGTATGGATCAACTTAAAGGAAACAACTTCAACTAACAGACACTTAGGAAAAGCCTCCCACATGACCCATTCAGCTCACTCTGGTCCAGGAGACAAGAGTCAAAGGTCACAATGCAAGGTGGGATATGTGCTGAGCCCCAGGTTCTAGAAAGTTGTGGATGCAGAGGAGGGGTGCCTGGAGTGGAGACAGGTGCAGCAGGCAGAGGTGGGGCGTAAAGGTGTCATTCTCAGTACAGATTATGGCTGGCTAGCAGGGTGGACCTGGCTCGTAGTGAGAGCCATGAGTTCTGCACAGCATAAACAGTAAGTACCAGGAACGAGAGGTTAGGAGTCGGAGCACGAAGGGGAAAAGAAGCCCTGCTAAGGAGGCTGGATTCTACCTTACAGGATCTCCAGCAGGTAACAAAACCAGATCTGTGGTCTACAAGGCCCATTCCCACAGTGGACTGAGGAGTAGCATAGATGTGGCCCAGGGAGGTGAAGTGGGGGCCATGGCAGTAACAGCTGATTCGCCCAGCATGTGATGTTGCGGGGGTGTTCAGAGGGAACAGATTATCAAGAAGCATTAAGGAGTGAGAAATGACAAGATCTTTTGGGAGGCTGAGAAGGATCACTTGAGCCCAGCAGTTCAAGACCAGTCTGGGCAACATGGCAAGACCGCATCTCTACAGAAAAATTAACAAGTCAGCTGGGTGTAGTGGCACACACTTGTAGTCCCAGCTACTCAGGAGGCTGAAGTGGGAGGACTGCTTGAGCCTGGTGGAGACTGCAGCTCTGTACTCCAGCCTGGGCGGCAGAGCAAGAGCCTGTCTCAAAGGAAAAAAAAAGAAAAGACGTGCCAAGAGAGTGAGGTGAATAGTAACAGTGACTCATTAATAATCAGGTTTGTTAAACAGTGTGGTTTACATGGCTAAGATGATGATTTTGATAATACATGCAATGTGCTATATCCTCAAGTACCTTTTAAATAGTATAAATCATAATCCTAATTTCAGAATTATATTTTGTAAGATTCAAATTCTCTGAAAACTGGCCTAAGACCACTAGCCCTGCTTAAAAAACTGATGCCTTTCTACTATCCACGTGGAACCAAGGCCAGTGGTGTGTTCTGTTCTCCAGTCTCCTTCAGATTGGAATTCCAAGCCTCTCATACCCACGCCCCATCCCCATTCCAAGCACACAGAACTGTTTGCTCTTTCCCAAACACAGCCTGCACTATTATCTCTGTCTGGAAGCCTCCTCTTCCCTGACAGCAGTTAAGCTCATACTCCTTTCTCAAGAGTGAGATCGAATGCCACCTCCTTAACAAAGCCTTTCCCAAGCCCCCCGGGCAGACCACATGGTCCCTCTTCTCAGAGCCCCTGTATTTTGAATGCCCCACACCCTAGTTGTTGTCATATATTGTAATCACCAGTGTCTGTTTCCTCAGCTTATCCATGCGTTACCAGAGAACGAAGCCTCCACTTCATCCTTTATTCTCTTCGCAGGGGCCTGGAAGACAGCAGGCACAGGGTATGTGTGGGACTGAAGTGAGTATGGAGGTGGGTAGTCCCAGGCCACTGGAACGTCCAGGTAGGAGCCTGGGGTATGCTTTGAGGAGGGAACCGTCGGGCTGTTCCGTTGGACAGCCTCTCCTTCACAAGTTAAGCATCTCACTCCTGTGCACGTATAAACTCAGCGAAACGACAAACTACCTCATGGCACAAATCTCTGGGTCATCCTCAAGGTCAAAACCATCAATGTTAATTTTGTGAAGGCCAAGCAAAGGTCTACTTTTTTTCCAGAAGCTTCACATATCAGTAGACAACATAGATGTTGTGATATAAGCACTTTAAGATAAAGTCTCCTATATCAAAATAACCCAACAACCCTTTTTACAGACTGACAAGACGCACATCAACTCACTTATGGGTGAAACCCCTTGGTAGTATCTACCCCTTAGGGTGACTTCCTCGCTCACATCCATCCTCCCTTCTCTGGAAACAGGCTCTTTCTCCGGGAATGGAGCTGGGAGAGTCCTGAGTCATGGAAGGCAGATCTAGGCCTGAGGTGTCACTGGGATGCGGACTGGCCAGCACCTGGGCTGCAGAGCCATGCTAGCTGCAGAACCCAGGGAGAAGGGCCGCTGCTGAGTCCCCTAAGAGGGCCTGGGCCCGTTGCTCCCAAGTCTCAGCTACTCAGCAACTCCTCTGATCCCATGACATCCCCCCAGCATCTTTTCAGTAAACTCCTTCCATCTGTGGGCTTCTGTGGGCACAAATTGGTTTCTGTAATGCACAACAAAGTCCTCTGGCTCTGCTCACTCAGGTAGGCACCTCCCTCAGATCTCAGCACCCAGCTCTCACCCAGGAAGGATGTCTCTGTCTCATTGCTTAGGTGTATCAGGTGGCCATCTGACTCTATGACCACCCTGCCCAACTAGCCTATGAGCTCCCTGGGAGGGGAAGGGTAAAGCCATTCTGTGTACCGTCCACAATGCCTGATTAGAGCACTCTGCCCAAGTCATTTGTGATTCACTGAAGGACACAGCCCAACCAAAGGGACAATGACTAATGACAAGATAGGTATAGTGAGTGGGGCCTCACCAGGGTCATGACGGAAGCCTGCTGGAAAGCACTGTTCCAGGCTCTGTTTTTTGAGATGTGCTAACAAACTCTTGGAAAATCTGTTACAATCTTAGACTGTTAATTACATCGTCACCCTAATTGGTGCCTAGCTCTTGAATCAGTTGGCATAGTCTAGAAGGGGTGGAATCTGTTTTATATTCTTGTCTGATGGTCTTTATAAATAATGCAATCTCTATTTTACCTGGAATGTGCTATAATGGGGCTCTTTCTTATTCCAAAATATAGAAGAGCCCCCCTATAAGGTCGGTTTAGGGATTCCAAATGATTATTTCTTTTTCTCTATTAGCCTTCATTAATGGATAGTCAGAGAAAGAATATCTGGGGTAAAAAATGAATAGCTCAGAAGGGTTTAGAGGACCTGGAAGGGCAATACATTTCTTCCTATTAGCATTTTCATGATCAGCATTTTCATGGTCAGAACAGTTACAAAGGACCAGACTTTTGTAAATGCTGACAACAGAAGCCAAACAGGAGTGATGTGGAATTTATTCCATTACTTATTATTGGGAGAGAACTCCAGCCACAGTTATTATAAAAGCCACAGTCACTATAATCACACCTCCTAGTGATGTGACTTCATTGTTTCCCACAAGCTGTATGATAAAGCTGAAATCTTATAACTAAAAGAGGTTAGTTACATAGTTTTGTAGTGAAACTGAGACAGAAAGAGAAAGAATGGATAGACTGGTGAGAAGAGGAGAGAGAAAGGGAGAAAAGAGCTCTTCACCTGAGCACGGTGTGAGAAACAGTGAACGACGCTGGGGTGGGCTGGGAAGGTGGGTGCTCTCCAGCGTGCCTTAAGACTGGATTAAGCAGTGGCACACACCTGTAATCCCAGCACTTTGGGAGGCTGAGGCAGGCAGATCGCTTGAGGCCAGGAGTTGGAGACTTGGCCAACATGGTGAAACCCCGTCTCTACTAAAAATACAAAAATTAGCTGGACGTGGTGGCAGGCGCCTGTAGTCCCATCTACTAGGGAGGCTGATGCAGGAAAATCACTTGAACCCTGGAGGTGGAGGTTGCAGTGAGCCGAGATCATGCCACTGCACTCCAGCCTGGGCGACAGAGCGAGACTCTGTCTAAAAAAAAAAAAAAGACTGGATTAGTCCAGATTGAAGTCTGAGGACAAGCACACACCAACCCCTCAGCTAAATCATCTGGTCCAGTTGGTGTTGTCCACAATGGAGCTTTGTCATGTGTGTTTGTCATAAATTCAACTATAGCCAGTGAGGAGGGCAGGGGAGGGAGGGAGGAAGGAAGGCGGGGAGGGAGGGAGGGACAAAGGCAGGCAGGGAGGGAGGGAGGGAGGGAGGGAAGGAAGGAAGGGAGGGAGGGAGGGAAGGAAGGAAGGGAGGGAGGGAAGGAAGGGAGGGAGGGAGGGAGGGACGGAAGGGAGGGAGGGAGGGAGGGAGGGAGGGAAGGAAAAAGCATTAGCCATCTGATCATGTGGGCAAAGCATTAGCCATCTCATCGTGTGGGCGATTCTGAGTGTGTGCCCACAGTGACAGGAAGGAAGGAAGGGAGGGAGGGAGGGAGGGAGGAAGGGAGGAAGGAAGGAAAAAGCATTAGCCATCTCATTGTGTGGGCGATTCTGTATTCTGTGTGTGTGTACCCACAGTGAGTATAAGGAGGTGACATGGGAGATCTCAGTCCATGTGCCTCTTATGGTGAGAATATCTCTCTGGGTCAAGCGTGATTCTAGCATTTAGAGAAACAGATGGCTTGTACACCCCAGCCCCTATGTGCAAGCCACTCCTTCTGGTGTTTGGACACAGCCACTCTTTCTGGTGTTTGGACACAGAAATCTCAAGTGGCTCCAGAGCTAGGAGACAAGCTGGCTGTGCTGGACATCTCGAAAGACCAGTTCGACACGGTGCTTTTCCAGGGGGCTTACTGGGCCAGAAGCACATGTCCTTTGTGCCACCCCACTGGCCCCGCCCAGCCAAACTCTAGCCGATGATGTGAACCAATCTCTGCTTCCCAGTTTGTGCTACTACCAATTCCTTTCCAACGTTGATGCCATTCCCACCTCTCTCTATACAGCCTACATCCTAAGCATCTTTCAAATACTCTGCCAAGCTCTCCTGCTTCCCAACTTCATCCTCCAGTCACCCCTACCTAAAACAACTTGTGCTTGATTGGGCCATTCCTTTGGTGACTTGTCATCTACCACCTCGAGATAAATCTTCACATTGTAGTTCACAATATTTATTTTAAATGTTATTAATTTCGCTGGAAGCACACAGTCAATTCCTAATCAAGTACATGCCTTGAAAGCAGGTATCCCACTGCACCCAGACTGGTGAGTGTTCAGTAAGCTCAGAGGTACAGACCAGCGGTTAAGAGTGCAGGCTCTGGGTAAGAATCCCGACTGTTTCCTGCCTACCTTAGGCAAGCTGTTGTGACTAAAGGAAGAGAACACAAAGCCCAATTCATCTCCCATGTGACCCACTGTGCAGTTGGAAGTGTAAACTTACAAATGCTGAAGGGAGGAAAAGGACCCCGAGCTCGTAGGAGCGGATCATCAGCTGGGTGCCATTCTTCTCCAATGCTCCCCAGGCAGCCTTGGACAGATTTGCGCTGCAGAGACAAGGACACAGATAGGGCTGACTCAGGGAGGCATCTCAGTGTGGGTCAAACTTCCACAGCTGCAAGAGCACCGGTCAAAAAAATATATAGCTGCAATCACATTCATTCATTTTCTAGCAGAGTTGCTGCATTTTTGAAAAGAGAATTTAAAATCTGCTGTTCTCTAATCCTCGAGATTTATCTAATTGCTAATTTGGGATAGTTTCACCCTCATCTGCATTTTCCTGAGGGCAGCTATTAAAATAATTATCTTTCCTTAGATTTTATTTTTTTCGTTCTAAAGCCCCTTTTCTTTTCACGATCCTGGAGTAGCCAGGATTTCTGGTTTTGTTGTACATAAAACTAGCATTTAAGAAGAAAGTTAATATTATCTTATGTAGTAGTATCTTAAGCTTCATATTTCCTTTTTCAGTTTTTTTGCCAGGTAGTGCTAATTTCTACTTTCAATGTGAAGAAAACAGCTCTGAGGGCAAAGACTGTTATTTGTATCTAGAGATAAATGGTACATTCAGAATGATGTTTTATATGTTCAAAGAGTTGTGGCTAAAAAAATCATGGTACAAGCCAGGCATGGTGGCTCACTCCTGTAATCCCAGCATTTTGGGAGGCCGAGGCGGGCGGACCACTTGAACCCAGGACCAGCCTGGGAAAGATGGCAAAACCACATTTCTAAAAAACATTAGCCAGGCATGGTGACGCGAACCTACAGTCCTAGCTACTTGGAAGGCTGCGGTGGGAGGATCGCTTGAGCCTGGGAGGTGGAGGTTGCAGCAAGCAAAAACTACACCACCACACTCCAGTCTGGATGACAATTAAAACCTCGTCTCAAGAAAAAGAAAAAAAATCAAGCTGCAGCAGGACAAAGGAGACTGGACACTGAACTTGCAAGAGGTGCCAAGGTGCATATTAAGGTGCTCAGGAATGGAGACCACTAAGCTCTGAGGCGTCTTCAGAGACTCTTTTTATAAGCGAATGTGGCAGAGACTAACATAAACCCACCATAAACATTTTTTCAGTTAGGCTCACCCAAGTTCTATTTCATTTTTAAAACATATAAACCTCAGCTATTCAGAAAACTCTTTAGAGCCTGACTTTGTGGATGACTGTGACTATTTCGAGATTCACTCACTGGTGCACCAAGTATGTTTTCTGAGCTATGTGCTGGAACTATTGTCTGCTGGAATTGGAGAGTCAAACAAAAACAACGACCAAGTAAGATAAAAAAAAAAAAAAAAGTTTGTTAAGGGTTCTATGGGAACAGAGAAAGAAGAATGTGGAAATCAGAGCTAAGGAAAACTCTTGAAGCGATTAGGCTGACTTAAGCAAATAGAGCATTATTTACAAGCTTTCCTGGCTTCCTAAATGAACCATATTGAGGACAGGAAACCTTTGCACAAGGACCACAATCATGAACATCACTGTCTATAACGTCGTTGAGACATAAAGTGAAGAGGAAGCTGATGTTTATGATAAACTGGTATTATGATTCTAGGAAAAAAACTTTTTTTAAAAGTCCAAGATGACATCTTGCTTTTAGGTCTTTCACCTGTTAGTAAAACAGGTCATCTCCTGGGCGAAGAGGAAAGTCTAACGGCAAAACCAACCAGTGGGTCTGAGGTGTTTTTCTCAGTTTTTAGATGATCGCTTTCTGGCCAACTCTTGACTATCAGTATCATGACAACAAAGACGGGAGGTATCTTCTGGAAGGCTGTTCTCATTCTTTCCCCATGAGTTGTGTTTTCTTAGCATTCCAAGATTTGAGGGCTTATTCCAAAGTAATGTTCAACAGAGATCACAAGGACAGCCTTTCAGATGGCTTCCTCCAATCCCTCCTTTTATTTGGCTTGTAACAGATTTCTAAGCATTTGGAACCTTAGAAACTCTACTGTGAACACTGAGAGCCTGAAAGTCACTTGCAGGTTGTCTAGGTGATAAATCAACATTCCCTGAGATATCATCTTTAATAACTTTTTACATTCTGGGTTAATACTTTGAATCACGGGCACCTGGGGCAGCCAGGAAGATGGGGTATTTCCAAACTCTTGTGGGGTTGGGAGGCAGGGAGGGTGGGGGGAGTGTGTGTGTGTGCGTGCACACACACGCCCGTCATGTACAGCAAAAGCACTATGTCTTTCATGAGGCACAGCGACACCACAGGGGTCTCTTGCTCCCACAACTCCAAAGAGTTCTAGCTTCTGTTCTCCACATGGAATCCATTGTCCACTGCCTGTCCTGGCTTCTGTTGAAAACTCGTTTTCACCATTTTGTTCCCCCTGCCCTCACTCTTCCATTGTTCTTTTTTCTACTGGACTGGGCTGCTTTCTCTCCCAAGTGCTGTGGTTTGTGTTGTTGCTGCTGGATACCGAGTGATGCTTCATCACTAAAGAGGGGTGGGGTATTTAATTTACTTTAGATCATTAGGGTAGAACTCTGGAGGTCCCATGGTCTACCATCTACCAGAAACACTACCCAAACCCTTACTAAAGTCATGTTGAGTGACAGTAGCTTCTGGGGGTGTATCAGTCAGGGTTCAATCACAGAAACATAACTAGGAAATTGTATACATATGTGTGTGTGTGTGTATTTCTTAAAGGAATTTATTATCATGTAATTGTAGGAGCTGGTTAAAGTCTTTATAAGGGTGTTATCTTTGTCCTGATGCTGGAGCTAGAAGTCTACAGAGCAGGCAGAAGCCAGAGGAGGACAGGCATAAAGTGGAGAATAACTAGCTGGAGCCACAGGCAGGGACTGAAGACTGTGAGGATGGAAACCCATGTGGTTTTTGTGCCTCTGGCACTGGAGGTGTGGATGTCTTGCAGAAGACAGGGCCTTCATCACAGAAAAAATACATACCTGGTGAGGGCCAGGAGTTAGAAAAGCTGAAGGAGGACTTGGGAGGGTGTGAGGTCCAGCTTCTGCTGGACACAGTGACAACGCATGAGTTATAAAAATGGCTGCTGTCTCGGCTGGGCACAGTGGCTCACACCTGTAATCCCAGCACTTTGGGAGGCCAAGGCAGCGGATCATCTGAGGTCGAGAGTTCGAGACCAGTCTTACCAACATGGAGAAACCCTGTCTCCACTAAAAATACAAAATTAGCCGGGCGTGGTGGCACATACCTGTAATCCCAACTACTCAGGAGGCTGAGGCAGGAGAATCGCTTGAACCCAGGAGGAGGAGGTTGCTGTGGGGCAAGATGGAGCCATTGCACTCCAGCCTGGGCAATAAGAGCGAAACAACTCCATCTCAAAAAAAAAAAAGAAAAAAAAAGGCTGCTGTCTCACATTTGCTCTCCAAATATAAGAATCTCCCTTGGGGCCCACCTAATTGGAAACATACAAGAAAGGGAATTCTGGAAATTGTGGTTGAGGGTAGACAAGTTGACCATTACCGAGTGTTAGGAACTGAATGTTTGTGTCCCCCAGAATTCATATGTTGAAATCCTAACCCCCAATGTGTTTGTGTCCTCCAGAATTCATATGTTGAAATCCTAACCCCCAATGTGATGGTGTCAGGAGCAGGGGCTTTGGGTTAATTATGTCATGAGGAGGGGGTCCTCATGAATGAGACTGGTGCCCTTATAAAGGAGACCCCAGAAAGCTGCCTTGCCCTCTTTCTACCTTGTGAGGACACAGTGAGAAGTCAGCAGGCTGCAGCCCAGAAGAAGGCCCTCACCGGTACCTGGCCATGCTGGTACACTGACATTGAACTTCCATTCTCTAGAACTATGAAATATATTTATAAGCTGCTCTGTATAGCAGTCTGAGCTGAATGAGGCACCAAGCCACCACAGCTAAGCTGACTAATGATATGTTGCTCATTTGGCAGTTTATTGTCCCCTTGCCTACAAGGAGTGCAAATGGTGGCAGAATACCCTGCCACAGCTTGTGAGGTGTGACTGCTTATTACAGGTTTGACCTGAGTCCCCAATATGAACATTCTGTCCCAAAGATTAAATTTTTAAGAGTAAACTTGAAAACGTATGACAAAAAATTCGTACAGGAAATCTCAGGAGAGCACAGGAATGGCATGTTAGGCACATGGAGAAGGCAGGCAGGCACATGCTGAGAAAAGAGCCCTGGACCCTGAATCAGGAGCAGTTTATGTCTCAGCTTCCCCATTAGCTGTGACTCCTTAAGCCACTCCTCTCCTCCCTGGGCTTTAGGTTCCTATATCCAGAATGAGGGCTGTCAGCCTATGAGACCAAAAATCCCTTTCCAGGCTAGAGTCTACAATGATGAGAGACACCCATGCTCACATGAACTAGAGTGTTCCCCTCCAGTGATGTAGTCTCATCCTAAGGTAAAATCTCTGAGTTTCACTGGAGGTTTACCACTGGGGAGTGGAGTACTTGTTGGATGTTCATGGTAACACATGGGGGAAACAACTGCCTAAGAAAGGAAGTGGGGAGCTATGAAGATGACCTCTGGGCCAAGCCCTGCTCCAAGCATCTTTCAAAACCTGAACTTTGGTAATGGGAACAGTTGCCATCACCAATCCCTGCTTGAACACCAATTAGAGTGGCTGATTAGATTCACTTTTAAGTTTTTTTTAAGAAGATGTACAAGTCCCCAAGGGTGACTGCTGTTATGGGAACATACGTCCACTGATAAAATATTTCTTTTTCATCATTAATTACTTAACAGTCTAGGCAGCAGCAGCAGCACAAAGAGTACAGAGACAATGAGACAATGTACAGACTGAGGCTTTGGCCACTGCACTTCTAGAGGACCAGGGATGAGGGGACAGACATGTTCACAGACAGCTGCAATAAAACAGAATGTTAACTGTGTGCTGGAGAAGATGGAGACCAAGCAGCTGTACTGACGTGGAGGGGAAACCATGACTCCAGCCAATGCTGCTGTTGCCCTTTCCTAAAACTCCACGGCAGTGTGTGTGCCACAAACACAGACATCGTAGGTTTCCTTCCATTTTGCATTCTCTGTAGGTTTTCTTGTATTACTCTTAGGCTCTGTTTTATGGATTGAAAAGACATTTCACAAGTGATATGTAAAGATATTCTCACTGTAAAAGATTCAAGTTGTATACAGGTATACACAGGAACATAATCTTTAATTTTGATAAATTCTGTCCAATTTCTGTCTCAAGCATCTATCCTATTTAGATTATTAGCAACATTGTATAGAAGTATTCTTTTCTTAGACTCTTGAGAACACTGGGTGGATAGTATCTATTAAAAGTTTTACAAGTCTAATAGGCAAAATATATCTAATTTATATTTGACTTCTCTGATTACTAATGATATTAAGTATTGTATTAGTCTGTTCTCACGCAGCTAATAAAGACATACCCAAGACTGGGTAATTTATAAAGGAAAGAGGTTTAATGGACTCACAGTTCCACATGGCTAGGGAGGCTTCACAATCATGGCAGAAGGCAAGGGGGAACAAGTCACTTCTTACAAAGGTGGTAGCAGGCAAACAGAGAAAATGAGAGCCAAGTAAAAGAGGTTTCCTCTTATAAAACCATCAGATCTCCTGAGACTTATTCAGTACCATGAGAACAGTATGGGGGAAACTGCCCCTAAGATTTAATTATCTCCCACTGTGTCTCCCTCACAACATGTGGGAATTATGGGAGCTACAATTCAAAATGAGATTTGGGTGGGGACACAGCCAAACCATATCAAGTATTTTTAACTGTATCTACTTGTATCAGTCTGTTCTCATGCTGCTAATAAAGACATACCCGAGGCTGGATAATTTACAAAGGAAAGGATGTTTAATGGGCTCACAGTTGCACATGGCGGGGGAGGCCTCACGATCATAGCAGAAGGCAAAGGAGGAGCAAAGGCACATCTTACATGGCGGCAGGCAAGAGAGCGTGTGCAGGGAACTGCCCTTTATAAAACCATCAGATCTCGTGAGACCTATTCACTATCAAGAGAACTGCTTGGGAAAACCCACTCCCATGATTCAATTACCTCCCACCAGGTCCCTCCCATGACACATGGGAATTATGGAAGCTACAGTTCAAGATGACATTTGGGTGAGGACACAGAGCCAAACCATATCATTCTACCCCTTACCCCTCCCAAATCTCATGTTCTCACATTTCAAAACCAATCATGCCTTCCCAACAGCCTCCCAAAGTCTTAACTCATTTCGGCATTAATTCAAAAGTCTACAGTCTGAAGACTCATCTGAGACACAGTACGTCCCTTCTGCCTATGACCCTGTAAAATCAACAGCAAGTCAGTTACTTCCTAAATACAATGTGGGTACAGGCATTGGGTAAACACAGCCATTCTAAATGGGAGAAATTGGCCAAAACAAAGGGGCTACAGGCCCCATGCAAGTCCAAAATCTGTCAGGGCAGTCAAATCTTAAAGCTCCGAAATGATCTCCTTTGACTCCATGTCTCACATCCAGGTCACGCTGATCCAAGAGGTAGGCTTCCATGACCTTGGACAGGCTCTGCCCCTGTAGCTTTGCAGGGCATAGCCCCCCTTCTTGGCTGCTTTCAGGGGCCGGCATTGAGTGTCTGCAGCTTTTCCAGGCCCACCATGCAAGCTGTCAGTGGATCTACCATTTTGGGGTCTGGAGGATGGTGGCCCTCTTCTCACAGCTCCACTAGGCAGTGCCCCAGTAGGGACTCTGTGTGGGGGTTCCTACCCCATATTTCTCTTCTGCACTGCCCTAGCAGAGGTTCTCCATGAGGGCTCCACCCCTGCAGCACACCTCTGAAGCAATGGCCTTGCGGGTACACAGAAGTTAAGAATTGAGGTTTGGGAAACTCTACCTACATTTCAGAGGATGTATAGAAACGCCTGGATGTCCAGGCAAAAGTTTGCTCCAGGGACGAGGCCCTCATGGAGAACCTTTGCTATGGCAGTGTGGAAGGGAATTATGGGGTCGGAGGCCCCACACAGAGTCCCCACTAGGGCACTGCCTACTGGAGCTGTGAGAAGGGCCAGAATCCTTCAAGATTGCAGAATTGTAGATTCACTGACAGCTTGCACCATGTGCCTGGAAAAGCCATAAACACTTAATGACATGAGGCTCCATCCCTGCAGCAAACTTTTGCCTGGACATCCAGGCTTTTCCATACATCCTTTGAAATGTAAGTAGAGGTTCCCAAACCTCAATTCTTAACTTATGTGTACCTACAGGCCCAACACAATGTGTAAGCCACCAAGGCTTGGGGCTTGCACCCTCTGAAGCAATGGCCTGAGCTGTATGTTGGCACCTTTTAGCCATGCCTGGGATGCAGGGCACCAAGTCCCAAGACTGCACAAAGCGGCAAGGGCCTGGGCCTGGCCCACAAAGCCATTTCCTCCTAGGCTTCCAGGCATGTGATGGGAGGGTCTGCCGTGAAGACTTCTGACATGCCCTGCAGACATTTTCCCCATTGTCTTGGCAATTAACATTTGGCTCCTCATTACTTATGCAAATTTCTGTAGTCCTCAGAACATGGGTTTTTCTTTTCTATTGCATTGTCAGGTTGCAGATTTTCCAACTTTTATGCTCTGCTTCCCTTTTAAACATAAGTTCCAACTCCAAAGAGTATCTCTATGAATGAATAAAACTGTATGCCTTTAAGAGCACCCAAAATCACCTCAAACACTTTGCTGCTTAGAAATTTCTTCTGCCAGATACCCTATATTATCTTTCTCAAGTTTAAAGTTCCACAGATCTCTATGGCAGGGGCAAAATGCCACCAGTCTCCTTGATAAAACATAGGAAGAGTCCCCTATGCCCCAGTTCCCAACAAGTTTCTCATCTCCATCTGGGAACATGTTAGCCTAGACTTCATTGTCCATATCACTGTCAGCATTTTGGTCAAAGCCATTCAACAAGTTTTTAGGAAGTTCCAAACTTTCCCACATCTTCCTGTCTTCTGAGCCCTCCAAGTCTCTAGGAAGTTCCCACTTTCCCACATTTTCCTGTCTTCTTCTGAGCCCTCCAAACTGTTCCAACCTCTGCCTGTTACCCAGTTCCAAAGTCACTTCCACATTTTTGGGTATCCTTATAACAGCACCCCACTCTACCGGTAGCAATTTACTATAACAGTCTGTTCTCTCACTGCTAATAAAGACATACCCAAGACTGGGTAATTTATAAAGGAAAGGAGGTTTAATGGACTCACAGTTCCACATGGCTGGGGATGCTTCACAATCATGGCAGCAGGCGAAGGAGGAGCAAAGGCATGCCTTACATGGTGGCAGGCAGGAGTGTGTGTGCAGAGAAACTGCTCTTTATAAAAACCATCAGATCTCATGAGACATATTCACTATCATGAGAACAGCACAGGAAAACCCACCCCCATGACTGAATTACCTCCCACCAGGTCCCTTCCACAACATGTGGGGATTATGGGTGCTACAATTCAAGATGAGATTTGGGTGGGGATACAGCCAGCCCATATCACTACTGAACGCTGATGTTTACCTCCGTGAAGTATCAATTTTTAAACTATGATACTGTTTTTTTCTCTTGATATGCAGTGCCCATTAGTTTCCTGCTGCTGCTCTAACAAAATGCCACAAATTTAATGACTTAAAACAAAGATTCATTATCTTACACAAAGTAAAGTAAAATTAAAGTTTTAGGAGGATTGTGTTTCTTCCAGAGGCCCTCAGGAAGAATTCATTTCCTTGCCTTTTCTAGTTCTAGAGGCTGTCTGCATTCCCCTTGGAATGTCTCTGTTCCTTCATCTTCAAGGCCAGTGAGGTTAGCTGAGTCCTTTTTCATGCAGTGCTCTCTCTCTCGACTTGTCCCTCTTCCACTTTTAAGTATCTTTGTGATTATACTGGGCCCTCCCCCAATAACCACCCCATTTTAAGGTCAGTTGATTAGCAAACCTAATCCCACCTGCTGCCTTAATTCCCCTTTGCCAGATAATTTAACAGTCACAGCCCCTGAGGATTTTACACAAAGACATCTTTGGGTGGCCATTATTCTGCCCACCACACAGTGCTTTTCATATATTACAATTATGTTGCAAATGTTTGCCCAGTTATAACTTTGTTTATGAAAACCTTTATAGTTCAGAAGGTAATTTTTGCTTGTTTTCTTCCATTTTGGGGCGAGGAAGGAAGTTATCCAAGGTGCAGTTTTTGACTTTATAGCTTCTGGGTGTGAGGTCTTACTCAGAAAAACCTTTTCATCCATCCCAAAATGGTGTCTTTTGACAAAATAAAGTTTTAAAATATTCTGAAGTCCAAACATGTGTAAATCTTTTCTTGCAAGTGCATTTTATGTCTTATGTACTAAATCTTGCCTACTTCAAGGTTGTAGGGTATTCTTGTTCTAGGCTTTATAGCTTTAGCGTTCTCACTTAGGCATATGATACATCTGAAGTTAATTTTGTCTATGTCCTAAGATAGGCTAAGGTTTTTTTTTCCTGCATCAATATCCAATTGCTTTAGCAATATTTATTGAAAAGAACATCCTTCATCCACTGAATTACATTGGTGCCTTTGTCAAAAATGGTTGATGATATATGTGTCTATTTCTGGACTCTGTTCTGTTCTGTTCATCAATTTATCTATTGTTATGCTGATATCACAGTCTTACCCTGCTTTTATAGTGAATCTTGAAATCATGTTTAAACTCCTTGGGGTTTTACAAATGCACAGTCATATCTTCTGCAAATATAGTTTTACTTCTTCCTTAATAATCTTTATGTCTTTTATTTTTTTGCCTTATTGCACTGGCTATAACTTCCAGTACAATACTGCAGAGAACCACACTTACCCTTCAATCTATTATGTGCTTTCAATAAGACTTTTCCCCAAACCACTATCCTGAAACCACTTAAAGTCACTCCACACTGCCATATCCAATGGAAACTTCTTTACTCTCATCTTAATCTCTCTGTAGCATGAGACTTCTACCATCAGTGCCTCTTATCCCCTGGCATAATTGAAACATTACTGTAATTATTCTTCCTTGTTTTCTGCTACACTTTGTGGCTTCCTTTCTGCTTTCAACCTCTCTGGTCACTCCTTTTCTTCCACCTGATCTCTCAAATATTGGAATGCTAGGTATCTGCCCCTACCTTATGTCAAGATATTAACATAGACATTGGTTCCAGGTTCTTGAAGAGACCAGCAGCAACAAAATCTATCTGGAGGTACAGAGGTTTGTCCACTCAAGTCACAGATAATTTTTATAGTTAAAGCTTCAGTGAAGACACAAATTTTAAAATAAAAGGGAAAATAATCCAAATCCATCATGAGCAAGACAACAGAAAATATAATTAGACCTCCAGGAACTTCAGATGATTGACCAATTAGATGTCGAGTTAAAAATAAGTATACTTAAAATGATTTGAGCTGGACATGGTAGCTCATGCCTGTAATCCTAGTGCTTTGGGAAGCCAAGACAGAAGGATCACTTGAGGCCAGAGGCTTGAGACCAGCCAGGGCAACAAAGCAAGATCCCATATCAAAATAAAATGCAAAAATTAGCCAGGCAGGGTGGTGTGCACCTGCAGTCCCAGCTACTTGTGAGACTGAGATGGGAGAATTGCTTGAGCCCAGGAGCTATGATCACGTGCCACTGCACTCCAGCCTGGGTGACACAGCAAGACACCATCTCAAAAAACAAAACAAAAATAAACAAAAGATTTCAAAGTAAACAACATACAAAAGAAATAATGAAACAAGCATAAAACAAATTTGCTAATAATGGCAGCTAATATGCAGCATCTATTAACTGCCAAATGTTGTTTTAATACCTTTATATATTCTATTTATTTTCATTCTTAACTATTAGATACCTATTCTATTACTATACTTACTTAACAGATGAGAAAATGGAAGTCATTTGCCCAAGATTTCAACAGGTACTAGGTGGTAGAGTAAGAATTCGAACTCAGGCAGCGTGACTCTGGGCTGAACTCTAAACCATGAAACATATGGTATCCAAGAAGGTCCAAAAGTAAAATACAGTCACTAGAATTAAAAACTCTACTGATGAATTAAATACCATGAGTCACAGCTGAAAACAAAACTAATGAAACAGAAGAAAGATCTAAAGAAATTAGGTAGAATGCAACTCAGAGGCAAAGAGGTGCAAAGTAAGAAACTGAAGATAGAATGAGAGGGTCCGACAAGCATCTCATAAGAGTTGCAAGAAGGAAGTGAGAGAGGGTGAGTCAATATGCTTAATGATAATAGCCAATAATTTTACCGAACTGTTGAAAAATCAGTTCTTTAGAGTGAAGAAATACAACAAACCCTGCTGAGACTAAATAAAAATAAATCCATACCTATTTATCCATCGTAGCTAAACTGAAGAATACCAAATATAAAGAAAATCTTAAAAACAGCCAGAGATGAGACAGCTTTTCCACAAGGAGCAACAATTAGATGGCAACTTCTCAATACCAACAACTGAGCTCAAAAGCCAATGGAAAAAAATATTTAAGGAACTTAGAGGAAGACCAGGCATGGTGGTTCACGCCTGTAATCCCAGTATTTTGGGAGGCTGAGGTGGAAGGATTGCTTGAACTCAGGAGTGTGAGAACAGCAACATAGTGAGACCCCATCTCTAAAAAAAAATAAAAAATTAGCCAGGTGTGGTGGTGCATACCTGTCCCAGCTACTTGGGAGGCTGAGGTGGAAGGATGACTTGAGCCCGAGAAGTGGAGGTTACAGTGAACCAAGCCTGGGTGGCAGAGCAAAACTCTGCCTTAAAAGGAAAAAAAAAAATCTTAGTTGGCAGTTACTTTGTCCCAGTTTCCCGCCCCGAGACAGGGTCTTGCTCTATTACCCAGGTTGGAGTGCAGTGGAGCGATCTCAGCTCACTGCCACCTCTGCTTCCTGGGTTCAAGCGATTTTCATGCCTCAGCCACCTGAGTAGCTGGGATTACAGGTGTGAGCTACCATGCCCAGCTAATTTTTATATTTTTAGTAGAGACAGGGTTTCACCATGTTGCCCAGGCTGGTCTTGAACTCCTGGTCTCAACTGATCCACCGGCCTTGGCTTCCTAAAGTGCTGGGATTACAGGTATGGGCAGTGTGAGCCACCGCGTCCGGCCAAAGAATTTTAAATTCAGTTAAATTATCACTCAAAAATGAGGGCAAAAATAAAGGGAGTTTTAGAAAAACAAATAAGAGCTTATTGCCAGTAAGAAGGCATCAGTGAAATAACTATAAAAGATACAGTTCAGGAATAAAACTGAATTTGTTTGAAAGGACAGGGCTACCGGGAAGAAAAAGAACAAAGAAATGAGTAAACTTATGGGTAACTGTAAACAAGAAGTGACTGTAAAGTAATAATGACAATGACTAATTTTGAAAGCCAAAAAAGGGTGGAATGAAAATATTGGTGAATAATAAAGAGGAAGAGGAGCTGGTCATGGTGGCTCACACCTGTAATCCCAGCACTTTGGGAGGCCAAGGCAGATAGAGAGTTTTGAGCTCAGGAGTTCAACAGCAACCTGAGCAACATTTCAAAACTCCATCTCTATGAAAAATACAAAAATTAGCCAGGCATGGGCTGGGCATGGTGCCTCACGCCTGTAATCCCAGCACTTTGGGAGGCTGAGGTGGGCGGATCACCTGAGGTCAGGAGTTCGAGACCAGCCTGGCCAACATGGTGAAACCCCATCTCTACTAAAAACACAAAAAAATTAGCCAGGCTTGGTCGCGGGCACCTGTAATCCCAGCTACTTGGGAGGCTGAGGCAGGAGAATCGCTTGAACCCAGGAGGTGGAGGTTGCAGTGAGCTGAGATCATGCCATTGGACTCCAGCCTGGGTGACAGAGCAAGACTCTGTCTCAAAAAAAATTAGCTAGGCATGGTGGCATACACCTGTAGTCCCAGCTACTTGGGGAGGCTGAGAAGGGAGGATCACCTGAGCCTGGGAGGTCAAGGATGCAGTGAGCAGTGAGCATGCCATTGCACTCCAGCCTGAGTGACAGCGTGAAATCCTATCTCAAAATTCTGCAGATGTTGAAGAATCTTGGGAGATTAACTACTAAGAGGATGCAACACATCAGCTGTGTTTCCAGGGTGGCTATCAGGTCTTACAGATACAGTGTATTAACAAAGAAAAGCCAGCAAGAAAAGAAAAATGAAAATGATTATGATGCATGTTTTCAAGCAGATAAGAGCAAAACACTAAAGAAGATTAGACACTTGGGTGTGGGGTTTTGCAAGTGTAAAGTCTGACAAACCACCAAATAGATTTGGACAAATCTACTTGCAACCTCACTTTGTTCCTCAGTCACAGGCCTATCATGACCCTCCCCCGACAAGCAGTCTTTCATAGCCATGTTGGACTCTAAATGGAGGCCTTGGTGCCCGATGGCATAGTCCAGCCTACCTGTTGACCTAGTCTTTAAAAGGATCCATCTATTCTTGATCCCACAGATGGAATTACAAGGACTTTAGAAGTCATCACATCAATAATCCAAAATGACAAAAATTACTGCCAAGGATAAAAAAAGTGCTTTTCAAATTTCAGGTCAAAATTGGTATTTAGAATACTATACCAAATAATTTGAGTATATATTTAATAGTAACCCATGTGACAACCAAAAACTGCTTACTGTTTTATTTTCTAATGAAATGTTCCAATGTTTTAGTCTATCTCCTATAGTGGAAAGGCAATAAATACAAGGACTTGAAAAGAGCAACAGACTTGTAAGATATGAGTTTGCTTTTGGCTAGCTCTGTTACCTTGTGGTTAGTACTTAGGTCACCAATTTCTTCACTTATAATAAGGACTTAACACCATCTGCTCATTACACTGGGCTATAATGAGGAATGAATGAAATAATCTAGGTGCAAGTGCTTAGTAAATTTTAATGCACCTCACAAAGGTGAGGTTTGGAAATGGTTAATGCTTTTAACAGAACTATGATATGGTTGTTAGAATGGGCCTTGGGAGATGATCTATTATAATGATTTAAAAAAATTTTTTTTTTAAACCTCGAGAACCCTTTGTTCAAAGGAAACATTTTAAGCAAACAAGGGCGAGTATCTCTGGGTGAATTACTTGCACTCATCTCTCTCTGCCCACTGTTGTGGTGGCTTCTGAAAGGGGTTTCCAGAGCCCACAGGGCTCCAAGGAACACAGCATAAAATCCACTGATTTAGCCCAACCCCTGGTTTTACAGATGGGGAAATGGGCCTAGAAAGCAGAAACAAATGTCTTAAGAGTGTGGCTGCAGAGCAGATGGACTGTTCACATGGCCAGTAAGACTGAATAGTCCAATATATGGTCAGCATTTGGTCAAGGTCCTGGGAGACCTTGAAAAGCTCTCTGAAGATGATTCCTTTATAAAGTGTGTGAAGGCTGGTGCCTTACCTTTGTTTTCCTGAGTCCCATAGTACACAGTGTCCTGGGAATGATTCTTGTCTTTTTGGAGCCTGAAGCATTGGTGCTGCATAGCACAAGGAAGGTTTCCACTAAGACCTGAGATAGCTGGAGGGGCAGCCTCCTTGGGGCTGTTGATCAGCTCCAGAAAGCCTAACAGCATGTTTAACTCTCCTAGAGAGCTGTGCTCACAACCTTATAGGCAACCTACTTCCTCCCTTCCTTCTCTCAGCCTGTCACCATCCTGCTGACTCTCCTGCAATAATGTTTCTGTGCCAATCCCAAAGCAGAGAGACGATAGGTCTACATCAATTAGAAGGCAAGTTCATGAGAGCAGGGACCACACCTGTCTTGTCCATCATCTATAACTAAAACTTAGAATAGCACCTGGCACATAAACAAGAAACAGTCACATCAGACTATCTGGGTCTAAATCCTAGCTCTTCCTGCTTCCCAGCTGGGTCACTTGGGGGCATGCTATTTAAGCTCTCTATGCTTTAGTTTTCATATCTCTAAAATGGGGATAGTAGCAGTACCTAGCTCCCAATTTGGGTGATTAAATGAGCTAGTATAAAAAAGCGCTTGGCCAGCATATAGTAAGCACCATACAAGTATTTGCTATATTACTTGTGAGAGGCTTTCTTTGGAGGCCAGTCCCTGGTGGGAAATTCCAGGTAGCACCTCCTCATCTCAAGCCAGATGTGCACTTAGTGACTAGCAATGCCAGTGTACAAAGGGTCTAGAGGCACTAAGTCAGGGGTCTCAAGCTTTTTTCCATCAGTGATGATGCTCACAAGACTTTCTCATATGAGTACAGAAAGGGGTATGCTCTGTCTTCACTCTGCTTGTACCAGATGTAGGCAGGTGAGGGTAGTAATATGACCTTGAGTCATCTCTATCGTATAAAGGAAGTCACTTGTAGGCGTTAGTACTGATAACCATCATTTGTAACAAAGCACATGAAGCATACCAGCTAATCCCAATATCTTAGAGCCACAGGGCCAGGCAAGCAAGTCTACCCAATGACATCTGTAAGTATTTTCTTGTGTAATCCAATTTTATTTTCACCAAAATACTCAGACAAAGGAGAACAAAAAGAGATGATTTGTTTCAGAATCAAAGCAACAGACATTAGAGAAGGAGTACTGCATAGTAATATTGAAAAGCAGAGGAGAGAGAATGTCTTTTATGTTTCCTCAAAAAGCCAGTGATTTTGCAGTCAAGCACTTGTCTCGTTTTCTCCCGAAGTGGCAGCACCAACATTTCTGCTCATCCCTGACTATCCGCATTGCCTGTCAGTTGCTAGGCAACTCTAACAGTGATCCAGCATGTGTTAGGTACCCACCTTGCTTCTGACCACCCACAATACACAACTTTCGTAACTGTTCTCATTGGGTTTGCCAATTACACCTAGGCACTATCCTCTTAGCCAAGGCTTCTCTTAAACCTCATCTTCCTCCTGCTTAGTCCTGTGGTAAAATTTAAATACCACATTTGTCATCATGTCCCAATAATTTCCCTAACAACCGGCTGCCCATCAAACATGGGATGATTTTACGGTAGGATCAAAACAGATGGGAGGGAAATCTTATTAAAACCATAAATATCTCTCCATAAAAGTAACCAATCAAAAGAGGAAATCGCCAGCTAATATAACATCCTAATAAGTTCAAGTGAACTGTTAATTTTGAGTTTCTCTGAATGTATAAATCTGGCTGACGGTACTTGTCCTGATTAAATAGAGTAATTGTGACCAATTTAAAAATTAACCACATATGGCTGGGCGCAGTGGCTCACGCCTGTAATCCCAGCACTTTGGGAGGCCAAGGCGGGCGGATCACAAGGTCAGGAGTTCGAGACCAGCCTGGCCAATACCGTGAAACCTCATCTCTACTAAAAATACAAAAATTAGCTGGGCATGGTGGCATGCGCCTGTAGTCCCAGCTACTCGGGAGGCTGAGGCAGAAGAATCGCTTGAACCCGGGAGGCGGAGGTTGCAGTGAGCCGAAATCATGCCACTGCACTCCAGCCTGGGTGAATGGCGAGACTCCATCTCAAAAAAAATAAATAAATAAAATAAAAATAACCACATATTTAGTTTAGAAAAGGCTATATATCTATGAAAAGATCTTCTTTTTTTGAGACAGGGTCTCACTCTGTTGCCTAGGCTGGAGTACAGTGGTGCCATCATGACTCACTGCAGCCTCAATCTCCCAGGCTCAAGTTATCTTCCCACCTCAGCCTCCTGAGTAGCTGGGACTGCAGGCGCACACCACCAAGCATCCCCCGCCTTTTTTTTTTTTTTTGTAGAGATGGGGTTTTACCATGTTGCTCAGGCTGATCTTGAATTCCTGAGCGCAAGTGATCCGATCGCCTTGGCCTCCCAAAGTGCTGGGATTACATGTGTGAGCCACTGCACCTAGCTTGAATACGTCTTAAGGTCATATATTTTATATGGATGTGTTACACAGGCAAAACAGATAAAGGCTTTATAAGGTGCTTTCTTAAATCCTAAGAGGCCTAATGAATATGAGAGACATGAAAAATCAAGCAGTGAACTAATATTAAACACAGCATACTGTTTAATAGGAAACAACCGCATGTTTTCTATCATCATCCTTGGGATTCCATAAATGAGATAAAAGCCAAGGGTATAAATGCGTTTTCCAAAATTTAAGTGGCAAGGCTAGTAAGTGGCAATCTCAAATTAGGACTTGGATCTTTGGACTCTATCTCAGGTTATTTCCTCCATAATATGCTGGATGATTGGGTAATGTCACCATCTGTGGACCCTGGGTTTGAAAATGTTGATGGGTTACAGCTATTAAACCCAAGCAACTAGTAGTAGTGGTTTCTGGATGAGGAGCAGGGTGGCTGGGGAACAGGAATGGGAAGACATACCTTCTTTATATACCATTTATTTTATTGTGTATGTTACCTATTGGAAAAAAATAAGTTTTTAAAAGGGTACTGATTCAAATAATTTTTGGTCAGTAACCATGTGCCATGCAGTGTTAGATGCTAAGCAGAAAAAGATGAGTAAGATCAGGCACCTTGCTCACCTGAAGCTCATGACACAGGGAAGCAAAGAGACCCATAAAGAAGCAACCAGGTCGATGCCTACAGAAGCAGTGAGAAGATATTCAAAAAATTAAAAAATAAATAAAATAAACTGGGAAGATGAAAAAAGGACCAAGCAAAAGGCGCCATGAAAACACAAAGGAAAAAATAATTATGCCTGCTGAGCTAGAAAAAGTTTCACTTTAAGGGGAGCATTTGAATTAGAAGTTGAAAGAAAAGTATAGTTATTGTAGACAGTACAGAAAAAAATAAAACCTGAGAAGCAGTCTGAAAATAAACTGCATTTAGATTAAGGGGGATACCATTCATTCAGTTCTGAGCCACTACAGGCCAGGTACTGAACTAGGCACTATATTAGCCAATCTGCCAGAAGGCACAAACATTAAAGAATAATTACCAAAGATCACAATGAGTATTCTGGTAGGAAATGAAGCATGATAATTATAAACTCATTTTTTCTCTACAGTAAAAGGAAACTTCTAATGCAGATAGTTCAACAGAAACTTCATTAAAAAAGGTTTTGGTGCAGATTTTATGATTCTTGGTGACGTGGTAACTATGGCAACCATATACTAAAACGTGACCCAGGATCTATGAAAAATGTTTTCAGTCAGAACCTCAATCACAACACATAATGAAAGAGAGGAAATGAAAACTATGATTTATATTTAAAATAATAAAAGGGAAGATTAAAAACTATATTAAGGCTAGCATTTTTATAAGATTCCAATTCCTGACCTTCTGTAGCCAGTTTTCACATTTGTGAAATGTCAACTGGATGAAACAAAGTCCAAATGATCAGGAAGTCAACATCCTCTACTTATGATGGGTAGAGACATAACAGGCAATAAGATATTACGTAGACCCAATAGGAACCATACGAAATACATTTCCTAAGGGGATGAGATTTTTTAAGATTAGGAAATCAGATCTTTTGTGATTCTATGAATCTTTTATAGGACTATTATTTTTAACAACTCTACATACCCAAGTAAATATGGTTCTCCAAAGCAGTCATGCTGCGGGGTTGGTCCCTTACTCCAGTACAGCTGCCTCTTTTGGCTCCAAGAAAGTACAGAACTTCTCAAAGAGCTTTGGAGCCAGAGGTTCAGTCTTTTGAGTGTGTACAAGGGTACTTTTGCTTAACTACAAAAAACAAACCCCAATTTTGGAAACAGTAAAAAATTAATTCCAGCCAAAATTGGAGAATAAGATGGGTAAATCGAACCAGGAAAGAAATATCAGTGGGCCAGGTGCAGTAGTTCATGCCTATAATCCCAGCACTTTGGGGGGCCGAGGTGGGCGGATCATCTGAGGTCGGGAGTTCAAGACCAGCCTGACCAACATGGAGAAACTCCATCTCTACTAAAAATACAAAATTAGCCGTGGTCTGGTGGCGCATGCCTGTAATCCCAGCTACTCAGGAGGCTGAGGCAGGAGAATTGCTTGAACCCAGGAGGCAGAGGTTGCAGTGAGCCGAGATCGTGACATTGCACTTCAGCCTGGGCAATAAGAGCGGAACTCCATCAGTGAAGTCTGTGGAAAGCAGAATCGAAAGATGGCCCCTGGTGCACATGCCTGTATATCCCCTTTCCTTGAGGATAAGCCAGAATTGTGAATATGATAGAGTTTCACTTGCATAATTTGGTTATCAATTAATTAAGTTACTCAAAAGGGAAACAATCCTGGGTGGGCCTGAGTTGGGTCCTTCCTGAGATAGATCCTCCTGCTGGTCTCCAAGAAGCATCCCATGAGGAATGCAGCAGACCACCACGGGCAGCACCTAGGAGCCGAGAACGCCGGGCTGACAGCCAACAAGAAAGCAGGAACGTCAGGCTTACAGCCACAAGCAACCGTGAGCTTGAAAGAGGACTCCCAAGCTTCAGATGAGAGCACAGCTGGGTTGACGCCTTGATTTTAGCCTGGTGAGACACTGAGCAGAGGGCTCAGCTAATCCACGCCCAGACTCCTGACCCACGGGAACCATGAGATAGTAAATTTGTATTGTTTTAAGCCCCCTTATAGTTTGTGATCATATATTACATAGCAACAGAAAACTAATGCAAGGCTGGAAACAAAGAATGTCTATTAAGAAACAATACTTATTTGTTAATGTGTCATGTCAACTTATTTTGAAAGAACTTGGAAGAGTGGAAAGAAAACTTGAGCAATGGCAATGTTTTTGGCCAAAGCACCTACTTTCAAAGGGTGATCATAATACTTTTTTGGATATGCAGCTCTAGATTATTTTTTAAAGTCTATCATGTTAAAAGTCAAAATTCATATTGCCTATAATTCTCTGTGCTTATTACTCCTATAATTTTTTTCTGGGGAATTTGTTTTAATTTTATTGTACTTAATAAAGAGGAGTGGGTTATTCATTCCAAACCCAAACATTAATACGGATCAGTAATAATAAAGTAGAAAAATATCAAAAGTTAAATTTACGTAGCTTTTGATGTATTTACCTTTGGCTAAAATCCAATTCTTAAAACTAGTATGTCTGCTACTTTGCTGACAGAGCATTAGATTTGCTGGGCATGAGCACTTCATTTGGACTAGAATCCACAGTGCTCTCTACAATCCTGCCTCACTATTCTAAAGCAAGTAAATATATTAAATGAAAGGATATATCAGTTGTTCATAACGAATTTATTCTCAAGGATGATGATATTGTCCACCAGAGCATAAAATCTAGGGAATATTTAGAAATGTATAAGGCATTTTTTTCAGCTTTCACTAGGACTTGGCAGTTAATATGTGATGGCCAGGTTATTAAATAACTTATAATGCATGGGACAATCTTGTATAACAAAAAATTATCTTGACCAAAATAACAATAGTGCCCTGTTGAGAGACACACTATTTGAGTATAAGCTGAAGTCGACTATTTAAAACCACATCTTATTCTAGAAAATCTCATGGAACAAGCATTTAGAAAAGCACTCAATTATTCCAATCAATTCAAATTATAACATTCATTGAACTGCTTTCCATAGACCAACGACTAATAAGGCCTCAGGCAACCCCGGAGACATCAAAGAAACGGTAATATCTGAAAGCAGGTAAAAAGGCAAAGTCTGGCCACCCACTACTGCTCTGAACTCACCTACCCTCCCATCCTATTGACTCCAGTAACACTCACTTTGCTGTTAATCAAACACAGTAAGCATATTCCCACTCCCCACCCCGCGTCCCTCAGCAACCCATCCACATGGCTCTTCCCCTACTTCTTTCAGGTCTCTGCATGAATGTCACCACGTCAGAAGGCCTTCCCTGACCTTCTTCCTTAAGGAGCAGCCTCCCTCCCCAACCCGAGCACTCACACCCTACAGGACAGTGTTTGAGGGTGGGGACTCTGGATTCTTGGGCACATTGTTTAACCTCTGTGCTTCAGTTCTTCCATCTGAAAAGGGGATTAATGGATACACTGTAGAACGGCTATAAGAATTACATGAATTAATATATACATATATATACATATACATATACATACATACATACATACATATATATATATATATATATATATATATATATATATATATATATATATATAATGTGCTTGGAACTGTGCCTGGAACTGCTGGTTAAGAACTACATGTTAGCTCTGAAAATTTAAAAACAATAACCTAAACCAAATTTGAAATAAAGCTTTTAACTCATTTCATTTGATAGCAAAACTTGATCTTAACTCATTGGGCAACAAAAGTTGAACTAAGATGACATGGGGCTACCTGTGATCTTTGCTTCCAAAATGTTGTATTATGAAGTGTTGGTCCAGATACCACTAGGGATATTAACAGACAGTATAGGTACCATATTATCTTTCTAAAATCCAAATACTGAACTACATCTGGTACCAAGAATTTAGAATAAAGGATTGTGCACCTAAATTATCATTCTATTTTTTCTCTATAGCACTTACCACCATTTGCATACATAAACACACTTCTTTGCTTTTTGTGTAATTCCCAGCACCAGAACATAAAAGTCAAGATGTTTTATTGTTTATTGCATTCTTAGCACCTAGAAAAGTGTGTGGTGCATAGTAGGTGCTCAGTAGTTATGTGCTGGATAAATGGTTAAATCTGATACCCAAAATAGAATATATATATAAAACATTTTTCTTAGGTAGAAGAAAAATTATGTAATGGAGAATGTGTGACCAGTTGCTCTTCAACCCAGGAGGGATGGCTTGAATCCAATTCATTTGTTTGGCAATGGAACACCTGGTAGGCATGAAAAGCCCACCTGATATGTATTTCTTGTATGTTCCTCAATGCCCAGGCGTTGATCCGCTATATTCTCCTCTGGAAGTCGCAAAGGATTACGGTGTTAACAATCAGTACTAACCAAAACTCCAAAACATACTATATGTACACCAAACTTTTAAGTTCATCTCCAACAAACAATTCCACCTGAAGTCTCCACCATGATAAATCAATCTTCAATCAAATTCACCATCATCCCACTGTGGTAGGCCAGTTCCATTCCCTGACTTCTATACTGATATCAGTGACAATCCCCATCTACATACCCCAAACTCAGGAATCACCTTTGAGGGCCCTCCCATGTTCCATTATGCAGTCTAGGCAGTGCTTTCATGGTTACCACTTCAATCCTAGGCTTCATCAGCCTCCACATGTCAGGCACCTGGCCAGTCACCAGGGTATGCTGAACAAGACAGGCATGGACTTGGCCTCACAGAGTCTAGAGGGGAAGCCAGATAATTACACAAGCAACCACAGTGAATAGGGAAAGAACGCTGACAATGCAGGAATCTAGGGCATTATGGAAGCCACCAGGCTCCAGAAGTGATGTTTTGGCTAAAAACCCACCTATGTAGAATAGTCAAAAAGCATTACAAGTGCAATTAACTAATATGTATACAATGAATTCTTTGGTAAATCTCTTTCATGCCAATGTAAATTCTGTGAGAACCTCATCTTAATTACTCTATTCTTGCCACAGCGGGCAATACATATTTGCTGAGTAATGGGTAGAACTGCCTCAACTCTGCCGCCTTATTCCTCATTGAGTGGAGGGAGGGGATAACGCCACCTCACAGCTCTTGTGGGGACTGAAAGACACTACTATGTAGGTAAAGCACCAGAAGTGTCTGCCACATGGTGGCTACTTAATGCAGGTCAATTCTCTCCCCTGCCCCTTTCTTCTTACTCCCACAGGTCACCATAGTTGGCACCTTAAACCTTCATAGTTGCTGTGCAGTTGAGAAGTCTGAGGCTCAGAGAGGTTAAGAAACTTGTCCAAGGCAAGACTTGTTCAATAGTAGACATGACCATCTCATCTAGTACTGTCTGACAATGTTAAAGCTCATGCTTGAGAGACAAAATAGTGAGGTAGGAGCTGTGAGCTCCACTGGTGGCACACGGATCTAAGGATCTGGACAGGGAGGGACCAGCAGAGGCTGAAAGAGGCTCCAGGCGGAGATGGGACCTGAACACAACTCTTAAAAGATGAACAGCAACTGAAGAAAGAGAGAAAAGGGATGAAAGGATCAGGAGAAGAAACTACATGGGCTGTTGGCTGGATGACTTCAGGGGCAAAGGAGGCTAGCCTGGCTTCTTCTCAAGGCTCCTCTTGGGGATTAATGGGTAAGAATGGTGAAAATGGTGTGGCTGGGGCATGACTTCCAAACTGAGGAATCTGTACTTTAGCCTACAGGACGTGGGGAATTCTGAACATGGAACAATGAGGAAACTCTATGTTTCAGAAAGGTGAAGGGGCATGGGCAACCAGGATGAGTGGCTTATGAAGAACATCCACGTGATGACACAACAGATAGGAAACCCTTTCAGAAGTCCAGAGGATAAGTTTCTGACCTGGTAATTGCAAGGACTGGAAGAGGAAACTTTTGAAACATTTCAAAGATAAATAGGCTTTGACAGCTATTTCCAAAGCATCCATGTGCCCACCTCAAGCACATAATTGGTCTCTTCCTATTGTAATTATTTCTGTGTCTGGCTCCTCCATCAGAGACTGTGAGCATCTAAAAGACACTATCTAAATCTTCTGTTTTATCCTGAGTGCCTGGCATCCACAGGAGGACCTCAGCAAATGTTTGCCAAACATTTGAGGGAATAGTGAAAGAGACATTCAGGCTTTAAGCTTGGTAATAAGAGACAGGTGCCACAAGGGCAAAGAAGAATTCTGGGAAAAGAAATCTCCATCTACATGAGTTCGGTTTGGGAACATTCTTTCTGACAGGTTCAGAAAAAGTGACAGACAAAACAAAATGTCCAAACCTAATCAAGGGAGCTCCTTACTGGTAGATGCCATTTATATTTGGAAACTATACTTTCCTTTATTATGGAAGGGCTGAGAGAGTGGGTTCTATGTATCTAAGTTGTTATTTAAGTTATGTTTCTTAGAAATCCTTTAATCATATTGGAATGCTCAATGTCCTTTTCCTCTTTTATACAGCAATCAAAGTAAAGCCTGACACAATTTCTTTGGAATTAACTAGTCTTTGTAGAAAACAGGCACACTAAAACTCTATGTTGATTAAGAGGGGGCATCAGACAGTAGAGGAGAGGTGTGCTCCTATCTGGGTTCCATCACTTATTACTGCATGATAGTAGGCAGCTTATTAATCACTCTGTGCCTCCTGGTCCTCATGCAGCTGTTGTGAGAATTAAATAAGTAAATACACATGATTGCTCACCCAGAACAGTCTGGCATATTGAAATTACTGAATGAATGTTGTTGCTATTCATCTTTAAACATTTAGGCAAGTAGATACAGCTTTCAGTCCAGTTATTACAGAATAAAACTAGAAGCTACAAAGCCATAATGACAAATTTCAAATTCTTACAATAAACTTCAAATAACTATAATTTGCTTAATTTAGTAACAGCCATTCGACATTAAAGCAGATATTCACAGTACAAAACTGACAAATATTAAATGAGTAAACTGACAGTGGATGTTTTTTGACTTAACTTTAGAAAATACATGCCAAAGGTATCTGAACCTGTGTTTCCTTTTACATAGCCTCATGGAATCACTCAGATTTTCCCTGAAAATCCTGTGTATTTTCCCACCTCCATGGCCTTTGTCCTCACTAGTTCCTTCTAATCCGTCTGGGTTTTCTCTCAGGCTTACTTCTAGGCCTACTTACAATAGCACCTCTTTACTTAGTTTAGCTGATCTCTCATTTGATCCTGCCTCTGCCCCAGCAAGGCAATACATTTCTAACAGTGCTTCCACTATGGTCCTCACACAGGTAAACAACTAGGATACAACATCACATGCATGGCAGGGCTCGTGCTTCCTGGCTCTTTGTGTTCCCACAGTCAAGCACACACTGCCATTGAACTGAACTACAAAAACTTTGCCTTTAGAAAAAGATTACTCACAGGGTTACTTTAATCTCCACTTCCCTTAATGCCCTTGAAACAGAATCAATAATACGTAATTTCTGTGAAGTACATCACCTTTTTATTACACTTTGAGGGAAAACAACACCCAAACAGACATTAAATTAAACTTTTCCAATAAAGTAGAAAGAGACTCAAGATTGCAACATCAAGTCTTACTAAATCTCCAAGCTGCTGGTTTGCCCTATGGATTTTGGACTTGCCAGCCCCTACAATTGCATGAGCCAATTCCTTAAAATAAATCTTTCTCTCTCGCCAAGAAGATGTAAGTGGCTCTTTTGTTTAAAAGTTTGTTCATGAGTGCTGTTCCTCTCTTAAAGAAATAATTCTACTCTGTGATACTTTAATTAGTTGCTATTGACATTAATTATGTTACTGAATCATAAAGAGATGCCTAATCGTTGGGTTCAGCCTGGGAGTCAGGAACTAAAGTTCTAGTTTTCAAAGGGCATAGCAATTTATCTTCCTATAAAAATAGACACAAAAATGCCAACAGGTAGGTGGTTTCTTATAGGGTGATGAAAATATTCTAAATTTAGATTATGGTAATGGTTACATAATTCTGTGACTATCCTAAACCATTAAACAGTAGAGACTTAATGGGCAGATTTTATGGTACGTGAATTACACCTTAAAGATGTTTTAGAAAAGGACACATAAGAGATTTGATTGCTTCAGATTTCAATTACCTAAGGAGAAACTAATTAAGAAAAAAATATTAATTTTAACATTTCATTATTCTTCTGTACTTACCCCAAATGTCAATTTGCATAACCCCTATTGAGGTATTAAATAACAGAAGTAAATGTTAACTTTATGCAAATCTGATAAACATCTAGACTTATAAGCAAAAGTAGGTGATGATCATATACTTTACAAAGGGATTAGTCATGGGATGCCTTTAAATAAGGCTCATGTAACACAAACATACTGAAAACTAATGACAACTCACTAATCACTTTTTAGAAACCCATTCAACATTCAGAGCAAGAATTATGAACACATTAAAAAGATTTCTCCCATCAGGAATGTAAGGACTATTTACCTTGTGACAAGGAACCAAGCAATTTTACTGAAGTCTGGAGAAGGCCTCATATATGTCTTAATATGTGGCATGGCATTGCTGCGGCCAGAAGTCTCAGCTGACCATTTGCTAGTGACAGAAAAGACAAAAGTTACTAATTATGAAATAAAATTGATCATAATCCTAATATTAGGAAACTGCATGAAAACAAAGAGCCTATTATCTAAAAATCAACAGTGGCTACACGACTCTGTGACCTGTGAGATTTTATGAAACTCCATTCAAGTAACGCATGCCCATTTTAGAATTATAAACTTCCCACTTTTCACAAGAAGCACTGCAACCTTTCAGCATATAGCCTTTCCATTTTTGCCATGAACATACATACATGCATACATATTATTTCTGTTGTGCTTTTAACAGCATGTGTGTATATGTCTCCTGCCTGAACTGTGAGCTCCTTAAAGGGAAGAATCATGCTTCCACGGTGTGTTATGAGTAGAGGCTCAGCAAAAGCTTGTTGAATGAAACAAAATACAAAAAAGGCAAAATACAAACAGTATATGAAAAAAATGAATGTTGAAAAGCGAGGGCAGAAATACTTTAGTCAAATGCTGACATTCACAAATCTGAGTTTGGTTTCTAAGTTTCCAATATTGCAGACTATGGTTCTATGGGAACCTATATCATGAAGCAACAATCTTTACTTATGAATATAAGAGGATGGTCCCTCCAGATTAACAGATGGTCTGTGAAAACAGAATCAGGTTTAGGTAGGTACCATCACTGTCTTCATTCAAGTGAATTTAATAATATAATATTTAAATGAGTTCAATTTAAAGAAATGTCCTCTGTAAGGAAAAACCTCTCAAGAAAGCACTAAAGAAAAGCTCTAGGATTACACACTGACTTACAGTTGAAAGCTATAATTCAAAGTAATTCTGCTTTCATTTCTGGCTAACCAGCACAGCAAACACCTGTTGAGACAAGCATGAAACAGACTGGCCTTGCATATGCAGGCTGTGCAACTGCTGTGGCTGGAGGAGGGTGAAGGACATTCCCTTCACTTGTCCACTCAGCATTTACTGAACTCTGACAACACGCCAGATACTGTCCTGTATCCTCAGGAAACGGCAGCAAAGAATCTGCCCTCAACAAGCTTGCAGCTGCATGTGTGACGGTACAGACAGAATAATGATACTTTATATTTTGGAAAAATGAACTAAAATGCTGCTTATGTAAATTCTAAACTACCCAACATGATCTTCTATTTGTCTTTCTTGGCATGCCAATATTTAAATAGAAACCTCACAGCAATAAATTTTCCTCTTTGGTATTAAAAACCTATTCCAAAAAAAATTCAAAACCTTGTTTTAAATTATTTCTATCACTAACATATGTAGATGAAAGAATATAGCTATATTACATAAAGTTCCTTTTAAAAAAAAAAACAAACCAGTGACATAAATAACACTCTAATTCCTAAAGAAGCAATAGCAGCAGTCTAAACCAATTACTTACTGAAAATAGGAATGCAGCCAATTCTGTTTTTCAGCTGTCTGGATGCTATAGGGAAGAGAGCCCCCAGCTTTTAAAAGAAAAATAAAACAATAAAAATTATGAAATATAATTTGAGGATCCCTCATTAAGAGGAAAATCTACAATAAACAGCAAGAAGGTAACAGGAAAAAAACTACTTCTATTACTTCATCTTATAGAATAGTTATTTGAAAGAAAATGTCTATAGTTGCACTAGATATGTTCTCTTAACGAGGTTTCCTTCCTTCAGTATTAACTTTATGCAAATCTTATAAACATCCAGACTTATAAGCAAAAGTAAGTGATGATCATATACTTTACGAAGTATAGTCATGGGATGCCTTTAAATAAGGCTCATGTAACACAAACATACTGAAAACTAATGACAACTCGCTAATCACTTTTTAGAAACCCATTCAACATTCAGAGCAAGAATTATGAACACATTAAAAAGATTTCTCCCATCAGGAATGTAAGGACTATTTACAATTCTTCTGTGTCGAGAATAAAAGTAAATTACCTCATTGAGGACGAGAACGCACCAAGTAAAGCAGAATAGAGCTTTTTCCTGCAAAAGCTTCAACTGCAAATAACTAAAACCACTCAGTTTCAAAGCCAGTTATAAAACAGCTTTGTTAAAAATACCACGTTGTTCCCCATTAAAAGTACACTTTGAAAACAAAAAATTATAATTGAATTACTTGGTGATGATAATTTAACATCTATACCTGCACAGATCTGAAGTGTTAGAATCCTGGCCCATCCTACCCTCCTTATGCAAATAAGACACAGCTGGACAGCCTCTGTTTTGCCCAAGACCGTGGGACTTGGGGAGGAAAATCTAGGACAAGATGTCAGTGCCCCTTCTACTTCACCTTTACACACTATTTCCAAACAGACTTTGTACTGGCTGAGCAGATTCTGACAAACAGAAAAGAATGGCTAAAAAACAAAACGTTCAGTAAACAGTTCAGTTTGAAAAAAGGAATTCTAAAAGCCTTATTCTTGCAAAGAGAATAAAGAAAGTTCCAAGTGGAAATACAATTAGAAGTCAATGCTTGCTCATTTTTAAAATGAAGAAAACTCCACAGTGGATTATCAGTGACTTTCCACACACATGCTGGAACTTCTCCACACTGATCTACACCCAAAGAGATCTATATCCAAACATCTCTGACATATCAAATAGGGCATGTCCTGTCTTCAACTTCAAATAACTAAAAACATTCAGTTTCAAAGCCAGTTATAAAACAACTTTGTTAAAAATACCATGTTGTTCCCCCATTAAAAGTACACTTTGAATGAATCTAGCCTATTAGAGGCACAAAAAGAGTACCAAAGAAAAACCACCACTGTATCCCTGGGTCTCGGTGAAGTAATTTTGGTTTTGCCATTAAAAAAAAAAAAAAAAAAAAAAAGGGCTAATACACTCCAAACGCTAGCGAAATTTTCCTGGCAGATTTTTCTTATTGAGCCTGATAAGCAATAAATGGACTAAATTAGTTTAATTCAGTGCATTCTGCTTTCAGCCATCAACAAATGCCAATTAGACTTTGCTTTTTCCAGAGACAACCACTATGTGGGTTTTCAGTTAACATCTCCTGATTACACTAACTAGCGGGGCTGCTGAATTCTAAATAAAGGTTTAGTGCCTGGTATGAGTATAAGGGAAAGGGACAGCGTTGACAGATGCCTACAAAAAATCTTAGGCATTTGCAGATGACACCCTTGACAGAATAGACATATCAACAAAGTTATACCAAAGGCAAAATTTTAAAAATTCCGGACCTTAAATGTTATCTATAGCAGGCATTTAAAAGGACCACATGGTACCTCAAACACAGGAAGGGAGGATATGCAGAGATGAGAGGAAGGTATGTTGGATAAGCTCTGAAAACGCATTGAAGAGTAAGGGGAAGCTGATTTTATTTGGCTATCTTGTCTGGACAACCAACCTGCTGGTTACCTTACTGGTAAAAATGAAAACTATTGTGCAGAGGGTTTCTGTAAGGATTAATAACACACCCAAACTGAAGGGTATCATCTGCGGAATGCAGAGCTTCATATTGCCTATTTTCATGATCCTTATATAGTTAAGTGAAAACCATCTCCAAATTTCTACGCAATAGTAGTAAAACTTTACCAGGACATTCATGAAATATACATAAAACACAATCAAGACAGTCTCCCCAAGAATTACCAGGATATCCTTCTAAACTGGTCCGCACATTTTCCACAGAAGGATAGATCTAAAAATAAGAGGAAAACAATAAAACTCGGAATGTACCATGTTGAAGAAAAGGAATGATAATCAGCTTTTAAGGAAATGAAAATCTGTTAAAAATACTTTTAAATTAGAAAATATGCTTTAAATTTTTAAAAGTTCTCATCTTATGAAAAAAATGAACTAGTAATTAAACAACAGGAACCATATTTGATGTAAAATTATACTTCAATTGGAGTATTTTTTCCTTTGAAATTCAAGTTAACATTGAATGGAAAATTAATTATTAATTCACAGTTCTCTAAATAATTAAAATGCCCATAATTCTGCTGGCTGTGCTACATCAAATATTTTCTACCTTGGTTCAACAACCTGAAAGAAAGGATAGAAAAATCACAGGCCAGTCTGTGTCTGCAATGGAGCTCCTGAACGAATCGGCAAGCTCTTAGCACTGGATATTAAGGCAAAGGCAACTTGATTACAAATGACGATGCTAATGTACTGCTCTTTCCGCACCCCGCCCCCGCCACGCCAAAAAAAAAAAAAGAATCACAGAATAAAACATCTCTCCATTACAAAGAGGACCAATTTTCAATTCTTCTCCTGTGTAGAGAATAAAAGTAAACTACCTCAATGAGGACGAGAACTCACCAAGTAAAGAGGAACAGAGCTTTTTCCTGGAGTCTTGCTTTCCTTCCCCAGTGTCAGCATGCTCTCTTTAAACTCAGAACATAACCACTTTGATTCATCGGCTCCCAAGGAGCCAACGCTTGAAAACTGACCTACGACAGGCCAGGACTCTGCGTTAGGCATGGATGAGGCATGGTCTTTCAGAAGCTGGGAAAGAATAAAAGTGAATGTTAAAGTGACTCAAATAATCTTAACAGAAATGCTGCAATATTTGAAAACAGTTTTCTGCTCTTGGAAAGCCTAATTAACAAGAAAAGCTGAAAATACTAGTGATCAATTTCATACCCACACATACATACTTCTTCTTTGGGAAATTTTTTTTAAATACTAAAAACATATTTTTAATGGAGTAGATGGACAGAAGTTCTCCTTTCCAAAATTATTTGATTTGTACTAAAAGCAAAAACAGGTTTAAAAAGGCCCATTTCAGAAGAAATTTCAGATAAACCACCAACTTGTCATATGAAATTAGATTTTTTTTACTTGAAATCACAAGTGTTTAATGCAGCTTTGATGCTATGAAATATGTATTTGGTCTTCATCCCTGTTTCCTGGCATGCAACTACTAAAATCCTTGGGATCTCCAATGTGAAGTCTTTCTGTATGTTAATGAGACTGATGGCTGGCAGACCCTAGGCAACTTCAGGATGGGGGCTGGTCACGATAAAGACCAAGGCATGATTAGAAGATTGGGACTTTTGGCACAACCCCCCATCCTCCAGGGATAGGAGGGGCTAAAGGTTGAGCTGATCAGCAATGGCCAGTGATGTAATCAACCATGCCTATGTAATGAAGCCTCCATTAAAAACCCAAAAGGACAGGGTTTAGGGAGCTTTCCGACAGCTGAACACCTGCGGGCTGCTGGACAGTGGTGGTGCATCCAGAGAGGGCATGAAAGCTCTGTGCCCCTTCCCCTATACCTTGCTCTATGCATCTCTTCATCTGTATCCTTTATAATAAAGCAGTAAATGTTAAGTGTTTCCCTGAGTTCAGCGAGCTGCTCTAGCAAATGAAGCCCAAAGAGAGGGTCATGGGAACCTCAACTTGAAGCTGGTCAGTCAGAAGTTCTGGAGGCCCAGACTTGCAACTGGTGTCTGAGGGAGAGGGGCAGTCTTGTGGGATGGAGCCCTCAATCTATGGGATCTGAGGCTACCCCCATATTTCTTTAAAAAAAATGTATTTTTTCAATTATTTTTTCCCTACTATTCCCCAACTCCTTCCCCACTTCCTACTTAGACCTTTAGAAATACAATATAACCTTTTACCTTTCCTTTACTAGACACTCCCTACAGGGCAAGTTCATCTATGTGCTTAGAAGCTCCAGAGCAGAACTTTCTCCCACCAGGGGACTGCCTCGAGGGACAGCAGTAAATTTACAACCCAAAGTATGCCCACTAAGAAACTCTCCCACCTGGAGAGTTTCAGCCATCTTTACAACCTAGTTCTGCCCAGGAAGAGACCAAATGGACTGCCTGGTAGAGAAGGCAGAAAGTAAGGAAGTATCCACCTGCTTGCTTCCTCCTCTGCGTGCCATTCATGCTAGGCCCCTTTTAAAAGTGTCCACTTTCTGCTCCAAGAGCAAAGCAGTATCCTTAAGACAGGAAGCCTGTACTTATTCCTCTAAGCCAGCTTTGGAATAAAAAATAACTTTTTTTATACCATCACTTTCTTTATATCATCACTTTCTTTAAAGTCACTTTCTTTATACATCTCCAGGAAGACAGCATAAGAACTGAAGTGAATTAGAGGACACCCAGCTGGTGTCCCCTGCTTAGTGTATGAGGAAAACCCCACACATATTTGGTCACAGTTTTCTGTGTTGACTGTTGTAGTGTGAGAGCAGAGGAAACAAAGTGAGTTTTTTGCTACCAACACTTAAACAATACCTAGAAGGATTACATATTTTGACTCCTATCATTTGAAAGAGGCTTAACAGTCATAGTTTAACACTTGAGCTCCAGGCAGCTGTGATGGTCTAAACATAAAAGAGAATATTTACATACACATACCAGCTAAAACACTGCAGAAGACTGATCTGCATTTCCTGCTTTGATAATTATGCAAAGCTGCAGAAACAATTAAGAAAACATTTGGAAACTGTATCCACTTAAATATGTACTGAATGCCTACCTAGAGGGCTGGAGAGAGCAGAAAAATAAACTGTAGCTCATCTGACTGACGTTTTGTTTAATTTAATATGTATTATTTTCCTTAACACAGGTTAGGCATTAATACTTACACATACACTTCCCAAAAAGCCCAAAGTTTCCATGTCCACCTTGGGTACAGCATGGTGTAGGAAACAGAGCTGAACCGACAACTTACAACACCCAGTTTCTACTGCAGTGCTCAGCCCCTGAAGGGCCACCCTATCCTGGACAAGCCTCTGGCTTAGATTTACACTTCAGTGGAAACAGGCACCTAATCACCGGCCGGCCTTCCTGGAAGAAAGCTGTGGTGCAACATGAGCAACTGTGTGTAAAAAGTGGTTTGAAAACTCTTAACATACAGTTGAACTTTCAGTATCAGATGGTGATCACACATAATACGTGCTATTATCTAGCCTATCTAAACCATTAGACATTTGTCCACAAACAACTGTGTATGTGCACTGAAGACTTACTGTGTGCCCTGTACTATTTTACATTCATCATTTCATTTAATCCTCACAATCACGGGAGGGAAGTACTATTATTATGTCCACTTTATAGATGACAACCGATGTATGTTAAGGAACAAGTCGAGGTCACACGGCTTGTAGATAACAAAGCAGGGTTTGAACCCAGCTATGGATATCTGCCTCCAAGACTGGGCACAGGCCAATGTGCTGAACTTCCTCTCTAGGCCAAGACATAAAGATGTCTTCAAGATCTTGCCTGCTTTAAGCTGTGGTCTCATTTCATAAAAGGAAATTAAAATAAAAAGTTTCATTAACCAAGGGAAAATTCTTAGACTTTAAATAGTTTATGGAATAAGAGGTTAAGGCTTTTAAGAAAGCCACTTTAGGGAATTTATTTATTTTTTTGAGACGGAGTCTCGCTCTGTTGCCCAGGTTGGAGTGCAATGGTGTGGTCTCAGCTCACTGCAATCTCCGCCTCCCGGGTTCAAGCGATTCTCCTGCCTCAGCCTCCCGAGTAGCTGGGATTACAGGTGCCTGCCATCATGCCCGGCTAATTTTTGTATTTTTAGTAGAGACAGGGTTTCACCACGTTGGCCAGGCTGGTCTTGAACTCCTAACCTTGTGATCCGCCCCTCTCAGCCTCCCAAAATGCTGGGATTACAGGCGTGAGCCACCACACCTGGCCAGGGAATTTATTAAGGTCAGTAAACCACCTAAAAAGAGATGAAAAAAACTTTAATCTTCAACTTATTTTATGACCTTTCTTCGTGCATTTTCATATCAGCAGCAAGTATTATTTTTGAATTTGTTTTCTTAAGGGCACTGGTTTAATAATCAAAATATATTATAGCTCAGTTGTAGTCTTTACTCAACATTTTCTGTTTGTTGAATTTATATCTTAAAACTTGATATGCTGAACAATCAAAAGCTATAATCAAAGCTACAGTATGTGTATGAATAGGAAGCCTCTATCTTTATTACAATATAAAAACTAGAAAAGGTCTATATATTTATGCCATTAACAGCCTACAGCTATAAAAGAGGCAAAACACATTAAAAAGCAGTAATTACTAAGAATTATAATTATCAATTTATCAAGTATCTATTTGCCCAGAATTGTGCAGAAATATTGTGAAGCTGCATCAAAATATATAATTATTTTAAAAGAGAGAATATACATTAAATTTTTTAAAAATGTTAAAATAGTAAAAGTTCTGTTACCTTCTTAAGTCTAAAATGTCCCCAATTATCTTTTTGACTTCCTTGAAAGCGTCCTGGGGTTGAACCAATAAGATAAACACTAAAAAGACATAAAAACACAAGTTATAAAATATAGTGATGTGCTTTGGGCACCAAAAAAAATGACAAAATACACATGAAAACTAATATAATCAAGAAATGATCTAAGAGCCAATCCATTTTCTTGAATTGACTCTCAAATTCATTTTCAAGCAAATCAACTAATGATGGAATGCCTACAAGATGTAAAGTACCAGACAAAGAACTCAATAATTGTGAGAGTAACCCAGTGGGAGGCTAAGGTAAACATGAGGATTCACTGGCTGTCACTTTAATGCCTGAGAACCACAAGATACAGATGTGATAGAATCTGCTCATCCCCTCATCACATCCTGAAGCTTGGCTAGATTTCACCCCACCTCTTTCCAGGCCCCTGCATGCCAGACCTCATGAGGCTCCCAAGGTATAAGCCTATCATAAGCACCCCAAATTGATAAGCTGACACATACTTTGTTTCAGAGAGATCGTGCTTGTGAATGACATCTATCCACTCCTTGAGAGAAGGGGCATTATAAGCCATCAAGTAACTGATGAGATCAGCTTTAAAATGTGTTGGCGACTCTCCAGATTTGTGGGTTCCATCAGCAATTCGTGGGTATAAGGGGCTCAACCATATTCTGGAATTAAAAAAATAACCTTTAACAGTCAGGCACACAACTGATCATAATGATCTCTGTATCGATTATGCCTTCATCCTAAGAAAGAGGTGAATTCTCGGTATCTCCACATGGTAAGTAATCTTAGGAAACATGAAACATAAATCTGAGAACACCACTCCAATGGTTTCTCATCACATTCAGAATTATTCCTGAATGTCTTGCCATGAATTTAAGATTCAGTAAGACCTGGGCTCTGCCCACCTCTTCCAACCCACATCCCTCCATGCTCCCTCTCACTTGCCAAACCTTCCTTATTGCTCCTCTTACCTCTGCACCTATATATTGCTTTCTAAGACTTGATGACAAGAGTTAAGAATTCTACTCTTAACGGTTAAAGCAAATCCATGCTACTAGTGGTAATCCCAAGCAAGAATTTGCCCTTGTCTGCATCAATGCAGCTCTTCAGCCAAATGTGAAATAAGAATTGTGTTATCTATACCAAAAGTGCATGTGAAAAATCTATTTTCAATTAACAAACCCATTTTCATAACGTAGGTCCTATAGCAGCATATTTTTATGTCTTATACTTTCTGGTGCCTGGATTAAGTATATATCACATTCAGTGACATTACAATAACCTCAAACTTTCAACACTTAATTCACTGAAGAAGCATTACAGACATCTTTCATTTCATTAATTCTTTTTCCCTAGAGGAAAACAATGCTCTTTGCCAAAACTTCTACATTATATCCATAAATAGAAAACAATCATATCTAATCCCAATCCTTCTATAAACTGCTCCACAGTAGATTACTAAAATGGCTTCAAACCTCTTGTGCTTCAGTTTCTTCAAATGCAAAAAAGTGGGGTTAACAAGGCTGCCTCACTGGGCTGTTGCAAAGCAATGACTTACAGGAGCAGTCAAAAGTATCAGGTGTTACTTTTTTCCCCTTCTGTGGCTACTCTCCTTTTCCCCACCCTGGGTTCTATCTATTAAGCTGAAAGAGAAACTGCCCAATTTCTCTTTCACCTGGCAGCCCCTGAAGGAGACTGGCAAGATGCAGGCCACCAGGGCAGAAGGCATCCAGAACTGCAAGGACTCTCGGCCGTACATCTTCTCAACTCTGCAAGTTTCTAGCAAGGGGCATTTCATACCCCTGCTTCCCACCCTGGGGAGACACTTAGCACAGGAGGTAGCATGGTGTGATGAGGGCTGGAGCCCATGTTCTGGACCCAGATCGACTAGCTGACTATACCATTTTGGGTAAGCTCTGTGATCTCTCTGGGCCTTTGCCTCCGTGTGTAAAATGACCAGGTTGGGCTGGACAGACGTGGAGGACCTCCCCTTGCAATAGCACCTCAAAGTTCCCAGGCTGAGTGAGGCTCCTCCTGGATCAGAGATTCACTCACAGGTGAGTTCTGGATGAGAAACAAGACAAATGACTTTCTAAACTAAGATGCTGAGATATGAGGCATTTTTAACACATCACAAAATGAGAAAATTATTATAATGAGCCAAATAATTTTATTTTATTCTTTACTGTGAGCTTTGGATGCAACTCTTGTTCTAATTTTAAAAAGTGAGAAATCAACAGGTGGATCATGAGGCAGCTGAAGGGGATTAGCAGAACCACAGTAGACCAATTATGAAGTGAGATTGTATACAAAAACTGCTTTCAAAAGTTTTAAAATTACCACAAATAACATGAAATGCAAAACATTAGAGAGTAGAATATAGGCCAAGCATGAAATAATAGGATCCCACACCAGGATGGCTGCCAGAGGAAGATTTCATAGTCTTGGTACTTTCTGAGTTTTGAACCGTTCCTACCTAGTCAATAAGTTTTCCAAAATTTTAAATTAAAAAATACTTTTTTTAAATAAAAGAAACACCCAAGCCCTTATCCCTGCCTCTTCCCTCCTGGCAACCACCCCAGAGAATCCCAAGACAGTACTACTGCCTGTAAGCTAAGCTTCCAACTTCAGAAGGAGCTGGAGGCCCAGGGTGGGATTCTTGGAACCACGTGAGGCTGAGAGCTAACCTGAGAAATCCCTTTAGTAACATTGTTTCATGAGAACAAGCTACATTAATCTCATTGCCTTTTGATAGGGCCACATGAATCCCCAAACCCAATCTGGCAGCTCAGGAGAACTGGCTTAGAAGCTCTTGGGGTACCAAAGGCATAGTTAACCATAAATTCAGTAGATCAAGAAAGTGCTACAGCTGAGACTTAGAGACCAAGCAGCTATCCCCTCAACCCTGGACCAGTCAGAGCCACACTTCATTTTGAAAAGCATATTTTCAGTGGGATACTGAAAAATTATAACATGTTTATAGAAAAGCGACCAGGAATTACAGCTAGGGGTCTCAAAGCCACATGCTATGGTGGGGCAAGGGAGTGGGGAGGGAACAAGAGATGTAAGGCTCAGAAACAAGACTCCCTTTCAAACTCTGAAGGACTGCTTTAAGGGAGGGAGATTACATTTGTCCTGCGCAGTGCACTCAGGTTGAAGCAAGACCTGTTGAAGGAAACTGGAAAGCTATTTCAGCTCAAACTAAGATGTAACTTGGGGCCAGGCACGGTGGTTCATGCCTGTAATCTCAGCACTTTGGGAGGCTGAGGCAGGCGGATCACTTGGCAACTAGGCAAAACCTTGTCTCTACAAAAAATAAAGACAGTTAGCCAAGTGTGGTGGTACGTGCCTGCAGTCCCAGTTACCCAGAAGGCTGAGGTGGGAGGATCACCTGAGCCCAGGAGGTTGAGGTTAAAGTGAGCCGTGATCGCATCACAGCATTGTAACCTGGGTGACAGAGTGAGACCGTCTCAAAAAAACAAACAAAACAAAGATGTAACCTGGGCTCAGCAGAGCTTAGCTGAAAGTAATACACTCCAAATTAGGAGTTCTAGCCCAAGCTAGGCAATGATATGGGGCAGGGTGAGGCAGAGGAGGATGACAGAGAAAACGTGAACCTGGAAATGGTGCTAGACAAACGTCCGAGTTTCTCCCAACACAGAAGGCTGTTTGTTAACCAGCTCTTCTCTAGCACAGGCAGAGATGTACAAAATGGCTTAAACAAAAGAAAATTAAAGTTAGTCATAATCAAGAACAATAGCTGAACTTGTTGAGCAAATCCCTAAAGCTCCCTTTTAAAAAGCAAACCCCTCTTGAAAAGGGGATCAAAACCTGGATCTAGCATATGTGCACCAAGTACAGAGGGTTAGTAGTTTAAAAAGTTCATAAAAGCTTTCGTATTCAGTTCTTCTCTTGGAGATTCACAACTTTATTAACACACTAAAGGCTCTAAAAAGACACCAGCTTAAATTTGTTTCAAAGAAAATACACCAACTGGGGGAGTGGGGAAATATTTAGCACACTATTAACATGACCAGGCCCTACCCCAACTTTTCCTTTGATTCCTGTTTGGGAAGTGGTAAGCAAAAATACAGGTGGGTACATGAGTAAGGAGAAATCACAAAAGCTATCTGGTAAATCCTACTAGGAAAACAATAGGTTCAGATCTTTCATTCTGTAACCCCTTTTCTGCCTCAGATCTCTGCATGTGCTGTGCCCTCTACTTAGCTGTAGAGTGTATATGATGCCACTTCTCTAAAAACTAGGAAGAGACTACTGTGTGTAAATAGTAATGTATGTTTACATGTACAGCAGAGGTAGCTGTGGATGATGATGCTCCTGTTAACACTGGTTACCCCAAGAAGGTAGAATGGGGCAGGTAGTAAAAGAATACAGTAACTTTTTCTGCATACAACTCTTTTTCTAGGCCATGTGTGTTATTTTTACAACTTAAAAAAAAAATAGAAAAAAGAATAAAGTGAATGTTCTGGCTTTTGACCTTTATCAACACACACACTGCCAGGAAGTGAGCAGGCCCCTACGAACCCTTGAGTTTTCTGGTGCCAGTCAGCATGGATGAGGTTGGAGGTGTGTATGACAACCCGGAGGCCTTCTTCATAGAGCAGCAGCATCATTTTCCTTTAAAAACAGCAAAGGATCAAAAAGCATTAATAGTACTTTCAAAATATGTAATACCTTTCCAATGCAAATGTAATACATAGCTAAAGGAATTTTTTTAAACTCTCATATTACCCAAACTTAACATTTATAATCTTCCCTTCTATACATTACCATGATGAAAGTCTGCCTAAGTGATAGGATGAAAACCTTTCAGAAAGGTTGAGTATTTGGTGGTAAAAGAACTTTCAACCCTAGTGCCAGTCCTGGCACTTCACATCCCTCCAGCCTGGCCCCTTATTATCTATTCAGCATTACCTGTTACTACTAGGGACCGTTGGAACCTTCTGGTCTGGTGTTTGAGATTCAAAGTATGGTCAACAACCTCTTGCTGCATCATGGCTGGCATTTTTTAAACAACTAAAATAGCATAAATTGGTATACTGTATATATTTAATTACTGGTTCATGAAATTTTGTTTTGGCACAAAGGTATGTTAGTGCACAATACACTGAAATGTAAAGTGTATTTCTTATTATGAGTTGAAATTTTAAGAAGTTTAAAAGATGCTTCATTACCATTAGTGGTTTTTTGTATCCATAGATGCCACACTTGTCAAAAGTGTGTTATCTGGGCTTGGGGTAAGTCTTGCCTATTCTTCATTAACCCAAATCAGACTTAGTGGGGTCCACTCTTTTTCCATGTGACCTCCCCAGGCCTCTAGTCGAACACATTTCTCTTATTTTAATTGCAGTGAGAGAGAGGGAATAGGATATAGATAAAAGCTTTCCATTTGAAGTCTGAAGACCTGAGCTCCAGACTTTGTCATTTAGAAGCCCTTTGACCCTAGGTAAGCCATTCAATGTCCCCGAGCCTCAGTTTTCCACTTGTATCTCTAAGGATCAACCCCACTTCAGGACTATTGTGAGTGAAATGCAAAAATACATTTTGCTGCCAGGCACGGTGGCTCATGCCTGTAATCCCAGCACTTTGGGAGGCTGAGGCTGGCAGATCACCTGAGGTTAGGAGTTTGAGACCAGGCTTGCCAACATGGTGAAACCCATCTCCACTAAAAATATAAAAATTAGCTAGGTGTGGTCGTGGGCACCTGTAATCACAGCTACTAAGCAGGCTGAGGCAGGTGAATCAGTTGAAGCTGGGAGGCGGAGGTTGCAGTGAGCCGAGACTGCACCACTGCACTCCAGCCTGGGTGACAGAGTGAAACTCTGTCTCAAAAAAAAAAAAAAATTGTTAAATGTGAAACACTCTCACCTGTACATTCCTATTACTCCTTTGGTACACAGCTTTATTTTCTCATCTAATAATGGATGATTTTTATCTCCCTGTTGTTTTCAATAGGATTATTTCAATATTTCAGGAATCTAAGTTCTCTCTCTCCAACTAAAGTGTCACTTCTCATGGCTGTAACTCTGTCTTGACTTATTTTATCATTTCTATTGAGGCCAAAATGCTACTTAATACTTACTGATGAAACTCAATTCACACATGGCAAAAAAAAGTGAACCACTGGCTCTCTCCAAATAAACAACATGAACATTATCTGGGCAGGATGAAATTATCATAAAAAGATAAGAAAAAGGGTACGAGAAGAGACAAGAGAATGAGATATTTAGCTCTTGCCAAAACGAGAAATTAACCCAAGCTGGCAAACAGTAAATTAATGCAAAGCTGGAGAAATGACAGCTGCTGTGCCATCTTCTTTCCATTTGTGAAATGTGCTCCCTGAAATCTGGGCAAATTTACATACACAGTTGCCAAATCAGCAGCTGATTGTAATTAAGAATAAGTCAGTTATGGATTCATGATAGAACGTTTACAAATATTTCCATTAGTCAAGACATCGATTATCAGGCAAATCACACACTAATGTCAATGAATGCTATCAAATAGAATTATGAACTTGAGAGTAGCCATATTCATCTTTTCATAGACAAAATGGTAGTGTTAATAAGGTCACAGTTAAAAATGGATAGAAAAGGGTGAGGAATGAGATCTCCCTTGAAGAATGCTGACCTGCCATACTGTCTGCTAAGCTGTGAGGCAGCAAAAGGGACCCAACCCAAATGCGCAGCTATTCCTGCAAAGGGGGAAGAGAACTAACATATGGCAAGCACCTCTCTACCAGGTGCCATCCTAGAAGCTCTGTCGTATGTTACCACACCAAGTCTTCACAGCAATACAGAAGAGGAGTTATTCTCATTCTACAATTGTGGAATCTACAGCTGGACATTTAACAGGGATTATCCAAGGTCACAAAGTGGGCCAGCGGAAGAGCTTGTTGGGATCACAAATGCCAGATGCCAGGGCACTCCTTTCACCACACATGGTTTCACAGGGCTGGTGGCAGCAACGGTGAACACTTCATGCTACTGGTACAGGGGTAGGTGAGGTGGGGGGAGACATGGCCTTGGTGGGAAAGAGGACTAAATGATGCATGGTGGGGGCCTGACTACAGATCTTAGTGGAAAGAGGCATGCCTCGCCCATCCTGTGGTTTGCTACTGGCCACCACCTGGATCTGGATATTTGACATTCAGCTGCTTTGGCTTTCTCTTTCCCCTCTATCGATTCTTGGAGCCATAAGAATTAACTCTGCTCCCAGCTCTAGAGGAAACCAAAGAGCTTTCCCATTCTAAAACACTGTGAGACAGACCACGGGATTGCATGGCATCCAACCAAAACTGGACAGAGCAGGGCTTGTGTGCCAAAGTGTATGCAGTCTCAAAGACTGCCTCGTTCACTGTTTCTAGCTCTACCCTGTGAGGTGGGGAAGGCAGTTTACCCTCCATCACTATGATCTGGAAGGTGATTCTCCTTTTCTAATTCACATGTTTGTCTTGCTTCTCTCACCAAAGAAAAAGCTGTAAGAATAAAAACTCTATATCCTCTTGAGCTGTGTCAAGAACATAAGAAGTATTTAATTCTTAAAACATTTTAAAAATACGCTAGGTGCGGTGGCTCACGCCTGTAATCCCGGCACTTTGGGAGGCCGAGGCGGGTGGATCACCTGAGGTCAGGAGTTCGAGACCAGCCTGGCCAGCATGGTGAAACCCCATCTCTACTAAAAATACAAAAATTAGCTGGACGTGGTGGCACACGCCTGTAGTCCCAGCAACTCAGGAGGCTGAGGCAAGAGAATTGCTTGAACCTGGGAGGCGGAGGTTGTAACGAGCTGAGATTGCGCCATTGTACTCCAGCCTGGGCAACAGAGCGAGACTGTCTCAACAAAAAAAAAATTTTTTTTTAAATAAGCAACTAAAAGTAATTTCAAGACACGAGCTCAATCTTCTACAAGATAATGTCATTTCAACAAAATGTAAACTACAGATACTTAATTGGGAAAAGTTCAACTGTAATTACTTTCCTAGGCATTTTCTTTTGTTTTCGAGACAGGGTCTCACTCTGTCACCCAAACTGGAGTGCAGTGGCATGATCTTGGCTCGCCACAACCTCCGCCTTGCAGGCTCAAGCGATTCTCCTGCCTCAGCCTCCCATGTAGCTGGGATTATAGGCATGTCCCACTACTGCCCGGCTAATTTTTATATTTTTAGTAGAGATGGGGTTTCACCATGTTGGCCAGATTGGTCTCGAACTCCTGATCTCAAATAATCCACCCACCTTGGCCTCCCAAAGTGCTGGGATTACAGGCATGAGCCACAGCGCCCAGCCTCCTAGGCATTTTAAACTCTGAATTAAGAGCTCTTGGCCAGGCATGGTAGCTCACACCTGTAATCCCAACACTTGGGGAGGCAGAGGAGGGTGGATCACCTGAGGTCAGGAGTTTGAGACCAGCCTGGCAAACATGGTGAAACCCCGTCTCTAATAAAAATATAAAAGTTAGCCAGGTGTGGTGGCAGTGGCCTGTAACCCCAGCTACTTGGGAGGCTGAGGCAGGAGAATCGTTTGAACCCAGGAGATGGAGGTTGCAGTGAGCCAAGATTGTGCCACTGCACTCCAGGCTGGGCAACAGAGCGAGACTCTGTCTAAAAAAAAAAAAAAAAAAAAAAAAAAAAGAGCTCTGTTGAGTTTAACCTGCAAAGTATGTGTGTAGGAGCGAGGGGGTAGTGGTGAATGGACCAAAGGAAATAATAAGGTAAATTTTAGCAATGAGCAAACAAGAACAAATTTAAAGCTAAAGTTAATGCCAGCACAGGGGCTCATGCCTGTAATCCCAGCACTTTGAGAGGCTAAGGCAGGAGGTCTGTTTGAGTCCAGGAGTTCGAGATCAGCCTGGGTCACAAAGTGAGACCCCTGTCTCTACAAAAAAATTAGCCAGGCATGGTGGCGTGTGCCTGTAGTCCCAGCTGCTCGGGAGGCTGAGGTGGGAGGATTGCTTAAGCCCAGGAGTTGGAGGCTGCAGTGAGCTGTGATCATGCCACTGCACTCCAGTCTGGGCAACAGAGTGAGACCACATCTTGAAAAATTGTGTGTATATATTAATTAAAGTTAGAATAAATAGGTTCTATTCCTGTCTCCACTACTGGCCCAAGGAAAAATCACATACCTAAACCTGGGCCTCAGTTTCCTGATCTATAAAATTAAAAGGAAAGACCAAATAATTTTTATAAGAGCATTAAATAAAAGAATAGCTCCCCCAGGCTCAGTTAAGCATCGCTGTGCTAGATCCTAGGTGGGCCTACCATGCTCAGTCTCTCCTAAGAATAACCGTGTAATGGACAAATGACAATGCTTGAGGGGTTCCCCTATTTCACAAAAAGTGCTTACGTGTGGTGTGTTCCAAACGCAATATCCAACTTTGCCTAGGATGAAAAAGAAGTCATTTATTTAAAAACAACTCACTAATATCCATATCTACTGGAAATTACATTAGAAAGCAATCAGGTCAACTTTTTTTTTTAAAACTATTTTTACTGATCTCTACCAGGCAAGCCCTTGAATAACAAGACAGCTTTTATAATAGCATCTGGGGACGCTCATTAAAAAAAAAAAAAAAAAAAACACAAATTTTGTTACCCAGAATGATTATACACTACAGAATATATACTACATTTTTAATTACAGTAATTAGGACTGAGAAGCCTAAATTCTTTAGTTGACAAAAAACTAGTAAAACAAGTGAGTCTCTATGCAAAGTTTTAGATATTTGGCTTATACAGAAATTAATGGTACACAGTTTTCAGAGCATATTTAAAAGAAACACTGAAGGCCAGGTGCGGTGGCTCACGCCTGTAATCCCAGCACTTTGGGAGGCTGAGGCGGGCACATCACGAAGTCAGGAGATGGAGACCATCCTGGCTAACGCAGTGGAACCCCGTTTCTACTAAAAATATGAAAAAATTTGCCAGGCGTGGTGGCCAGCGCCTGTAGTCCCAGCTACTTAGGAGGCTGAGGCAGGAGAATGGCGTGAACCCAGGAGGCAGAGCTTGCAGTGAGCTGAGATAGCGCCACTGCACTCCAGCCTGGGTGACAGAGCGAGACTCCGTCTCCAAAAACAAAAAAAGAAACACTGAAAGTGGTGGCAACATAAAGACTTAGGATGTTAAATTAAAATAGAAATGTTCTTATATTAGCATAGCAAGTGCTGAAAATAAAAACATATGAAATCCATTTTCATGTTATAAAATGACACCTTTACAAACTAATGGAGGGTATGTATATAGAAAACATGTTATCTAATACCCACTAATGCCAGATCTTGGTTAAGCAGAATATGTCACAAGATGCAGATTATGAAAGAGTTTAAATAACCGTAAAAGTTTCACAATTAGGAACGCAGTACATGGGCTCAAATCCTGCCTTCACAACTTTGTATGACTCTGGAAAATACATCTAACTCTATGCCTCAGCTTTCTCCTCTTTAAAACGGTACCATTCTGAGATCCAGAGTTGTCAGGAACGAGATCACATATGTAAAATGCTGAGCAACGGGGGCCTGCATGCAATAGGCACTCTATAATCGTGGCAATCACTACTGCAACCTCTCCCCACTACCTACCCCAGCCTCCTTACCACATGACATGGGTGAAACTTTGCTGGGGGCAGTAATGGGCGACTGGAATACACAGGTGAGTTACAACACAGCTCCTGTTTGGAATGGAGATGCTCACAGACCAGCATGCATCTGTGCATTCTGGCCACAGAAGAAAGTGCAGGGAACTCTATTTCATGTTTTCAAAATTACCAAATGAGAAGGAAGACTGCCACTCTATAAACTGATATTTAGCTGAGAAAGAACAATGGTCAAGAGACCTGGCTTTTGTTTCGTTTGCTAAAAGTTACATGCTTCTGGGTAAGTCTAAGCACAAAAAACAAGGATAATAGCTTCAATAGATATTGTTTACTGGGTGCTGTTTTTGGGCTAGTGCACCAAGTCCTTTAGTAAACTCTAGGATGAACAGCATTAGCAATCAATTTCAAAGATAAAGAAATTAGGTGACAAGCCAGTGACAAGCCCAGAATAAGTGTTGTAGACTAAACACTTCTGTCCCCCACCAAATTCATATGTTGAAGCCCCAACTTCCAATGTGACTATTTGCAGAGAGGGACTTTATGGAGGTAATTAAGGTTAAATGAGGTCATAAGGGTGGGATCCTGATCCAACAGGACTGCTGTCCTTATACAAGAGCTACCAGACAGCCTATGTGTCTGTCTTCCTCCCTCTCCCTCATGAGGACACCGTGAGAACGTGGCCATCTATAAGCTGGCAAGAGAGCCCTCACCTGGAACTGAACTGACTGGCACCTTGATCCTGAATTCCCAGCTTCCAGAACTGTGAGAAATAAGTGTCTGTTGTTTCAGCGACCCAAGTCCAAGAAAAGTCACCCAGGTAATTTTGTTATAGCACCCAAGCAGACTAATACACACACGTAGAGCCGGGACTGAGCCCAGGCAATGTGACTCTGACCACCACAAGGTCTCAATGTCTGCCCTTAGGTCCCACATTTGCAAAATGGGAGAGGGTCAGCAGCCACCGATTCTCTGACTAATGTGTCTCAGTTTCAATGACTCACGTTGCTAGAAAAAGACTTTATCTTACAGACAAGGTATAAAGGTGCTTCAAGAGATCAGGAGGACACAATCCTGTACGTCAGCCTAGAGTTGGGAGCTTCTTCACAGCTCTTTCCAAGAGGTTTGGAAGAAGTGGCTCACTATGCCCTCTGGTGGCCAGCCTGGAACACACTATCAAGCACAGGAACCACTCTCCTAAACGAGCACAGGTAGGTAATATTTGAAAAAGACTTTATTTCCATTCATTTAGTCACTGGTTTTCAGGATTTCTGTGTCAGTTTACTTTCTGCCCACTATAAGGTTTGATGGGAGCTATCCTACTGCAGTATAACCTCTTATGTTGCTGGAAATAGAAGCAAAACAATGGAATTTTGGCAACTGCGAAGCAAAGGCACATCTATGGGCATGAGATGAGCCCATGTTGGATAGAAGGCATTTTTAAAATGACAACTCTATAAAGTGCAGTGGGTTAAATCATAAGGAAAATGTTGTGAGGTATGTTTAAACTAACAAGATTGAGCTCTTGTACTGTATTAATCTTAAAAAAATACAAAGATATCATATATAGTTGGAAAAAGAGTGATACAATATGAGTTGGAATTCTTACATCTTTGTGGATGGGGAAAAAAGACACTAGAAGGAAAATGAGAAAAAAAATCCAGAAAGGATGTAATTCACTCTGTCTCTGTACTTGCAGAGCAGAAATCTTTTGCCAATTTCACTAAGCTAACGATAAGGAAAGAAAAGGGCTATAAAAAGCATCTTTCGTGTTTTCTCATAACAAACGAATACAGCCAAAAGAAATAGGAAAAGGTGACTATTACACCAGCTACTTCATAATCACCATTTCTATAGGAAGTAGTTATCATAAATGTGAGAAATTCTTCTGTATTCCTTGTTTTCCTTTCTACTTTGCATGTTTCTTGCTCAAAATGCGCCACGTGTAATAGAAGATCTTTTTAGATGATGAGTCTAAAGAAATGGATCCTAATGAAAGTCCAAGACTCACTGGCCACATTGTATGCTAACTGCAAAGTATTAGGACAAAATTATGGGAATATATAAAGAAACTGGGCAATAACCGTTTCTTGGCCTTTGATATGGTTTGGGTCTATGTCCCCACCCAAATCTCATCTCAAATTATAATCCCCAATGTTGGAGGAGGGGCCTGGTAGGAGGTGATTGGATCATGGGGGTGGACTTCCTCCTTGCTGTTCTCGTGATAGAGAGTTCTCATGATATCTGGTTGTTTGATAAAAGTGTGTAGCTCTTCCCCCTCTCTTCCCTCTTGCTCCGGCCAAGTAAGATGTGCCTGCTTCCTCTTCACCTTCTGTCACAATTGAAAGTTTCCTGAGGCCTCCTCAGCCATGCTTCATGTACAGCCTGCAGAACCGTGAGCCAATTAAGCCCCTCTTCTTTATAAATTACCCAGTCTCAGGTATGTCTTCATAGCGGTGCAAGAACAAACTAACATAGCTTTCTTTTCTGCTTTGCTTTGGTCCTAGCAAACCAAGTGGATATGCCTGTTACAAGACCACTTAATGTCTCCACATTGGACTTAGATCATACACAGCATACGACTCACATAGTTTCCTAACAGTTTTTTAATCTATGGGTCTCTCCTGTTTAGACCTTAGATGCAACTCATGTGAAAAAAAAAGAACTACAGTTGAAGGACTACCGTTGAAGTGTCAATGGCAGCTAATATAAGTTACATAAGGTGTCACAAAAAACTACAAGTTTTAAGTTGCACTCACAGGATACTCACAAAAAGAAACCCACAGCCACTGAACTACATCCAGAGGACCTATTCAGTGTTGAAACCCAGGTTTCAACAGGCATACTGACAAGCTACATGCAACCAGGGGAGCACTAGCAGGTTGCGGAAAGACTCAGAATCCATACTACATTGAGTAAAACTGAAGAAAGAGAATGTTTGAATTAAAGAGAGAAAACGAAGGGAGACAGGACAGATCACTTTAGATATATGAATCACTGACATGTGTAAGATGAAAGACTTACTTATTCTGTGTGGCTCCAGAAGGGGAAAATTAAGACCAATGAGTAGAAATTAGTAAGAAGACTTCAGGCCCACAAAAAGAAAAACCTTTCCAACCCTGAGGAGTACTATGAATGGGATGCTCTATCTCAGGAAGTGTTTAAGCTGAGGCTAGACAAATATCTATTGATGACTGATGCTGGAGAGAGGATTTCTGCACTAAGTGAGAGGGTGGACTAAATGTCTAAGTTTCCTTCTAACTCAGACTACGCGTGCTCTCCAACGGCAGTAAGTGGCTTACCTGGCAGAGAGAGATGTTCTCGTAAGGCTTGGCCTGGGCATGGAGGTGAGCCTTAGCCTCTCGCTTATCACCATGCACAAGCAGGATTGGCTTCTTCCTAAAAAGAGAGCATTAGTATTTAATATACATCATTCATGGCCAGGCTCAGTGGCTCACACCTGTAATCCCGGCACCTTGGGAGGCCGAGGCAGGTGGACTACCTGAGGTCAGGAGTTCGAGACCAGACTGGCCAACATGGTGAAACCCCGTCTCTACTAATACAAAAATTAGACAAGGCATGGTTGTGCGTGCCTGTAATCCCAGCTACTCTGGGGCTGAGGCATGAGAATCGCTTGAACCTGGGAGGTGAAGGTTGCAGTGAGCCGAGATTGAGCCACTGCACTCCAGCCTGGGTGCCAGAGCAAGACTCTGTCTCAAAAATAAATAAATAAATAAATAAATTAATTAAAATACATCATTCATGAAGCTGGACTCGCCTCATTAAGGAATGCTAGCTTCCTTATCACTCGATATGTTTCCGGCCTTTGTAGTTGAATGAAGACAGGGCTAACACAGAGCAGTGAAAAGCTAATGTTCATTTACCAGATACCTTTATAATGGGGCTACATGGCCTGATTCTGCAGCTCTGTTGTAATACAGAGGGGTAATGACTCAAGAAAGTCCTTGAATAATTATCTTCTTTGGCCCAAAACGGCACATAAGTAGTTCTGTGTTAAAATATTTAAGTCCAAATAAATTAAAGATATATAATAATTATTATATAATATAGTGCTTTTTGCTTTTTCTTTTGGACCACACGGTGGATTCATTTCACACCACATCTATATTCACCAAACTCCTCCTGTGTGCTATGTACTGAGCTAGACCCAGGATACAACAGAGAACAGGCCCAGGCCAGGCCCACAGCATGACGCAGCTTCACTAATGGGTGGTTAGATTTCAATGAAACAGAGCCCAAGCTACGTTGAAAATGCTATATTTTTGAATTCCAAATATAATATAAAAACACTCTTCAAGAATACATTAAAAAGGCTTTTGAGGGATTCTTGTTCTGATTAACTCAAAGCAAGATAATCCTTAGAAATAAGTATATTTCGGCCAGGCGCGGTGGCTCACGCCTGTAATCCCAGCACTTTGGGAGGCCGAGGCGGGCAGATCACGAGGTCAGGAGATCGAGACCATCCCGGCTAAAACGGTGAAACCCCGTCTCTACTAAAAATACAAAAAATTAGCCGGGCGTAGTGGCGGGCGCCTGTAGTCCCAGCTACTTGGGAGGCTGAGGCAGGAGAATGGCGTGAACCCGGGAGGCGGAGCTTGCAGTGAGCCGAGATCCCGCCACTGCACTCCAGCCTGGGCGACAGAGCGAGACTCCGCCTCAAAAAAAAAAAAAAAAAAGAAATAAGTATATTTCTACAAGCTCTCCCAACACAACAAAAATTGGATATAAGCAATCAAGAAAGATAAACAACCGACCCACTTCCACATTTATCAATCACACTGCAGAATGATTCTCTACCATTCACAAAGGAACAACAATCAACTAGAGAGAAACATCTATTTCCAGTACTAATACCTCACTACCTCTTGCCCAATAGCTTTATTCTAACATGACAGGTAAAATGAAACTATGAAACACGCACCTGTGATTTTTAGAAATTAGGTAAGAAAAACAGAATAATGTAAGAAACACACGTGCATCTAGCACCTAGAAATAAAAAATGTTAGATCAAGTCATGTTATTAAAAAGATTAAATATGACTGATAGAAACTGAAGTCCTCATTAATTCTTTCAAATTTATTGGTTCTACGACTTATTACAAAAAGATGGCACCTGAACAATAGCATACTGAGGTATAAATCCTTATGATCTGAATTTTTCTACATACAAATTCTGGATGTTACTTAAACTTACCATTTAGGTCACTCCTCATCCTTCTAAGGCTCGTAATAGCCTTCCCAAGATGCATTTGGCAATAAGGGGATGCAGGGAGAAGGAGGACACTTTCGTCCCTTTAGTTACTGAGAGTCCAGTGGATACTGTATTAGTGTGCCAGGGCCTCCAAAACAAAGCACCACAAACTGGGAGGCTTAGACAACAGCAATATATTGTCTCACAGGTCTGGAGGCGAGAAGTCCAAGATCAAGGTGCTGGCAGGATTGGTTCCTGAGGCTGTGAGGCACATCTGTTCCAAGCCTCTCTCCCAGCTTCTAGGAGCTTGGCTTGTAAATGGCGTTCTGTGTCTTTACATGGTCTTATCTCTGTCTCTGCACCCAAATTTCTCTTTTTATAAGGACACTAGTCATACTGGATTAATGTCCATCCTAATGCCTTCATTTTATCTTGATTACCTTTGTAAGGGCTCTATCTCCAAATAAGATCACATTCTGAGGTACTGAGGCTTAGGATTCCAACAGATCTTTTTTGGGGGTGAGATAATTTAACTCATAACAGATACAAAGGAACTGCAGTCTGCACTTTGCCAACACTCTAATGGGGTGACAGTTTGATTTCAAGGTCTTTAAGAAAAGGGAGGAAGAACAGAAAATGCCAATGTGACACCCAAGGATACTACTGCGAGGAGGAGCCAAGGCAGAAACTGCTTGTTGCCTCCAGACAGCCATTCTCTCCTCCTTCCCTAACAAAAGGCTAATTCAGGAAAAGGTGTGCTAAGCTAAAAGACATTTCTAGCCTCTTTTACAGCTGGTTAGCATGCAGCTGAGCTCTGCTCAATGAAATAGATGCAGGTGTTGTGTGGGACTTCCAGGAAGGCTGCTTAGATGGGCATAGCTAGAATGTGGGCCTTTTTGTCCTTTTCCTCCTTTCCCCTTCCTGCTACCTGGAATAGATGAGTAAGCTGGAGCTCTAGCTGCCATACTGGGCCACGAGGTGACTCTGAAAACTGAAGTCACATACAAGGATGGTGGAACAGAAAGGGTAGGTGGATAAGTCTCTGAGAACCCTGGTGCCCCCATCTAGACCATAAATGTTTACCATCTGAATGTGTCACGCTGGAAACAATTTGTCTTATTTAAGCCATTGTTATTTTGAATATTCTTTTACATGCAGCTAAAACTAATTCTGTGTGTTACAGGTCAAAAAAAAAAAAAAAAGCCCCAAGTGCCAAAGCTGCTTGAAAAATTTTAACAGCATTTTATCTACTGTTAATGTCAAAGGTTTCCACAATCTGATGCCCTAAATGTACCAAGAATTTTGAGGACCCTGACAATCATTATTTCTTGTGTGTTTTCCTCCATCCTACTTGCTGTTATGGGAATCTGCCCCGTAAATGTGTTAGAAATAGGGAAGGGTGGCACCTGTGTGATGCCCTATTTGGTCTGTATTGCCTAACATGAGGCTGATGAAGTGCAGGCAGAAGGCCTAAAAATCCATCACCTCCAGAGCCTAGATAAGGGAAGGCCACAGATAAGCCTCCTTTCCTCATCTCAGAAACACAAAGGGATCCTCAAAACAGAACAGAATTGATGTGCTACGGAAAGCATGGCACGTTGGCGGCATGTTGGCACATTCACAGATCTAGAAGGTATGTGGAGATGGTATTTTCCTTCATATTAAGACTGGACATGAAATTCTGTTATTTGAGTTAAAGCCTGTCCTTATCTACTTCCTGAAAGAGCACAGAGGAAAATGCTAAAATCCGTAAAAAGAATGTGTAGGATTAAATAGATCAAAGAATGCTGTTTTCCGGATATAACTTAATGTCTGTGTGATTTCAACAGTTTCAAAAGAAAAACTCAAAAGATGAGTGGCTTTCACCTGAGAAATACAAATCTTAGGTGTCAAAGCCCCTTTACAGTTTATAGTGTTGTCTGTCACCCTGAGGAACTCACCTGAACTCTGGTGGATACTGTTTTACGAGCCAGTCCACGTCAAAGCAGTAGTTAAACTAGATGGGAGAAAAGAAGAGTAACTAAGCCATAGGTAATTCTGCCAAACAGTTCATAAGGAGAATTGTTTAGTTATTACATTTAAGGAAACTCTAAAATAGTGATACACTACATGTATTATTTATAAACCTGGAGGGTTATGCTGCAATACTAACAAACCTATAATTTATCTTAAATGCATGGTTAAAAGAACCTAAATGGAGCCAAGTACATGAGATAACAGGTTCCCAGGAAATTATCTCTGCATGTTTTGGCAGCATCTGTACTTGTCCGCAGGGTGTTATTACATTATGTCTAATGGCCCTGAGATTAATTTAAATAAAAGGATTTATAAATTTATCCCTTTTCCCCTAGGTGATTATAAAAAGACAGATACTGGAGACAAAGATCCCAGGACTTTCAGAAAAGAACATTTCCTTTCAGGCTAACTTATTAGCTAGCTTTGTACACAGCCACCTGGGACCAGACATTCACTAGGCTTCTAACAATTACATCTTAAATGCAAGTTCTGTACTGGTCTTACCCGTGGAGGCTCCTCCCCATACCTGGGTAATCCTGGACTTAGTAACTCAGTCGAGCTAACAGGGCATTTGCAAATGCTCCCCACCTTCCAAATGGAAACCAGGACTTTCAATGCCAAACCAAACATAAAGGAAGCCTGCCTTTCTTCAGGGACAGGGCCCTTTGGACCACTTACTTGTGGGTCTGGACCATTACATGATTTATCAAGACAAAGGGACTAGCTCAGTCAGGAAGGAGCCACTGAACATGAAAATTCACATTTTTCTAAATTAAATCAAACTTGACTTGGCCTTCACCACTCTATCCATACCTCACCACTCTATGCACCAGAGTTAACTCAGTCCCATGAGTTAATCAGTATCCCCAAAAGAAGTGTCCCATTCTAGTCTTTCAAGCTGGAATGTCCAAAGTGACTTCTTGGCCAGCGGAGGCTGACTTGAGTCAAATGCTCTCCTGATAGTGACATCCCCATTCTATGTTGATGGCCATGGATCTCATTACTGTGGCACTTGAGCCAGCCTCCAGGTATGTGCCATCTCAGTCTTTGAACAGGACTGAGATCCCCAAACTATGCCTCTCATATTTTCTTATGGAGTTGTTTAATTACCTGTCTACTTTCACCCAAAGAAAAAACAGCTTAAAGGTATACTCACCTGAGCTGAAGAAACAAGCGTCCCAAATAAAGGAGATAAAATATCTGAGAAGACAAAACATATATCAAATTCACACTCACAAAAATCCTCTAGTCATAATAATCACTACTAACTCATTCAACAGTCACTGACAATCAAGATCTGACTCAGAACACAGTAAGCTAAACAGTTACTACAAAGTCAGACTTTAATGTTTCATAAAATTCAAAAAAAATTTCCCTATGGTATTTAATATTTATCATACATTCTTTTATAAAACAATGCAAAACCAAAATCTACAACTTCAGTACTGAATGATTGATCAAGTTTAGAAACTCAATATGGACAATAATGATACATATTCTTTTCAGATCTCTGAACTTCTACCTCCTCCAAGTACCCATTCAAGTCCCTCTCCAGGAAATCTCCCAACTCAAGACTAGAAAAACTTTCTAGAAAGATTTTATAAATGTGGACAGTTTAGAAAGACTTTCCAGAAAGACTGGAAAGCACCTGTGGCCTGTGAATGAAAGGACAGAGGCACTCACAATTATCAACTCACATTCCTGGTGTTCCTGGTCATCTCTAGGGAAGTCTCACTTTGTACCCATTCAAGCTTTATGTTAGGTAAGTTGAAAGCTCACTTCTCAAACCATACCACGAGAGCAAGTACACCATCATCGTGACCTTCCATTACAACAGCCACATCTGTGGAGACCTGTTAGATGCCAGGCAGCACTCTTGGCACTTCCCATCCATTACTTACTCCTCATATCCATTTTCTAGGTGGGGTCTGTTATTTCTATTTTATATCGGAGGAGCCTTCTTAGGAGGCTGCCCACAGACACACAGCTAGAAAGGGGTACAGTCGGGGTTTGAACCTAGGCTGTCTGGCTCCAGCACCTTCGCTCATACCCACTAAACTGCCTCTGAGAATTAAGACTGGCTCATTCATTTGGCAAATATTTCCTGAGTGCTTCCTATCTTCTGGACATTGAGCTAGATGCTGGGGTAGAACGATTTTCAGAGAACAACAACAAAAAAATTGTTAAGGAAGGTTCTACCTTATTGGGAGAGTTGCAGAGATAAACTGCAAATATTCTTCCATTTGCCCCCACCAGCATGTATTTCTTCCCTTCTAAATTTTACCCATCTTTCAAAGGCCTTTTGAAGTCCCCCTTCCTCCATGAGATCTTCTAAGCCATCTACAATTATGGCACATGGTAGAGTGCTATAGCAAACAGCATGGATTCTGATGCCAGAATGTCATTACCAGCTCTACGACCTTGGGCACTTTTCTAAAGTGCAGATGCATCATTTATCCAAGGAATACGATTGTAACATCTACTCATAAGACTGTCCTGAGGATTAAAGGAGAAAATATATGTAAGAGCTCCTATCATGTTACCACAATACCTTGGTGCTAATTGCCGGTTATTTTATTATATAGAGCAAAACTTGGCAAAATTCTCTAAATATTTGTCAGTCTGTCTCAAACAAACAAAAAACTTGACAAAGTACCAAGATAAGAGATTCTCAAAAAGAAAACAACCTGTAGAACACTCTACAGTATGAAATACTCCAACATGTATACATCACACACAATATACAATTATATACTGGATATATAAAAAAAGAACAACACTGCTGACAGTGAACATTACTATTCTTAAATATGGGACAGGAAAAAAATCTGAAATAAGGGTAATAATGTTTATTGTATCTGCCATGTGAATATATTACACTGGTTACTTCATATATTTGCTCCCATTTTTCTGCATTTCCAGTTTAAAGATGAGCAAACTAAAATTCAGAGAATGTTAGGTCCTGTGTTAACAATCCATACAGCAAATGAGTGGTGAGGCCAGAAAGCAGATTCTAGAGCTCCTGCTCTTCCTCCTGCAGGTGCTCCCTGAGGAATAAGGAGAGCAAACTAAGGCCATCTTTTGATCCATAACTGAAACATCTATTTGCACTCAGGCACTATTTTGTTTTTTCTTCTTCTTCTTCACCAGGAACTAAAACCAGGCTTTTAAGCAGTGGTTCTCAAACTTGACTGGGCAGTAGAATCCCCTCAAGGGCTCGTGAAAACACAGACTGCAGGATCTCACCCTCAGAGTCCAATTTAATGAATCGGGAATGGGGCCCGAGAATTTGCATTTTAACAAGTTGCAGGTGATGCTGAGGCTGCTGGTCCAGGGCCCATGGAGAACTACTACTGTTGTCAAGTATTTGCTACCTTGTTGATAAACTGTTACTCATCAAGCTTCATCTTAAAAAGTTAAATAATGCTAAACATCGTGCTAAGTGATATAAGGGGTTGAGCTACAGGGTTTTGAGAACACACGCTCTGCCTGAGTTAAGTAAACAGTCTGCTGTTATACTAATGCACTTGCCTGTCAAGAATTTTTTTCCTGAAAGTAGTTAAGAACACAAAGAAGAGTTCTCAGAAACTATTCTAGGCTGCCCTCCTTGTTTCACGGAGGAGAGACTCTCAAGGGCAATTCAACAGCTCCTTGACACCCAGCATCCTCTTACCCTTGATGTGGAGGGCTCCAGAGTTATACTTTGGCTTAACTCCAGAGACTCTAGTGAGGTAAAACTGGAAGGGGTTCCCTTTATCCAGCATGTCCCAAATGTCCTGGCCCTCCCCTGATGTCTCATACTCGTCTTCCTCCTCTTTGAGCCTGTGGCAGGCGGGAGCGCCATGATTTTCAGTTCTTTGGGCAGTGCCGTCATTGGGAGCAGAGATGTCTTTCTCCTTTTTGATCACCACTTTCTCAGCCTGCTTCTGCGGCATTTCTGGTTGCAGCTCATCATCACTGCTGGACAGACACCAGCCGAGGTCCTCCTGGGAACCGCTTTTCTGCCTTTTGGGAGGTAAAACTGAATCTGTATTGCTGAATTTCACAGGTGATATTTTCCTCTTGTGTGCAGCTTTCTGGGCCTCGGAACAGGTGTACCTGGGCTCATTTGCTGCTCCTTGCCTGGCACAGAGAAGAGAAGAGGTAGATGGCTTGTCTGGTTTTGGCTTTTCTTCCTCACTTTCATCACTACTAGATATGGTCCACCTCCCATAATCGCCTTCCTGAGACATTATACTCCTGGAAATGAAAAGTGGAAACATCAGCATTTCCCATTCATCAGGGCATTGGCAAAATAACTTTATTGCTCTCAACTTCCCTGTCAGATGAGCTGACACCTTCCAGAGGCTGAACCACCTAACATCAGCTGCTTTTTGGGTGTTTATAAGCACATTACCAGAATCCACTATCAGATTCTGCCAAATCACAAGCAAAAGTCCTGGTCACCTTTCTTTTTTCTTCCTTTTTTTTTTTGAAACAGGGTCTCGCTCTGTCACCCAGCTGGAGTGGTGCAGTGGTTCAATCTCAGCTGACTGCAACATCTGCCTCCTGGGCTCAAGCAATCCTCCTGCCTCATCCTCTCGAATAGCTGGAACTACAGGTGCACGCCATCACGTCTGGCTAATTTTTTTTTTCTTTTTTTTTGGTAGAGACAGGGTTTCATTATTGTTGCCCAGGCTGGCCTTGAACTCCTGGACTCAAGAGATCCACCCACCTTGGCCTTCCAAAGTGCTGGGATTACAAGTATAAGCCACCATGCCTGGCCTTGGCTTTCAATCTAAACTTTGTTCTTAGATGTCCTAGGAAAGGGGGTTGAAGAATGCATCAAGACAAATGCCAAAATAAAACAAACATTCATTCTTGACCCCGAAACTTCCAATAAGCGTTTGGGATTAAGGTCCATTTAATCTATGTTCAAATGCTTAAGGTCAAATTGGAATTTACAAACCTAGCCTTCACCCAAGTACAGGCACCCACAGGACTTCAGTGATTATGTATGTCTTACTTCCCAAAAGACAACCCATTTACCATAAAGCTTAACAAAGTCTTCAAGAGGAAAGCCAAATGACCACTTAGGTATGTACATTATTTACACTACTTCCATGAGGACCCAACTAATTATAATTAGTTGGATATAATTATATCAAGATATAATTATCCTATTGGCTACATCATAAATCTACTAACACCTACACAGAAATAACTTGTACTGAAGCAACACACTTTTATTTTTTAAGCCCCACAGTCAAATTCTACTTTCTTGTTCTGAGAACAGGAAAGTACACGAAACAGTCACTTTTGCTGTTACCTACCAAATCTTGTCAATTCAGTGGTAAAGGACTATCTAAGTAGACTTTCCAGACAGCTAAAGAACAGTTCCTCAATGTGATACTTTTAACATTTTAGCACAAGACCCAGGGGAAAATTACAAAACTCAGTAGTCTGTGCTCAGATCAACAGTATCTTCGAGTTTCTGCTGTTTTAATGAGGCTGGAAAAGATGCATTGAGTGGAGTAAACCAAGATGGTGACACTCCCTTCACAAAACCTACATTCCCCAAAAAAGAGAATTCAACATTATTCTACATCAAAAGATTTGCAAATCAATACATATGCATATGTCTCTAGATGAGAACTAAAAATAAAAATCTTGGCTAAGGGGACCCCAGAGAAACCTTAAAAACTGAGTTCCGGGCCATGATGAGATGGGAGCTCAGACATGCCTGTTATATCCCCTCCCTTCTGCGGTTTAAACACAACTGACCAGAGATCGTAAGACTGGCAGAATAGATTCTGTGACAATATGACACTAAATCATAAACAAGACCTAAGGCCATGCCAAGCAAGGGTTAAATCACACACTGCTACCTTTAAACTATGTTCTACCTTCCACAAGGTTCTTTTTTCTTCAGCAGCTAAATAAGCACTGGCCTAGAGATAAGGAATATCTAAACAATTGCAGCTCACCTACTGCCAGATGCTTGACTAACTGACCCCTCTGGTTCCACAGGCCATGACTGCAGCTGTCATTGGACAATGGAGTAACTTTCTCCTGAAAAGAAACCACAGACTGGTTCTGACCAGTCCTCAGAGGCTGAGCACTGAGTGCCTTCATGTCTCTCCTTCACCTTTTGACAGAGGGCCTAATTGTAATTCATTCAAATGTTAAGTCTCCATCCCAAAGTGAACACGAGATGCACAAAACACACGTTTGCTCATTACACATGCACACGTGTCCCCCCTTGGTGAATATTCATAGCTCCTCCCACACCTGTTGAATACTATACTTGGCCAACCCATTCAGTATAAATCTCTGTTCTACCCTCTCCTCCCTGGGATGCCATTAAAGGTCTCTGCCTGAGGCTGTGCTTCCCAGCCTGTCAGGCCACACTGCAGGCTGTAGCCCTTTATAAGAACTAAGCTCTCCTTTCTAAATGTATAGATCTCATGATTTTTTCAGTGAACACAGCAGGGCGGGGCAGGGGAGGGTTGGAAATACTTTAAAGGTATCTATCCCTTTTCACAATTTCTCTCTTCACCTTTTTCAATTAACTACCAGTCAAGTTAAGCAAGCCTTCTGTAAATTACACATTTCAAGGAACTTTTATGCAAGAATGCATCAAGACAATAATCTGGCCCATTCTTCATGGCTCTGGGTCATTATTACCCTACCCAGCATGAACACACTATCTCACAGCCAAAGCCTTATTGACTGTAGAGAGGGCTGGGGCCACTTGCTCCTGTAATAGTGACCCTAGACTGTCTGGCTCTTTTGAGCCCTCATATCTGCTTTCTAAAAGTTTCTATTTATTTCTACACTCTGTCCAGCCCACTTCAAGGGGTTGTTAAAACTCATAGCATAGGTATATTTTCCCTAAATTGTTTCTAATCTGCTAAGGGTTAAGAAACTAGATAACTGGGTTTGTAGAACTGTATTGTCATGGTTAAAGGGGTCTGAGTGCCCAGTTTCCTCCATGAAAGAGATTCAGATTGATTTACTACTCAACACCTACTTAAGCAGCTCAGAGGTGGTTTTTTAAATGTTTTTAATCCTTCCGGTTTGAAAAAAAAACCCACAAAACCTTAGGTTCCTCTAGTGTTCTAGAGTCTAGAAGTTGCTGGATAGGGGTATTTAAGCTGTTACAATACACTTTGAAGAAACTATTTCAGTGGCTACAGTTTCGTGACTTTAAAGTTATCTAGGAACAAAAGAACCACCTTAGGAAAAACCACTCTCTGAATGTCAGCTCTAGGTTCCTTTGAATTCTACAACAGTTCTAAACCAAGGCGGTGAGTAATAGAATCTTCCATTACAGTCCTCAGGCTGTTCTCTATAGATACCTTGCCCATTCTAAAGTAAGTAGCAGGTCTTAGTTTTTGGTGAGAAAGGATTCAGCTTCCACTCTCAGAAGCAGTTGCAGAATCTTAAGAGGCTACCATAACAAATATGGTTGCCTGCATTATATAAATAAAATGGAATTTCCAAACACTGAGAATTCTGTGCTAAGTACATTATTATGTACTAAGAGTTGCTAAGGTAAAATCCTTAGCAACTCTGTGAATTATTTAGAGAATTTCAAAGGTTTTTAAGTTTTATCATTATCTCCATTTTCTAAAACCATATGGAAGTGGAATTCCCTCCAACAAAGTAGGACAAGAGGATAAAAAATAAAACAAAGCTTTAAAAAAGACATTTTCTAGAGAACAAAGCCTTTTTTTGGGGTTCTGCTCTATAAAGTTTTGGACCTGCTGAAACTCAAAAATATGCCTGAGTTGCTTATTACAACCTAATACAATTTATTGGGTTACAATTTAGTGCAACAGACTAATAAAATTGTGTCTTGTTGTTAAATGTAGCAGCTTACCAACCTCTTTATGACATCAAGGCTCCCGCCCAGTTGGAAAAGAACTGCTAGTAAACACCAATATCAAACTTTTACTTTGGATAACTGGTCACCAGTAACAGAATTTACTTCCCTCATAGAGGCTCTGGTGCCCAGCATTTCAGAGTGCTTTGTAATCAAGTCATACAGTTTTAAGAAATGTAGAACCTGAGAGCTTTCCTTCAATTGTTTATCATCTGTCTTCCCTGCCTGGGCAGTGCTTGGTACAGCATAAATCTGAAGTCACACTTTTTGTAAGTGGTACTGAAAGAATCAGAATACAATATAGCTGTGTTGATTCTGAATCCTGGCACTCAATCAGAACGGCACAGTGTTTCCTGAAGTGGAAGTGATTGGGACCTGACATTATGAAAGTACTTCCCTTTCCATTCCAATCCAAACTCCCTGTTTAAATCAAGAAGAAAGTTGTAGTGTTGTAGAAATGCTTTTAATCTTGATTTTGAACAAATAGCAGGGTTTGGGCTCTTCTGCAGGCACCAACAATTTTGTTTACCATCAACAGAAGGTATCTTATGGCTACGTTATATTTGAAATAGCAAAATAAAGTTTATTTTATGTAAAAGAATGATTGGATTCAAACAAAAATATTAAGTATATGATAGTCTATGTGATAGCGGCAGGAGGCAGACAAATCCCTAGGCAGATAGGGGCAGGGCCCCAGTGAAACCCCACCTGCAAACCAAAGACAGTTTAAAGCCTGAAAGCCAAGCTACAAGTGTTGGGTAAATCCACGGACCGGATTGATAACCCCTCTTCCCACTTGGCACACTTTCCTCTGATCAATCCCCACCCTTCACCTACTTTACATATATCTACCCTTCCCTAATTGGTTTTTTACATTGTCATGCCCACCTTTGAGTGGTGCCTTTGTTTTAGCCTTTTTTGCATACTCACAAACCATGGAGCACACACTCCCTCATTCTGAGCCCATAAAAGCCCCAGACTCAGTCACACCAGCGAACTGCCCACCTTGGGGTCAGGGCAGGGGCCATCCACTTGGGGTCCCGTCTCTGCTGAGAACTGTCTCATCACTGAGTAAAACTCACCTCCGCCCTTTTCCCCTTCGGTTGTCAGCCTAACCTCATTATTCTTGGACGCAGGACAAGAAATTCGGACCAGCTAAACAGCGAGTGCAAATAGAGCTATAACCCTGTAGCACTCCGTTCCGCTAGTGAAGCAATGGGAGAGGGAGCTGCTGGCTGCCACACACCCCCATTCATTGGGCTGCAGATGGTGGGACTAAAAGAGCTGTTAATACATCTCTATTTGCCTGGTGTCTCCAAGTGTTTGGGCACTACTGCATCCCCCTCGTCTGGACACCAGAATCTGCTACCAGAGTCACTTGCCATACACCCAGGCCATCCACAAGCCCTACATGGAGCCTGTGACTGGGCCAGCACTTGGAACAGCCAGCCGGGCCTCCAGGCTTGCTCACTCACTCACAAACCGACTCCTCGCGGGCTGAGCATGCAGTCATAGTGGCCACGGGATCTGGGCGGGGATGAAAGACAAATGCATTCTGCCAGGCTGAGTGGGCAGGGCACCTCCTGCAGCCAGCCCAGGGCTGGAGGTCTCCAGCTGGCAAAGCGGCCCTGAAATAAATCCTGTGTCATGTGTTAAGAGAATAAAGCAAACTGGGGAGAAGGCAGGTGAGTGTGAGTGAAATTTGGCAAACACTGCACTAACATGAAAAATCTAAGAAATCTTCCCACCAAATGCTAGCTCAGGACACTGTTAGCACTTTTATTAAGGACTTTAAAACATGTTGTGGATATAAAAGGGTACTCCATTTAGAGCTACTAGTGTTTCCTCACTCCCCACTATATGAGACCCAGCTGGGGCATTTCTCTTTCACCTCCAGCTGCTCCTTCTCATTGAGCTTAAAGACCATCAGCTGGGCCTGGAGGCCATGCTCCTCAATTGAGTTCCTGTGTGGCCAGTAATAGGCAAACATGGTCCCTTGTCTCAAACCCGGCCATGACTAGGGAGTAAATGTGCACTTGGGCAGGTTAGTTAACTGCTGAGCCTCAGTTTTTTAGTCTGTGAAATGGATATCATGCTTACCCCCTGGAGTTCATTCATTCAATAACTTACTGGGCAGCTATTATGTACCAAAAACTGGGAATGAGGCGTTAACAATATAGTTTCTACCCTAGCAGAGCTAATTTCAGGGCAGAAGAGACAGACCCACACATAAAAATTTTAATAGCCAAGATGAGTTAGACATTCATTACATTTTATAAGTATGAGACAGAAAAATAGGGGTGACCTTTGGAATATACTTAAAAAGTAACATATAAATGAGACCCAGAGGGCCAAAAGGAACCTGCTGTCTAAATGATGGGGTGAAGAGCATTCCCAAGTAGAGGGAACCCAGCCGGCAGAGGTGGGAAAGAGGTCATAAGAAAGGACTTAGGCAAGGCAGGCAGTGGTCCGAAGCGGGTGAGGGGAGAAGACTTGTTAAAGAAATTGGATTTTATGCAATGATCAATGGGACCCCACTGAGGGCTTTAAGAAGGGGAGTCCGATTTACATTTATTTTTTTGAGACAGAGTCTCGCTCTGCCGCTCAGGCTGGAGCGCAATGGCGCAATCTCGGCTCACTCCAACCTCTCTGCCTCCCAGGTTCAAGCAATTCTCCTACCTTAGCCTCCCGAGGAGCTAGGATTACAGGCATCCACCATCACGCTCGGCTAATTTTTCTATTTTTGTAGAGACGGGGTTTCACCATGTTGCCCGGGCTGATCTCAAACTCCTAACCTCAAGTGATTCAGCCGCCTCGGCCTCCCAAAGTGCTAGGATGACAGGCGTGAGTCACCGCGCCCGGCCTTCGATTTGCCTTTTTAATACAGCTGTGTGCTCCAACTCTGCGGAGAATGGGTTGAAGACAAAGGAAGTGAGAGGGCTCTTGCTGAAGGCGTTGGGGACGGAGCAGATTCAGAACGTGAGGAAGTGACGGCAGCAGCTGCTAACCTTACTGCGTGCTCATTTGGGGCCGGCCAGGCACGATTCGAAGCGCCTCACCAAGTGTAAACTCGCTTCACCCTCAGGACAACTCTATACTACGTACCGTGACCGTCCTCCTATACTGGGAAACCGAGCACAGAAAGCTTAAGCGCCTGGCACGTGGTGGGCGCTTTCCTACTCACTTTCTGGGACCACGCACCTGTAAGCTTAGGTCTGGGAATAAAAACCCGAGCAGGGGCCCCTAGCGCCGCGCCCCGGCAGGACACAGGTCTCCGCAGCGCCCGTGCGCGCCCCCTGAGGCGCTGTGATCGGAGGAAACCGAGGCCCCGGGGCCGAGGCGACCCTGCCCCATCTTCCCGGCCGCGCCGCTTCCTCGCGGTCCGCCTCCAGCCCTGCCGGACCCCAGCAGCCCGCGCACCGCGACTCGGCCAGGAGCAGGATCCCGGGCCCGACCGCAGCCCGCGAGAGACCGCACCGAGTCCGCGCCCACTGCCGCCCAACACGTACCTGAGGCGCACAGAACCAACGCTTGCCTCGGATCCCGCCCCTTCGGCGGCCGCCGCGCATGCGCGCAGTTCAAACCCTGGCGGCAGCGGCTTGTGCCTCGAGGCCCGGCCCCTTCCCCTTCCGGAGAGCCCACCGCTGGGTCCTAAAGCCCGCCGGGTGTTTACCCAGGACGGGGCTGGGGAAACCTGGTCTCTCCTAGCTCTTGGCTTACTTCCTGGAGACTTCTTAAAACGAGAGGAGAACCAGAAAGGCGTCCCCTAACTTCGCTCTAGTTAACTAATAGCAAGACTCACCCTCTTTACAGGATTCTCATGGCTCAGGCTCCCAGGGCTCCATGCAGCGGCGTTTGGTTTAAAGTGGAGAGAGGATACGCTTAGGTTAAAGGCAGCTGCAAGGAGACCTGTGTCCTGGGAGGGGCTGGGTGCAGACTTTGAAATCTGCTGCAAAATAAAAAGTTAAATGAGTTCCCATTGGACTCAGAACCTCGAATGTCTGTTCCTTCTTCGCAACAGTTGCGTTCTCGTAAAATCTTCTGAGAAAAGGAACTCGCCCCACGTTCCTTGCCTTTAATAAGGATGTTTGCTGTGGGATTTGGGCTCGGTGCTGTTTATGGTATTTATTCTTGGAATCTCTTTCACACTAGGCATCTCTTCCAGAGGACTGAGTGAAATACATCTGTGTAAATATAACGGCTCGTTTCGTTCTTTCATTGAAGATCTACTTTGTGCCAGGCACAGTGCTAGGTGCTGGGATTATCTTGAGGACATAACAGATGTAGTAGCTGCCCTAGGAGCTCGATCCCAATGACTTGCTGATCTGAACGAGAATCCTGGACTTGGCTCTTTTCGTTTGGTTCTTCTTGTTTGTTCACAGTCTTTTTGTCTCCTATAACGTTTAGCATAGTGTCATAGATCTAAATGATTAAAAGTAACCTATTGCAAGATGGAGGGAGAGAATGAAATAAATCATGAACCAGGCATTGAACCAGCACCTAGAAGCGCTTGGATTTCCAGCCGCGCTCAACGAGTTAAGGGACAGTCAGGGGGTGGAGCCAAGTGCTGGGGGCAGGCCTGGGCGCCTCACTGCCAGGGCGGCTCCAAGGAAACGTAATTAAACAAAGACTCTGGCCAATAGCCCTGCGGGATTAACGCGAGTGGCTGGCAGGTTGTCCAATGGGAGGAGACGTCGGAGTTGCGCGGTGAAGTTCGGCTTCCTGAGCCGCGGTGGGCGTGGCCGCGGTAGGCTGCCAGCCAGGCTGGGAAAGCGGTGGTAGCTGGTTGGGTTGCTGGGGCTCGGTTGTTGTAGTCGCGATGTTCTTCTCCGAGGCCAGAGCCAGGTCGCGGACGTGGGAAGCCAGTCCCTCGGAACACAGGAAGTGGGTGGAAGTAGGTTTCCGGAGGGCGACTGAGCCTCGGACTTCAGCTTGGCCTGGGCCTCTCGCTTCCTCTCCCGTGTCTGGGTCTCACTCTGCCGGGTGTGCAGATAAGACCTGGGCTGCCTGTCCAAAGGGTCGTGGTTAATGACTGATCCTGGAGCTGCAGGGCTCCTGGCTCCCCGTCCAGGACTACGGCTACCTCCAAGTTCCATCTCCTTTCTCTCTATATAGTCTATTAATGGTAACCTTGAGTCTGCATCTCTCCCGCCTTTCAAAGCCAGCCCCTTTGCCTCACCTTCCTAACTCCAGGACTGAATTTTGGGTAGAATTTATCTCAGTGGCCTAAATGAATTAATTTGCGTCACCTAGCGGTTAACTCGTTTGCACTTTGAGGGAAATTTCAGCCCATGTTTAAGAAAATTTCAGTCCATCTTTAAGATTTCTTGAGAATTAATATTGGGATAATGAAATTCTATTTTCATACTCTACCGCTGGGCCAAGTTTTAGATTTTCGAGGTCCAAACTGTATAATAAACTAGTAATAAAAATAAACCATTTCTGTCTCATTAACTAAAGCTATTTAATGTTCTTCAGGTATTTAAAGCATGTGATGAAGATCACAAAGGATATCTCAGCAGAGAGGACTTTAAAACTGCTGTTGTAATGCTGTTTGGGTACAAGCCCTCCAAGGTAGAGCTTTCTTATATATTTGGGGATGGGGTAGACGATCAAAGGTGAATGGATCCTAAGAAAAGTTCACAGGGCTAGCTTAGGATGTTTATAAATTGCTTTATAAGCAATTTCAGAGATGTGTCCAGTGCTGAATTTTAGCTTCCTCTTAACACCTCAGCCCAGAGATGAAGTAGAAATCTTTTCCACTGGAGTCTACACAAGCCTATCTCACCACCAGGCTGCTAATAACTACTATAAATACAAGATGCTAGAGAGGTGCCAAGAGGGAAGACTGAGAGGGGAGTGTTGGTAACAGGAGAAATTTACATAGGACATGACATAGTCTCTTTCTCGTTTTACTTTTGTTGCTTTGTTTATAAAATACATCCACGGTCAAAAAATTAAAACAGTGCAGAAAGGTATAAAGTTGAGCATAAAATCCGCTCGCCGCCTACCAGAGGGTCCCACTCCTAGGGGATTACCATTAACAGTTTTTTTGTGTAATTCTGAAATTTTCTATCCATGACATACATATGCATAGTCTTTTATTGAAAACATAAATGGGTAAATATTGTGCCTACTTTAACTTGCTTTTCTCATTTAACAATATATCAACCTAAAAGCACACACCACTACTGCATTTTAAAATATGGTTGCATATTCTTTTTAGCCAGGTTCCTGTCTGGGGTTATATAGGTGGGGTTTTTTTTTTTTTTCTGCCAACATTGCTGCAATGATACACACATTTATGTCCTTGTGGCTGTATATCTGTGGAATAAGTTCCTAGAAGTATAACTGCTAGGTCATGGAATATGTACGTTTAAAATTTTGTTAGATATTTGCTCTCCAGAAAAGATTGCACCAATTCACCAATAATGAGAGTTGAGCTGAGCCTCCATGAACCTCCTGCTTGAGTAGGGCAAGTTTCCTGCTCACCCCTGTCTTTATGCTTTTCTGCTTTCCTGTTACATTCATTCGAGAGACAACACCCTTCTTGTTAAGCTGGAATTAGTCAGAGTCAAGATATTGTCCAGATTCAAGAAATTGAGCTGCCACCATCAAGCAAAGGAAGCACTCAGAGCTCAGCCTGGAATGCCATCCCTCACTCTCATTAGACCAGACAGCTTGGCAGTTAATTAGGGCCCAGCTGTTCTCCTCATGAGTGGACTGTGCCTTTCTGTCAGATTGAAAGCCCAGCAAAGCCAGGGACCCTGTGATGTCATGCCTCTCCGCCCTATTTGTGTCAACAGAACATACTTACTGTGAAGTTGTGATGCACAATAAGTATTAATATATTCTCTTGACCCAAGTAGGTTGCATGAACAGCTCAGGTGGGTTCAGAGTGGCTCAGCTATGAGGGGCTGCCTAGTTACTGAGAAGCTTATTATGGAGCTCAGAGAAGTAGTCAGGGCTGACTCTTAGAAATGGCAGCTCTCCTGTTTACCTGTAATCATTTCAGTTGGAATTACAAAGCAGGTCAGCTGAAAAGAGTCAGCCTGTGAAGCATTGTATTTAACTTGGATTCACCTGGAAAGGTATCTTGTCTCATTTTTGCCTTTATCACCCTTGAGTCTATTTGGTTTCAATTTTAGAATGAGGAATTTAATGACAGATACAGTGATGTAACATACTGTACATACACTCCATGAAATTTAACAGATTTTACTTTTCATATTGAGGTGAGGTTTTCTATTTTATTTTTTAAGCAAATGAACTATTTAGTAACCGCAGGTCACTAAACGGTATTTACTAATAGCATGTCACCTATAAACTTAGTCATTTGTACAATGAACTTTTATTATGCAGGTGACACTTAATTTCTGTGAAATTCAACAGATTTTTTTAGACTAGGTTGAGGTTTGGGGTTTAATTTTTTAATATTGCTTTTGAGCAAATGAAATATTCACTGACTGCAGGTCATGAAGCAATAAAATACTTATATAATAAATCACTTATACATTCATGCAGTTTTTTACATAATTAAGTTTATTTATTTGTTGAGATGCAGTCTTGCTCTGTCACCCAGGCTAGAGTGTAGTGGCGTGATCTAGGCTCACTGCAACCTCCACTTTCCAGGTTCAAGCAATTCTCCTGCCTCATCCTCTTGAGTAGCTGGGACTACAGGTGCACACGACCATACCCGGTTCTTTTTTTTCTTTTTTTTTTTTTGTGTTTTTAGTAGAGATGGGGTTTCACCAATGTTGGCCAGTCTGGTCTCCAACTCCTGACCTCAAGTGATCCGCCCACCTCAGCCTCCCAAAGTGCTGGGATTACAGGCATAAGCTACTGTGCCCACCCATACACAATGAAATTTATTGTTTCTATTTAATAAAAGGAGTACTTGCTAGTTGCTAGTGATATAAAGATGAATGAAACACAGTCTCTACTTCGAAGCAGTTCAGAGTTTAATATAGAAAGACATAAAACTGTGATAGATACCAAGAAAGAGAAGAGATTGAAAAACAAAGTGAAGGGAGCAAAGAAGGAAGGCCTAATTCTAGTGGTAACTATAACAGTCTGGGTGGTCATTTAGACTAGAGAAGATAGACTACTCTGATAAGTATCTAGGAACACTTTGTGGGTGGTGGGACAAGTTAGGCCCTGATGACTGATTGGATGTGGTGGTGGTAAGAGTGACATGACCACTGGGACTGAAGGGATAGCAATGCCACCAATTAAGAGAAAATTTAAGAGTAGGTTCAGAGGAAGTCAGTGAGTTTCGATTGGAACACATTGAGTTTGAGGCAGCTATGAGCATTCCAGGTGCATTCACTCGTTAAATAATATGCTGGCTATTGAGGTTATGGTGGTGAAAATCCACCGTTAGATTTTACTGCTTCCCTGAGATGTAGCAATCTGAAATTGGGTGGAGGGGATAGGGCTGGAGATAGACTTGGGGCTCCTTGGTTTCCATGTGGTTGCTCAAAACACGAGGCTGGATGGCATTGCCCAGGAAGAGTATGCAGAATAGGAAGAGCCATGGTCTGAGGATAGAACGTTAGGGAATACAAGCATTTAAGGGTAGGAGGGGACTTGAAGAAGTGGGAGTGGGAACCATTTGGCAGGAACAAGAGGAACCAGGAAAATGCAGGAAATACTGGGAAGGGTTCGAGACCAGAAGTGGAGAAATTATGTCAGATGCTGCGAAGGCTCTAATACTATAACGTTTATAAAGCCCTTGTAACAGTGTGGTAAAGGGCTTATATTTTAACATTTAGTGAAAGCAGGTCCTCATATTTTCTATACAGTAAAGTCTCAAATGTTTAAAGATGCATAGGGGAAAAAAGCTGATTAGTCTAAAATGATAACAATGATTTTCATTGGATGGCTGATTTTTTAATTTTCTTCATAATTTTTTGTATTTTTCATGCTTTCTACATCAATCATGTGATACTTTTATAATTAGGAAAAAAATCTTAAAAATAGAGCCATAGAGCCCATTATAACAGTTGTATTTGTCTAAAGTAGAAAGGCTGCCTGCCTGTTAGATTATATTATATATGGGACAGCCAAATTGATTTTCTGTTCTTAAACTGTTTTGGTCAATGGAATAAAGTTTTGGGGGCTATTAGGGACTAGCAGATTAGTGTCTGCTATTTTATAGATGTTGATGGAAAAATAAAATGACTATTATAGCTATTGTGTATCATTACTTGTCTGCTTGGTTCAACAGACTTGGTTTCTCATAAAATAGATCCTTATTCCCACCTGAAGAATTAAGAACTTGCACTGTGAAAACGTGATAAAATTACATGTTCTATTATTTTTTCCTCTTTTCTAGATAGAAGTGGATTCTGTGATGTCTTCAATAAATCCAAATACTTCTGGTAATATGAAAGTTAATATTAATTTTTAGTACCTTATTTAGACACTGAGATGGCTTGGCTGTGTCCCTACATCAGTCTCATCTCAAATTCCTATGTGTTGTGGAAGGGACCTGGTGGAAGGTAACTGAATCATGGGGGCGGGTTTTTCGCATGTTGTTCTCATGATACTGGATAAGTCTCATGAGATCTGATGGCTTTATAAGGGGGGGCTTCCCTGCACAAGCTCTCTCTTTGCCTGCTGCCATCCATGTAAGACGTGACTTGCTCCTCTTTGCCTTCTGCCATGATTGTGAGGTTTCTCCAGCCACGTGGAAATGTAAGTCCATTAAACTTCTTTCTTTTCTAAGTTGCCCAGCCTTGGGTATGTCTTTATCAGTAGCATGAAAACAGACTAACAACACTCACAAAATGAAAATTAAAAACAGAAACTAGGCTGGGTGCAGTGGCTCATGCCTGTAGTCCCAGCACTTTGGGAAGCCAAGGCAGGTGGATCGTCTGAGGTCAGGAGTTTGAGACCAGCCTGGCAAAGATGATGAAACACCGTCTCTACTAAAAATACAAAAAATTAGCTGGGCGTGGTGGCAGGCACCTATAATCCCAGCTACTCTGGAGACTGATGCAGGAGAATTGCTTGAACTGAGGAGGTAGAGATTGCAATGAGCTGAGATTGAGCCATTGCACTCCAGCCTGGGCGACAAGAGTGAAACTCTGTCTCCAAATAAATAAATAAATAAAAACTATATAGCATTATATTTAAGCACATCTTTATTTTGTTTCCCGTTGTCCAAAAGAAAGGTTTTGGTGGTTTTTATTTTTTTTTAATTTTTAATTTTTGTAGGTGTATATATAGAGAGGTGGTACATGAGATGTTTTGATGTAGGCATGTAATGTGTAATAGTCACATCATGGGAAATGGGATAATTATCTCCTCGAGCATTAATCCTTTGTGTTACAAACAGTCCAGTTACACTCTTAGTTATTTTAAAATGTTTATCATTTTGACTCTAGTCACCCTATTGTGCTATCAAATACTAGGTATTAATAGTCACATCATGGAGAATGGGGTATCCATGCTATGAAGCATTTATCTTTCATGTTACCAAGAATCCAATTATACTCTTTTGGTTATTTTTTAATGTACAATTAAGTTGTTATTGACTATAGTTACCATTCTGTACTATCAAATACTAGGTCTTACTCTATTTTTTTTTTTTTGTATCCATTAACCATCCATAACTCTCCCCAACATCCTCACTATCCTTCCCAGCCTCTGGTAACCATCCTTCTACTTTCTATGTCCATGAATTAAATTGTCTTGATTTTTAGATCCCATAAGTGAGAACATGCAGTGTTTGACTTTCTGTGCCTTATTTGACTTAACATAGTGACCTCCCATTTTCATCTGTGTTGTTGCAAATGACAGGATCTCATTCTTTTTTATTGCTGAATAGTACTCCACTGTGTATGTGTACCACATTTTCTTTATCCATTCATCTGTTGATGGACACTGAGTCTTCTTCCAAATCTTGCCTATTGTGAACAATGCTGCAACAAACAGTATATGAGAATGCAGATATCTTCCATATGTTGATTTCCTTTCTTTTGGGTATATACCCAGCAGTGGGATTGCTGGATCATATGGTAGCTTTATTTTTAGTTTTTTGAGGAACCTCCAAATGGTTCTCCATAGTGATTGTACTAATTTACATGCCTACCAGCAGTTTAATAAGAGCTCCCTTTTCTCCATATCCTTGCCAGCGTTTGTTATTACCTGTCTTTTGGATAAAAGCCATTTTAACTGTGGTGAGATGATATTATTGTAGTTTTGATGGCATTTCTCTGATCAATGATATTGAGTACCTTTTCACATATGCCTGTTTGCCATTTGTATGTGTTCTTTTGAGGTTCTTTTAATTTTGATTATTTATAAATATGTTTATCACAGGGAAATTTTAAACTGTTGAAGTGCATAAAGAAAAAATATCATTCATAATTTTAACATTCAAAAAATGATACTAGGTTTTCTGACTTGTGCAGCTGGATGAATGGACATGGCACCTACTGAAAAGAGAAGATGGCAGACGGGTGGGGCGGTGGGGTGGGAGCAGGGGGCAGGCAATACCTGGGGGTGAGGGAGACTAAGAGCTCAATTTTGAGTATGTTTGAGAAGTGTTAGTTTACTATGTCAAAGCAGTCAGATTGGATGAATTTCAGAAGTAAGTTCTGGGCTGAAGAAATTGGGAGTCATCAACCTGTAGACAGATTTTAAAATCATGAGAATGAATGAGACCACCTAGAGAGATAGAGTGGACTGAGAATGTTAAGAACTCTAGCCAGTAGAAGTCAGGTGGAAGATGAAGAAATGGCAAAGGAGACTTAGGAGTGACAGAGGGGCAAGAGGAAAATCAAGAGTGTTTGATCAAAAGCCAAGAGAAGTAGATATTTTAATGAGGAAGGTGTGGTCAGCACTATCAAATGCTCCTGAAAGGTGAGGTGGCATAACTGATGAGTATCCTTTGGAGTTGGCCACCTGGAGGTGTTTGATGACTTTAGCAAGAGGCATTTCAAAGTGTGGTGAGGGCAGAGTGGGTTGAAGATAAGTGGAAAGTGATGATGAAGTGTGACAATGTGAGTAGATGAGTCTTTTGTTAAGTCCAGAGTGGCAATAGATCAAGAGATGTTTTGTTTGCTTCTTCTTGTTTCTATTTAAATGGAAGAACATGTTTCCAAGCTTAGCAGAATGATCTAGTGAAGAGGAGGAAGGAAGATGAGAGAGAGGGAGGGAAGGAGACCTATTGTGTAAGGGGATAGGATCCAGAGCATGTTAGATTGGCTTTTTAAATATTACCTTTTTTTGAATAATTTAAAACTTCCAAAAAGTTCAAAATAAAACAGTACAGAGAATAGCTTACTCTCTGTGTAAGGTATACCTTTTACCCAGATTGACATTGTTAACATTTTACACCATCTTCCTTCTCCTTTGCACTTTCTACCACTATCCCCTTCTCTTCTGTAATGAATATAACCAAAATATGCTTATCATATTCATAAATATATGTTGATACTGTTTTATCTGATTTATCATCTATATTTTGTCAGTTGATCTAATAACATCCTTAATAGTATCTTTCCTTTTTTAGTATGTTAAAAAATCATAAGTGTATCTAGGGAAAAAAAAGACACATATGAATAGGAACAAAGATAAAAATGACAGCAGTTGGCTGGGAGTGGTGACTCACACCTGTAATCCAAGCACTTTGGGAGGCCAAGGCAGGAGGATTGCTTGATGCCAGGAGTTCAAGACCAGTCTGGTCAACATAGTATGAGACTCTGAATCGACAAAAAAGCAAAAAAAAAAAAAAAGCCAGGCATGATGGCACGTGCCTGTAATCTTAGCTACCTGGGAGGCTGAGGCAGGATCCCTTGAGCCCAGGAGTTTGAGGTTGCACTTAGCCATTATCATACCACAGCACCCCAGCCTGGGCGACAGAGTGAGACCTCATCTCTTAAAAAACTTAATTAATTCAACAGAAGGAAGAAAATGGGAACAAAAAATAGATGGAAATAGACAAGTAGAAAAATAATATGGTAGATTTAAATCCAATCATTAATGTTTTAGTTAGATGTAAATGATCTCAACAGCCCCATTGAAAGGGAGATACTGTTAAATTAGATAAAAGAGTACCAACTAACTCTGTGTTGCCTAGAAGCCCACTTTAAACATAAGGGCAAAAAAGATTAGAAATATATACTGTACTGAACACTAACCAAAAGTATGCCAAAGTGAGCATGTTAATATCAGATGAAGTAGACTTCAGAAGAAGAAATATTACCAGGGATAAGGAGAGCCAGTTCATTAAGGGAATTAAACATTTATGCCCCTGGCCAGGTGCCATGACTCAAGCCTGTAATCCCAGCACTTTGAGAGGCCAACGCAGACGAATCACTTGAGGCCAGGAGTTTGAGACCAACCATGATGAAACCCCGTCTTTACGAAAAAATACAAAAAAATTAGCTGGACATGGTGGTGCATGCCTGTAATCCCAGCTACTCGGGGGGCTGAGGCACGAGAATCATTTGAGCCCAGGAGGTGGAGGTTGCAGTGAGCCCAGATTGCATCACGGCACTCCAGCCTGGGTGACAGAGCAAGACTCTGTCTCAAAAAAAAAAATAAAAAAAAAAAATCCCCTAATAATGGAAATTCAAAATACATGAAGCAAAAAACTAATAAAACTGTAAAGAAAAATGGACAAATCCATAATGATGGTAGGAGGTTGCAACACCCCTATCAATAATTAAGCAAGTAGACATAAAATCAATAAGGATATAGGAGACGTGAACAGCACTGTCAACCAGTGTGACCTAATTGTAATCTATAGAATGTTCTACCCAACAAAAGCAGAATACACATTCTTTTCAAGTCTACACAGTATATTTAATAAAATTGGTCATACTCTGGGCCATTAAACATGTCAATACATTTAAAGTACAAAGTATGTTCTTTGTGATGGAACGACATTAGAAATCAATAGCAAAGCTGTCTGGAAAAGTTGCAAATAGTTGTTCCAAGTAAAAGTTTAAAAGTTCCAAACAAATAGCACACTTCTAAATAACTCATAGGTCAAAGAAAAAATCAAAAGGGAAAAATTAGGAAGTATTTTGAATTGAATGAAAAGACCACATTTCAAATTTTGTAGGATGGATTGAAAGCAATACTTGGAAAGTGGTAGCACTAACTTTCTATGTTTAGGAAAGAATAAAGGTGTCAAACTGATGACCTCAGCTTCTACCTTTAATTATCTTCTACCTTTAACTACAAAAAAGAGTAAATAAGGCCCGAAATAAGTGGAGGAAAGGAAATAGTAAAGATTGGAATGGAAATTGTTGAAATTGAAAAGAGGACAAACAAGAAAAAATTAAAAGCTGATTTTGTTGAGGTAATCAATAAAAATGAGAAACTACTACCCACACTGAGTGGGGGGGGAAAAGAGAGCAGGGATTACTAACATTTAGATTTAAAATCTAATATTTTATTAGATTTATTATTAGATCTAATAAAATCTAATATTTTATTAGATTTATTATTAGATCTAATAAAATCTAATATTTTATTAGATTTATTATTAGATCTAATAAAATCTAATATTTTATTAGATTTATTATTAGATCTAATAAAATCTAATATTTTATTAGATTTATTATTAGATCTAATAAAATCTAATATTTTATTAGATTTATTAATATTGTATTAAAATCTAATACACTTTATGTACAAGGTTTAGAATCACATTTAAAATAAGACTTTCAGGATTATTGCTAGGAGAACATGTTCTTGATATAATCGCTAACTTGATAGAATTGCTCCAGGTTTTAAATTTCTTGTTGAAAATTTTCACTTTCAAAATATTCAGAATAATGTTTGATGTTCCATTAGTTACAACTTCTTGATAAAGCCTTTTCTACATTTTTTTCATTAGGGTTTTTTGTGAATATTCCAATCTACAGAGAGTTTTGTTTTCTGGCAAAAGGATTTCCCACATTCTTTGCATTGATAGGATTTCTCTTTCTTAAGAGTTCCCTGATATTCAGTGAGTTATTCTTTCTGGATGAAGATCTTACCCTAGTCATAATATCGTGTTTCTCTATTATGTTACTGATATGGATTGGCTGTGTCCCCACCCAAATCTCATTTTGTAACTCCCATAATTCCCACGTGTTGTGGGAGGGACCCAGTGGGAGATAATTGAATAATGGGGGCAGGTCTTTCCCAGGCTGTTCTTGTGATAGTGAATAAGTCTCACGAGATTTGATGGTTTTAAAAAGAGAAGTTCCCCAGCACAAGCTCTCTCTTGTCTGCTGTCATTCATGTAAGACATGACTTGCTCCTCTTTGCCTTCCGCTATGATCGTGGGGGCTCCCCAGCCGTGTGGAACTGTAAGTCCATTAAACCTCTTTCTTTTGTAAATCGTCCAGTCTCATCTTTATCAGCAGCATGAGAAAAGATTAATACAGTGGCTTTTCTGATACATCAAGTGTGACTATTGCTGAAGGCATTTTAACATTCATTATTCTCATAGACTTTCTTTCTTCTGTATGTTCTCTGATTTTGAATTAAGGATTTGACTTCACACTGAATGTTTTCTTTCCTTAACTAGTTCTCTAATGTGCAGAGAGGTATGGATTCTGGAAGAAAGAATACAGTCCCCACCTGTATTCTCCCAGCTGTACTCTAGTGTGAGTGTGTATGTATGTGTGTGTGTGTGTGTGTTTATTTGGAGAAACTCAAGACCACAAACATTCAAGAAAAGGAGTAAAATAGCCTAGCAAGAAATCACTGCTGTACTCTGATTGCTGCTAACATGCAATTTTTCTATTAGAATTGTTCAATACTGAACCAATTTCAAACCATCCACTTTTTCTTCTTTCCCTCTTATTGATACGAGTCAATTTTACATGCTATTTCTCTTGAAGGAAGAGAGCACATGTGCAGATTAAATGTTTTTCCACATATATTATCTCTCTTCTTAATGTTTGGATCTTGAAGAACTGAAATTGGCGGGGTGTGGTAGCTCACGCCTGTAGTCCCATGCAATTTGGGAGGCCAAGGTGGGTGGATCACTTGAGCCCAGGAGTTTGAGACCAGCGAGAGCAACATGGCGAAACCCCATCTCTACAAAAAATACAAAAATGAGCCAGGCCTGATGGTACATGCCAGTCCCAGCTACTCAGGGGGCTGAGGTAGAGGATTGCTTGAGCCCAGGAGGTTGAGACTGCTGTGAGCCATGATCACGCCACTGCACGCCAGCCTAGGTGACAGAGCGAGACCCTGTTTCAAAAAAAAAAAAAAAACAGGTCTGAAATGCTGGCCTTGGCCTCCTGGGAACTATTTATTCAGGTAATCAACTTTCCAAAGTTGTTCTGTATAATACAGCTGTGACTTGGGAATTCTCTGCTATCCATTGTTCTTCTTACTTCGGAACAGGGCTCTAACACACCATCCACAGGATTCTTTTGCAGGGCCCAGTTGCTGCCCAGCTTGCAGGGCAAGGTCAGACTCACATTCTAGGTTGGCCCAGACTCAGCTGCTTTTAGGAAGGGCCAGAGTCCGGAAGCTAGACACCCTGCACTTTGGGTTCGGGATTATACCTAAACCTGGATGCCCAGGCCCTGCTTCCCAAGGGCTTCGAATCCTCTTGAAAAGTAGGTCATTTCAATAGAGATTTCCTCGTGAAAATTAAGAAGAGTGAAAAGTTAAGTCAAAGCTAGTAGAAATAAGAGTAAAGTATCTGGAAGAAGTGTACATGCTGGGAGAATTTGAGGGCAGCCAGGGTGAGTAGCAGAAAGGTGCTAATGATGTTTTTATTGCCTGTAACCTAACAAGCAAGTGAATATAAGCAAAAACTGTTGTGGCTGCTTGAAACAAGGAAATATATGAGTGGGAGAAAAAAATCAAGCCATTAGTTAAAGGAAGCGGCAGATCACAGTTGAGGTTGGTTCTGATTTATAGTCTTGCTACCTCTTTCAGAGGGTTTCATTATAACCCTCATTCTCTGTGATGCACTTCATAACTTTTCCAAGTGTATAGAATGAAGAAGCTTGCAACTAGAAGAGACCTGGAAAACAGTCATCTGTCCTTATTTTAAAATGAGGAACCTAGGCTTCAGAGAAGAATCACAAAATGATATAGAGGAATAATAAAATAATAAATACTTGGCAAAATCCTTTTACAGTATTTATTATTATTATAGATAATTGCAGCAATCATTTCCTGAACAGTTATCATGCAGATCTGTGATGAGCACATTCATCTGTGATGATTGTTATATTTAATGTAACTATGATATTATGATTATCCTCTGTATTAGTCCATTTTCACACTGCTATAAAGAACTACCTGAGACTGAGTAATTTATAAAGAGGTTTAATTGACTCACAGTTCCACAGACTTAACAGGAAGCATGACTGGGGAGGCCTCAGGAAACTTAGAATCATGGCAGAAGGCAAAGGTGAAGCAAAGACCTTCTTCCCATGGTGGCAGGAGAGAGAGAGAGTGAACGGGGAATTGACACACTCTTTCAAACAACCAGATCTGGTGAGAACAACAAGGGGGAAGTCAGCCCTCATGATTCAGTCACCTCCCACCAGGCCCCTGCCCTGACAGGGATTACAATTCGAGATGAGATTTGGGTAGGGTAAGGACACAGAGCCAAACCATATTATCCTCATTATATTTTATTTATCATTTTAGATGATTATTTTTGAGACAGGGTCTCTAACTCCTGGGCTCAAGTGATCCTCCCACCTTAGCCTCCCAAAGTGCTGGGATTACAGGCATGAGCCACTGTGCCTGGCTATCCCCATTTTAGAAGTTAAAAAACTCTGGCCATTCATGGCGGTATGCACCTATATTCCCAGCTACTTGGGAGGCTGAGGTGGGAAGATCACTTGAGTCCAGGAGTTTGAGACCAGCCTGGGCAACAGAGCAAGACCATATCTCTGAAAAAAAAAAAAAGTACTAAAAAGTTTAAAAATAAAAAATAAATAAATCCAGAAGCCTAGCAAGATTAAATAATTTGCCCAGAGTGGCACCGGTAGCTAGTAAGTACCAGACCAACGTGATCCGACCTTCTAGCTCACCCTCTTAACCAATTGATGAGCCCTTCCTTTGATTTTTAATAGTGCCATGGGTCATACTCCTAATTGTGACAAAATCGAGGCCAGTATTCATTCCCCTAAGGAACTTTATGAATCAATGAGTTGAAGTCAGGAGTAGAATCAATACACGAAAAACAAATCACCATGTTCTCTATAGTTGTTAGGCATTAATTTCAAATTTGGTTCTGGACTACCTAGCATCCAGAACAAATAGGAAAACACGAGCAAGCACAGCTGCAGTCAGGGTCCATGCAACAAAACAATTTTTCTAGAGAGGCATAAGTCCTCCTGCCCTGGGATAGTTCTTCTGTGATGTCTCATGGAGGGGAGGCTGCTGAGTGGATGTCAGTGTCGATGAGCTGTTCAATAAATGCAGTAGTGAATTTTGTAAGGCTGTTGCTTCATCTTTTCTCAATGTAGACCAGTGTTTAATGTCAGGGCAATTCTATGAAGGGCAAAGGCTGTGTGTTCCAAGTATACATATCTCAGGTGGTCTGACTTTATTCCAGAATAAATTGTAGATCATTCTATATAAATAACAACAGCTAAGATTTACAGGGCTTTTCTTTATGCTAAAAGCTATAAATAAGAACTGAATGAGCATTGTCCCACTGAATCCTCATACATTTGTCTCTTTGTTATTATCTCGGATCTATGTAAAATATGCCTAAGATTAAAAACCAGAAAAAAGGACTTCAGAATTTTGTTTTCACTAGGCGATTAGATTGAGCATCTTTTCTGTTTCCTTATACTATTGCCATTTTAAATTAATGAACATATTCTACTTTGATACTTGAAAAAGCTTTCCAGGAACTTACTTTTAACCCTCAACTTTGAATGATGGAAAAATCAAAGCGATTGATTCATCATAGCAGTAATTATGGACTGTGTGACTGCTATCCAGTGTAAGGTCCAATTGAAAAATAATTTGTGGATGAGTAGGTTAATGGTCAGTTGGCTTGCATGCTTTTATTTATTAATATCTTGTCTGGCTTGTTCTAAACAAGACAGTTGACTATTAAAGGTATTATTTTTCTAAATTTAAATATCCTTTTTCTGGTCTTAGTTTCTGTCATAAAACACCTGCTGTTGTGTATGGTTTTTTATTTTGGCTCCTATGGAACAAAGATCAGGGTATAGCAGGGATGAAGGTTTTGGTTGATTTCAGATTTCAATTGGCTTCTTAGTTCTTTTCTATAATCAGGAAACTGCATACACATTAAGGTTACCTTATTTTGAAATTATAATCGTAGCATTTTATGGAATCTCCTACAGATATTCACCCATCCATGTTTATTTAATTACCCATTTAGAAAACAGTGAATATGTTTCACTATACAGATGGGGAAGAATTAGGAGACACAGACACTGACCTAAAGACATTTAAAAATATATATTTTATGTGGGCTGGGCACGGTGGCTCACGCCTGTAATCCCAGCACTTTGGGAGGCCGAGGAAGGTGGATCACGAGGTCAGGAGTTCAAGACCAGCCTGGCCAACATGGTGAAACACTGTCTCTATTAAAAATACAAAAATTAGCTGGGCGTGGTGGTGGGTGCCTGTAATTGCAGCTACTCCAGAGGCTGAGGCAGGAGAATTGCTTGAACCTGGGAAGCGGAGGTTGCAGTGAGCTGAGATCCCGCCACTGCACTCCAGCCTGGGCGATAGAGCAAGACTCCATCAAAAAATGTGTATATATCTTATGTGATAGGGAAGATGAAAGAAATATTGCCACTTCTTTTACGGCCAGATGTTATATTACTATTATAGGCAAGAAAACCTATAAGAGTTCAGGAGGGCAGCACTGCCCCCTAGAGGAGGTGTGGGCCTGGAGCTGGACATGCTGAAGGATGGGTGGGATTTGAAATAGTGATGGAGCAAAGGAGAAAAGAGGCGGTAAATGAATGCAGGGCAGGTGCCAGCTGTGTGCCCCGCCTCCTGCTCCTGTTGCTGGTGCTGTGCTCTCTGTGTAGAGTTCTTCAGAGACCCTCTTCTGTGCTGTCCACGTCAGTGCCTGAAATCTTTTCTTCCTAGATCCCTGTTCTTTTACAAATCTCTCGCCCATCTCAGATTTGCATACCTAAATATATCAGCTATCATGCTGTTAATGCAGTCCTCCCATTAACAGAATCTACTCTTCTTGGATTTTTACTTTTTTTTTTTAACCTCTGCAACAGCAAGGAATATAGTATGTAACTATAAATGAATTGTGTCCAGCCGAGTCAGCTGGCATGATGAGAGCTGGGAAGGATTAAGGACCGGTGTGCACGGAAGGAAGGATGAAGCTTTAAAGTCCAGAATAAGGTATTAGGACTTTGTGGTGTTTGACACTGAGGAACCTTTTAAGCTTTATGAGCAGGAGATGTGTATAATAAAAAAGTAACAATTCCTGCCTGGGTTTGATAGAAATAAGATTTTATTGGTTCAGATTTCTCTATTCTACTGTAACTGGTTTTTTTTTTTTTTTTTGCTTTGTTGTTGTTGTTGTTGTTTTGTTTTTTGAAATGGAGTTTTGCTCTTGTTGCCCAGGCTGGAGTGCAGTGGCGCGGTCTTGGCTCACTGCAACCTCTGCCTCCCGGGTTCAAGCCTGGAGGTGAACATGTGATTCTTCTGCCTCAGCCTCCTGAGTAGCTGGGATTACAGGTGCGGCACCACCTCACCTGGCTAGTTTTTGTGTTTTTAGTAGAGACAAGGTTTTACCATGTTGGCCAGGCTGGTCTTTAACTCCTGACCTCAGGTGATCTGCCTGCCGTGGCCTCCCAAAGTGCTGGGATTACAGATGTGAGCCATCACACCTGGCCTCTAACTGTTTTTACTCATTTTCCCTCCAATTATATAGTAAAACTTGATTTCTTCCATTAAGGTAGATTATTTTCTCTTTATTTCCCTACACATCCATAGTAAGCTGGAAGAAAATATTATCCTCTGAATTCATTTATCATAGGTGACAACTCACTATTTTTGAAGTCACTTTCACCTACCATCCTTGCAGTCTTTCTGTGCGAACACATTATATCCTTCTCCCACCCCTTCACTGTCATGGCCTCCAAAAGTCATAATTTGAATTTTGTGTCTCAGACTAGAGAAGGCATTATGTCTTTTGAAAGACTGCTTCATCCTTTTAAACCCTAATTTTTAAGCATTTTTTTAACTCCTGGAAAAATCAATATGTGACACAATGAACATGAACCCTTCCTTTCTACTAAATCTAGGACCAGGCTTACTGTCCAAATAACTTGCGATTTTTATTGTTTTCTCCTTCACTCTCCCCAGGTTTATTGCAGTTTCTAAGTTGAGCTCACTGTGATAGCCAGATGCTAGACTCCTTCATTTTCAAGAGGATTTCTCTGTGTGCACTGACCCTGAAGCTTAGAACTGTGAACCACAAAAAACTATACTTAATGGAACTTTCAAGTAAAAAATTTATATAGTTTTGTTAGACTTTTTGAATTTATCTTCCCCTGTGGTGAAAGATGATTACCCTCCTAAGAAACTGCTTAAAAACAAACAAGTAAAAAAAAATAATCTTTCTAGTCTCTCTCTCTCTATATATATATCTGTCATAGATATATATACATGTATTAAGTAGTTTGGAAACTAAAAAATATGTACATGTTGGCCAGGTGCAGTGGTTCATGCCTGTAATCCCAGTACTTTATGAGGCCGAGGCAGACGGATCACAAAGTCGGGAGTTCGAGACCAGCCTGGCCAATAGGGTGAAACCCCGTCTCTACTAAAAATACAAAAATTAGCCGGGTGTGATGGCACACACCTGTAATCCCAGCTACTCGGGAGGCTGAGGCAGTAGAATCGCTTGAACCCAGGAGGTGGAGGTTGCAGTGAGCCAAGATCGCGCTGTAGCACTTCAGCCTGGCGACAGAGTGAGACTCCATCTAAAATATATATATATATGTTATAGAACATGAAGAGAGTCCATTTTACCAAGGATTGTTTATAAAATGGAAGGAGATGTTTTCCAGTTGTACAAAAAAATGCATGGACTTGCAGGGTCAAGAAGGATTTGTAAAGATCATTGGTCCAGTGGTCTTTAAACCACAAACCTCAATCCTAGATCCTTTGGGGACACATTCAAAGACACTGTTGGATAGGGAAGAATGGGAAGCCCACCCACTTCAAACCAAATAGTTCTTCCTTCATCTCCTCTACACATGAGGCTTTCCATTTTCATATAAAGAAGAATCTTTCCTACAGCTGAAAAAAGAAATAGTTTGCCAACTATTGATAGAGTCTAATGACCCAGGCAATTTCTGAATACCTTCTGCAGACATATTAATAATAAACACAGATAAACACATAGATCTGTGTGGTTCCTAAGGTTGTGATGCTAATTTGTAACCACGGTAAAGGATGTTTAGGTAACTATTAGTAGTGGAACAGTGTGCACAAATGACTCAACATTGTATTTGAAATTAGAATTTTCTGAACATATTCTTCCTCTGGAGGCGGGGTGGGAGGGGACACAGGTAATATATTTCTTATTGGGTATGAAATCTGATGTCAGTAGAATTACTGAAAGCCTTTGTGAAGTGGTAATTTTAGGTTTGAATGTTGTGACAGCAGGTGGAGCTAGTAGTAGGAACTCTATTTCTAGGTTATTTAAAGAGCTAGATGTATACAGCTTACATTAATGTGTTTTCATTGCAGAGCTTCAGGAATAGCATGTTACTATGTATTGGCTTTGGAAAGTGATCATATTACTACAACATGAGAGCCGAGCTGAACAAAAACTCCTCTGTGCTTTTTAGAAAAGGGTCTTGTATTTGGATAAATGTTGCGTTAGAAGATTAAGACAATTAAAGGCATAGAAGGGAGGGGATATGTTCACACAATATATGCTTGATGAGTTTAACCCCTAGAGTATGGACTTTAAGAAATAAAAGCATATGATTGTGTGGGAAAATAGTGTGAAAGAAATTGATTACACATACGGAGTAATTTTTGTTATTGGATGGGTTTTCCTTTTAAGTGGTAATAGGCATACAGTTTAAATCCACATACATTTTCTCCTAGTAAAAGCTAAAGACTGTTTGTTTTTATCCTACAATATTGTAAAATAAAGACCTGAATACTTCACAGCTCCAAATACTCATGAGTTATCTGAATATGTAATTTAAAAGATATCACCACTCAGGTCCTTTTTTTTCCTTGTGAATTACACGATGAACCAGGAATTGTGCTTTTTTCCCTTTATCACTTCTCTAAGTCAAATGCAATGATAAGAGCAAATATTATCGATGTAGTTCTCTCTGAATTTTGTTTGGTTTTTACTATATCATATGTTTTAAGAAATTGGAGTTTCTGAAGTGACAGTTTATTTTGCTGGCTATGTGAATAGAAAGAGACCTACTTTTTGGCATTCATTTACAGAGTTATAAGATCATTTAAAACATGGGTTTTTTTTTTTCTTTTTTTGAGACAGAGTCTTACTCTGTCACCCAGGCTGGAGTGCAGTGGCACGATCTCGGCTCACCGCAACCTCCACCTCCTGGGTTCAGGTGATTCTTGTGCCTCAGCCTCCTGACTAGCTGGGATTACAGGTGCATGCCGCCACACCTGGCTAATTTTTGTATTTTTAGTGGAGATAGGTTTTGCCTTGTTGGCCAGGCTGATCTCAAACTCCTGACCTCAGGTGATCTGCCTGCCTCAGCCTCCCAAATTGCTGGGATTACAGGCGTGAGCTACCGCACCTGGCTAATTTTTGTATTTTTAGTAGAGACAGATTTTGCCATGTTGGCCATGCTGGTCTGGAACTCCTGACCTCAACCTCTCTGCCCACCTTGGCCTCCCAAAGTGTTAGGATTATAGGCATGAGCCATTATACCTGCTCTAAAACACACATTTTAAGCCTGGCATGGTGGCATATGCCTTTAGTTCCGGCTACTGGGGAGACTGAGGTGGGGGATAACTTGAGGCTAGGATTTTGAGGCTGCAGTGCGCTGTGGCCATGCCTGTGACTAGCCTTTGCACTCCAGCCTGGGCAAGAGAGCAAGACCCTGTCTCTAGGAAAAAAAAAAAAAAAAAACCCACATGCATTTTAATGCTTTTTGCTAAAAACTAGAAATAACATCTTGTTTGTTATTATTCATTGAATGTTACTTACTCAGCAAACATGTAATGAATGCCTACTGTCTGCTAGGCATCATGCTAAACATGGGATAAAATTTTGAGAACACTATACACTGCTTTCCCTCAGCATGTCTCAGGCAGACATGTGGCCAAATAATTACCGTAGATCCTAATCACTTCTATGATTGCATGATGAACAAAGGGCCGTCGGGTCACAGAAAAAGGACTTAGCTGAGAGAAATCAGAGACATATTCAAACAGGAGATGATGCCTGGGTTGCATCTGGAAGGAGATACAAATATTCACTAGGAGAAAAAAGGAGAAAGTGCATTATTCCAGGCAGTGTGTTCTATACATGCAAAGGTGTGGAGTGCGAAAGGGCCTCTTGGCTTGGGGAAGCACCAGGAAGTTGACTAGGAAGCCTTGAGAGGTGGACTGGGGTACGTTTCTGAAGGGTCTCCTAGGACATGCCATTATCAGTGAATACATTATTCAAGAATTTCGGCTACTCTAGATGCTACTTAATTGACTAGATTTTGGTGTTCATGAAGCTAAAGTTATGGATATGATCTTATGGGCACATGGCATAGCTAGACTTCAATTTTAACCTCAGCTAACAATTTGTCATTATGTTCTCTGTCACAAGGGTAATTAGATAAGAATGGAGCTGCATCAATATGTATTCCCCACAACTATGGAAAAAAATGCTACATATGCTAATTTGCTACAGTACGTATGATTGAGCACCTGCCAGGCACTCTGGTAGGTGAGGGAGATATGCCCTGTTGCCTAGAAGACAGCCGGCCACCTCCTGAACTTCTCCTCTTGGTTGTCTCCAGAGCACTGAACACTTCACACAGCTGAATGGCAACTCTTCATCTCGCCCCAATTTTGCTCTTCCCCCAGACTTTCTCCTCTCTTTAAGTAGCTCTTCAAGCCAGAATCTACGGGATATTCTTGACATCTCTTTCTTTCTCACCTGCCACATCTAGTTCTTCATCAAGCTATGTCATTTAGATTCTAAAATATATCTGGAAACCTTCCACTCCTCTCATCCCCACTGCCAGCAACCTGGCAACCACATCTCTTGCCAGTAGGCTCCTAACTGGTCTCTCTTTTTACATTTTTGCTCCCCCACCTCCGTCCTTTTATCAGGATAATAGCCAGAAAGATCATGTAACTTCCCAATTCAAACCTTCTGTTGACTTCCTATTGCCACTTAAATAAAACCCAAATTATTTACTGTGGCCCACAAGAGCCTGTGAGTTTTGGCCCCTGCTGCCCTCCCCAACCTCATCTTGTATCACTTCTCTCTGGCTCACTTTGTTCCAGCCACAGCAGCCTTTTTTCATTTTCCCACCTTGCCACACAACAGCCTCGGCACAGGCTGTTCCTACTGCCAGCAATGCTCTTCTTCCCAACATTAGGCAGTTGGTATTGTCTCATGGTTTAGGTCTTGGCTTAAATATCTCCTCCTTGAAGGGCTCTCTCTGTCACCAGAGTCTACTTGACATGAGGATTCCTGTGAATCTTTTTCACAACCTCCTGTCTTTCCCCTCATTGCCCATGCCACAGTTTGTAATGAGGTGTGCATTTGCAGTTGAACCTGTGTAATGACTGCCTTCCCCACCAGATCAGTAGCTCCCTTGGGACTGGAATCATGTGTATTCTCTTTTCCCCTCTATTTCCAAAGCTTAATACAGTGCCTGGCCCATAGTAGGTCCTAAAAGGAATCATTTAAAAAGAGACAGATTTCTTTTTCAGTTTATAAATCTTTAAATGTAAATAAAGATGTAGGAAATTAAGAAAATCATTTCTACATTTTTTTAAATGATTGGAACTATTTTAGAAAAGGTATACAGCTTAGTATTACATCACTAAAAGAAAAAATGTGCATGTGGTTATTGTATGTTTGGAGGCTATTTTTAAAACAGTGATAATTTTTTTATGGAAATTCTGAGTTATAAAAATGAACCACTCTTTTTATATATGTAGAGCTCAGTTCACTAAAATGTTTAAATTCTTGGCTTCGCTCTTTAAACCTACTACAAAGATCACATTAGAATTCGTTTTAATAGACATTGTAAGCACAGTATCCAATCTCATTTTATCATGCTGGGCTCTTTTATGATGAGAGTCGCAGGAAGCTGAGCCTGAGGCTGCTCCACACGTTGTGGGGCGTATCCAGGGCTGGAGATGGTGCCAGCTGTATTGTTTATGTAATATTCTCCCCACCTTTATCTGTGGTGTACAATTGGTATTGACTTTTAAGAAACTACTTCTCTGACCCGATCTCCCAGTTGGAAAAAAACCTGCCATAGTGACATCTGGCTAGGAAAAAAGGGATCAAAGAAGCATAAGGAAACAAAAATTATGAGACCTTGTTTAATAAGTAGTTTCATGCCTATTAGATCTGTTAGAGGGAAGAGTGTTACAGTTTTTTCAAGGTCACCATTCCTTTACCCCTGGAAAAAGCTCAGTGAACCCTAAAAGTGTCTTGTGTTTTCACTATTGATTTCTAGTGTTGGATCTGTTAAATGTTAGCATTTAGCAAAATGCCTTTTTCGGTCTTCAGGAAACTTCACAGATCTTGAGTAAATACTGTTCACCAAAATTAAGATAAAATTTGATTATTGGTGAGATTTATTACTGTCCATTTCTGTTTAATTTTTTCTTAAAGAGGAAGACAATAATCTTTGACAAATTGTTTTTTCCCCAACTTTTAGGTATATTACTCGAGGGGTTTTTAAATATTGTCAGGAAAAAGAAGGAAGCTCAACGATATCGGAACGAAGTAAGACACATCTTCACAGCCTTTGACACCTACTGTAAGTGTCTCTAAAGTGTTTTGATGTAAAAAAAATTACTTTTAAGGGATTGCAAATAGGATTATATACCCAGTAAATCAAATATATAATATACTTGGAAGATTATATTACTGTATTCATTAGCTGTTACCTTAGGTATTGATGCACATTTTTTTCTCCGTCGTGATTTCTTGACATTTACCATAGATGAAATAGTATTTACAGTTATATAGTTGTACTAATATATTGTACCTTGATTGTCATGGGGACTGCAAAAGGACTGGCCCTGGGGGATATAGGCCATGAGCCACCTATGGAGGTGTGGGAGACCGTGTGGCTTCTTCATCAACTCTTGCTCTGACCTACATATGATTGGTGGAATTGTTTTCCCCCATAGGGTGTGGCTGAGAGGGGTGGGTGGCTGTAGACCCCCTAGGCCCCACAGATCATACACAGAATGAAAAGACTCATGGAGTCTAGGGTCAGTGTCTTGACTGCTGTTATGGTTTCCTTCTAAATAGCAATATTTCATGATTCTAATACCACGCAAAGGAAAAAACATGCATTTTGAAGACTGCATTGTTTTGGCAACTCGCAAAGACTCAAAGTCTAACACCGTTGTTAGAGTGCATGTCTCTATATAGTGCTATCTCTGGTACTGAGAGAATCAGCAAAATGATAGGGCCAGAAGTGACCTTCAAGATCAGCCGGGACTGCACTGAAGGAAAGTATTATTAGAATCTTAAATTATTCCGATGAGACAATCTCAGATTACCTTATCTGTGAAATCAATCGTAAACTACTGCTTTTCTCCTAGTAATATATTAAAATAAGTTTTGCACAAATGTTATGGCTGAAGTAACAGTTGATAGGTCTTATTAAAGTAAGTGAATATTTTTTATTGTTTTCAAATAGATCGTGGATTTTTAACTTTGGAAGATTTCAAAAAAGCATTTAGGCAGGTGGCTCCCAAATTACCGGAAAGGACTGTTCTTGAGGTATTCAGGTAAGGCATCAAAATCCTTCTGTACACCACCTTTTGATTTACCATTTGCTTTTACATGTTTTTGACTTTATGGAAAGAACTTATTTATTCTGATTTTTGAGTCTGGAACATTTTTCTCTTGCAGCATAGTGTCATGGTCCAGGAGGGAAATCTATAGTTAGCTATGGGTCCTTCCATGCCCCTGACAGTGAACTGTAAAGTTGGGGGAGCGCTTGCACACCAGGCAGGTGCATACAAGCACTTATGAGTAGGGGCAGGAGAGGAACAGGAAGAAAGAACTTCTTCAGATACTTACGTGTGAACCAAGGGAAAATGGAGCTTTAGTAATATTTAGCATGGATGCTGGTGTCCTCACATGGTCTGTATTTCAGACAAACACAGGTTACATGTGGTTCTTGAGTTGTCTGGAGAGAACAGCTGGAGTTGCCTGATGGTAGCCCCCTTGTTCCCTTGCTTTCAAAGCTACTGACACATGTTGCTGTTCACACATACCTGATAAAGTGGATTTAAAGATTATATTATGTGGTTCTTATGAACAAATCCTGACAAAATGGACAAGTGGCTTAAAAGCAGTTTTTGTTAGGAAACTGCAGATTGAAGGTAATATTAATAGTGCAAACACATGCTGACGTGAGAACACAGCAGAGCTGTCTCTTCTCTGACTCCCAGCATGAGCTCTTCATCAACCCTGTTAACAGGTGTATTCATTAGCGTTCAGCACACCAGCGAGAGCCAGAAAACCCAAAAGAACGGAAACTCAAAAAATATAGAAATTCATTTCTCTGCCATATAAACATAGGCAAACCAGGGGCGAATGTTGACCACACAGTCGGGAAGGATCCAGATTGCCCCTTTTCTTGTTGCTCTGGCTGTATCAACACCTGGCTTCTCCCTCTTGCTTCAAGATGGTTGCTTAAGTTTCAGCAGTCAAATATTAAGTTTCAGCAGTCAAATCTGAATTCCAGCTGGTTAGGAGGAAAAGAAAGTAGAAGGTATGCACTCCTTTTCAGGATATATATTATTTCCACTTACAACCCAGTGACCAAAACTTAGTTCCAAGGTCATGCACAGCTGCAAGGGGGAAGGGTTTTGGAAAATGTAGTCTTTGCTCTGGGCAATGATGTGCCCACGAATAGAGGTTCTGATACCAAGGAAGAGGGGGAGAGAATGGATATTGGGGGACATCTGGCAGATGTTCCCATTTGGGATAAAAGTAACTTAATGAAATATGACCAGAGCCAGCCCTTCTCAATAGAAATTAGTAAATAGGTTATTTGAATGAAGATTTGCAGTCATTATCATTAACAGTGACATATATGAAATTCATTTGCTGCATCATTGACAAGCAAGCTACTGAGCAAGCTATTGAAGAAGAGCAAAGAAGTTAAAGCCAGATGCATACAAAATGCTTATGGGAAAACATTACTTAGCTGATTTTGTAAAAGCAAATCCTTTAAAATGTAGCATCTTTGTATTTTGTGATGAGATAGGTAGTGAATATCAATATACTTCTACCATACAAAAGTTGTTTTTAACAAAGGAACTAAAAATTGATACTCATTTTCTTTTTACAAAAAGACCAGTTGTCCAAATATGATGAACTTTATGTGTTAAATGGTTTTAGTAGATACTACCTTATAGAGATTTTTGAAAAATGTTTTTAAATATAGCCATTCAAGATACAGGCAATGTTTTAACGATGAATGAGAAAGTAACACCTTCTTAGAAGAAAAGCTATGCTACAGGGAGAACATTTTTGAAATAGATGTTTGAAAATGTTATTTTATTTTAAAACATAATGTCACCTATTAAAATTCATATCTGCATGTTTGGTATGTTTAAAATGGAATGTCCTGGCCAGGCATGGTGGCTCATATCTGTAATCCCCACACTTTGGGAGGCCGAGGCAGGTGGATCACCTGAAGTCAGGAATTCGAGACCAGCCTGGCCAACATGGCGAAACCCCATGTCTACTAAAAAGACAAAAATTAGCTGGGCATGGTGGCATGCGCTGTAGTCCCAGCTACTCGGGAAGCTGAAGCAGGAGAATCACTTGAACCTGGGATGCGGAGGTTGCTGTGAGCTGAGATCACACCACTGCACTCTAGCCTGGGTGACAGAGTGAGACTCTGTCTCAAAAATCTGTAAAGTTGTGGTGATTTTAGCACACAATTATTAAAAACAGAAATTCGGCCTGGTGTGGTGGTTCATGCCTGTAATCCTAGCACTTTAGGAGGCCAAGGCAGGAGGACTGCTTGAGGCCAAGAGTTCAAGACCAACCTGGGCAACAGAGACCCTGTCTCTACACAAAATACAAAAATTAGCCAGGTATGGTGGCATATACCTGTAGTCCTAGCTGCTAGCTATTTGGGAGGCTGAGATGGGAGGATCTCTTGAGCCCAGAAGTTCGAGGCTGCAGTGAGCCAAGGTTGCACCCCTGCACCCCAGCCTGGGCAACAGAGCAAGACCCTCCTAAAAAAAAATATGTGTGTGTGTATATATATATATATGTATGTATTTATATGTCCATCTTTCCATAGGTTAGAGTATATCTTGAAAATGTATTAAAGCTATTGAATTATATATATAATTATATATTGAACTATATATGTAATATATAATTATGATTGGAATTATATAAATGTATATAATTGTATATATGTAATATATAATTATAGATGTTTAAGCATATGTAATATGTAATATATAATTATTTAATTATATATGTAATCTATAATATATAATTAATTGCATTTATTTAATTATATATGCAATATATAATTATATAATTAATATAATCAGTTATATACAACAGAATTATATATTATTAATAATTGTATATATGATTAACATATATAAACATACATAATTATATATATAATTCAATAGCAAGATATCAGGAAAGATGGACTTTACTAGCTGAATTTTAGTTGGCATTAACAACAAAATAATAATTTAAGAAAACAAAACAAATTTTCAAATTCCTAAACCTTTGCATTATCAGAGGATGGAGTCAGTGGCATGATGAGCTTTTCCCATTTAGATCTATGTATTTACATGAGGTACCTATACTGTCCATTAAAACCAAGTATCAAAACAAATTGAATTTTAAATTGCTCACTTATAAAATATTAAGCCAAGATTTTCAGAAATAATAGAGTATATTAATGTACATTGTTCTGGTTAAGTATTAATAATTTCTAGAGACATCAGAAAGTTATTTGCCATTAATAAAATATTTTATCTTTAATTCTTTAGAAATTTCTATACTTTAACCATGTACATAGTATATTAATATAATAACATATGTGCTCCTCTATAAATAAGTATATTCATGTTGTGGAGTATATGCCCACAAATCTTGTACTTCCTAGGGTTGTGAGACCAAAACAGTTTGGAAACCACTGTAACATACAGCCAAAGAAGATACTTTGTTGACTGAATATGGGCTTTTTAAACTCTCAACTGTATTTTTATAATATCACAATCCCAAAGTTAGACTAAATAATGAATAACACGGTCAGGCATGGTGGCTTGCACCTGTAATCCCAGCACTTTGGGAGGCCGAGGCGGGCGGATCACCTGAAGTCAGGAGTTCCAGACCAGCCTGGCCAACATGGCGAAACTCCATCTATACTAAAAAGTACAAGAATTAGCTGGGCGTGGTGGTGGGCGCCTGTAATCCCAGCTACTCAGGAGGCTGAGGCAGTAGAATCGCTTGAACCCGGGAGGTCGAAGTTGTAGTGAGCCGAGATCGTGCCACTGCACTTCAGCCTGGGCAACAAGAGCGAGACTCCGTCTCAAAAAAAAAAAAAGAATAACACATATTAAAGGAAGTTGCGAACTGGAAAAATATTTCCTGTTTGTGTAAATTGAAGTAGGCCAAAGAAACAGAGATGTCTAACATATCACACATATCCTTATTTCAGTCATGCAAACAATTTTCAATAATAAAAAAATCAGCTGCTGAGGCTATTAGTGATGCAAAATTATTTAATGTTTCCAAGGTTAGACGTTCACTTTTTGAGACGCTTGAGTAGCTTTTCACTTAATTGACTAGCATGTATGGGTTTCTTTACCCAGGTCCACAATTCACTACACAGGTCCAGAAAAAAAGCTGATCTCTGAAAAGCACTAGGAGAAGGCAGCTAGAGAGGGAGAATTCTAATTAGGCCGGGGTCCTCTGTGGCTTGAATGACTGAATAAGTTTTTATAGTCTTCAATTCAGTGACTGCCAGATTCTTCCCAAAGAAATTTCTAGAGATCAAGAGTAGGCTCTTTCGGAAGTACTTGCCCGTATTACACTTTAATTTTACAAACCAAACAACAGCAATTCAACCAATCAAACAACAAAAACAATCCAAAGAAAGAGACTTGGACATAGGCATCAAGGAATCATTTCACTTTATAATTTAATAGAACACTGGTGTATCATTCATTAATTCTGAAAGTGAGAACTAAATGTAAAATAATTTTGTAAGGTTTGTGAATTGTTGCCTAGGTATTCTGGTGATGTTTACTTTAGTGATTTTATCATTAATGAAAGCAATGTGTTTTTTTAGAAAACATATTATTAGGGTTCATAACGTTGACATTCTGTTGTGCAATCATAATCTCCTGTTTTGTTTTAGTCATAGCTCTACAGTTGAATGAATTCAAAGCTCACCTCCAGGCCTTTTGCTATGGTTTCTGTTTAGCTGAAGTTTATCCTCAAGTAGGGGTCATAAGAATTATATTCCCCACTGTCTTTCATGTTCAAAAATGCTTATCTGGGTCATTGTATTTGAATAAAAATATGTAATGGATTGAATGCTAACATTTTTGAGTCACATTCTTTTTCTTTGAGAACATTGGTTATGCCTATTTTGGAAGTCCTTTTAAGTTTTTTGCTAATTTTTATTTTAATTGCTTGCTTTGCTCTTAGTATATTACCATGTCTCTTCGTGTATTTTCAACAATATCTATTCTCCTTTGTGCTGCATCCAATTTGGCATTTTTCTTTTTCTGTTTTGGTTTTACTTTTCTCTTACATTTCTTTCTTGAGCTGTATCTGCTGATGTCTCATATCCTTTTGTTATTTTGCTGTATCTTGTTATTTTGTAGTAGCTCCCCTACCTACTTTCAGCTCTTGTTTTATAGAGGTCTTTGTTTTATTAGGGGAAACAGTGATTTTTCAGATTTTATTTTTAAATGAGTGATTGCTTGGGGGAAACTAATTATAACTTTTTCCACATAAATTAATGAAAGCAAGTTTTCTACCAAGAGAAAAGTTGTGAGGAACAAATTACTTTCATAAACCAAGGGATATCTCATATACAAAATTCAAAATTGCTACTCATTTGTTATGTCTAAAGATATTATAAAATCTTTAATACTTGGATTTCAAAATTTGAGACTTTTTTCAGTGTTTGAAACTTAAAACTTTCGGGTGGGTGCGGTGGCTCATGCCTGTAATCCAACACTTTGGGAGGCCGAGACGAGTGGGTCACTTGAGACCAGCCTGGCCAACATGGTGAAACCCCGTCTCTACTAAAAATAAAAAAAATTATCCCAGCATGGTGGTGCATACCTGTAATCCCAGCTACTCAGGAGGCTGAGGCACAAGAATTGCTTGAACTTTGGAGGCGGGGGTTGCAGTGAGCCGAGATCACGCCACTGCACTCCAACCTGGGCGACGGAGCAAGACTCTGTCTCAAAAAAAAACTTGTCTCTACTGAAAATACAAAAATTAGCTGGGTGTGGTGGCACGTGCCTGTAGACCCAGCTACCCAGGAGGCTGAGGCAGGAGAATCGCTTGAACCCGGGAGGCGGAGGTTGCAGTGAGCCCAGGCTGCGCCATTGCACTCCAGCCTGGGTGACAGAGCAAGACTCCATCTCAAAAAAAAAAAAAAAGAAAGAAACATAACTTTGTATTCCTCTTAGAGCTGGTAGTCACAATTTGTGTGTTTGTGTACTGTATCAAAGATGATGTTTCATTTTTAGTCAGAATTTCTACCCATTAAAAATGGCAGAAGTTCAAGAGACATAAGAGCTGTTTGTACTATAGTACTGTTTGTACTATAGAATTAATGTTAGATAATAGGGTGTTTTGAGCAATTAAAAGTTAAGTAAGAAACATCTTTCCTCTTTAACACTAATAAAACTGACTGAAAATTTTGTAGTGCTATCTTTTGTTTTTCATGTTCAGAAATCTTCAGTGACTCTAAGGGGTATAGTTAAAACTCTTTAACCTGGCTTTCCAACATCTGGTCTCTTTTCCAACATCTGGTCCCCTTTTCAAACTCATCTTACATCAGTCCCAAATTCCTGTGTTTCCCTTGGCGTGGTACTTGTTCCTTTGATTATGTGATGTGCATTTATGCTTCATTCTGTTTGCAGTGCCTTTCTCTACTCTTACCTGTCCAGGTTTAAACCATCTTTAAAGGTCCTCCTCAATAAAGCCTTTCTTTCTCTGCATTGTACAGTCTTCTTTCCTTAAATGTTGATAGTATTTATTGTTATGTATTTTTTCATTCACTTACTTGATAAATGAAAACACAGTGTTTATGATTATCCCCATAAATTAGTACAAGTTCTTTGAGTTTATGGACTTATATCTGTAATCGCCACTGTCCTTGGCATGTTGCCTTTTGCACTGCAGTTAATAAATAATCGTTGGTCCATTGCCACTTATTCCAAATACCCTGTGACAGTAAAATTCTGTTTTCTTCGTGGTTTAATTTATTTCTCATAAACTAGGAAAGAGTCCTTTAAAATGCAGTCAGGAGCTTCATAGCCACATGTGGCTTTGCTTTCCATTTTCCTCTGTCTACATGTGATTTTCATGAATTAATCTCTGGTGGTCTCTTTTTGCTTTATTTCAGAGGCATTTTCAGTGCATGATTTAACTTCGGCTGTCATCAGGAAGCTGACTTAAAGTTCTTTCTTGACTTTGCCTGCCATCAACACCCTGTGGTATTTCTGGCTGGCATTTTTCTCTGCATGGATATGTTTACTTCTCCATGCCTAGGAACCTTCTCCATCTCATTGTAAGCACTGCTATTTGTACATTCCCACCACCTGTCAGTTGGCAAAAAGCTCTGGGAAGCTGCTTTTGCTTCCCAGTCATGAGATGAAATGTGAATGTGCATAAGGTCCATGCCCTGACCCAGCGTCCAAGATCCTGAGTGCACAGGCAGATTGCCACATGATGATGTAAAGTGGCAATATCGAGGCACCAAATGCTCCCATCATGACTGGAGACGTTTAAAGTTATATCCTGATATTTTTGGTGTAAGAATCCCTTTCTTCATATTACACAAGGGAAGGTCAAAGGACATAGGACATCTAACTCTCCTTTTTTGAATATTAGAAATTGGGTGAAAATGAGAATGTCATTGCTTGTTGAATAAGATATTTTCAAAATCAGAGTATTAGTGGGGGCTGGGTCTTAGGAATGCAATTGTAAAAGGGAGTGATGGATATTCCCTTGGCAGAAAAATTATATAGATGTTATATCACAGCCATTATAGGGGTAAGGACTGTCACCAGCTTGGGTAAAACAAATAGGCTCTTCTGTTATGCTGATTGGAAGAGTCTTACAGAGCTGAGGGCCTAAAGGAAAGTGATTTCAGAGAACATTTACTTTTTCAAGTCATTTGCGTCTCTTTTGAAATGTTATTTCTCACTGTAATTTTTAGCTTCCCATAATTCCTTTCTGCCAGCAGCCAACTTGTGGAGTATCATTTTCCTGGTCCATCTCTAACAAGAGAAAATTTCCAGTCATTATTTTGTGCTTCAGAATGATTCTGTGTATGATCATGCAACTTCAGTAAGATCACAGTTATTAAAATGAGTACCTAATTTAGTGACTATGACTATTGGTCTTTGAGTATCTGCCTGCTTCCAGGTATAGAAACATCCATAAAAACACCTACAAATCATATTTCATTCTTTGTAGCCATACATAGATAACAGTCATCAGCTATACCTTCTGTGTGAATGGCATGACCGAAGAAGTAGACTTCTTGAGGTCCCAACTTTTATTTCATGAAATTTTGTGTCTTCTCTGGAATGGAAATGCTTTAGTTTTTATTTCAATGGTTTTGTTTCAAAATTATATTGTCAGAGATTCCCTTTTCTGATTGTCCTGTTGCACATGCTTATAAGATGGGGAGTATGAATGTGTGTAAGCTTTTCAAGCTGACCTCAGAATTTCCTCTCTGAGGGACTTCTAGGGATTTTCACATGTGATATATTGAATAAAACTGTACTTTAAAAATTCAGCTATAGAAATAATTATGTTCTAGTCATTTTAAGAAAATACCAATTTTTCAGAGGGTTCTTAATTGATTTTGATTGTCTCTTTTTACCAGTATGAACTTTAGAAATGGAGGAATTGAAACTCAGAAACTGGACCAGGAAGCAAGTAGAGAAGATGACTTTGTTACATAGATTTTCAAATAGATTATGTTATTTTGGTTTCTTCATTTAAGCTAACTTATGAAGGATATATTATTAGATTGGAAGGAATATTTAGTCTCTTCACATTTAGGAAGCTCAGATTTTGAAGTCCTCTCTCATGTTAAACCCATCCGGATACAAATTCGATTCATCCTTCAAGGCCCAGCTGTTAAGATATTTCTTATCTTGAAAGCCGGCCCTACTCTGCCACCTTGCAACCCCCAAAAAGGAAATTGTCTTCACCTTCTGCTTTAAACTCCTAATCTTTCATAAATATCTTTCTTCTTCATGCTTTTTCATAGTTATTTGTACCCATGTGTTATTTCCAGTGTCAGAATGGAAGCTAAACGTGAGAAGGCATAGTAGGGTATTCATCATCACACTCCCCACACCCGTAGCACAGTTTTGTAGGTCTTGAATAGATGACTTCATCTTATGTAAATGAATGGCTTATTTCATTGGAAAAAAAACCACAGGCTTTTTATTACTATTATTTGTTTTACTCTTTAAATACCACACTGGCACCATGTTAAGGTCAGGAGTCTAGTCAAGCCCCAGGATGAGTTCTAGGCCCAGCTCTGCCTCTGACCCATTTTTCCACAAATCAGTGAACCTCTCTGGACTGCACTGTCATCTGAGAAAAAAGGGTGTTGTGTTATACAATCTGGCAGGCTTCTCCAGCTCTGAAATTCACTGGTGGCGTCATCTATCATGGAGAATGGCATGGCCGTCTCCTTTATTTTCCCTGCATACCACAGATATTATTCAGAATCCACCACAGCATGAATATAGATGTGGTCTGTCAGTGTGACAAAGACTGTTCTCAAGAGGAAATTACTGGGTTTGACAGCTACCCAACCCTGGGTTTAGTTTTTGGGATGTCACTATAGCAAGTGTTGTGGCCGATGTATCCAATTCCTCATCTACATATATGGCTGAATATGCTGTTCTTGCTGTAATAGCATGAGGGCTATTTTTCTTTTAATTCAGCTGTCACATAGGAAACTGCTGCCATGGTTTCCTTCTATGACCAAATGTTGCTAACCCTTTCAGTCATCCTTGAAGTTATTAATAGCCACACATCATGAATGTATTCATGCCATTTCCTTTATAGAAAAAGGAATCAATTTCTCGTGTTTTTCTTTTGTAGTAGATAGCTAACTTCTAGGTGGAATTTTGGTAATATTGAATGTCATATTTATAAAATAAGAGAAATCTGTATTTAATAAAATACACATTTTATGAGATACTTAACAATTGTTTTAAAATGCCATGACAAAGTAGGCCAGGAATTAAGAATTACATCAAAGTTTTGATTGTCCACCTTATGTATAGACTAAAATCAAGACCAAAGATTTCCAGTACTACATTTTTATCGATGACAGCAACCTATGAGTTTGTTGCCTTATGTCTGGCCATCTTGTCTGCCTACCTCCTACCCCATCGTTCTCCTCCATCAGGCTACCTCAGATAAATGCATCCTTGACATTCAAAGAGTTCTCCAAAGACCAGTGGCATCAGCATCAGGGAGCTTATTAGCAACGCCTAATCTCAGGCCCCACTCCAAAGGTACTGAGTCAGACATGTTTAATATTCCTAGGTGATTCATATGCACATTAAAGTTTGAAAATCACTGGCCTACCCTAGTTAAATTTTGGATAATTTGAGTAAATTATCATCTCTATTTATGTTACTTCCTAACTTCAATAGCTTTTTATTCCCTACCAAATAATGTCTAGATTCCTTAGCCTGACATACAAGGCCCCTACAGACAGAAACATACAAGGCCATATAGACAGAAATGGCTGTGCCTTTTTTGCATGTCCCCCAGTATTTCATCCTACTCCGCCTTTCTGGTCTTCTTGCCATATACTGTCTCATTTCTCTCCTAGCATTTTTGTTTATGGCAGGTTCACTGCTCTCTTTCCTCTTCCTCCCACTACCCCATCCACATATCTGAATGGTATCCATTCCTTAGCTGAACATTCTTCTATGTAGCCTTTCTTTTCTTTCTTTCTTTTCTTTTTTTTTTTTTAGACAGAGTCTCACTTTGTCACCTAGACTGGAGTTCAGTGGCGCGACCTCGGCTCACTGCAACCTCTGCCTCCCAGGTTCAAGTGATTCTCCTGCCTCAGCCTCCCAAGTAGCTGGGATTACAGGCGCCCACCACTATGCGCAGCTAATTTTTGTATTTATAGTAGAGATGGGGTTTCACCATGTTGGCCAGGCCGGTCTCAAACCCCTGACCTCAAGTGATCCACCCTCCTCGGACTCCCGGAGTGCTGGGATCACAGGTGTGAGCCACCACGCCCGGCCCTATGTAGCCTTTCTTTATCACTCCAGCCCACAAAATATCTTTCCTCTTCTGTAGAACTCCTATAACACTTGCCATATTGACATATTTAATGGTAGCAACCGCAACACCACTGGCAACTAATATTTACTAAGTGTTTTCCATGTGCCAGGCACTGTGCTGAACGGATCCTCACAGGAACATCTTGGGTTGGGCTCCGTCTGTCCCCATTTTACACATGAGGGAAAAGCTCAGAGAGGTCTAAAGACTTGCTCAAGGTCACCAGCTGGTGACTGATGGAACCAAGATTCAAACCGAAGGAGGCTGCCTTTCCAGCTTATGCTCTTAATCACTGTCATATTCCTTTCTCACTTCTTTTAACAGCGTTAGAGACCCTGAAGGTAGGAAGCATGCTTTTGTGTCCCTCCATTGCCTAGCATAAACACCAGGAAGCAAGGCCTATTCACTCTGCCCTAAGAGCATTCTTGATGCACTGGTTGCATGATTATATGGCTTTTCCCTGTTCCTATGAAGTGGTTTGGTTTGGATTGTTATACTTGAGATTTCATTTGAAAAAATATACAAAAGGAAGCTGATGCAACATTTATATCCATCAAACTGTAGAAGGCATTCCAGTTCAGATTGCTCTGATAGGAACCCATGTGTTACGCATCTTGCCTATGGAATTATATCACAAGACCAAAGGATTTGCCAAATAAATTATAAAAATCAAATATATTGAAAATTGCTGAGAGGAGTTTTATCATAATTTTAACTGGAGTGGGAGTGCTAAACGAAATTCATGACTTTCTCTTCATAAGGGAGGATTATACTTTGATTCACTTGGAAGAGTCTTTAATCAGTTACTGTGAGTTTAGCATTGTGTTTTATAAATTCCAGCTGGGCCACATTATCTGCTCTTCTTCTCTCCTTGGTTGCAACCTGCTGCTGGAGAAAATCAGGGCAAAGCAGTGATTAAATCCACTATAGACTTACTGTGAAGCCTCGTAGTTCCTGCACTCGCTCTTGCCTCTGCCTACCCCAGCCCTTGAAGCTACTGATGATGGCTCCTTTGGTAGACTGGCTCACCCATTTCCTAAGCCAGCCCCAGGAAAGGCAGAACAAGTACTAATACTAATACCCTTTACTCTCCCCCCTACTCTGCCTGTTTATCACTCACTTTTACCTGCCTCCCACTCATGGAGTTTTTAGAATTTTAAAATCCCAGGACTGGTTACCGGTGGCTAGACATGAATCCTGGACTCTTGTCATTATTCCCGACCCTCCTCCTTTCTCCCAGTGCCATGTCCTCCACATGCCACACCTCTAGTCTCCTTAGCTACCATTAAGCCCAAGAATCAATGTTGACACCACTTTTTCCTCCTTATCTTCACTTAGGCCTCTGTCCAAGGCCCCCGCCCTTTGTTCTGACCCATACTGCAGGGCCTGCACTGTTAAGTGGGCTCAGGTGCTTGGACCTGCTCTTGGCCGATCTGAGATCTGAAGCTTACTTACCACTTGCCTTCTTTCTTTAATGTGTCTGCCTCCCCATCATACATTCCACAGTGAATTAGTGTTTCTCTCTCTCTCTCTCTCTCTCTGTCTCTCTCTCTCTCTCTCATCAAGTGTGATGTCTGAGAAATCTCTAAACTCTGCTATCCACCTTCCTGGATCCTCTTGCTTAGATCCCCTGGTGCCGGCCTTGATCCCAGAATGGGACCATGTCACAGTACAGGCAGAAACTGATCTCTATGTGACCAAAGTGTTTGGGCTACCAGAATCTGTCTTCTGTACTCAGTTCCCCCACCCTGGTCCTGTGTCATTCCAGAATGCCTTCCATTTCATGCAGAGATCTGGTATGCCTGTCACTCAGGTCAGACAATACCCCTATTGCTATCCAGGAGAAATGTAACTCAGCTGGCTTCAGTTCCCTGTTATAGGGATGGCACGTAGTTGACATGCCTGCCACTGACCCCTCCTGTACCTGTGGCTGCCCTCTTCTGCAGAACTCAGAGTTCTTCTCAGTACAATACCCCAAGCCAGCTCATTAGAGTTGTCATATGAGATCAAATCTCTTGCTCTCTCTGTAAGGATGTATTCTCTGTGATGGTTGTACCAAACCTTTCCCACTACTGTGCTTTGCAGGTGATCTTGCCTTTTTCTTCATGGAGAGGATCATGGCCTCTTCCTGGGTTTACTGCCTTCTCTTCATCTCTTTTCTGTATTCCTTTAATTTTCTTTCTTCTTCTTCTTCTTTTTTTTTTTTTGAGATGGAGTCTCGCTCTGTTGCCCAGGCTGGAGTGCAGTGGTGTGATCTCGGCTCACTGCAACCTCCACCTCCTGGGTTCAAGCGATTCTCCTGCCTCAGCCTCCCAAGTAGCTGGGATTACAGACGTGTGCTACCATGCCCGGCTAATTTTTGTATTTTTAGTAGAGATGGGGTTTCACCATGTTGGTCAGGCTGGTGTGGAACTCCTGACCTCAGGTGATCCACCTGCCTTGGCCTCCTAAAGTGCTGGGATTACAGGCGTGAGCCACCACGCCCAGCCTTCCTTTAATTTTATTTCTGAGGAAAAGGGGTCTCTTCTTTTTTTCCTAATTCCTCTCTTTTGTTCTGGTCTTCTCTCTTCCCCTTTTTTTGATCTAAGACATTTCTCCATCAGCCATTCCCACTTCTGTTTATAATGCCTATCCCTGCCTGAAGATATACTCATATCCATCCTAGAAAGCTGCTCTCCCCAACTAAGTACCTCCAGTTGTCCCCTGTCCTTTTTCTCAGGGTTCATTGTTGCCAGCTTCTCACAGCATTCACACCCTGCCTGGAGAGCCAGTCCTCGATTCTCGCTCTTCCCCAGCTTTCATTGCACTGTATTGTCCACTGCAGTCACAGTGCTTCCCGTTCATTGATTACCAACTACGTGTTGCCTTACTTAGTCCTTACAGTGACTCTCCACATCAACGGCATTTCTATCCATTTTACAGTTAAAGCTGAGAGTCCTTTATTGCTCAATTCAAACCAAACAACTAATTCGCAATTATTATTATTTTTTTGGTCAAAGAAGTCACAGAACCAAGCCCCTAGGGCAATCAGAATTTTTTATTTGATTATAATCATGTTGCTGGTACTTGTTAATGGTCAAGTGTTTTCATAACCTCAAAATGTTATTTTCTTGTTTAGAAATGCCACTGCCTAGTAATGATAATGATGGAGTAGACTGAATTTACAGGTAGAATAAAATGTCTGCACTCCCATGTTAATTGCAGCATTATTCACAATAGCCGAGATATGGAAACCCATATTAAGTGCCCACCACTGGATGAATGGATAAAGAAATTGTGGTATGTGTGTACAGCAGAATATTATTCAGCCTTAAAAAAGAAGGAAATCCTGCCATTTGCAACAGCATGGAGGAATCTGGGGACATTATGCTAAGTGAAAGAAGCCAGACACAGAAAGACAAATATTGCATGATATTACTTATATGTGACATCTAAACTAGTCAAACTTGGAGAAAAAGAGTGGAATGGTAGTTGCCAGGGGCTGGGAAGTGGGGAAGATGGGGAGATGTCGGTCAGAGGATACAAAATTTTAGTTACAGGGTGAATGAATTCTAGTGATCTAGTGTACAGCATGGTAACTATAGTTAATGTGTTGTGTACTTCAGATTTGCCAAGGGAGCAGATCTTAAGTGTTTTCAACACACACATACACACACACACACACACACACACACACACACACACACACACACGAAGCATGTCAGGTGATGGATATGCTAATTAGCTTGACTGTGAGTCATTACACAAAGTATACTTTTATAAAAACGTCATCTTGTATACCTTAAATATAGACAATTTTTTGTCAGTCATACCTCAAAAAATGTCTACACAGACTTAGTGAGACTCATGACATGAGTCATGTTAAAGGATATAAGAAACAAATAAAAGTTTAAAAATGCTTTTCTTAACCCAAGTCTTATTGTTAGGATTCCTCATAATCCAGTCATGACTTCAATTAGAAATCCTTGCCGTGGGATATCAAGACTCTTGTCCAAGGAGAGGAAGGGGCAGGAGGGTCTCACTCTTGTTCTCTCCTTGTAAAAATTTAACTCTGTTTGCAGGAGAGAGTATTTGACGAATACATGAACAAATAAATGAATGAAATGAACGAAGGAATAGAATTAATCTGATCAAAGTTTACATGTTCAAATTATGTGTTGAATTGGATAGAGCAGCTGCTGGCCCTTACTTTTTTCTGGGCCTATTTCAAATGGTCTTCTTTACTAGGCTTTCAATTGGAGATTTAGACTTGGAGGCTTTAACAAATATGAATTGAGTACACATTTGTATAGCGATTTAAACTGCTATTATCACAAAATTGTCACAGTAGTTTTAAACTCTGTCAGATGGCTTTTAACCAAACCCTGCCATCAGAGTCAAATTTGATTCTTTGGATGGTTCTTTCCTTTTTTCTGTCTCTTTCACATTGTCTAGTAAAGAAGTTTCTTCAATGACCAGTTTTGTCATAGAGTTGGTGCCATTTATTCTGTGGGTTACAAATTTATCATCACAAGTAGCTAGATGTACTTCTCATAGACAACTTGTATCCACAAATTTGTTGTTTTTTTCTTTTTTTCTTTTTTTTTTTTCTGAGCCATTCTCCCTAGAAAACACAAATTGTTTTGGGGGGAAAAATTAGACTGTTCTTCAGGGGTATTTATTTTCATGATTCACTGTGCAGAGATCGGAGTTGTGCCTTAAGGGCTTGGCTCTGCTCTCTTGATACTGGTATCCATTGCTAGGTGTGGCTCAATTAAACAGGAAGGATGGCTAGATAGCATATATATTCACATGTCAAATGGCAGCATCCATCTTTGAGACAGGAATCTTGGTGGGAAAAGTTCAATTTTTTAACAAATGTGAAATTACCTCCTCAATCATTTTTATTTCCGGTTAAATTAATGTCTTATATAAACACTGTAGGCTAGCATAGTATTTGATACCATTTAGTTTGCTCTCTCTTTTAGTTCCTAATTTTCATTGTAGTTCTCAGTGTTTGCTTTTTGAGTGTGAGTTTATGGCAGAATAAATCAAATTAACTTTGGTGGGTAGATTGAGTTTTCTCTGATGACCTTTACTAACCAAAACATACTTTCTTCTCAGGTGAAAAAGCCAGAGTGGATTATTATTTATTTGACTGACAAAGAAATGCATTTCTAATTTTATTTAGTGACTAAAATAAATTGATTCACCGTAAATTAAATATGAAATAAATGCATGATCCTCTCTTAATGAACCAAACAGATTGAGAGCCGAGCACCTTTGCAGTACACCTCTTTCACCAGTTGGTGGTGCCAAAAACTCTGCTAAGAAACTGATTGAAAGAACAGAAGGTTAACCAGGAGCCTTTCTTAATAAGCGTTATTTTTCGTAGTTTTTGAAAAATTTGTACTGAAAACATATGCCCAAATTATCGCATTTTCTAAGGTTAGGAAGCAAAGCTAATCCCTCTGGTGACCAGCAGAATATATTTCTAGTAAGCTTCTGTAATAATGTCATTGGTCTATGTTAATATTCACATATTGGAAATTGCAAAGTTGTGTAACATCTGACTCCATCCTGGAAATAGCCTTTAGTGTGCTTGCCTGGAGAGTGGAGGAGCAAATGATAATAATGTGTACAGAGAAGAAGAGTGATGTTCCTGGCTATATTTATTGTCGAATTTAGGTCTTTAAAAATATTGACTTGCGTTATTATTACTATGTGTTTTTTTTTAACCATTAATATATTCCTGTGACAGCAGGAACATTGCTTTTTTGTGTGTGTGTGGGCGGGGGCGGCTAGGTTTGTTTAACCCTTTACTGTTTAGCCCTGAAAAAGTCCAAATGGAGCAGTAGCCTGTTGCTTGAATGTGTCCTGAGATACAGTCAAAAGAACCCAGCCTTTGGAGTCAGAGAGATCAGGTTTTGAATTTCCCTACATATTTCATAACTGTCTCTCTCTTTTTTTTTTTTCTTTTCGAGACCAAGGTCTCACTCTGTTGCCCAGGCTGGAGTGCAGTGGTGCGATCTTGGCTCACTGCAACCTCCACCTCCCAGATTCAAGCGATTCTCATACCTAAGCTTCCCAAGTAGCTGGGACTACAGGTGTGCACCACCATGCCCGGGTAATTTTTGTATTTTTAGTAGAGACGGGGTTTCACCATGTTGGCCAGGCTAGTCTCCAACTCCTGGCCTCAAGTGATCCGCCTGCTTCATCCTCCCAAAGTGCTGGGATTACAGGCGTGAGCCACTGTACCCAGCCTTTCATAACTGTCTTTTAATTACTTATGCAGATTTTTTACTGCTCAGTTTTTCCAGTTTGTAAAATGGAGATAATAACATCTTCCCCTCAGAGTTGGAGTAAACATCACCTGAGATAACGGATGTGCTGATTAAGTGCTCCTCACCCTGTCCTTTTCTAGTTTAAGCACAGACTCAGTTCTTTTTGAGCCTCCACCACATCCCATGCTCTTAGCCAGGGCCTTAGGACCGGAGTCCCTCCTTGGGTGTGATGATGCCTCATGCTGCGTTAATGAGAAGATGTTTCCAGGTTGTAAAGTTCCACAAGGATTTTGTAAAGAACTCACAAAAGAGATACTCATATTGTTAGCTATATGTGGTGTTCAGATATTTGCCCGTCTACCCTGGGATGTTTCCATGTTGATCTGAATCTGCCTAAATGTTTAAGATTGGAGAAGGGAGCACAGGGTTGCTGACAGGTGTAGCAACAGTGTCCCCAACAGTTCATTCATCCATTTATTCCACAAACTTTTACTCAACATTATTATTGCTGGGTCTCCGGCATACAAAGATGAATTCCCAGAGAGCCTGAAGATGCTTCTGAGAGCTGCAGACTCAAGGAGCAGGATGCTTTCTGCTTGGCAGGAATTGATAAGCAGCCCTGATCTATGAAAGAGCAAGAAAGATAAATTTAAATATTTTTTAAAATATTATTTTACAAAGTTATAAGACTGTAAAAAAAATTTTAACTTTGAAAAACTCTGATAGTTGTATTAAGCTTTTGATAGCATCATGTTTGGAAGAATGAGCAAATCAGAAGAAGCCTTCAGCGTGGTTGGTAAAGTCATAAAACACTGTTAATTAGGAGCTTTAGCCCAGTATAGAATTTTAAAATACAACTGTATAAGGTATATATATTTTTTAGGAATAGCACAACTAACATCTTTGATTAGATTCGATTGAAAGATTCAGACCCTTAAGATTTAGAGATTACGGAATCATAGAACTGGATGGTGGCTGGGACTTTAGGAATCACATATGCCATCTCCCTTATTTTCTAGCTAAGAAAATGGAAGTCAAACAAACGTATGTGACTCACCCAAGGTTACATAGACCTGGATCAAAACTCAGGTCTCCATGCCAAGACATTATTTTTCCATCCTAACTCCTATACAATGAGCCATTTTCAGTAGATAAATATATACTTGTCCCATCTCAATAAACTTTCATGCTAAATATGGAGTATCATGTCCGCCCTGTTACCAAAATGAAAACTTTGGCCGTACCTTCGGCAGTTAATTAAGGTGCTCCTACTTCCATCTCAGAGCTGAGCTGAGGGGAGGCAGGGCACACCAGGCCTGTCATGTGCAGTTCTCAGCCAGAGCCAGTGAGTTCCCCACAGAAGCAGGCAGCGTTTTCATTCACGCCTGCCTTGCCTGCTTCTCGTTTCTTGCTAGATGAATGGCATCATATGCCGCAGGTGTATTAGTAATTTCTGAGTTTGTTCCCCACTAAAAATGACCTCATTGTTTTGTGCTTCTTTTCCATAATTATACAGTAACAGGAAAATAAACCAGCTCTGAGTACAGCCCACAGCAGAAATCTTGTGCTCTTTATGCAAGTTTGATTTATAGACGTGTACTGCAGAGCAGAGTGACTATGAAACATTCATCTTCCCATTGCTAGTTGCCATGGAAATCGAGTACACAGAGCAGTGTCATTCCAGTCCTGGTGATGCCTGCAGTAGTTTATTCCTTTGTTGTTCCCGTTTCTTAAGCAACTGCCTAGCATTCTTTCATCATTACAATTAATCATGCACACAAGTTTTTATCTTTCGTCGCACATAGAAAGTACTAAAACGTATGACAAAAACAGGGAGAATTTAAATATTCCTATGGCTTTAAATATGCATTTGTAATTTTCATCCTCAGTCCCACTGGAAAAATAGGTCATGTAAAAAAAGCATATATTAATGTACAGATATTTCAATAGAGCAGTATAGAAATTTGAAGGAAAAACAATGCTAACTAAGCCCAGGAAGCCCAGGAAACCTTAAGGAACTTCAGATCCTGAGGGTCCCCCAGTGTTTAGATCTAAATCAGCCTGGGTAATGCCAATCAAAAAAGAAAAAAAAAGCCCCTGAGCTATGTATCATCAACTCCTGTTTTGATTTGTTAGTCTCCTTAACGGTTTGAACAACCTAGATATTTGCTGGATAGACATGCTAGACGTTAGAATAGAGATCCTTTTTCTCTTTAAAGGCCAATAAAGTTCAGGATTTTTTTTTTAAGTGGGAGTAAAAGGAATTCTAGTTTTTTCTTTTTTCAATGAAACCATTTTACCTCAGTTTTAACCCACATAGTTCATAGTCTATAGCATACCAACAATGAATAAATGCTTGTTGATTAGCCACTGCCTTCTTTTGTGGACTTCTGGCCATTCTGTTGGCTAAGAAAGCGTGTTCTAGAACAATTCTCTGGATCTAAATCCCTGCTGCATTGCTTATTAGCTGTGAGACCTTTGAAAAGTATCTCAGCTTGCCTTAGTTTCCCCATCTGTAGAGGGAACAGCTATAAAATTAAGATAATGACAGGTTGTTAGGAGGCTTAACAGGGATAATTCATGCAAATTGCTCAGCCCTGTGCCTGGCACAGGACACGTGCTCTGTCAGTGGGGACTGCTGCCGTGGCAGTGGTGGTTTCTATTGCCATGACTACTACAGGCCACAACTGAATGGAGAACTGTGCTCTGACCTAGAGAATAATACTTGGTTGATCTACAGCAATTCTAGCCCCAAAGCCGCAGGACTCTGTTCCCAGCATCCAGGCTCACACAATGATTGCTGGTGCTTTGTTGTGCTTGGGCTACATGGACTTGTTTCATCTCAAGACTGTGGATACTAGGATGGTGGCTGAGAAGTATTTACAGGGGTCTTTTTATCTGCAAATTGAGAAGAGAAGGCTGCTACAGGCAGTCCTTGAAGATGCAAATTTCTCATCTTTGACCTGGATTTGTTTCTTACAAGGAGCTGTGTGCGGAGCACGTTGGGAGGGAGTGGGCTGCCTTTACTTGTCTTGAGGAAGGTTCTCGTGTTTGTCTGCGTAGTCTGAAATAACGTCTGACCTACTGCCTCTCCACCCCCAAACCCCCCTTGTCACTCGGCAGTGCCTGCAGCATTCCTTCAGCCTTTCTGGAATTGAAGTTTTCCTAACTGGTGGCAGAAGCATTCTTTGTTGAAATTCACTCTCCTTGGCAGTTCTCCAGGGCACACGGCAATGCCTATTTATTTGATTTAGCCTTTGTTTGGTTAGCCTTGTATTTTGTCTGTTTTGCTTTGCGAAGTTCTTTTTTCCCCAAATTTTCATGTTTAAATCCCTTGGACTTCACTTCTATTTATTTTACTAGCTTGCTTTAAAATACTGCTAAAAGTTGTTTGCTTTAAGCTCTCACAAAATGAGTAGTCTTGGATTCATTTGTCTGTTTTCTCCAAGCCTGATCCATAGTGTGTGTACTAGGTGCACCTTTGTTAATTATTAAAACAAAATAGACTTTATGGTTTGTACTTTGTACATCCGAATATTATACTACATTGTCTCCAGTTCTCTTTATTTAGCTCTTTGTTTTTTTACCCTGTCCTCCAATCATTAGGCTCATGTTAATTCTAAAGAGATAGAAGTAGCTTAACTTTTCTGAATCTTTTCGTTCTCCCTCCTCTGCCATTCTTCCTGCTTCTTCCCACAATATAAAAACCCGTCCGACTCTCCTGTCTTCCGAGTGAAGCTGGCAACACTCCAAGTGACATGAGTACCCTAAGACACCCATTTTTTTGTAAGTAAACATTCAGTGACGAAACTTAGACCTTCTCTAGACATTTTTATGTATGTATGTATGTATGTATGTATGTATGTATGTATGTATGTATGTATTTGAGACAGATTCTCATTCTGTTGCCCAGGCTGGAGTGCAGTGACACAGTCTCTGCTCACTGCAGTCTCCGCCTCCTGGTTCGAGTGATTCTCATGCCTCAACCTCTCGAGTAGCTAGGATTACAGGTGCCCGCCATCACACCCAGCAAATTTTTGTATTTTTAGTAGAGATAGGGTTTCACCATGTTGGCCAGGCTGGTCTCGAACTCCTGGCCTTAAGTGATCCGCCTGCCTCAGCCTCCCAAAGTGCTGGGATTACAGGCGTGAGCCACTGCACCCGGTCACTAGACATTTTAAATCCTCTCAAGACCCCTGATTGTATGTGTGGCCTTCACCTCACACTTAACGTGGCCAAAATGCACTCCTGCCTTCTCTTTGTCCCCTAATCACTGTAAGAGAGATCTTTCCCTGTGCTCTTTTATTCTCAGGCTTATATCTTTCTTTGTTTTGGAAACACATATTTGTTAGAATCTTCTGCATTGCAGATACTGGGATTGTATGAAAATGAACAAGATAGAAACTGCTCTGCCCTTTAGGAGCTTAGAGTCTAGTTGAGGATGTAGGTGGTTAGAATCCAAGATGGTTAATCCTGAAAGATGACTACAAAGTACTATGGAGAAGAAGAACGCTTGCTGCAGACTGGGGAGGGGGCACCAAGGCTGACATCAGAGAAGTGATAGCCGGCGTGAGACCTGGAGGATGGTCTCCATTTGCCTGACTTCGCCTTAGCCAGGGAAGGAGGGAGGGCATATTCTAGACAGAGTGCATCTGCAGAGGTCAGCGGGAGAGCATGAATAACAGAGTTGTTACGCATAGTTAGCCTACTATCAAATACACCTATTTTTTTCAGTGGGTGGGTGGAACGAGAGATGAATGCAGAGTGATGAGACTGGAGAGATAGGCAGTGCCAGGTGATGAGGGTCTTGTAAGAGTTCAGACTTTATCCTGAGATACCGGGAAGCCATCGAAATGTAGGGAAGTGAGGTGATCAGACATTTTTTGTTTTGTTTTGTTTTTTGAGACAGAGTCTTGCCCTGTCGCCCAGGCTGAAGTGCAATGGCGCGATCTCAGCTCACTGCAACGTCCGCCCCCCCGGCTTCAAGCTATTCTCCCTGCCTCAGCCTCCCAAGTAGCTGTGATTACAGGTGCATGCCACCACTCCCAGCTAATTTTTTGTATTTTTAGTAGAGACGAGGTTTTGCCACATTGGCCAGGCTGGTCTCAAACTCCTCGCCATAGGTGATCCGCCCACCTTGGCCTCCCAAAGTGCTGGGATTACAGGCGTGAGTCATCATGCCCAGCCGATGTGATCAGACTTACATGATCTCTCCTAGTGTAGTGTGGAGAATGGATTAAAATGTGGCAAGAATAGCCTCTATTTGGGCTGATCCTAGGGACCGTTTTCCCAACTCAGCCTTCTCTTTAACTCCACAGTGTTTGTCCAGCCCAGCATGCATTTTTCTGATTAGCATGAGGGTTCATCTCAAACATCAGCTCCCTTTCTCTAGCTTCCTGTCTTAAAGGCCAGGACTGTGTCTTTTCCCTAGCTCTGGGCTGGCTCTTACTCTACACTAAATGTGTCATCTGGAGCACCAACTGGATCCAGGCTTTACCATTGCCCAGAGAGTCTGTTGTTTTGCCTACTATCTTGGCTCCCCTGGGATTTTGGTGCCAGCTTAGATCTAGCCTGAGTTCAGTGATCTCCTTTGACCCCTGAAATTCATTGCCATTCACACGTTGGCTCTTCCTGCTCAGCCAGTCTAGAACAAACCTGCCGCTGAGGGAATCCCTCTCTTTTCCCACTTGCAGTTGAGTATCCTAGATACTTCACAATTGATCTCCATTGTATACCTACATAGAACAATACCTTCGATAAGATGGATTGAGGTAAGGTGAGGAGAACCAGCTACAGGTTGAGTATCTCTTATCCAAAGTGCTTGGGACCAGAAATGTTTCAGATTTTTTTATTTTTTCAGATTTTGGAATATTTGCATATCATAATGAGATAACATAAGAATGGGACCCAAGTCTAAACACAAAATTCATTTAAGTTTCATATATACCTTATACACAAAGCCTGAAGGTAATTTTATACAATATTTTTCATAGTTTTGTGCATAAGAAGTTTGTCTTAAATACTTATGTATGGAATTTTCCACTCGTGGTGTAATATTGGTACTCAGAAAGTTTCGGATTTTGGAGCATTTCGGAGTTTGGATTTCCAGGGCAAGTTACTTAACTTCTCTGTGCCTTAGTTTCTTCATTTATAAACTGCAGGTATTAAGAGAACTTACACCAGAGTTGTTTGGAGGATTAAGCGAGCGAATGCCTGTCAAACACTGTGCCTGGCCCATAACTAGCTCTCACTGCTTATTCATGTTGTTATTATGGTGTCTAGACTTAACCCTAGGGAAAGTGGGAGAACATAAAAGGTTTTTGACTTCAGGAATATTTGACAACAGACAAATGGGTATTAATCTTGAAAGGTCCACCCCTCCTCTTCACTGTGAATAATTGAGAGATGACAGTGGTATCACATCCTGCCCAGCTGGGGGGCTATTCCAGTGAGTAAATAGATGTGAGGGAGTGATAAAAATAGCTAGCTGATATCTAGTGCTCACTGTGTGCCAAGCCCTGTTCTAAATGCTTTACTTGCCTTAACTCATTTGATCCGCACAACGACCCCATGAGGTGGCTACTGTGATTGTTCCCATTTTACTGACGAGGCAACAGGTACAAAGCAGCTGAGTGACTTAGCTAAGATCCCATTAACTGCTGGAATTTGGCTTGGACCAGACAGTCTGACTCCACATTGGAAACACAAATAGATACAGCCACCGTGTAAAGGAGGATCTTTGCCTTTCCTTTTTCTCTCTCCCCACAGGTGTACCCTTAAAAAGGGATTTTGAATCTCTTTATCAATCAGATCTATTACAGTCTGTAAATTTTGAAGGAACCATTTTATTTAAAGGCCTTTCCAGTTCAGTTTCAATAGAATAAAGATCTAGACAGCATATAAATTTTCATAGTAAAAAATAGAGCTATATAATCTATGACCATAACCCTTTTCATAGCCCTAAGGTTGGGGATATATGAAAACACATTAGCTGAATTGTACATTCTTTTTATAAAATGCCTGATTTCTGGCAATTTGGTCATACAATCTTTTGATAAAAATATCAAAAACCTCATACTGCAATACTGTAAAATGTGACTCTGTTAATGGCCAAAAACATCTGTATTTTTTACTGTCATGAACTGTTTAAACATCATCATAATAGGAAACATTTATGACTTAAATAATTGAAGTCTACATTTCTCAGAATCCACCTGCTCATCTCAACCTTTTGTTAGACCCTCAAACAAATCACAGAATTGACAGGCTTGAGTTTCTCTGTAACTCTTTCTTCTCCATCATGGGGTGGTAGGATGTGCAGGGGCTGTTGGTCAGTTCTTCCAAGTTTGAATGTCATAGTCGTGGGAAACTGATGTAGGCATCTGTCATGGGAAACTGATGTAGGGAAACTGATGTCTGTTAACCTCCCTGGACTTCAGTTTCTACTTCTGAAGGACTTCTAGCTTTAAAATACCTTGATTCTCTCTTTCTAAACCTTTTGTTTACTCACTCTTTAAAGAATATTATAATTAATAGTACAGTGATCTAATGGTAAGAAATAGAGAAGAAAAAATAATTTGGTTTCATTAATTTCATTTAACATTATTTCACAAAAGTTCATTAAGCACCTACTATGTGCATGATAAATACTTGTTTCACAGTCCAGTATACTAATAATGTTAAATTCTCAAACTGACTTGGGATTTTCCTTCCCTCAGTTTTCCCATTGCTAATGTTCCCCTCCTGGCTACAACATTACCATAAAATGTTATACTCTTTAATCTTATTTTCATATTCCCCAAACAAAACAAAACAAAATCTTTCATCTCAAAGGGATTTTTAGCATGTTGCAAATTATCATTAAATCACACACAATTTTCTGTCTTCAATTTTTCAATGTAAAAAACCACATTTTAAAACCTACTAGGTTATATTTCTTAGGAAAAACCGTAGACATCAAATGTTCACTTCTAATTTAGATGCGTCAGCTGACATACTAGTTTCAATGAGTTGCAGTAATGAATTTGTCATAGAATTGAAGCCATTTTCTAGCTATAAATCGCCCAAACCCAAATGCTATAGGAAATTTACAAGGACTGCCATTAGAATAGGATATTTTAAATTATCTCAGTTGTATTGAAACAAAACCAAACCTGATTAACAGATATATCAGGTAATCATGAATTGATGTGACAGAAAAGAGTTATTGGGCTATTTGTCAAATGATAAACTGGATGATGATGATGGGGAAAGTTACCTTTAATTTATTTATTTATTTATTTATTTATTTATTTATTTATTTATTTATTTTAGTGCTCTAATGAGTGCCAGGCATTGTCAGTATTTCATGTAATCCTCATGATAACCTTATGAGATGTACAGTATTACTATTTCTATTTTACAGATAAGAAAACTGAGCTTGGAGAGGTTAATGTTCCCAAAGTCCCACACTTTAAATAGCTGAAAATGTTTCACATTGCTTGTTGTCACCTTGAGTTCACCATATTTAAAGTGAAAGTCATCATCCTCATCCCTTGTTGTTCTTTCTGTTTCGTCAGTGATATCATGATTTTCTGTTTCATTCTTGCAGTCATTGATTTTTCCTTTTCCGTCTTTGCTCTAAATCCATTCAATTACCAAGTCCCTTTCCTCATTCAGTGTCTTTCTGCTGTCAGCCCTCTTCTCATCACTTAGTGTCTAGGCCTCCCAACTAAATGTACAGGCTAAAGGCCAAACTCCATAACTCGGTCCTCAAGGCTGGCTACTCTCTGACTCCTCCTCTTCTTTTAGGCTCTTTTTCCTGTTACTTCTCTCCAGATGAACTAGTTACCTAAATACTTTGTGCGCATTTTCTACATCCCCTTATGCAAATGATAACTCTTGAGATGGCCTCTCCCCTGTTCCCTGGTCCGTGAGCCCTGTCCCTTCCTCAGCATGAGACTGGGTCCTCTCCTGAAAGATGTGTTTTGATCAGCTCATTCCTCAGTGAGTATCCCTTCTTTTCAATGCTTGTGACAGTAGGCTCTATACCTGTCATTTTGCACTAAGCACGTGCCACCTGACTAGCATTGCTGTACAACTCTTCATCAATGTGATCTGTCTCTCTCTTAGTGGTGGTTAGGACTGGGTCTAGATCTCTCCCTAACATGTGGAACATTGTTCTATACCTAGAAAGTACAAGTCTTCATGCTTCGTGTGCATGGGTAAGGAGAGGAATTTTTATGGTAACTATAGTAAATATCTCACATATTGACTTCATTGACTTAAGAGATCTCCTGTGAATCCTCCAAGCCTTATTATTCAGACCCATTTCACTAGAAAGGGACCACATGTACTCATAGGATACAGTGGTAGATTGTTTGCAGAGATGGTCACAGCTCCTTCCATCCCTGTGCATGCACCTGTGTAAAGTGACTTGGCTCTCTTCCCAGCAGGAGGAAGAATTTATTTCTTCACTCCCCAAATCAAAGCTGACTTGTGACTTACTTTGAGCAAAGAGCATAGAAAAAACTAATAAATCTCAAAACCTGAGGGGTGGTCTAGGTGACCACCCCCAACAAAGGATCCCATCTGGGAGAAAATTTTTGCAATCTACCCATCTGACAAAGGGCTAATATCCAGAATCTACAAAGAACTTAAAGAAATTTACAAGAAAACAACAACCCCATCAAAAAGTGGGCAAAGGATATGAACAGACACTTCTCAAAAGAAGATATTTATGCAGCCAACGGACATATGCAAAAATGCTCATCATCACTGGTCGTCAGAGAAATGCAAATCAAAACCACCATGAGATAGCATCTCACTCCAGTTAGAATGGCGATCATTAAAAAGTCAGGAAACAACAGATGCTGGAGAGGACATGGAGAAATAGGAGCAATTTTACACTGTTGGTGGGAGTGTAAATTAGTTCAACCATTGTGGAAGACAGTGTGGCGATTCCTCAAGGATCTAGAACTAGAAATACCATTTGACCCAGCCATCCCATTACTGGATATATACCCAAACGATTATAAATCATTCTACGATAAAAACACATGCACACGTATGTTTATTGTGGCACTATTCACAATAGTAAAGACTTGGAACTAACCCATATGTCCATCAATGATAGACTAGATTAAGAAAATATGGCACATATACACCATGGAATCCTGTGCAGCCATAAAAAAGGATGAGTTCATGTCCTTTGCAGGGACATGGATGAAGCTGGAAACCATCATTCTAAGCAAACTCACAAGGACAGAAAACCAAACACTGCATGTTCTCAATCATAGATGGGAGTTGAACAATGAGAACACATGGACAGAGGGTGGGGAACATCACACACCAGGGCCGGTCAGGGGGTAGGGTGCTGGGGGAGGGATAGCATTAGGATAAATACCTAATGTAAATGACGAGTTGATGGGTGCAGCAAACCAACATGGCACATGTATACCTATGTAACAAACCTGCATGTTGTGCACATATACCTAGAACTTAAAGTATAATAATAATTAAAAAAACAGATATGTTTGTGTTAGGGTTCTCTAGAGGAACAGAATTAATAAAATATGGGTATAAATATATAAAAAAAAGGAATCCATCTGATGCCATGCCTTTTGCCACATTAGCGCCTGAGTTTTTGTTCCATTGTGTACATATGATAGATGTGGTTTGAGATGCTTCTTTAACCAAAGTTTTAATGCATTTCAAAGTTCTGCACTTCTAAGAAGTGATCTTAAAGGTAGATAATAAATTGTGGTTATTCACATGCCCTGATACCATAGTTCTGTTTTATCTCTTGTAGTTTCTTGAACGTAGTCCAAAATTAACATTGATTTAAAGTGCTAATATTTTCTCAGATCTATTTTTAAAACTTTGCATTCTTGTGTTCTTCATTTGCAAACACCCAGAATTGCCCCCCCCCTTCTCTTTTACCCATTATAAGGAAACAAGTTCTCTATTCGTCAAATAGCAAAACAGCCTTTGCTTAGCAGTGTATATTTCACTTTTGTGCTAAAGCTGTATCCCAGTAACATTTTCTTTCACTGAAAATGACCATTTCTTCCTGGAGTATATAATTTTTTTCAAATGCGTGAAGTTTTCAAAATGAAACCATATCAGACAGAATGATCTTTGGCTTTATGAAAGTGGAATATTTTTTATAGTTCTGTGGTTGTTCATTATTTTAAAACCTATTAGTTACAACAGGTTAGCTTGAAAAATGAGGAGGTTTAAATCTGAGACAAAATATCTCACTATAATTAGATTCTGAAACTGTGCCAGCAAAATTGTGTTTGAACGCTTCTTGAATTTGTTTTGTAAGGGGTAGCTTTCTGTTTTAAATGTGTATTCAGTAAAACACAGTTATTCAAATTCTACTAGACATGTAGGAGAGCCAGATTCATGTGTAACGCAGATGCGGCATTGTTCATGGGGCTGTTTCCTCCTAATGACTGACCTAATGTGTTGTGTCTCCTTTTTCTGGCTGAGAGAAGGAACCACATTTTAGAAGCATTTTATTCAGTAATATGTTCACATTGTGTTTCACCTCTTGCTATCTCTTATACTACAAGAATACCTGTGACGTATTGAGATAGCTAATATCATTGCTAGAAAAGTACAAGGTAATTTGGATAGAAAATAATGTAATAGCTTTAGTAACAGAATATAATTAAATTAGTGCCTAGAGTAAAAATAGTGAAAGGATTTATTTTTAGTCTTGAATGGCTTAGATCAGTATGATTAAAATACGTAAATTAAATAACAGCATTTAGTTCAGTGGTGTTCTGAGTGGTATCAACTCTCTCTAATATCTAATCTTAAGTGTTAATAATCTAATTCTAAGTATTCTATTTTCCTCTGCCCTCCCCCATTTTTAAGTAAACCCAATATGAATTAGATAAAATAGGGAACACATTTGTTATATTCTTGGAAGCCTTGAGATTAAGGATTTTAAATTGGGCTGGCATATTTTTATTAATCTACTGGAAAGTGGTTATTGGAGCACCTTCTGTACACCAGGGGCCATTCTGGATGCTGAGAATAGAGCCACCAACACAGCAAACAAGGTCCCTGCTGTCAGGGAGTTCACAGTTTCCTTGGGAGAAGACAGATAATAACTGAGTAAGCAAGTTAATTTCAGATAGAGATAAAACACTGCAAGAAAAGTAAAACAGAATAAATTATAGAAAACGTTTGAATGGGGAAGGGGTTGCTTAAAATTGGGAAGTTAGGGAAGATGTTTTTGAGGGCTGACATTTGAACTGAGACCTAAATGACGAAGAGCCATCCAGAAAGAGGAAAAGCAGTTGCAAAGGGTCTGAGATGGGTATAAGCCTAGAGGGACTGAGAAACTAAAAGAAAACCAGAGTGGCTGGGTTGCAGCGAACAAGAGGCAGCAAGGTCTGAGCAAAATTTGAGAGGTAGGCAGGGCAAGATGCTGTGTTAGTCATGGGTGCTACCTCTTTCTTTTATATGACGGTGAGTAGCCCTTATCGGAAATGCATGAGACCAGAAGTGTTTTGGATTTTGGATTTTTTTTTTTAGATTTTGTAATATTTGCATTATACTTACTGGTTGAGCATGCCCAATCTGAAAATTTGAAATCTTATACATTCCAATGAACATTGTCTTTGAATATCATGTATAATATCAAAAAGTTTCAGATTTTGGAGCTTTCAGATTTCAGATTCTGGATTAAGGATAACTCAACCCATATTATATTCTGTATTGTGTTACATTCCATTATGTCATATCATATTTCACACCATGTTGTGTATTTATATTGTATTATATATTTATGTCCCTGTACCTTACAGGGAAATGAAGAGTCAAAGAAAGACCTTAGATTTCTCAAGATATGTAGGTTTTCTGGCATTCCCAGTGTACAAAGTCATGCTAGTGGGTTGCTGTATCCTGGCTTGGGGTCCCCAGCTTCTTTTCATGTTTCTTTCCCATTGTCAGTTAAATTCAGTTCAACAGATATTTTCTTGGTGCGTGCTGGGCCCAAGAAACGGATGAGTCCACTTGGGCCATTTTACAGATGAATGCAGATGAAATTGTGATAGGCTTTCATTTTAGAGTAACTTTCCTAGATTATGTCTATTATTTCAATTAGTGAGCACCTATCTTTTGTACCATCTTTTTTATCCTTAGGTTACAAGCAGTAAAATGATCATAAGGGCCAAATATCTAATCTAAATGGCAGTGATATGTAATGTTAACATAGTCATCATTTGTTTCTCTCCACTGGCGATACAAGACATAAAAAAGTGATTTTGAGTCCTGCTTATGCATCACACCAAGAAGTGTTTATCATTTGAATACCTCTCTTCTGGGAAGAGTAGGGGTAAGAAGTTTTAAAAAAATTAGCAGTTTAATAAAATATGTGAAAGTTTACAAATATATATGCTTTTAAATGAGGCAACACAGATCTTCTGTTATGATGGTTATGATTCAGAGTGTCTGATTTACACTAGAGGATCAGGAAATAATGTAGACTATTTCCTTTCCCCGTGTCTTCATACCATATGTAGTCATAATATACTGACTTAAAATTTCCACCGAATTAAACTTTCCAGTGATTTATAAGACGTTGAAATGCATTACCAAGAGCAGTTATTGAATCTTCCTTCAGAGATAATTAACGAAAAGACTGTTATTAAAAAAGAAAAAAAGCAATAATTTACCTTTCATGTTGGCAAAGGTAAGCTCTAGAAGTCTTTCTGTGATTTGCTGATATTAATTCCACTCCCTGGATGTTTGTTTTGCTTTATTCTTTCTAACTCTCCCTGATTCTGTGGTTTAATAGATTTTCCTCCTGTTTAGAATAAAATTGTAGAAGTCAGTACCACATTTAGTATCTATCTCCAGGCATGGCCAATCCTTCCCACTGGCTGTGTTCCGGAAGGTTCTGGAAAACAGCTGACAAAGCCTGAATGTGACAGGGCAAGACATTTTAGGCAGCCCTCATGGCTTTTTCAGCTGTGCTTCTTATTTTCTTATAGATGTATGTGTGGTATGTAAGTGTGTATGATGCATATATGAAATATTCAAGTCAGAAAATTTGTCCATTTATGTTCCTCCCAGGTTACGAAACAAAATATTCCATTCTAGCCATGGTTAAAGCCCCCTGGGTAGCCCTGCCTGATTGCCCTAGAGATCATCACTGTCCTGATTTTTTTTTAATCATTCGTGTATGTCTTTATATTTTATGACATGGATTTATATATCTTAAATAGTACAGAGTATTGGTTTGCTTATTTTTATACCTTATATAAATGCATATTGCTTTTTCTCTTATTATATTCTTAGGAATTATCCACATTGATCCATGTGTCTTTCATTTATTCTCCCTACTGTATAGTATTCTGTTGGGGCACCAGGGGGCACAATAACCAGCACCTTCTTTTCCCCTCCAGAATCAATTGAAAATTCGACTCCAAGTGCAAGAGAGTAATAGATAGAAATTTCAGCTTTCTTAGTGACATAGCTCTATTGGAGGGATTGGTTTGCTAAAATACAGCCCACATTAAGCAGGTTTACCCTTTAGAGTGGAGTGGCAGGGTCTTTAGTGTATTCATATCAGCAGTTGACTTGTTTCCCAAGTGGTTGGGCCAGTTCACAGTATTACCCTCAGTGCACCAGAATTCCTTTCTATCCATATACTCACCAGCACTTGTTACTGAACTCTAGTTTTTGCCAATTTGATGGGTGTGAAATGGCATCTTATTGTGATTTTTAATTTTTCTCATTACTTACAAAGTTCATCATGTCTCCTAGCCCTTTGGGTTTCCTGTTCAATGTCAATTTCCTATTTATGTATTGGCCCACATAAAAAATATTGCATAGTCTATTTTAAAATGATTTATAGGGGCTCTTTACATATTCTGGGTACTAATTATTCCTTATGTGTGAGTCACAGAAATTTTTACCCACTTGTGGCCTGTCCTCACTTTTTGTGGGGGAGGGATTATCTTTTGATATATAACAGGACTATATATTTTCCCAGAGGTTTTAGAGAGAACGTGAAAAAAAGAAAAAAGCCTGGGACTGTTTGGCATGTCCAAAGTCTAGAATTTTGGAGAGCATGTGTGTAGTGTTACTTGAGCATGTAAATGGGGTCTCCCTGGTGATTTTCTGCCTATTGCAATACTCACTTTGAACAGTTGCTCATCTTTCTTTTTCTATATTAGCCAGTTTGAATATTTCTCTAAGATTTACATTATGTTTCAAGTTATTTTACATTATAGAATTAAATGCTTACTGCTTAAATTATGATTTTTTAGCCTCAGTATAGTTGCATGAAAAGGCTATACCATAAAACAAGTGTGACCTACCAAAAAGCAAATTTGTCTACCACTTGGCAACTCTCTACGTGTAACACAGCTTTTGCATTTTAGCTATTCTGATGGCAATGCTGTATTAATATTTCATTCTCTCCGTAGAGTTTGTGGACATTGTCATCATCCGAAGGCATTTGAGTACTAAATTGCATATGATGATACTTATAAAAGAAAATTGCAGGCCAAGCATGGTGGCTCACTCCTGGAATCCTAGCACTTTGGGAGTCCGAGGTGGGAGGATGGCTTGAGGCCAGGAGTTCAAGACCAGCCTGGGCAACATAGCAGGACCCCGTCACTACAGAAAATGAAAAAAAATTAGCTGGGCATTGTGGCACACCCCTGTAGTCCCAGCTACTCAGGAGACTGAGGCAGGAGGATCCTTTGAGCCCAGAAATTGGAGGTTTCAGTGAGCTACGATTGTACCACCGCACCCCAGCCTGGATGACAGAGTGATACTTTGCCTCCTTAAAAAAAAAAAAAAAAAAAAGAGGCCAGGCGCGGTGGCTCACATCTGTAATCCCAGCACTTTGGGAGGCCAAGGTGGGTGGATCACTTGACACCAGGAGTTCAAGACCAGCCTGGTCAACATGGTGAGACACTGTCTCTACCAAAAATACAAAAATTAGCCACACATGGTGGCATGGGCCTATAGTTCCAGCCACTCAGGAGGGTGAGGCAAGAGAATTGCTTGAAGCTGGCAGGTGGAGGTTGCAGTGAGCCGAGATCGTGCCACTGCATTCCAGCCTGTTCAACAGAGCAAGACCCTGTCTCAAAAAAACAAAACAAAACAAAAACAAAAACGAGAAAAAGAAAATCACATCATGATTTTGCTAATTCTTCATAAGAACAGTTTCTTGTAGGGTCATGCATAGATTTTCACCATAAAAAGAGCCTCAAAGAGCATGTGGTACAGTCTCTTATTTTACACATGCGAGGATAAATGACCCATGCAAGGCCTCACACCTTGTTGGGGGTGAATGTGGGCATGGAATAGGATTAGGACCCAGGGTTCTTGGCCCCTGGCACAGTGTGTTTTCCATTGTAATGGATTATAGAATAATAATGTTATTCTTTATTTTTATAAAGTTGGTGTGCATTTCTAGATTTCCTTAGCTAGAATTCCTTAGGTTTCACAGAAACATAGGTTTCAGTGCTTTTAGCTTTTTGTTGATGACATCTTTTCAGTTTCTTAGTACTGAAGGAACTGTTCATCATACTTGCTTAAATTAGCTTTATGGAAATAATGTATACTGTTTTCCTTCCTTATTTTCAACCGTATTTACATGCTAGTCTTTCCAACAGGTTGTATAAATAAGTTAAATGTTATGGTAAATTATTCCAAAATGGCATATTAAGTTTGCATAAATTAAAACTATGGTGTAATACTATGAATCAGATTGTAACTAGATGTAAATTTGTAAATGTGTATAGTTAATTTTTTAAACATAATTTTTCCATGTGCGACTGCTTTATTTAAGTTAGTGTGTTTAACAATAAAATTAATGCAGTCAACCCGAGAACTACAATATTACCATTAACTCACATATACCCGCACACTCCTCCATCCTATCTTCCTGCCTTTTTCCATAGGAACCAATATCCTGAAGTGAGTGTTTATTATTCCCGTGCTTTAAAAATACATGCACACGGCTGGGCGCGGTGGCTCATGCCTGTAATACCAGCACTTTGGGAGGCCGAGGTGGGTGGATCACGAGGTCAGGAGATCAAGACCATCTGGCTAACACAGTGAAACCCTGTCTCTACTAAAAATAGAAAAAATTAGTTGGGCTTGGTGGCATGCACCTGTAGTCTCAGCTACTCAGGAGGCTGAGGCAGGAAAGTTGCTTGAACCCTGGAGGCGGAGGTTGCAGTGAGCGAAGATCACGCCACTGCACTCCAGCCTGGGTGACAGAGCAAGACTCCATCTCAAAAAAAAAAAAAAAAAATGCACATATACATATATATACCTATATGTTTCTCTAATGTTTAATCTTCCTTGTTTTTAAACTTTGTAAAAAAGAATTTCAAATGTATGTAGTCTTTGTGACTTGCTTTTTTTCACTCAATAGTGTTTCTAATATTTATCCTTGTTTTATCTATAATTCACTCATTTAAAATGTGTTTAGCGGCTGGGCACAGTGGTTCACGCCTATAATACTAGCACCTTGAGAGGCCAAGGCGGGAGGACCTGTCAAGGCCAGGAGTTCAAGACTCGCCAAGCAGTAAGCAAGACCCCATCTCTACAAAAAATACAAAATAAAAATTAGCCAGGTGTGGTGGCACATACATATAGCCCTAGCTACTGTGGAGGCTGAGGTGGGAGGATCGCTTGGGCCCAGGAGTTCAAGGCCTGCAGGAGTTTGAAGATGCAGGAGTTTGAGGCTTCAGTGAGCTATGCTCGTGCCACTGCTCTCCAGCTTGGGTGACAGAGGAAGATCCTGTCTCTAAAAAAATAAAATAGTATAGCATTCCATTGTATGGATTTACCACAGTTTGTCTTTGTTTCCTTTTTCTCTTCTTATTAATACTGTATGAACACTTTTGTGTCATAATTCCTAGTGCCCATGTGCAATGCTTCTCTGGATATGTACTTAGGAATGGAATTGCTAGGTTGTAAGGTACACGAATGTTTACTTAGATAGTGCTGGAATATCATAATGCCAAATGATATTTTCAATAATTCATATCAATTTACATTCCCACCAACAGTATATTCTGTTGATGGGCATCCTCTCCAACTCTTGCCAGGCTTCTTTTTTTTTTTGAGACAGAGTCTCGCTCTGCCACCCAGGCTGGAGTGCAGTGGCACGATCTCGGCTCACTGCAAGCTCCGCCTCCCGGGTTCACGCCGTTCTCCTGCCTCGGCCTCCTGTGAGTGAGTAGCTGGGACTACAGGGGTCCGCCGCCACGCCCGGCTAATTTTTTGTATTTTTAGTAGAGACGGGGTTTCACCATGTTAGCCAGATGGTCTCCATCTCCTGACCTCGTGGTCCGCCCGCCTCGGCCTCCGAAAGTGCTGGGATTACAGGCGTGAGCCACCGCGCCCGGCCGCCAGACTTCTTAATCTTTCCCGGTTGAGTGGGTTTAATATCTCATTGTCGGCTTGATTTGTATTACCCTGATGGATGATGAGTTCTCTCTCTTATCTCTTCACATTTACTAGTCTCCTCTGTGACATACCTGTTCATGGTTTTTACCCATTTTTCGATTGCATCTTCTATTGATTTGAATGTGTTCTTTATATGTGTTCTCAGTACAAATATTCGGTCTAGTTAACAAATATCTTCTCCCAGCTTGTGACTTGTCTTTTCACTTTCTTCAAGTGACTTTTCAGACATAAGTAAATTTAGTTTGGTTAAATTTATGAATCTTTGTCATAGTTAGAGGGCTGGTGTCCTGTTTAAGAAACCCTTCATTACCCCCAAAGTCAGAGACCTATTACCTATATTTTCTTCATAAAATTTACAGTTTTGCTCTTGAAAATTAAATCTGTAATTCTTCTAGAATTGATTTATGAATAGGGCGTGTGTGAGAACCCAGTTTCACCTTTTCCATATGGACAATCAGTATTTTCAGCTTTGTTTATTGAATGTGCCCTCTTTTCTCTGCTGTTCTGCTTTGCTGCCTCTGCTCCTGTGTTTTCTGTTGTTTCACTGGTCACTTAATCTGTCTCTGCACCAATTTCTCACTGTCCTCATAAAATCTTAATACCAGTAGGGCAAGTCTCCCTCCTTATTTTTCGTCTTTAGCAGTGTGTTGATTATTTCCAGCTCTTTGTTTTCTCATAATAATTCCAGAAACTAGCTTGTTAAAAACCAGAAACTGTTCAGATTTCGATTAACATTGACTTTACAGATGAATTTCTGGAAAGTTGACATCTTAATAATATTGTCTTCCTATTCATAAATATATTTTTCATTGGATATTTCAGAAAATTCTTTTTCTGAACCATCACACTGCTGTCACCATCATAATCACATTGGTTTTCACTTACGCTGTATTTCTTATATGCCAACCCCCATTCTATTTGTATGCAGTTTTTACAGCAGTCTTTTGAGGTAGATCCTATTATTATGAAATATTGCACATAGGAAACTGAGGCACAGAGAGGTTAATCAACTCACTGTAGATCACACAGCTAGTAAATAGTAGAGGCAAGATTCTAGCCCAAGGTGCTTGGATATAAAGTTCATACTTTTAATTACTACTCTATATTGCACACAGCTTTTTTTCTTCTTTTGTTGGATTTCTTCCTACATATTTTATCGTTTTTGTTGCTATTGTAAATAGTAGCTTTTGAAAATTATGTTTTTTAAATTACTTGTAGAAACAATAGAAATGAAATTGCTTTTTGTATGTTAATCTTCTAGCTAACAACCTTGTTAACTTTGTAGATTTTTAAGGATCCACAAAGATAATGACATCAGTGGAAAATAGTAATTATTTCTTCCGTTCCAATCCTTATATCATTTATTTCTTTTTGCTGACATATGCACTGGCTAGGACTTACAGGGGTGATAGTGTCTTGTTCTGAAACTCAAAGGGAAAGATTTCAATATTTTATCACTTAATTTGATCATAGCCGTAGGGGTTAGATCCTTTCTCAGATTAAAGAATTTCTTATCTGGTCTAGTTTATCATGAGTTTTTTAAAAATCAAGAATTGATGAGAACACATGGACACAGGGAGGGGAACATCACATACTGGGGGCCTGTCGGGGGCGGAGGTGGGGGGGACAACTGGAGGCAGAGCATTAGGACAAATACCTAATGCATGTGGGGCTTAAAACCTAGATGACAGGTTGATAGGTGCAGCAAACCACCATGGCACTTGTATACCTATGTAACAAACCTGCACGTTCCGCACATGTATCCCAGAACTTAAATTAAAAAAAAAAAAATCAAGGCTGGGTGCGGTGGCTCACGCCTGTAATCCCAGCACTTTGGGAGGCTGAGGCGGGTGGATCACGAGGTCAGGAGATCGAGACCGTTCTGGCTAACACGGTGAAACCCCATCTCTACTAAAAATACGAAAAATAAGCCGGGGGCGTGATGGCGGGCACAGGAGAATGGCGTGAACCCGGGAGGCGGAGCTTGCAGTGAGCCGAGATCGCGCCACTGCACTCCAGCCTGGGCGACAGAGAGAGACTCCGTCTCAAAAAAAGAAAAAAAAAATCAAGAATTGGCATTAAATTTCACTATATGCTTTTTCTGTATCTATTGAGATGTTATTTTTTGAAATTCATTAATATGATGAATAACATGTCTGTGTATATGTATGTATAGTTTTAATATCAATTCATCTTTTATATTTTTGATATAAACCCAAGTTTACTATCCTATTATCTTTTTTTTTGTTTGTTTGTTTTTTTTTTTTGGAGACGAGTGTGCAGATGTTTATTAGGGGATATTCTTGAAATGGATACCTGTTTGGGGAAGAAAAGGAAGCAGGATTGGGCAGGGGGATAACTTGGCTATGATGTCACAACAGTGTCCTCAATGAAGCCCACAGAGACTGATAAAGTTGGGTTTGACTTTCAGAGTTGTCCAGAGCTGGGGCAAGAGGGAAAGGCCTTTAAGGCCCCCCAGGAGATGGACTTTGGATACGGGCTGCCCTGAAGGGAGGGCCTTTCCCAGAGAGTGGGGCAAGCTGAAGTCCATCATCCAGCGGCACTTCAGCAGCTGGGGAGAGGGTTGATGGGTTCCCCAGCCAGAAAGGGGGATCTTGGTGGCTCATCACAGTGGCCACTGTGTGCCCAACATAGTTGCTGCACATTCGTGTTCATCCCAGCCTCCAACATCCATTTTTCAGCCCCTGGGCCTAGGGTGGGGGCAAACCCAGCAACCCTGGGTTTGACATCACATATTAATCCCATTCCCAGAATCATTTTAGCCTGAGGACATAAGGAGCCTCCAAGCCAAGCTCCCCTTGGAATTTCCCGCACCTGCCTTTGCTCATGCAGCAGCTTCCTGACGCTGGCTTCTCAGTGTCTGAGCCCAGGAATGCTGCCAGAGTGGGCACATCACAGCCAAGAAAAAGGGAGTGGGAATGAGAGCTTTTGTCATTCAGTTCACAGCGCGGCAGGCTCTGGGTGAGCACATCCTGTCCACTATCTCATTCGTGGTCACCACCTCCCTGCAAGGTGGGATCTTTTATGAGCCCCATCGATAGATAAGGACACTGAGGCTCAAGGACAGGAAGTTGCACATCTGGGCTCTCAGGCCTTTCTTTTCTTTTCTTTTCTTTTTTTTTGAAACAGAGTCTCACTCTGTTGCCCAGGCTGGAGTGCAGTGGCACAGTCTTGGCTCACTGCAATCTCTGCCTCCTGGGTTCAAGCGATTCTCCTGCCTTAGCCTCCGGAGTAACTGGGATTACAGGCATGCACCACCACGCCTGGCTAATTTTTGTATTTTTAGTAGAGACGGGGTTTCACCATGTTGGCCAGGCTGGTCTCGAACTCCTGACCTCAGGTGATCCGCTGTCCTTGGCCTCCGAAAATGCTAGGATTACAGGCGTGAGCCACCATGCCTGGCCATCAGACCTTTCTTTTCTGTAGAAACCCTTGACTCTAAAATCCAGGAAGCATGACTGTGTCAGGATACTGTTTATATGAACCCTTCTGTCATTTGTCCTCCAGAGAGATACTAACATTCCCCATCCCACCAGGTGGGCTAAGGCTGGGACTGCTTTAACCCTTTCTCTCCTAGAGTCAACACTGGCATGGGCCTGGGTGCTGCTTCCTGCTGGGGGACCTGGGGATTTGGGTCTTGTGGATGAGCCGGACACCCCCCAAGCCCTCTTCTAGCTTGATGTCCCCCTGCTGCAGGGCCTGCTGGATAGCATCAGTGAGGGCGTCAAAGGCCAGGTCCACATTGCAGTTGTTTTTAACAGAGGTCTCCACGAAGGCCATGCCCAGGGAGGCAGCTAGCTCCTCGGCCTCCTGGGCTGAGACACAGCGGGTGCTCTGCAGGTCACTCTTGTGGCCAACCAGCAGGAAGATGACCTTGTCCGGGCCCTGAGTGGCCATGACCTCCTGGTGCCAGTCTTGGATGTGTTCAAAGGACTTCCTGTTTGTCACATCAAAGACCAGCAGGACACCCACCACATTCCGGTAAAAGGACCCGGTGATGCAGCTGAAGCGCTCGTGGCCCGCGGTGTCCCAGAGCTGCAGCTTGACCCGCGGCCCAGCCCGCAGCTGCAGCGCGCGGCGGTAGCACTCGGCGCCCACCGTGGGCTCGGGCTTGGGCTGTGGGGCGCCAGGCGCGCCCGCCACGTAGCTCCGCAGCAGCGACGTCTTGCCCACCGCCGCGTCCCCCAGCAGCGCGACCCGAAATTGGTAGCGGCAGCCCTCGGCCTCCATGGCCGCGTCCCTATCCTATTATCTTTTTAATGCACAGTAGGATTCAGTTTGCTAATATTTTACTTAGGGTGGTGTGTGCGTGTGCGCGTGCGTGTGTGTGTGTGTGTTTGTGTCTAAAATGGAGCTGTAATTTTCCTTTCTTGTTTTGTTTCATTTCAAGCTTATACTGGCCTCATACAGTGAATTAGGGAGAATTCCCTCTTTTTATATTTGGTACAGATTTTGCTATTTTAATATAAATAAAATATTGCCTTGGAAATTTTATAACTTTAATTATAAACATAATCAGAAACCTCTTGCTTCTGACAATACATTGTTTTCTGCTACTTTGAAAAACTCTGATTTCTACCATAATATCTCAAACTCTTAAGTAATTTTAATGAATTAAAAGTACAAAGGTATTAAAAGGTTATAAACATTTATTAAAATCCTCTGTTACATCTTATAGTTTTCTATTCCCTGAAGTCACTTCAAGTTATTTATTTTTAAACATAGAACCTCTAGTTGAAGTCTATTTATGTCTGCTTCTGCTGGTTCTTGCTCATGGTGACTAGTTTCCCTGTAAACTTGTTTGTATTCAACTTTCTGGAGCTCACCGACCTTGAAAAATAATTTATGAGGAATTCCACAAGTCCAGGATGAAATCAGAGTGGTTTATGTGTTTTTGCCAGGCTCCTTGTAGCACAGTCAGTACAGGACTATATTAAAACAAATCCACAGATGGAAGTTTCTGTATTCACTCAAGGTATGTTTAGACCTAGGATCCCAGGGACTCTCCCAGTGAGGGTCAGTCAACACTCATAACTTCTCAGGGGTGAATGATCGTTTTTTATTTCATTTTTCTCTTACTCCTTTGCTCAGCACCAGGGAAACTTTCATGTAGTCCTTTGGATTTCAGCTTAATGTGGGAAAGTTATCCTGTGAGATGATCCAAATTGGCAAAGTCCTGGATCTTCACTTCTGGCCTCGTCTCCCCATGAGGCTACCAGACCGCAGCCCCAGTGCACGATGTGAGTGAATGCCTTCAGGGCAAAGGTGGCTTTGGGATGCCAACTTTCTTTCCACTAACCTCTTTGGGTTCAAGCTAGCCTCAAGAATTTGGCCTGGCAGCTCTTTTTAATTTTTCAGTCCTTTTAAGGTGGTTTTGTTTTAGTGTCTTATCCAGCATCTTTAGTTTTTTGCAGTGGGGAGTTGATCTGAGTATCCAAAAACAGAAACTCATGTGAATTCTTAAATACTTTGTCTCCCAAACTTTTCCTTCTAAATTCTGCTTTCCAAATATTGATTTATTAGGTAGACAATAAGAATTATTAAGTGTTAGAAAAGAGTATCACTTATTTGTAAGAGATATAGAAAATATATAAAATCAGTAATGCATTTCTAAAGCTTAGTAATTCTGGCATTTTAGCTTTACTTTATCTTCTATTGCTGTTTAAAGAATATGACCAAGTATTTCTGACCTTTTATTGCTCTTATATTGAATATCATTTAGAAGTTGTAAGCTAAATATTTATTTTCGTATAACCTAAAACCATAGTATTAGGAAATACTGATGTAATTTAGTGATCATGTCATTGAAGCTTAACATTTTTATTGCATTCATTATTTATGAGAAGAAATCATGCAGTGTTTCTGTTTTTATCAAGGTATTATATCTAAAAATCACTTTTCTTGAACTTGAACTCAATATTTATAAAAGTGCATTTTATAGTACTTATACCTACGACAAAATAATTGATTAACTGTGTCCAAGTGTGTTGATGGGTCCCCAAGGGCCAACGCTAGATTTGATGATTCACTAGAAGGACTTCCAAGACTCAGCCTACAGTCGTATTCATGGCTATGATTTATTACAGTGAAAGGATTCAATGCAAAACCAGCACACGGGAAGGGTACATGGGGTGAAGTCCAGGGGAAACCAGATGCCAGTTTCCCATTGTTCCCCTCCAGTGGAGTCACAGAGAACACAATTCCCCAATAGTAAGCTGTGACCAAACATGTGAAATGTGCCAACCAGGGAAGCTCAGTAGAGACTCAGTGCCCAGGGTTTAATTGTGGGCTGATCACACTGGCATTCTCTGTCTGGCATGTGCCAAAATTTCAGACTCGCAGAAGGAAAGCAAGTATTCAGTGGGAGCCATGTTGTCTGCACAAACAGTTTTAAGCACAGTGATCAACTCTTACCAGTTAATGGTGGTAGGAACCTTCCTGAAATCCAAGTTCCCAGATGCCAGTCAAGGGCCAGGCTTGTAAGCAGAATTGCAGTCAGGTCTGCTGTCTTAACTTTTTTCTACATGTGGAGGTGTGGCTGAAGTTTTTTAAGCACTTACCATTTGGCAAGCACTGTTCTAAGCCCTTTACTCGTTTCATCCTCACAATCACCATTTCATAGATGGGGAACTGAGGGATAGAGAAGTTAAAAAATTTGTCTCATATTTCACAGCTAATAAGTAGTAAAACAGGATTCATAGTAAGGCTTCGAATCCATGATTTTATCCAATACTTTATTTGGGTTTTTTTGAAAATTACTTTCATTTTGTCTCACCTCATGAATAAGATGTTCCATACATTTCCTTAAAATGGTGATTAAAATAAATTGTCAAAAAAAGGAAGAAATTGTCTTCATACAGCCCCTTTTAATCTTCAGTGTTGTTTCATGGCTCTTAATTTTCAGATTTGAAAAATCATTCTAATTATCATGCAAACCCTTCCTGATCTCATAGGCTTTTCTCTGCCTCTGTGTTTCTTCTGGGTTGGAGAATTTGAATTGTTTTTTCCATTTGTCTGGTCCTTGACCACTAATTTACTGCCATGGTTCTTTCTGTATTTCCCTTTTGGTATTTTCTGAAATTTAGCAATTAGAACTGCAAACAGAGACAGTATCACAGCGCCATGGTTTTATAAACAAAGACAGGACAGCTGTCTTAGTCCATTTGGGCTGCTATAATAAAAATACCATAAACTGGGTGGCTTATAAACAACAGAAATTTTTTTCTGACACTTCTGTAGGCCGGGAAGTCCAAGAGCAAGGAGCTGGCAAATCTGGAGTCTGGGGAGGGCCCACTTTCTGGTTCACAGATGGTACCTTCTAAATGTGTCCTTGATATAGTTTGGACATTTGTTCCCACCCAAATCTCATGTTGAACTGTAATCCCCAATGCTGGAGGTGGGGCCTGGTGGGAGGTGTCTGGATCATGGGGACAGATCCCTCAAGGCTTGGTGCTGTCTTCATGTTAGTGAGTTCTTGTGAGATTTGGCCATTTAAAAGTGTGTAGCACTTCCCCTGCTCCAACTCTTGTTCCTGCTCTGGCCATGTGACATGCCTGCTCCTGCTTTACCTTCTGCCATGATTGTAGGCTTCCCCAGAAGCCAAGCAGATGCCAACGCCATGCTTCCTGTAAAGCCTGCAGAACCATAAGCCATCTAAACCTTGTCTTTATAAATTATCTAAGCTCAGATATTTCTTTATAGCAATGCAAGAACAGCCTACTACAGTCTTCATATGGTGAAAGGAGAGAACTCTAGTCTCTTCAGCCCCTTATAAGGGCACCAATCCCATTCATGGGGGTTCAGCCTTTATGACCTAATTACCTTCCAAAGGCCCCACCTCCAGCCATCACATTGGTGATTAGGTTTTAACATATGCATTTGGGGCAGGCACAAATATTCAGACCATAGCAACAGCATTTTCTGTTTTATTTCCTTCTTTGTAATTCTCATCATTGTATTGGCCGTATTATCTACCTCAGTATGTTGAACAGTGACTTAAGGGCATGGCCTTTAAATGCTGCTAGAGGGCCATCTGGGATATAGCTGATAACTAAGAGCTTGCCTCTCTACAAGTATACTTTAGATTATTTTTTTAGAATTGAAATGAGAAGATTCACTATTTGCTATATCCATTTCCAAGAAAATATATTATAGCTTCAAGAAAAATGCGAGTGTTAACACGTGCTGAAATATGATACAGATGTTTAATGTCTTACTGTAATATTATTTTACTGTTCATAGTCACCTGCTTTTTTGATCCCTGCCTAAGTTTGCTTTCTTTATTCCATAACACCTGTTCCCAGGAATATATTTACAGTCTGTTGTCTTTTCTAAATGGTTGGTACATATGTAAGAAAAAGGTTGACTTTTACTGGTTTCTTTCAGTAAATACCTTAAGGATTCCTTGTTATTTATTTTCAGTGTTACTTTATTTCAATTTAATACCTTAGTACTGTTTTTACTTAAATACCACATAAGGAGTCATGCTATATGACCTAGGCATGACACTTACTTAAATGTTTATGGATAGAAAACAAATTATTTCTAGTTTTACTTTTTAAAAAGAATTCCAAAACTTCAAACTACACATGATAAATGGCCCTGTGTTTCCATAGGCTTAGAAAGCTTATGTCTAATTTATTACTCCTATGTGATCATGTGTATCTAGTTGTTTGCTACCTTCTATTTCAGATCTTTGCATTTGTAGTTCCCTGTTTAAATATCACATCATCAGAGAGGCCTTTCCTATCCAAAGTGACTTCACTCCATCTCCCATCCCCAGTAAATCTCTGCTGCCTGGTTTTATGTCATTCATAGCAGTTAGCAAATCTCAGGGAAGATTTTTGTTTTTGTTTCCTTATTGTCTATCTGTCAGGCTTGACTATAAAGCTTCATGAGAGCAGTGATGTTGTCTGTTCTTGAATACCTCTGGATGTTCAGGTTAGTTCAGAGCACTTGTTGAATAAATTAATGAATTTATTAAAGACTATAAAAACAATCTGTTTATATTAGTATGGTATTTGATCTTTGTTAATTCAAATCTATAAGATTTTCTGTGGATTATTTAGGATGTGAAGAAGGTATCCAGACTGACCTTAGGTTTAGGTTATAATAATTAGCTAACTAAAAAGTTAACAATGGATATATTTAATCTCTAAGCCTGATTAAATTTTCTGACTCTTTGGGCTGTCTCTGAGAATTGTGTATCTGCTGTAAATTACCAAAACTGCAATAAATCAGGAGTCTTTCCAAATATCGAGATACTAAATACATACTTTGATCTCTTTGTGTCCATTAGAAATATTTTAAACATAGAAAAGTATGGAGAATAATATGGTGTAACACTTGCATTTCAGCCACTTCCCTTTATCTTGTCTTAATATTTGTCATATTTGCCTCAGTGTTTGATCAAAAACCAGTCTTGATATTTTTAAGATATACTTAAATCAGTAGATCTTGAGTAAAGCAGATCACTTTCCTTTTTTTTTTTTTTTTTTTTTTTTTTTGAGACGGAGTTTCGCTCTGTTGCTCAGGCTGGAGTGCAGTGGCGCGATCTCAGCTCACTGCAAGCTCCGCCCCCAGGGTTCATGCCATTCTCCTGCCTCAGCCTCCCGAATAGCTGGGACTACAGGCACCCGCCACCACGCCCGGCTCATTTCTTTGTATTTTTAGTAGAGACGGGGTTTCACAGAGTTGGCCAGGATGGTCTTGATCTCCTGACCTCGTGATCCACCAGCCTTGGCCTCCCAAAGTGCTGGGATTACAGGCATGAGCCACCACGCCTGACCGAGCAGATCACTTTCTATAAGGTGAGAGGGCCTCATCTAATCAGTTGAATGCCTTAAGAGAAAACATGTAGGTCCCCCAGGGAAGAAGCAGTTCTGCCCACAGGCTGCCTTCAGATTTGAGGCTGCAACATTAACTCTTCCCTTGACTCTCTGTTATGTTGCATTGGTCTGTTTGTCTATCTTTGTGCCAGTATCACACTCTCTTTATTATATAACTTTGTAATCTTGATGTCTGGCAGTGTAAGTCCTAGAGCTTTGTGTTTTCTTCAGAATTATCTTGGCTATTTTTAGCCCATTGTGTTTTAAAATAAATTTTAGAGTCAGTTTTTCAATTTCCACCAAAGAAAAAAAAAGAAAAAAACAAGAAGCCAACTTCAAACCCAAAAGTTGCTGTCTTCTTTCTTTCTCTTTCCTTCTTTCTTTCTTTTAGTTGCTGTCTTCTTTCTTTCTTTCTCTCTTTCTTTCTTTCTTTCTTTCCTTTCTTTCCTTTCTTTCTCTCTCTCTCTCTTTCTCTCTCTCTTTCTTTCTCTCTTTCTCTCTCTTTCTCTCTTTTTTTTTTTCAACAGAGTCTTGCTCTGTCACCCAGGCTGGAGTGCAGTGGTGCGATCTCAGCTCACTGCAACCTCCACCTCCCAGGTTCAAGCGATTCTTCTGCCCCAGCCTCCAAGTAGCTGGGACTACAGGCGCACGCTACCACGCCTGGCTAATTTTCTGTATTTTTAGTAGAGATGGGGTTTCACCATGTTAGCCAGGATGGTCTCGATCTCCTGATCTCGTAATCCACCTGCCTCAGACTTCCAAAGTGCTGGGATTACAGGCTTGAGCCACCACGCCCGCTGGCTGGGTTTTTAATTGAATTTATATTGAATCTTTAGACTAGATCAATTTGGGGAGAACTGACAATGCCAAAATGTTTTAAGTCTTCCAGTGCATGAATAAAGTATATCCTTTTGTTTTTAAAGGTCTTATTTAACTTTCCTTGCTGTTTTGTAGTTTTAATGTAAAAGTTTTACACATATTTTATCAGATAATTCTGAAATATTTGGTTTTTATGTAGTTATATAGATTTTTAAATTTTATTTTCTACTTATTTAGATATACAATTGTTTTTTATATGCTGGTCTTACACCAGCAGCATGACTGAATGTCTTAGTCTAGTCCGTCTGTTGTAACAGAATACCATAGACTGGGTGGCTTAAACAACAGAAATTTATTTTCTCACAGTTCTTAAGACTGCGAAGTCTGCAATCAGATGCCAGCATGGTCTGGTTCTGGTGAGGAGGCTCTTCCTGGCTTGCAGATGGCTGCCTGCCTGGCTGTGTGCTTCTGGGTCCTTTCCTGGACATGTGCACAGAGTGGGGGATCTCTTGCTCTTCTTATAAGAGCACTAATCCCTTATGATGGTCCCACTCTCATGACCTAATTACTTCCCAAAGACACCACCTCCAAATACTGTCACATTGTGGGTGAGGGATTCGACACAGAATTTAGAGCAGGAGTGGGCACACACATTCAGTACATAATACAAAGTTAACTTATTCTAGTACTTCGTCTTAGTAATTGTAATAGTATATATTTTATGTTTTCTAGGCATGCAATCAAGTCATCTTCAAACAATAGTAGTTTTATTTCTTCTTTTCCAATTCTTATGTCATTGATTTCTTTTTCTTTTCTTACTATATCAGCTAGGGTCTCCCACATAGTGATAAATAAAAGTTATGTGAGCAGGTATCCTGTTTCTTCCCCATCTTGGTGGGGGGAGGGGAAAACTTTAGTATTTCACATTAACTATGGAATATGCAATAGGTTTTTGGGTTTTGTTATGTTTTTAGGGGATAAATAACCTTTATTAGATTAAGGGAGCTCCTGCTTTGCTAAGAAATTTTATCATGAATAAATACTGACTTTTATTAAATGCTTTTTCTGCTCATGTTGCCATAATCATATTTTTCTCCTTTACCCTGTTAATGTGATGATGATATGCAGTAGACCAATAGTAAAAATAGAACTATTGTACCATTAGTAAATGTGAGGCTTAGAGGATATACAATTGTATAATTTTTTTTTGTTAAGGGCATTTAAAAATTACTGTTTTCTTATTATTTTTTAGAGACAGAGTCTCCCTGTGTTGCCCAGGTTGGAGTGCAGTGGTGAGAGCATGGCTCACTATAGCCTCAAACTCCTGGGCTCAAGCAATCTTCCCACCTCCGCCTCTGGAGTAGCTGGGACTATGGGCATGTGCTACTATGCCCAGCTAGTTTTTTAAAACTTTTTTGGAGATGAGGTCTCACTCTGTTGCCCAGGCTAGTCTTGAACTCCTGGCCTCAAGCAGTCTCCCACCTCCATCTCTTGAGTAGCTGGATTACAGATGTAAGCCACTGTACCTGACTATATGGACATTATTTGTAGTAGATTCCACAATGCTGTTAAATTTGTCTATATCTAACAGGTACTTGGGAAGAATAATTAAATGAACAGAGAAGTGGTTTAGAAGTGACAGGTGACTTGGCATTTGTGTCCAAATAAAAAGTAAATGTACATTTGGCCCTCTATATCAGCAAGTTCCATGTCTGTGGATTCAACCAACTGAGGACAGAAAATATTTTTTTTAAGTTACATCTACGCTGAACATATACAGACTTTTTTCTTTGTCATTATTTCCTAAACAATATTGTATAACAACTGTTTACATGCCATTTACAATGTATTAGGCATTATGAATAATCTGGAGATGATTTAAAGTATACAAGAGGATGTGCTTAGGTTATATGCAAATACTACAATATTTTATAGTAAAGACTTAAGCATCTATGAATTTTAGTGTTCATGGGAGGTCCTGGAACCAGTCCTTCATGGATACCAAGCGATGACTATATTTATATATTCAGTCACCTTTTGACAAAGCTTAATGGCAGTATTTCTTTTGTGAGTCTGAACAAATTTTCAAGAAACTACAAAACATTCCTCTAATATCAATTTCTTTTATTCAAAGATGTACTAGAATATTATTATGTTAAGATAACTATCTTAGTCCATTTGTGTTGCTTTAAAGGAATACCTGAAGCTGGATAATTTATAATGTAAAAGGGTTATTTGGCTAAAAATTCTGATGGCTGGAGAGTTCAAGATTGGGCGTTTTGCATCTGGTGAGGCCTCAGATTTCTTCCACTCTTGGTGGAAGGCAAAGGGGAGCTGGCATGTGCAGAGATCACACGGCAAGAGAGGAAGCAAAAGAAAGAGTGGGGAGGCGCCCGGCTCTTCTTAACAACCAGCTCTGGTGGGAACTAATAGAGTAAGAACTCACTCACCCTCAACCCCAAGAGAGCACATTCATCTGTTCATGAGGACCCACTTTTCCACCCCCAGGACCCAAACACCTCCCATTGGGCCCCACTTTTAACACTGGGAATCAAATTTCAGCTGGAGGTCTGAGGGGACAAACATCCAAACCATAGCGGTAGCTGTAGGACTTTTTAGCTCTGCCTTCTTTAAATTGTATATTATATGTAACTGAGCCACAGACTGAGAGGTGGGTAGAACATTCACCAGGCCTTTTCTTGTTCCTAAGAACAGTGAAAATTCAAAGAAGGTACACTCTGTAGGAAATCGGTATTTCCCATCATTGCTTATATAAATCTTAAGCAACCTTATTTTAAGGTGAGTAGATGAGTGAATGGATAGAGAGAGAAAAAAAAGAGAGAGAGTGAGAGAAGTCATAGAAACTTGCTGTAGGTTTTTCACCTGGATGAAATGAAACATCACAGATGGTTTCTCACAGATGATCTCTTGGCTTCCTTTTGTAGGAGTTTCTCCCAGGGCAGTGCATTCTTTGTCCATGGTGGGGAAAGAGTCAAAGTCACTATATCAAAATGATCAGTATTCTATAACATATTTGAATTTAGACCATCTCAACATATGCCGCACATACATTTCCCATTGTGCTTCACCCTTAACAGAAACAAATAATAAGACAAGGTAGTATTTGAACCTCTCAATGAAGAGTTTATAATGCATTGAATAAAGTCTTCACAGATACCAATATTTTATTCGTCCCTCTGGCACCCAGGAAGTTTTTCAACACTCAGGCAATGCATGATTGTAAGATTCATGTTAGGTAAGAAATGTGCCTTTCTTTTGTAAAGTAGAAAAAAGGTGTTTGAAAGGGGAAGTGGGATTAGAAAACCAGTATAGCTCCACACAGGTGCTCTTGAGCAAACCAGTTTTTGGAAGCATTATAAATAGAAGTCAAAGTTCTGTTAATTGATTATAGTAATACTACATTGCTTATGTAACCCTAAGCATACATGCTCCTATGTTTAATGCTACTGATCTTGGTTGTAGACCCAGGTTTGAAATTATTTTTGTTCAAGTGCATGCACACTGTCAACTTCATACCTTTACTCTTTAATGAAGGAAAATTTAAGACAAGTAAAATTTAGAACAGATTTTGTATAGTTGGTAGTAGAATTTGAAAATATATTAGTTCCAGGCCAGGCACAGTGGCTCATGCCTGTAATCCCAGCACTTTGTGAGGCCAAGGTGGGTAGATCACCTGAGGTCAGGAGTTTGAGACCAGCCTGGCCAACATGGTGAAACCCCGCCTCTACTAAAAATACAAAAATTAGCCAGGTGTGGTGGTGAATGTCTGTAATCCCAGCCACTCAGGAGGCTGAGGCAGGAGAATCACTTGAACCTGGGAGGCAGAGTTTGCAGTGAGCCGAGATTATACCACTGCACTCCAGCCTGGGTGACAAAGAAAAAAAAAAAGAATATATATATATATGCCAAGTCATAAAGTAGACCAAAAATATAAGTAGCTCTAAAAATAGTTTAGATAAAAATTTTATTGATGGGTAGAGAGTGGATTTTGGAGAAACTGAGATTTTTGTGTATCTCTAAATATGGGGGTTGATGAAGAGCTCAGTTATTCAGCCTTTTACTTCTTTTAACAAGGACTTATTGAGGCAACTGTTACTTGCTTACATTGAGCTAGGCAGTTGGGGATATGGTGTGAAGTAGACAATTTTGTTCTGTAACATTAAATGGCAAAACAGTATCAAGTAAACTAAACCAATGATAACAACCATATAATCACCAGTTGTTCTAAATGCAAAATAAATAAATAAATAAATAAATAGGGTAATAAGAATGCAGAGTAATTGGGATAGTCACTTCAGGGTGCCTGCAGAGACCACAGGAGAGGGTGACGTGTGTTTGTGATTTCTGTGGTACCACCCATCAGTGGACCTGATGGACCATGGTTCTGACTTCTATCCTTTCCCCATTTTATAGATGGGGAAGATGAGATGCAGAAGCACAGTAACTTTCCATGTGCATGTAGGCATCTATGTAAGTGGTTAAGTGAGAATTCAAACCCAGGTGGTATGACTCCAGAGTTAGTATTTTTAACCACTGTGCTGTACTGTCCCACAAGTAATATTAGTTTAATTTTAGTGAAATAACCAAGATAAGTACCAAGCAGACTAACCCCAAAGTCCGCTCTTAACAGCTACACTAACTGCCTCTCAAGAGGTCGTAGAGCTTATAGACTGACACAGCTGGTGTGTTTTTATCATTTTTTTTCTGTGAAGTAATTAGTATTTATTTTTTCTATTTTATTTCGATTTCATTATTTTTCAACTAATTATAAAACACCTTCAAAAGAAAAGAAAAACGGAAGTGAAGTCTCAGTTTAGGATCAATTTGAAATATTCTTAAGACTCTTTTAATATGACATCAGTTAACTTGAGCACCTTCATCTGCCTATGCAGTCCAGTATTCAGGAGAATGCAGTTCGTCTTAGTCCCTTTGAGCTGCTATAACAAAACTTCATAGACTGGGTAGCTTATAAACAAAAGAATTTTATTTCTCACACTTCTGGAGGCTGGGAAGTCCAAGATCAGGGCACTCACTGGCAAATTCAGTGTCTGGTTAGGGCCTGTTCCCTGGTTCATGGAATGGTGTGTCACATGGTGGAAAGGAACAAGGGAGTGCTCTGGGGCCTCTTGGGCACCAATCCCATTCATGAAGGCTCTTCCCTGTGACCTACTCTTATGAAGGCCCCACCTTCTAATACCATCACATTGGTTATTAGGTTTCAACATATGAATTTTAGGGAGACACAAATGTTCAGAACATAGCCGAGTCATACAGTAAATACTAAGAAAGGTATACTCACAACATTTAGAATAAATGGAAACTGAAAAACTATTAATAGGCCAAATCTTAAAAGAGGATATACCAATGCTGACATGCGTACCCACACATATATTTGGCATTTTTGATAGAACAGGTTTGTTCTGGAGAGTTTATACGTAATGAATTTTGCTAAAAGTTTTCTGTAACATCCCTGTGTTGTAATAGGGGAAGAAGCATCACTTTTCTCTTTTTATAATTAGAAAATGCAGGCTTATAAGGTTATACTCAGAGTGGGTCAAGCTGAATATTGGGTAATCTTGAATCATAAACCATCCATACCCTCGTTTAAAAATTATTGTCTCCATGAATAATAATAGGAACAAGAGTCTATATGAGCCCAGCAGTGCAAATTAGCCTACAAATTAACTTGGTTTGGCAAAAGTAAAGTATGCTCTTAGTCTTCTTCAAAAATACTTATTCAGACATATGTAAAAGAAAATTATGGTATATATTTGTAAGTAATTGAAGTGTTTGGGAGTTTTTCTGTTTGTTTGGTCCTTGATTTTTTTTTTGGAGGGGTGGCATGTTTATGTTTTTTTTTGTGTAGCTTACCATAGCCAGATAAATTAAATGCATTGTAAGTCACTGAAAAATAGAACAAATTTAAATTGAATAAGGAATATGGTTTTATAGGATTATAGCATAGTTAATAATATCACTAACATAAAGAAGAAGTGTCAGGAAAAGAACAATAACACAGGCTATGATGCTGAAAGGAACCAACATCTAGAATAGCAAAAGTGATAAAAGGAAAATAATAGGAAATGAACTGAATTTCATAAAAGGTGTCTTTCTAATGCCTTTAAATATAAAAGAAGGAAGTAGGATCGAGTACACTAAAAAGAAAAATAGTCATATGATGTAAGAGTTTGTCCACCAGAGCTTAACAAAAACAGTGGAGAACAGAAAAAAAAATGGGCTAAATATTGAATACAATAGCAGTTTAGTAATGATCAGAGGACAGGGAGATGGGGGGATCATGTCTCGGCAAAAGAAAGGTCAAAACAAGGCAGAAAGTACATTTTGGGTTAATTCAAACAAGGTAAAGTAATAGAAGAAAATAATACCAAGTAGACATTGTTTTAAGATAATGAAATGTATAGCCTAATGTTATGCACATTGCTTAGCAACAAGCAATTAAAAAAAAGAATGAAAAAGGAACTATGGAAAAGAAGAGACATGTGTCTTGTAAAGTGGTCAGATACAAGATGAAAATGAGAAGAGCCAAGAAAGAAAATGAATTTAGACCTCAAAGAAGTTTGAGATAAATGACCCACATTTGTTATTGTCTCTTAGGTCAGTTTTTTAAAAAAGTTAGATACTGAATTATAATAATCATTAAAATAACTGCTCAAAGTAGAGATATTGATTGCTATGTAAAATGTACTCCATATTCTTTATATATAAAGCTGTGAAGATATATTTAGACATTCATATAATTGAATATTTTGAGAAAATATATTTTAATACAGTATGATAAAACAAATCTATAAAAATGATTTAAATGTGATTTAGAAGGGCATTTGGAGATGATTTTCATCTTTTATTTTCTTGTTTTGGATATGGATTGTTGCTTTATACATCTCTAATACTTTATTGTAAATATTTAAATAGTGGGTAGCATCTGACCTGTTTGTAAAGTTCAGAAGTACCTTTATATAAATAATAGCTTCTAAAGGCCAGTAGACGCATTTAAAAATAAACAAGTAAATTAATTCATCCCATACCTGGCAGTTAAAATAGAATGCATTTCCATTATATGGCTTTAGATTTGACTTTGTAAAAACTAAAAGCAATACAAACCCCACATACCACACTACCACAGGGGTCATCTAATGAAAGGATTATTGTCTCAAAACATTGCTCAGATCATCTTTTAGTACGTCCCACCTGCAAGCTAGAATTTTTCTCCTAGTCATCTGTCTTTTGAAATCATAGAATCTCAAACCTTGTTTTTTCCCCTATCCATTTGAGAAAATGACCAACGTTCTGTAGCGTTGGAAGAAAGGTACAGATTTAATAACACACGTGGAAGCAATTGAACAAAAGTGGTAATAATCAGGCTTTTATTATTGAGTTTTGGGACTTACATGTCATTACTTATGATAAAGCTTCACAGTGCTTCTGCCAATCAGAGTTCTTACTGCTCAGTGTTTTGAGGTTGAGAGTGGTAAATTAAAGTGTGCAGTGCCTCTCAAAATAGTTATCCAATGTCTTAATATATGAAGGGGTGCCTTTTGAGATACTCTGATTTGTATTTAGGATTTACCCATTGCTAAAGCTGAGTGCTTTTAATTAAAACAGTAGATCCAAACAACTGCCAAACCCTTTCATGGAGTAAAATACCATATTTTAGTAAATCTGAGACACCATTGATTCTAGGGGCACCATCATATTATGTACCACTAATGACAGAAAAAGTTCTGCCTGTTAAACTGTGACACACTGCTAAGATACCAACAATTGCAAGATGCTTTGCAAATTTAGAAATTTTTAAATTGTGGAAAATGGTATTAGAGAAGCAAGGAAATAAGATCATGTGCACCTTCGCCACCTCGTTCTGAATTATCTTTAGATTTCTTATACCCAGTAGTAATCCTATCCAGTGTACTTTATTCTGCCCTTTTAGAACCTCTTCTTGGCCCCATTACCTGATTTCACTGCATGTAACCTTGACTTCACTCAAAAATACTTTTGGTTGGCCGGGTGCGGTGGTTCATGCCTGTAATCCTAGCACTTTGGGAGGCCGAGGCGGGCAGATCACAAAGTCAGGAGTTCAAGACCAGCCTGACCAACATGATGAAACCCCGTCTCTACTAAAAATACCAAAATTAGCCAGGTGTGGTGGCACACACCTATAATCCTAGCTACTCAGGAGGCTGAGGGAGGAGAATCGCTTGAACCCAGGAAGCAGAGGTTTCAGTGAGCTGAGATCACACCACTGCACTCTAGCCTGGGCGACACAGCCAAACTCCATCTCAAAAAAAAAAAAACTTTTGGTCATCTACTCTGGGAGTAGATAGTACTCTGACTATCTCAGTCAAACATGCCTCTCTGACCTATCCTAGCCTTACGAGAGGATGTAGACATCAATTGTGGATAGTCCGTGGGCTCATTCTTGCCTTGTAAGCAGGATGTAGGCATCAGTTCATGAAGATCTGGTCCTACAGCCGTTGTAGAGCTTCTTCATTCAGTGTTGGTTGGGCTTCTACCAGGAGCCTGGCATTGTGCAGGTGCTCCAAGTTACAACACTGAACAAGACATGTCCTGCAGGCAAGGACCTTGCAGTCTGGGAGAGCAGATGCATAAACGGGGATTGGAATTCACTTAACTTTAGCCATGACAGGCAGCGCTGCCAAGAGGTAAAGTTTCTCTTCAACTCTTCCTTGATTTACTTTCCCCCCTCTTTTTTCTTGTGACCCCAACTGAACCCTTCATAATATCAAACAAATGTAATCTGCCTTGCATTGCACAGAAGCCCATCAAGAATTCTCTACAAATGGACTATCTGAACCCATGCACATGTTGTTTTGTTTTTTACTTTTTTTAAAACACATCTTACATATATAATCATGTGCACATTTTGAATAGAAATTTCCCCCGTCCTAATCAGCTACCCAAATGGGAGTAGGAATAACTCATTGTAATGATGATGTTTGACCCTGTCTTGGAGATAGCATGACCAAGAGGCCCAGCACCCTCTGACCTTAGGATGTGATCTAAATACAGCCTCATCTGTTTAACGGAAACATCTCCTCCTCCTCCTCTTTTTCTCCCTCCTCCTCGACCACCACCACCACTGATGCTAGTAATAGAACCCATTCTGGGCCCTGCCTTCTCTCTAGCTCTAACTCAGCCAAGCTTCTGGGAAAAGTAGTCTGCTTGTTGTTTTCATTTCCCCACAGTCTCTACTTCTGAACTCAGTACAGTATGGCTGTCACTTCTACCAGCTCCACTGAAATAATTTTGCTGTGCTCACCAACAACCTCCCAGTTGCCAAATGTAACCTTCACCCTTCAGTCTTTGAACCCTTTTCAACATTCAAACTAATGACCTCCTTGAGATGCCCTTTTCCATTGGCATCTGACACTGCTCTCTTGGGTCGAGTCTGACCTTTAACAGCCAATGCTTCCACTCTCCCTTGGTGAATGGCACTCTGCCTGCATGCCCTTTCCAATTTTCTCTTCCTTACCAGTATACTTCTCTGGGATATTTCACTCACAGGCTCCACTCCCACATGGAGGACTCCCAGTTCCATTCCTTTAGCTCAGCTTGGTTTTCTCAGTGTCTCACCCCCATCTTCAACTCCTACTGAACGTCTTTCTCTGGGTATCCTCAATGACCCCTCAAACTCCACATATTCTAAATGGTTTATATTACCTTTAACCTGCTGATCCTTCTCCTTTTTTGTATAACTTTCTTTGGTTCATGATACCACCATTTACCCAGTTACCCATAACTGGAACCTCTAAATCAACCTCTTTTCTTGACCACTTATAACCAACTGGTCACCAAATTCTGTCTCGTCTACCACCCATATCTGTCTCCATTTTTTTCCACCTCAACATTCTTGACCCGTGCTATCTTAGTTGGCTGTAACAAAGTACCTCACAATTGTGTGGCTATATGGTTTGGCTGTGTCCCCACCCAAATCTCATCTTGAATTGTAGGTTCATAATTCACATGTGTCATGGGAGGGACCCAGTGGGAGGTAATGGAATCATGGGGGTGGGTTTTTCCAGTGCTGTTCTCATGATAGTAAGTCTCATGAGATCTGATGGTCTTTATAAAAGGGCAGTTCCCCTGCATGGCAGTTCTTAGTTGATGGAGTAATTTGTCTGTTTAATTCCGATAACGAACAAGACTGTGGCATGCTAACTAGTTACGCGAACCCCGAGCAGTCAGCATCCCCCAACTTCTTAGAGGGACAAGTGGCATTCAGCCACCTGAGATTGAGCAATAACAGGTCTGTGATGCCCTTAGATGTCCACGGCTGCATGTGCACTACACTGACTGGTGGCGTTCTGCCCCCATCCCAAAGATCTGTGGAACTTTGAACTTGAGAGAGATGATTTAGGGTATCTGGTGGAAGAAATTTCTAAGCAGCAAAGCATTCAAGAGGTGACTTGAGTACTTTTTTTTTTTTTTGAGACAGTTTCACTCTGTTGCCCAGGCTAGAGTGCAGTGGCGCAATCTTGGCTCACTGCAAGCTCCGCTTCCCAGATCCACGCCATTCTCTTGCCTCAGCCTCCCGAGTAGCTGGGACTACAGGGGCCTGCCACGGCGCCCGGCTAATTTTTTGTTAGTAGAGGCGGGGTTTCACCATGTTAGCCAGGATAGTCTCGATCTCCTGACCTCTTGATCCACCCACCTTGGCCTCCCAAAGTGCTGGGATTACAGGTGTGAGCCACCACGCCCAGCTGACTTGAGTACTCTTAAAAGCATTCCACTTTATTCATTCACAAAGATGTGGTTTGGAATTGGAACTTATATTTAAAAGGGAAGCAGAGCATAAAAAAATTGGAAATCTGCAGCATGACAGTGCAATAGAAAAGAAAAACCCATTTTCTGGGGAGAAATTCAAGCTGGTTGCAGAAATTTGCATAAATAACAAGGAGCCAAATGTTAATCACCAAGACAACGGGAAAAATGTTTTCAGGGCACGTCAGAGACCCTTATGCCAGCCCCTCCCATCGCAGGCCCAGAGGCCTAGGAGGAAAAAATGGTTTTGTGGGCTGGGCCCAGGACCTTGCTGCTTTGTGCAGTCTCAGGACTTGGTGCCCTGCATCCCATCTGTGGCTAAAAGGGGCCAATATACAGCTGAAACCATTGCTTCAGAGGGTGTAAGCCCCAAGCATTGGAGGCTTACATGTGGTGTTGGACCTGTGGGTACACAGAAGTCAAGAACTGAGGTTTGGGAACCTCTGCCTAGATTTCAGAGGATGTATGGAAACACCTGGATATCCAGGCAGAGGTGTGCTGCAGGGGTAGAGCCCTCATGGAGAACCTCTGCTAGGGCAATGCAGAAGGGAAATGTGGGGTTGGAGCCTCCACACAGAGTCCCCACTGGGACTAGTGGAGCTGTGAGAAGAGGGCCACCATCCTCCAGACCCCAGAATGATAGACCAACTGACAGCTTGGATCGTGTACCTGGAAAAGCCACAAACACTCAATGCCATCCTGTGAAAGCAGCCAGGAGGGGAGCTGTACCCTGCAAAGCCACAGGGGCAGAGCTTCCCAAGGCTGTAGAAACCCACCTCTTACATCAGCGTGTCCTGGATGTGAGACCTGGAGTCAAAGGAGATCATTTTGGAGTTTTAAGATTTGGCTGCCCCACTGGATTTAGGAGTTGCATGGGGCCTGTAGCCCCTTTGTTTTGGCCAATTTCTCCCATCTGGAATGAGTGTGTTTATCCAATGCCCGTACCCCCATTATATCTAGGAAGTAACTAACTTGCTTTTGATTTTACAGGCTCCTAGGCTGAAGGGACTTGCCTTATCTCAGATGAGACTTTGGACTGTGGACTTTTGAGTTAATGATGAAATTAGTTAAGACTTTGGGGGACTGCTGGGAAGGCATGTTTGGTTTTGAAATGTGAAGACATGAGATTTGGGAGGGGCCAGGGACAGAATGATATGGTTTGGCTGTGTCCCCACCCAAATCTCATCTTGAATTGTAGCTCCTATAATCCCCTCATATCATGGGAGTGAGCTGGTGGGAGGTAATTGAATTATGGGGGTGGGTTTTTCCCATATTGTTCTTGTGATAGTGAATAAGCCTCACGAGATCTGATGGTTTTATAAACGGGAGTTCCCCTGCACAAGTTCTCTTGCCTGCCGCCACGTAAGATGTGCCTTGCTCCTCCTTCACCTTCCACCATGATTACGAGGCCTCCCCAGCCATGTGGAACTGTGAGTCAATTAAACCTCCTTTATAAAGTACCCAGTCTCTGGTATGTCTTTATCTGTGACATAGACTAATACTAATACTAATACTAGTGTGAGAACAGACTAATACAGTGGCTTAAACAACAGCAAAATTTATTTTCTTACAGTTCTGGAGGTTAGAAATCTGAGAAAGCAACAGGGTTGGTCCCTTCTGAGCTCTTTCTCTTTGGCTTGCAGATGGCTACCTTCTCTCTGTATCTTCACATATTCTTCCCTGTGTGTGTGTGTGTGTGTGTCCTAATCTCTTCTTATAAGGATACGGTCATATTCTTCCACATGTGTGTGTGTCTGTGTGTGTGTGTGTGTGTCCTAATCTCTTCTCATAAGGATACAGTCATATTGGATTAGGGCCCACCTGCATGACTTCACTTAAATGTAATCACCTCTTTAACAACCCTATCTCTAATTACAGTCACATTCTAGGGTGCTGGGAGGTTAGGACTTCAGCATATGAGTTTTTGGGGGACACAATTCAGCCCGTACTACCTGCCTTCATTTTCTTATGAGCTTATTGCTCACTCTCCCACTTTGTTTCCATACCTCCAGTATCATCTACATTCTGACGTATCTTCCATATCACCGTCAGAGAGGTTATTCTGAATTCAAATAGCAGTGCAGTACTCTCCCTGCTTAAAGCCTTGGGTCAGTGGAGTATCTACCCAGACCCCTGCACAAGGCACTCTTTCCTACTTGCACTGTGCCCCACCCATGCGGAAGTATTTCAGCTTCCCTAAAGGCTTAGACCTGCACCTCTGTGCCTTTGCGCGTGTGGCTTTCTGGGTCTGAATGTTCTTAACCCTGCCTCCCTTTGTCTTATCAACTGAATTGTTTAAGACCCAACGTAGGTGGCCAGGAGGAAACATGGCAAATAGCAATAGAACAAATGGAGAGAAACTGTTGAATTATTATATGAGAAGGCATCTTGTTCATAAGAACACAAAGGAAAAGAATATGGTAATGTAAATTAGGCTGTTACAGACTTTTGTCATTCTGTGGAGCCCCTGAAACTTTCTTAAAGGGATGGATGATAAAATTTACATCTTCCTTTTCATCAGTTACTTAGTCATTAGTTCAGGGCCCATCTCTCCATATGTAATCACTGCCTAGCCTTCCCAAATCGGAGCCCCGTCATAGGGCTGCAGTGGGATCTGGAGAACCCACTGTCAGCAGTCTCTGTTCTTTAACCCTAGACACAGGAACAATGCAGCTCTTCCCCACCTTTTCTGAAAAATGAGTACAAATTGCAAGAAATGCAGCACAGATTGTACGATGTCAGTACATTAGCAGTGACATGGGAAATCTGATGGAGTCAGGGGGAAAAGGTGTAAATTGCAGGATAATATCAAGGGGAGGTCAGTATGTTAGTAATGCAGGGAATATGATGGACTTAAAGAAAAGGTATAAATTACTGGGTAATAGAAAGGAGAGGTCAGTACATTAGTAACATGGGAAAACTGGCAGATTTGGGAGGAAAAGGTGCAAATTATAGGATAATGCAAAGTAGGGGCATCACTGTAAAGATGCTTCATTTCCTGTTTATAAGGAGGAGTTGGGGAGGGACTTGCAGTGGATTCACAGATAATTGCCTAGAAAGTGCCCGGGTTGGTTGCTACCTCTCCTCCAGGCAGGAAGACTTCCTCACCAATGAGGTGGTCAGCCCCAGGTCCACCCATTGAAACAACTGTACAGAGATTCATCCTGGGTTGGCAGAAGGCTCTACCCTCTTTCAGATAATAGTTATATAGACAGATGCCTATATTGAGTGAGAATGTAGGGAAATTTATGATTTCCATAGGCAGAAACCAGAGAATCATTAGAAGTTTGTTTTGGGAGATGGATGGTAGGGCATGTAATACTTGTTAGGGAAGCATGGTGAGAGCTGAGCCATCTCAGTCCAGTCCCTCCTGCACTCTTGTCTGCCAACTTCAGACCCACATGGAGTTAAAGGTCTCAAAGATTTTCACAGGATTTAATCAAACTAAAAAATCCACATTTCAAGACCCATATTTGGAAGAAAAATATTTTGAAAAGCAAGAGAATGAGAAATGAAAAGTTCAGGAAAGTGATTACTTAAGAAGATGTGGCACAGGGCTCATATCAAGAAGGAACACAGCGGGAGCTATGTTTTGTTTTTGTTTTTGTTTTTGTTTTGAGACAAAATCTCACTCTGTTGACCATGCTGCAGTGCAGGGGCACGATCTTGGCTCACTGCAACCTCCACTTCCCGGGTTCAAGCGGTTCTCCTGCCTCAGCCTCCCCAGTAGCTAGACTACAGGCGCCCACCACCATGCCTGGCTAATTTTTTTTTTTTTTTTTTTTTTTTAGTAGAGATGAGGTGTCACCATATTGGCCAGGCTGGTCTTGAACTCCTAACCTTGTGATCCACCTACCTCAGCCTTCCAAAGTGCTGGGATTACAGGCATGAGCCACCGCTTCCAGCCAGCTATGGTAATCTTGTTAGTTTTCTAGTTCTGACATTGGGGGTGAGTTCACAAGTTTTGGTTTTATTATGCTTCATCATATACCTATTAGTCACATATGTTCTTTTGTATGTATTAACTATTACATAATACATTTTTGGGATCAGCTTAGGGACATTTATAACTGGAATTATTGAATTGCTATGAGTCATATAACATCTGTTGGATTCTTATATGGCTTTAGTAGAGTGGAGGGTAGTGTCTTCCCGTAAAAGCCCTGTAATATCAAACAAGAATGTCTGACAGGAAAATGGTCTATCTCCCCACCTTCCTGGGAGAAATACTGGAGATGTTCAAGGTTTTACCTTTCTTAGATAGTAGATAGATCATGAAATTATTGCAGACTAAGTGCTCTGGTATTTTCCTAATCTAAGATTATTTTAAAATTATTTTAGCTTAATGTCTAATTCTAGATACAGTTAATTTTCATCAGTTCTGAAAACAGATGCTAAACACCTATGTTTATAATGCTGAGGGGGCATTACCTGGGAATTTGAGACATTTGGGAAGATCTTCTATGTACTCTACCAACCTCACTGTTCTTGAGGAATGAAGAAGCCATCATATTTCCTTTTGTAATTCTGTCTTCCATCTGGTCAGGAGAAAGAAGGATTCTTCAAGCCTTTCTCAGGTGGCAAAACTCTAAGGAGAATCCTGTGCTTTTTGTGTCCCCTGTGAATGACTGCAGCTCCTTGCTGACAGCTTAGCCCAAAACAAGGCCTCTGGGGACTCACCAGCCCTTATCACACTTGCGAAGAGAGCTTGATGTGTGGTCTAGTTGTTGTTGGGAGTTAGGACACTAGATTCTTTGTGAGGTCTCTTAGGATGTTGTTGTCATAAATAATACTCTCTGAAGGTTTTTACCACCTACTGTAGACCAAATGCTTTCTGTGCTTTGCTTTATTTACTCTTCACAGCAACCCAAGGTAGCTGTTGTCACCATCCCCATCTTGTGCTGAGGAAGCAGGGCCTAGAAAGAGGCGAAGTCACTTTTTGTGGCCTCTTAGGCAGAGTGCACACTCGGTCCTGTGGATTCTATAGCTCATGCTTCTAACAGTGGCAGGTCTTTGTCATTTAATCCTTTAATTCTGGTAACATTACAGGAGTGTATAGAATTTTTTTTAACCTCATAGAAGTGAGAATGTCTTACAGTTGTGATCAGACATTATGTAATAAGGACAAGTGGGTCAAGCTCTGTGACCTCCAGGCAGGAGCCCCCAATACATTAGAGATTGCTGAGATTTGACTATCCCTTTTAAAGTGAATTCCATGCTACTACTTTTCAGCAAAACTATATCACTGATACCAAGATGGTTAATATTTTCTAATAAGTGGGATTTAACATTTTTAAAGTGTGAGGAGGAGGGACCAAGTACATTAGAGATATTTTTATTTTTGTTTTTCTTTTTTGAGACAGGGTCTCACTGTCACCCAGGCTGGACTGCAGTGTTGTGAACATGCATCACTGCAGCCTCGAGCTCCTTGGCTCAAGTGATCTTCCTGCTTCAGCCTTCCAAGTAGCTGGGAACACAGATGTGTACCAACACATCTGGCTAATTTAATTTTTTTTTTGTAGAGTTGAGGTCTCACTATGTTACCCAGGCTGGTCTCAAACTCCTAGGCTCAAGTGATCCTCCTCAGCCTCCCAAAGTGCTGGAATTACAGACGTGAGCTATATTTCTTTAACATACTAGGATGAGACCTAGTGTGCACACATTTGTTTCTGTAAGAAAGCAGGTTTGCATAGTATTTTGGTGTCTGTTATGCTCACGAAGGATATGTCATTTTCCTTCTGATTTATAATTGGTACCTATGAGGGAAGTCACAGCACTTAATGTGAAATGGGCTTCAAAGGTAAAATATGAAGTGTCTTTATCCTTAGTTTGCTGATTTGTCTTTATTTGGCTACAGAAAATGTAAATACATTAATCTGGCATACAGAGCACGTAAAACAAGGAAATGCAGTGTAAAAGTAGCCAGAACTGGCCTCCTCCAGGTACAGAAGGCTGGCCACATCCCTGAAGACAGGTACTCACTGGGTGCTGCAGAGACCTTGGACCCCCAGTTGTAATCTTTTTAGGAGAGCTTTTTATAGTTTTTCTGCTTAATTCTACGGAGTATTTTATCTTGGTGTATTCTTGTAAATGCCTTAATTTGATGGAATTTCATACAAAATTGACATATCTTTCCTTTTAATGGGAATGTTTTGTATCTTTATAAACTCTTTCTGAGGACCACATAGTCCTGTACGTAATAGTGGTTTAAATATACATAATTTGAAGTGCAAACCACTCCAACTTACAAACCATATCATAGCAAGAGAAACCTTTATTTTAGCTTAGTCCTACTGGTCTTGCCAGTCTCTCTTGAGGGACCATATTCACTTGACTTGATGATGAGATTGCACACTGTTAATCTATCAGTTAAACAGGTGTTTATTGCATGCCTATTGTGGGCTTAGTTCAGGGTTTTCCCCTGTGCAAGAGACAAAGGAAGTACAGCCCCCAATTAAGAATGGATTGGTTTCCAAATGATTGGGAAGCTGAATCTGGAACCTGGAATGTGGCGCCCAACAATGTAATGAATGGCGCTTAATTTTCCAGGTTCGCCCATGAGGCATCGTTAATCGCTAGTGTGGTTCATCCATATCTTGATGTCTAAGGCTTCTGTTAGGGTTGAGATACAAAAGAAAAGCGGGGGGAACTTTCTTCTGCCTTTCTGGGTGCTAAGCTCACCCCTTCTTCAGTGCCCTCCTGCCACAGGGGTTCCCAGTGTCCTCCACAGTCGCCAGCTGCCTCCTCCCTGTTTCCCCAACCCAGCAAAACTCTCATTTCCTCGGCGTAGCAGATCTCAGTTAGATGTTAGTACAGAAGTATTTTGATTTAACTAATTCATACTAACATGTGCATAACTGATAACTTCCTTAATCTTCCCAGAGGCATTTGCATTATTAAAACAAAATACTTATTAAATGCATATTAAGTCAAGCAAGGGTAGATTATTTAGCACGTAGGATAAAGTGAAATAAAAGATTAAGACCATGCAAGGGCAGTTGCGTTGGGGCTGCAGGATCACCCTGGAGGCAGAGCAGCCGTAAGAGGAGCTTGTTCCCTGGGGCTGGCTCTCCAAAGCCCACCCTACTTCTCATCACCTCTTTCCTTATACTGTTTCTAAATTTCTGGATTCTGGAAAAGGCCACACATTAACATGATGTTGGCACCAGCAGAAGCTCCATTGGTTGAGGTGAGGTTTGGGGAGGACCAGGGATTGGCTGAGGTCATCCGTGACTGATTTTTAGGTTTGAGTTGCCAATACGCCAGATAGTAATAAATGTAGGGACTGCCTATATAAGGCAGGGTCGCTGACTAAAAAACAAGACAAAGGTATAGCACCAGTAGTGACCAGAAATCATGGAATCATTCAGCAGTTCAGGTCCTATTTGCTGATGGTGAGGCAGGAGACCTGGTTCCTGGCTTCATACTCAGTTTATAATCTAGTCAGGTAAATAGACTTTATGTAAATAATTACACTAAAAACAAGATCAGGCCAGGCGCAGTGGCTCACGCCTGTAATCCCAGCACTTTGGGAGACCAAGACAGATCACTTGAGGTCAGGAGTTGGAGACCAGCCTGGCCAATACGGTGAAACCCTGTCTCCACTAAAAATACAAAAATTAGCTGGGTTTGGTGGCAGGCACCTGTAATCCCCGCTACTCAGGAGACTGAGGTTGGAGTGGGCCAAGATTGTGCCACTGCACTCCAGCCTGGGCAACAGAGTGAGACTCTCAAAAAAATAAAAATAAAAAAAAGATAAATAAAACATTTTTAAAAATGAGATCATTACACATTTCTCTACCTGCTGTCATAGAAAACCAAAGAACATCATGAATGATTATAGCCCGGGGCCTGATTGAGCTGGAGTGGGGGTGGCTTCTCTGAGGGAGACATGTTTCAGCCTAGACAAGGAGATCAAGGCTGGGTCAGCCAAGTGACGAGGGTGTGGGCCCAGGGCTTAGGAGAGCATTTTAGGCAAGACGCATGGTGTGCAAGACCATGGGGAGGAAACACTCTTGGTGCCTTTGAGAAGTGGCTGGTGAATCTTGAAGAGGGAGAACCTGCAGGTGCTGGAGGGGGCCCTTGGAGAGGCCAGGAGGCAGCTTTGTCCCACAGGCCTCGTGGGCCACGTTTTGAGGATAGAACCTGAAAGGCATGGGGTCTGACATTAGGAATTTTAAGCAGGGGAGCAACAGCTTCTACTGTGTGGCCCTGGCCATGCGTTTAATTGGGGCTTAAAGAAGGGAATCTACTATTGGTGAGGGCAATTCAGATCTGAAGGGAACAGAAGGGGCTCTTGCCATACGGTGTCATTTAGGGGTGCCCAGAAGGGCCCCTGCCCAAAAATGTCTTTCCAACCATCCCTGACGGTGTCTAAAATCCTATCATTGAACTTCATCTCCTTTAAAACACAAGTCCTCTGACAGTCAAGCAGGATCAGACAAAATTGCAGGATATTTAAAAATTTTGTCAGGCCAGGCACGGTGACTCATGCCTGTAATCCCGGCACTTTGGAAGGCTGAGGTGGGCGGATCACTTGAGCTCAGGAGTTTTAGACCAGCCTGGGCAACATGGCAAAACCCTATCTCAGGCCAGGCATTGTGGCTCACACCTGTAATCCCAACACTTTGGGAGGCTGAGACAGGCAGATCACTTGAGGTCAAGAGTTCGAGACCAGCCTGGCCAACATGGTGAAACCCCATCTCTAGTTTAAAAAAATACAAAATTAGCCGAGCATGGTGGTGGGCGCCTGTAATCCCACCAACTTGGGAGTCTGAAGCAGGAGAATCCCATGAACCTGGGAGGTGGAGGCCACAGTGTGCTGAGATCGCGCCACTGCACTCCAGGCTGGGCGACAGAGTGAGACTCCATCTCAAAAAAAATAAACACAAGCCAGACATGGTGGCATGCGCCTGTAGTTCCAGCTACTCTGGAGGCCGAGGTGGGAAGATCACTTGAGCCCAGGAGGTTGACGCTGCAGTGAGCCGTGATTGTTTCACTGCACTCCAGCCTGGGCATTGGACCCAATCTCAAAAATAAAAATAAATTTTTTTTAGACCTCCAGCCATCCTTTTCAAATAAAGTATCTCTCTCTCTCTCTCCCCGCATAGCATCCCTTCCCTCTTCAGACGCCCAGGACTCATATGTCAGTCTCTAAATCAACACCTGATTTCAAGAGAGGCTCTGTCGGATATGACTTATATGAACTTTATGATGCAATTTTGAATCAGTCTGTTGCCTTTTCCCAGGTTATAATGTATGGCTGATTGTAACTCCAGCTGCTTTAGGTGATAAAAGGAATTCGTTGACTCTCACAACAGAACCATGCAGAAGTGGGACTGCCTCTGGTGCAATTTGATCTGGCCCCTGGCCGCAGGTCTCTGATGTTCTTTCAGCCTTGCCCTTGCCCCGTGTCAGTGGTGATCTTGGACTGACTCCCACCAAGGATGCAGCACTGACTGCAGCGGCTCCCGGCCTCACACCCGTAACCTCACCAACCTGAGCTGAAAGTGCTGCTCTACTCAGGACGGTCACAAGCCCTTGGCTTCTCTCTAAGGTTGTGGGACACCCCTGAGCCAATTATTAGGTCCAGGAGTATCTAATAATCTGAGAACTAGTCACTGAGGGCATCCTGCTGATTGGTGGAGTATAATCTCTGGAGCTGTGGGTGGATCCTTCTCTCCCAAATCACAGGGACCCTGGAGACCAAGAATGGGCACAAGGTTGAGTCAGCTCTAGGGAAGCACCAAACAACACTGACGCATAGGGATATTTGTATTTTAAGTATTTAGTCTGTTAATTTAATATTAAAGAAATGTGGCTGGACATAGTGGCTCACGCCTGTAATCCCAGCACTTTGGGAGGCCAAGGCAGGCAGATCACTTGAGGCCAGGAGTTCGAGACCAGCCTGGGCAGCATGAAAAAACCCTGTCTCTACAAAAAAACAAAAAACAAAACAAAAATTATCTGGGCATGTTGACGTGCACCTGTAGTCCCAGCTACTATTTGGGAGGCTGAGGTGGAAGGATCAGTTGAGCCCAGGAGGTCAAGGCTGCAGTGAGCCATGATTGCACCACTGTACTCCAGCCTGTGTAACAGAGTGAGACCCCATCTGAAAAAAAAAGGAAGGAAACAAAAGGAAAAAGGAAAGAAAAGGGAAAAAGAGAAAGAAACATGGGCATCAGCAAACAGATGGGAGAGGAATTGTTTTTAGGGTAGACCGTCAGGCCATCCAACAGTTCCTGAAACTTGTGCTTCCTGTACTAGCCTTGCCCATGACACTCATTCATATAATCACTAATTTGTTAGTATGGCTCAGTTATGCAATTATTTTTGCCTCTGACATACTCCTGTGTTAAAGGGAGTGCATTTGAGCTTGGATCCAGGACATTTAAAATTGGCTAAGTATGTGGGTGTTGGGGATGGAATTCCATAAACATGTAGATCCTGTTTGTTTAGGACCATTATGCATTATTTAGAACTAGTTATTTAAAAATTAAGTAGTGTTCCTCATTGGTTATATTAGAATAATTTTATAAATAAGCTTGAGAGAAGTGGAAGAAGATGCAAATAAGGGTTATTGGTTAAAGAAAAGTTTGATGATCTTTTGTTTGCTATCTTATCTAAGTTTAAAGAGTTTTTAAAATTCAGAATACATGAATTTTCAGTTTTAAAAATACTGGGATTTTTTTTAGTTTTTACTTGACTAGTTAGTACAGGCTGTATTGAATTCTTCAGAAATACTTCAAAATCAGGCAAAATGTGTAGCATTGCCAATTTTTCATCCTAGGTCCTTTTTTTCTCAACCAACTGTATTCATTAATATTCACAGATATATGAACATAAAATGAGCATATGCTCAACAAACATTTATCATGTGCAGGGTGCATCCCCATTGCTGGGGATACGGAGAAGTAGAAGACACACTTCCTTTCCTCAGGGAACAGCATATGATCTCTTTGGGAAGAAAAGCAAATAACATGGAAAATAAAAAGTAGCAGTTCATTCACTACCTAGTGCCAGCAGGCAAACCAACAATGAGTTTAGAAAAGGGGGAGCAGTTGCTGGGGTGAGAGGAGAAAGCCTGCAGAGGATGGGAGAGGCTCAGATGTTGGCAAGGAAAGGGAGAACATCCCAGGTGGTCAAACAAGTTTGCTTTTGCAGTTGAATTTCATTCTATTTTTCTTAAAATTATGGAGTATGCTGCTTAATTCCAAGATTTTCTTTATTGTGTAATATTTCCTGTAGAATTGTTAGGAGTTGGTCATATAGATCACTTCTGAATCTGACTATCATCAAGTTGGCAGAGTTCTTAGCTGGCTTTCTTTAACATTGAGTTGTTGGATTATTCTTAGTTTAATAAATTTAGGATTAAACCTAAAATTTTCCATTTCATATTATTTCTTCCCTTTTAGTTATTTCCTGTCCTTTACTCTTCATTTTTTTTTTCTACTAAGTCTGTGAACTCCCCTAGGTGGCTGTGAATTCCTTTTAGACAGAGATCATCAACTCCCTGGAGCTTTGGATAGTGCTTGGCACATAGAAGATGCACATTAAATGCTTAGTAAATGTATGGAAACATTTCACATATGAGTAGAAAGAAATAATGCAGAGGAAATTAGATGTAAGTACATATGTATAATTGTAATTTTACTTATGATTTTGAACAATCTATCTTCTTATAGCAGCTTCCTGCTAGTTTTACCTAACTCAGAGCTAACTTTGTCTTACCTTCTCCAGGAGGTAAGATTTAGAAACCTACTAAAGTGCTCTCAGACATCAGTTATTTTGTAAGTCAGAGTTGTTATCTATGATACATTAACATGTTTGATGATGTGAATGCTCAAATTTTACAAGATCTTTTGTTCCTCTTCTGCATAATTCAGTTCTTTTAAGAACAACTTATGTGTTGTAGTTCCATGTGTGTATTTCAGACTAGTCAACACAACTAAAATCTGATCATGATTACTAGCTTTTCAAAGTCATCCTTCATTTCCCACCAGGTAGCTTTCTGTCAGAATTCATTTCCCATTTGGAAAATATGTCTCTGACCCACAGTTTTCTGGACACAATTCATCCTTCACATGTGTGAGACTGCCCATTGTCATCAATCCTCAGCTCCTCAGGTGCCAAAAATCCCCTCTATATTCAGAGTGATAAAATATATCAAAAGTGTTACAGGAAAGAAAACTAACAAAAATGTTTAAAAGATTTTTGTCCCAGTGGTTTTTCTAATAAAAAAAAATGCTTTTAGTATCTGTTTCTATTATTACTGTTTAAGAAATTAAAATAATAACTGTTACAGTTGAAACAGGATGTGCTTTCTATTTTCTTTCCATCTTTATATAATTAAAAGTGAACTTTGGCAGAGCTGCAATATAATTCAATTCAATTTAGCAAACATTTGTGGAGACCCTTCTGCTGGTCCCGCAATACCATGGTTTCTATAAGAGCTGGCTTTTAGTTGCAGCAAGTGCAAGAGAGTGTGATCCAGATGTGACTGCTAAGGAAACTAAAATTCACTGTGGAAGGAGATTAGGTAAGGAAAGATTCATCCAAGAAGGAATTTCATGTTTAATTTTGGACAAAGAATTAAATTTGGTTTGTGTCTCTGTCAATTTTTTGTTGCTATAACTGAATACCTGAGACTTGGCAATGTATAAAGAAAAGAAATTTATTTCTCACAGTTCTAGAGGCTGGGAAGTCCAAGAACATGGTACCAGCATCTGGAGAGGACCATCTTGCTGCATCATAACATGGCAGAAGGCATCACATGGAGAGATGACAAGAGCATGTATGTCAGCTCAGGTCTCTCTTCCTCTTTTTATAAAGCCAATAGTCCTCTCATGAGGGCCCCATCCTGATGGTCTTATGTAATCCCAATTACCTCCAAAAGACCACATTCCTAATCAGTTTATAAATTTGGGGATTAAGTTTCCAACACATGAAATTTGGGGGACACATTTAAACCATAGCAACTTGCAAAGGGGAATGACATTGCAGGTAAGGGCCACTGGGATTGGGTTCAGCAGGGCATGTACTAATTCTTGGGCAAGGAAGGGACATGATGAGAAAGGTCTTCATCTGTTTGCAGGCTGCAGCAGATACCAGAGAACTAAGTAACTGACCGAGGCTTAAGTGATGAGGTCTTGTTTCTAGGGTAAAGGAGGTAGACATGTGAAGGCTAAGTCAAATCTTAGAAAGGGAAGGTCAAATCTTAACACAGAATCAGGTAGCCTCAGTAGCTTATTGGATATTGGGAAGCAATGTGAAGAGAATTGTCAAGGTTAGTTCCAAGGATGGAGAGCCTAGGTGAGTAGGGAATCATGGTGTCATATTAGTATAAATGGATGGTGAGAAAGAGAAGTGTAATAGGCAGAGGCTTTAGAGGATGTCAGTGGATAGGAGGAAAGCCAGAAAAGGAATGTCAGAGGAGAACCGGGAACTTACAGTTTCATGGAAGCAAAGAGAAGACAGTGTTTCAAGATGACAAGAAGAACAGAAAAGTCAAGAAATAAGAGGTCTGAGTTTGGTTTTGTTTAGGAGAAGGACAAAATGTTGACCTTTGAGTAACTTCAGAAAAGTAGTGGAAGTGGGTACCAGATGGCAAAGGCCCTGAAAATGGAGAAGAATTTGTGTTACTGGGGAGACTGTAAAACAAGATCCTTCAGTCACTTCAAGTAATAAACCCCTTGGAAGGAAATTTACTCCTTAACTGACTAGCATTATGTTACAAAATGCCAGTATATTATTAATACCTGGAGATTTAAAATGTACCTGTTTTCACACTGTAACCCAGAAACATTATTTTTACAAACCATTTGGAAATAATAGTTTGATATTCTTTGATTCCACTCTTTCAGAATTTCACTTATCCCTCTCCAAGATTTATTTCTGGGTCATTGATTCAGATTCCAAAACTAATGTTTTCTATAAGCTTATTTTATGCCTAGTAGAGTTTAAATTCAAACATTTTCTAACAGTAGCAACTGAAATATCTTCAAAGACATTTTTCACATCTACCTTACTTTTTCTTGGTTGATTATATCTTTTTGAAAACACCCCAGATTGACAGCATGTGAGGTAGTATGCCTATAGTAACAACACAAGCTTTTTAGAATGGTTGAGAAATGTACTTTGGCCTTGTTCTGGTTCCTGAAGACATTTGTTTGTTTGTTTGTTTGTTTGTTTTGAGATGGAGTTTTCACTCTTGTCGCCCAGGCTGGAGTGCAATGGTGCGATCTCGGCTCACTGCAACCTCCGCCTCCTGGGTTCAAGCGATTCTCCTGCCTCAGTCTCCCGAGTAACAGGGATGATGGGTGCCCGCCACCACACCCAGCTAGTTTTTGTGTTTTTAGTAGAGACAGAGTTTTACCATGTTGGCCAGGCTGGTCTCAAACTCCTGATCTCAGGTGATCCACCTGCCTCGGCCTCCCAAAATGCTGGGATTACAGGCATGAGCCACTGCACCTGGCCCTGAAGATATCTTTTAGTCCTAAAAGGAGCCAATAAAGGAAAAAGCACGTTAGAACCAGAGTCATAGGACCTAGGTTCTGTTCCCTCCTTTGGGGCTTGACTGTGAGGAGATCAACATCTAGAGTTCCTCAGCAATGAAGTGAGAAGACGGTATCAGAGGGCCAATTTGGTCTCATTCAAATAAAAAAGCTCAGAATGCATGGCTATACTATATATTCTGTCTTCCACTAATCAAGCCTACTGCATGGTATGACTCCACATTTGCAGACGTGATCAGAGTGTTCCTCATGCCCCCTCCTCTGCCTGTTTCCTCTGTCTATGATGGAACAGCCTTACTTCTCCCTTCATGTGCCCAACTCTCTTACCCTCCTAACCTCAGGCTACCTGTTTTTTTGGCATACAGTGGCATCCCTGGCACCTAGCACCTCTGGTACAGCTCAGGTGCTCCATAAATATTTGATGACAGAGTAAATGGACTGTGTTGTATTATTGTCCACCCTGGTGGTTCTCCACACTGACTAAACATCAGAAACAGAGATCTCCAGGTCCTACTCCCCTGCCTTTGGCATTTGAGTTTGTAGGAACAGGCCTATACATTCCTACTGTAAAATTCCGCCACAGGTCATGCTCATGTGAGAAACACAAGTCTCTCCTCCGTGAGTTCCTTGAGGAGGCAGACTATGGTTTCTGCCATTTCATTCCCATTCTGATTCTGGCAGAAATTAGATATACAAGAAATATTTGTGAATAAGAGAATTTAACTCTAGAGAAAAGTAATAAATAATAAATGAGAGGAAAATGCCCTTTCTTCTGTTTGCAGATCTAAAACCTTGGACCTTTAAAGACTAATTCACATTACCCATACCAAGTTATAGTTTTAAATAAGTGAAATTATGTAAGTGCCCAAACCACCAGATCTGATAAAATTCAGAGCTCATTGTTATCTAATAATTTTGGCTAGGACTACTCTGCTTTATTTGCCTGATTTTTACAATTTCGTGATAAGATATTTGCTTTCATTATTACTGCCTTACCATAGGCCTTATTTTAAATTGTTTCTTAATAAGTGACAATCCACCACTCTTTTGAGTCATATAATTCTAGTATTTTAAACTACAGTTTCTTTCTTTGGGGTGAGGGATGTGACGTGCTGAATAAAGGAGAACTAGTGTGAACTTCGGTGTTGCCACACCACCCACTCTTATGTATATCGTATTTCTATGCTCCAGAGAAAGCAATTAAGATAATTGTTTTTTAACTAAGAAAACTATGCCATCCTGAATACAAAAACCTCATCATTGGCCAGGCACAGTGGCTCAAGTGGGAGGCCAAAGCAGGCAGATCGCTTGAGCCCAGAAGTTGGAGACCAGCCTGGGCAACATAGGGAGACCCTGCCTCTACAAAAAAAAAAAAAAAAAAAAAAAATTAGCTGGGTGTGGTGATGCACACCTGTGGTCCCAGCTGCCTGGGAGGCTGAGGTGGGAGGATTACCTGAGCCCAGGAGGTTGAGACTGCAGTGAGCCATGATCACGCCACTGCACTCAACTCTGGGCGACAGAGTGAGACCTTGTCTAAAAACAAAACAAACCCTTCATCATTTATAGCCTATTAGCCTGTTGACCTGCATTTTAGTTATCTGTGGCTGAGTAACAAATTTCCCTGACACTCAGCTGATTAAAACAATAAACATTTAGTATCTCTCCAGTATCTGTGGGTCAGGAATCTGGGAGTGGCTTTGCTGGGTCGTCCTAGTTCATGTCCTCTCACGAAGTTACAGTCAAGGTATTGGTCATCTGAAGGCTTCCGAGGTGGCTCACTCAGATGCCTGCAAGTTAGTGCCTGTCTGCAGGAGGCCTCAGTTTCTTACCACATGGCCCTGTCATCAGGGCAGCTTGAGTGTCTTCACCACATGGCAAGAGAGCCAGGAGAGGGAGAGCCTAGAGGTAGCCCCATTGCCCACGTTTAGGGGAAAGGCTGTCAGGCTCTACTCTTGAAGGGAGGAACATCAAAGCATTTGTGGACATAGTTTAAAACTGCCACAGCCTGTACCATTAGATTCTGTTTGCTACCTTAGATGCTTTGTCCAGGGTCTGAAAGCATCTGTGATCCAAGTTATTTATGTAGTTTCTTCTCCATGAGTAGAAGCTGGATATCAGAATTTCTGGTTTCTACTTTATTATTTCTAGGGCCTACTTTCTTTTTATTCTCTTGTATAAGATAATGAGATACAGTAGTAAAAAAATCATGAAGTATTAGAATAAAAAGATATCATTTTCTCTGCACACCAGACTACAAACTTTTCCTGTCTAGACCATAATTCAGAACTTATTGTTTCTGAGAAGCCTTCTTATTGAAGGTGGAAAGAAATTTAAGAAAGCTGCCCAGTTTCTAGATGAACTGGTGAGGGCCAATTCCACAGCATTCACCTAGGATTAGAGGAGCAAGTGCCAGATATGACAGAGCTTCAGAGAAGGCATCTTACAGTTACTCAGGAGCTTCTCCAAAAATGGAACCAATGACCATCCAGCATTTTATTGGTGATTTTTTTATAGGAACTTTCAGAAAAAAAAGAAAGACCAGGTCAGTAACAGCTATAGGGTGTTAAAAAAAATCAACCCAAAGGCATTTATAAAGTGAGCCAGGCATCGGGAACCGTGTTTTTACATAATTACCTCATTTCAAGTAAGTTTTCTTTCAATTCTTCATCCTCCAACCAGTCTTTCCGTCTTCGTGCGTCATGATTATAGCACTTTTTGGTCTGTATCTGTTTGCCACTTGACTGGGAGTGCCCAAAGGGCAGAGCTGTGAAATGCGTCTTTGAATCCAGATGAGCAAGGCAATGCCTGGCCCTTAGTTGATTTTTATTATTTGTGGTTGAGTTTAACAAGCCTATAAGTAAATACCATTATCTTCTTTTTCTCTGTAAGAAAGATAACACTCAGAGGATTGGAAAACTTGAGTGCAGCCCATAGTTAGTAAGTGGCAGAGTTTGAGCTTCAAAGCCAGGTCTATATTTTCTGCTTCAGTTCACATGCACCCAGGAGAACTCTAGGAGGGAACTGTGTTGGGAGCCCCAAGTAGTATCCTTGTAGTTCTCAGCTAGGAGAAATTACTTAGGAGGCATTTCTGTCTTTGCCCAGAATGAATCACTGTAGTTTAAGAGACTGCCAAAAGGAAACAGTCTGTTGATTGGATAAAAGGGTCTTGAAAATAAGCTGGCTTTTGCAAACCATATATCTGATAAAGGTTAATATCTAAAATTGATAAAGGACTCATACAACTCAATAGTAGAAAAACAGATAGCCCAATTTAAAAATGGGCAAAGGTCCTAAATAGACATTTCTCCAAAGAAGACATAAAAATGACCAACAGGTACATGAAAAGGTGCCCAGTATTATTAATCATCAGGGAAATGCAAATCAAAATCACTGTGAGATGCTACTTCATAGCTGTTAGGATGGCTATTATCAAAAAGTTAAAAGATAACCAATATTGGCAAAGGTGTAGAGGAGGGAACTCTTATATACCGTTGGGAATGTACATTGGTACAGCCATTATGGAAATCAGTATGGAGATTTCTAAAGAAATTCAAAATACGGCATGGTGACTCATGCCTGTAATCCCAGCACTATGGGAGGCCAAGGTGGGCGGATTGCTTGAGCTCAGGAGTTCGAGACCAGCCTGAGCAACATGGTGAAACTCTGTCTCTACAAAAAAATACAAAAATTAGGCAGGTGTGGTGGCACGCGCCTGTAGTCCCAGTTATTTGGGGGACTAAGCCAGGATAATCACCCAAACCTGGGAGGCAGAGGGTACAGTGAGCCAAGATTGCACCACTGCACTCCAGCATTGATGACAAAGCAAGATCTTGTCTCAAAAAAAAAAAAAAGAGAGAGAGAGAGAAATTAAAAATAGAACTACCATATGACTCAGGAATTCCTTTTCTGGGAATATACCCAAAGGAAATAAAATTCACCACTTTGTAAAGATATCTGCCGATAATTGCAGCATTATTCACAATAGCCAAGATATAGAAACAACCTAAGAGTTCATTGCTGGACAAATGGATAAAGAAACTGTGGTGTATATATACGATGGAGTATTATTCAGCCTTAAAAGTGATCCTGACAGTTGTCACCACATGGATGAACCTGGTGGGCTTTATACCAGGTGACATAAACCACATACAGAAAGCCAAATATTGCATGATTTCACTTATATGTGGAATCTAAAAAACAAAAACCCAGTCAAATATACAGAGAGAATAAAACAGTGGTTACCAGGGCTGTGGGGGCATGCCAGGAAATGGGGAGATACAGGTCAGAGGATACAAAGTAGCAGATGTGTAGGAAGAACAAGCCTAGAGGCCTAAGGTACAACATGAGCACTACAGGTAATAAAATTGTGCTGCATTTGGGATTCATGTGAAATGAGTAGATTTTAGCTATTTTTGCCACAAAAACAAAAAAATGGGTAACTGTGCAATAGTTAGTTGGGATATGTTAATTTGCTTTGCTATAGTAACCATTTTCCTATCGGTATGTATCCCATATCATCATGTTGTATATGTTAAATATACACAATACAATGTATTCATTTATTGTTTGAGATGGAGTGTCACTCTGTTGCCCAGGCTGGAGTACAGAGGCACGATCATGGCTCACTGCAGCCTCAACTTCCCAGACTCAAGCAATCCTCCCACCTCAGCCTCCCGAGTAGGTGGGACTACAGGTGCACACCACCCTGCCCAGCTAATTTTTGTATTTTTTGTAGAGATGGGGTTTCGCCACGTTGCCCAGGCTGGTCTTGAAGTTCTGGGCTCAAGTGATTCTCCTGCCTCTGCCTCCCAAAGTGCTGGGATTACAGGCATGCCACCACACCTGGCCTAACATTTATTAAAAAAAAAAAAAAGAAGCTGTCCTATTCAGGCTACAAAAGAACTTTTGGTATTACCTGATGTTCTTCATTCTGTAAGTGGGACACTGAAATTTCCTCATGCCTAAAATGCTAAGTAAGGGAAAGTCCTCTTTTTTCTTTCCCATTTTTCCAGGGATTCTGACCTGGGTGATGCAAGAATTGAACATCGTATTTAGATAGGAAGTTGGAGCTCAGTAAATGAGGAGATTGTGTATCAAACCCCCGACCAAGCTACTGAGACTTCCTGATCACTCTTAAGAGGCCCCAATGCAAGAGTCTAGGCCCTAAGCTAAAGTAGTGGTGGAAGAGCAGGTGCATTCAAATATTTCATGTCTAAATCTACAGGATCGTGGTGACAGGATGCACGGTGGATGGACATGGAGAAGTTGAGGAGACCTGGGAGCCTGAGTGAATGGTAGCTCCATTCAGTATGGCAGGGGACAGGGGAGGAGGAGCAGGTGTGGGGTTCACTATGGGGGCAATTTGGGCTGTGTATTCAAGTATTTAAGGCGTCTTTTGGACAATTAGGGAAGATATTTTATCAAGAAATGTGCATTGAGGTTAGATGGCTCCGTGAAAGAGCAACTGTCTGGGGACATCTGGGAGACAGCTGGATCGTAGGCATGTATCTGATGATGTCCAGTTCATGGATTGCCGGTACTGAAGAGAGCCAACTGCTGCAGAGGACTTTCTTGGCTGTGTGCGGCTTTGTTGGGAATCTCTGCTGCTGTCTTTATAGCTTAGTATCCTGAATGAGGAGGGGAGCAATGGGCAGCCTCTTGCTAGTGGATGTGGAGAGGAGCTACCACATTGCCCTGTATGTAGGATGCGGGCACCTCTCTCTGCCCAGCTCTCCTATGGGTCATTACATGGAGCTTGCTTTTACTCATTAGGATTTGGCAATCTTAAATGCCTCTTTAAAAAAAATGTGTTTGTATCTGCTTTGAGATGTCATTTTTTTTTTTTTTGAGAGACAACCGCAAATTCATGCTTATCTTCTCGGGGGAAATACCTCTACTAAAACCATAGTTTGGCTTTTTCCATATGGGTGTTGAAACAGATGGTTGTAATGAGACCTCTCTAATTAAGCACTTGCTATCTGACTCTGAATCATTTTAGATGTGCTGGCACTCTTGCTCTCTCTCTTTTTGATTCAAAGAGTTGTCCTGAGATGTAACACATTTAGCTGTTATTATAGTCTATAAACTTTCCATTTTTTCATTTGTAGCTTATTCTCTTTTTTGTGCTAATCTGAGAGCATAATTAAGATGTCTGACTTCAGTTCTTTCCTTACAAATATTGCCTAACTCTTCTGTCTTTAATTATCCAAAATCATTCCTATGTAAACAAATAACAATTGCAGATTGTACTACCTACATTCTTTTGTTGTGAGGATGTAAGTACACCCTTGTTTGTTAAATTACAGTCTTTTAAAGAAATTGGATGTGACATATTTTGTCATTTTGTATGATGCCATAGAAAACAAAGGATCACTTCTGCATTTTTATTCTTGGTATCCCTTTTATTTAATATTCATTTTAAGAGCCAGTGTGGCAGGTGAAGTGAGGACAGGCTTTGGAGTCACACTGCCTTGAAAATCTCAGCCTCACCACTTCCTAGTGGTGTGACTTTGGGTAAGTTGCTTAGGTGCCTCTCTGTGCCTAGGCTTCTTGGTGCATGAAATGAGAATGATGGTAATATTCACCTCACAGGATTATGGGCATTCAGTGACATAATGCAAGTTACATGCATAGCACAATGCCTGGCACATAGTAGGTACTCAATAAATGCTAACAATATATATTTTTATATAGTAGAGGAAGCTTTCTTAACCAATTCATCAGATTAAAGGAAGCTTCCAGACCCTTTGCCGAGCAGTCCAGTGAATGCCCACGACGTGGTGAACTGTAACTGGCTTCTCTCTAGTATGCTCAGGCACTTCTACTCCAATTAGCTGACTTTATTTGCTGCCAAACCTGTTTATGTTATTTGTTGCTTGTGTTTGTTCCCAAGCCTATTTGTGCCAGTTGAACTTGTTATTGTAATTATGTAATTTAATTAAATATCAGGCAAACAGATGGAATGTAAAAGTATAAAAAGACAGCAGCTTTTTCCTGAAAATGAACTTTGAAGGCTATGGAAAGACTTAACAAAATATTACTCATTAAGGTACCTGTAGATTTGTAGAGACTGAAAGGAGAATGGTGGTTGCCAGGGGCTGGAGAGAAGGTAGGAATGTCGAGTTGGGGTTCAATGGGTACAGAGTTTCCATTTTCCAAGATGAGGAGAGTTCTGGATGGGGACAGGGGACAGGAGATGGGTGGGTTGCACGATGGTTGCACAGCAATGTGACTGGACTTAAAAATGGCTAAGGTGGTAAATGTTATATTATGTATATTTTAATACAGTTAAAGCTTTTAAAAATATGTCACATTAGCTGTGGATAAAATAGCTGTTAAAGATTGAGGTGTGCGAGGAATAAAACATCTAGAAAGAGTCCACATCGAGATTGTTTCCCAGTGGTCGTTAAGTTTTCATAATTTCAGGAAACCAAGATAGGAAACTTATTTTAAGTTTAAAATGAAACATTTAAGTTGTGTACGTGTCTTGGGCTAGGCTCCTGGGGAACAGACTCACAGATGGAGATTGAGGCCATTGGAACTTGTCCTCCTGTGTTGATCAGACCTTGGATGTGGGCTGCTCCCCAGGGGAGGGGCATAACCTCGAACAAGGCGAACTTCTTTGGCTGAGCGTGAGTCTCAGGAGGTTCTTAGCTGAGAACAATCAGCAGGTAACACTCCAGCAGCTGGGGGATCTGAGTGGTACACTACAGCATCCACAACAGTGTGTCTCCATTTTGTGTGTGGTTTTCCCTTTATAACAGACTTTTAAAGATTAACTGATTAACTTCTGGTCCAGATTGCTTCAAATAAGAGTATCTTCACTGCTTATGCATAATCTTCTGAAGGTCTCATTGTATTTGATCTTCTTTGCATATGACAGTTGTCCCATCTATGATACAACAAGACTGCGTTCTCCTGAATCCTGTAAACTTAATCACAGCAAATAAACGTGTGATGTGTTGGAAGCACAACTGATGTTAGGGCCTCTGTCCACTCCTAAGTATTTTCCAGTATTTATTTTGAGATTCATGGAACCAACTTCAGGTTTTCTTTTTAAATTTCCAAAGACTCTTTTGGCATTCGATGGTATCCTTTGGCAAACTCTCCACTTTTGTACTAGAGATCATCTTCCTTTCGTGCCCTATGACCTGTAGGTCTCTCTCTGCATGTTCTTTGGTGACTCTTCCGTCTGCTGCAAATAACTGCCATCCCTCTTCCTTTTACTTTAGCCTTTTGCCTTAGACCCGCGTCTCTTTATGATGATCCCAAAGCTCCTGACTTGAATGATGGCCAATCTCCAGGACGTCTAAATTTCATTTTGGAATATAGTCTTCCAATTCTTAAAACAGGAGCCCTGTTTATATGGTTGTTTTGTTTATTGTTAGATCCAAATTTGCTTTTCGTTTCTCTCAGCTTGCTTTGCCCCAAATTGTCAATGCTAAAGTGGAAGTCTGAATCCCTTTGCCAGTGTGACCATAAATATAGCACAAAGATCCTATGATTACCCTATAGTGTCTGTTTTCCTTGAGCATTTTAGCATGTGCTGACCTTTTAGCAGGAATACTATTCAGCCTCATTTATGCTTAGCCCTTCATTTAGCCAAGTTTTGTTTTTTCCTTGGTTTCAAATTTTCTCTCTTTTTGTGAACTGGGAGCTGAAGCCCTTCATTTGACTTGTGATCTTATACATTCTGGAAGCTCATACATGTAATCGTGGAACAAATAAAGCAGCTGGAGGAAATCTTTTCTGAACAAAACCCAAGTGGGGCATTTGGGTGCAAGCCAAGATTTCAGCAGCTACAGAGGGAGATGTACAAAGGCTGCCTATATTACAAAGCCAATAAATCACTTCTGGCCAAATAGGAATGTCCTATAGGTAATGGCTGGATAGAGGGTAAGGGACCTTTACACATTTAATTACCTGACTACAAAATAAAGTGTTTACTGTAACCTTCCAAGGGCTCTCTAGTAAGTTAATTCCTATAATATAACTAAAGGTAGATGAACACTGTTGGCTCAGTGGATGAGCAACAAATTGGAATTCTGAGTCTGTTCAGCCTGGGCCTAGGCTTCCCACTAAATTGATGTGTGGTCCTAGGCAAGATACTGAGTGTTTAACTTCCTAGGGCTCAGTTTCTCCTTCCAAAATTAGGAATTATAATACAGATTTAGCTTACTAAATCCCAAGAAGCCACTAACCAACTAACTAATAATAAATGAGGCCATGTAGCGTGAAATCCTCTATTAACTTCCTCTTTTCCCTTTTTAGAGGTGAAAGTTAAATGTCCTACAGTGATCAAATAATTAAGTAAAATTTCACTGGACATTTTGACAAGATTGGTTATTGATTCATCAATTCATACACACACACATACATACATATCTGGACTTACACATACAAAAGCAAGGGCTTAGAATGGAGGTAGGTTTAAAACAAATGTAAAGGAGTTTCCCAAGTTTTTAATCATCTATTAGTTCATCCAGGCAATGTTAACAATTATGCAGAGCAGCACCTCTCAAACTTTATGTGCATAAGAATCACCTGGAAGGCCTTTAAAATGTCCCTCCTGGGCTCCATCCTCAGAGTTTCTGATTTGGTAGATATTGTGGTAGGGCCTAAAATTAGCATCTAACAAGCTCCCATATGATATTACTGGTGTGCAGACCACACTGTGGGTCGCACAGTCTAGAAACATTCGGAATGCCAAGGTAAGGAAGACACATGGTGTCTGTAAGGCAGGTAGGATTAATATTAATACTCCATGGTGTGCTAATATTAATTATACTGTATCACAGTGTGTGTGTGTGCACAGGACCATGTGTTCTAAAATCATTTCAGAGAACATAGTATGTGCAGAGGCTTAGAGAATTGAAACTACATGACACATTCAGGAATGTGAAGTTTGCATCACTGCAGCAGAGAGCATGTGGCTGGCCGGGAGGCAGGGGGTAGTCTAGTAGGGGTGGGGAGGAGAGGAACATGTGGCAGAAGAGATGCCAAGATCTAGGTAGAGCTCTGATGGTAATTAGGGGGCTTGTGTACTCCAAGAGATTGGATTGCTTTCCTAACCTGAGAACAAGAGAAATGGAACAGAGAAAATAAAAGATTCACTAGAGTTCTCAAGGTGGTAGAATTAATGATAGCGTAGAATTTATCTAAATATAATCTAGTTAACCCATTAATCCTGCTGAAATTACACTTCAGTTGAAAGTCAATCTCTTGGGTATCTGGTTTCTTCATTTCTGGTCATTTTTGTGCACCATATGATGACTTACGTGTTCTTAAATATGACCTGTTTTCCATTATTTTCTAGGTTCTTTTTCTATCCAGTGAATAGTCAGCCAGTAATCCTTGTCCCAAATTGATTATAATAATGAACAGGTGGAATACCAAGATATTAGCAATAAGAGTATCTTACCAAAAAAAAAAAAAAAACAGATTTCCTTGTTACAAAAGCAATGCATACTTATTACGGAAGCTACAGACAAGCAAAGAAACCTCCCACAATCCCACTCACATTTAGAAAACCACTGCAAAACCCCCTAGACACTAACTTTTTAGATTCTTTTCCATGTAGATGTGCATTCTTCCCTACCAAAATAGATTACACCATCTACGTTTTGAAAACCAGCACAGTTCATTTACATAATCTGCCAATTGTTGGACATTTGTACTCTTCCAATCTAATTCCCATTGTTTCACATTTAGTCTGTTCCAAGTAATTTCCCATGGCTGATGCCTAAACTGAAAGTGAAGGGACAGGAGTCAGCCAGGCAAAGATGGTGGAGTGGAGGGATAGACATTCTAGGTTGAAGTACTGCCTGGGCACAGACCTAGAGGTGAAGCAACCATAACATTTGTGAGAACCGAAGGATGTACAGTAAAGCTGGACCATGGAGGGTGAAGGGTAATGGGAGTGGACGTTCACAAGATTAAAACATTGGAACTAATAGCCTACAGTTGGATATCCAGGGGACTAATTGGCCAAAATTTATTTAGGGAAAAAGTAGAGGGAATAAAAGACAAAAAGAGAAAAAATCTGCAGCTTATCACTGAACGTTATTCCTTTTCAACCAGAATGCTTTATTTTCATTTTTATTTATTTATTTTTTCTTGAGACAGAGTCTCGCTGTGTCACCCAGGCTGGAGTGCAATGGTGCCATCTCGACTCATAGCAACCCCCACCTTCCGCGTTCAAGTGATCCTCCTGCATCAGCCTCCTGAGTAGTTAGGACTACAGGTGCTTGCCACCACGCCTGGATAATTTTTGTAATTTTAGTAGAAACAGGGTTTCACCATGTTGGCCAGGCTGGTCTCAAACTCCTGACCTCAAGTGATCCACCTGCCTTGGCCTCCCAAAGTGCTGGGATTACAGGCATGAGCCACTGTGCCCGGACTCAACCAGATTGTTTTAACACAGTGTTGCTTTCACCAACTTGATTCGGACTAAGTTGGTTTTGGCAAATGGCTTTCAACCAAATGATCTATACCCAAATTAAGAGGATTTGGGGGCTTACTGGATCCAGTGCCGTGCTGGAGCTGACTTATGCAGGCTCTCAAGACATTTCTGCCCATCTTTTCAGTAATGTCACCTTCATAGCTTGAAATCAGCAAATGCTACAAATCAGGGATTTTTTTTCATTCAAGCCAGTTCTGCAGCACACCACTAGATGTAGCTGAGTGAGAGGGAAGAAATCCAAAATAAATGTCCTGGGTTTTGGCTTGGGAATTGAACACTGAAGTCATATATCGGTACCAAACATCATAAACTTTGGAGTCAGAGGACCAAGATTTGAATCCTAACTGCCATTTTTCTGCCATTTCAAGCAGAGTAATTCTCTAAGCCTCAGTTTCCTTATATGTGAAATGGGGTCACTAATATTTAACTTACAGGATAATGATATAAATTAATCCTTGAGAGAGCTATTATGATTATTACTGCAATAAAAGGAGAAGCATGAGGGCATTCAGTTGATATTTTAATATGTAAAGTTTGAGTTACTTTGGGGAGCTTAGGTAGAGAATCCTGTAATAACAACAATAGCTAATATTATTGATTGTTAACTACGTGCTTTACATACATTATTTTGTTTAATCTTCCAAAGAACTGTATAGGTAGGTATTAGTGATATGATTGCTCTCATTCTGAACCTGAGAAGACTGAGTTTTAAGTTAAGTATCTTTCTCAAGGCCAGACAGCTGGTAAATGCAGAGACAATTTGGAAGGCAAGTCTGTCTGAATTCAGAGTCTGCATTCTTTTTTTTCTTTCTTTCTTTCTTTCTTTTTTTTTTTTTTTTTTGTGAGACAGAGTTTCTCTCTTGTTTCCCAGGCTGGAGTGTAATGGTGCAATCTCAGCCCACTGCAACCTCCACCTCCCAGGTTCAAGCGATTCTCCTGTCTCAGCCTCCTGAGTAGCTGGAATTACAGGCATGTGCCACCATGCCTGGCTAATTTTGTATTTTTAGTAGAGATGGGGTTTCCCCATGTTGGTCAGGCTGGTCTTAAACTCCTGACCTCAGGTGATCCGCCCGCCTCTGCCTCCCAAAGTGCTGGGATTACAGGCATGACCCACCGCACCCAGTCTAGAGTCTGCATTCTTAATCAGTGTGCATATGGGCCTCCACTCAGCAGAGACATCTGAGCTACATGGTGTCAGTTTGTGAATGTTCTCAGTGGTTCAAGTCTTAGGTTTGAATGAGGTACTGGAGGAATCTATAGAATCAGAAAAGCAGAAGGCAAGGATGCAACTCTGGGCAACACTGAATTTGAAGGTGAGGTAAGAATTTAGAGAAAGAGGGGATGATTAGCAGTTTTGGATGCCATCAGGAGATCAAAAAGGGTAAGAATTTAAAAAGGTTATTTGGATTTGGCAATATGAAAAGGATTGGTAATTTTAACAAAAGCAGCTTGGGCAAGATAAGGAAGGCAAAGGCCAGATTGCTTTGGGTTGAGAAGTAAATTGGTAATGATGAAGTGGAGAAAACTGGTATAAATTCCTTTTGAAGAATGAGGTGCTAAATAAGCTATTTGGAATCCAGGGAGATATTTAAGACATAGATGTATCGGGCAGAAATAGTAGAAGTGAAGGAATGTGATTGAAGAAAGCAAGACCCTTCCTTAGGAGATAGGAGAGATGGGATCCAAAGCCTGGTAGAAGAATTATGACTGGATTGACGTCAGGATTGGGCTTTTTAGGTTGGGTGTGATAGAAGATCAAGGAGGCAGAGAACTAAAGACAGTCATCAGTATAACCAAAGTCATGGCATCGTAGGCTGCAGACTAGGAAGAGAATAAGTAAGATCAGGAGGCCATTCATAGACTTAGAGAATGTAGAGGGGCCAAGGTCTTGGGAGTCTCAAAGATGCTGAAGAGAAGTTGGGAGTAAATGAAGAACTGAGTTGTGAGTACAGGGAGTTGTGCACGGTATTCTTGATATTGATCAATTAATGTACAGAGAAGCCTGGGTAGCTGATGATATCCCTGGCCCTGCCATCAGAGATCAATTGTTGAAGCAGAGTGAAGGTGAATTCATCAGAATTGAAGAGCTGAAGGGACTAAGCTCTTTGCACTGGTATCCTTTTGAGTTCCCAACTAGTAAGACTACATCTTTTTAATAATACTTTGTTAATAATCCAAATGTAATGTCTAAAGAGGTCCTTCCCCATTATGATGGAAACATTCTTCATGGTTAGTGACGTTCTTTCATTGGTGTCCAAGAAATCTGATAGAATCTTCAACTTTTTCTTAGTATGTTCATCCTGAGACTGGTAGGGGAAGTGTCCTGGGTTCATTTCTTCTCCTTCCAGAGGATGTACAGCTTACGCTTTCAGAAGCATAATGCTAATAATACTAATAGCTGTCATTTGTTAAGCACTTACTACATGCTAGCCACTGCGCTAAGCACTTTATGTGGATTATCTCTTTATACACTTATAACTCCGCAAGATAGGTGCACTTTCTGTGTCTATTTTATGGATGAGGACTCTGAAGATTAGAGAGGTTAAGTCCCTTGCCCAAGGTCACTCAGCTTGTAAATGATGGAGCCAATATTCAAATCCGGGCAATTTGCATCTAGAACTTGAGATACTAACTCTGTAAAACTGTCTGTCGATGCTGGGGAGACCTAAGTCAGCCTCATTTTGGAGGTTAGTGTATTCCTGTTTGTGAAGGAAGAGGAAAGCAGCCACCCTGGGGCCCCTGTCCAGAGACGCACCACTCGACCCAGTACTCCCGACTGCACATCCGTCTCCCTGTTGACCATCTTCAGCCTGCTTCTCCCTAAAGCACAGAATCACAGTGTCCTTTGGGCATTCCATCACCCCATACAGTACTGCTCACCTAAGACAGTGCCCTTCACTGCCAGGGGCAGCATGAGATGTCTTCCCAAAGCCCCGCAGAAGTTAATCCTCTGGGCACTCCTTACAAGAGAGCTGAAGAATGGCATGAGAGCCGTTTCATTCCACTGTTGATTCTTGGAAATACCAGAGGGTTGTTTCACATAGACACGTCACTGTGATGGCTCTTGGCTGTTCAAAGTGCAAGGAGGTTGCTGTGCTGACGTCGAAATCTTAGTTTGAAACCTTATTTCAAGAATGCTCAGAAAAGTAATATAAGAAGTATGCAAGGAGAAGAAAGCATTTCTAATGATAAAATGAGTAACTTAATTTTAAGACCTCCTTGAAAATCATATTAATTTGTTTCTAAATTAATTTGCTATTTGCTGAAAGCTACTTTCAGAAAATGATACCTTGTCCTGTGGTATGCCTAACTCTAACTTTTATATTTAAATGATCCGTTTACTTGGATGAACTCATGATGCATATTCAGAAAGTACCGATGGAAGAGAAATGGATGAGCACATATTTTAAAAACTGTAATATGTTAGGTATTTCTTTAGCTTATGTTTATTAACCAAATGAAGACTTTTTAACCCCTATTTGCAAGAGTAAAATAATATTTCACTTCATCATGCAAAATGTAAAACAACAAAACAGATTTTTTTACTTTTAATGTTAGATATATTCCTAAACAATATCAATTTATACCAAATACCTAATCCTTATAACCCCGCCCCCTCCCCTCACTGCCTCCTCCAACACACCCACAGTGCGAGATACAGAGCTGGAAGTGCCCCTGGCAGTCTACCTCATAGTGTTCCAGAAACAACACCAAGGAGGGTTTACCTTACTCCTGATCATGGGGCCTGAGGCCAGAGGGCTGATACCCAAAGCCAAGTCCCAGAAGGAATTACAAAAATGAGGCCAGGAAATTAAGTTCCAACCAGGACTTTGTTAAGGCCTAGGTGTTAACACCCAGGGATTGAGCCAAAACCAGGTATCGGGTGTGGGGATGTGGCTGGGAGGAAGTGACTGGGAAGGCTGAGAGTGAGGAAGGTTGGGGGAAGTGTTAGCCATGCAGAAGTTGCTTAGCTTGGATTTCAGACATAGGGCCAGTGCCCCAGGCAGCATTGTCACAGGCATCTAAGCTGGGTGGTGATGGCCTTCCTTATATTCATTCATCCACCCAGCAGTTCTCTGTATGTGATCCAGGGCCGCCAGGGGTCTGTGAGGTCAAAACTGTTTTCACAATATTAAGGCACCATTGACATTTGCATTGATGGTGCAAAGGCAATGGTAGGTAAAATTGTATGAATTATTTCATTCAATTTTAGCATGAAGACAGTAGTGAAAACCGTAGTCGTAATCACTGTATTCATCACCCCCTTGTCCTCACAGTTTAAAACAATTGTCAGTCTCACTTAAGAATATTTCAAAGGAAATATTAAAAAGTATTAATTTTATTGTCTCAATCCCCAAATGCACATCTTTTTAATATTCTGGGAAGTATCCATACAGCATTTCTGTTATACGCAGAAGCACAAAAGATTGTCTCCAGGAAAAGGATTTCATGATTGTTTAAGTTGAAATCAGAAGTGGCCACTGTTTTACTGGTACACCATTTTTATTTGAAAGAGTGACTGACAGACAAACTACTGTTATTCAGCCTTTAGTATTTGGTCGACATTTTCTCAAAACTGAATGGAGTGAGCCTGTCATTTCAAGGAAAACAACTGACAGTATTTGTTGCCAATGATAAAATTCAAGCTTTCAAGTGAAATTTAGAATTTGAGAAACTTGTATTCACCACTGTGAGCTTGACAGTTTCTCAATACATGAAGGCTTTTCTGATGAGTTCAGTGGTGATATTAAATATGGTTTTTATAGTGTATAATGAAATGTGCTAACGTTTAGAAGATCCGTTTAAGTCAGTGAATAAACATTTTTTGATGACCAGTGTAAGATGTTACAAAATCATGAATTTTGCTTGGATAAAAGATCCATTGCAAGTATAAGATGCCCCAATATATGTTAACGTAATAAAGTATGAAAAGTTAATTGATATGTTTTCAAATTCTACACTGCAGCTAGTCTTTAAGAAAATACCACTTACTGAGTTACAGTGTAGCACAAGAGTATCTACAGTCATCTGAAAAGACTATGAAAATACTCCTCCCCTTTTTAACTATGAATCTATGTGAGGCCATATTTTTCTTTATATACTACAGCCGTATCTCTACAAAGGAAATTCGGAAGCAGGAGAGAATCTAGCTATAATTTATTAGGGAATACACATAAAAGACTTACAAAAATGTAAAATCATGATATTCTTCTTACTTTTGTTTTGCAAAATGAATTTTCTTAAAAATATGTTTATGTTAAAATACAAATAACTTATTTTAAAATGAATTAATATTTTAAATTTTTCTCAGTTTTAATATTCATTTCTAGTATAGTAAATATTGTTGACATAACCTATATGAACAGAAGTTTCTAGAGTTCTCAGTTTTTAAGAGTATAAGGGAATCCTGAAGCCAAAAAGTTTGAGAACCACCGTTCTGGTACATAGAGAATATTATATAGTGGGCTTGGGCTGGTGTAGAGATAGCATTGTGTACTAGACAGGAGTGGACCTTGCCCATGGAGCTAAGTCATCTACAGCTAAATAGATAAGTCCCATAAAGTGTGGTAAGTGCTGTGATAGGAAAAGCGCAGGGTGATATGGGAGCACCTCACCCTGTTTAGAAACTTCCAGGACGAATTAGTGTCTCTCTGCTGATTCTTAAAGGATGAATAAGAGTTATCCAGGCAATAACAGAGTGATTCCTCTGGGTATATGGAAAATCATGTGCAGAGGGCCCCATGGAAGAGATCATGGCTCCACTGCAGAAATAAGAGGAGTGTAGCTTGAGCACAGGGTAAAGGGGGATGGTGTGACAGAAGCTGAACTAGAGGACAGCAGCCACATCACGAAGGGCTGTGTGAGTTCAGGAGGCAGGACCTCCTCTGAGGGGAACTGGAAGATACTGGGGCGTTTTAAGACACGAGAGGGACATTATATTATATCATATCATATCATATCATATCATATCATATCATATCATATTATATCATATTAATTTATTTTTTGAGACAGTGGGTCACTCTGTTGCCCAGGCTAGAGTGCAGTGGCACGATCTCGGCTCACTGCAGCCTCCGCCTCCTGGGTTCAAGTGATTCTTCCACCTCAGCCTCCTGAGTAGCTGGGATTCCATGCTTGGCTAATGTTTGCATTTTTAGTAGAGAAGAGGTTTCAGCCTGTCGGCTAGGCTGGTCTCAAACTCCTGAACTCAGGTGATCCACCTGCCTCGGCCTCCCAAAGTGCTGGGATTACAGGCGTGAGCCACCACGCCCCGCCCAGATTACATTTTAGACAGATCCCTCTGGCCATAGGGAATGGATGTCTAGAGGCAGGGGAGACCCACTAGGGGTCATTGTGGCAATCAGAGAGCTGATGGAACCTGGACTAGGATATGGCTGAAGTGTTGGAGAGACATGCATACACTTCAGAGAGAGGTGTGTGGAGAAGTTTACAGAACTAGGTAAATGGTTGGGTGTGGCTAGAGGGAAGGATAGGTAGGCATCAAGACTGAATCTAGGTTTCAGGTTCAGCACCTGGGAGTCATGATACTGTTCACCAGCAGAGGGAACACAGGCGGCGCAGGTTTAGAGAGAAGGAGGAGGAATCTGACTTGAGTTCCTGTAGGGTACCTAGGAGGAGCTGCCCGGTCAGCACTCCGATGCGTTGTTCTGAAGCTCAGAAAGAGCATCTGGACTAGAGGCACAGAGGAGAGAGCCGTCAACACACAAACTGTAACTGAAGCCATGGGCTGAGTGAGAACCCTCAGAGGGTTGGAATAAGAAGAGAAGACTGCCTAAGAGACAACCCTGGGGGTACCAACATCTAAGGGATAATTAAAGAAAGGAGAGTGTGCAACTGTCCCTGAAAAACAGTAAACAGTGCCCAGAGAAGTAACAGAATCCAGACTATGTGAGCACTGAGGCAAGGGGAATAGAGTCAAGAAGAAAGGAGGGGGCGGGGTCAGCAGTGACAAGTACTGCCAAGAAGTACAAGGAGGATTAAGAGGGTCTTTTTGACTTAGTAACGAGGAGGTAGTTGTTGAGTCATTGACTGCTTCCAGAACAATATCAGTAGAATGGCACGCTCCAGTAGGTTAAAGAGTGAGGGAGAGAGGATAGCAGACTGGGGGTGCGGCGGGGAAGAAGAGAGTAGTTGAGGGGGAGGGGAGATGAAGGCAGTAGGGGAGAGAGAAAGGATGGGGAGAGAGGGAGGTTGAGATTACTTTCACTCAATGGGAAGGAGGCAGTAGAGAGAGAAAGCTGAAGACATAAGAGAGAAGGGGAAATTGTTAGAATGGGGTGTTCCAGAAGAGTCAGGCGGTGAAAGGATTGGGGAAAATATGGAGAGAAGCCATGTCTCCAACGAAAAACCAAGTTCCAATCAAGGCATGAGGTGAAATGAGCATTAGCTGAGACAGATGAGGATGTATGATAGTTTAACTAGCAAATGGAAATTCCATGGTACTCAGTGGAAAGGTTCAGGAGGAGGAAAGTAGTAGGAATTTAGATTAAAGGAGAAAAAGCACAAGGCAGTGTGAGGAAGAAGACACGGGAGACTGGAAGGCCAGAGGGGCTCCCCAGAGTGCCCAAGCATGGCAGTTTTGTGAGGAGACAGGTGTGTACAGGGAGCTGTAGCTTATTTTAGATATTGGTAACTTAATTACAGCAGTCTCATCTTTTTACACAATGATGCATTTTATCACAACCTAAAATTTATTCTCAACAATAATATTCTTTTTAACCAAAACATCATTTTCTGACCAATTCAAATTATTCTTATGTGTTTCTGTTGTTTACTTTTATGTTCACCAGGTTAAATCTTCAGTTACGCCGCTGCCATTAAGAGATCCCTATGTAGAAAAATCTATTCATTATGAACACATTTATTGCTTCATTGAATTGCCTATTTAAAATGCAGAGAACCACAAATTAAATGTAGTGCTTTTCCATTTTGAAAAAAAGCAGATGAATGGGTACTATTTTCTTGAATACATCATGTTTGTCTTACATAATTAACATTCCAGATTCATAAGCCAACAGATGCCAATCCTTGCTTATTTTGATATTTGTTCCTCAATGGTCATTACTGAAAGAGATGCCTCCTAAGACTTGAACATGCTGTGTTCTGCATCAGAGGAAATGATAAGGCAAATGTAATGGAGATTATTGCTTTTGGGGGATAGTTAAGTGATGTCCAAAATCTATTTCTCTAAGGTTAATTATGCAAAGTACAAAACAATTTCTTCATTGCAATTGTAAAATAAAATATCTCAAGTATCTTCAGTATAAGCCTAGTCTATAAAATACTTCTAGATTCCAAGTTTATAGCCCTCTACTAAATATTTATTGTATTTAAGACATGGGTGTTTGTTCTAGAAACATGCTTTAATGTCATATTGCAGTTTTTCTAGATTTCTCATATTGAGAAACTTGAATATACTTGTGTTGAATATGTGTAAGCGTAGACTACAGTATAGTACAAGGGCACTTTTAAGTGGCAAATCTATGGGGAATGCCTAGTGGATCTCATCTGGAGGTCAGACTTCATTTTGTTGCCTTTTGACTCAACCAGGCCATTTGAGCTGTGATAGGGTTTGGGTCTGCCCAAATCTCATCTCATATCCAGTTGTAATCCCCAGTGTTGGAGATGGGGCCTGGTGCGAGGTGATGGTTCATGGGGGCGGTTTCTAATGGTTTAGCACCATCCCCCCTTGGTACTATATAGCGAATGAGTTCTCACAAGATCTGGTTGTTACAGAGTATGAAGCACCTCCCCCCTTCCTCTCTCTTCCCCCTGCTCCAGCCATGTGAAGTTCTGGCTCCCCCTTTGCATTCCACCATGATTGTAAGTTTCCTGAGGCCTCCCTAGAAGCAGAAGCCACCATGCTTCTTGTATAGGCTGTGGAACTGTAAGCCAATTAAACCTATTTTCTTTATAAATCACCCAGTCTCAGGTATTTCTTTATAGCAGTGTGAGAATTGACTAATACAAGCTGCCTGCCAAACCACCTCACTTGTTTCCCTCTTGTTTTTATTCTTCCCATCATGACCCCAAAGAGACCTCATGTTCCATTTCTTAACACATATAATGGATCCTCCTGTAAGTATCTGGGCTGTGGCAGACTAACAGAGAGACCTCCAACCTCAACACCAGCTAATGCCCCAGGCTCACAGTCTGACCACTCTGTTAGAAAAAGAAGCCCCTCTCTCTGGTTGTCCCATCCCCATTCTACTTTGCTCTTTATTTGTTCTCACTCAGCCTCCACCTTTTTCCTCTCTCAAACTTGTGAAAGATGTTCCTGGAATCCTATTTTTATAGTAAATACACCCACCTCCTTAACTGGATGGTAGAACATTGTACCTGCCTTCTTGCCTTAACTGAAATTTGACTCTTCCCTGAGAGCTTTTCCCAGGTGAGAGAATCCTGCTCCAGAAGCACAGTGCTGTTCGGAGTCCATTGTTTCCCACTCTGTTGTAGACCCTACTCTTCTGATCATCCTGCTATCTGACTGATTTGTCCTCTGTCCATAATACTGTCATCCACTAACCTCATAGTCACCTATGTCACATATAGCCTCCCCCAAAACTCAAAGCCCTGCCATCATCAAAACTACTCAGTCCTTTAGATTTTCATTTCTTTCACATCATCAATTCTAGTGAATTTATCTGTGTTACTTTAGCCGCCTGCTTCCTTAGCTATACCCTGGATCATTACCAGGAAACACATCTTTGCTAAAATATCACATTGAAATAACTCTTTTTTATGAGTCAGGATCTCTGATATAATGTTGGGTAGTAGAAATTATAGTGGACATCCTTATGTGCTTTTAGCCTTTTTAAGGAAATACTTCTAAAGTCTCACCATTTAGTATGATGTTGCTGTAGGGTTTTGGTGGAAGCAAAATGCGTTTGTATTCCCAATCTGCTCAATTTTTCCATTATAAATATCTGTTGGGTTTCTTTGAATATTTTTCTACATATGTGAAATGCTGTTATTGTTTTTCTCCCTTAATCTGATATTTGCAGCATTAAATATTTTCTCTCCTTCTGAAATTTCTTTTAGTTTAATGTTAGCACTTTCCCTTGTGTCTTCTGTGTTTTTTTGACTTTCCTTTCAGGGTTTTTTTGGTTTTTTTTTTTCCTTTTTATCTCTCTGTAGTGCATATTGGGAGATTTCCACAGTTATACATTCCAGTTCATCAAATCTCTTTTCAGCTCTGTCAATCCTGCTAATTATATAATTTTTCATTCTAAGACTTTCAGTTGGTTCCTTTTCATTTCTACCTCTTTTTATTTCACAACTTTCTGATTTTACAATCTTGCTAGTAATCTCTATTATGACTGAGGATTTTTAAGTCTTTATTCAGAGTGTTCTGTAGTACATATTTCCTCGGATATGAATCTCCTCATTCATTGAACTGCTTTTAATCATGGTGCATATCCTTTTGTAATTTTCTTTAATTAAGAGCTTAACTTCCCTACAGATTTGCCCTATAAAGGTTCTCTTTGGGAATTGTCTCAACCCCAGGCCTATGAATTCCTCAGCTCTGAAACAATTCATAAGTTAGGCATAGCTTGGGAATCCTACTGCAGGGAAGTGATTTCTATGCCCATGTGAAATGCAGACTCAGAAGCTAGTTATATATAGGTGTCTTATCTTCATCTCTAATCATAGGTAATTTGGGGCCTTGACCCTCACTGAAAAAAAAGAAACTGATATCACCCCCACAGCTCCCCGCCCCACCCCTAGATTTATGTGGAGTCATGCTCAGGATTCATATTCTTTTCCCTTTGCAGATGTAGAAACCTCAGACCCCATGTCTTTTCAGCACCTGCCCCTACCTCCAATCTCACAATGGCCATAGTCTTACACGTCACTACCAGCATGGGTTTATTATCGTTTTTTATTCACAGAGACTTTTCTTTCTTGTTTTTAAAAATGGTTCTATCAGTCAGGGCCCCAGCAGAAAACAATGTTATTCAGATACCTAAATTCAAGAGATTTGAATGAAGGGACTATTTACAGATATAAGGCCAGGAATAAAGCATACAACAAGGTCATTTGAGGTGCCCAGAGACTAAGAACAGCAGGCTCTAAAGGGCAAGGGAGGAAATGTTATTACAGGAGCCCAAGAGAGCTGGAGCTATTGAGAAGGGCTGCCTGGTAGAAGCTGTATCTGGAGGAAAGTAGCCATTACCAGAAGGAAGCAGGGAGGCTACAGGAAAGAAATATCCCATCCTCTCTTCTCCCACACTCCAGTTTCTTGGTGGAACTTCTGTTGGCCAAACCTAACTGGAAGGGAGCCCAGGTAATGTGACCCAGAAGGGCACAGGGCAAGGCAGAAAATTGATTGGATGGATATGCAAATAGAGAATAAATAGTATAAGGCTTATGTGGTTTAAATAAATAGTGTATCTGTTATTTCTGTATGTTGCAGAGGCCTAAGGATTTTCAGCAAGTGTTTACTCTGCCATATTGACCAGAAGTCTAAAAACCCCTCCTCTGGCCTCTTAGCAGCTGACTCCATCATTCAGGCACACCCCTCACCTGTGCAGATTCTCAGGCAAGTGTATCGCTCTGTCGCCCAGGCTGGAGTACAGTCGCACAGTCTTGGCTCACTGCAGCCTCCACTTCCTCCTGGGTTCAAGCAATTCTCCTGCCTCAGCCTCCCAAGTAGATGGGATTATAGACGTGCGCCATCACAGCCGCCTAATTTTTTAATTTTTAGTAGAGACGAGGTTTTACCATGTTGGCCAGGCTGGTCTCGAGCTCCTAGCCTCAAGTGATCTGCCCACCTCAGCCTCCCAAAGTGCTGGGATTACAGGTGTAAGCCACTGTGCCCAGCCATGTCTATATATTTAAACATTATAAATCAAGGTAAACTATTAAATAAAATCTGTTTTATCTTTCTACCCTGACAGATGTACATTAATAATGAGCTAGAAGGGAGAGGTTTTATTTGGGATTCATCAATTTCCTGGAGGTTCATGTGGAACATCTATGGCACAGGGGAGTACTGACGTCTGGTCCCTAGCCCTGCTCCCCATGGTGAAGAGCCTTACACACTGTGTGGACACACCGCCCCCAACATCCATGCTTAATCCACATCCCCTTCAAACAACCACTCTGGGCAGACCCTCAGGAAGAGGCCTGCAAAGGTACTAAAAGCAGCCTCAGGGCTGTGTAGGAAGGAAATTCTAGGGTCCCAGGTACCTGGAATGTGGTCTAAAAGGTAATGGGTATGAGCTTTGGATGGACATATCTCCTGGTCCAATAGAGTCCTTGCTCCATGGAAGGACTCTAGAGCAAAAGATGAGACTGAGCCTAGTCCTCTAAAATGCAGGGCCCAGGGTAGGGTCGCCTCTGTCCTGAGTCTTATGCTGGGCCCCATTACACTTGATTTTCATCAAGACCTGTAGTCCCTTGACCATCTGTGTTTTCTCAGACTGTAAACCTCTTGTGGTACTCCCTTCTTTCCCTGTCTAGCCTGGAGCCTATGGCCCCTCATACTCCTAGCAATGCCGTCAACTTCCTAGCACCCTTGTTTATCCGTCACTCCTGCCTAGCAAAATCTTAGCCCTGGGCCAACCTGACTCTCCATCTTCTTGCTTTACGCTTAGGTTGTTGAGTGTCTGCAATAAAAATATACAGGTTGGGCCAGGTGCAGTGGCTCACGCCTGTAATCCCAACACTTTGGGAGGCCGAGGCAGGTAGATCATCTGAGGTCAGGAGTTTGAGACCAGCCTGGCCAACATGGTGAAACCCTGTCTCTACTGAAAATACAAAAATTAGCTGGGCGTGGTGGTGGACACCTGTAATCCCAACTACTCAGGAGGCTGAGGTGGGAGAATTGTTCGAACCCGGGAGGCGGAGGTTGCAGTGAACCGAGATCACTCCACTGCACTCCAGCCTGGGCAACAGAGTGAGACAACGTCTCAAACACACACACACACACACACACACACACACACACACACACACACACACACACACACACGTTGAGCATCCCTAATCTGAAATCCAAAATGCTCCAAAATCTGAAACTTTATGAGAGCTGATCTGACGCCACAAGTGGAAAATTCCACACCTGACCTCATGTGACTGGTTGCAGTCAAAACTTTGTTTCATAAACCAAAATTGTTGAAAATATTATATAAAATTACCTTCAGGCTATACATATGTTTATAAAGTATCAGTGAATTTTGTCTTTACATTTGAGTGCCATCCCAAGATATCTCATTACGTATATGCAGATATTCCAAAATCTGAAAAAAATCAGAAATCTGAAACTCTTCTGGTTCCAGGCATTTCAGATAAGGGACCTCAGCCTGTATCAGCAGTGTAAACATGCTGGGCCTCTGCCTCCGGGCATCCTGCTGTGTTCTCTCAGGCAGCTCTTTCTGGTTTCCACAGAAGCACTTTCAAACCTTTGCCACTTTTCTCAGGCTCCTGCCCCATTTTCCCTGTCACTCTCAGCAAATGGCCTTGCCTCCTATATCTCCAAGAAAATAGAAGTCATCAAAGCATAATGTCTTTTACTTTCTGCTTCCCTCTGCAGTTACTATACACTGTTGGTAAGGATGAGGGTGATGGGGGATGATGGCTAACTTTCTTCAGCACTAACCACTGCCCGCTTCATTCTGGTCACAATGGCAGGGGTACTATTTCTCCTATCTCCCAGCCCCAGACAAATCCTTCCACCATAGCTTTGGATTCTGCCCTTTTCTACTTCCTCTGGTCCTAACTGCATCAATTATCTTCTCTGTCTGAAGCTCTGCATTAAGCTGCAGTCACTTCTCTACTTCTCATATCCAAATCTCTTTCAGTCCACTGTGATTTTATTTCTGCCCCAGTAACTCTGCTGAAACTGCCTTGAACCTCTTTGTTGCTATCCGTGGGTACTTCAGTCCTTGCAGTATTGGGCACTCTTGAGCCTACCTTCTAAGCATGCTCTTTGCCCTGAGATCCATGCACCTTCCTACTTTCCCGAACAGCTTTCCAAGTCTCCTTCCCACAAATGTCTTCCGCAGAGTTCTGCCGGAGGCGGCTTCCCTTCTAATTCCTTGCACTCCCAGTGCCTTGCCTGGAGAAGGGGCTCAGTCAGTATCAAATTACATATGCAGATCCAATTGCCGGTTGCAAGTAGACTCACAAATCTTTAGAAGTTTAAACAAAAAGGTTTTTTTTTTTTTTTTTTTTTTTTTTTTGAGACGGAGTCTCACTCTGTTGCCCAGGCTGGAGTGCAGTGGTGCGATCTCGGCTCGCTGCAACCTCCGCCTCCTGGGTTCAAGCGATTCACCTGCCTCAGCCTCCTGAGTAGCTGGGATTACAGGCACGCGCCACCATGCTCGGCTAATTTTTTGTATTTTTAGTAGAGACGGAGTTTCACCACGTCGGCCAGGATGGTTTCTATCTCCTGACCTTGTGGTCTCTATCTCCTGACCTCGTGATAGGCCCGCCTCAGCCTCCCAAAGTGCTGGGATTACAGGTGTGAGCCACCACACACGGCCACAAACTTTTCTTTAAGGGATACACATTTCCAATTATAAATGATGTATTACTTATTGCAACTGGAGTCCACTGAGGGGAAAAAACCATAATAGCTTATTTCAGAACTAATATGGCTATATGTTAGCAACAGAAGTGGTGTAGCTATTTTATTAGAAATACAATAAAGAGATTACTTAGCAGCTGTCTCCCCACACCATCATTTCATTTTGCTCTGTAGTTCTTGGCAGAGAGTCTAGAGAGAAAGAAAATAAATTTAAGCCACACAGTGTTCTCCTAGACTAAATGATTTCTGCAGTTCTGAGAAAGAAACCTTAAAAAGACAATGGATGTTCCATGATTATTGAAAAGAACATTTTCAAAATTTTTTCCCTGGATAAATTTGATTAAACATTATAGCCTTTTCCCTTTCATATCTTGTAGTAAAGCTTCTCTTACTTAGTTCCATGTTCCATACTCAGAACTTGAGTGCCACACACCAGCCTAGGGGCCATATTAGATCTTGACACTGAAAGAATTCAGCGAGAACTATTTAAGGCTCTCTTTTCATTGAAATGAAGAAATGTCACATATAGAACATTCCTTTGTTTATTCATTCATCATTCATCCGACAAATAATTATGTGAACAGTCACTCCAAGAAATCTTAGAGTGGATATTATGTAATATATGAAAAGATGCCTGCCAAAATATATGCTGAATTTATGACTTTATTTTGGCTTTACCTGCCAGCATTTCTTGTCCTAGCCTTCAGACTGTGTTACTCAGAAGTACCTACTTTTTGCACAGTCACGAGATTCCAAAGATCATATCATTTCATTCCATCTGTTCCTGCCACAGTTACTTTAATAACAATATTCATCATGTGACCTTTATGTGCTACTCTCTACTTAAATAGGGAAAACTCTTGTCGGTCCAGAGAAGAAAGAATTGCCAAAATTAAATAAAAAGTCAAGATTCCATTACCTGATGATTTGTGTATTTCACGTTGTTTGCAACGTAAGTAGGAACTTTAAAAATGATATGGTAACAATTTTAATTTTTATTGTTGTGTAAGAAAATGGATATGGCTCAAAGGAGGATAGATGAGACATGAAAATGTTGTGGGGAAAATTCTGTTAATGCTCTTGATCTTCTGGCATTACCTATGCCACCAAGACAGTATAAGGCAGAATTTCATACAAATGGTCCGTGACTTTTAGGATGGTTCAGCGTTACAGTGGTGTTGAAGAGATAGGCGTTGAGTAGAAACCGTACTTTGAGTACCCACACAGCCTTTCTGTTTTTCATTTTCAGTACAGTATTCAATAAAGTACATGAGATTCTACACTTTATTATAAACTAGGCTTTGTGTTAAATGATTTTGCCCAACTGTAGGCTAATGTAAGTGTTCTAAGCACATTTAAATAGGCTAGGCTAAACTATGATGTTCAGTAGGTTCGGTGGATTAAATGCATTTTCAGCTTACGATATTTACAACTTACAATGGTAAATCAAGGAACATCTGTATAGTGCTGAGCCCAGAGTAAGAATTCAGTGCTTGCAGGGCTGGAAGAGTCACTGCCTACAGAAACATACATGTGCGACATAGGCGTCATGCGAAATCATGAGGAGTGGTAGAGCTTATGGCAAACTGGAGAGCTCCCAAGTTGCCTAAAGACATCCACATTTAAAAATTTAAAAACACTGTGCTAGCCAAGCAAAAACATGGCCAGAGATCCTGTACTGCCCCTAGCTTGAGTTTGCTGTTGTTTTGAAACGGAGTCTCGCTCTGTCACCCATGCTGGAGTGCTGGAGTGCAGTGGTGCAGTCTCGGCTCACTGCAACCTCTGCCTCCCGGATTCAAGTGATTCTCCTACCTCAGCCTCCCAAGTAGCTGAAATTACAGGTGCCGGCCACCACGTCTGGCTAATTTTTATATTTTTAGTAGAGATGGGGTTTCACCATGTTGGCCAGGCTGGTCTCGAACTCATGACCTCTAATGATCATCCTACCTTAGCCTCCTAAAGTGCTGGGATTACAGGTGTGAGCCACCACGCCCAGCCCCTAGCTTGGGATTTAGATCTCTAAGTTATGCCTGCCCCTTGCCTGCCATTCCCCTTTCTGCATGCCTTCTTTCTCTCTTCTACTCTTCACCACCACCCGCTCCATATCTTAGACCACTTGCTGCCTCAGATAAAAGCTGCAATCAAAAAATGCTACTTCATTTCAAAGAACAACCTCGGCAAAATGTGCTTGTATTTGAGAAAATTTGCTTATATATGAAGCAAGCATCATTTCAAACACTTTTTAAAAGGTTTCAATCCTTTCAATCTTTGTTAATTTGTACTAACTTGTAATACATGCTCTTTCTTTAAAACTTCTAACAATATAGAAATAAAGTACGATTTTTTCCTTCCATTCTTCCCTTCACCATTCTCATTCTCCAGGTAAACACTGCTAAATTATTTGGTGTCTATAGATCCAAATTTTTCTGAGTATGTAAACTAATATATACATGCACATACATACATAGACTATATAGAGATATCTAATTAAAATGCTGTCGTACCATTCAGCAACTTGCTTTTTTATATAGACAACATTTCATATTATTGTAGTGATATCACATTCTTTGTAACTCCTGTTCTTTCAGCAGTCATATCAATGTGCCATAATTTCACCAGTCCCTATTAGTGACATTGAAATTGTTTTTATCTTTTCTGCGAGTATTCTACTCTAAACTCTGTATCTGAATGTGAGATAGACATCTCCATGTTCAAAACCAGATTCCTCATCTTCTCCCCAAAACCTGCTTTTCCCATGGTTTTCTGCCATCTTAATTAATGGTAACTCCATCCTTTGTGTTGCTTGTGCCAGAAACCTGGAAGTCATCCCAAGTTCCTTTCTTTTTCTTACCCTCCACATCCAAGCTGTCAACAAATCTCGACTCTGACCACCTCTCAGCACCTCCACTGTGTCACCCAGTGCAAACCTCCACCACCATCTCAGCCTCTTACCCAGCTCCAGGATTCTGCCTTTGCCCCCATCAATCTACTTCAGGTCTCTTCTCCACCCAATAAATAAGTCCAGCAATGATCCTTGTAAAATGTACATCAGGAGGGGCCTTCTCATCTCACCTATGATAGGTATGGAGTTTTTTCTTTTTTCCATTTCACCTGTGATGTATGTTTGTGACCTCCAATATGTAACCACTTACTATGTTGCTTTTAAAATGATTTTTAAAGGTTTGTTTACAACCATAGCCACTATTTGCAATTATGAGTGTATAGCACTAAGCATGAGAACTAGATCTGTGAAATTTTTTGCCAGTTTCATTAGGTGACCTCTGTAAGCATCAAAACCTGGCATTGATTGAGGTTGTTTCAGGCTCAACTAGTACTGTTCAAAATAAAGTAACTGAAAGCAAGTCTGGTGGTAGAAGGTACTTTATAAGCTAACTAATGCTTTTCAAAGGGATATATATTGAAGGAAAGGCTCGTTTTATATTACATCCTATAAGGCAGTGCTTCTTAAACTCTCTGTGGAAAAGAACCACTTTTTATAAATTTCCAGTCTGTTGCAAACCGATACTTTGTAAAAATTAATAAAAGTGAATTACTAGAAAAATGAAATTTTTGAAAAAGACATATAAAATAAAAGTTGTAATTTTTAGCAAACAGGAAGTTATATTGCAAAAATTACTGGGGTATAGGAAAAAAGATACAAAAATTGTTCGTGTTTGTTCATTGAAAGTATGCGTGTAAGCAATTAATAGGCTATTGCACTTGTAAGTTTTCTTCATTTTAAGGGAAAATGGAATTCCCATATTAAATGTCTATTTGTACACTTTGAACACAATGTGGATAAATATTTAAAGTTTTTAATGTGACAAATGGGATTGCTTCCTACTTGATACTTTACCTAATCTAGGTAAAATTGCCAATAAGGCTACTTGTAGGGAATAAGGTATATCTAAATAATTTCTACGCTTTATTTTAATAATGATACAAAAGAAACCAGTCTCACAATGGAATGGAGGGAGAGATTTTAGAGCAATTTTCAGTGAGCTCAGTTTATTCATTTTAAAATTTTATCTAAGATGGAGCCAGAGCCACTATGCTTTCAAAGTCTTCCAATCCCTCAACAGACCTGAGTGCCAGCAATATATCCTGTAAATTATAATTAAATATAATTATCTTTTGGTGAAATAAATGGATCCTAGATCCATGGATTTTTTAGACATAGATCTTCTTTTGATGGAAAATAAAATTCAAAATGCTTTATCAAATTTAAGGTGTTTGGTGTTTGCTCTTCATTGATGTGCAATATCAGAATCATCACTATGTCATTTAAAATTGTTACATTTTGGAACATGTGTCATAGCAATCTGCAGAAACTGTTCTTCCAAGCTTTGAACTTTCATTTTTGCCATTTGATTCTACCTGTCATTGAAAAACATGTTGCATTAATTCCTTGCATGGAAGTATTAAGATCATTAAAACTACTGAGGATATCAGATGCATAAACAATCCTCTTTGTCCAATTCATATCTTCAACAAGTTGGGGCCAAATTGTCTTCTTATTTTGCAGAAACATTTAAGAGTTGTTTTGTAGTTCAAACTTTCTCAAACACAGCCTATTGGTCATCATCGTACCCCAGCATGCAGCAACAGCTGGTTATGATCTGCTTCCATAGTATCATGCAACACAAGAGAATAATCTAAGATTTAACGCACTAGCCTTTACCTAATTCATAATTTTTAGTACAACATTAAGCCCACTGTTTAGTTCCACCAACATTTCTTTTCATAGCAGGACCTCCTCATGAGAGAAACAAAACATAGATTTACATTCTGGTACAAGCTCCTTAGTCAGGATAACTCCTCCAGAATATTTCCTGCACCGTCAGAACATACCCTACACAAAATTTAAACTCCAAACCACATTTGTTGACAATATAATCTTTCATAGTTTTATACAGTTCAGACTTAGTTATGTATGTCAGCAACAAAATTGAAAAAAAGAACTCTTCCTTCATATCACCATCATGTTCCAATTGCACATAAACAGGAATGTGAGTGCAATTATCATGCTGCAATGAAAAATACGTTGCCAGCTTTAACTGCTCCATGGGTTAGCCTTCTGGATCGTTAGCCAGTGCCTGGATATGCTGAGCTATGGTGGCACTGAAAAGTAGTGCTTGAGCCACCTTCTTTGCTGCAGATTCACCCAATATTTCCAAGTAAATACCTTTGATACAGTCTTTTCACTAATATCTCCCCAACTGTATATGGATCTTAATTTTGGCAAGCTGAACTGCTTCTTATTAAGCCCGTAAAGCCCTAATGTTTATATGTAAAATATTGAACATCTGCTTCATAAGCTATTTAATCCAATATTCTTTCTTTCAAAAAATTCTTGTGGTTTTTAACTGAATTTTTGTAAGTAAACACCCCATAAGTTCTGATGGTCTCATTGCTTCATAGCCAGTACATACAAAAAACCGAACACTATGTTTTTAGCATGTCAACATCGATTACAGCTTTAAACTGAACTCAGCATGTTAGGGATCATAGTTCTGGGGAAAAGCACTATGAACTCTTTGGGTCTTGGTTTCTTCAGAATCACTTCCATGTCATCATTTGGTTTCTACCCCTGTCATACTCAGAAAAGTATTTTCTCACGAAAAAAAGTCCAGTGAAGCTTGTTTCACCTCCATAAATTGAGGGTGAAAATAACAAATATTATTGCTCTAATCAGCTAATAATGTTAAACCACAAAGTTAAAAATTCTGATTAAAAATTAAAACGTATAAAGTCAGTCATAAAAATAAATGCTTACATTTTCATAGGTTTTTATACACTTTTAGGGTACAGTTAACAGACCAGTCATATCAATACAATAAGTGGTTATATATTAATTAGAGATCACAAACATGCATCTCAGGTTGAATGAAAAAACACACCTATTATAATGTTATGCAAACGGCTACTAAATGGCTTTAGGCAAAAATTTCTACTGTCAGTACTAAGCATGGAATCAAAGTCCTGTATTCCAGATAACTCTTCCAGGTGCCCTGGAAAAGAGTTTTATGTCTCAAAAAGTGGCTCTGGTGATCATGAAAACGTTTATATGAAGATGCATGTCAAGAGTGAATAAAAGGCCAGGCATGGTGGCTCACACCTGTAATCCCAGCACTTTGGGAGGCCGAGGCAGGCGGATCACCTGAGGTCGGGAGTTCGAGACCAGCCTGACCGACATGGAGAAACCCTGTCTCTACTAAAAATACAAAATTAGCGGGGCATGGTGGCACATGCCTGTAATCCCAGCTACTTCAGAGGATGAGGCAGGAGAATCGCTTGAACCCGGGAGGCGGAGGGTACAATGAGCCAAGATTGCACCATTGCGCTCCAGCCTGGGCGACAAGAGCAAAACTCCATCTCAAAAAAAAAAAAAAAAAAAAAAGAGTGAATAAAATTGCTTCATGAAACATGGTCATGGAAAAAGCAGTGCATGTTGGTCCTTCAACTGTCTCTGGGCTCCAAACTCACCCTTCTATACTCTGCATGGTGGGGCCAGACCTGCCTGACAAACCACATCTCTCGTTTCCCAGCTGCTTCCCTTTAGGTCCTGTCCTCCGGAGATACAGAGGCTACCGGGCGGCCAGAGAAGGGAGAGGCGAGTGTTCCTTCCTGTCCTCTTGCAGTTCCTGTGAGGCTCACTCCTATAACAGTTCCTCACTCCAGTTGTCTGCAGTTCTAGTTTCGTGCGTTTTCCTATGGTGTCCTCCCTCAGAGACAGCAGCTTCAGCCTCTAGCACCCTCTCCAGGGGTCTGGGTTCCAGCTCCACAGGACCTTCCTGCAGCCTCCTAGGTTCTAATAACCTCAGTCTCATCCCTTTGTTTCTTCAGCCCTGAGGATGGTAGAGGCTTCATGTGTTTTAATGGTTACTACCTTTTAATTGCAGAATTCCTCTTTTGCCTTTTTTGTTCTTCAATACCTGTCTAACCTATTTCTTTTATATTAAATTCTCTCTTTTAAAATAACCACTGTGGTTTCTGATTTTCTAACCGAATCCCAACTGATATAATAAATGGTACCAGAAGTGGTCCCAGGTGGTCTGGGAATGGTTTGATTGTGTCTTTGGCCCAAAATGCAGTGCTGAGCAGCTTGTCAATGTGAAATGGAATGTTAGTAATCGGGTCATGCCGTGGCATCATGATTAATCAAACTATCCCCTGTGGTTGATTGTGAAGAAGTGCCTGAAGCTAGTAACTTAAGGGACCAAGTGGCGGCTGCACTTAGCCATTATAGTAGTAATGATGATGTCAGAAGTGTGGAATGGGAGGCTATTCTGCCTTTAGTGGCATTCTTATGGAAAAAAAAAATGACAAGCTCAAGTCTTTAAACACTCAGCTCAAGTCATATCTGGCAAATCTCAAATTATTTCACTTCTTTTTATCTCCACCTCTACCATCCTACTATAAGTCATATTTTCTCAACTGAAGTTTTGCGACAGCTTCCTGCTCTCCCTTTCTTACAGTCCATTTCTTAGAGGGTGACCAAGATACCATAAAGCCAACACCTCTGCCTAAAACCTCCAATGACATCCTACTGCATTAAAAAAAAAAAAATCTAACCTCTTCAACTTCGTCTCAAACCATTTCCTCCCCTCTGTGTTCCAGTCTTTCTAGCTCTCTCTGGCCTGGGAGTTCCCACATTTATAGTTCCTTCTTCTTAGAATTCATTTCCCTTGGCATGTATGACTGTTACCCATCCTTCATATTTCATATTCCCTAGGTCCCCAACCCTCCCTATTTAAAGCAAACCTTCAACCCTTTCCTCTAGTAAATATGTTATCATCATGCATTCATTTCTTACATAGCACTTGCCACTATATATATATATGATACATTTCATAATTATAACAGGGTCAATTAATCAAGAAGACATAATAATTCTAAATGTATACATACATAATAACAGAGCTTACATATATATGTATATGAGAGAGAGAAAGAGAGATCTTATTTGTTTGTCTCCCCCACCACCCTGCTCTCCATTAGGGCAGAAACCTGTCAGTCTTATTGGCTACTATATTCCCAGGACCCTGCTCCAATACCTATGGCATAGTAGATGATCAATGATTATTTGTTGATTGAATGATCCTGGGAAGTAATTTTCTTTCAATTAACTTACTATTTTAGTTATAAAACATTGCAAGCATACAGAAAATATTATAACAAGCATCCAGATAGCTGCCAGCAAAATTTAACACATTTTGACATATGGCCATACTTGCTTCACATCTCACACTTGCACTCGCTCTCTTTCTCTCTTTCTCTTTTTTTTTCGAGAAATAAAATGTAAAAGAATATTTTCATCTAAATTAAAAATTATTAGCACAAATTACATATACTATTTCCTTATGATATTTTTAATGACTCTAGGCTCTAACTTTCAGTTGTGATATAGGTGATTTGTGGGTTTTCTTCTCCCCTCCCCCATCAGTCTAGCTCAGGGCTATCAACTTTATTAATTTTTTTAAAGAGGCATCTTTTAGTTTCGTTTATTTTCTCTATGATTTTTTCATTTTCCAGTTAATTGACTTTTGCCATTGTTACTTGTTATTTCTTATAGTTATTTTAGTTGACTTGCTCTTTTTCTGTCTTCTTAAGGTGGATGTTTTGATCATTGATTTTAGTCTTTTCAAATGTAGGCATTTAAAACTACATATTTCCATCTAAGGACTGCTTTAACTGCATACCACAATTCTGATATGTTGGATTTTCACTGTCATTTAATTCCAAATACTTTCTAATTTTTCTTGAATTTTCTTTTTTGACCCATGGGTTATTATGAAATGTACTGTTTAATTTCCAAATATTTGAAAGTTCTCCCAATTTTTTGGTTATTGATCTCTAATTTCATTCCGTTATTCAATTTCAATCTTTTCAAATGTGTTGCAACTTTTTTTTTTTTTTTTTTTTTGGTCCCAGCATCTATCTTGGTAAATGTTCCATGAGCACTTGAACGGAATGAATATCCTGTAGGTGTCAGGAGTGGGGCTCTATAAATGTCAGCTAGGTCAAGTTGGTTGATGGTGTTGGTCATATTATTTTTACTGATTTCCTGTCTCTGTGTTCTCTCATTTACTGAGAGAGAAATGTTAAAAATAACCGGCTATGATAATGGATTTGTCTGTTTCTCCTTTTAGTTCTCTCGATGTTTTGCTTCATGTATTTTTAAGCTCTGTTATTAGGTACGTATACGTTTAGAATTATTATGTCTTCTTGATTAATCGACCCTGCTATAATTATGAAATGTCTCTTATTATCTCCACCAGTATTTTTTGTTCAGCAGTAATATTGATGTGGCTATTCTTTCTTTGCTGTGATTATCATTTTTTATTCTTTTACTATTAACGTATCTGTGTCTTTATATTTAAAGTGAATTTCCTAAGGACAGCATACAGTTGAGTCTGCTTTTTCATCTTTTCTGGCAATCCTGATTTTTAATTAATATTTAGCATATTTACATTTAATGTAATTATTTATATCATTGGGTCTAAGTCTACATCTTCACATTTCCTATTTCTCTCATTTGTCATTTGTTTTCCTCTATCCCCCTTTTCTACCTTTATTTCCAGTACTTTTCTTTCCCTTTTGTAGATCCAGTTTTCCATTTCGTATTATTTTCCATAAGCCTAAGGAACTTCCTTAAATTTAATGTCTGCTGGCCACAAATTTTTATCAGTTTCTGTTTGTCTGAAAATGTTTCTATTTTACTTTTGTTTTGAAATATATATATTTCCACACTTTAACATTGTAATTCTAACTGGTTCCCATGGTGTCTGATGAGAAGTCAGTGGTAGTTTTTATATATTTTTTTCTCTGAACAAGTATGTCTTTTTCTCTGCTTTTAAGATACTGTCTTTATTGCCAGTTTTCAGCAATTTGATTATGGTGTTGTTTTTTATAGTGTTCTTCATTATCTTACTTAGAGTTCATTGAGCTTCTTGGATCTGTAGAATTTTAGTTTTCATCAAATTTGCACAATGTTTGGCCATCATTCTTTTGAATGTTTTTTTCTTCTTCCTCAACCTTCTGGTACTCCAATTATGCATATGTTAGACCACGTGATATTGCCCCACAAGTCACTGATGCTCTTTTCATTCCTCTGTTCGTTTCTTTTTCTCTCAGATTTAGTTTGGAGAATTTCTATTTCTGTGTCTTTACATTCACAGAAGTTTTCTTCTGCAATATTTAATGTGACATTGATCCCAGTCCATGAATTATTAACTTCAGATATTATGTTTTTCATCTCTAGAAGTTCCACTGGGTTTTTAAAAATACTTTCCATTTCTGTCTTTACTATATCCATGCCTTCCTTTAAATACTAGAGCATACTTATAATTAAAAGTTCTTGTCAACTAATTCTATTGGCTTTGTTGTTTCTGATTCTGTTTCCATTGTCTGATTTTTCTCCTGCTTATTGGTCACATTTTCCAGCTTCTTAGCATGTATAGTAATGTTTTGATTGGATTCTGAGTATTATTATATTAGTTTTCTATTGCTGCATGACAAACTGCCACAATCTTAACAGCTGAAAACAACACCCATTTTCATTTCACTTATGAAGGTCCGCAGCATGGTGGACTCATTGTTTTTGCTTAGGGTCTCAGGAGGTCAAAATCAAGGTGTTGGTTGGGATGGGCTCTTACCTGGAAGTTCATGGGAAGAATCTACTTTCAAGCTCACTCAGGTTGTTAATAGAATCCAGTTCCTTGTGGCTGTAGGTTTGAGGTACTCATTTTCTTACAGGCTGTTGGCCAGGGTCTACTCTCTGGCCCTGGTGGATGCCCATATTCCTTTTCATGTGATCCTCTGCATCTTCAAGCAACAATGGTATGTCATATTCTTCTTGGGCTTTGAGTCTCTTCGACCTCCTCTTTTACTACACACTGGAGAAAGTTCTGTGCTCACAGGTTTAGATTAGTCCCACCTGGGTAATATAACAATCACAGGAGTTATAGCTCATCACTTTCATATGTTCAGGATGTGTAATCTTGGGGGTTATTCCTAGGAATTCTGCCTATCACAATTACAACCATTATGATGGCCAAGTAGCAGGATTTTGATGTCTTCTTTTAAAGAGTATTGCGATGTATTCTGGCAGGTTCTAAGTTTACTTGCAAATCAGCTTGATATTTTCAGGCTGGTTTATAAGCTTTGTTAGGATAGTTCTAGAATAGCTTTTACTCCGTGACTGATTTAGCCCTATTTCTGAGGTATGGCCTTTGTGGTGTCTATTGAATAATGTAGGTATTCAGTGAGGTCTCCACTCTCAGTAGTCAGAACCTCAGCATGCACAAGCCCTCTGTGAAGTCCTGTGGCCATCCAGCTGATCTGTACCTGTAAGTTCTTTTCCCATGGGTTTGGATTCTCACACTCTGTGTGTCCATACAATATTTGACCAGACTCAAATGACACCGAGGCCAATTTCTGGAGCTTTTTTTCTGCACAGCTCCTTCTCTTGTACTCTGCCCTACAAATTCTAGACTCTCAGCCTCTCCCAACCAGTGGAGTGCCAAGGGTGGGGTGGGAGGACCAATCCAACCTAGGTGCTGAAAATTTAGGAGTATTTGTCTGAAGAGAATTTTAAAACAGTGACTCAAAGTCTATCTTCTTTTATCACCATGTTTCTAAATACCTACTCCTGCCAGGGGAAGAAAACAAGCACGCTTATACGCCTACATTCTAAGTAATTGCTGAAGTTACTCTGAGTTTTAATAATACATATATAAACTTTAAATTGTACACTTTTATTTCTTAGTTTTAATTAGCAGCCACACTTGCTCATTTTGAGAATACATTTATAACAGTTCAGAATCATTTGAACTGGCTTTAGGTGCAGTTAGTGTTTTCATCTCTGGTCGCACCAGAAGCTCCAGTGTTTTAACAATAGATTCGGTGTAAACAATGATAACACAGTGGTTGTAAACATAAAAAAAACCTCGAGTTATTAAATTTTATCTATATGACTACTTCAGAGTTTTAATTTGTGTTTAAAATGGAAAATAGTGAGAAAGTGGGAAATGTCATGTGTAATGTTTATGTTTGTTATGTGTAAATTGTAGTTTACACCTGGATGATTTTACTAAATTTGAATGATATTTTGTAAAGTGATATTTATTCTCCTTTTTGGATTGTTCATGTGTGTTTTAAAACCAGAGACTAAATCAAGAAAGTCATGATTATTGCTCATTATTACATGAGTGTTGCTGAAAATAGTTTTGTCACATAGAGGAGGAGGTGTTTAAAAAGGGTGTGCTCCTGGTGTGAAATAGGTTAGGTTCTCTGTTTTCAAGTTTCCCTCTCCCGCACCTCCATCCAAACGGTGCCTCTAGGCAGAAAGCTAGGACCATCCCAGGGCTCACTTCATTTGTTTTTCTTTTCAGGGACCACAGGCCTTACTCTCTGTTGTCCAATCTCTGAAAGTGATTTTTAAAAATATATTTTTCATTCTTTATGGCAGAAGGGCTAGTGTGGTACCCTCCACACTGGGTTTTATTATTTGTTTATATTCCTATTTCCTAGATTTGCCTGAGTTTTATAAGCATAGGAGCCATATGGTATTACAGCTCTCCAGAGAAACAGACACAATAGGATTTATATACATAAGGGGAGAAAGACTGGTTTTAAGGAACTGGCTTGCAGGATTGTGGGGGCTGGCAAGTCCAGAGTTCATAGGGAAGGCTGCCGGCTGGAGACTCAAGTAAGAGTTGTTACCGCAGTCTTGAGGCAGAATTGCCTCTTCTTTGGGAGATCTCAGTCTTTGCCCTTAAGACCTTCAGCTAATTGAATGAGTCCACTTACATTATGGAGCGCAATCTGCTTTACTCAAAGTCTACTGATTGAAATGTTAATCACTGCCCAGCACAGTGGTTCACAGGTGTAATCCCAGCACTTTGGGAGGCCAAGGCAGGAGGATTGCTCAAGCCCAGGAGTTGGAGACCATCCTGGGCAAGATAGTGAGACCCCCATCTCTACAAAAAATAAAAAATTAGCCAGGCATTTGATCCCAGGAGTTCAAGGTGGCAGTGAGCTGAGATCAGGCCACTGCCTTCCAGCCTGTGTGACAAAGAGAAACCATACACATATAAATATATATGTTATTATGTATAAAACATATAACATATTTTATATATATAATATCTAAAAATCTAAAAATTACCTTCATAGCAATGTCTAGACTGGTATTTGATCAAACAACTGGGCATCATAGCCTAGCCAAGGTAACACATAAAATTAACCATCATACATCTATTACTCATTTTTATACCCCTAAAACTTTGAGTACTGCATAGGAATTAAGGAATAGCAAATAAGAGGCTGCAGTTTGGGAATAAGGAAATAATGTTTAAATAAGGCTGCAAGTAGAGGTTACTGTAGCTCCTGAGAGACTTTGTGAAGGAGTTAACTGTATTATGTGGGCCGAGTGGGAGTCTTCTAACGTTTTGATGAGGGAAATATGTGATGTCGCCTGTCTAGATGGCAGTGTAGGGACTGAAATCTAGTGTGCAGCACTGAGATGGTAGCTAGGGGAGGAATGAGAAGGACCTGAGTGAGACAGTGTCCAGGGAAAGGCCAACGGTGAGAGTGGTGGGGGCGGTGGAATGGAGAAGAGTGGAAGGAGAGAGGAAAAAGGCAAATGATGAATATTTTGCTGGGGAATTCAGCATTTAAATTTCCTTAAGTTTCTTTGTCTCTTTGGTGGCAGGACTTCCCAACTCCTTTGGAGAGAGCTTTAGAAAGATGTTATTAAACCTCTAAAAAACAAGCATGCTATTCTTTGTGAATAAAGAAAAAAAATCGACAGCTCTGCACTTAAACACCTGTAATCCCTTTCTTTACTATGACAACTGTTAGGTTTTTCTATAGCCTCTTCCAGTCTTTAGCCTTATGTAATCCTAGGCTTTTGTATAGCTGTAATAATATTGTATATGTGGTTTTGTGTCCTACTATGAGGAAGTTTATGTCTATGTGGTCTTTATATGTATTATGTTTAATAACAGAAAAGCTTTATGGTAAATTGATGAGCCATAGTTTACTGAGTCATATTCCTATTGTTGGATTGGGATTTCCTAACAGATTTTTACCATTGTAAAAGATAATGGTATAAATGATTTTTTATCTAAATTATTTTTTACATTTTTATTGTGATATAACTGATGTGTAATAAACTACATATATTTAATAATTTAACATACTTGAATAATTTTTGGTATGTATACACATGAAATATCACTACAGTCAAATATTGAAGATAGCCATCACCATTAAAAGTTTCTTTGGGGCTGGGCACAGTAGCTCATGCCTGTCATTTCAGCACTTTGGGAGATCAAGGCAGGAGGATTGCTTGAGGCCAGGACTTCAAGACCAGCCTGGGCAACACAGCAAGACCCCATCTCTAAAGAAATGGGTTTTTTTTATAATTAGCTGGACATGGTGGCATGTCCCTGTAGTCCCCTGTAGTCCCAGCTACTCTGGAGGCTGACCAGGGAGGATCACTTGAACCCAGGAGTTTTAGGCTGTAGTGAGCTGTGACCATGCAACTGCACTCCAGCCTAGGTGACAAAGTGAGACCTTGCCTGGAGGAAGAAAAAAAAGATAGAAAGTTTCTTTGTATCCCTTTGCAGTTGCTCCCACCCTCCTACCCCTTCCCACCTCCCTGTTCCCCCTTCCCTCTTCTCAGATAACCACTGAACAGCTTTCTGACACTGCACATTAGTTTTCATTTTCTACAATATTATATAAATGGAATCATATAATATGTACTTGTTTTGGTCTGGCTTCTTTGACCCTGTGTAATTATTTTGAGATTTATCCATGGGATACCATGTATCAACAGTTCATTCCTTTTCCATTGCTGAGTACATTGTAACAATGTACCATGTTGATGGGCGTTGGGTTTGTTTCCAGTTTGGGGGCATTAAACAAATAAAGCAGCTGTGAACATTGGTGTGCAAGTCTGAATGGATATGTGCTTTCTTTTCCCTTGGATACGTAGCTAGGGGTGGAATGGCTGGACCGTGTGGTAGATGTATTATATGTCTAGTTTTTTTACAAAACTGCCTAATTTTTCCGAAGTGGCTGTACCTGTTTTCATTTCTACCAGCAGTGAATGAGAATTCCAGGTGCTCTGCATCCTCACTAACACTCGATCTTTGTAAATTTAGCCATTTTTATAGGCATGTAGTGGTATCTCTCACTGTTGTTTCAGTCAGTATTTTTGTAATGACTAATGACGTTGAATATCTTTTCATGTGCGTATTTTCCATCATATCTTCTTTAGTGAAGTATCTGTTCAAATCTCTCACCTATTTTTTACGTGGTATTTGCTTTATTATTGAGTTTTGAGAGTTCTTTATGTATTGCTTTATCAGGTATGTACTTTGCAAAGATTTTTCTTCTAGGCTGTAGCTTGTCTGTTCATTGCCTTACCTGTGTTTGTTGAAGAGCAGAAATTTTTAAAATATATTTTCTTTGGATACATTTTCAGAAATAAGATTAATGGGTCAAAAACCTAATCTTTTCTTCTTTCCTTCTTCCCTCCCTTCCTCCCTCCTTCCTTCCCTTCTTCTCCCTACGTCCTCTTTCCCTCTTGCTTCTTTCTTTTGTAGTTCTACTTACTTGTTGTCTGTCTTCCAAAGAATTTGAAACACTATCACTGAATCATAGTATGTTGTTCCCTGGAGGCTTGCCAACTCTGGTCTTTCTCACTTGTCTTTACTTGCTATTTTGGTGAGTGTAAAGTGCGACATTACAGTTATATTTCACTTCACTTACCTGGCAAGTTGAACATTTACTTAAATTTGGTATTTAAAATATTTTTCCTTCTGTAACTTTTAACCATTTGTCATTGGTAATTTTGAATTATTGTTATAGAGTTATAAGAGCTTTTCATGTATTGTAGATGTCAACATTTACATATAATATTTATCACAATTTCATATCCATATTTACCTTTTATCTTGGTTTACTCCCTACCCCAACTGCAATTTTTTATTTTTATTTATTTATTTATTTATTTATTTTGAGACAGAGTCTCACTCTGTCACCCAGGCTGGAGTACGGTGGCGTGATCTTGGCTCACTGCAACCTCTGCCTCCCAGGTTCAAGTGATTCTCCTGCCACAGCATCCTGAGTAGCTGGGACTCCAGGCACCTTCCACAACACCCGGCTGATTTTTGTATTTTTAGTAGAGACGGGGTTTCGCCATGTTGGCCAGGCTGGTCTCGAATTCCTGACCTCAAGTGACCCACCTGCCTCAGCCTCCCAAAGTGCTGGGATTACAAGCGTGAGCCACCGCGCCTGGCCTTGCAACTGCATTTTACTTGTAATTTTCTCGTGTGTTTTAAATAGTGAATCTAAATACCTACCTGGGATAAATATATTATTATTTTCGTCTACCTTTGGGAAATTGTATGTTAAATTTTTCTTTACAATGTATTTATTCTGTTTTATGGTATAAAGTAAGCATCTAAGTTTATATTTATAATTTTTTTTTAAGAAGGAGTCTCAGCTCTATCACCCAGGCTAGAATGCAGTGGTACGATCATAGCTCACTGTTATCCAGAACTCCTGGGCTCAAGTGATCCTCCTATCTCAGCCTTCTGAATAGCTAGGACTACAGGTACATGCCTAGCTAATTTTTTTATTTTTTATTTTTTGTAGAGACAGGGTCTCACTGTGTTGCCCAGTTTTTGGCTGGTCTCGAACTCCTGACCTCAAGTGGTTCTCCCCCCTTGGCCTCCCAAAGCACTGGGGTTACAGGTGTTAGTCAGTGCTCCTATTTCTTTTAATGTGGGTTGCTTTTTGATACATTCTGATCTCTCTTAAGTTGCCCCTTATTGTCCCAGTTAATGTCTGATATGAACTTCAGAATTTTTACATAATAAAATATCCTATTATTATTTTATTTAGAAATGTATTAAATCTACAAATTACCTTGAAGTATTGCCTATTTTCATTTTTTCTTTTATAAAATATTTATACTTTTATTATTGGACTGATATATTCTACCTTGGTTTAATTACCAAGTAGGTACTCAATAAATGTGTATTAAATACAGATATATTTTTTCCTTGTTATAAGAGAAATCTAATTTTGAAACAAAAAGTTTGATAGTTGTTGTTGAAAAGCAATGTTATTATTTTTAGAGCATGTTTTATATGATAATTATCCTTGCATTATTTTACTTCTAAAATTCTTAGTAGAGCCCTTTGAGTTTTCTGGGTTACATAATCGCAGCTGTAGCAATTAATGATGTTTCTTTCCTATTAATTTTTCTTTTTTGTTTTTCTTGCCTTTTCACCGTGGCAAGACCCTCTTCTAGTTTACTAAATAAAATGTAAAATAAAGAGTATCTCTGTTTTGAGTTTGCTTTAGGAAACATGCCACTAATATCTGTATCTCCACTAAGGGTTTTGCTTTGTTTAGTTTTCAGAAGTTAAAGATTAGGAATGTATGCTTTATTTTATAAAATTCCCTTTTAAGCCTTTTAACATACAAGTAATGGTGAGGGCCAGCAAAGTGTGCTAGGAGTGAATTAACTGTATTATGAGAAGAACATATTTCTTTTATGGTTACTTTGCATGTTAGTTCACAAATTTTTAATCTTTTGCTCTAATGTTTCAAAGACTTTCTTTTTAAGGAAATGTTGGTACTTTGTCATGTTCCTAAAGGAAAAAGTCAAATTATCCTTGTTTGCTGACAACATATTTAGAAAAACCTACAGACTCCACCAAAAAACTATTAGAACTGATAAATGAATTAAGTAAAGTTATATGATACAAAATCAACTTACAGAAATCAGTACCATTTATATATGCCAACAGTGAACAAACTGAAAGGAAATCAAGGAAGCAACTCCATTTATAATAGCTACCAAAAAAAATATAAAATACCTAGGAAGAAATGTAACCAAAGAAATAAAAAATCTCTATAAGGAAAACTATAAAACACTGATAAGCGAAATTGAAGAGGACACACAAAAAATAGATACCCCATGCTCATGGATTGGAAGGATTAATATTGTGAAAATGTCAGTACCACCCAAAGCTATCTACAGATTCAATGTAATGCCTACCACAATACCAATGACATTATTCACAAAAATAGGAAAAAATGCTAAAATTCTTTTCTTCTTAATTTTTATTTTTCCAGTTGAACCCGAGAAATGAGTCAAAACCCTAATCTTTAGGATGTTCCAGAAGTACTCACTTTCTTCCATCAGTTTATTTCCTCACCATTGCCCAAAACTCAAATTTACAGCAATCTATATAGTACTAATTAGAAAGGATTTCGGCCGGGCGCGATGACTCACGCCTGTAATCCCAGCACTTTGGGAGGCCGAGGCGGGTGGATTATGAGGTCAGGAGTTCGAGACCATCCTGGCCAACATGGTGAAACCCCGTCTCTACTGAAAATACAAAAATTAGCCAGCGTGGTGGCGCGCGCCTGTAATCCCAGCTACTCAAGAGGCTGAGGCAGGAAAATTGCTTGAACCTGGGAGGCGGAGGTTGCAGTGAGCCGAGATCACACCACTGCACTCCAGCCTGGGCGACAGAACAAGATTCCGTCTTGGAAAAAAAAAAAGGATTTCATAATGAAATTCCTTTAATTATGATACCAGTGCTCCTATTAAAATCAGGTTTTGTGAAAGACTTTTTTCTTAAGCCCAACCCAGCCTCCGTGGGGGGAAATCCTAACTAAGAACTTAAACAAATTTTTCACATGTACACTTATGACAACATTTTTGAAACACTAATATTTTGAAAAGTTTTTGTGCCTTCTTTTCCCACCCCCAAATTGTGGGGACGTTCTCTTGGGCTATTCTGCAGGGCTCTGGGGAGGATGTTCATTGTGATGTCATAATTGCCGCATATTCCAGGGACAGATCTTCACGTCTTATTCAGCCCCTAATTCTGCGTGACTGTGAAAAGTTTAAGCTAACTGCACACCAAAGTCATCCTAATCCTACAGTTTATCCCATATTCCCACATAAGCTGGAAATGATCAAGCAGTTGAAATGGGGAGTCCCAATGTCTTGTTCTTGGTACTGCTTGCAGTGTGTACACAGCTTTGAGTTGGCAGTGTATTACAAATTGGCGTTCCTTTCTTTGTCCAATGGGACCAGCCTGGGTTTTTGGCAAAGACCCTCAAAATCTCCGAAAGCCCAGAGTTATTAGCTGGGCATAGGACTGTGCCATGAATCCAGAGACCTGCTCTGCTATGCTAGGTAGGAAAGCAGCTTCGTGCATCTGAGCCTCCATTTTCCCATCTGTAAAATGAAAGAGTGGGGCTGGGTGATTTTTTTTTTTTTGAAAGGGAGTTTCGCTCTTGTTGCCCAGGCTGGAGTGCAATGGCGTGATCTCAGCTCACCACAACCTCCACCTCCCAGGTTCAAGCGATTCTCCTGCCTCAGCCTCCCGAGTAGCTGGGATTACAGGCATGCACCACCACGCCAGGCTAATTTTGTATTTTTAGTAGAGACGGCATTTCTCCATGTTGGTCAGGCTGCTCTCGAACTCCCAACCTCAGGTGATCTGCCCGCCTCGCCCTCCCAAAGTGCTGGGATTACAGGCATGAGCCACTGCTCCCGGCCTGCTGGGTGATTTTTAAAGTCCCTTGAAGGAAAAATGACTACGTGTCGTTGTTCTGGGGAGAGGCTTGGACTCTGGAAGCATGGTGGGCAGGTCAGTAGAGCCCTTTGTCCCAGCGGACCAGACCGTGTGTTGCTGGCAGGCGGCAGGTCTGAAGCCCTCACCACAGATCCCTTCAGCGAGGGACAGAAAAGCAAAGGGGGAAGAAAAGAAGACATGAAAAGTTCTCACTTCAGGACATTTGTTCTGTACAGTGCTCTAGAGGTTGTAGCGCTGAACACCAAGTTCAGAGTTATTTTATACCTGTGGTTCGATTCAAAGTGGAAAAAAAAAAAAAGGTTAGTTTTTTTTTTCTCCCCCCAGGGAGCTATTTTCAGTAAAACTTCCATATGGGGATATATTTATTACTAAAGAGTGTCAAACGAGTCAAATAGTCAGACCATGTAGTCACTGAAAGAGAGCAGCAGCCGAGGAATGCGCGCAGACACCGGGCACCCTGGAACTGCATTCCTTCTCCGCAGAAGTCAAGCACGGTTGTTTCTCTAAAAGTTCTGCCCGTAACATCTTTTCTTTCATTCCTTTCTTATAAACTCACATTATGTAAACTCTCGAAGTGTGAAATGGTTTTCCTTGGTTGGCCATCACTCACAAAATGATTTTATCAAACATGAATTTTCCCTCAGCTATCAGCTGCACGCAATGGGAAACTCACAAAATAGAGAAGTGGTTGTGTGCTGAGCACATAGGCATTTTATAGCGGGTGGAGGGTAGAAGGTGGGGCAGGGGGTGGGAGGTGGACGGTTGGGAGGAGATCTGGCTGAAGTAACAAATGCTCCTCATAGAATATGTTGGAAATAGAGAAAGGTCTGAAGAAAGAAAAACAAAACAAAACAAAACAAAAAAACAAACCAAACAACCATATTCATACCAAACCAAAGATAATTATCATTAATATTTTGGTATTGATTCTTCCCTGTTTCTCTCTGTTTTTGTTAAGATGAGTGTGAGTTTTATATACCATGCTTTTCAATCATTTTGCCATTTTCCTTTATAAATAACCCTACAATAAACAAATTTGTCTTCACTTTTATCTTCTTAGGAGCTGTTCCTAGATATCAAGGTATCGTATCAGAGAGTATGAAGTTATTTTATCATTTTTACAGCTCCTGGTTCTTCTTACCCAATTGCCTAATAAACAAATTCTGCTCCCCTCACTGTATATGCCCTTCTCGTCCTGTTCTCACCAATGACCGAGTATTATTTTTCAAATGTTTACGAATCTAATAGGTGGAAAGAGTATCTTATTTTTTTATTTCTCCAATTGCTAATAACTTTGAACATTTTTACATGTTTATTAGCCTTTTCTGTTCTCTTTTCTGTGAATTATCTATTCATACCATTTGCCCATTTTCTCTTCTATAGTGAAAACATTTACTTGTTTCTATTTTTATTACAACTGTTTTTCCAGCTTATTGTTTTCTTTTATTATAATTTTTGATGTGCAAAGATTTTAAGTTTTCATGTATTCAAATCTCTGATCTTTTCCTTCACAATTTCTTCAATTGCTTTTGTACTAAGAAAATTTTCCTTGCTTCCATATTCTTGGTTGGTTTGAATTTTAGGACAATCTAACATGTTAACGAATTTGGAACTTATTTTGGTATATAGCATGGGGTGATGATCTAAGCATTTTTGTTTCTAAATAGCCAGTTTTTCCATGATCCTTTGTTAAGTAATCCCCATTTATATATAATGCCTTTATCACTTTGTGCTGTACTGATTCCTTTTACATACAAGGTGACCTTTCCAGGACATTTATCCTATTCCCTTGGTCAGCTTATTCTTACTCCAGGGACACACCTTTCCGCCCCTAGTTCTGACAATATGTTCTAAAACCTGGTGTTTCTTGTTGTCAAATTTGTTCTCAGCTCTTCTTGCCTGTTTATTTTCCAGATGAATGGTAAAATCATTTTTGTGAAGTTCCAAGAACTCCCTTTGGGGTTTTGATGAAAATTGCATTCAGCCTATAAATTAATTGGGAAGGATCTGGCATCTTTACAATGTTCAGTCTTCCCATCCAGGAATACACACGTGGCTTGTCCCTGCACATTTTCAAATATCCTTTTATATGTCTCGAAGGAATTCTGTAGTTTTCTTTATATAAATTCAACACATTTCTTATTAAGGTATTTCTAGTTATTTCATATTTTGGGTACTTTTTAAAAATGGAATCTTTTCCCCCTTTAGTTTAGATCACTATTTTTAATATCACTTTTTCCCCACGGATTGCCAAATTCTGACAGAAATCTAAGTGAAAAGCATATTTGTTCCTTTCCAGGCTTATAAGCTCAGAGATTTAGAACTGGAACCAACCTTAAATCTATTTTCTTTTTATATATGATAACACTGAAGTCACGAAAGGTAAAATAAAGATCATATTACTCATTAAGAGAGTGGCTGTAGATGAATAATACTTCCAATGTCCATGTTCTTTGTGTCAAAGACTTGTAAAACTTAAATATCCGAAACTAAATTCATGATCATCTCCTTTGTATTAGATTCCTATTGCCACAATAACAAGTTGCCACCGACTTGGTGGCTTTAAACAACACAAATTTATCATCTTACATTTCTGGAGGCCAAAATCCAAAATGGCCATCATTGGGCTAAAATCCAGGTGTCAGCAGGGCCACATTCCTGCTGGAGGCTCAAGGGGAGAAGCCATGTCTACTGTTTCCAGCTTCCAGAGGCCCCTGCCTTCCTTGGTTCATGGCTTTTTCTCCATCAACAAAGCTGGCAGTTTAGCGTCTTCACATCTCTCTGGCTCCTCTGATTCTTGTACGCCCTCTCCTGCTTTTAAAGTCCCCTAAGATTACATTGGCCCCACCTTGATAACCTAGGATAATCTCCCCATGTTAGAGTCAGCAACCTTAATTCTGTCTGCAACCCTAATTTTCCTTCCCCACATAATACAACATATTCACAGGTGCTGGGGATAGCACATGGATACCTTTGGGGCGGGGTGTTATTAAGCAAAGATAAACTTCCAAAATTTATATCAAGCACATCGGCCCCCTTCTTGAAGCACTTTGATGACTTCCCATCGCTCTTTGCATCACGACCAAGGTCCTTACATAGACTTCCAGGACCTGAATAGTTCCAGCCCATGCATCCCAGAGCCTCATTTGGCTCCATGCTCATCCTCACTCTGTGCCTGGTTACATTTGCCTTCTTTCAGTTCCTTGAATGTACCTTGCTCTGTCCTGCCACAAGGACCTTGCACATGCTGTTCCCTCTGCTTGGAGAACTCTTCCCCACCTGCACCTCTCTTATTAGCTCCATGCTTCTCAGATTTCAGCCAGGTCCTGCTTCCCTGACCTGCTGCCCAGTTCTCGCCCCTATGTCCCACCCTCTCCTAGAACCTTCTGTCACTCCTTCAGGGCACTTAGTACACTGGTAATATTATTTTGCTTGTATTAATAGAATTATTTAATTTTGCTTATAGAATTCTCTCCCAGGATTGGATAAAAGCTCAAAGGGACTCTTGTCTTTTCTGCTCACCCATTTATCTTCAGAACCTACTGTGCGTGGACCATAGTGGGCTCTTAGTGTTTGCCTGGTGAATGAGTAACTGGACTCAGGAATCCATTTCTTTTTTTTTTTTTTTTTGAGACGGAGTCTCACTTTGTCACCCAGGCTGGAGTGCAGTGGCGCAATCTCAGCTCACTGCAACCTTTGCCTGTCGAGTTCAAGTGATTCTCCTGCCTCAGCCTCCTAAGTAGCTGGGATTACAGGTGCCCGCCACCATACCTGGCTAATTTTTGTATTTTTAGTAGAGATGGGGTTTTACCATGTTGGCCAGGCTGGTCTCAAACTCCTGACCTCAGGTGATCCACCCACCTCTGCATAGTTACTCAATGTGTTCAGTGATACATTTATAAAAGTGAAAAGACTGGATTGGCTCCAAAGTCCAACAAAAAATAATTTATTATAAGTCCATTTGATAAAATTGCATATGGCCATTAAAAATGAAAATTATAAAGACTATAACAATGGGGAGAAACATCTGTTTTACATTTAAATAGCAGGATCCAAATGTTCTTATGCTGACGGAAGGAAAAGTGCCAACATTTTCACAGCAATTGGTGTAAGATCATAGGGTGGTGAGTTCTTTCTCCCGTCTCCAAACTCTCCCACTCACATGCTCGTATGTTCAGCCGATACTTATTGAACACCACTGTGTGCCAGACACTGTGCCAAATACTGGGAACAGCACAGTGAACACGATATAGGTGGCCTCTGCCCACTGCAAGTTCATAGGCAGGTGAGGAGGAACACTAATCACAGTCATATTGATGGTCCAGCATTCATGGGCTGCAGCTGTATTCAAGAAAACATGGGTTCCTTCACCATAGTGTGTACCATAGGCTACAGAAAATACTTCTAAAATCCGGGTCATCATTATTAGGGTCCTAAAATTTTAAATTGTGGGGGGAAATTGTAGGGTTAATATACCTGTTTCCTTTAGTCTTTAGGCCTTGAAGGAGATTTTCTAAATTGTCTCTGCAGTCTTTAATCACTGTTTATCCTCTTTTAAAGAGGTGGTCATTGGGACGCCATTGACGGGGGGAGGGAGGTAGAACCCTTTCCCTGCCCAATTCATTCTCTTTCTCAGACATTTGGAGGTTCCCCGGCCCCCACTTCTAAGAACTAAAAATGCCGAGTTGTCTCCAACATAAATTCACTTAGTTTTGTCTTCTTACACTTCTGCACTTGGTGACTGTGCGTCTGTGCTTGAGCATAATGTAAATACTTAATTTGTTTAATAAATATCCTGAAATAGCCTCTTTGAGTTGTTACTAGAAGGGCACGAACCTTTTAAGTCACTTAGCCAGCACAGATCAACACTTAATGTCTTTAATGATGAGCGTGATCTTTTTTAGTGGCTGAAATGCTCCGTAATCAATGATGTGGCCCTGCCTGGAGGCAGGAGAAACTAGATAATGGGCAGAAAATGTCTTGCTGGATTGGGCCAGTAATTTGAATCCCTGAAATTGGTATTAGTGTGGCAATTTATGGGAGAGCAGTTTCTTCCCAAGGGTAGGGAGAGCTCCCCAACATCCTAATGTCCCTTAGTGATTTACGCATTATTGAAATCCCTCGTGGCCAGTGTCTGTTCCTGGCCTGAAACCTCTGAGGACTCTTTGCCTCCCCAACTCACTAAGGCAAATGGCACACCAGTTTCAGCACAACGGTCACCTGTCTTGGGAGTAATGCTTAGTGCTGGGCAGAGGGAGAGAGGTGGACAGGGTCGGGGAATGAGGATGTCATATGCAATTTGTAAGACCTCCCTCACGGTATGTTCCTTTTTCTTCTCCCATCTCCATACCAACTTTGAGAATTAATGCAGGGATAGAAAACAAATTCTAACTGTTAGCTGAAGAAGCACTTCCAGGTTTGAGTCCTCAAATGTCCCCTCTGAACTTTCACTTGGAGTCCCTGAGTTTTAATCCTAGGATTTGATTGATTTGCCCATATTCACACTCCTCATGCATTTCATAATTTTCTAAATGCTTGTATATGGCCCTCTGAACCTTTATCTCTTTAGACTGAAATTCTCTTGTTAAAAGCCCTTTTGGTCATTCCATTTGGTGTGACTTTTTTATTGTGAGTGGACTCCATTAATAGAGTGTTTTTGATAATTTGAGGGAATTGTTTCATTATCAAATGTTATTCATTTTTTATGTCATGTATTATTGTCCACAGACCCAGAGGTTTTAAATGCTAGGAGCATGTTGTAAATGAAAACATAAATAATTTATTATAGTCATGCTGAACTAAGGCCAAATTTCCTAGTGGCTCAGTGATGCACATCGCATCAATGAGAAATGGGCTGAGATGTAAAATCTTATTTTCCCAAATGGATTATTGAAAATTAAAGTACAAGCTGTTAAAAGCAAATCTTAATTTTTATATAAGTTCCTGCACTCTCATTTAATGGAAAAAAAAATCTATCTTCACAGAATTTTAAAGTAATTTTTCTATAACCAAGATCTATACAGTAAATTACTCACTTACTGGTGAGTATTTGCTAACACTGTATGAGAATATCCTTCAGGATCTGGCCATGTCACAGCCCCTAGGGTGATTATAAGGTCCTATACAGGCCTTAGAAATATTACGCTTTTAATTAGATGGAGCAATGGCTAGTCTTCGTTCCTATATCATTATATTATTAACATTCATTGCCAGGACTCCCGGTTGCATCTCATTGCAAGGGAGGCTGGGAAATGTAGTCTAGCTGTGTTCCCCGGAAGAGAGGGAAGTAAATTTTGTTGAACACAAAGCAGGCTCTACCATGGAGTCAAACTCCACCCATCCCCAGATGGATAGCCAATTATCCCGGCTTCTTTTCCTGCCAACCTATTCCATCCCCACTCGTTTGAATTGCCTCATTTGATTTTTGCAGAATTCCTATATATACATATTTCTGGACATTATTCTTATTGATTCCTGAGTAATAATCATACTCTTTTAATTACCGAATTGAGGATTTATCTTTTGTTTTGATAACATTGTTTTTAAAAATATTTTGAATTTTATGGCATATTTATTTTCCCAGATAAACTTTTGATTTATCAAATTTCCCAAAGAAAGTAAACAAAAAACTCTACAGTCCTTCTATCATGTATTATTAAAAATATATCCCACTCAAAATATTATACTATTAAAATAAGCATTATTTGACAACTGGTATTTTCTGACTCTGAGGAAGTATGCTTTTTAAAAGGCAAGCTTCCGTCTAAACAATGGCTAACAATGTAATTAGGAGGGCATTTACAAATGGCTTGATATTTATAGTTCACATTTCAACTTCAACTCTATTTGTTGCATTAGCAAAATGAAACTCATTAAGCCTTATTCTTTTAGTCCATCTCTCCAAGCTTCTGAACCCACTAATACTCAGCTTTCTTGTATGGAAATATGTAATCTTTCCTACATTACACTTGAAAGTTCAGCTCATTCCTAAACCTCCAGTCAAGGAGATGAACTTGTTGCTTTCAGAGAGGCCACATCTGTGCACTGAGCCATTATGCCATCTGTTAAAGTGGTCAGAGTTCATTTTATTGCCTCCTTTGTGGAAGGACTTGTACTGTAAAAAGCCTGTGTTATTGAAAACATAATTTTCTTCATCATTATGCTTTCTTTCTAGCCAGATCATAACCTGCTAGAAATCTATTGAGCATAGAGGGAAAAGCTCTTCAGAATAGCTGTTCTTAAGAGATTAAATGATTGCCATCTCTGTCCCATTTCTTTTATCTCATAATCAAGTTCAAGATGATACTGGGTATCTCAGCTGAAGTGATTATATATTTGAAATAGAAATGGCTTTCTCTCCATTCATATTTCATATTGTTGATGGTAGGATCTTTTTTCTTTATATTTATATATGCTTATGTTTCCTTATAAATGTCCACGGGGTCAAAGGTTCAAACTACTTTTTTTTAAAAGGCTAAACATGGCTAACAGGAGTTGGGTTACATTTTCCAATTTTCTGCATACAAAGATACTAGTTGTATAACTAAGATCTGGCTTAGATTCATCAAAATTGAGAACTGAACCAAATCTTAGCAATCATCTAGCCTAGCCATTCAGCTTGACAAGTGAGGAGCTTCAAAGTCATAGCAGTTGAGAAACTTGCCCAGGGCTTGGCAGCAGCCTAGCTGAGCAGAGAGCTCGCTCCTGGGGGGTTTCTGCTGGACCACACTGTCTCCCTGCCATATTCAGAGTGGGCCTGTGGTAGTTGCATATTTACGGCATGGGGGGAAGAATGGAAGATCTTAGTGACTCAGAAGTGTAGGAAACAGATTTGTTATGATTAGTTCAAAGATGTTCACTTTGACTTTTGTACTTTATCCTGAAAACTGTCTGATCTGTGCTGTTTTCTTACATTGTCATTTCTCTTCCAGAGAATCAAAGTTAGAAACACGATCATATCCCTGTTTATTAGCAGCTCTGTTAAAGCACTTGATAGAGAAGGAATATCAAATTATTTCCTGGAAATATAGCCCAGGGCCTTGGGCTATATGTTGATTGCATTTATCCACATGTCTACAAGTAGTCAATAATCCGAAATGACATACTGAAATTATATTTTCTTCCTTTTAAAATATGTCTAGCTGTCAATGAGATTCCTCATTCTTAAAATTTAGTAAATAGGAAAAAGTGAGTCATTATTTATGGTTAGTCACTTTGGTAAGCTGTGACTGTATTTTACATCCATTTTTCCTTTTTTCTTGGACTGGAGAATTTATTCCGTCACTTGTTAGGGAAAATATATATTAGTTCCCTCAATAGCCTCTTCAGTGCATTAAGAATCACAAGGCACCATAAACAGAACTTTCTGTTGGATACAGCAAGCAAGTTACTCTTTAGATTGCAGAGCTGAGGAGAATAATCCAGAATCTTGAGCTAGCATCCGAGGAGAAATCTAAATTATTTATGGTTTCTTTAAAATGGAATAATCATTTCAAAAATACTATGTTCATTGAGTATCTGCTGTCTGTCCATCAAGTTCCAAATACTGCAAGGTTTGGAAAAGATTTCAGACAGAATCCTTTGTATGTCAGGATGCTTTCATTTCCAAGTAGCAGAAAATCCATTTCAGACTGCCTTAAACAACACAGGGAATTTATTGGGTCAGTGACTAAGAGTCTTGACATAGGGGAGGCTTCAGGCATGGTTTGTTTAGGCTCCAGCTCACTGTGCTGTTCTCTGACTCTTTCCCTCATTGTATATAGCTCCAGTCTCAAGCTGGTAATTAACACTTAAAAGCCTGTGCACAAATTATCGAATCAATGTACCATTGGAGCATAGAACTGTTGTGGAAATTGCACCCTTATGGTAGGAAAAGGCTGTTGGAATAGCAAGCCTCACCTCTGCATCTCAGATGTCCACATTGAAAGAGCTTCTCAACTTGCAAGCAAAATTCCTAGACTTCATTATGTTTGTACCAATTCTTTACCAACCAGTAGTAGCCAGGGGAGGAATGACATGTGTTAACTGGCTTAAGCCAGTCAATCCTTGAGCCAGTCACTGTGGTAAGGAGAGTGGGATTACAGTCATTGGTTAAGGCCAGTGAGCTCCCACTTCTAGAGCTTGGGGTGGGGGTCTGTTCCCCCACAATCACACAGCTGCTACATGGCACAGAGCAGGTAAGATGGAAGTTGGGGAAGACGCAAACAATGTCCATGGAATTGTTAGGCTAGTAGGCTGAGCCGAGTGCTAATGAGGCCACTGTTTTGCCTGGCTTATGTCGTTCTTTATTCCTGGCCTGATCTGGACATTCTCTTACCCTTCACAGTTCATCCTAAACAGCCAGGTCCACCACTTGCTTATGGTCAGATGATAACTATACCTCTGCATCCAAAAGGACCCTGTAAGAATCTTATATTCAGGGATACCTTGTCCTCACTCTGAAGGAGCACTTAAAGTCCAATAATACTATTTACTATTAATGGACTAAATATTATTAATAAGACATGTATATTAGACAGTAAAAAGAAGACTGCTGCAGTGTTTTTTTTCTGGTTAACCCTGGCATTTTAATTGCTTGGAACTTCAAACTTCAGAGCTCTTCTTAAAGGCAATATTTAATTTCCTCCCAAAAAAAGCATTTTGCAAGTAGAGGAATAGTCTGATCTCTTTGAAGTAGTGAGATCTCTTTTACTTGAGTGAGAATCTGATATGACGTGCTATTGCTGATGGCAATTTAAATGCTCTGTGTGAAGTTTCATCTCTCAAAATAAACTTTCCATTGTGTCTTAACCTGGGTTCTTCTTGAAAGCAGAGCCTGATGGGGGCTTGTGTACAGGTTGTTGTGAAACAGAGAATGAGGGAATGCAAGTGTCTGTCACCAAGCTCATTACTACTATGAGCGATTGGAGCTTGATCCCACCAGAACCTCTGATGAGCCAAGAGAATGACCTCAGAGTTGTCTACGTAAAGCTTGGTATTTTCCTGCCATAAGGATGCAGTCTTCACAACAGTCCTGTGCTCCTTTGGTACATTGATTCAATAATTCGTGCACAGGCTTTTAAGCGTTAATTACCAGCCTGAGACTGGAGCCGTGCAAAATGAAGGAAAGAGAGAACAGCAGAGTGAGCTGGAGTGTAAACTGGTCAAGGGGTTCTACCTGCTCTGTGCATGAAGAAGGCCTTAACACTCCTTTTCATGCTTCCACGTTTGGGGGGTAGGGGGTGCCACCCCAGGTGTCAGAGCAGTCCCAAACAGCAAAAGATACTGCTACTGGCTCGGGTGAGGCTTTCCCAGCAATGGCTGGAGTCAAAGGAGGTTGCATAGCGTGGGACGGGCACAAAGGGACCCCAGTACACACCGAAGAGAATGCAGCACATCTGCCAAAGTCATGTTGGAGCCTAGAAAAGACCAGAAATCATCTGCATATCTCTTTAGTCTTTCCTGTATATCCGAATGGCTTTTCTTAACACATGTCTTTAAAAAGGTAAAATTAATAAACACATTACCAGCTGAATTGCTGTAGAGCCCTGCAGGACTCTCATCAACAAAGAGGCAAGCACGCCAGTGGGAAGAAGCAGCGGGCTCCTCAGAAGAGAAGGCTGCTTGCGGGAGAGGCTGTCATCATTACATCTTCAATTGGCGGGTCTTCTCATCCCCAGCAGGGGCTCCTTGCTTGGAGGGTAATTTTTACTTTCACTGTTCAGTCAGTATGACAGCTTTGTCCCTAATGTAGTGGCAGTTTTGACTTTGGTTTAAATTATTCCATAAAGAATCAAAGAGAAAAAGCTGCTCTCTCCCTTTTCCCCCACCCCAAAAATTCCACTAAGAAAACTTTTCTCACTTAAATCTTGGCCTCCACATTAAATTTCTCATTCACATTTCAGGTGCATCAAATATGGCATCAACTTTCAAAATCTCATGTGATTATCACAGTGACTCAAAATAATTACTATCTGTCAGTGCGTTTGTTGGGAACACAGATATGTCTGGCACACGCCCTATTACCACCAGCAAGAGTTTGCCTCTCCAGTGGGGTCTTCTCTGGGCTCATTTCAAAACCTTAGAGTGTTGGGACAATCATCTGCATGATCTGAGAAACATGTGCCTCAGCTGACCCTGAAATCATTTTCTTTTTAAAGAAAAAGTCTTTAAAGCAATTATATTAGTAAGTGTAGATTTAGCTGGAATGTTCAAAAGGATTGCCTTAAACTGTGATTCCTCTGGCTCAATGGTTGTCAACTGGGGTGATTGTGTCCCCCAAGGGACACTTGGCAATTTCTGGAGACATTTTTGGCTGTCACGATTGGGCATGAGGGGTGGGAGAGGGTCCTACCAACATCTAGCAGGTGGAGGCCAGGGATGCTGCCAAACGTCCTGCAATGCCCAGGACAGCCCCCTCTCTGCTATATCAGAGCATTGTCTGGTCCAAAATATCAATCGTGCTGATGTTGAGAAGCCCAGCGCTAGCTGTTGTGGATTTATACAATTTGAAATAAGGCCAATTGTTTGGAAAATTCAGACTAAATTGAAAGAAAATATTTTTTCAGTTGAAAAAGATATAAGTAATATTAAGGAATATCTTAAGACAGAATTACCCAAAACCCTACCATCTTCATAAGACAAGTTTCTGCGTAGCATATAACCTTCAGCTTCTGCCCAAAAGAATATAAATGTTTATAAAATTGCAATTATGGGTCCGACCGCAGTGGCTCACGCCTATAATCCCAGCACTATGGGAGGCCAAGGCAGGAGGATCATTTGAGGTGAGGAGTTTGAGACCAGCCTGGTCAGCATGGCGAAACCCCATCTCTACTAAAACTACAAAAAATTAGCCGGACTTGGTGGCGCATGCCTGTAATCCCAGCTACTCGGGAGGCTGAGGCAGGAGAATCACTTGATTCTGGGAGGCAGAGGTTGCAGTGAGCCAAGATCATACCATTGCACTCCAGCCTGAGTGACAGAGCAAGACTCTGTCTCTAAATAAATTAATTAATTAATTAAAATTAAAATTAAAAAACGAAAACATTGCAATGATGATGCGATACCATTCTGTATTCTTGCTCCCACTTAAAAATATCACTTTCATAGTCTTTATGTCATTTTAATAGAAAAGATTCCATCGTTTCAATGTAGTAAAATTTAAACCATTTCCTTTTTCTTTCTTTTTTTTTTTTTTTTTAAGTAACTTGGGTAAAAGCAAGTACTCTAGTCTGAAGCCTGGCTTTGGAGACTTAGACATGGGGTACTCCTGAATAATTTTACAAGAAAAATGATTTTCCAAGAAATAACCACTTTCAGAACATTCTAAGAAATTGTTATGATGTCAACATTTTCATACAAGAAACATTTACTCCTTGTGAGAAACATTGACTATTTACATTTTTTTTTTTTTTGAGACAGAGTCTCGCACTATCGCCTGGGCTGGAGTGCAGTAGTGCGATCTCAGCTCACTGCAACCTCCAGCTCCTGGCTTCAACCAGTTCTTCTGCCTCAGCCTCCCCAGTAGCTGGGATTATAGGTGTGCGTCACCATGCCCGGCTAATTTTTGTATTTTTAGTAGAGACGGGGTTTCACCATGTTGCCCAGGCTGGTCTTGAACTCCTGACCTCCAGTGATCCACCTGCCGCGGCCTCCCAAAATGCTGGGATTACAGTGTGCACCACTGCGCCTGGCCTATAACCACTTTTTAATACAATGAATCAAAATATTTTTACTTTTACAAATTTGAAAACTGTTGGAATTCAACTGAATGGACTGAGTCCAGTTCTGCAAATTTGGAATGTATCCTGTGTCATCTGAGGTCTTCCTGTACTTTGAAGTCCATAGAGTATTGCCTGGAACCTCCATTCTACACCTGGGGGATTATGAAGCACTTCCCAAGATTCTTGCAAATTCCTAGCAGGCTTATGGCTCTGAGTTCTCATTTCTCTGAGAGAATTCAGTGGATGGATCATCCTGCCTTTCCCTTCTTGCTTTTCCTGCTCTCTGCTGCACGTTCAGACAGAGCTCATCTCCTGACTCAATCTTCAGCCCCTGACTCAACACTGACACCCCAAAGTCACCATCCCCCACAGTGTGTGTGTGCCTGGCACTCCCTTGGTGAAGATAGGGGAGAGGTTAGAACAGGTAATACAAACAGTTTGGAAGTACATAGGAAACGTAACAGTCAATTGAAGGACTTTTGATCATCGCATCATTGGGGAATTTCATGACTGTTCTTATATGGCATCTCCCTGTGCCTGTACCCTCTCTTGTCTTGGCTTGTCATCTCCTTCCTCCCAGATGGCCCTAAATTGTTCATACCAAGTAATACAGAGCAGTACTTCTTTTTTTTTTTTTTTTTTTCTTTTTTGAGGTGGGATCTGGCTCTGTCACCCAGGCTGGAGTGTGAACTCAGCTCACTGCAGCCTCCGTCTCCCAGGCTCAAGTGATTCTCCTGCCTCAGCCTCCCGAGTAGCTGGGATTACAGGCACATGCCACCACGCCTGTCTAATTTTTGCCTTTTTAATAGAGATGGGGTTTCACCATGTTGGCCAGGCTGGTCTCGAACTCCTGACCTCAAGTGATCCACCCACCTCAGCTTCCCAAAGTGCTGGGATTACAGGTGTGAGCCACCACACCCAGCCCAGTTCTGCTCTCTTGAGTCTCTACTCCCAAAATCAATTCCAGGTCTCCCTTTTGCATCTCAAAAACAAACACACCAAAAAAGCCTTTAATTTCATTGGGCCTACATTTCTAGAAGCAGTTGTTGTTAGTTAATTATCCTCTTTTACATCTGCATAAACTTTAATTCCTTTGAAAAGCCATTTCTGAGATAGTCTGTATATGTGTCTATACCTACGTCCCTGTGTCTGGTAAAAGGGGAGCTGCTTAACTGGATTGAAGTGGGTGGTCTTTGACTATGGGTTAGACCATGTGTACCCAGTGTTCTGCATTGGTTCACAATTTCCTGCTTCTTAACTCTAAATTGTTCAGCCTGACATTCAGGGGGTTCCCTCGCTCCACTGCCCCATGTTTTGAGCCTCATTTTCCACAGCTTGTCTCTCATGTGGTCTCCTCTGTACCTAGTCTATGTTTTGCAAAATGTGGTTGAGCATGGAAACTGTAATCGACTTACTTACGGGTCCCTGAATGATGGGTCTAAGGTGTTTCTCAGGCGTGCGTTTGTTTGTTTGTTTGTTTGTTTGTTTGTTTGTTTACGAGATTGAGTTTTGCTCTTTTCGCCCAGGCTGGAGTGCAGTGGCCCGATCTTGGCTCACTGCAACCTCTGCCTCCCGGGTTCAAGCAATTCTTCTGCCTCAGCCTCCCAAGTAGCTGGGATTACAGGCACCTGCCACCATGCCTGGCTAATTATTGTATTTTTAGTAGAGATTGGGTTTCACCACATTGGCCAGGCTAGTCTCGAACTCCTGACCTCAGGTGATCCACCCGCCTGGGCCTCCCAAAGTGCTGGGATTACAAGCATGAGCCACCACGCCCAGCCACAAGCGTTTTTAGACTCGGTAAAACAATGAGGTGATAGTTTCTTTCTTTAATTCCCTAGTACCTCCTGGGAGGTAATAGATTTTCTATAATATTATCAGCTGTTTCCTCAGATTCATTTGTTCCACAAATTCATTCATTCGACATTCATCCTCTGCTGTGGGGCAAGAAGTGGGGCCACAGCAGCAAAGAAGACAAAGGTCTTGCCCTCCTAAAGTTTCTTTCGAGTCAGGGTTGGGGGGTGGGAGGTGCTGAATTTTTTAGTGCTGAGGGTTTGTTGATGACACCAAAACAATGCATTCTAGTTTCAAAACTAGAGCAAACTCACGTTAGGGTTGAATGCTGTAACAGAAACAAGAGGGCTTTTTAACCTGATGACATTTCCTTCCTCTCCTCAGCCAGTCACTAATTCTACCCACGGTACATCTTCTCTGTCACAGTGATTTGAGTGTGGGTGCTATGAGACCTTCCTTCTTCAGAATAATTCTGTCTGCAATGAAAAACAGTATTTGTTAGCTTTTAAAATGATAGCTCTGAACTTGAATTTCCTCTGCACTCTCCGTGAGATGACCAGACCTGCTTGTATATATGCGATGACGACGAAAAGTCAGAAGACATTAAGTATTTCAGCATGTCTCATTTGAAATATGAATTTAAAATGATGATGCCCTGCCATTCATTATGTGAATAAAATGCCACCCCACACGTTATGAATAAACTTTCCAGTTTTAACAGTGCTTGGTTTTACTATACTCATTTTATGATGGAAAGCTCTAGCAAAGGCAGCAAGAAAAATTAGGAGTTAATACAATAACAGGCGGGGTACAATGGCTCATGCCTATAATCCCAGCACTTTGGGAGGCCGAGGCAGGGGGATGGCTTGAGCTCAGGAGTTCGAGACCAGCCTCGCCAACATAGTGAAACCCCATCTTTACCAAAAAAATACAAAAATTAGCCAGGCGTGGTACTGGGTGCCTGTAGTCTTAGCTACTCAGGAGGCTGAGGTGGGAAGATTGCTTGAGCCGGAGAGGCGGAGGTCGCAGTGAGCCAAGATCACACTGCTGCACTCCAGCCTGGGTGACAGAGTGAGACTCCATCTCAAAAAACAAAAAGTTAATACAATAACAATGAGGTCGTTTACTGAGAAAGTCAGGCAAAGGGATTTGCTTCTCTACAAGCATTCAGCATCTCAATAAGTGAATAAGCACACTCGCACACACACAAAATATTATCAGAAGCAGTTTATTCTAAACATTATTTTTCTAGGTTATTCACTTAACTCACCCTCTGAGATTTATAGTTCAACCATACCAGTTCAGAGTGGAAAGAAAAAAGGCCGTTTATCTAATCCAATTCCTTGGGAAAAAATACTTAGGCAATATTAAGAATCCTCAATTATCTAATTTAATAAAAGGGATGATTTATATTCTGTAGTTAGTAACGTGATACTGATTATTTCTAATCCCTTAGAAGAGATCTGACACTATGCTTTTGGTCCTGTGTAGCATGAAATCATCATGTATATTTTACCAAAAGAAGTAACAAGAATAATGGCCTCTGCAGTCTGCAATCATTTTATATGAACACACTGCAACATGGTTTTGCCCTGGGGCAGAGAAGTAGGGATTTTTCTCTACTTCAAAAGAATGAAAAATTATCATCACTCTATCCAGAACCATTATAGACTTCAGAGACTTTGGCATGAAATATTCAGAAAGTTTATTTTAGAATTCAATATTTTAAAAGCCTGCTTTAAAACTATTACAGTGATTAGTGGCTCTCTTGCTTGGGCCAGTCTTTGCTTTAAAAAGTCCTATGTCATGGTTGATACGAATTTGATGTTTGAACAAAATATAATTGGCATCAACTGCAGAAGCTACTTGTAAGGCATTGTTTTAGAATGCCCCCAAAGAGGAGTTGGGACCACTACTCACCAGTTATGCTTTCAAACACACTTTTTTTTTTCTTAATTGAGATGGAGTCTTGCTCTGTCACCCAGGCTGGAGTGCAGTGGCGTGATCTCGGCTCACTGCAACCTCTGCCTCCTGGGTTCAAGTGATTCTCCTGCCTCAGCCTCCCAAGTAGCTGGGATTACAGGGGCCCACCACCATGCCTGGCTAATTTTTTGTATTTTTAGTAGAGACAAGGTTTCACCATGTTGGCCTGGCTGGTCTAGAACTCCTGACCTCAGGTGATCCACCCACCTTGGCCTCCCAAAGTGCTGGGATTACAGGTGTGAGCCACTGCATCTGGCCTGCATATGTTTTTGACATATCACAGAAAGACATGTGTAAGATAATTAGAAAGAGCCGTTTCTTTTTTTCTTATATAATCTGTGTATTTGGCTTCATCTCTTTAAATATGTGGAATATATTATTTCTGTAAGTTTTAATAAATACCCTTTCTTTCCTGCAAACCTTTATTATCAATGAAAAAACAGGCATCAATCTCAGCCTTCAAGTAGATAAAATAGGTTCCTCTCTCACACAGACATGCAAATAAATAAAGATTCTAATGTGCTCTCGGTGCATAGGTGTTAACGAGAATAATGTGTAAATGACTTTTTGTTTCATTTTCCAGGGAAGTAGATCGAGATTCAGATGGTCACGTCAGCTTTAGAGACTTTGAATATGCCCTGAACTATGGACAGAAGGAAGCCTAACTATTGTGAACTACTTTTGGTAACTCTGGGGAGATCAATAGATTGTAATGTCAGCAGACTCGACTCTACTAATGATGTCATGCTACAGACTTGTGATTAAACATTTAAAAATTTTTAATTTTTGTGGGTACATAGTAGGTGCATATGTATACATACACACACATATATGGGTTACGGGAGATATTTTGGCACAGGCATGCAATAAGTAATTGACTAAATTTTTAATCATAATTTTTGGATGCTGATGATAGACTTGCATCTCAGAATCCTAGAGATGGTTGCTGCCGGGGGTCTCCTTCTGTGTGGCCAGCAGCCCTGAGTCAGGCCGCCATTGCTAGAGCTGGGGCTAGGGATGGCACTGGTGGTCCTCCTCCTCCTCACTCTTCTTGCCCCCTACCCTCTCCACACTGCAGGCCACGGTGCTCTACTCACTCACTTCATTGTCCTCACCATCCCACCCTGAATCTCATCATCTCCTAATATCTGCAGAGGGGCAGACTTTTCCTGCCAATGGTGCCAGTTTCCTTCATTTGCTCAACATTGGTTGAACAAATAATAGCACCTACACATACAGAATACTTACTATGTTCCAAGCAATCAGCCAGGCCTTGGGAAGCATAGGCTTAAGACTTCTCTAAGATAGGCTCATGCCTACAATCCCAGCACTTTGGGAGGCCAAAGCAGGAGGATCACTTGAGCCTAGGAATTGGAGACTAGCCTGGGCAACATACCGAGACCCCATCCCTACCAAAAAATTAATAATAAAAAATTATCTGGATTTAGTGGTGTGTACCTGTAGTCCCAGCTACTTGGGAGGCTGAGGTGGAAGGATCATTTGAGCCCAGGGGTTTGAAGCTTCAGTGAGCCATGATTGCACTGTCGCACTCCAGCCTGGATGATAGAGCAAGACCCTGTCTCTAAAAAAACACTTTCAATTAAAAAAAAACATATAAAGACTTCTCTAAGATAATGTCCCTGAGTCCAAATCATCACTGTAAAGTGGTCCCAGGGCACTGTCTGTGCAAGACAAAGAAATCGGCTTGGGCTAACATGAGCAAGCCCTCTCGGGCTATATACAGAGGAAGAACAGGGTGATGAGGGTACTGGGGGCAAGAGACATGTTTGCAGAACCCTTTAGGATGGTCTAGGCTTGGGAGTCTCACTGTGGAGAAGCAAGCCTTGAGCTGCTCAGCTGCCCTCTGCTCCATACCCCCTGGTTTCTAGCAGTCACGTCCTGCACCCAGACACTTAGCCATGTGTGTTCACGTTCCCCATGCCTTGCCTGTCCTGCTGGGCTCCAGTAACTGCTATACTGGAGCAAGAACAGCAATGCTGGACACTCAGCATTTAGTGAAGGTAATTCCAAAATACTGGTATCAGTACTCTTATTTATAAGTGTACGGAATGCATAACATGAACATTAGTCAAAGAACTTTTAATATAATTCACTTTTTAAGTGTTAAAATTTAAAGGTCAAGTAAAATTGTAAATTTGTAATATGGAAACATTAAGCGTCATTATCATACAAATTATTAGCAGATAACCTTAATAAAAATAAACGTTTGCGGGTTTTTTTTGAGACAGAGTCTCACTTTGTCACCTAAGCTGGAGTACAGTGCGCGATCTCGGCTCACTGCAACTTCCGCCTCCTGGGATCAAGTGATTCTCCTGCCTTAGCCTCCTGAGTATCTGGGTTTACAGGTGTGTACCGCCACACCCGGCTAATTTTTAGTAGAGAAGGGGTTTCACCATGTTGGCCAGGCTGGTCTTGAACTCCTGACCTCAAGTGATCCGTCTGCCTCGGCCTCCCAAAGTGCTGGGATTACAGGCGTGAGCCACCATGCCTGGCCAATAAAAATAAAGTTTTAAACTGTCAAATAAGAGGAGCCTAACAAGATGTGACAACTAAATGTCATTTGGTATCCTGGATGAGATCACGGAATAAAAAATAAACATTGGCCGGACACAGTGACTCAGCCTGTAATCCCAGCACTTCGGGAGGCCGAGGCGGGTGGATCACGAGGTCGGGAGATCGAGACCATCCTGGCTAACACGGTGAAACCCCGTCTCTACTAAAAATACAAAAAACAAAAAAAGATTAGCTGGGCGTGGTGGCAGGTGCCTGTAGTCCCAGCTGCTCGGGAGGCTGAGGCAGGAGAATAGCATGAACCTGGGAGGCAGAGCTTGCAGTGAGCTGAAATGGTGCCACTGCACTCCAGTCTGGGCAACAGAGCGAGACTCCCTCTCAAAAAAAAAAAAAAAAAAAAAAAAAAAGACATTAAGTAGAAACAAATCAAGCATGGACTTTAGCTAATAATAATGTATCACTATTGGTTCATTAATTGTAACAAATGTATCCTACTCATATATAATGTTAATAGTAGGGGAAACTGGGTGAGGTATATGGGAACCCTCTACTATTTTCACAATTTTTCTATAAATCTAAAACTATTCTAAAATTAAAAATTCATTTAAAAAATAAAGTCTTATTCAAAACCTGTTAAACTAAACTTTATCTAAAATGAAGAAAACATTGAAAATCAAGTAAAAATAAAATCTTATTTCAAATACAAAGCGGATCAATGGTATCATTGAGTAGCTTTTGTGTTTATGTACGAATTGTTCCAGTTGATGAAAAGTTGATGAATTGTTCCTTTCTGATTTTGGGTAGAGTTTTGTTCAGCAAGTATTTTCATCATAAGTTGAATAATTGAGTTGTTGATTCCTGATCTCAGAACATAAATGATGCATACTTCAGATTTTTTAAAATATCAAAATTGGAGTAATACATGAACAAAGTGGCATTATTCAGAATTTCCAGAAAGCCATAACCTCCTATTGCAGTCACTATTCGGACCTCATTTCTCCCAGGAAACATGACAAGGGAAAGGGAGGGGTCATTTCCTACAGTTGATGCGGCAGGCAAGAGGCCAAGTTGGGGATAGCTGTTGGGCAACTCCCTTGACCCTGGACTAGTCAAGGCTCTTTTTTGTCTCAGTGACGGAAAACCACCCAAACTAGCTTAGACTGCAAGAGAATGTACTGGAAAACACTGGGCTATCTGATAGAACTAACATAGAGACAGCAGTGGTGCAGTGGGTTTCCAGAATAACTAGAACCAACCATACCAGCACCTTCAGACTCTGCCTCTCTCCCGTAGTCACGGACAGCCTCACAGTATCCTGAAAAGGAATTGGCTCATGATTCATCCAGTTCCAAGTCTAGAGACCCCACATAGAGGCTCTGGCCCCTTGGAGCAATCAACTCTGGTTCACCCAGGGGGTATGGACATGGCCAACTGGGCACTGGCCCAGGTATACCCATGGCTGGTCGCAGAGAGGGGAAGTTTGTAAGATCTGAGCAGACATCCCATTTTCTTTCTTAGAAGAAAACTGTATGTCTATCTAGCTGCAAACTGTAGTCTAGGAGGGAGAGTGCTCCTCGGATTTGCTACTTAGGAGGATCCAGGCTCTCAGGGTGAATACAGAAAGAGGGAATGAGAAGCCACTCATGTCACCTTCCCCTTCTTTTCACTTGCCCTGGGCCCAATCCAAATCCTCATCCCATAAGCTTTTTCCCCAGCTTCTCACTTCCAGGTCCTAGTCCCTGTCTTTGTCCCCAGTCCACATGCTACTGTCTGTGCAGAATGACTTTGTTGATCTGATTTCAGTTGAGTGGCCCAAGGGTGGACGTCTGTTGACCAACTCAATCTCTTCTCTTGGGAAACACCAAGAGTGGGCATAAGTGAGAGAGAGCAGTGCCCCTCTGAGGGGCTGAGTAAGTGGGTCTGACTCAGGAGTGAGTGGCACACATGTTTTCTACCACATGGCCTGGAAACCCAAGGCAGCTAGTTGGCATTGAGAGCGGAGAAAAAAGAAAAAGACACCGAGAGGAGAACAGGAAAGGAGACAAGAAGCCCCATGATGTTTGGCTGCTGGTTAAAGCTTGTGTCCAAGGCCCAGTCATAACCCTCTGGGTCCTGTGAGGTAACCCTGTATCCTCCCAATAAATCTTTCTGCTCAAGCCAGCTGGAGTTGCTTTCTGTTATTTGAAACCAAGAGAACCCTAACTGTTGTAAGCATCGAGCCAAGGACAGAGTCTTGGGCAACGTTAACATTTACTAGGACAGCAGAGAAAAGTCTTCTAACGAGACTAAGAAGAAGCAGTTAAAGGTAGAAGCAGAAGCTATTGCCCACTTCTCTCTACGATTCCCCTGCCCCGACTTGCCCTCTCCCTGTAACCCAGCTCCATCTTCCCCATGGCAGCTGCTCTCAAAGGGGTCACCAGTGAGCTGCTAATGAATGGCCAAACGCACCAGCCCTTCTCTAACCTCATCATACTTGTCCTTTCTCCTGGGTCTGCCCTGACAGCTGCACCTTTGAAATCCTTCCCTTTTAGTTTCCATGACATGGGTCTCTCCTGGTATTTCTGTGCCCATTTTTTCCCCTCTGTCTTTTCCTGCTTCCTCTCCTACAGCCATCCCGTAAGTATTAGCATTTTCCGAGGCCCTGTATTTGGCCAATCTTCTTGATCCACACATTCTCCAAGGATGATTTCATCACCACCAAGATTTCAGCTATTATCTTTATGGATATGACTCTACAAACAAATCTTTATTTTGACCTCGGCTCAACTCCAGACCTGTGTTTTCATTTGCCTATCGGACTGCCATGCAAGCTCATTGAATTAAAATCAGACTCATCGTTCCCCTCATTTTCAAAATGATTTTCCCATTCTGTGTTTCTTTTTCCTAGCCGCCGCCCCACCCCCCGCCCAGAGCTGTCATCTAAGCCAGCTGCCGCAGAGTTCTTTTCAAGTCTCCCCCATCTTCTTTAGCTCCGTCATCCAGACACTTGCTGAATCCTTTTGAGCCTGGCTCTGTAAACCCTTCACAGCATTGTCTTCCATCCCCTCCTGATCATCCTGCCTTTTCCTTATTCCCCTTTCCATCCTTCCACCTAGTCATTTTTTCTTCTACTCATTTATATAAAGATGAGTAAAAGATGTGCAAGTAAGAAGTAAACCCTGCTGTCAACAAATTTCAATCTAGTATGTCTGTTATCTTCCCAAAGCACAGACAAAATTACTTTGTCTCTGCTCAAAAGCTTTCGGTGGCCATCTTTTCTATTGGATAATGTCGAACCCTGTAATATGCCATTCAAAGCCCTCCATAATCGGGTATCAATTTATATTTTCAGTCCCATTGTTCACAACTACCTCTGCCATACCACCCCACAACCAGGTAAACTCACACACACAGTCCCTTCTCCTAAATACACCAAAAACAAGACATCTTTGCCCAAAATAGAGGAGTAACAAATACTCTTGGAATTAATATCTGACAAGATAATAGGAAAATGCAACCATAAAATAATAAAACTCACTTTGAAAAACATCCGGGATCATCTTCATCATAATGGGTATTTTTCCCTTCACTTTGTCACCCTGGGAAGGGGGACTAATTATGCCAGGTATTTTGTATATTTGTTTTATTTTTTAAATTATTGAGATAGATATTAGTCATCCTCTTTTATAAATAAGGAAACAGTCCCGGAAAATCTAAGTAACTTGATTCAGGCTAAGTGATGGTGACGGGAGAAGAGTGTCAGGGTAGGGATTCAAACCTATCAGCCTGACCGAAAACATATGCCTTTCCTACGATGCTGCATTATTACCTGCAGTGGGAAAATCATCTATGACACTGATTCATATTCTATGGTTACACTTCATTTTCAGTCTAAAATGAATTTACCCAGATTCACTGGACAATCCAAGACAAGCCTTTAGCACATAGTAGGTATGAAAAATTAATTTCCAAGCTGGGCTTGGTGGCTCACGCCTGTAATCCCAGCACTTTGGGAGGCCGAGGCGGGTGGATCACCTGAGGTCAGGAGTTCGAGACCAACCTGGCCAACATGGTGAAATCTCATCTCTACCAAAAATATAAAAATTAGTCCGGCGTGTTGGCGCATGTCTGTAATCCCAGCTACTCTGGAGGCTGAGGCAGGAGAATCACTTAAACCCGGGAGGCAGAGGTTGCAGTGAGCCAAGATCGTGCCACTGCACTCCAACCTGGGCAACAGAGTGAGACTCTGTCTCAAAAAAAAAAAAAAAGAAAAAAAATTATTTTCCATCTTCCACATCACCAAACTTAACCAAAATTACTTTGGGTTATTAAACCCACTTTCAAAAGACAAGGATTAAAATGTGCTGCAATCTCTAAAGGCAGTATTCAAAGAGGAGTTTCAGAAATGCTGCGAACAATTGAAGCATCTTTGAAATAGGTGTGCATTCCCACTGGGCAACGCTCACTTATGTATATAAATTCTAAACTGTATCTCACCAATCAGCCTACTTGGTATTCACACCTCTCTTACAGAATTGTAATTTAGGATTAATAAAAATGAACTGTTGGCTACTTTCCTTTCTGTAGCTTATAACTTTTGAGAAATTTGTTTGGAACTGCAGAACTAGGCAGTTAAAAAATTCATATACACACACAAATTGAAATTCAATGGCATTAGGAATAGCAGCTCACAAAGTAACCTTTCTTATAAAACAGGCTTAAATTGGATTGGCCACAGGGATTGAAAAGTAGCTTAAAACAATTTAACATAATAAAATATAGAGTGTCCAATCAAAATGTTTCTTAGATTATTAAGTTGACGAAATACTCAGAAATGTGAATAAAAAAGAATTTATTCTAACTTCAGAGAAAATGCAGATTAATTTATGTGAAAACATAAACTGAAATCCAAATATACTCCCTATTTTATGCTTTACTGATCCTTGAAAAAAATTTTAGCAGAGCGCAAAACAGCTAAGTTGGCTAAAGTATGTGACTTCAGAAAGAGCAATTCCAATAATATTGAATTTATAGAAAAAAATTTTGACCAAGGGGCTGGAAATATATTGTGTGTATTGTCATAGCAACAGTCATTTTAAGGTAGAAGTGAGGTTTGAACATCTTTTTAATTTTAAATAAGGAAGCCAAGTTTAATTTTAAATAACTTTTCTAAGGTCAAATGTGTCAGAGAGAGTTCTTGAGTCCATTTCCTTACCAAGCTTTCACTATTGCTACTTGTCTTGGACGGCCCATGGGATAGGATTTGTTCATTTCTTTCTTTTTTTCCTTCCTTGTTCCCTTTCTTCTTTCCTTCCTTAATTCCTAGAATTGCATATATTGGACCATCTAAGGTTCATTCGATCTGACCTGCTCCTTGGCTGACATTCAAACTTCTATGAGCAGATTTTTCCCCCTTACTACAAATTGAAACCAAAATTCCAGAACACTTTATGTCTTTCATCAAACATAGAAATCTCTGGGCCATGATTTCTTCAAATACTCCATTTACCACAATCTTGAAGAGAATGGCCTTCTCAAACTCCAGTTGTACATACTTTATATCAATAATATTATCTGACACATCTCTCATTGTCTATTCTTCTCCACCACATCTTCATGCTCTTCCTCCCCTTCCTCCTTTCTCTCCCTGTTTCAGTTGGATAATTTCTACTCTCATTTGTTTCTAGGGGCAATGTAAAATGGTACAGCCGCTTTGGAAGACAGTTTGGCAGTTTCTTACAAAGCTAAACATAGTCTTACCACATGACCCCTCAATCAAGCTTCTAGGTATTTACCCAACTGGTTTGAAAATTCCATCCACACAAAAACTTGCATATGAATGTTTATAGAAGCTTTCTTCATCATCACCAAAACCTAGAAGCAACCGAGATATGTTCTTAAGAAGTGAATGGATCTTCTACAAAATACCTGACCAATCCTCCTCAAAACTATCCAGCCCATCAAAACCAAAGAAAGCCTAAGAAACTCCAAGAGGAACCTCTGGAGCCATGGGGACTAAATGTAATGCAATAGCCTAGATGGGATCCTAGAACAGGAAAAGGACACTGTGGGAAACCTAGGAAATCTGAATAAGGTATGAACTTTAATTAATAATGTACCAGCATTAGCTCATTAATTGCAGCAAAGGTATCATACACATACAATGTTCATAATACGGAAAACTGAGTGCGTGATATGTATTAATTTCTATACTATCTTAATTTTTCTATAAACCTAAAACTGTTCTAAAGTAAAAAGTTTATTTTTAAAAAAATTCAGATCTGGCCGGGCGCAGTGGCTCACGCCTGTAATCCCAGCACTTCGGGAGGCCGAGGCGGACGGATCATCTGAGGTCAGGAGTTCAAGACCAGCCTGACCAACATGGAGAAACCCCCGTCTCTACTAAAAATACAAAAAATCAGCTAGGTGTGGTGGTGCATGCCTGTAGTCCCAGCTACTCGGGAGGCTGAGGCAGGAGAATCACTTGAACCCGGGAGGCAGAGGTTGCGATGAGCCGAGATCATGCCACTGCACTCCAGCCTGGGCAACAAAAGCGAAACTCCGTCTCAAAAAAAAACAAAAACAAAAAAAACAGATCTTACTTTATGGTGGATCTTCTATACCTTTCCACTATTTAAATTTATAATAAAAGTTTAAGGTATCAATTAAAAATATGGAAAAAGGAGTACATAACTTTTCGGAATAATGTTATGGAATACTTAGCAAAAAACCCGTGTAGAGCACCACTTGCGGCACTTTTTTTTTTTTTTTGTCTGGGACATGGAGTTTTGCTTCTCCTGCCCAGGCTGGAGCGCAGTGGCGCGATCTCGGCTCACCGCAACCTCTGCCTCCTGGGTTCAAGCGATTCTCCTGCCTCAGCCTCCTGAGTAGCTGGGATTACAGGCATGCTCCACCACGCCCAGCTAATTCTGTATTTTTAGCGGAGATGGGGTTTCATCGTGTTGCCCAGGCTGGTCCTGAACTCCTGAGCTCAGGCGATCCGCCCTCCTCGGCCTCCGAAAGTGCTGGGATTACAGGCGTGCGCCACCGCGCCCAGCTAATTCTGTATTTTTAGCAGAGATGGGGTTTCATCATGTTGCCCAGGCTGGTCCTGAACTCCTGAGCTCAGGCGATCCGCCCTCCTCGGCCTCCCAAAGTGCTGGGATTACAGGCGTGCGCCACCGCGCCCGGCCACCTACGGCACCTTTTTGGGACCCTCTGACTGCAGCCTCAACGATGGCCTCCCTAGTAGGGTCAGGCCTTTGCCGTAGGGAAGTGTGTTCACAGCCTCTTCTATGACTCGGATTGGTTTCTGACCAAGAAGAGACCTCATATAGTTTCAAGTATGTTTGAATTGCATTTTGAAAACATTCAAAAAAAGAAAGTCTCCAGCTTTCTATTATATTGCTTTCAATATACGTTTCAAGGAAAGAAATCCCTTAGCTTTGGACCTATTGAAAACAAAGGCCTTTCTACTTCTTTTGAACTTGGTAATTTCTCACAGTGCTGAGAAAACTGTAAGGTGCCATGCACCCATAAGGTGTAGTTCCTAGATTCACCCTGCAGCAGGTCTCGAAAGGGCTGCTAATGAGTGGCGCACACCCGCATACTGGGAGGAGCCCTCCCCCTGTTCTCTCTGCAGTCCTGGTGGCTTGGCCTCAGCTTGGCACTGAGTCACAGCCTCGGAAAACCAGCATGGTCATTGTGAGATTACTCAGGGACTAATTTGATTTTACAAAGTACATGTTTTCTACATTAAAGCTGTAATGGTTAACAAGCCTAATTCTTCCTTTAAGCTTTTACTATATAGACAGATCCTATTCTTCTATTTATAAATCTGGAAAGTTGTATGAATCACTCTAAGGTGGCTTTCATAATTCTGTTACATTTCCATACATTTTACCTGCATGTATAAAATATATATTCAGTTATCTTTCTGAATTAGTCAGGGTTCTCTATAGGGACAGGACTAATAGGATATATGTATATACGAAAGGGAGTTTATTAAGGAGAATTGATCCACATGATCACAAGGTGAAGTCCCACGATAGGCCGTCTGCAAATTGAGGAGCAAGGAAGCTGGTCGTGGCTCAGTCCAAGTACCAAAACCTCAAAAGTAGGGAAATTTACAGTGCAGCCTTCAGTTTGTGGCCAAAGGCCCGAGAGCCACTGGTGAAAAAGCTGAAGAACTTGGAGTCTGATGTTCCAAGGAGGGCAGGAAGCATCCAGCACGGAAGAAAGATGGAGGCCAAGAAGACTCAGCAAGTCGGCTTCCCCCACCTTCTTCTGCCTGCTTTATTCCAGCCGCACTGGCAGTTGATTGGATGGTGCCCACCACGTTGAGGGTGGGTCTGCCTCTCCCAGTCCACTGACTCAAATGTTAATCTCCTTTGGCAACACCCTCACAGACACACCCAGGAACAATACTTTGCATCCTTCAATCCAATCAAGTTGACACTTAATATTAACCATCACACTTTAGTTGATTGATCTTTTTAGGAATTTATCAATTTTATTAACCTTTTCAAAACGCCAACTTTTGGTCTTGTTGCTTTTCTGTTTGTTTTCTGTTTCATTATTTCTGCTCTTTATTATTTCCCTCCTTTTTTGCTCTTTGTTTTTTAGCTGCTTGAGAAATTAAGATCATTGACTTCCAGTATTTGTTTTCTAATATATATATTTAAGGTTATAAATTTCCAGTGAGTACTGCTTTAGCTGCATCTCAAAAGTTTTTATACATTTTATCTTCTTTATAATTATCATAAAACATATTTTCTAATTTCTGTTGTGATTGCTTCTTTGACACATGCGCTGTTCAGAAATGAAATGTTAAATTTTCAAAAATTGTGGGTATTCTAGTTTTCTTTGGTGATTTCTAGCTAATTTCACTGTGGCCAGAGGACTTATTCTGAATCTTTCAAATCTTTCAATCAATTCTCTTTTAAGACCTTTGGTTCTTCAATGAACAAAGACATCTTCCCATGTATTTCAACAAGTTTTTAAGAATAGTAAATTAAACTCTGTAATCTATTGTCTTAGTTCTCTTGAATGTTCCAACACTATTTGTAAGCTTGGATTTCAACTTAAAATCGTAAATCTAAGCCAACTTGTATTTTAAATTAGAATCGCCAAGTAAATCTGTTGATCAGTCTGAGGCTGTGCTGTCCAATGCGGTAGCCAACAGTGCATGTCATTATTTAATTTTAATTTTTAACACAATTAAATAAAACTTAAAATTTAGTTCACTGCTGAACAGCCATATCCCAAGCCATATTTCAAATGTCCAATAGCTGCATGTGGTTAGTGGCTGCCAAACTGAAGAGCACAGAATAGAACATTCTCATCACTGCAGCCAGTTCTGTTGGCCTAGACAGCACTCCCTAGGTGCTCCCGCGCAATGCTAGTCAGATTTTAGATTGACTGCTCTGGGGTCAGCAGCCCATCCTGGTCCAATCAGCTGACAGAGTCCTGTGGTACTAGCATGGTGATGTGTGCAAACAGTACCCCATATAAGACAGCTATTGTGGGAACTCCTTAGAAAGGGATTGAGGGAGAGATAAACACGTTGCAGCAAACTGCCTGGAAAATGCCTGATCATCCTTTGTCTTTGTGCTGCTGTAACAAAATACCTGAGACTGGGTAATTTATAAAGAACAGAAATTTATTTCTTACAGTTCTGGAGGCTGAGAAGTCCAAGATCAAGATCAAGGGGCAGCATCTGGTGAGGGCCTTCTTCCCACGTCATTTCATGGCAGAGAACAAGAGGATGAGAGAGCGAGAAAAGGGGGTTAAACGTACCTTTTTGATGATGAACCCACTCCCTAAATATCAGCATTAATCTATCCACGAGGGTGGAGCCCTCATGGCCTAATCACTTCTTAAAGGTCCCACATCTTCATACTGTTACAATGGCAATTAAATTTCAACATGAGTTTTGGAGGAGACAAACAAACTATAGCATCCTTGAAGGCCCCATGCCTACATCACCCACTGTAGGACAACTCTCCTAGCTCCTTTAGAGGGTGGTCATACTTTCTTCTGGAATCTCACAGAAGCCTCTTCAGAGTCCTCCCCATGTTGTAGTGTGATTGGCATATTTCCGTATCTGTCTCTGACTCTTGATCATGAACTTCCCAAAGGCTAAGGCTATGTGTCTTTTTTGTATTTTATCATCTTTGACCAAGTATTTCCCCAGCTTCCCTGGGGACCAGTGTCCTTAATCCTTGGCACAGTGCCTCATAAATGACAGATCTTGGTATGTTGATGAATTAAAGGGAAATTTCTCTGCAAGATGGTGCAGTATAGAGCTAAGAATCAGAAAGCCAGAATTCTGTGCTCCACTCAATTCCTATCTCTTGTACTCTTTGGCAAGTCAACCACTTCTTGGGCTTCAATTTCCTCTTCTTCATAAATTTCAGTGAAGTGGTTGACTTGGATAAGATTGCTCACTGCTCATTTGTCTTAGTCCATTCGGGTTGCTATACCAAAAATACCATCGACTGTGTGGCTTACACAATAAATATTTATTTCTTACAATTCTGGAGGCTGGAGAGTCCAAAGTTAAGACACTAGCAGATTAGGTGTCTGGGGAGGACCTGCTTCCTGGTTACTACTGTGTCCTCACATGGTAGAAGGGGTGAGAGATCTCTCTGGGGTCTCTTTCATAAGGGCCCTTCTCTCATTCATGAGGACTCCACCTTCATGACTTAATTACCTCCTGAAGGCCGTACTTCCTAATACCATCACACTGGGGGTTAGAATTTCAACATACCAATTTTCGGGAGACACAAACATTTGTTCCATTGCACCATTATACATGAATTAGCATTATATGAGCAGAAAGTGTCATGGCCAGGGAAGCTGGGGAAATACTTGGTCAAAGATGATAAATGGGTATTTTTTTAATACAGGGGTTCACAGAACTTTTGAAATGCTGAAGTCCATTATGGCACTCCAAGAAATAAGTAGAATGTGCAGAGTTTCAGACTTATTTGATGAACCATGGAACCACGTTGGATGTGGGTGCCTGTGCATGTGTGTGTATGTAGAGAGTGCCATCATAAAGAACTGATGTTCCATGGATCGTATCTTGGGAAATGGTTAACTAGCTGACCCCTGCAGAATCTTCTAGTTCTGCATTTTTATGAAGATGCCTTCCAGAGTCTTACAGTCCCTGTGGCTGACTTGGACAGCGCTGTAACTAAGAACTCACAGAGCCATACACTTCACCTTCCACTCCGTCAGCCCCTGCTTCCTCATCTCCTTTCCACTCCCTGCCCCACCCAAAAAAAAAGACATTGGAGCAGCTCTACTTCACATGTCTGTCAGGAGAGACAGGGCTGGGGTGCATGCATATTTACCTTTGACCTCTGATACAGAAGTAAAGTCGGTGCTAATCTGAAAGAGCAGCTGCTTTGAAAATCAAAGCATAAGACAGGGAGAATAATTTTATTTTAATTTAAAATTGATGTTTTCAGTTCTACCACATTTCTTTCATGGTTTCATGGGTGTCAGTTTAATATATCTAGTTTGAGCAATAACTTAATATACAAGGCTTTCATACATATGAATTTCTTAAAGCAGCAACAGATTAATAATGGTATGTTAATAAGAAAGCAATAGTGAAATATTCTACAGAGTTCATATTCCGTGTATTATTAATGAAGACCTTTTGTGTTTTGGTGGGTCTGATAGTTTATAACATGGGTGCCAGATAGATTGGAAATGTTTTTGCCTTCTTAGTAAAAAGGTCCCAAATTAGGCTACATGAATAGAGAATATTTGCAACAGGTAACCAAAATGGCCATGAGGCATTGTGGGACAGGAGGTGCTGAATTTATTTCAATCAGAGATGCCAGGAATAGCAACATTCTTATGCTGAAGAACAACACAAATAATCATGTCAACTCTTTTGGATAAAAAGCAGGAAAAACAGGGTTTCCTCGTGCCGTGCTAAATTGCCACATGCACTGAACTTATTAACTTATTAACTGAACTTATTAACTTATTAAAAACCAATGTTTAGGCCGGGCATGGTGGCTCACGCCTGTAATCCCAGCACTTTGGGTGGCCAACGCGGGTGGATCACCTGAGGTTAGGAGTTTCGGACCAGCCTGACCAACATGGTGAAACCCCATCTCTACTAAAAATACAAAAAATTAGCCAGGCGTGGTGCTGGGTGCCTGTAATCCCAGCTACTCGGGAGGCTGAGGTAGGAGAATCGCTTGAACCTGGGAGGCGGAGGTGGCAGTGAGCCAAGATTGCACTGCTGCACTCCAGCCTGGGTGACAGAGTGAGACTCTGTCTAAAAAAAAGAAACCAATGTTTATTGTAGGGGTCCCCAACCCCTGGGGCTGGTACAAATCCATGGCCTGTTAGGAATCAGGCCACACAGCAGGAGGTGAGCAGTGAATGAGCAGACATCACCACCTGAGCTCCTTCTCCTGTCAGATCAGCAGCAGTGTTAGATTCTCATAGGAGTATGAACCCTATTGTGAACTGCATGTGCAAAGGGATCTAGGTTGTGTACTCCTTAAGAGAATCTATTGCCTGATGATCTGAGGTGGAACAGTTTCATCCCAAAACCATCCCCCCATCTCATCTGTGGAAAAATTTTCTTCCATCAAACTGATCCCTGGTGCCAAAAAGTTAGGGACTGCTGGTTTATTGTATGCCTGCCATTGGTCAACACTGTTCTCAGCACTTTGCATGAAGTGCAAAGTAATGTGAAGAATGTAATTCCTTTTTTTTTTTTTTTTTTTGAGAGAGAGCGAGAGTCTCATTCTGTCACCCAGGCTGGAGTGCAATGGCACGATCTCAGCTCACTGCAACCTTTTCTTCAAGTGATCCTTGTGCCTCAGCCTCCCGAGTAGCTGGGAGCACAGATGCATGCTACCACGCCCGGCTAACTTTTGTATTTTTAGACTGGGTTTCGCCATGTTGCCCAGCCTGGTCTTGAACTCCTGACCTTAAGTCATCAGCCCGCCTCAGCCTTCCGAAGTGCTGGGATTACAGGCCTGAACCACTGCACCCGGCCATAGAATTTAATTCTTGTGGCAACTGTAAGAATCAAGACACAGTCTTGATTCTCAGGAGGCAGGATGAGGACTGTTAATGGTAAATGGGAGACCTGGTGCTTTGAATTTGGACAGTCCGGCCCAGAGTCCATCCCCAGACCCTCAACACTGAGGCTGGAGACCCCTGGCCTTTCAGGTCTGAGCTCTAGGTTTGGGGAGGCACCACAGATCTAGAGGAGCTTCAGGTGTTTCCAGTAGCAGAACCAGTGGCCTGTGTCTCAAAGGTCCCTGTGTGTCTGATCAGTGGCCCCCTAGGCAGACATGTTGGTGTGGGTGGAACAGTCTAGACACATCTCCCAGGTACAGCATGACTCTTGATTAGGGACAGCCACCATCACACACTCATCTAAGAGACCACTTTGTTCTTCACGAAGCCAATGTCACCAGAGGACTGGTGACTTGTAAACAATGACACCGACACACACCCCTCCCCTCCTCCCTCCACACCTACATGCATCCTCCATCCCAGCCATCAGCCCTGCACTGCCCTCTGTTTTTGCCACCTCCCACCATTTCTCACAGGAGGCCTCCTTGACTGGCAGCATTTGGCTTATACGTCATTAGACTTTGTCCAAAGAGCTCAGGTTGCAGGCTCACCTCCTCAGGATGCCCGCTCATGCACTCAGGTGAGCAAGATGCACCCATTTCATCCCATCTCAGATCAATAAGAGGAGGGGTTGTGTAACCCGAGAATCCCAAGACCCCATCAGTAACGTAGCACTACCTGGCTTCTTCTCCACCACCATTGGGCTTTGCCAGACACACTGAAAGTTTGAAAAGCAAAACAGCATTTTTTTCCCAATCATCTGATTTAGAAAATGGAAGAAATGATATAAAATTGATTTCACCAATGCCCTTTCCATGCAGATACTAAGTTCAATGTAGCTGTGATGTAAATATTAATGATATTTCAGTTTTCGTGTTAAGGTTTGTTTGTTTGTTTCTTTGCAGCAGCAGTCGGGAGAGTGACTAAAGCTTATTCATTTGCAGGGTTTTTCTTTTGGAAATGAACATGCTGGCACAATTTTAATTGGGTTTTAGTTGTTGTTGTTTTAATTCTCACAGTGATGGCTTGGCTATGTCTTTTGGGACTGTGGAGGGAAACTGGCATCTGGTGTTTGAGGATTCTGGGGATTTGCACCATATTTATGTGTAATAACTATACAGTAAATAAACAGAATGAATAATTAAGTGAATAATGAGTTTCTCAGAAAAGAAGGTTCCTCCAAAGACTTCGATAGAAATTCTCGTATATGTGTTCCACCCTCCCTCCCTCCCGCCTAGTGATTCCGCAGTGTTCTCACGGTGTCATTGCCCCCACGGAAACCAGCAAGGACATTTTCCAAGCCAAAGTCAAGCGTGCCATAAATCGACCCGGCTAGATACAAATGAGGACGTTTCTCTCACTTTTGTATTTTCTTCCCGTTGCGAAGATGTTGGACTTAAATTTGTTAGAATGATCTTTTTTAACCCTACAGAGAGAGATTTGCCTCTTTAAAAATAAAATCCATGAGATTAAATTTCATTAAATAGTATTTCTCTCAGGGGCTAAAAACTTGAAATTCCAGGAATTGGCTGTATCTGGTGAAATTACATAAATGCATACTAATACCCATATTAGTCAATACAAGGTGCCCTTGCTTCTAGATGCAAGCCAGGCCTAAAGTGAATCTTCCCGGAGGTAAAACCCACTAATATCGGTAATGATCGCTTCTCTCATGTGTGTGTTCATCAATTCACTCATGTTTTTACTTGTCCATTCATTCATTCAGTGACCATTCACTCATATGGTTTTTGTTTTTGTTTTGTTTTGTTTTCTGAGACAGAGTCTTGCTCTGTCACCCAGGCTGGAGTGACAATCTCGGCTCTTGGCAACCTCTGCCTCCCCAGTTCAAGTGATTCTTGTGCCTAAACCTTCCGAGTAGCTGGGACTACAGGCACGTGCCACCATGCCCAGCTAATTTTCGTATTTTTTATAGAGATGGAGTTTCACCATGTTGGCCAGGCTAATCTCGAAATCCTGGCCTCAGGTGATCCGCCCATCTTGGCCTCCCCAAAGTGCTGAGATTACAGGCATGAGCCACCGCACCTGGCCCACTCACACATTTTTATTTGTCCATTCATTCATTCATTCAGTGAGGAAGTAATTATTTATCGAGCACCCACTACATGCCAGGCCCCATGCCAGGCACTGGGGACAGCTGGCCAAGCAAAACCAGACCCAGTTTCTGTCCTCACAGAGCTTGCATTCTTGTCAAGATGATGATATGATAATAAAACAGATTACAACTGTGACCGGTTCCGTGAAAGAGAGTATGTCAGTCCCCTCGGGCAGCCATAACAAAATACCACAGGCTGGGTGGCTTAGACACGAAGACTTATTTTCTCACAGTTCTGGAGCCAAGAAGACTAAGATCATGGCGCAGGCAGGGCTGGTGTCTCCTGAGGCCTCTCTCCTTAGCTGGCAGATGGCTGCCTTCTTATGGCGCCCTCACGTGGCCTTTTCTCTCTGCATACCCATCCATAGGGTCCCTTTTTTTTGACAGAAAAAGGGTTTTTAAAAAAAATTTTTTTTTAAATTATACTTCAAGTTCTAGGGTACATGTGCACAACGTGCAGGTTTGTTACATATGTATACATGCGCCACGTTGGTGTGCTGCACCCATTAACTCGTCATTTACATTAGGTATATCTCCTAATGCTATCCCTCCCCCCTCCCCCCACCCCACGACAGGCCCCGGTGTGTGATGTTCCCCTTCCTGTGTCCAAGTGTTCTCATTGTTCAATTCCCACCTATGAGTGAGAACATGTGGTGTTTGGTTTTTTGTCCTTGCGATAGTTTGCTGAGAATGATGGTTTCCAGCTTCATCCATGTCCCTACAAAGGACATGAACTCATCCTTTTTTATGGCTGCATAGTATTCCATGGTGTATATGTGCCACATTTTCTTCATCCAGTCTATCATTGATGGACATTTGGGTTGGTTCTTTTTGAGTCTACATTTCCTCTTATAAAGACACTACTCATTGGATTAGGGCTCACCCTAGCTGACTCATTTCACATTGTCTCTTTAAAGGCCCTATCTCCAAATATAGTCACATTCTGAGGTTCCGGGGATTAGGACTTCAACATAGGAATTTGGGGGAAACCTAATTTCACCCATAACAGAGAGGTAGCTGGACAGAGATTGTAATGGGGACAGCTCAGATAACCGAGCAGGTACATAGGCAGGCTTCCCTGTTCAGCGGGGATCTAGAGGATGAGTAAGAGCAAATTAAACAAAGAGGAGAAAAAGTGTCTTCCAGGAAGAGGTGAGAGCAGGCGCCACAGCCCTACAGCGGGAGGGGCCAATCACACTAGAGAGACCAAAGCAAGAAGGCCACGGCAGCTGAGATTCTGTGAGGCAGAGCCTGGGGCCCAGGACAGAGCTGACTTTCTAGGTGGGGAACAGGCCATGCTCAGCCTCAGAGACCATGGTCAGGAGTTTCGTCTTTTTCCGAGAGCAATGGAAGACCACTGAAGGTTTCTAAGTGAGGGCAGAGTTGGAAATATCAGTCTGGCTGAAGGGCGGAGGGCAGGCATGTGGGGATCTGGGGGACGTTTCGCAGAGCATCAGATACAGGGAAATGCTGCAGACATCCAAGCAGGAAGTGAAAGTGGCTTGGATTCAGGAGGTGGGACAGGATCGGAAAGAAATGAGTGGATTTGATAGATCTATGAGGGGCAACTGATTTGATATGGGGGGCACCAGGAGACAAAAGTTGGTGACAGGTGAGGTGGGGTGGGCACTGGTGAGGGGGGAAATGACCAGTTCTCTCCTGGAATTCTGACTTCCATAACTGAGTACAGAAGGTCAGTGGGGTCGAGAGCTCCAGAATAGGCCCTTGTTTGAGCTGAGTTTTGGTCACACTGACATCAGTAGACATTAACGGCCACTTGGCCACTTTTTGTTCCTCAACACAGATACCTCTTTCTCCAGCATGTGCCGTTCTACTTGGAACACTCTTTCCTGCTTATACTTCACTACTCATCCACCAGCCACATCTCAGCCCATCTCAGCCCCAAGGGTCAACCTCCTCAGCAGGGAAGTCTTCCCACTTTCCTCAGACTAGGCTCAGTGTTTCTTACTTTTTGTTTTTTGTTTGTTTGTTTGTTTGTTTGTTTTGGAGACAGGGTTTTGCTGTGTCGTCCAGGCTGGAGTGCAGTGATGCGATCTCGGTTCACTGCAACCCCTGCCTCCCGGGTTCAAGCGATTCTCATGCCTCAGCCTCCAGAGTAGCTGGGATTACGGGTGCACAACACCATGCCCGGCTCATTTTTGTGATTTTAGTAGAGATGGGGTTTTGCCATGTTGCCCAGGCTGGTCTCTAACTCCTGGGCTCAAGCGATACACCCACCTCGGCCTCCCAAATTGCTGGGATGACAGGTATGAGCCACTGCACCCAGCCATCTTTCATAGACTCTTATAACATGCTGTACTTTTCCTTCAAAGCAATTGTTATTATTAAAATTACATAATTAGTTGTTTAAATTCTATTTCTCCCACTAGAACGCAAAGTCTATGTTCGGTGACCATATCTGTCTAATTAACACAGCAGACAGGTGGTTCTGGAGCCAGAGTCTCTGGGTTCAAATCTCGACTGCCCCGCTTCCTAGTGGTGTAAATATGGGCAAGATATTTCACCTTGCTTTGCCTCAGTTGCCTTGTATGCAAAATTTGAATTATAATTGTACTTCCTTAATAGAACTTTTGGGAGTATTAAATGAGTTAATTAGCATAGAGTGTTTATTGCAGTCCTTGGGATGTAATGAGCACTCAATAAATGTTAGCTATTATTATTCATCACTGTGTCTCTAACTACTTGATGGATGGATAATCAGATAGATGGATGGACTAATGAATGGATAGGTGGAAGGATGGAAAGATAGGTAAAGGTGGTAGGAAATAAAACACGGTCTTTACTAAGTTATATTGATTGAGCATAGTGGAAATGCAAGGAAGCCCAAATGGTATTGTGAAAAGAGGAGATGGCCCGTTCTTTACAACATAATTACATTTCAAGATATTGAGTCCCCTTAAGATAAACTTTGGTTATCTTACGTAACTTATAAGTAACTTACGGTTACTTTCAGGCAGAGCCTTAAGTAATCTCCATCAAGACTTCTTCAAAGATAAACCAAGTTATTTGTCACTTGACTTCAATAGAGGGGAAAAAAAATCACCACAACCCAACTATCTCCTTCTTAATTAAAAACTGTGCATTTCCCAAATTAACTGATTTTTTTAAAAAAGATATAATCTAAAAGCTCAGTTTAATCTGATTTAAACAATAAATTGATTCATTGGCTTATTCAGTCTTGTGTTTCTCCCTCAAATGATAATGGAATTCCTACTGTGTGTCAGACACTATGATAGGTACTGGGTAGTTACAAAGTCAAATAAGATATCGTCAGGCCAGGCGCTGTGGCTCATACCTGTAATCCTAACACTTTGGGAGGCTGAGGTGAGAGAATCACTTGAGCCCAGGAGTTCAAGACCAGCTTGGGCAACAAAACAAGACTCTTCCTCTACTAAAAGTTAAAAGAATAAAAAATTAGCCAGGCATGGTGGCACATGCCTGTAGTCCTAGCTACTCCGGAGGCTGAGGCGGGAGGATCGCTTGAGCCCAGGAGTTGGAGGATCGCTTGAGCCCAGGAGTTTGAGGTTGCACTAAGCTGTGATCATGCCACTGCACTCCAGCCTGGATGACAGAGTGAGACCCTGCCTCTCCAAAAAAAAAAAAAATATATATATATAGTCATTATCCTCAAGGAGCTTAAGATCTAAATAAACTTTATAAAAAACATAAGTAAAAACTTATGATAGCTCTACCTCATCAAAATAAAACAAATGCAGAAGCAAAAGCTATTTTCTGAACAGGAGAAGCAGCCTGTTATGGCTCAACCCCACTCTAATCCCAGCTCTGCCCTGGGTTCGATGGTGGGACCTCTGGGGAGAATGGCCAAAGCTGCTCAGTCCCAGATGGAAGGTATTTTCATTACTGTCACTGTATTTATGAAAGGAACTCATGTCTGGAATCTCCTTTTCACCCAAAGAATTCTCTTTTTGTAATTTATTACAAAATTCAAGGCCATTTCATTAGGGGGCAATGCGCCATGTCATTATTACAACAACTCCCCCTGTTTTTGTTCAATTTTGAAACTGACAATCTAAAGACTATTTTTAGCTCAGTCAAGTGAGATTATTTGTTTCCTTATTATGAAAAGTTTTTCCTTCAGACTCTAGTTAACATGAATTTTATTCTCACTTATTATGTCACATGCTCCAATTCAATTTATTTTAAAGCGGATTCTTTGGGGAAAACTGTAAAGCTAATTTGAATTGATTCTTTAGAGATTCCATTTTAAATGAAGTGCTATAAAAATTGGCAGGCAAAGTGAAAAAATGGAATTGAATTTTCTTCTTCGGCTACTCATTGGATTCAGAAATCTTGCTTTTCGACACTGCCAAGGGTTTTGATATAATGTTTTATGCAATTTTCATAACATTTATCTTAAACTCCACTGCCTTTGGTTTGGTTGTTCAACTGCAAAATGGTTTCCTGATATTTCCATATAAAAAAAGCAGAGTTTTTGCTACAGGAAAAATTTGGTGTTTTGATACAAACTTTCTAACATCCACTATGGTACCCATCTATAAAACATCTGGTGTAAGGCAGGTGTTTTAATTCTGGAGTGAATATCTAGCCCTTGTGGACAAGCTTGTTAAGGGGAGTGTGGAATAAAACTGCATCCCGAACTTCCTTCCACTTTGAACAGTTTATTTGTCTTTCTTTCAAAGTTGATGGATTTCCAACTTGAGGAAAGTGTGGAAATAATAGGCAAGAAGCCTGATGGCTTAATTTCCTGTCCCTCACAGACCCCAGGAAGCGCTCATTGTTCCTGAGAATAGGAGGCTCCAAGCTAATCAGAAACAGCCATCGTTTGGTGGGGACCGGGGCCCCGGGATTGGTCCGTCTGACTCCAGTTGATGATTTACATCCTATTATTAAGAATCTAATGGGAAATACATCGAAAACACATGTCTGCCATTTCATTTTGAGACATACTTGTTTTCTTTGATGTGTTTTTTAAAGGGAGTTTTATTTCACACTCATCTCTTCCCTTGAATTCCCTATACAGCCACTATCGTTCCTATTGACCCAGCTGGTAAGCTCATTGCCAGCTCACCAAGGGTCTTCGCTCACTTTGGCTCTGCTGCCATTGAATATAGCACCGAGTACTCAGAGTGATTTCCCCAAACTCTGGTTAGCCTTGAAAGCAACAAATCACTGTTGCATGAGTTTTTGTTCTGATTACAGAGACGATAATCATGTGAAGTTAATGCAGGTGTCATTAGGGTTTCGGCAAAAGGAGCAGACCCAAGACCGACTTCTCCATCAGACACACAATGTCTACAGCCCTGGATACTTGCAGGGCCCAATTTTAATTATAATTTATTTTAAGATTGGAGGAAAATGAGTATAATAGTGAATACATAATAATGAATCCAGCCTAGGTAGTATTTTTTTATACCAACATAATTACAAAATGTAATTTTTGTGGGGGCAGGGAGGAGTCTTGCTCTGTTGCCCAGGCTGAAGTGCAATGGCCTCCCAGGTTCAAGCAATTATCCTGCCTCAGCCTCCCTAGTAGCTGGGATTACAGACACCTGACACCAAGCCTGGCTAATTTTTGTATTTTTAGTAGAGATGGAGTTTCTCCATGTTGGCCAGGCTGGTCTTGAACTCCTGACCTCAGGTGATCCACCCACCTCGGCCCCCCAAAGTGCTGGGATTACAGGTGTGAGCCACCACAGCTGGCCTAAACTATAATTTTTTAAAAAATGTTTTAACAGTAGAATAAGGTCCATGAAGGCAAAGTGGCTCAGCGCATAGAAGTCATAATTCATCTGAGCAGAACTGCTGTGAGTAACATGGAATAAGGGACCGAGTCTAAGGATTGGCTTTTCTGTGACTGTGGCAGCTGATGGAGAGGTCTCAGCAGAGCTGCTAGACCTCTGTATCTGCAGATGGGCTTGAGGTTACCCTAGGTCACAAAGCCAGCAGTTGAGAAAAAAAGCCGGATGTGAAGGCTGTGGTTCTCAACCCGGGACGACTTTGTCCCCCAGAAGACATTTGGAGTTGATGCCTGGAGACAGTTTTGGTGGCCACAACTTAGGTGAGAGTGACGACTATCTAGTGAGAAGAGGCCAGGAATGCTGCTAAACACTGCAATGCACAAGACAGCCTCTGACCACAGTTATCTGGCTTGAAAGAGCAACAGTGCTGAGGCTGAGAGACCCTTATGTGAAGAAAGGCCACAACCTATAAGCCATGTCTGCCTCTTGCAGCCCCCCTCAGTGAAGGGATAACCCAAAGCAGGAGTTGCTGTCCCTCATCATTGAAGAACACTTGCACCTGGGAGGATTTGGCGATGCTAAAGAGGGATATGGGGCAGCTGCTGAGGAACTGCAGGGCTGGCTGCCCCGAGCCGCCACCGGGTGAGTCAGCAGATCAGTGGCAACGCACTGGAGCTACAGTAACAATGCACAGTGCCCCGCACCCACCTGCGGAGCGTGAGAGCTGCTGCTTCACTTCCACCTTCCATATCTCATGCAAATTTCTCTCCTGGTCAGCCCTAACTTGAAACCCTACAGGAAAGGAACTCTAGAAAATGTAGTTCCAGGTTCACTAAATTGCCATAGTCCAAGCCCCCCACAGTAGACCCTGAGGGGCTCTGCTCACCAGCACTTTATACCTGTGAAGTGGTGTTTTCTTCACCTCACTCCAGACTTCGCATGTGTTGAAATTGGATGTGCTATTGCAATTGTTTAAATCCACAAACACCTGGTGTGCTTTAGACTGCTGGCTGTGCATCCGCATCTTTCTTTCAGAAATACAGCTGTGGCTGCACACACAGCTCCCCAGACAGAGCCATGAACCAGCTTCCCATGCAGTTAGGGGTGGCCGTATCACTGCTACTTATCACATGCATGTTTGGGCAAGTGGGTGTGCCGGCTCCAGAGCTGCACCTGTGGACGCCAGCTGCATACCCCTCCACGTGCTCTTTCCCCTTCCCATCAGCTGGAACCCAAATCTGAGGCAACCCAGCTTCAACCACACGATGACAAGAACAAAGCAGCAGGATGGAGAGATCTTGGAGATTTTATACCCTAAAGCACCTGCATCGTACTCTTCTTTTTTCCTAAGGAGTTCTGAGTGAGCTTCTTAGTCACTTAGGTCGTGAATAATAAAAACCAACTGAGGCCAGATGCAGTGGCTCACACCTGTAATCCCAACACTTTGGGAGGCCAAGGCAGGAGGATGGCTTGAGGTCAGGAGTTTGAGACCAGCCTGACCAACACAGCAAGACCTTGTTTCTAAAAAAGGAAGGAAGGAAGGAACAAAGGAAGGAAAAAGAGGAGAGGAAGGAAGGAAGGAAAAAGAGAGAGGGAAGGAAGGAAAAAGAGGGAAGGAAGGAAGGAAAAGGAAGGAAGGAAAGAAGGAAGGAATGAAGGAGGGAGGGAAGGAAGAAGGGAGGGAGGGAAGGAAGGAAGGAGGGAGGGAAGGAAGGAAGGTAGGAAGGAAGGAGGGAGGGAGGGAGGGAGGGAGGAAGGAAGGAAAAAAATTAAAACCAACTGAAATTGGCTGGGCACAGTGGTTCATGTCTGTAATCCCAGGACTTTGGGAGGCTGAGGCGGGAGGATAGCTTAAGCCCAAGAGTTTGAGACCAGCTTAAGCAACATAGTAAAACCCTGTCTCTACAACAAATACAAAAACTAGCCAGGGATGGTGATGTGCACCTATGGTTCCAGCTACTCAAGAGGCTGAGGCAGGAGGATTGCTTAAGCCTAGGAGTTTGAGGCTGCAGTGAGCTGTGATGGTGCCATTTCACACTCCAGCCTGCCTCCTTTTAGAGACAGCAAGACCCTGTCTCTATAAAAGAAAGAAAGAAAAAAGAAAGAAAGAAAGAAAAAGAAAAGAAGACAAGACAGACTTTTCACTTAAGCAGAAAAGGGAATGTATTTGTTCCCATAATTGGGAGGTTCAGGCTGAGTTTCAGGCATAACTGGATCTAGGGGTTCAAAGTATGTCATTAGGATTCTCCGTCTCCCAACATTGGCTTCTTGCAGGAGTCCAGGGAAGATGGCTTTGAGAAGTTCCAGGCTCACAATTCCCTTCTAGCTCATGACCCAGGAGAAAACAGGAGCTTCTCTCTCTCAAGGCATACTTAACTATGAAGAGGAAATGCAGAATGGTCCCTCTGGGGTTACAGGCTCACCCCGAACCAATCACTCCAAACCTCAGAAGAAGGGAGACTAGAATGAACCTGTAAAATCAGTAGCCATTACAGCCCACTTGGGAAGTTAACCAACATTACCAGGCAGTGAAGACAGTGCTGGTGGGGGGTAAAATCAGGAAGCTGCAATTGAGGTTCAGGGAAGGAAAACCATTCTCAGCTGAGGTCGTTAGGAATGCCTTCATAGGACAGGTAGGATTTGAGCTGGGCGTTGGGAGACCTAAAGTTTAAAAACGGATGAAGAAGAAAATACCGTACTTTCATTCCTGATCATTTTCTAAGGCTCAAGGAAGCTAGCAGCCCAGGGGGATGTAAAGGATCGTGTTGGTTTTCTTCCCTTTGCCACTGGTTCAGGATGAGAAGTGTTTTTCTTTGAGCATCGAGTCCTTCCAGAGACTGACAGAAAGGGAGAGAATTTGGATACGAGGACAAAAATCTCCAGCACAGGCACTCACATGTAAAGCAGGAGGAAAACGCCATGCTTCTCCCCAACCTGAGGAACAGCTGGTAAGTGTAACTGGCAGTTTCCTTAATCAGTCCAGAAAGGCTTGTTATATAAATAAATGATTCAAATAGGAAGTGACTTACCTTAGGAAACATGCCTTGCTCTTTTTTGTTTTTCATGTTTCTAGAATGGTTTCTTTCAGGGTTGGGGTAGAACAGCTTGTAATTTTAATATACATTTATTGATTCTAAAACTGTCTAGTGTTAGGATTTTAGGAATATATTTTTATGAGGATTCAAGTAGCATAATAATTTTCCAACCAGCCATGCTAGCAGAGCCAAGGGCTCAATTCTTTAGGACAGGGGTCGGTCCTTTTATCTGTAAACATCCTGTGCTGTTGGCTGGGTTCAGGTGTATGGTAACTGGCTTGACCTTAAAAGGCGCTGGAGGTGATGGTGGTGACTATGCTACTGCTGCTGCTGATAGCAACTATTGATCTCACAGGTGAGGCCAACTGCAGTATAAACCCCATCCTCTTTATTCTAAGGAACCATTACACTCTCTGTGTATGATGGATGATTGTTTGATGACGGTTAGATCAGATCAGAGATTTATTGTTTCCTACTTGTCGGTGATGTAATGATGACTTTAGGCACAAAGTTCTTTTCATTGATAGGCAAGTTTGCCCCTTTAAGCAGGGAGTGGGAGATGTCCTCGTGTTTGGTTTAGGCTGGGTCTCTCCAGACCAGTTTGTCTTTAGAGCCCATTGGAAGCAGTACAGCAGCTCAGTATCTGTTGTCTGTTCCCACGGTGGCTAGCGGGGATGGGGCTTATCATTTCTATGAGAACTGTAATGAATCATATAGGGGGAATCCTGACTTGAGGCGAATAGAGGCACACAATTAGTTAATTGCATCGATTTTACTGGTGGATTGCTCCCTATCTCAGTTCCCACACATTGCTATGTAGCTTGCAGTGTCTCTTATGGTGGGAATACACTTCTCTGCTCCATTGATATTGGACTTGGCACCATGACTTGCTCTGGCTAATGAGATGCAAGCGGAAGGGAGTCTGTGCGGGTAGGAGCTGAAGCTTTGGAGGCTTCACCCTTGCTTTCTTTCTCATTTATTCCTTTCCCTCTTCCATGGGAATGGCATGTCCCCGATGGGCACCGCTCTTTCAGCCTGGGCTGTCACATGCAATGTGAGTGAGAAATACATACTTGTTATTGTGAGCCACTGAGATGTTAGGAGCACTTGTTACAACATGTAACCTAGTGAAAGCTGACTGATACAAATGGTCACTTATTGTCCTGGTCATTCTGGTGAAAAATGGTCCAACCCTTAAACATGTGGCTATAGACTGAGCTTGTAACAACTCTACCCAAGAAAAACATCCTAAATCGAAGAAAATGAATGAACTACAGTCAGATTAAACCAACAATAACAAGAAGCCAATTTCGTATATCAAATTTGCAAGGGCTATAAAAATAATAGTATTAGAAAGAGTATACCAGAAACAAGCATTCTTAGACATTGTTAGTGGAAGTATAATTAGAACCACAGTGCTGGAGATAAATTCAGGAGCAATACTGATACCAATAATAGATGGTATTTATAGAGTGCCTTTATGTGCCAGGTTCTACTATTTTAAGTTTTTTTTGTTTTTTTTTTGTTTTGTTTTTTTTTAGAGGGAGTCTCGCTCTGTCACTCAGGCTGGAGTGCGGTGGCGCAATCTCGGCTCACTGCAATCTCCGCCTCCTGGGTTCATGCCATTCTCCTGCCTCAGCCTCCCGAGTAGCTGGGACTACAGGCGTCTGCCACCACACCTGGCTAATTTTTTGTATTTTTAATAGAGACGGGGTTTCACCGTGTTAGCCAGGATGGTCTCAATCTCCTGACCTCGTCATCTGCCCACTTCTGTCTCCCAAAGTGCTGGGATTACAGGTGTGAGCCACTGTGCCCAGCCTACTATTTTAAGTTTTATTGACCTTACTTGAATTAATAAAATTGATTTACATGTACTAACGTAATTCTTGTAATCATCTTGTAGGGAAGGTATTATTCTTAAAAATATATATATTTCAAAACCCTTAAAAATGTTTCTTTGCTCTTTGACGCACATCTGGGAGTTTATCCTAAGGAAATAATTACAGATGAGGTGAAAAAGCTTTATCTAAGAATGTTCGTGGCAGAATCGTTCATAATTGTGAAACTCAGAAGCAATATAAACATCCAGAAAATTGGAATCTTTTAAAAAAGTTGAACGCTTTAAAAGAGATATAAAAATATATGGTGGACATGAGAAGACTTTTATTTCCATTAAGTAAAAAAAGCAGCACTTTTTTTTTTTAGTGGCAGGGCACAGTGGCTCACACCTATAATCCCAGCACTTTGGGAAGCCGAGGCAGGGGGACCACTTGAGGTCAGGAGTTCGAGACCAGCCTGGCCAACGTAGTGAAACCCTGTCTTTACTAAAAATAAAAAAAAAATTAGCCGGGTGTGGTGGTATGCACCTGTAGTTCCAGCTGCTAGGGCGGCTGAGGCAGGAGAATCATTTGAACCCAGGAGGCAGAGATTGTGGTGAGCCGAGATCGCGCCACTGCCCTCCAGCCTGGGTGACAAGAGTGAAACTTCGTCTCAAAAATATATATAAAATAAAATTAAAAGTAAAATAATTTAAAAAAGCAGTTTAGTGAAAAATGCAGTGTAGACCTGCATTGTGTAATACAATAGCCACCAGCAACGTGAGCACTTAAAATGTGACTAGTCTGGGCCAGGCACAGTGGCTCATGCCTATAATCCCAGCACTTTGGGAGGCTGAGGTGGGTGGACCACCTAAGGTCGGAATTCGAGACCAGCCTGACCAACATGGAGAAACCCAGTCTCTACTAAAAATACAAAATTAGCCGGGCGTGGTGGCACGTGCCTGTAATCCCAGCTACTCGGGAGGCTGAGGCAGGAGAATCGCTTGAACCTGAGAGGAGGAGGTTGTGGTAAGCTGAGATTGTGCCACTGCACTCTAGCCTGGGCAATGAGAGCAAAACTCCGTCTCAAAAAAAAAAAAAAAAATGTGACTAGTCTGAATTGAGAAGTGCTGTAAGTGAAGACTTAATATGGAAATAAAAGAATATAACAATATTTCATTAATTTTTATGTTGATTCAAGGTTGAAATGATAATATTTGGGGCATATTACTAACATTAATTTCCCCTGCTTTTTTTGTACTTTAAAAAAATGTGGCTACTAGAAAAACTTGAAATTTCATATGTGGCTCATATTTATTTTAGGACTTGTGACCACACAGTTTCTGTTACAACTGCTCACTTGCGTTGTAAGTCAAAGCAGCCATAGATGACATAGAAATGAATGGACATCTCCGTGTTCTAATAAAACTTTATTTATAAAAACAGGTAGCCAACCAGGAGGGCAGTAGTTTGCTTAACCGTGGTCTAGACCAGAGTTTCCTAACCTTGGGCCTTTTGACATTTGGGGCTAGGTAATTTGTTGTTGTTGAGGGCTGGCCTGTGCGTTTTAGGATGTTTAGCAGTATCTCTGGCCTCAACCACTAGATGCCAGTATCACCACCTGCCCCAGTTTTGACAACCTAAAATGTCTGCAGACATTGCTGAATGTCTTCTGTGGGGGAAAAATCACCCTGATTGAGAACCACTGGTCTAGCTCATATGATTTTATTTCCGAGAAAACAAAAATTGTGTGCATGTGTAGTGTTCTGGATGGGTACACACCAAGGTGCAGGAGTTACGTGTTTGGTTTTTTTCCCCATCTTTTCATTTTTTGCATTTTCTAAATTAAGCATAGGTTATTTAATATGTAAAAAGGAACAATCGTGGGGCTGCATGTGGTAACTCGGGCCTGTAGTCCCAGCTACTTGGGAGGCTGAGATGGGAGGATCGCTTGAGCCCAGGTGTTCCAGATGCTTCTGGGCAACATAGAGACCCCATTGCAAAAAAAGTAGGGGGATGGGGCAAATAAATAAATAAAACAATTGTGTAGACAAAGAAAGCCAAAAAGACAAAGATAAAATGAGACTCAGAAAGAAATCCACGTGTAGAAAAGAAAGTGAGAGTTGGGGGAGAATGCTACTTCATCCCCAAAAGACAAGTTCTCTACTTGGCCAGGCCCTCAACTGCCACTCCAAGATGTAATATCAAGGGCAGCAGATGTGGTTGGGCCAATGATCTCTGGGTTGATTATGGGTTTGGAAAAATACATCGGCCACACTGGAGTAGGCAGGCCCTCGCCTGGTGTGGTGTAACTATTTACCAAAAGGAAGCAGGCTTGATTTTGATGTACACACCACACCTCCTCAGGTGTAAGGCACACTGGGACCTCCACTGCTTGAGTCCACCAGGGAAAGGAGGAAGTAAGGAGTTAGACAAGATTTCAGAATGAAAAATTGAAACGCTGACTGCACTGAACTACTTCTCACAAAAGCCCAGGCAGTAACATTTTAGCAACTAAAAAATCAGTGCCAATTTACTGATATTTAAAATTCATGTTATTATAAATCAATTATTATTATAAGTAACTTTACTTTGTGCTTGCCATGCACCGGGCAGTGTACCTCATTTAATCTTCCATAATCTTCCTTATAGTGCTGAAAGGTAGGTGCTGTGCTTAGGATAGTTTTCCAGTTGTGGAACCCAGAGCTCGGAGATGGTAAGTTATATGCCTAAGTCCCACAGCTAGCAAGAGATGGAACCAAGGCTGTAGGCCACTCTCTGAGTTGACAAGTCATGCCCTTGTGATCTAAACTACAAGGGTGTACATTTTCTCTTGGGATTCAAGTTCTTATTTTGAAAGAAAAATACATAGCTCCTAAGAATTATGGTTTTTTGGAATTAGTCCTTTCCAGGAAAAAAAAGACTTTGCTCACTGTCATCATTGGTGAGAAGCTAATAAGCATGTCAAGTTCAGGTGTAGTTTGAGCAACTCAGTGAAGAGGTAGAGAGAGGTGAGGCAAAGATCTAGGCAGGAAGTGACCCTGAAAGCTGGGTGGCCTGATACTGGGATCTGGGTGGTGGGTCCATCAGAAAAGGGCCCCAGCCAGTGTCTGGAGAGATTGAGGGCATGACAGAGAGAGACTAGACTCCATAGAGAGGGCACTGGCAAGAGCTGGACAGGCCGCCATCATGGAAGAGGGGTGCTGGGAGGGAAACTGATTCAGAAGTACAATTCTCTGGTATGCAGGCACAGAAGTGCCAAGCAGCAGTCCTACAGCATGACCATGGACATTAACTCACTGACTGCTCTGTGTGGGAGTCGGTCAGCTCCAGAGCGGGGGTGAGGTGGCAGATGAAGGGTAGAGGTGATGCCAGGTGTCTGGAGTAGGGGAGGCAGGTGTGGCAGAAGCTGTGGATGGCCCCCAATGCCTGTTCTTCCCTTCTGCCTTGGTACTAGAGCTCCCAAATTTTATGAATAACTGGGCACATGGCCACCAACCTCCCTTGCAGCTCAGTGTGACCATGCCCTTCTTCTCCTACTATCCTTCCTCTGGTAGGGATGCAATGGCTGGAACTCCAGCAGCCATTTGAGACCATGAGGTGGGTTTGGCATGGTGGCTCATGCCTGTAATCCCAGCATTTTGGGACAGCAAGGTGGGAGGATAACTTGAGGCCAGGAGTCGAGACCAGCCTGGGCAACCAAAGTATAAATGCATCTACAGAAATTGTTGGTCCACACAGTGTCATAAGAATTTTGAAGGCCAGGCGTGGTGGTGGCTCATGCTTGTCAGCCCAGCAGTTTGGGAGGCTGAGATGGGAAGATCACTTGAGCCCAGGAGTTTGAGAACAACCTAGGTAACATAGCAAGAGCCCGACTCTACAAAAAATAAATAAATAAATAAACTAGGTATGGGGGTGTGTGCCTGTAGTCCTAGCTACGTTGGAGGCTGAGGTGGGAGGATTGCTTGAGCCAGGAGGTTGAGGCTGCACTACAGTGAGCTATAACTGAGCCACTGCACTGCAGCCTGGGTGACAGAGTGACATCCTGTCTCACAAAAAAAAAAAAAAAAAAAAAGACCATGAGGTGGGTACTCTTGTGATTGGTGGAGCGAGAACATGGAGACTGGCTTCCTAGTGTTTGCAAAACTGCCAGATACCAGGACAGTCTCCCCTCTGCTCACTTCCAGACTTGGTTTCTACTAGACAATTACATGTGTATCTTGTTAAATTTGTTATTATTTGAGGTTTTCTACCATTTCTAATTAAGCTGAAGTTAATTTTAACTAACTTGGCAAGGACCGACATATTCGGTTTTTGTTTTTATTTATTTATTTATTTTTATTTTTATATTTTTGAGATGGAGTTTCACTCTTTGTTGCTCAGGCTGGAGTGCAGTGGTGTGATCTCAGCTCACTGCAACCTCTGCCTCCTGGGTTCTAGCGATTCTCCTGTCTCAGCCTCCTGACTAGCTAGGATTACAGGCACCCACCACCACACCTGGCTAATTTTTGTAGTTTTAGTAGAGTCGGGATTTCACCATGTTGGCCAGACTGGTCTCAAACTCCTGACCTCAGGTGATCCGCCTGCCTCGGCCTCCCGAAGTGTTGGGATTACAGGTGTGAGCCACCATGCCTGGCCTGTTTTTATTTTTGATTCGGGGGTACATGTGCAGGTTTGTTACAAGGGTATATTGCGTGATGCTGAGGTTCAGGCTTCTGTTGATCCCATCACCCAAATAGTGAACATAGTACCCAATAGGAAGTCTTCCCAGCCATTTCCCCCCTCCCTTCTGCCCCTCTTTTGGAGTCTCAGTATCTATTGTTCCCATCTTTATGTCTGTGTGTCCCCATGTTTAACTCTCACAAGTGAGACCATGCAGTATTTGGATTTCCGTTTCTGCATTAATAGGACTGACATTTTCTAATGCTGGCCTTAGAAGGCTGGCTGCCCCTCCCAACTCCCTTCCTATAGCATAGATTCTATATAAACTCATTCTAGTTTGAATTAATAGGAATTTAAAGTTACTTTAAGTGAATGAGCGCGAACACGTTCACCAACCTGACTATTCCAGAACATGTTGTAATTGCTGCAGTTGTTTCAGTTCAGGTCCTCATCCACTCCTATCCCTTCCACTCTCCCACCAACCCACCCACCGGGGTCTGAAGGTACACGTACAATAGAAGGAAAAACTGAATTTACAAACAGAGAGCTCTTCTCCCCAAGAAAATTCAGAGTCACAACCATCATTACCACTTCCTCAGCTTCGTACCCCATTCTAATACCTGCAGTGATGATCTGCATCTCACGCTCTGTCTTCCATTCCTACCTCTGACAAAGCTTAGTTCCTGCTCCCCTCCCTAGGTGCCCTGGATCCCAGCCTCTCCTGCCTCCCCTAGGACTGAAACCCAATCCTCATCTCATTTCCTGCCTGTAAAACAACCGCTTCCCACAATAATTCATTATCCCCATCAGCAATTGACCTTTTATTGTGTGTTTGTTGATATTACAATTCTAGGGTATGTGATAAAGGTGCGGTTGTAGGAATGGATCCTCAGGAAATAGACTTTGAGATAGATGTTTCTAGGGGAGAGTTTTGGGGGAAACCTGCACGAGAATGAAGGAAGGACTGGACAGAGAAAGAAGTTGAACTTCTTGGCAATTGTGAGAAAGGGCTCAGCTCACCCCATGGGGACCTCTGAAGATGGCTGGTCCTTCAGAGATGTCTGGGATTGAGGCAGGGGACTGAGTGCCTTAGTCCTTTGAGTCCTTTGTGTCTCCAAGCAGCACGTTCCAGTTCCCACTACAGATGCATTGAAGGATTTTGGCTGGTTATGGTGAGACTTCTCAGGGTGGTTGGGTGGCTACCTCCGGGGTCTAATACTTAATCTCTGAGGCCCAGAACATGAATTTTCTTTATATGTCCATAGCTGATCAGTCTTTCTATGACAAATCACACTAATTAAATTTAGACAAGACAAATGAATACATGACAAATGGATTTGTTTACAATGAGATTGTCTCTTTGCAGTGATCAAAATGCTTGTGTTCCTACATGTTCTCACTTACAAGTGCGAGCTGAATGATGAGAACACATGGACACGTGGTGGGGAACAACACACACTGGGGCCTGTGTGGGGACAGTGGGGGAAGGGACAGCATCAGGAAGAATAGCTAATGGATGCTGGGCTTAATACCTAGGTGATGGGTTGATGTGTGCAGCAAACCACCGTGGCACATGTTTACCTATGTAACAAACCTGCACATCCTGCACATGTAGCCTGGAACTTAAGATAAAAGTTGATGGAAAAAAAGTTTGTGTTAGTTATCTCTAATATTCATTTCCCAGTATCAACACAGGGGAAAGATGGTAGCTGTGTAGAGATCTAAAAGTCATTAAGTCCAAATTAAAGGCAGGAAGTCAGCATGGTCCAATAAATCTCTCTGTAAGAAGAAAAACTGAAGGTATTCGATGCTTCAGATGGAAGGAGTAAGAAGCTAGAAAATATTCGTGATGTGGCAAGGACAAAATATGTTTCTTCTTTCTACAGAAAAAAAAGTCTAGGAAGAACTCAAAAAGGTACAAGAAAATCATGGTCCAAACAGAGGCAAAATAAAATGAATCGTAATTTTGAGTAACTGCAGGGATGTAATAAAAGAAAATCAATTCGGCTGTGCTCCTGGGAACATACTCCTTTGAGTCACCCAAAAGGTGGTGACATTGAATGCAAGAGGAAGAAATGTGATCCTAACGCAGTCCTTGGCTCTCCAGGGAACAATATTTACCCGCTCACAATAATGTTAATGCAGTTCATTGGCTTCAAACTAGCAGAATTAACCCATAGACCAAGCACAGAGGACTCATCATGCTTGCAGAACAGAATGTAATGTTACCAATCAGAACAATGGAAAAACAAAGATCAAGCTGGAAGAAGTTGAAAGGGGAAAGTGGGGGAGCTGGTATCTCCATCTCATACTGTGTGGAGTTGAGAAATATTGTTGAAAGTTCATGGAATGAGGCCAAACGTGGTGGATTATGCCTGAAATCCCAGCACTTTGGGAGGCTGGGGCAGGAAGACCACTTGAGGCCAAGAGTCTGAGACCAGCCTGGGTAACATAGCAAGATCCTATCTCTCCAAAAAGAAAAAATTAAAAATTAGCCAGGTGTGTTGACACGTGCCTGTAATCCCAGCTACTTGGGAGGCTGAGGCAGGAGCATTGCTGGTGCCCAGGAGTTCAAGGCTGCCGTGATCCGTGTTCACGCCACTGCACTCCAGCCTGGGTGACAGAATGAGGTCCTGTCTCAAAATAAATAAATAAGGTAAGTTCATGGAGTGAGAACTGGAATTTTAAGTATATTACTTAAAATTATGTAAGTAACCAATGGAAGGATTAAAAATAATACTAAAACCACCAAACTTTGGAAGGGAGAAGTGAAAGTGGAGGCAGAGTTAGTAGATGTTTACCTTTCAAAATAGGTAGATCATGTATACTATTGGTAAATTATGAAGGAGAAGAGTAAGCATATGATTTAAGGTTATGGAGGTAACCACCAGGAAAAACAAAAACAGAAGCAGTCAAGCGGTTGGCGTTGGGAAGCAGCTGCAGGTGGAGGCGATGTGGGAGGTAGAAGGTTACTTCTGTAGCATTTTATCTTTTCATCCTATGCATGTATTTCTTGGAAATTATGGAAAACAGGTATGATTTTAAAAATCACCAGGTAGAGTTTAATTATTAATCAAAAGGAGGTTTGGCAAGTATAGACTCAGAATGATTTGGGGGACAGGTCTCTTATGTTCTAGAAAAGCCCAGTGAAATCCTACTCTCCAGCAATGGAGAACACATTTTTGGTGCTCCCCTAATTTCAGGGCCTAACTCTACTGAAAAGAATTGGGTCCACACAGGCACACTTAAATGTGCGGGACTCTTTCTTTCACGAACCTCTCCTTTGTGTCCCGACAAGACAGATCAATGTCAGAGGACCACCTCTGACTTCTCCCCAAGCAAGCTCATTCAATCCTTTGTTGCTCAAAATAGGGAATAACTGGAGCCATGGTCCTAATGGTGGCAGCACATTAGACTTTCTTGTGGAGCTTTAAAAATATACCCTTGCCCAGGCCCCACCCCAGGCCAATTAAATCTGTGGCCCCGGCTTTGGTACTTTTTTATTTTAAAAAATTCCCCAGGTGCTTCTATTGTGCGGTTGGAATTAGAAGCGCAGCTGGAATTGAGAGGCACGGGTCCAGTCATTCTGTGTTGCTCATCAGAGGACTGAAGCAGGCCCACCTGGAGGTAGCTGACACTTCCTTCATCATCGCCGTTTTTGGAGAGTGGTCATACCCGACTTTTCCCCAGTTTCTCCCTGCCCATTCACTCCCCAAGCCCTGCTGTATGGCTTCCCCGCTGCCCACGTCTCTGGGAACTGCCTTTCCTCATTCTCTCCAGTGAGCTGCTAGTTGCTATGTCCAGTGAGTTCTCCAGTCCCTAAGCTTCTTCTCTGTGCAGGGTTTGAGCCTGCTGATAATTCCTCCTATCCTCAAATTCCCTCCTTGGTTTCTTTGACCCCCACTCTCCCTGACTCTCTTCCTTCCTCACTGCTCAGCCATCTTAGCCGGCTTCATGCGAACCATCCGCTGCTTGCGTGGGCCTCTCCTCTCCATCCCAGATCTGCCTGCGTGGGCCTCTCCTCTCTCACTGCTCACATTCTCCTGGGGGTTTCAAGTATCTTCTTGACTACTATTATCAGCTCACTGAGGATGACCTCAGGCCTTCACCTCCATCCCAGATCGGCTATCTGATTGCCTACTGGACATTTCCACCTCATGTCTTACAGGTACTTCAATCAAAACCTTCCGCCAAATGAAGCTCATCATCTATTGCCCAAATCCCTTCTCCCGTCTTCCTTGCTTTGTTGAATGGCCCCAGTTATCCAACCCCACTCAGTTATACAGCCCAAACTCCAGAAATTTCCTAGACACATCCCTTTTCTGCCTCCCACCAACATCCAGTTAATTCCGTTTTAGTCACCCCCTCTGCTCTATCTCTGCCAGGACTTCAAGTCTGTCCATCATCATCTCCTCCCTGGGTGGCTGCGAAGACCTCCCTACCCAGTCTCACTGCCTTAATCACGTCCCCTTGCAATGCTCACTTAGGTCAGAGCAATCATTCCAAAGCACAAATATGACTGTGTCAATCTCCTGTCTAAGACCCTTCAATCGCTTCCTCATGGCCTGCCAAGTCCAAACTTAGAAAGATCCACCAGGCAGTAATAACTTATTGCTCCCTCCCTCTCCAGTTTCAGCACCTGCTAGGACCAACAGATGCCCCGTGCATCTATGCACACTGAGTGCACCCACCCCCATCTTCCCGATCTGCCAGGCTGCTTCCTCCCAGCTTTCCAGCTTTCCCCTGCAGTCTACTGGACCTGGAACGCCCTCCTGGTTGTTTTCTATTCACACTTCAACCTTTTGTTCAGACCTTACCACGTTTAAGTCACCTCCTCCTCCTGTCTATTCTAGGGTCTGGCAAACAGTAGGTGCTCAAGCAATATTTACAGCATAAGCAAATACACAATGCTGTAAATTTTAAAGTGGAGTGTAGTATTACTACATGAAGAAGGTGCAAAAGATAATTATATATCTAACTCTCAAATACATTGACTTTAAAGGAAGTTTCTCAATGTACTCAGAAGAGCCCTGGGGACCCCCACAGAGCTGCCTGAAAGGCCGCTGATGGGGATCCCCATTTTTAAACGGGAGTACTTTCATCTATTTTATATGTTGGTCTTTGAGGAAGATCTAGCTTGAACAAAGTGTCTTGTGACTAAGGAATATGTGAAAAACAATTCTGTAAATTATTCAAACAAGGTGGAACATAATTTCCAGTTTAATTACCCCTGCAAAAGAAGTTCTCATATATCTGTTTTTTTGTCGTTGTTTTTTTTTGTTGTTGTTTGTTTTTAGCAGACTGCCACAGGAATGTATTTTTTCTTGATTTTCCTTAGTGTCTTAGTGACATACTTGGCAGGGTTTTTTTTTTTTTTGGCTTTTAAAAAAAGTTATTATTTTGAATCAATTGTATATGCATATGGTCAACAAAGTTAAGAGATAGAAAAGGAATTCAGTGAAAAATTACCCTCCTCACAAACACCCTGTTTCCATCCTCCGGAGACAACGCTGTGTCTGGCTTTAGCACATCATTCCAGAGATTTCTGTGCAGGGGCCACTGCTCTGCTGGGCAGGAAGCACATTCCCTTGGTGGGGACAATGGAAGGACAAGTCTTCTCCTAAATGTCGTGGACATGGTTTAATCATTACGAACTCAGAGTGGCCTCAAAAGACACCTGGCCCCACTATCCAATGACTGTCAGGAAGAAGGGCTTAACATCAACTCTTCCAATATCAAAACCATTTTTTGGCAGATAACCTCTAGCATTTGCTTGGCTCATAGCCAAATACCCATTTAGATCAGCTTATTTACTTACCTAGGGGTACATTTTTCTCCTAATACATTATGGAGGATTTATCAGGAAATTAGACTACTCAAAATGCGATGGTCTGTGGGTGCTTTGCTGAATATATATTTTTAATGACTGGAGTAAGCATTTGATATTTCAGTAAGTGGCGTTGGGACAATTCACTCTCAAATGAAAGAGAAAAGAAAAAAAATCGTAAAGAAAATAAAATTCCTACCTATTGCCCCCACTGAAATACATTAAAGAGGTACTAAAGACTGGAACATGGGGAAAATACACTAAAACTGTCAGAAGAAATTATAAGAGAATACCTTTTTGAATTTTGGAGAGAAAACGTTTTTTCTTTTCTTTTCTTTTCGTTTCTTTTGATATAGAATCTCACTCTGTTGCCCAGGCTGGAGTGCAGTGGCACGATCTTGCCTCACTACAATCTCCAAATCCTGGGTTCAAGTGATTCTCATGCCTCAAGTCTCCCAAGTAGCTGGGATTACAGGCATGTGCCACCATGCCTGGCTATTTTTTTTCTATTTTTAGAGGAGATGGGTTTTCACTTTGTTGGGCAGGCTGGTCTCGAACTCCTGGCCTTAAGTGATCCACCTGCTTCAGCCTCCAGGAATTACAGGTGTAAGTAATCACACCCAGCCAGAAAGTATTTTCTTTAAGACAATACAAAAAATACAAACTACAAACAGAGGTCTATCTGATTATACCTGATTTAAAACCTTTTGTAAAAAACACACCATGAGCTAGATTAAAAGACAAGTGGGGGCCTTGGAGAAGGTATTTGCAGAAGATCTAGCAGACAGAGAATTGTGACCTAGAACATATGTGATCCCTACAAATCAGGTGGAAAAAGCCATACAACCCCAAAGGAAAAACAGACCAAAAATATGAACTGAGAATGTATAGAAGGGGAAATAAGAACAGGCAATGTGTATATTAAAAAATATTCAGCTTCATGCAAACTTAGGAAAGTGCAGTTAAAACAATATGGTTTTTTTTTTTTGACCAATCACATTGGCAGAAATCTTGAGCCTGAGAATATCAAATGTTGGCTAAGCTGTGAGAGAAATGGTGCCCTCATTCACTGTTGTTGGGAGTGTAAATCAACAGAGATATTTAGGAGAACAATTTAGCAGCATTTTGTAAATTTGAAAACATGCATCCCCTGTAACAGCAATTTCATTTCTACGTATTTACTCCCACAGGTGCTCACAAGAGCACTGTCCAAGGATGTGTATTTCTGTTTAGTTTCAATCTAAATGTCCACCATGAGACTGGCTAAAATAGTGTGGTGTTTGTGGTCTGTAGAATACTTTGCTGCCTGCGTTAATTTGTTCGGGCTGGTATGACAAAGTACCACAGACTGAGTGGCTCAAACAACAGAAGTTTATTTTCTCACTGTTTTGGAATCTAGCAGTCTGTGGTCAAGGTGTCAGCAGGGCTACTTTCCTCGGAGGCCCCTTTCCTTGGGGTGGAGATGGCTGTCTTCTCCCTATGTCTTCACATGGCCTTTTCAAAAGAAAAAATCAACTTTTATTTTAGACACAGAGGTACATGTGCAGCTTTGTTACTTGGGAATATTGCGTAATCTGAGACTTGGGGTACAGATCCCATCATCCATATAGTGACCACAGTACCTGATAGGTAGTTTTTCAATTCCTGGCCCCTCTCTCCCTGCCCCCTCTAGTAGTCCACAGGGTCTATTCTTCCCATATATATATATATCCATAGGTGCTCAGTGTTTAGCATCCACTTATAAGTGAGAACATGCAGTATTTGGTTTTCTGTTCTTGTGTAATTCCCTTAGGATTATGGCCTTCAACTGCATCCATGTGGCTGCAAAGGACATGATTTCATTCTTTTTATGGCTGCATAGTATTCCATGGTGTATACGTATACCACATTTTCTTTATCCGGTCTACCGCTGATGGGCACTGGGTTGATTCCATGTCTTTGCTATTGTGAATAGAACAGTGATGAACATGCAAGTACATGTGTCTTTCTGGTAGAATGATTTATTTTCCTTTGGGTATATACCCAGTATATAATGGGATTGCTGGGTTAAATGGCAGCTCTGTTTTAAGTTATCTGAGAAATCTCCAGACTGCTTTGCATAGTGGCTGGACTAATTTGCATTCTCACTAACAGCGTATAAGCATTTCTTTTTCTCTGCAGCCTTGCCAGCATCTGTTGTTTTTGGACTTTCTAACAATAGCCATCCTGACTGGTGTGAGATGGTATCTCATTTTGGTTTTGATTTGCATTTCTCTGATGATTAGTGATGTTGAGCATCTTTCATATGCTTGTTGGCCAACTGTATGTCTTCTTTCAAGAAGTGTCTGTTCATGTCCTTTGCCCATTTTTAAATTTTAATTTGCATAAGTAAACTGGTAACACTGAGAGTGGGGTGATGCTGTAAAGATACCTGAAAATGTAGAAGCTACTTTGGAACTGGGTAACAGACAGAGGTTGGAACAGTTTGAAGGGCTCAGAAGAAGACAGGAAGATGTGGGAAAGTTTGGAACTTCCTAGAGACTTGGAGGGCTCAGAAGACAGGAAGATGTGGGAAACTCTAGAACTTCCTGGAGACTTGTTGAATGGCTTTGACTAAAATGCTGATAGTGATATGGACAATAAAGTCCATGCTGAGGTGGTCTTAGATGGAGATGAAGAACTTGTTGGGAACTGGAGTAAAGGTCACTCTTTCTATGCAAAGAGACTGGCACATTTTGCCCCTGCCCTAGAGTTCTGTGGAACTTTGAACTTGAGAGAGATGATTTAGGGTATCTGGAGGGAGAATTTTCTAAGCTGCAAAGCATTCAAGAGGAAGCAGAGCATAAAAGTTTGGAAAATTTGCAGCCCGATGATGTGATAGAAAAGAAAAACACATTTTCTGGGGAGAAATTCAAGCCTGCTGCAGAAATTTGCCTAATAACAAGAAGCCAAATGTTAATCACCAAAACGATGGGGAAAATGTCTCCAGGGCATGTCAGAGACTTTGGCAGTGCCCCCATCAATGTCCTGGAGGCCTAGGAGGGAAGAATGGTTTCCTGGACCCGGGCCCAGGGCCCTCCTGCTCTGTGCAGCCTTGAGACATGGTGTTCTGCATCCCAGCTGCTTCAGTTCCAGCCATGGCTAAAAGGGGCCAAGATACAGTTCAGGCCATTGCTTCAGAGTGCAAGCCTCAAGCCTTGGCAGCTTCCAAATGGTGTTGGTCCTGCCGGTACATGGAGGACAAGAATCAAGGTTTCGGAACCTCTGCCTAGATTTCAGAGGATGTATGGAAAAGCCTGGATGTCCAGGCAAAAGTTTGCTGCAGGGATGGAGCCTCATGGAGAACCTCTGTGAGGGCAGTGCAGAAGGGAAATGTGGGGTGGGAGCCCCCACACAGAGTCCCCACTGGAGCACTGCCTAGTGGGGCTATGAGAAAGAGGCCACCATCCTCCAGACTCCAGAGTGGTAGATCCACCTACAGCTTGCACTGTGCACCTGGAAAAGCCTCAGACACTCAATGCCAGCCCATGAAAGCAGCTGAGAGGGAGCCTGTACCCTGCAAAGCCACAGAGGCAGAGCTGCCCAAGGCCATGGGAGCTCACCTCTTGCATCAGTGTGACCTGGATGCGAGACATGGAGTCAAAGGAGATTATTTCAGCGCTTAAAGATTTGTCTGCTCTGCTGGATTTTGGACTTGCATGGAGCCTGTAGCACCTTTGTTTTGGCTAATTTCTCCCATTTGGAATGGGTGTATTGACCCAATGCCTGTACCTCCATTGTATCTAGGAAGTAACTAACCTGCTTTTGATTTTACAGACTCCTAGGCTGAAGAGACTTGCCTTGTCTCAGATGAGACTTTGGACTTGGACTTTTGGGTTAATGCTGGAATGAGTTAAGACTTTGGGGGACTATTAGAAGGGCATGATTGTGGTTTGAAATGTGAGGACATGGGATGTGGGTGGGGGGCATGGGTGGAATGATACGGTTTGTCTTTGTATCCCCACCCAAATCTTACCTTGACTTGTAGTTCCCATAATCCCTATGTGTTGTGGGAGGGACTTGGTGGGAGGTAATTGAATCATGGGGGCAGATATCCACATGCTGTTCTTGTGATAGTGAGTTCTCATGAGATCTGATGGTTTTATAAGGGCCTTTCCCCCTTTTGCTCAGCACTTCTTGATGCTGCCAGGTGAAGAAGGACATGTTTGCTTCCCCTTCCTCCATGATTGTAGGTTTCCTGAGGCCTCCTCAGCCATGTGAAACTGTGAGTCAACTAAACCTCTTTCCTTTATAAATTACCCACTCTTGGGTACTTCTTCATAGCCACGTGAAAATGGACTAATACATGGGGTTATTTATTTTTTCCTTGTTGATTTGTTTGAGTTCCCTATAGATTCTGGATATTAGGCCTTGGTTGGATGCATGATTTGCACATATCTTCCCCCATTCTGTAGCTTGTCTGTTTACTCTGTTAATAATGTCTTTTGTTGTGCAGAAGTGCTTTAATTTAATTGGGTCCCACTTGTCTATTTTTGTTTTTGTTGCAGTTGCTTTTGGGGAATTAGCCAAAAATTCTTTGCCAAGGCTGATATCAAGAAGAGTATTTCCTAGGTTGCTTTCTAGGATTTTTATGGTTTGAGGTCTTACATTTAAATCTTTAATCCATTTTGAGTTAATTTTTTATACGGTGAAAGGGTCCAACTTCAATCTTCTGCATATGGCTAGCCAGTTATCCCAGCACCATTTATTGAATAGGGAGTCCTTTCCCTGTTGCTTGTTTTTGTTAGCCTTCACATGGCTTTTCTTTGTGTCTGTGTCCTCATCGCCCCTTCTTATAAGGACAGCAGTCATATTGGATTACAGCTCACCCTAGTGATCTCATTTTAACCTAATTGTCTATTTAAAGACACTGTCTCCAAATACAGTCACATTCTGAGGTACTAGGAGATTGTGACTTCAACATACAAATTTTGAGGGGAACACAATTTAGCCCATAACCCTGCCCCTACAGGGAATGAGTAAGATCCATGAATAACAAAGTGTCTCCATCTCAGAAAGCAATGTTGAGTTGAATGTGCATGAGGCATAATGGTGCATACCATATGATACCACCTACCACTTAGAGGCGTGGAACACACCCACAGACCTACAGAAATCCCTTCTATATGTGAGTAAACATTTAAATGCCCTGGAATTGGCTGAGCACGGGGTGGGGGCGGGGGCTAACACCTGTAATCCCAGCACTTTGGGAGGCCAAAGTGGGGGGATCCCTTGAACCCAGAAGTTCAAGACCAGCCTGGGCAACATGGCGAAACCACATCTCTACAAAAAATGCAAAAATTATCTGGGTATGGTGGCATCTGTCTGTAATCCCAGATACTTGGGAGACTGAGATGGGAGGATCACCTGAGCCTGGGGAGGTTGAGGCTGCAGGGAACCATGAGTGTGACACTGCACTCCAGTCTGGGTGACAGAGTAAGACCCTGTTTCTAAAAAAGTAAAATAATAAAAAAAAAGAAACAGAGCCAGCTTATGTATTTTCCATGGAATCTCCTTGTCTTAAATGTCTCCTCTCATTCTAGAAATAGACCTACCTAATATATTCATCTATTATGTCACCTTGAGCAAATATATATTATATATAACATATTTTTAATATATATATTACATATATTTTTAATATATATATATTACATATATTTATACATTTATGTATTCCTCTGAGCTTTAGTTTCCTCATTTCTAAATTGGGATGAAAAATACTTGGTTCACTGGAAGTAGGTTCTCAACAAATTAACATAAGCTTTTCTCCTTCCCCTCTTCCATTCTTTGTTATGATCATAAAATACTGTGGTTTTCTGGTTTGGTCATTTACAATGTGACTTTAGGCAAGTTACCTACATTTTCTCATAATCTGCTTCATAAGATTGTGAAAATTAAAATTCGGCAGACAATTGTCTAAAGCCTGTAGCAGAAGGCTTGTCTCACGGTAGGAGTTCAGTAAAAGTTGCTTTCATCCTTCTAGAGGCATGAGCCTGTTATCCACCAGCAGAGATAGTTATTGCATTTGATATAATAATCATGTATTTATTTATGCTCCTCCTTATTCTAAAAGGATTTGTGTCTGCTTATAAAAAGTGTCTTCAGAATAATGAGGCCTAGTAAGGGAAAAATTGTATGAAGTAGTAGACAAGATCATTAACCACTTTCCTCTAACAAATGCAAAGAGGGGCTCATAGGGCTGATCCCTAAAGTGCGCCCACAGTTGCATAAACTCAAATGCAGCAAGAAGGAGCAAGGCCTTTCTAGGGAGATCAAGGTGAAATGAAGTCCCACTTTGCAGCTCCTTCATTCATGGTTTGACTTCACTCAAAAGCAAATTTAAACAAAGTATCTCCAGGAATGGATGAATTGACCATTCTTTCTGCTTTTAGAAACTCTTTTACAAATTTAAGGTATACCAAAAAAAAAAAATACACAGAATATTATACAGGTGTGAGCCGCTGTGCTCAGCCTGGCTCTATTTCTTTTCTTTTTCTTTTTTGAGACAGAGTCTCATTCTGTTGCCCAGGCTGGAGTTCAGTGGCACCATCTTGGCTCACTGCAACCTCCACCTCCCAGGTTCAAGCGATTCTCCTGCCTCAGGCTCCCAAGTAGCTGGGATTACAAGTGCGCGCCAACATGCCTGGCTAACTTTTTGTATTTTCATTAGAGATGGGATCTCACTATGTTGGTCAGGCTGGTCCCGAACTCCTGACCTCAGGTTATCCGCCCACGTCAGCCTCCCAAAGTGCTGGGATTACAGGCATGAGCTACCACGCCCGGCCCTGGCTCTACTCCTTTTGCCCCATCGTGTTAGTTTTCTGGGGTGGCCATAACAAAGTACTGTAGATTGGGTGGCTTCAACAACAGAAATTTACTTCCTCACAATTCTGTAGGATGGAAGTCTGAGTTCAAGATGTTGGCAGGATTGGCTTCTTCTGAGACCTCCCTCTTTGGCTTGTAGATGGCCGTCATATCCCTGTGTCTGCATATGGTCCTTCCTCTGTACATGTCTGTTCTAATTTCCTCTTTTTATACAGACACCAGCCATATTGCATTAGGGTCCATCCTTGTGACCCCATTTTAACTTAATTGCCTCTCTAATGACACTGTCTCCAAATATGGTCACCTTCTGAGGCACTGGGGGTTAGAATTTCAACACATGATTTTGAGAGGGAAACAATTTAAACCCATAACACCCATCATTTATGGTTAGGCTCACTCCCTGCTCAGCTCCAGCTACTGAGGAACTTGGTATTTTTAGAAAGCTTCCATGATTTGGAAAGGTAGCTGGTAGTCAAAAATAAAAAGAGCCCTAAGTCATAGATCTCTAGAGGAACGATTAGGACAAGAGCTGCCCTTTTTTATAATGAATAAGTCCTTGTGGGCAAGTCTCCATTTCATTTGATTTAAGCTGCATCTTACTTCAGTTATCCCATTGTTAAAGTGTTCAAACACAGCTGAGAATAAAGAACCTATTTCTTCACTGCATGAATGAAATTATCGAGCACCCAGATAAAAGCAACTTGTGTTTCCTGCCCAAATTTAACACCAGACTTGAAAAGGACAATCAAGTATCAGCTTGAATTGGTGGTTCTCTTAGATATTATTTACTAAAGTGATCTATTTTAGGGGGTTGGGGAGGTCTTCCCCAAACTAAATGGAATGACTTCTTACTTCCTTGCAATATAGATCACACAGAAAAGCCCCTCTCCTTAGCTCAATGTTCAAGTAATTCAGTGACTTTCTGCAGAAATGAGTCTTCCTTGCAGGTGATCTGTATCTGTTTTGAGATTATGCAGCAGGAAAGAAAAGCTCACCCTCACCACCTTAAAAAAAATAAATCTTCATTTTAGAAGTAACATGTGGTTTGGGACCCTGTTGTTCTTCATTTTTATTGACCTTCTCTCTTGGCACGTGTTGAGTTGCACAGCTTTAATTATCACTTATATACAGATGATACTCAAATTTACACTTTATTTCCAGCCCTTTCAGATGATGTCACCCTCGCCCCAAATTTTGGCTCACGTCTTGTCTTGGATGAACCACAACTTTCTCTAATTGAATATGGATGAGTTGAGGCTTTAGCAGTTTAGTTGTAAATAAACTCTAAATGCATTGGCGTTCACTTACCTCGTTGATATCCTGCCTCTCCAGTTAAGAGCAAGGGTGTTCAGTGACTCTGAATTATTCTCCTTCATTCATCAGAGACTGGACAGCCAAGGGATTAATCTCCACAAAAGATCCAAAGACATTTGACAGTTTCCATCACTCCCAATTTTGGCTGGAATTCTGGTTATCTCACGGCTGAAATTTGGTCGCGTTCTTTGGAAAGGCCTCCAATAAACCTCCTGTTTACGGTCTACTTGGAATATGGCTGCCCTTTGGCCTTGCACTGTGTACACAATCCCAGGACATATTTTCCTTCAGGCAGCTGTGCTAATTTCTTGTGCACTGAATAAAATGTAATTTGTTAAGATCTTGGCCAGAGTCTCTGCCTTCATATGAACTAGCTTTTGAAATGACTTAAAATGATGGTCTCTCCCTTTCAAGAGTCGCTTGCTGTTTTGTTTCATCATGTGGTTGGAGATATACTCTACACAGCACCCTGGTACTCATAGAACATGCTATCTTAAACAAAAGTGTATATTTGGAAACACTAGGATGATTTCATCATAGGCATTAGCCCATGAGTGCCTGGCACATAATAACCAATAAGCACTCACTAAATTGTTTTCGAATAAAGACTGAGAAAATGAATTTGTAATCCTTTGACCCATTTGTGGTTTTTGCTGCTGCAGTTATTTATATTTTCATCTACCCCTTAGATTATTATGTAACTGTGTTTGTGTAATGATTATTTCAGCTAGAACATATTGGAAACCTCCATTAACATAACTGAAGGGTATAAAATAGAATGTTTGGAGTTGTCTATTAGCCGATTTGTCTTACGTTGCTTTTCTTCATTATTTCAGTGCTGCTAACAGTTCATTCAGCACGTTTTAATTAAAATCAAACATATGTGGGCCTGCTAAGAACTCTAGTGTCTACTCGTGTAGTTAGACCGGGGTGGCAAACATTTCTAGCAGTGACCATACGATATCTTCCATTCATCTCAGCAGTAATCCTCCAAATCTCATTACTGGGAGGATGGCGGCTGCACTCGGTTAGGCTTTTCTTTATTTTTGCAGAGATGTATTTTTTCAGCCGGTTGCCTTGCAGAAAATCAGCTGTGGCCAGGGGCCTTTCCAAAGCTGAAGTCCCAGCATCTACAGAACTTTCTCCCACTTGTTTTCCATTTTTCCACTACCCATTTGTTCCTGCCCATGGGCTTCTGGCCTGATGATGTTCTAAAGAAATGCATAGTCTTCTGACAAGATCTCTTTTTCAGTTTGTACAAATATGTTAGGTATATTCTTGTGACTCGAGGGGACGATCATGGAACAGGTGCCAGCAGGGAACTTTGTTGATGGGTACGGCATTACCTGCATGAAGTCGCCATGTGTCAGAGTCTGGTCTTCAGCTCTGTAGACCCAGAAGCATGATTCTGCCAGTGTGGCGGGAGTAGTGTAGTCTCTTACTAACTGAGGACACAGAGGAGAATGTATTCATTTAAAATGAAAATGAGAACTATTGAAAAATAGTCACTCATACTGAGTGGCCCTATAGGGTACCATTCGAGAATGGGGACTCTGGAGTGAGACTGCGTGGGGTCAAATCCTGTTTGTGCTGCTCACTAGCTACGTGACCTGGGGCAACATTGCTAAATTCTACTAAGTGTGGCAGATAGACTTTAAGGAGGCCGCCATGATCCCTGCCTCTTCGTATTCACAGCTTGTGTCATGCTCTTCCCCACAAGGGCGGGTGGGACCTGTGATGTGCTTCTAATCAGCGGCAGACAGCAAAGGTGATGGGAAGCATGTGATTATGTTAGAGCATAGCATGTCTCTTTCCTGGGACACATGCCTTTGGAGCCCTGAGTCACCAGCCACCGTGTAAGTGTCCAGATACCCTGAAGCCACCGTAGTGGAACAACCAAATGGAGAGACCAAACAGAAATAGAGAGAGATGCCCAAGGAGTCGCCTGTCTTCATGCTCTAGCCTGCAACTGTTTGGGTCTTCCCAGTCCAGGCCCCAGACAGGTGTATGAAGAGGCCTTTAAAATGATTCTAGCAGCCAGGTGCGGTGGCTCATGCCTGTGATCCCAGCACTTTGGGAGGCCAAGACGGGTGGATCACGAGGTCAGGAGTTTGAGACCATCCTGGCCAACATGAAGAAACCCTGTCTCTACTAAAAATACAAAAAATTAGCCAGGCGTGGTGGCGCAAGCCTATAATCCCAGCTACTCGGGAGGCTGAGGCAGGAGAATTGCTTGAACCTGGGAGGCGGAGGTTGCAGTGAGCCGAGATCACGCCACTGCACTCCAGACTGGGCAACAAGAGTGAAATTCCATCTCAGGAAAAAAAAAAAAAAATTCTAATTCTCCCTACATGTTGACTGCAACCATGGCCAGTCCCAGAGCGAGAACCACCTAGCTGAACTCAGTCAACTTCTAGAACTGTGTGACACGAGAAGAAATGATTGTAGTTGTTGTAAGCCACTATTCTGAGATAACGTCTTAGGTAATCATAGAGAACATGAAAATATATATATCTCCAAACTCACGTGTGTATGCATATGTATTCATGCAGACATGTTTCAGGCTTGGTAATGAGATGGGGTCAATGCTATTGTCACATTTACCTGTTATATCATAAACGCTTACCTTCCGCATGGTCAGCATGTATGGTGTTGATTGTTTATAAATACCAGATCCATGATATACAGTCATTTGTAATTTTGCTGAGCCATGAATTTGAGTCACAGGCTTGTGGGCGGGAGTGAATTTCTTAGCTAGTGAGTGATCCTAGCTGACTGTCAAATAAACAGAGTTTTGTTCTCGATGTGTAGTTCTTTATGCAGTACATTTTATGATGTGATTTTTTTTAAAAGAGATGTGGTCTTGCTATGTCATCCAGGCTGTATTTGAACTCCTGGCTCAAGTGATCCTCCCACCTCAGCCTCCCAAGTAGCTGGGACTACAGGTGCATGCCATTGCACCTGGCTTAATGTGATTTTTTTTTCTTGAGGCTGTGTTCCTTTGTCAAAAAATCAGTTCTGCTAGTCCTAGTGTTCGAAATAAAGAGAAAATAAAGAGGCCTGAGAAAGACATTCCTAGCCCAATAATGAAATTTCAAGGAACAGAATGTCAAATGTGATGATGACTTGGCTTTATGATATGAAAACAGTTGGAGGATGTGATCTCAAAACAAGGAAGCATAATTCATTAAGCCATTTTGCCAAGAACTCTGATCAGAATGTGGTAGCTTATAAAGGCATTAGAAGCTTCAAGATATTATTCACATTTTTCAGTCAAAATATACCAGATTTGGGGAGGAAATGATATGCTATTGTTATATTCAACAATTTGTAGGGCGTTTGAAGGTGTAGGGACATATACCTCTTGCATGTCAACAGAATGTAGTCGTTAAACATTACATATGAGACCCTCTCCTAGGCTTGTGCAGCATTGAGAAAAATATAAGTCATTGTTCTTGCTGTTGAGATGCATACAGTTTATCCAGGTGATGGGTGTGGGGTAAGAAAGGAAATAAACAAAGGACAAGTTAAATATTACCACGTCACGTGGTGGTGAATGTAGGCTGTGATTCGCTGGTGTAGAGAATAAGGGCAGTTAGTTGAGGAGAGAGAGAGAACCTGAGATCTCTCAGAGGATAAGGTCCAAGCCCTTTGGCCAAGCATTTCAAGGCCTTCCACAATCTGGCTTCGACTTTATCTCCAATCTTCTCTCTCAATATCCTCTATGTAAAACAGCTCTTCCAGTCAATTTGGTTGATTCCTGAAGAAATACACCTGCCTCTCTGTTTATACCCTGTTAATTTAAGGAGTTTGAAATAAAATGAAGGAGAGATTGGAAACTTTACATGCATACCTACATATACACACAAAATAATTTCAGAATAAAACAATTTAAACTGCTTTCCTTTTAAATCAAACAAACAAATTCCTTAGCAGTAGTAAGTATAAAAACTTTCCATGCCTAATCTACCATTCTCCTTTCCCCTTCTGTCTGGCTAGAGTGGAATCAAAGCCCAGGGTGATCTTAGAAGCTACATGTTGAGGGAGGCGGAGCCTATAGCAGCCTGAGTCCCTGAATGACTGTGTGGAGGAAGTAGCCTAGCAACCAAGATTACCTCTATCAAACTGACGAATATGTAAGAAGTAAGCTTCTATTGTGATTAGCCTTTGACATTTGGAGTTTTTTATTCTAATAGCTAGCTTCTTAGCCACTTGGAATCCCCTTAACCAATATGATCAGTTCATATGAAGACATGGGAAAAAGCTATCACTATTGGACTCAAATGGACATTACCTATTACAGTGATAAAGGCTAACAGAATGGTATACATCAAGAGTGTGGATTCTGGCACCAAACTGCAGGATTTAAAGCCAATTCTACTGTTTATCATCTATATAATCTTAGGCAAGTGTATTAGGCAGGGTTCTCCAGAGACACGGAACCAAAAGGATTCACACACACACGAGAGAACAATTGGTTCACATCACGGTGGAGGCTTGGCACATCTAAAATCTCCAAATCTAATGGAGGAGGTCCAGGAAAGAGTCACAGTTCAAGTCCAAAGGCTGTCTGCCGGTGAACCAGGAAAAGCGATGATGCGGAGGAAGTTCAAAGGCTGTCTGCAGGCGGGGTTTCTCTTGCTCAGGGGAGGTCATCTTTGTGTTCTATTCAGGCCTTCCACTAACTGCAGAAGCCTCATATGGAGGGCAATATGCTTCACTCAAAGTCCACTGATTTAATAGTAAAGCTCCTCCAAAAACACCCTCACAGAAACATCCAGAATAATGTTTGAACAAATATCTGGGCACCATGGACCACCAAATTGACCCATAAAATTAACCATCCCAAGTCCACTCCTGTCAACTGGGCACCCACACACATCTCCCTAAACTGTACTTAATCTTCAAGTAAAGACAATCATAAGGTTATAGCTCTGCCTAACGTGATAGAACTATCCTGTGTACAGCCAAAAACCCACTAACCCTTTCCCCAGAAGAGGAGGCAAAGTCCATGAATGATCTTTCTTCTTCACCTTGAGATCCTGTAGCTTAAGTATATGACAGAAAGGTAACAATACTTAAATACTATGATACAAAGTCAATACAGCTTATGTTACACGATAAGCAGGTAAGAGAGGAAAACACACACATTCATAACAAAATCAGGAAGAAATACTCAGGACAATTAGAGTCCCTGTCTCTATAACTGGTCACTTGACTGTAGCTGGTATTTATGGCTACCTATATTCCCTTTTCCCTCAGCAATTACCTCAGCTTGTTGTGGTTCTTTGCCTGGTAGGATGCGCCAAATCTTCATTCTTGAAAGGTCTAGGCCATTAGTGGTCCTGTTTGGAGTGGGCTGTTGTAGTTTTCCATTGACTTTAATCACAGGGCATGACTAAGAGATGCCTTAAAGGATCTCCTGTATTCCAGACGTACTGTTCCTTACATCCATTGTGGAATGGCAGTCCAAAATCGCCTTGGCAGCCAGCATCAATCACCCCAGCCAGCACAGTCCCTCCCTTCTTACGTGATGTTTAGAGGCCTGAGGAGCCCAAAGTAGCTGAGTGGTGGTCTTATCTCCCAGGTCAATGGAATCATTATTATGTTTCCTGGTGGAAGCATTCCTGCCTTTGGTACTAAGACCTCTATGCCAGCAGAGTATAAGCTGTGGGGACAGGAAACAAAAATGTCACTGGTGGGTTATTAGGGGTAATAGTGAGTGGCACCACTCTTTTTCAACTCCTTGGTTTCTGGATACATTAATCCTGGTTATGGGGAGAAACAGCACTGTATTTTGGAGGCTGATTCAGAGCATACACGGCCTTCTGGAGGACCTTGCCCCAGCCCTGCAAGGTACTGCCACCTATCTGGTGCTAAAAGTCTTCAAAAGGCCATTTCACCCTCTGTCAAGCCAGCTGCTTCAGGAATGTGGGGAACATGGCAAGACCTTCCAATTCCATGGGCATGGGCCCACTACCACACTTCATTTTCTGTGAAGCAAGCTCCTTGATCAGAAGCAATGCTGTGTGGAATACCATGGTGGTGGAGAAAGCATTCTGTAAGTCTGTGGAGTGTAGCTTTTACAGAAGCCCTGCACGAGGGGAAGGCAAATCTGTATCCAGAGTGTCTGTTCTAGCAACAACAAAATGCTGCTCCTTTCAGGGTAGAAGAGGTTTAATGTAATCAGCCTGACACCAGGTAGCTGGCTGATCACCTGGAAAATTGGTGCCATAGCAGGGATTCAGTGTTGGTTCCTGCTGCTAGCAGATTGGCCACTCAGCCATGGTGATAGCCAGGTTGGACTTGGGGAATGGGAGTCCATGTTACTGAGCCCATGCGTAACCTCCATCCCTGCCACCATGGCAACTTTGTTCATGAGCTCATTGGGTGATGACAGGTGTGGCTGGGGAAAGAGGCTTCCTGGTATCCACAGAACCGGTCAGCCTATCTGCTTGATTATTAAAGTTCTCCTCTGCTGAAACCACCCTTTAGTGAGCACTCACATGGGACACAAATACCTTCATATTTTTTGCCTGTTTAGAGGTCTATCCACATAACTCTTTCCTAGACTTCTTTGCCATCAATTTCTTAATCATTTTCCTTCCAAGCCCCTGACCATCCAACCAAACCATTGACCACCATCTACTCTCAGTACCAAAATCTGTATTAATCAGGGTTCTCCAGAGAAACAAAACCAATAAGTTGTGTGTGTGTGTCTGTGTGTGTGTGTGTAGGAAGAAATTTATTTTAAGTAATTGGCTCACATCACGGTGGAGGTTTGGCATGTCTAGAATCTCCACAGTCTGATGGGGGAAGCTGCTAGGGTGGAGGCCCACGAAAGAGACACAGTTCAAGTCCAAAGGCTGTCCGCTGGTGAACCAGGAAGAGCAGGTGCGGCAGAGGAAGTTCAAAGGCTGTCTGCAGGCAGAGTTTCTCCTGCTCAGGGAAGGTCATCTTTGTGTTCTATTCAGGCCTTCCACTGACCGCGTGAGCATCCCCCACATTATGGAGAGTAATTTTCCTTACTTAAAGCATACCAATTTAAATGTAAATCTCATCTAAAAACACCCTCACAGAAACATCCAGAATATCTGGACATCTGGCCCAGCCATGCTGACACATACAAGTAACCATCACAGGAAGTTGCTCAGTCTCTTAGCGTCTTAGTTCCCTCGCCAATGAAATGGAGATAATAACAGAAACTTCCTATTGGGTGAACATGAAGATGAAACGGGTTGATGCATGTGTTTACAGCAGTGCCTGCCCTCAGCACTTAGGGCTTGATCTTTCATGTTATCATCACAGGCTTTGGCCCCAGGCTTCACCCAGGTGACAATACTAAGAACAAGTTTCAGCAGGGCCACCAAGAATAACAGGGGCCTTTGGTTGGGAACACCACTAATATGATGAGAGACTCGGTATGTTAGAATTCTGATGGAGTAGCAAATGGAGACTTGCATACTACCGATTGCAGGCTACCCTGGCCAGTACGCCGTCAGTCAGTGGCGGTTTTTTTCTTGTTTTATTCCATGAATAAATTTTAATGTATTCAGTTTTCCCCCATAAACTGCTTATTTACTGCTCATATTAATGCAATGTGGCAAAACCATTTACGTGGCTGGAGTCTTTTGCAACCTACTAGAGCATTTTTCCTGCTTTGCTGTCCCTTTGTGTCTTGTGAGAAAATTCATTTTTGCTCTACATGTTTTTGAATTAACTGGCACATCTCAGGAATGTAAGAGCAACATAAATCCAGAGGCTGATGTAGAGCAGAGAGATTAAGAATCTGGCTGGGTTTGGCCAAAATTGGGTGTGAACCTTTCCGGGACCTGGCTCCTCAGCACAGGGTTATTGTGAGGATTGTATGGGGAGCCCCAACACATTGCCTGCTCCCCAGGAAGTGCTCAGGGAATGTGAACTAGGATGATTCCTTTCATAGCAATGCCTTATACTAGGGGTCCCCAACCCCCAGGCCATGACCAGTACCAGTTCATGGCCTGTTAGGAACCAGGCCACACAGAAGGAAGTCAGCTGTGGGCATGCAAGAGAAGCTTCATCTGTATTTACAGCCACTCTCCGTCACTCACAGGACCACCTGAGCTCCGCCTCCTGTTGATCAGCAGCAGCATTAGATTCTCATAGGAAAGCAAACCCTATTGTGAACTGTGCATGCAAGGAATCTAGGTTGCATGCTCCTTATGAAAATCTAATGCCTGATGATCTGTCACTATCTTTTATCACCCCCAGATGGGACTGTCTAGTTGCAGGAAAACAAGTTCAGGGCTCCCACTGATTCTACATTATGGCAAGTTGCATAATTATTTCATTATGTATTGCAATATAATAATAATAGAAATAAAGTGCACAATAAATGTAATGTGCTTGAATCATCCCAAAACCATCCCCTGACCCCAGTCCATGGAAAAATTGTCTTCCACAAACCAATTCCTGGTGCCAAAAAGGTTGGGATCCGCTGCCCTATAGTGTTGTTAAAGTGTTCCCCTTGCTCTGGGGAGATCTAGCTGCCTGGGTCCCTGAACGACTGTGTGGAGGAAGCCATCTAGCAACCAGGATTGCCTCTATCAAACTGTTACATATGCAAGCAGTAAACTTCTTTTGTGGTTAGCCTTTGACATTTGGTGTTTGTTCTAGCAGCTAGCTTTGGAGATACTTTGCATTACCCTAACCAGTGTGGTCAGTTAATATTGCAAGAAGGTCACTAACATTCTCAACGTCCTCTCCATCTCTACAGGCTTTGACCTACTGTAGAAAGTGTCTCCTACACAACTTATTTACCCTCAGCATCTAAAAGCATCAGTGCTTCTCTTTTTATGGAAATGTCCTACCTCCCCAGTTAGACAATACCGTGGGTATGGATTTCAAGGTGCAAGAAATGCATTTCTTTACTGAATTTATTTCTTGAGTTTTTGTGCCACAGGGATAGCAGAAAAGAAATTCTAGTTAGTTTGGGGGTTTTCTAATGTTTTTTATTTGAACCCAAGTTCTGGTTTGTGGAGGCATAGCTGGCCTTTAATGTCATCAACTGATGGAGACATCCTCATTTATTTGATATTTCATTGTCAGTTAACTGTGAGATTTTTACTCATTCTTTACTATAAGGCCCTTCCATTGGTTCAGGGCTCAGCTGCTCCGATTCCCTTTATAGGTATGTAAATATAAAGAGGCTTGTGTGAGAGTCCAGGGTATCAGAGAACCTGTCTGTGGGTCAGTGGGTAGAAGAAAGTACTAAGGACAACAACAACAACAACAAAAACAGCCAAGATTGTTATACATCAAAAATATAATGCCACCACAAAAAGTAAGCCCCTTGAGGGCAAGAACTGTATCCTGACCATATCCTGGTATCCTGTCCAGCAAATCAAGTTTTTCTTTTCTTTTCTTTTTTTGAAACAGAGTCTCATTCTGTCACCCAGCAGGGAGTGCAGTGGTGCCATCTTGGCTCACTGCAACCTCCGCCTCCTGGGTTCAAGTGATTCTCCTGCCTCAGCCTCCTGAGTAGCTGGATTACAGGTGCACACCACCATGCGCAGCTAATTTTTGTATTTTTTGGTAGAGATGAGGTTTCACCATGTTGACCAGGCTGGTCTTGAACTCCTGACCTCAGGTGATCCCTGCATTAGCCTCCCAAAGTGCTGGGATTACAGGTGTGAGTCACTGCGCCAGGCCAAATCAAGTTTTTCTTAATCAATATTTGCTACTGCTCTTAAATGAGGAAGAACAGTCAATGGGCCACAGAAATGGAAAAAAAGATTCCCAGTGTTCTTAAAACAGTAACTTTGGCCGGGCACGGTGGCTCATGCCTGTAATCCCAGCACTTTAGGAGGCCAAGGCAGGCGGATCACAAGGTCAGGAGATCGAGACCATCCTGACTAACACGGTGAAATCCCGTCTCTACTAAAAATACAAAAAATTAGCCGGGCATGGTGGCGGGCGCCTGTAGGCCCAGCTACTCCAGAGGCTGAGGCAGGAGAATGGCGTGAACCCGGGAGGTGGAGCTTGCAGTGAGCCGAGATCGCGCCACTGCACTCCAGCCTGGGCGACAGAGCGAGACGCCGTCTCAAAAAAAACAAAAACAAAAAGAAACAGTAACTTTAAGCATGGAAGGGCACTGTTATGGACTGAATTATGTCCCTCCAAAATTCATGCATTCAAAGACCCCAAATACCTCAAAATGTGACTATATTGGGAGACAGAGTTTTTAAAGAGGTAATTAAGCTTAAATGAGGTCACCGGAGTGTGCCCTAAACCAGTAAAACTGGCCTCCTTAAAAGGAGAGATTAATAGTCAGACACACTCGGAGGGAAGGCTGCTGTGAAGACACAGGGTATTACTTTTATCTTCAGTGGTGGCTGCTAAGACCAAAAGAAGGCAGTGCTATAATTGAGGAGGGTGGAACTGAGTTGAATCTTCAGCTCTGTTGAAGGAAGTTTTTTAAAAGTCATACTATATAAGTTTGTTTCTCAATATGCAAAACTGAACGTATTATTTCTGCCTCTAGCGATGTTGGAATAACCAGTTCTACTTGTTTCCTTCCTACCTGTAAACAGCTAGACAACTGGAAAATTATATGATACAATTGTTTTCAGATATTGGACAGCAAAAGTATAATTCCTGAGACAAAGGAAACAAAACAGAGTGAAAGAACCACCAGGGAGCTATAAACTGGAACATTCTCAGCATTCATGATGATGTGGAAGACAACCCAGTCGGTGTGGAGAGATCTCACTGACCATTGTATTAGCTTTCTGTGGCTACTGTAATACCTTACCATAAATATGGTGGTTTAAAATAACAAAAATGTATTATCTTACAGTTCTGTGGATGAGAAGTCCAACACAGATGTCACACTGGGCCAAGATCACCGCATGGTGCTGTCCTTTTTGAAGGATGTAGGGGAGAATCCACTTCTTTGCCTTTTTCACCTTCCAGAGGCCACCTACTTTCCTTAACTCATGGCTTCCTCCCTCATCTTCAAAGCCAACAACATTGAGCCAGGTCCTTCTCATGCTGCTGTCTTTTTGGTTCTTTCTTCAGCATCCCTATTCTGCTTTTAAGGACTCTTGAGCCCACCTGGATAACCCAGAATAAGTTCCCTGTTTTAAGGCATGCTGATTAGCAACATTAATTCCAGCTGCTGCCACCTTAATTCCCGTCTGTCATGTAGCCTAACATATTCCCACGTTCTGGGGATTCAGATGTGAACATCTTTGGTGGAATAATTTTGCTTACTATAACCACTGAGGCATTTATTAGAGACCCCAGAACAGTCATGCCGTAGTATTATGATAAACTAGTCCTAAAGTGACGGCTACTCTAGACCCAACCTAACAAAGCCTAAAGACAAGCTTGAAAGGATTAAGCTGATCCACAAGTAAGTTAATGCCTGTCAAAATAAACTTCAATACTCTTTAAAGAAAGGCAACAAAATCCAGACACAATGTCACAAAACAATGTGACATTAATAATCACAATCAAAAGCTACTGGACATTCAAAGAAGCAGGAAAATACGATTCATAACCAGAAGAAAAATTAATCAATAGAAATCATCCCATAATGACTGATAATGGAATAATCAAATGAGGACTTTAAAATAGTTCTTATGAATGCGCTCAAGAGTTTAAATAAAAACGTGACCATATGAGGAGAGAAATACAAACCATCAACATAAAGTCAATGGAATTTCAATGGAACCAAATGAAATGAAAAATTCACTGGAAATTTTAATTAGAGATTGGACACCGAAGAACAAAAGGTCAGTGAACTAGAAGAAATCATGAAAGAAACTATCTAGGCCGGGCGCGGTGGCTTACGCCTGTAATCCCAGCACTTTGGGAGGCCGAGGTGGGCGGATCACGAGGTCAGGAGATCAAGACCATCCTGGCTAACACGGTGAAACCCCGTCTCCACTAAAAATACAAAAAATTAGCCGGGCGAGGTGGCGGGCGCCTGTAGTCCCAGCTACTCGGGAGGCTGAGGCAGGAGAATGGCGTGAACCCTGGGGGACGGAGCCTGCAGTGAGCCGAGATCACGCCACTGCACTCCAGCCTGGACAGCGAGACTCCGTCTCAAAAAAAAAAAAAAAAAAAGAAAGAAACTATCTAGACTGAAGCACACAAAGAAAAAGTCTGAATAAAAAAGAAAGGCCTGGCGCCGGCTCACGCCTGTAATCCCAGCACTTTGGGAGGCCGAGGCAGGTGGATTGCCTGAGGTCAGGAGTTCAAGACCAGTCTGGCCAACATGGTGAAACCCCGTCTCTACTAAAAATACAAAAAACTTAGCTGGGCGCGGTGGCGGGCACCTGTAGTCCCAGCTACTCAGGAGGCTGAGGCAGGGGAATTGCTTGAACCAGGGAGATGGAGGTTGCAGTGAACCAAGATCGCGCCACTACACTACAGCCTGGGCAACACAGTGAGACTCCGTCTCAAACAACCAAACAAACAAAAAAAGAAAAAGAAAAGAAAGAGCGGTCGTTTCCTGAAGCCGGCAACCGCCTCAGTTGTCAAACCGGTGCTAGCGACACGGGAGTGGCTAACGCATCCTCTTGCCGTTCCCGGTGTTTGGACCTTGCCTGCCTGCGACGGTGAGAAGAGGAAATGGCCTTGCGGGCTACAGCTGGGGCTGCGGTCAGCGCTTCGATCATGAGACCAATTCCGATGATGCCTGTACATACCACCCAGGTGTTCCAGTCTTTCACGATGCTTTAAAGGGTTGGTCTTGCTATAAGAGAAGAACAACTGATTTTTCTGATTTCTTAAGCATTGTACACTGCACAAAAGGTAGACATAATAGTGAGAAGCCACCTGAACCAGTCAAACCTGAAGTCAAGACTACTGAGAAGAAGGAAATATCTGAATTGAAACCCAAATTTCAGGAACACATCATTCAAGCCCCTAAGCCAGTAGAAGCAATAAAACGGCCAAGCCCAGATGAACCAATGACAAATTTGGAATTAAAAATATCTGCCTCCCCAAAACAAGCACTTGATAAACTGTCGTCAGGGAATGAAGAAGATAAGAAAGAAGACAATGAAGAAATTAAGATTGGCACCTCATGTAAGAATGGAGGGTGTTCAAAGACGTATCAGGGTCTAGAGAGTCTAGAAAAAGTCTGAGTATATCATTCTGGAGAAGCTATTTTCCGTGAGGGGATGAAATACTGGAGCTGTTGTAGAAGAAAAACTTCTGATTTTAGTACATTCTTAGCCCAAGAGGGGCTGTACAACAGGGGAACACATGCGGACTAAAAAGGATGCTGGGAGGCCGGGTGCGGTGGCTCACGCCTGTAATCCCAGCACTTTGGGAGGATGAGATGGGCAGATCACCTGAGGTCAGGAGCTCGAGCCCAGCCTGTCCAACACAGAGAAAGCTTGTCTCTACTAAAAATACAAAATTAGCCGGGTGTGGTGGCGCATACCTGTAATCCCAGCTACTTGGGAGGCTGAGGCAGGAGAATCACTTGAACCCGGGAGGCAGAGGTTGCTATGAGCCGAGATCACATCATTGCACTCCAGCCTGGGCAACAAGAGTGAAACTCCGTCTCAAAAAAAAAAAAAAAAAAAAAAAAAAAAAAAGAAAGAAAGAGAAAAGAAATAAAAGGATTCTGGGAAAAAAGTTGTTCCATGTAGACATGACTGGCATCAGACTGGAGGTGGACTTACCATTTCAAGCATATGCTAAAAATTCACTTCCAGAACTTAGTCGAGTAGAAGCAATAGCACATTGTTAAATGTGCACATTGTATTTGAAGGAGAGAAGGAATTTGATCAAAATGTGAAATTATAGGGTGTGACTGATGTAAAGCAAAGTTACGTAACTTTGACTGCAACAAAGATTGAGATCACTATGAGAAAAGCTGAACCGATGCAGTGGGCAAGCCTTGAACTGCCTGCAGTGAAAAAGCAGGAAAAACAGAAAGAAGACACAACAGATTGAGTGGGAGATGGGAGGAAGGCTATCCTGTATTTCAGAATTCTTAATACCGTGTGAAGTGGTGGCTTGCTGCCCTAATTTTTGTTTTGTTGTGGTGTTACTGAATCTGGCATTTCAGGGTTAACATTAGGTTCTTAAAAGCCAAAGTCAGTTTGTCTTTTTGTGCCTCTCGTCTTTCTTTTATGTTATATAAGATTGATTATTAATTTCTCCTTACTGGTAGGAACCATAGTTGTGTCCTATACTTGAAAAGGCTGGAAATAGCCCATTACTGTAATTGCAGTATTTCTTTGTATTTCTCGGTTGAGCACAGAAATATTAAGGAACATGTTTTTTATGTCTTTCTATTATTCCATGATTAGTAAAGCAAGATGAAATGTCAAATTTTAATCAGTTTTTCATGGATTTGTGTTCTTATAGTACTTGAAAATATTTAAGGAAGAGATGAGAAGCTCTGCAGTTTTTTCTATGTGGGATGATTACTTTCTTAAGGAGGATTAATTCCAAGGTAGTGTAGTAAGTAAAGGGGAATATATGAACTGTTTAGCAAATTAGAATTTGTTTACAACTACTTGAATTTTTAAATTACGTCAAAACTTACATTGCTTGCCAAGCAGTATGATGTAAGTGTACAGGAAGCATAAGTAAGAATGCAGAGGTATCAATTTGGTTAAAATTCACCATTTTATAAGACTAAGCAATAATCTTAAAAACCTCTTTCCTGAATATTTAAATGTGTTTGTATGGTGTTATGACTAATTGTTACTTAGTTAGAGACTAAACCCTCTTAAAACCTTTAATTAGTTAAATATAAAAAGAAATTATATATGTCTTGCCTCCCTGATGGAAAACTATATAAAATTGGAGACTCAAAAGGTTTGTGGAAATACATTAGGGTATCAGAAAACTAAATATATGGACTTGCTTTATGACTATCTATTACATGTTAAATAAAATAGCTTAATTCTTTTGGAGTTTTTTAAAGTAATTCATGAAGAGCTTCACAATTCTAGTGATACAATGTTGATTATATATTTACTTTATTTATATTAAATATAGGTAACACAGAATTAGATTGTTTGGATAGGTTCTGAAGCAGTGCAGAACTCAAGAAGAAAAATTAGGAAATATTATGAAGTCCAGAACTCTGGAAGAACTTAGAAAGTTTGGGAATAAATTAAACTTACATAGATTTAAAAAGAAAATAAAAGGGGTTTATTTCCCAAACCCCTTGAGTCTTTTCTTTTCCTTGGTATTTATGAAATTCTTACAAAGAAAAATTTCCAGAAGTACTATTTTTGTTAATAAAGCATAAATATCATTCTACTACCATTAGCAAATAACTTAGATGTAGTTAATATAATTGTTAAAAGGCTTAGCTGTGTTACAAATAAAAACAAAAAGATCTGGCGACCAGAATTTCATGACGTTACATTACCATGACAAGAAACTCTGGGCAGTAAAAGTTGGGCCCACATTGTGTGTATAAGTATCTAATACCTTGAGATCTACTTAAAAATCTTCAAGTTATCTTTCATGATTTAGGAACCATTTAGAGACATGAAGTCTTTACGGGTTGGGGGAAAGGTTGATACTTAGTTTGATCAAAAGTAATGATTAATATACCTTTTTTTTTGAGATGGAGTCTTGGTCTGTTGCCCAGGCTGGAGAGCAGTGGCATGATCTCGGCTCACTGCAACCTCTGTCTCCCAGGTTCAAGCGATTCTCTTTGCCTCAGTCTCCCGAGTAGCTGGGACTACAGGCGCCCGCCACCACGCCCAGCTAATTTTTCGTATTTTTTAGTGGAGACAGGGTTTCACCATGTTAGCCAGGATGGTCTCGATCTCCTGACATTGTGATCCGCCCGCCTCGGCCTCCCAAAGTGCTGGGATTATAGGCGTGAGCCACTGCACCAGGCCACCTTTTTTTTTTTAATACTTCCTTCTGAGGCTGTTTTCCCCAAACAGGATCTTAATCTGATATATGTGATTGAAATATTATTTAAAGCAGTGAGTTATTGTAAACTCAGATTAGTTACATTGATCAATACATTGATTTTTTAAGATACATATACACACACTTATATATATAGCTTTTATATTTAGTCTGGTTACATTAGTAACCATGGTATTTTGTTTCTTATTTCTTAAGGAGCCTTTGAATTTGTTGTCCAGATAAAAATCTGAATGATATTTATCTTAGACTCATACATAAAGGGACACAGTTATTGTCAGGTAGCATATGTTTTACTATCGGTTAATAAAAAATGCTTTATTGATTTGTTTCTCTTAAAAAAAAAAAAAAAAAAAAAGAGGCCGGGCACCGTGACTCATGCCTGTAATCCCAGCACTTTGGGAGACCAAAGTGGGTGGATCACCTGAGGTCAGGAGTTCGAGACCAGCCTGGCCAACATGGTGAAAACCCATCTCTCCTAAAAAAAATACAAAAATTAGCTGGACATGGTGGCAGGCACCTGTAATCCCAGCTACTCGGGAGACTGAGTCAGGAGAATAGCTTGACCCTGGGAGGCGGAGGTTGCAGTGAGCCGAGATTGTGCCATTGCACTCCAGCCTGGGGGCAAGAGCGAGACTTTGTCTCAAGAAAAAAAGAAAGAGCATTAATGACCCTTGGGAAAATATTAAGTGGTCTAATGTATAAAAAATAGGAGTCCCAGAAAAGGGAGAACAAAAAATTTATTTGAAGTAATAATGGCCAAAATTTCCCCCAATTTAATGAAAAACTATAAATATATAGCTCTGAGGCTCAATGAACCCCAAGCGGAAAAAAATATAAACAAAACACGTCATAGTGAATTGCTGAAAGCCAGTAATAAAAAAGAAATTCTTAAAAGCAGATAATAAAGACATATTACATACAGGGAACAAAGACAAGAATATTCACAGACTTCTTGTCAAGAACAATGCAAGCCAGAAGACAGTAAGTATGTGTTGTCATGGAGCTAAAAGTTAAAAAAAAAAGTCAACACAGAATTCTATATCCAGCAAAAATAATCTTTAAAAAAAAACATAAACAAAATAACACTTTTCATCCAGGAGACCTCCAAGATAAGAAATGTTAAAGGATTGCACAAAGTCCATCACAACCTTACACATGAAAAAATGCTTCTGCAAGAACATCTGCCCAACACCTGCCTGTCTAGCATCAGATGAGTGTCACTCTTATTATTGATCTTTATAGCCAAGGATAAGTATCTTCAAACAATTATGCAATTCTCCTCATTTTTTCTTTAAAAACTTTTGTCTTTCTTTACCTCCCTGAATATGCATATAGTTTATCATGGTGTACATATTCCATTGCAATGCCTTACCCTGGAATTAACATAATTTTCTTTAAAAAAAAAAAAAGAAATGTTAAAGGAATCTTTTTGCACTGAAGGAAAATAATACCAAGTGGAAAATTGGATTTACATAAAGGAAGGCACACTGGAAGTGGTAAATATGTGTGCAAATGTAAAATATATTTCCCCCTTATTTACAAATTTCTTTTAAAATGAGTTGAATGTTTAAAGCCAAAACAATAATATATTGTGGATTTATTATCTATGTGAAGTAAAATGTATGCCAACAATTGCATAAAGGACCCAAGGGGAGGAAAGAAAATATACTATTGTAAGATTCTTGGTTATATAATAAGAGATATACTATAATTTGGAAGTAGACTGCAGTAAGTTAAAGATGCATATTGTAAACCCTATACTGTACTCCACTAAAAAATAGAACAGATAGATATAGGTGATAAGACAATAGAGAAAAAATGGAACCTAAAAATACTCAATCCAAAAGAAAGCAGGGAAAGAGGGGAAAAAATAAAAACAGATAACCAAGTAGAAATAAAATAGTAAAGTGGTAGACTTAAATCCATCCCTATCAGTAGCTACATTAAATAACAGCACTTAAATTAAAAGCCAAATATTGTGAGACTGGATAAGAAAGCAAGACCCAATTCAGAGTTGTCTAAAAGAAACCCAATATATAGACAACAAATGGATGAAAATAAAGGAATGGAAAGAGATACACTATACAAACACTAATAATAGGAAAACAGAGGTGGCTATATTGATATCAGGCCAAGTGGACTTCAGAATAAACAATATAACCATGGATTAAAAAAGGCAATTCACAATAGTAAAAGGATCAATTCATTAAGAAAACACAACAGTCCTAAGTGTATATGTGCCTATTCACAGAGCTTCAAAATACATAAAGCAAACACTGAAAGAACTGAGAAGAGAACAAATTTTTAATTCACAATTATAGATGATTTTCAAACTGAACGGTTTTCTTGCCCAACAAATGGTGTTGGGAAAGCTGGATCTCCACATTGTAAGAATAAATTTGGACCCTTACCTTATATCATATATAAAAATTAACTCAAAGTGTATCAAAGAGCTAAATGTAAGAGCTAAAATTATAAAACTCTTAGAAGAAAACAGAAAAATTTCATGACATTGGATTTGACAAGAATTTCTTGGATATTACATCAAAAGCATAGGCAACAAAAGAAAACATAGATAAACTGGACTACATCAAAATCTAAAAATTTGTGCATGAAAGGACACTCACTATCAACAGAGTGAAAAGGCAACCCATGGAATGGGAGAAAATATTTGTAAATCATATATTTGATAAGGGATTAGTATCCAGACTACATAAAGAACTCCCACAAGTCAATTAGAAAAAACCAAATAATCTAACTAAAATATGAGCAAAGGACTTGGATAGCCATTTCTCTGAAAAAGATATATGAATAGTCAATAAGCACATAAAAAGATGCTCAACACCACTAATCATTAGGGAAATGCAAATCAAAACCACAATGAGAAACCACTTCACACCCATTTAGATGGCCATCATTTAAAAAAACAGAAAATAACAGGTGTTGATAAAAATGCAGAGAAGCTGGAATTATTATGCATCGCTGGTGGGAATGTAAAATGGAGCTGCTGCTATGGAAATTATTTGAGCAGTTCCTCAAATAATTAAACAAGGAATTACCATATGATCCAGCAATTCCACTTCTGGGTGTCTACCCAAAAGAACTGAAAGCGGAGACTCCAACATGTATTTGTACACCCATGTTCGTAGCAGCATTATTCACAGTAGCCAAAAGGTGGACAACCTAAGTGTCTATGAACAGATAAATGGATAAACCAAAGATGGTACATACATACAGTGAAATGTTAATTCTTCAGCCTTAAAAAAGAAGGAAATGCTGACAAAGCTATACAACATAGATGAAACTTGAAGACATTACGCTAAGTTAAATCAGCCTGTCACAAGAGAACAAATACTGTATGATTCTTCTTATATGAGTTTCCTAGAGTAGTCAAATTCATAGAAACAGAAAGTAGAAGGATGGTTGCCAGGAACCTTGGGGAGGGAGCAATTGGGAGATAATTATGTTTAACGGGTACAGAGTTTCAGTTGGAGAAGGGGAAAAAGTCCTGGAGATGGTTGCTGGTGATGGTTGCATAACAATGTATACGTATTCAATACCATTTAAATGTACACTTAAAAATGATTACAATGAAACCGTGTGCAGTGGCTCATGCCTGTAAACCCAGCACTTTGGGAGGCCAAGGCAAGTGGATCGTGAGGTCAGGCGTTCGAGACCAGCCTGGCCAACGTAGTGAAACCCTGTCTCTACTAAAAACACAAAAAATTAGCTGGGCATGGTGGCAGGCGCCTGTAATCCCAGCTACTTGGGAGGCTGAGGCAGGAGAATTGCTTGAACCTGGGAGGTGGAGGTTGCAGTGAGCCGAGATTGCGCCACTGCACTCCAGCCTGGGAAACAGTATGAGACTCCATCTCAAAAAAAAAAGAGAGAGAAAAGAGAAGAAGAAATAATAAAAAGGGTTTGGGAAGGGGACATTAACATTCTTTGGGATGATTAAATTTCTTTTTTTTTTTTTCCACGTAAGAGGGAAATTCTTATATTGCAGTCTGGCCCAGTTCCCCAGTTACTCTCTAAGAGAACTCCTGTGTGCTAGAAGTCTGTGGCCAAGTGGGCCTGTGGGTCTGTAAGCTGGCATGGGAACTAGGTTTTTCTTACTTCCCAGTTTAATTTAAGGGAAGGCGCTTTGCTGAAGTGCTTAAACAGGAAGGAGAAATTACCAACACTGTTATTTTCTCTTGCGACAGCTTCAAGACTCAAGCTAAAGCTACCATTATCCTTTTCCCTCGGTTCCTCTAAAAATACTCATCTCCCTATTGGATTCCACAGAGATGGGAACTTCGGTTGGTTCCACAGGTGCAGATGGAGCCACAGGTTCCCTGGTCCTTATAGGCTCTGTGCAGTGATGAGGGACCCTGTCCTTCAGGGGCCTCTTGTTTATCCATGGGTGTTCCCTGTGGATTCGGGTGTCGGGCCAGATCCCAGACTCAGATATGGACTTCCTTTTTGAAAGACAGAATGAATAATCAATGTATCCAGTAATGAAGAGACCTCATGAATAATTATTTCAACTTGGTGCTAATTCATATCTGATGCCAAAGCAGTACCCTCACATAGAACGACAGAACTCTGCATGGACATAATTTTTTAAATGGGGCTAACAACAGTATTGGTTAACATTGGGAGTATTTTGATATATTGATTTCTTTACTCCTTCACAAGGCAGGTTTTATTATTATCCCCATTTCACAGATGAGGAACAGAGAATCCAAAGATAACTAATCAGTTACGGGTTCGTCTATAATTTTTTTTTTTTTTGAGACAAGATCTTGCTCTGTTCCCCAGGCCAAAATGCAGTGGCATGATCACAGCTCATTGCAGCTTTGACTTCCCAGGCTCAAGCAATCCTCCCGCCTCAGCCTGGCGAGTAGCTGGGACCACAGGTGCATGTCACTATGCCCGGGTAACTTTTTAGTGGAGACAAGGTCTCACCCTTGCCAGGCTGGTCTCGAACTCCTGGGCTCAAGTGATCCTCCCCCCTCAGCCTCCCAACATGCTGGGATTACAGGCATGAGCCACCACACCTGGCCCATCCATAAATTTCTACCCCTTTTTTTTTTTGACAACTATTTTCACCATGCAGTGTTCCACTGAGAAACAGACTAATTTGAGGCTTGCCCTGTGTCGCTGTATTGTTCAAATTATTTTACTAGCAAGCTATGGGAAGCCAACTCAAATTTGCTGAAGTGAGTATAGGAAAGGAAATTGTTGGTGGCATAACTGGGATCACTGGGAATCTCCAGTTTCAGGCACAGCTGTATCCAAGTGACGAGGTGGTGGTTCTCTCTCATTCATTCTCTCTCTCTCTCTCACACACACACACACACACACAGACACACACACACATTCTCCACCTACGGAGTCTGTTCACATCCCTGCTGACATGGTTAAACTGAGTAGCAACAGGCCTATATCCAAAAGTTTAAAGTCTGGTAGAAAGAGAGGACTTTTTTCCCCTTAAAAGTCCCAGTATGAATCCTGGGATTGAGTCTTACGGGCCTGTCCTGGGCCAATTAACATCCCTAAGCCAGGCCCCTGTGGTCAAGTGGAAGGAACCGTTGAGGTGACCCGGCCTGTACCAGGTGTCTGTCTTCATGCCCGGGGTTGGAGGAGGGGTTCAACTCCACTCAAACTATATGACCCGAGAATGTGGAAAGGGAAATCTAGATGCTGTTCCCTCGCCTCAGTTTGAAGGACAGAACACATACAAGGGAGACAAAAATGACAGACATTCCCTGTCACTGCCAGGAGAGCCGTCCATGGTAGACACTGGATATTATCTGATCTCAAAGTTGCAGGTAATCTATGTCACTGAATTGGATGACCAGTAGCCTGGTTTTGTTTGTTTAACAGCTTTGAATTCATGACTCAAGAAGCTGAGCCATTGCTGTTACATTTCTGAAGTGCAGCCATACGTTGACTTTTATTTTGATATTCATTTTATTCATTCAAAAAATATTAATGGAGCACTAATTATGTGTAAGGATCTTGAAATACACAGGTGAGTCAGTGTCGTGACCCTAGCTTACATTCCAGCAAGGGGCTTAATGCCCAGTGCCATTCAGTATAGATTTCCTTGACTATGTAAATTGCATGAAGCTTTTGAATATAATGGTGGATTTTCCTATAACACCATGGATAGAATTTCACATAGAAGCAGGTAGTCACTACATATTTGCTGATTTATTACACAATAGTAAAGATTCATCCTTCAGTATCATTCTTTTTCTCTATTGTTTATGTGCTCCTAGATCATTCAGATCATGAGTGATGGAAACTACCAGCTATATTTCCAAGAACAGTGATGCAACGCTATTCCTTATAGATGTTGGAAATGGAATTATTTGCTATGGGAACCCCATGTCTATTCATCATTTGCATAGTGTTAAACATGTGTGGGAATGGGAAGTCTCACAACTGCCTTTCTTCCCTTTATTTTTGCTACCTTTGATCTGGAATTTTAATCTTATTTGGTTAAATTATTTCTAGTGAGGTGTTCAAAGACTTTCAAGTATCTCTGCCTTTTGAACATTAGCTTCTTTGTGGTGTGTTTTTTCCTAATTATTCCAAATATAGTTTAATGACCATGAAAGCAGCAAAAAAATATACATATATGTTCTTGAATTTGATTTCATATTCACAGCTTCCTCTCAGTGCCTCTCTAGTTATTAGGTCTATTTCAATGTCATTTACAAGGTGCCTGCCAAGATTATAGTCATTTCAATACAAGTTACTATACATTTAGGGAATAAGTTGGTTCATTTGATTTAAACATGAGACCTCAGTATCTGTGTATATGCTGCTCAAAGCTCCTATTAGAGTTAGCTACAGTGCATTATTTAATATATATTTAGTAATTTGTTAATCAAATATTTATTGAATGCCTACTATGTGTCAGGTACTACTTTAGACACGGGAATACAGCAGAGAACAAGACCAAGTGCCTACTGTCAAGGAGCTTTCATTGTACACAGGGGAGAGAGACGATCATGCATAAATAAATAGGAACATATTATCATGTGCTATGAGGAGACATACGGCAGGATACAGGGTAAAGTCAGGGAAGTAGCTCTCAGGTTGAGGGGTGTATTTGTTTGTTAGAGCTGCCATAACGAAATACCAGAGACCATGTGTCTTAAATGACAGAAATTTATTCTTGCGCAGTTCTGGAGTCTAGAAGTCCGAGATCAAGGTGTCGGCAGGTTTGATTCTTTCTGAGACTCTCCTTGGTGTATAGCTGCCTTTTGTTGTGTGTTCACTTGGCCGTCTCTGTGTGTACCCACGTCTGGTGTACATCAGTGTCTGTGTTCTAACCTCCTCTTCTTAAAAGGGCACCAGTCCTATTGGATTAGGGTACACTCAAGTGAACTCAACATAATCACCTGTTTACAGACCCTGTCTCCAAATACAGTCACATCCTGAGGTAGTGGGGGCTAGGACTTCAACATAGGAATTTGGTGAGAATATAATTCAGCCCCTAGCAAGGGGGTCAGGGAAGACCCCTCTGAGGAAGGAAGACATCTGAACAGAGCTCTGAATAAGGGAACAAGTCATGGCTGTAGGTGAGTCAGTGGTGGAAGGATGCTCCCAGCAGGGGCACAGTGAGTACATGGGCTCCAGACTGGAGTCTGGGAGGCCACAGTGGCCACAGCCCAGGGAGACAGTGCAAGCATGCTACCCGTGAAGGCAGGGTCAGCCCATGAGGAACCTTGGAGGCGTGGTGAGGACCGAATTTTCTTCCAATTGTCATAGGAAGTCATTATAGTGTTTTGAGCAGGGCGGGGGACATAATCTCACACACATTTTTAAGGGATAATTTTAAAATTTATGACAGATTTTCTGTAGATTCCCGAGAATTTGGCAGGCAAGGTCATAATGATCATGAAACCCAGAAAAATTTCTTAGAATAGTTAAGATGCTCTGTTGGTTTTCTAGGAATTCTGTCCCTTGAAGATTAAGAGATCAGCTAACAATTACTTGGAATATTGTATTACTGCTCAAGTTTCTCCTGCCACGTTCAGTGATGCTGGCTTTACGACAAGAGAAATACCTGTGTTTATATACTCCTATGGAAGAATATCCTTTTCTTGAAGAATATTTTGGGTTAGAATAGTCTGGTATGTGGTAACTTATTTACAAGGAGTGATACTAAACTGACATGACTTTGGGACAACTTGGGCTAGGGCAAACTCTGAGGCATCTTTCCCACCTTTGACAAATGCCGTCTCTAGATTTACGTGAAGTAATGAGAGGGTAAGTGACAATTACTTTGGAAGCTTTCAGCAATTTGTTGCCAAAAGATAAAGGATCTCCACAAAGCAGTTCATACAGATCATTCCTAGACCCTATTCAGAATTAACCAAAGGCTTGGCATTTTTGGATAGGGTGCAGTGGCTCACACCTGTAATCCCACCATTTTGGGAGGCCGAGGTGGGTGGATCACCTGAGGTCAGGAGTTCGAGACTAGCCTGGCCAACATGGTGAAACTCCATCTCTACTAAAAACACAAAAATTAGTCAGGCATGGTTGTTCATGCCTGTAGTTGCAGCTACTCCGGGGGCTGAGGCACGAGAATCATTTCAACCTGGGAGGCAGAGGTTGCAGTGAGCCGAGATCATGCCACTGCACTCCAGCGTGGGTGACAGAGACTCTGCTTCAAAGAAAAAAAAAAAAAAGAATTAACCAAAGACTTGGCATTCTAAAGCCCCACACACAGGAAATCTGCATCCCATGAACCATCAGTGTGTTTTTCAAGTTGCTTAAAATGGTTGCGTCCATGTTTACAGGGTATTTATATTGTATCCAGTTCCAAGCACCATATTCAACGTAAAACATCATCATTGAAGAGATTGATAGTCATTTTCATGGGAACTTGTAAATACATTCAGGTCATCAATTTTCCCTTGTGTATCTCCATTAAACTTGGTTAACTGAGGGCTGCCTTCCAAGATCTGTAAAAAGTTTCATCAGATAGAAGAGTATAACAATATTAGACACACAGACACAGGGAAATTTCAACTGTAATATCTTTATTAGAGTTAGTAAAATTTTAGGTGAGATCAGTTACATTTCATAAATAAAAATAGGTCACTTCTTTAGTCTTGCTTATTTTTTAAACACAGTATTTTTATGAAGAGAGAAATATAAATAGAAAACAAATTTTAACTAGTATATGCCATAGAAATCATTTAGAGATCATCAGAAACAAGTTAAGTTTGAATATGAAAGCTTCCCTCGCCCCCACAGGGAAAGAAAATGGACTAACCCATTCTAACCAAAAATTAGACTTAGCTATGTGAAAATAAAGTCCTTAGAAAAGCAGATAAGCTAATCTGGGTTTTGGATACCTGTACCTAAAACGTGTTTAGAACATTCCTCTAAAGACACCTAAAGAAACTAAAAGCCCAGCTGGGCACGGTGGCTCACGCCTGCAATCCCAGCACTTTGGGAGGCTGAGGTGGGCGGATCACCTGAGGTCAGGGGTTCGAGACCAGCCTGGCCAAGGTGATGAAACCCCGTCTCTACTAAAAATACAAAAATTAGCCCAGCATAGTGGTGCATGCCTGTAATTCCAGCTACTTGGGATGCTGAGGCAGGAGAATGACTTGAACCCGGGAGGTGGAGGTTGCAGTGAGCCGAGTCATGCCATTGCACTCCAGCCTGTGCGACAGAGTGAAACTCTGTCAAGAGAGAAAGAAAGAGAGAGAAAGAGAAAGAAGGAAAGAGAGAGAGAGAGAGAGAGAAATAAAGAAGGAAAGAAAGAAAGAAAAGAAAAGAAAAGAAAAGAAACTAAAAGCCTTAGGTCCACAACACATTTTTCGTAGAATCTTGGTGCTGAAGGAGAGAAGGCAAAGCATAACTCAGAAGGTCTCAGGCAGGTTCTCGTTATTTTGAGGCTATCTTTGGTGGCTGAATTAAAGGATAGCGTGGTGTTAAAGTAACGTTGCTGCATGTGCTTTAATAAGCAAAGTTGGAGATTATTGATGATAACACAGTCATCTGTGGGATGCATTCCTGTGCATTCTAAAACATGAAGCCTCACTTTGAGTCTTACCATTAAGTCCTTGCTGTGAAGGGGTGGCAAGTGTTATTAAGTTGTTAGATTAGCAAGGTTCTACTGCATTTTCGCTTTAAGCCAGAGTGCTTTCACAGCTGAGCTGTAATGCTCTGAAAATGCCTACATAACAAGATCCAGACGTTGCGTTGAATCCCAAATGGTAAACGGCCAACGGCATTTATACAGTATTACCTTGCTGAAGCCGTAAAAAGTCAGCACATCTGAAAAGACACCGTGCCTAAATCCGAAAGCAGAGAAGAAGCCAACACAGGAAATAGGTGGCTCTTTCCATCATAACATACTTCTACAGGGTGGGAAGGTAGTTCCGTTTTCTAGAGAATACCAGCGTGAACTCCAATCCCTTCTTAAGGAGGCAAGTAGAAAGAATGAACCTAAATTATCCTATTGATGACTAAATGTTACATTTAGCTCCCGGGAGTCCATGCCCGGAACAGAATTTCAAGGAATCACATTGAGCCTGCTGGCCAACCGGGACCTGCTGCAAACTTGAGTAAACACAAGGTTTCCTAATAAACTGCCTTTCTTAGAAATCTAAAGTACTAAAAACCCTAAGTTCAGGAAAACTTGAATTTCTCAGAGAGGCAGAAAAAGGGATCAAGTTGCAGAACAATAGCGCTAGAAAGAAAAACCAAATGCACCTGAGGGCAGATAGTTAAAGGAGTTGGAGAAATTACATTTCAGAAAAATATGTTTCGGTGGCCAATTTTGTCTCTAGCTTGGAAATGTACTTGGTCCCATGAATAGGTTGACTCTTGCACAAACCCTGTTTACCTGGCTTGGTTCAAAGTTGTGACTTTTACTTCCCATGTGACTGATGAATTTGACAAGTTTGCCCCTGGCCCTGTGCTGAGCACTATGAAGGGGCAAAGAATTATAAGACCTGGTTTGGGGCTTGGGGGTGGGGAATGGGGGTTCAAAGAGAATATGTACAGCAGCAGCAAAGGTAGCAGTGTGCTGGTGGGTTTAGAGAGAGATTTTTGGTTTTGTTTTTGTTTTTTTTGAGACGGAGTCTTGCTCTGTCACCCAGACTGGAGTGCAATGGTGCAATCTTGAGCTCGGCTCACTGCGACCTCCGCCTCCCAGGTTTAAGCGATTCTCCTGCCTCCCCCTCCCAGGTTTAAGCGATTCTCCTGCCTCTGCCTCCTGGGTTTAAGCGATTCTCCTGCCTCAGCCTCTCAAGTAGCTGGGATTACAGGCACCCACCACTACTCCTGGCTAATTTTTGTGTTTTTAATAGAGGTGGGGTTTCACCATGTTGGCCAGGCTGGTCTCAAATTCCTGACCCCAAGTGATCCACCTGCCTTGGCCTCCCAAAGTGCTGGGATTACAGGCGTGAGCCACTGTGCCCAGTCTAGAGAGAGGTTTTAATAAACTTAGAGTTTAGTGATCTGTGTGGCCTGGGACAGAAAGTCATCTTCTCATTTGCTTGGTTACTCAGAGTAGCCTATCAGGAGGATTTGGGGCAGGGCCAGTGGTGCAGAATCATTCTTGAGCTACAAATATCAAGAAAACAGGATCTAGAAAGATGAATGAAATCTATTCGTGACTACCTTGGCAGCATCCAAAGTCACAGAGGGGCAAGATACTACTGTGCTAGGAGGATGAATGATGACTTTAATTTGTAACCAACATAAATAAAAATAAGTTTCTGACTAGATGTCTATCATCACATCACCTGAGCATGACTGGATGGATTTTCACTGTATTGGAGGGAACATTTGAATTTATAAAATGGCCTTAAAATATGGGCTTGTGGGGGGTGATGGTGGGCTGACTACCAATGAAGAGATGTGCCATATGCATTATGGTAGGTCAGGGTCTCGCAGACACAGTCTCGCAGATGGGGACTAGTATGCCAGAGTTTATAAATGAAGTGCTCCAGGGGAAATGAGGGGGTGGGAGGAGGAACAGGCTGGATGGGGAAGGGAAAGGAGCCCAGCAAGACAGCCACTTCAGGCCAAGTCCCAGCCTCAGCATGGCTCTACAAAAAGCAGTGGAGTGTAAGTTACACCTCTGATTGTATCCCAACTCCAGGCACCCCAGAGCTGGGCTTTCATATTCTGCACCAGTCAGCCATTGGCCAATGGCCCCCTAGGGAGGACCCAAATTTCCAGGTACATCTGTCACCAGTCTTTAGAAGAGAGTCATTAGAAGCAGGCATAGAAGCCAAGGGAAGGGGCCAGTCTTGGTGGCTCACGCCTGTAATGCCAGCACTTTGGGAGGCTGAGGTAGGTGGATCACCTGAGGCCAGGAGTTTGAGACCAGCCTGGCCAACGTGGTGAAACCCCGACTCTACTAAAAATACAAAATTAGCTGGGTGTGGTGGCGCATGCCTGTAATCTCAGCTACTCAGGAGGCTGAGGCAGGAGAATTGCTTGAACCTGAAAGGCGGAGGTTACAGTGAGCCGAGATCGCACCACTGCACTCTAGCCTGGGCAACAGAGCAAGGCTCTGTCTCAAAAAAAAAAAAAAAAAAAAGAGAGAAGCCAAGGGAAGGACACTCAGAAATGGACAAAGGATTTTCAGGAGAGGGCACAGAGCCCCTCAATACAGTGTTCCCCATGCGTATTAAGACCTGTGGGCAGAACAAGGAATAAATGTTTCAGATATGAGTCCAAAATCCAAGGACACGCCCTTCAACTTGCAGACACTGGTTTCCAGTTGAGCTGCTTCTCACATGGGCAACTCTAGCCAGCTGGTAACAGCAGAGATTTGTGTACTTGGTAATGTTTTTAAAAAACAGCTGGGGATTGTCTGGGCAACGCTGGAGGCCAGCTTCTGTGCAATCGCACGGGCCTGCTGAGCTTGTCCCTCTCCTCCTGCTGTCCCCAGAGGGGCAAACAAGCTTCTTTCTTATTCAACCTATGTCTTCCTGAACTCTGTTTCTCTCTGACGTGGCTGGAGAGACTAAGACAGTTCTCATTAAGAAGACTACATAAGCAAGGCCTAAATTATGTGCTACAAATCCTGCAAGAGTGTCATGAAAATGGAGGTTGCTCAGGACTGGAGGAGCCGCGGAAGGCTTTTTATGGGAGATGGGACTTCATTTTGGCCTTGAAAAGCAGCAGAGCTTAGTAGGTAGAAAAGAGAAAGAAGGGCATCCCGGCAGGGGGGTACACATTGAGCAAACGGCACAGAGGTGAGACCTGACGTGCACTTTTATGGCACAAAGTGAAGACTGTCTTAGCTTAAGGGAAGAATCCCAGCCCAGAAGGCTGACAGTCGGTCACCCTGGGTCTGAAATTTGGGTCATGGTCTTAAGCCATCTACCCCTCTGCTGCTTGGTTCAGCTTCTTTCTGATTCTCTGCCTAATTCCCCCCTCAGACTGGCTTTCCATCAAGCTGTGTCGGGCTCCAGACCATCCTCCTAATTAATACATGCCAGGTCCCATGAGTTGACAAGCTTTCAATACAAAGAAATAAATGATATAAGCCAGGATGAAAAGCAGAACAAAATAAAGATAGCAGGGGGTGTTTGGAGTGAACAACATCATGAAACGGGCCAATTTCAGAGACTTTTTGGAAAAGCGGAAACCTGATGTGTTAATTAGGAGTCTATTTCCATAATAAGACTGCTCAGAGGAAGGTAATAGAAGAAACAAAGGGGCAGTGGCAGGGACTGGTCAGGCAGGATGGAAGTTACAGCTTAAGGAGAGGGGAGAGGGCTTATTATTGTCTGTTGTCTTCTGTATCTCTGGGGTCTGCTGGCTCCATAAGACAGGGGGCTGCCCCTTCTTTGTTTTGTAAAGCACCGTGAATAAAGAGCTTCGGGTATAAATAACAATGTGGTTTCTGGCCCCAAGACCCGATTCAACAGGAAGTACTGCAGCCTTACCAGCTCCAGCTGGTGGTAGATTTTGACTTTTCAGGGCATACTCTATTCAGAGGAACTGTCTGCTGCTGAGATGAGCCAATATAGTGGTTCAAAACAAGAGGAAGTGTGGCAAGGAAGTGAGGTGCCAATGCACCCGCAGTGAGGGAAGGGCACTTGTGAAGCCGGAAGCCTTCATCTGGCCTCAAGCAGCTAGGTTTGGGGGATTCGAGCAAGGGTGCTGGAATCAGGTAGATGTGGGATCTAACCCCCAGCTCTGCCGCCTGCTGGCTCTGTGGTTAGGCCTTCCAACTGGTATGCTGAGCTGAGAAAAGACAGTGTATCTTCTCCACTACTGCCAGATTGATTTTTCAAAAGCACAGCTTTGAGCATCTCTTCCTGCTGTTTGGAGATGGCAGTGGCTCCCAACTGCCTAGCAGAAGCCAGTCCACTGTGGGGTTGGCCAAGTTCTGCACTTCAGGGACTTTGACTGAGAGGGTGAACCCTCCTAAACCTCGTGTTCTTCTTCATGAAGCAAGGATGATAATAGGCACTGTATTGTTGGGCCACTGTGAAAGTTAAAGGAGATAATTCACGTAAAGCATGTGGCACATCATAAGTGCCCCACTAACAAGAATCTTCACGACTGGTTAAGAAACTGCTTGAGTGCAAAGCCCCATTCTTCCTTTACCAGATGTGACCTTGGGTACATTTCTTAATTTCCCCATTGTATTAGTCCGTTCTCACATTGCTGCAAAGACACTACCCCAGAATGGGTAATTTATAAAGGAAAGAGGCTTAATTGACTCAAGTTCAGTGTGGCTGGGGAGGCCTCAGGAAACTCACAACCATGGAGGAAGGGGAAGCAAACACGGCAGGAAGGAGAATGAAAGCCAAGCAAAAGGGGTTTCCCCTTATAAAACCATCAGATCTCGTGAGACTTATTCACTACCACGAGAACAGTTGGGGGAAACCACCCCCATGATTCAATTATCTCCCACCAGGTCCCTCCCACCACAAATGGGAATTACGGGAGCTACAATTCAAGATGAGATTTGGATATGGACACAGCGAGACCTTATCACCCATCCTCAAACGCTCACCTGTAAAACAAGGTTGTTGAGAGGATTCGATGAACTGATGTATCTAAAGCATCTTGACCAGTACTTAGTGCTCAATAATTTTAGTTTTATGACATCATCATCATCATTATCACTGCTTCCTCCATCACCATCATGATGATCATTTAGATCTGGGAGAAAAAAAAGAAATAAATTGGGAATATACTTATTGAAATGAGTCCCTGAAGTTGCTCTGGGGGTCTAGGAGTGGAGAAGGGGGCTGAACGCCTCCATCCCTCCTCTCCACAGATACTTCTGGTAGGGCCTGGGGTAGTTGGGACCAGTGAGGGCTTCAGGGACTGGGTGTGCCTGTTGCATCTGGCTGTTTTCTCCTGGCTTCTGGATCTAATGCTGGGCACCTGTTCAACCCAGGCCAACTGGAAGGTGGGGGTCAATCTTGCTGAATGAGACTATGGTGGTTGTGGTTGTTAGATAGAGGACACGTGCTTCCTCTTTCTGCTGTCATGAGAGTCCCTCAGGGAAAGTTCATGACGAGGTGAAATGTTACTCTGGTCTCCTGTTTTTCTTTTTCTTTTTTTTTTTTTTTTGGAGATGGAGTTTTGCTTTTGTCGCCCAGGCTGGAGTGCAATGGCGCAATCTCGGCTCATAGCAACCTCCGCCTCCCGGGTTCAAGCCATTCTCCTGCCTCAGCCTCCGGAGTAGTTGGGATTACAGGCATGTGCCACCACGCCCGGCTAATTTTGTATTTTTAGTAGAGACGGGGTTTCTCCACGTTGGTCAGGCTGGTCTCGAACTCTGGACCTCAGATGATCCGCCCACCTCGGCCTCCCAAAGTGCTGGGATTACAGCATGAGCCACCGCGCCTCGCCTGTCTCCTGTTTTTCTATCTGAAGGTAATGACCACTTCACCCATTTTGTGTGATGTTGGCAAGGCTGCCAACAGTGTGACCCCACCCCATTGCTGCGATATAATGCAACCCAAGCAAAGTGAATCAAAATCATTATAGGGAGTTTGCTTGAGAGCTAAGGGTAGGGGTAGGGGTGGAGGGAAGTGTCCTTCTCCCTTGCCCTAGGATGCAGAGATCTAAAGAACACAGGAGGCTGAAGATGCCAGACAGGGGTCCTTGCAGCCGTGTTGGAGAGATTGGAGAGATTCTGCTTGAGAGTGAAGTCAATCAAAGTCAAAAGACAGAGCCCTCTTATCATTGTTTGAGCCACTTGATACAGCTATGCCTGAAGGTGGTCACCCCCAGACTTCCCAGGTACATGAACCAATTAACTCCATAAAGCTGATTGAGTTGGATTTTTGTCACTTGTACTAATGAGTACAGTGCCTTTATTTGCAACTGTGAGAAATTTGCTTCATATGCTTTAAACTCATTTGTGTTAGGAATAATTAGGTTTTTTAAATTTGTGGAGGGGCTATCTAGGAGTGGGGAATAGAAAACTGAGATGCAACAGAAGGCAGAGAAGAAGCTGATGCTTTGCACTGAAGCCTTGGAAAAGATCAAGGAAGCTGAGAGCTGGTAGCCAAGGGCCATGGAACAGCCAGCTGTGTTGATGGAAGGGAAGAAACAGGGTCACCTGTGGGAGGAGCAGGCAGCACAGGCAAAGACATTAGGCTATAGTGTTTATGGATAAGGACCTATATAACCTTCTATGTGGTGGCACAAATTTGGCAAATCACTACTCAGCTATATTAAGCCAATTCGATAAAAATTACTCAAAGCATCTCAATCAAAAAGGCAATGTCAACTTGGAGTCACACAGCCCTGGGCTTAGGGCCAGCTTTGGGACAATCTAGTTGAGTGACATTAAGAGAATTATTTGACATCTCTGATCCTCAGTTCCATTTCTGCACCATAGGGATAATAATGCCTTCCTCACATAATAGGTGATGATGGTACTGTTTTATTCAAGCTCTTCCACACCTCTGGGACCACAATAGAAAAATGAGAAGCAAGACAACCAACAACTCCATTCCAAAAAGTACAAAGCACATGCAATATGTGCACGAAGAATCAGACATAGAAGGAAAAACAGGGCCAGGCACAGGGGCTCGCACCTGTAATCCCAACACTTTGGGAGGCTGAGGGGGGTGGTTCACTTGAGTCCAGGAGTTCAAAACCAGCCTGGGCAACATAGGGAGACCCCATCTCTACAAAAAAAATTCAAAAATTTAGCTGGACATGGTGGTGCACGCCAGGAGTCCCAGCTACTATGGTAGCTGAGGCGGGAGGATTGCTTGAGCCTGGGAGGTGGAGGCTGCAGTGAGCTGTTATTGCAACTACTGCATTCCAACCTGGGTGACAGAGCAAGACACTGTCCCCTCCCCCCGAAAAAGAAGAAAAAACATTTTAGCATGTGTGTTATCTATGATTTAGAAGCACATTTTTAAAACCATAGGGAAGGCAAATCCTGAAAACTGTTCAGGTAGTAAAAGCTGGAAAATGGAAAAATATCCAGTACTATATATTACTAGTTTTCAATCTATATATATTGTTGGTAATATTTTTATTTAGTTTGCTATCTTTGTGCTTTTATTTTAGTAACAAATGTCTTTAAGTTATTTATGAGTCCTTTTTCCATAGGCATTATGGTTTTTTATCATCTATTAGCTGCTTCAGGGCTCTAGCTAGCAAGTTTTTGTTGCTGTTGTTGTTGTTTTGAGACAGACTCACTCTGTCACCCAGGCTGGAGGGCAGTGGTGTGATCTTGGCTCACTGCAACCTCCGCCTCCTGGGTTCAAGCAATTCTCCTGCCTCAGCCTCCTGAGTAGCTAGGATTACAGGCGTGTGCCACCATGCCTGGCTACTTTTTGGAATTTTTTTTAGTAGAAACAAGGTTTCACCATTTTGGCCAGGCTGGCCTCAAACTCCTGGCCTCAAGTGATCCACCTGTCTTGGCCTCCCAAAGTGCTGGGATTACAGGCGTGAGCCACTGAGCCCAACCTCTAACTAGCAAGTTTGACACAGAGTTGAGGATAGTGGTCCTCTCATTTCCTTTTCAGGACAAACAGCAGGTCTGATGGGGGCTGTGAAGAAGCCACGCAGTTTTGGTGACTAGACTGTCAAGGAAACAGGGTTCTCTAGGTTGGCACTAACAGTGACAGTTGTCTTCTCCTGCATTAGCCAGGGTTTTCCAGAGAAACAGAACCAATGAGATGTATATAGGCCAAGCATGGAGGCTTGCGCCTATAATCCCAGCACTTTATGAGGCTGAGGCAGGCAAGAGGATCACTTGAGTCCTGGAGTTCGAGGTCATCATGGGCAAATAGCAAAACCTACTTTAAAAAAAAAAAGTAAAAAGTGTATAGATGTGAGAGAGATTGATTGATTTTAAGGAGTTAGCCCTTAAAATGACTATGGAGACTGGCAAGTCCAAACTCTGTAGAGTAGGCCAGCAAAGTTGGAGACCCAGGGAGGCACTGCAGTTAGAGTCCAAAGGCCGAGTCTACCGGCTGAATTCCCTCTTCCTCCAGGGAGGTCAGTCTTTTTTTCTATTAAGGCCTTCAACTGACTGGATGAGGCCCACCCACATTATGGAAGGTCATCTGCTTTACTCAAAGTCTACTGATTTCAATATTAAACTGGTCTCGATTTTTTTTTTTTTTTTTTTTGAGACAAGGTTGGCTCTATTGCCCAGGCTGGAGTGTAGTGGCATGATCTCGGCTCACAGCAACCTCCATCTCCTGGGCTCAATCCATTCTCCCACCTCAGCCTCCCAAGTAGCTGGGATTACAGGCACGTACCACCACTCCTGGCTAATTTTTATTTTTTGTTTTTGGTAGACATGGGGATTCACCATGTTGCCCAGGCTGGTCTTGAACTTGCGAGCTCAAGCAATCCACCTGCCTTGGCCTCCCAAAGTGCTAGGACTACAGGTGTGATCTACCACACCTGGCAATTTCAATGTTAATCTTACCTTTAAAAAAATCTTCACTGAAACATCTAGAATTGTTTGACCAAATATCTGAGTACTGTGACATAGCTATGTTAACACCTAAAATTAACAAACATATCTTCACAAATAGTTTTTGGACCATTGACTTCCCAGATGAGGCCCTGGGAGGACCATGAGCAGAGCTACTGCTGAATGTCTGTGAGACACCACTAGTAAACCCCAAACCTTTATATCCCTATGACCTGAGACTCCCTAAAATAACCAGGGCAGGGATTTGCAAGGGTGTTAAAATTCCAAGACAGCAGTTGGGAACTCCGGTCACAGACAGATATGTCTTTATATTAAAATGGTCTCATTTGTATTCACAACCTGGCTAGGCCTGGGACATTTAGGTTACAGTTTCTTGTTAACTAGGTAGCATCCTGAAGATGTGCCTCTCTGTCTTTATTACCCAGTGACTGGATGGGGTGCAGGTAGTTAGTAATAGTTTTATGAGTAAGTCTTAACAAATGTTGTACACCTAGTAGTGGCACAGATATGTGGTGTATTCATTAGAAGTTGAACTGGAAATGGGCACTATGATTTGTGTTAGTTCACTGGTTCATGGACAAGACCTTGACAGCAGCTGCCTGCATTTAACGTAAGAAGTTCCACTTGGGAAATGCAATTCTTGGGGTTTGGTCTCAGCTCTATGTCTGTCCATGGGGCCTTGGGAGAGCCTGTTACCTTCTGTAGGGCTCTCTTTCATGGTCTATAAAATAAGGAGGTTGATCTGTGAGGTTTCTTCCAGCTTTCACATCTACAATTCAGTAAGATCATCTAGACTGTGGCCAAACCCCAGGATATGGTGTGTTGAAGTTGTAAAGGGAGATTCAGGGAAAGGTGCCAACTGACTCCTGTCCCACCTTCTCTACTTGACTCAGAGTAACTGCCTCTTGGAAAGACCAGACCAGGTGAGTAATCCTTTGCCATCTTGGGTGCTATGGTCTGAATGTGTCCTCCCAAAACTCATATGTTGAAATCTAATCAACAACAAGATGGCATTAGAAGGAGGGGCTGTTGGAGGAAGGTTAGATCGTGAGGACAGAGCACTCATGAATGGGATGAGTGCCCTTATCAAAGAGGCCCCAGGAAGCTGCCTTGCCCCCTCCACCACATGAGGCCACAGCAAGAGAGGCCACCTATGAAGTAGAGAGTGAGCTTTCACCAGATGTCAGATCTGCTGGTACCTTGATCCTGGACTTCCAGCCTCCAGAACTGTGAGAAATAAGTTTTTCTTGTTTAAAAGTCACCCCGTTTATGGTATTTTGTTATAGCAGCCTAAATGGACTAAGATACTAGAATCTCATTATCTTTTTTTTTTTTTTTTGAGATGGAGTCTCTCTGTTGCCCAGGCTAGAGTGCAGTGGTACAACTATAGCTCACTGCAGCCTCGAGCTCCTGGACTTAAGCAATCCTCCCACCTGGGCCTCCCAAATAGCTGGGACTACAGGTGCATGCCACCATGCCCAGCTAAGTTTTTACATTTTTTTTAATAGATGTTGTCTTGTTATGTTGCCCAGTCTGGTCTCAAACTCCTGGCCTCTAGTGATCCTCCCATCTCAGCCTTCTGAATCACTGGGATTACAAGTATCAGCCACCACACCAAGCAGATTTCATATCTTTTAATAAACAATTAGTTCTTGTGTTTAAAAATATGTTTTTAAATTACATAAAGTTATAGAATATAAATACACATAAAGAAGGAATTTAAGATTCTATACTCCCAAAACCCAGTGAATCCCTGTGTACTTTTGGCATATATCTTTTTAGCATATATGCAATTACTTTTTGTCAAAAAATGAGATCATGTTGTATGTCACTGGTTCTATATTTTGATCTTTTAGGATTTTAAGACCAGTCTTCCTTCCTTGCTTCTTGGTTATTTTTCTTTTTCAGTCTTCAAGCTCTCCTCACAATGATATCTCATATTCTGGTTTTATTGTAAACACTGTGTAAAAGGGGCAGGGGTTAGCCTCAGTGATTGGAGGAGAAAATTCAGAAGGTCAAAATATAGACAGCTCTTGAGAGGGTCAAAGCAGCAAGGATTTTTTTTTTTTACCTTGGTGAATTTTCCTTCTCTAGTGTGGATTGAATTATGTCCCCCAAAAAGATATGTCCATGTCATAGCCTCTGGTACCTGTGAATGTGACCTCATAAGAAAATATGGTACATATACACCATGGAATACTATGCAGCCATAAAAAGGAAGGAATGAGATCATGTCCTTTGTGGGGACATGGGTGGAGCTGGGAGCCATTATCCTCAGCAAACTAACACAGGAACAGAAAACCAAACACCACATGTTCTCGCTCTTAAGTGGGAGCTAAACAATGAGAACACATGGACACAGAGAGGAGAACAACACACACCAGGGCCTGTCATGGGGTTGGGGGGAGGGAGAACATCAGGATAAATAGCTAATGGATGTGGGGCTTAATACCTAGATGATGGGTTGACAGGTGCAGCAAACTACTGTGGCACATGTTTACCTATGTAACAAACCTGCATGTCCTGCACTTGTACCCCAGAACTTAAAAAAAATTAGGGTCCTTGCAGATGTAATTAAAGATCTTTAAATAAAGTCATCCTGGATTTAGGGTGGACCTAAATTCAATGACTGGGCTCCTTCTAAGAGAAAGGAGAAGGAGATGTGGGACACAGACATGAAGACACAAAGTGGGAGGGCCTGTGATGATGGAGGCAGAGATTAGAGTCATGCTTCTACAAGCCAAAGGATGCAAAGGATTGCTGACAACCACCAGAAGCTAGGAAAGAGGTGTGGAATGGATTCTTCCTCATAGCCACCAGAAGGAACCAATCCTTCCAACACCTTGATTCTGGACTTCTGGCCTCCAGATCTGTAAGAGAATAGGTACCATTTTTTGTAAACCACCAAGCTTATGGCAATGTGTTATGGCAGCCCTAAGAAGCGAACACATCCTCTGCTATGGTCTGAATTTTTGTGTCCCCCCAAAATTCACACTGAAACCTAACCCCCACTGTGATGGTATTAAGAGGTGGGGGAGGTGATTAGGTCATGAGGACACTGCCCTAGTGAATGGGATTAATGCCCTTACAATCAAGGCCTGGAGAGCTTGTTTGTCCCTTCTACCATGTGTGGACACATAGAAGGTGCCATCTATGAGGCATGAGCCCTCACAAGAAACCAGATCTGCTGCTGCCTTGATCTTGGACTTCCCAGCCTCCAGAACTGTGGGCAGTAAATTTCTGTTGTTTATAAATTACCCAGTCTATGGTATCAGTCAGCCCAAACAGACTGAGACACCCCCTTTATCTTATGCTCTCTTTTGGTGTTGTTCTCATTTCTTGAGAGCTTGTTTGGAGGTTCTAGCAGTGGAGCGCAGCTACTCGTATACCCTTGACCGAAGACTGGTCCTCCTCTGTCGGGGATGGTCGTCCTCTTCGACCGAGCGCGCAGCTTCGGGAGGGACGCACATGGAGCGGTGAGGGAGGAAGGGGACACCCGCCTAGCCAGCCAGATCAGCCAAATCAACCCTGGCGATCAATGGGGTGACAGATGTCGCAGCCAGATCGCCCTCACATCCTTGTTCTCATTTCTTGATTTGCCTGGTGAGCCATTGAATGTCTTTTCAGCAAACCTAAGAAGTCAGTCTTGATAAATAGGATCAGGCCTACTTCACTTTACTGAACAAGAATGTCACTGGAGTTTTTCCTAGAATAAGAGCTACATGTTGTACACGAACAGGAAATTCAGCCCCCGGCTCTAAAAATTCAAAACGATAAAGGCAGTTTCAGACTCTAAACAAAATTCTAATAGTGATTTATAGTTTACAAAGAGTTTAGAACAAGGCCCATCAGAACCTTTACAGTAAAAATAAAGCCTTGATTTTATCAACTTCCAGCACCAGTTTTAAAGACAATTCCATCTAGGAGGGTGTTGAGGCCTGATTGAGAACACTCCTAAATTATCAAAGTTACATCCCTTCACTTTGGTGAAACTGTTATTACTGCCAGTAATATCAGGGGAGATGCCAAAGGCAACAGTGTGCACTGCACAGAGAGAATTCTGTTCTAAATAAAAATCAATTTGGTTCATAAACACTATATTTTACAGTTCTTTAGACCTTATCTATTTTTATGTCCTATAGCACTACATGAAGCAAAATCTTACTATATTTACCCTTCCTTTCATTATAATGCCAGCAGAAAAAAAAATGCATGTCACGCTTTCTAAGAAAAGTTGCGAGGGAGGGTGAGAGGCAGCATCACCTTTATGGCCATATTCTCATACAGTGATGGGGGTCTGCAAGCATTGAAAATAGATTGATTTAGAAGCAGTGCTTGAATCCAAGATTTGAGAAGCTGTTTTTCAAATTTGTGCTTTAAATTATAGAAATTAATTTCATGTGATTGAAATTTCCAAAGTTAATTTAATTTTGCTTTCAAAAAATTTCTCTATTGTGCTAACAGCTTTTATTTTACTTAAACTGTCATTCAGTTGGAATGAAATTTACAAACTCTACTAACTGTACTAATTGCAGTTTAGATCCCCCCAAAGGGGAAAAACGAAGGTTACAGGAGAGTAATGAGGACATTCATTAACAGATTTTTTTCCTTTTATGTTTTTAAAATTTCTTCTATGACCCAGGCCCCTGTGCAGGGTACTGAAGCAAACAGTACAGGGTCCCAGCCCTCTAGGAGCTCATGGGCCAGCAGGGAGTTGGACAATGTTAATGAAGTGGGCCCTCAGCAGGGTGTCTTCTGGGACCCACAGGAGCCCTGAGGAGGGCATCTGATATGGTTTGGCTGTATCCCCACCCAAATCTCCTCTTGAATTGTATCTCCCATAATTCCCACATGTTGTGGGAGGGACCCAGTGGGAGAAAATTGAATCATGGGGGCAGTTTCCCCATACGGTTTTCGTGGTTGTGAATAAATCTATGAGATCTGATGGTTTTATAAGGGGAAACCTCTTTCACTTGGCTTTCATTCTCTTCTCTCGTCTGCCTCCATGTGAGACATGCCTTTCGCCTTCCACCATGATTGTGAGGCCTCCGCAGCCACATGGAACTATGAGTCCATTAAACCTCTTTCTTTTGTAAATTGCCCAGTGTCGAGTATGTCTGTAACAGCAGTGTGAAAACAGACTAATGCAGCACCCAACCTCAGCTGAGGGAGTGCTTCAATGGTGCTGACATCTTAGCAGGAAGCCCAAGAGTCAGTCAAGACCCAGGGAGTGGGGAAGAAAGGTGAACAAGACAGAGGGAATCATGTGTGCAAATGCCTAAAGGCTTTGGAAATCATAGAAAATTTGAGAAACTGAAAATGGAGGAGAAGAGAAGAAAGATGGAGGCTGGAGAGTGGGAGAAACCTTTGACAGATGAAGTCAGTGATAGGAGTAGAGGCTGGATGACAAAGGCCAGAAAGGTCAGGCCAAGGACTGTACCTTTTATTTTGAGGAGACCAGGAGAGTCAGCCAAAGCTGTGAACCAGGGCTCGGTGTGACCAGCTTTGTGTGCCACCGTCAGGATGGCAATCAAAGAAAAGAGAAAGGCAAAAGAAAGCTCAAGAAAATGTAGCTCAATTAGCTGCACCTAGTTTTCTTAGAGAGCAGAATGCACCACCTAAAATAGCAGAGTCTGGGAAGCCGAGGCGGGCAGATCACCTAAGGTCAGGAGTTCAACACCAGCCTGGCCAACATGATGAAACCCCATCTCTACTAAAAATATAAAATTAGCCGGGCATGGTGGCAGGCGCCTATAATCCCAGCTACTTGGGAGGCTGAGGCAGGAGAATTGCTTGAATCTGGAGGCAGAGGTTGCAGTGAGCTGAGCTCATGCCATTGCACTCCAGCCTGGGTGACAGAGTGAGACCCTGTCTCAAAAAAATAAAATTGATTAAATAAGTAAATAAAAACAGCAGAGTCCACTTCTGCTAAGTAGAGGATGACCACATAGTTAGTGGAACTCTACCATACATTTTGTGTCTGTGTGAAATAAACAAAGCAGCCTAATCATAAATTTTTTTTTGTTCTTTGTTTTTTGTTTTTTTGAGACAGAGTCTCACTCTGTCACCCAGGTTGGAGTGCAGTGGCACGATCTTGGCTCGCTGCAACCTCCACCTCCCGGGTTTAAGTGATTCTCATGCCTCAGCCTCCTGAATAGCTGGGATTACAGGTGCACACCACCACATCCAGATAATTTTTTGTATTTTCAATAAAGACGGGGTTTCGCCATGTTGGCTAGGTTGGTCTCAAATTCCTGACTTCAGGTGATCCACCCACCTTGGCCTCCCAAAGTGTTGGGATTACAGGCGTGAGCCACTGTGCCCAGCCAAAAATTGTTAATGAATACAATTATTATCCTGACTCAAGTACTTAAAATATGAATGAAATATAAGAAAAGACTTCAACTTCTTCCTTTACTCTAAAACTATCATGTGGCTAAGGAACTTGGCATTGAAAGGAGCCATTTTTCATTTCATATATTTGTAGTAGGCAGGCCTAATGAGGGGTAATGTCTAAACATTTCAAACCAAATTCCCCCAGTTTAGAGTGTTAAGAAACTTGTTGTTTTAAGCAATTTAGACAGATATTTGCATATATAAGCAAGCACATTCTTTGAACCAGCCCATTACATAACCTCACTTATCCCTGCAGGCAATAGACTAGTATGAATGCAGAATTAGATCTATCCAGGACTCTCGGTGTGTGCACATGTACATACACCAGTAAGAAATAGACACATTTGTTAGGGACAATAACTGCCTTCCACTTCACTTACCTCTTATGAATTATTTCTGCTCTCAATTTCAAATCAAGAAAAATGCACCATATTTCCTGACTCATGCTATCAGATAACTACTGGGAGAGCTAATATTGATAACAACTGTACAGAAACATGTGGGAATGAGCCATGTGATTCTGCTACTGTAATATCTAGAAATAGAACATTCTATATGTTCCCTTTTCTTTCCACCCCACATCCTACTCAAGGCGTCACATTCATTCATTCATTCTTCACTAATTCAACCGATTTTTAAAGGCTCCTACTACTTCTGTGTTTTGAATATTAATGGTGTGATTTCATGTCAAACAAGGTACAATCCTGCCCTCTGATAGCTGACAGGTGGCTGAGGAGTTGGAATTTTTAATGGTGCTTCAGAAAATGACAATGTTTATGTGGTTCTGATCTCCATCTCTTCTCAATTCTAACAGGCAACACAGACTCTGAAACTGGGTTGTCCGGGTTTCAGACTGACTGTCCCAGCTCAGCCAGTCTCAATGTCAGACTTTGTCGAGTTCTTTGTTTGCTATAAACCTCGTGTTTCTCATAAAAATGGAAGTCCTGACTGGGTACAATGGCTCATGCCTGTAGTCCCAGCACTTTGGGAGGCTGAGGTGGATGGATCGCTTGAGCTCAGAAGTTTAAGATCAGCCTGGCCAACATGGTGAAACCCTGTCTCTACAAAAAATACAACATTTAGCTGGGTGTGGTGGATCACACCTGTACTCCCGGCTACTTGTGGGGCTGAGGTGGGAGAATCACGTGAGCCCAGGAGGCGGAGGTTGCAGTGAGCAGAGATCGCGCCACTGCAATCCAGGCTGGGTGGCAGAGTGAGAACCTGTCTCAAAAAAAAGAAAGAAAGAAAGAAAGAAATGGAAGTCCTGATAGAACCTACTTAATATGATGGCTATGAGGATTAAATAATATGAAAATTTGGCTGGATGCAGTGACTTATGCCTGTAACCCCAGCACTTTGGGAGGCTGAGGCAGGAGAATTGCTTGAAACCAACCTGGAAAATATAGCTAGACCCATCTCCACAAAACAATTAAAAATTAAAAATATAGCCCAGTGTTTGGTACATGCCTATAGTCCTAGCTACGAGGAAGGTTGGGCAGGAAGATCACTTGAGCCCAGGAGTTTGAGGTTGTAGTACGCTATGATTGTGCACTCTAGCCTGGCCCTACCTTTAAAAAGAGCAAGACCCTATCTTAAAAAAATTTTTTTTAATTAATTAATTAAGATTTTTAAATGACCTAGAACAAGATCTGGCAGATAGTAAGTAAATCATTTCTTGTTATTATTATTATAAATGCCTGGTATTTAGGCCTGGAGTTCCTTTAAAGGAATCATTTACTGTGTACTTCCAATGTGCAGGGCAAGACCCTAGGTGCTGCAGGGAGATCCAAAGTTGGGCATTATATTCTAGCAGGTAGCTAAGACCTGTACACTGATAACCATACACAGGGTGGGTATGCTCAAGCCTAAAGACCAGCTGCAGAAAGCTTGTATTCGCTGTCTATTGCTGTGTAACAAATTGCCACAACTTAGTGGCTTAAAACAACATACAAGTATTATCTTACAGTTTCTGTGGATCACAGATCTGAGCATGATTTAGTTAGATCCTCTGCTTCAGGGTCTCTCATGGGCCACAGTCAAGTTATTGACCAGGGCTGTGTTGTCATTTGAAGGCTCACCCGGAAAAGGATCCTCCCCTTCCCAGCTCATGTTGGCAGATTTCAGTTTCCTAAGAGTTATTGGGCTGAAGGGCACAGTTCCTTGCAGGCTGTTGGCTGGAGGCCTCCTGCATCGTCTTGCCATGTGGGCCTCTGCAGCGTTGTGTTCTGGAGTTGCATGCTTTGGTAAAGCTGCTCGCTATATCAAAGCATGCAACCCAACAACACAATAGAGTGAGTCTAGTAGCAACATGGAAGTCACAGTCTTCTATAACCCAGACACAAAAGGTAATGGTCTACTCAGAATCTTTCCATTGAAACTGTTTCTCTGATGCTCAGAGCTGTCATGCACTGTGCCCTCACCAACCCACACATGGGGATCCACTGTCTTTATGTCTCCCCAGTGGTTTCTTCAGAGATAGATTCTGGGGAGGAGGGGGAAGCCAGAAGCCCAGGTTAGTTTACCATTTTGTCAGTTGCAAGGAGCTCTATGTCAGTTAGCTGTATATTAATCTTAGCTTTTTCAGTAGTTGTGGTACTCTGTCAGGATCCCCAAAAGTTTCCTCCTAATTGGTTCAGTGTACCCATCCCCCAGTTTCTACAGGCTTTACTCCCAAGAGTTCACATCTGCAGTTCTCTTCAGAGGACTCCTCTTGGTACCCTGGAACCTCTTCACGCAGATGCTTCCAGAACCAAAAATGTCTGGGAACTCGCAAACCCCCATGGTGGCCTATATATACTCCTTACTAGTGCAGGAGTATAAAAGCCTAGCCCCCTTGCTTTCAGGTAGGACAAACTCCTGGTTAATTTATTCTCAAAATCTCCTAAGGGGTCAGGTTGAGGCTGGAACTTCACTTTAATTCACAACCTTGCTTGGTGCTATAGACTAAATGTTTGTGTTCCCTGCAAAATTCATATGTTGACGTCCTAGTCCCAAGATGGGAGGTGCTTAGGTTATGAGGGCTCCCCCTTCATGACTAGGATTAGTGCCCTTATAAAAGAAGCCCCAGAGAGCTAGCTAGTCTTTTCCAACATGTGAGGTAATAGTGAGAAGATGGCTGTCTATAAAGCAGCCCTCAGGTTCAGGTGCTGAATCTGCCAGCACCTTGGGGCTGATCTTGGACTTCCCAGTTGATATGGTTTGGCTGTGTCCCCACACAAATCTCATGTTGAATTGTGATCCCCAGGGTTGGAGGTGAGACCTGGTGGGAGGTGACTGGATCACGGAAGTGGGTTTCTAATGGTTTAACACCATCCCCCTAGTGCTGCCTCATGGTGAGAGTTCTCATGAGATCTGGTTGTTTGAAAGTGTGTAGCACCTCCCACTTTTCTCTCTCCTCCTCCTGTTCCCACCGTGTAAGACGTGCTGGCATCCCATTCACCCTTCCACCATGATTGTAAGTTTCCTGAGGCCTTCTGTACAGCCTGTGGAACTGTGAGTCAATTAAGCCTCTTTATAAATTACCCAGTCTCAGGTATTTCTTTATAGCACTGTGAGAATGGACTAATATACCAGTAGCAAATGACTCCACTGGTTGGTCTTGGGTCTGGAAGGTGCACAATTAGAAAATGGGGGCAAGGAGTTTTGGGGGAAGAAGACCTATAGGAGTGGGCACAAAGGGGATGCAGATTCTTGCATCGCACATTAATGCCTACCAGAGAGCGTTCACTGCAGAAGAGGCATTAAGACATGATGACTAATCCAGAAGATATCAGCCAGCTGCTGATACCCTAGTCTTTAGCTGCTACCCTAGTTCTTGCCCAATAGGTTCATGAATGTAGTATCTATGGTGATAGAAATGGAGGCTATGCATGAGTCCAAAAGCATGAACTTCTTCTCACCATAGCTAATGTAGCTACTGCCACTGCTAAATGTCTGATCTGGCCAGGTGCAGTGGCTCACGCCTGTAATCCCAGCACTTTGGGAGGCCAAGGCAGGCAGACTGCTTGAGGCCAGGAGTTTGAGATCAGCCTGGCCAACATGGCAAAACCCTGTCTCTACTAAAAATACAAAAATTAGCCAGGCATGGTGGTGTGTGCCTGTAATCCCAGCTACTCTGAAGCCTGAGGCATGAGGATCACTTAAGCCCAGGAGGCAGAGGTTGCAGTGAGCCAAGATGGCACCACTGTACTCCAGCCTGGGCAACAGAACAAGACAGACTTTTTTTCGTTCCCCCCTCCCCCCCAAAAAATCTGATCTATCAATTACATAGACTGACTCTGAGTGCCCAGTATAGGACCATTCCTTGAGGACACCAACCAGAGACTTAGTGGCAAGTTAATTAAGTAGGACTTCTTTCATCCTGGAAAGAACGGACATCATTTTGTTCTGACTGGGATTGGTACAAATTCTGTGTATGGATTTGCCCTTCCTGCTTGCAGTGCTTTGACAAGATCTAATATAGGACTCAGAATGTCTGATTTACTAAGAGAATCCACAAAGCATTTTTTTCCTCACTTTTTGGTAGAGGAAATATGTTGGTAGTCACATAACTGTGAGATCCACTGGTCCCACAACATATCACACCATTCAGAAACATCTATCCTGATAATATCATAACCATTTTTTGAAGGCATAGCTAGGCACAAACTTAGAAATGATACTGTGTGAGGTTGGGGCATTATGCTTCAGGATGCAGTATGTGACTTAAACCAATAACCATTATACTATATTGCATCTCTAGTGAGTTGAGTGCATGGGTCTGGGAAGCAAAGGGTGGAAATAGGAGTAGCCTGGCTCACCATCACTCTCAGAGAACTTCTTAGGGGAATGTATGCTTCCTGTCCTCACAATTGTAGAGCATTAGGTCTAGAGGTTCTAGTTCCTGGAGGAAAATGCTTTGCACCAGTGGACACAAGAAGAGTCCCACTAAACAAAACTACAGCTACTGTCCTATTTTGGACTCCATGAAGGGGGAAAAAAAAGCAGTTATATAATGGTAGGGGTAACTGACCACTATTATAAGGAAGTAGGGCTGCTGCTACATAATGGGACAGGGAGGAACATTTTTCCACTCAAAAACCATTACCTAATAAAGACATGGTAGTACAGAATTTAGATCCCTCAAAGATGACGTTTTGGGTCACTTCATTGGGCAAGCCACCTACACTGGCAGCAGGGCTAGTTGAGGACCAGGCGCAGTGGCTCATGCCTGTAATCGCAGCACTTTGGGAGTCAGAGGCAGGTGGATCACAAGGTCAGGAGATCGAGACCATCCTGGCCAGCATGGTGAAACCCCATCTCTACTAAAAATACAAAAAAAATTAGCTAGGCGCGGTGGTGCGCGCCTGTAGTCCCAGCTACTTGGGAGGCTGAGGGAGGAAAATCACTTGAACTCAGGAGGCAGAGATTGCAGTGAACCAAGATGGCGCCACTGCACTCCAGCCTGGCAACAGAGTGAGACTCTGTCTCAAAAAAAAAAAAATGGGGGGCTAGTTGAGGTTGAGGAGAATCTAGAATGGATGATAGGGAAGAAAGATTATGGTATAATTTGACTGTGTCTCCACCCAAATCTCATCTTGAATTGTAGTTCCCATAATCTCCAAGTATCACAGGAGGGACCCCGTGGGAGGTAACTGAATCATGGGCGTGGTTTCCCCCATGCTATTCAAGTGATAGTGAGTGAGTTCTCATGAGATCTGATGATTTTATAAGGGGCTTGCCCCTTCACTCAGCTTTCATTCTTCTTCCAGCAGCCATGTGAAGAAGGATGTCTTTGCTTCCCCTTCCACCATGATTGTAAGTTTCCTGAGGCTTCCCCAGCCATGCTGAACTGTGAGTCAATTAAACCTCTTCATAAATTACCCAGTCTCAGGTTAGCACCATGAGAAGGAACTAATACAGATGATGAATATGTTATTGTCTTAGGACCAGCTGCAGCAGCAAGGGCTATCTATGGTCTGTCTTTTTTGAATAAGCTGTGACATGATGAAGTGAAACTGACGTGAGAAGCATGTTGATATCGTTTGGATTTGTGTCCACACCCAAATCCCATGTGGATTTGTAATCCCCAGTGTTGGAGGTGGGGGCCTGGTGGGAGGTAACTGGATTATGGGAATAGATTTCCCCTTTGGTGCTGTTCTCATGAGTGAGTTATGGCAAGATCTGGTTGCTTAAAAGTGTGTAGCATCTCCCCTTCTCTTCCTTGGTCCTGCCCTGGCCATGTAGGATGTACCTGCTTCTCTTTCACTTCCCACCATGATTGAAGGTTTCTTGAGATCTCCCCAGAAGCTAAGCAGAGGCCACCATACTTCCTGTACAGCCTGCAGAGCCATGAGCCAATTAAACCTCTTTTCTCTGTAAATTTTGCAGCCTCAGGTATTTCTTTATAGCAGCCTGAGAACGAACTAATGCACATGTGGATCTAAGTGGTGCAGGGGGTGGACTGTCATGGGTGTTGTTGGTGCTCTGCCCAGATCCCTTCATATCCCCCTTTCCAGTTCATTGCCCCTAGCCCCAGCTTCTAAGTGGTTTACTCCTAAAGGTTCATACCCCTTCCTTCAGAGAACTTCCTTCCCTTAATCTATAGGAGCCACTTCACTGCAGAAGAGGTATTAAGCACCTAGACTCACTTAACGCGTCTAAATTAAGTGCCTAGACTCACCCAGACTCACCTCAGAACCAGAAGTGCTAGGTATTTTTGTCCCCCCACCCTTTCCAGGAAAGACTATAGCCAGTGACTAATTGGTGCAGGGTTATGAAAACCCCAGCTCCCTTGCCTCAAGTTGGGATAAATTCTAATTTATGCTCCAGAACTAGCTGGGGATCTTGCTGGGGCTGGAACTTCACCTTAAATTGCTCCCTTGCTTGGCTGCTTCTTTCCTATTCTGCTTCCCTTTCTAGTTTCTCCTGGAAGCTCTTCCTTAATAAATTGCTTGCACGCAAATCCTTGGCAACCCAAGACAGTTCCCTAGTAGAAAATACACTCTCGAGCTTCAAGTCAGTGACAAGGAAATAAAGAAAAAAAAAAAAAAAAAAAAACACTTAGTGAACAGCTATGGTTTACAAGAAAAAAAAAAAAAAATGTTAAAGCCCAGAATGGAGTACCTACCATGAGTCAATTGTCTTTGGTTTGGATTTTCATTTCCTAAGAATTTGATGATCATAAGTGGTTATTCTGGTAGTACATTACAGAGTGGGACATCTGTAAATTATCAATGATACATCAACATAAACCGTATGCCCCAGATTTTTTGGACAACCTTGATTTCAAGTTTTTAATCCCCTTGTCAGACCATGTTCCAGACAGTGTGTCCTGGCTGGTGTGGGTGTTTGGACAGCAAAGGGGGATGCTGGGCTAGCCAAGAGGCAGCTGAGAGGACGAACTTGAGCATTATAAAAAGGCAGACACTTGAAGTTAATAAGCACAACTGGACTTCAAGTCCTGGCTCCACCCCAACCAGCTGTAGGCCACATTTTATTCCTGTTAAAATGAAGTTCCCAGCTCCCACCTCACAGGATTGAAAATGAGGTGATGTATACAAAACGCTTAGCATTGCTCCTGGATTTCGTGAAGTTCAAGAGATGGTTCCTTTGGAGGGGAAGAAGAGTGGGTGAAGAACCCTCCAGTGGAGTTTGGGGACTTCATTGTCCTAATAGAGCCGGCAGGGGATGGGGGACCAGAGGTCGAGAGCCCACGTTGAAGCGTTGCATTCATCTAAATTTGCTGAGCGCCGTCTCCCTCCCAGGGCGCGGGACTCAATACTTGTACGCCAAGGGGGAAAAGGCCGTCAACTCGACCTGGAAGGGACGGCGCAACGCAGAATGAGCCGCGAGGCCCCGGGCCACCACGTGGCTTCCCGATGGCCTCCCCCGACCCTCCCCCACTCCGGCCCCGCAGGGGAAGTAGGTGAAGGGTGGAAGCCGAGAGACCGCGCCGCGGAGGCGGCCCGCCGCCGGTTTCCTAGCAACGCCCGCCCCGCCCCGCCCCGCTGGCGCGCCGGCGCCGGGAAGCGGGGGGGGGGCGGACCGCCGTTGCCATGGCAGCGCGGCGGCCGCGCCCGACGCCGCCGGCGCCTGCGGGAAACGCGGGCCAGGGGCCCAGAGTGGGCTGCCAGGTGGCGTCCCTGCCTAGCTCCCACTCCGGGATGGACCAGACCTCGCGCCCGGGGGTGTCAGTGGAGAAACCGAGTCGCCCCGAAAGGTGGCAGGGCCGCAAGGCCGGTCGGCCCCACTCACTCCCCCGCCGACTGGGGCGACTGAGAGCTTGGAGACTTTCCAGTTTGTCTGGTGGGGTCTGAGTTGGTCTTCGGGGCCGGAGTAGGCCAAGGGAATTTTTTTGATTTTGGAATCTCTTCGGACCTTTTTTCCACACCTAGTCAAGACTGCACGCGTGTGCACACACGCATACGCACGTCTGCAGCCTGATGTCCCATCCTTTTACCCTAGGTGTTGTCACCTGAAGGTTCTTTAATCTCGGAAAGAGAATATGCAAAAGATAGCAGCTGCCAAAAGCTGCCTTTTAAAACGACTTTGAAAATCAGTGTTATTTCCCGAGGGCCATTTAAACGGAAAACCTCCGTGCCTGGAAGGGTGTTCTAGATTCTGGACTCAAATTTGCATTATTCTAAATCACTTTTTGCAGTGAGCTGCGATTGGAGAATTCAGTTGTGGAGTATTAAATTTAACCGTACACCCATTTAGCTAGTGTAATGATCGCTTGGCCAAAAGACCCACTCACAAAGACAAAGCCACACGCTTCTCAGTCGTTCTCTGGCTTGAGTGTTTTTAATAGAGGCGGAGTCAGTCACATGTTTGTGAGTTTAATCAAATTGACAAGGGCTCTGAGCGAGAAAAGCTTACTGTCTAATTCGAAGGCAACATTAGGTACATAGAGATGCATTCTCTTTGGACTTATTTGAATCAGAGCTTTTCAAATGGAATCCTCTCCTGCACATATTTTTCTCGATCTGCTGCAACTGGAAAATTTAAATCAAAATCTTATTTCTTATATTCATTTTGATGGTAAATGTGCTGGTAAATGTGTCTGCGCTGAGATTCTGCATTTTCTTGATCAACAAGGAAATGCGCAGCAATCACTGTGAATTGAGCACCTTGCTGATTGAGCAACACTTAAACCTAGAGGCATGAACGACCATAATCTTGGGATGAGAATCCCCTGTAGTATATTTCAAAAGCATATTCACAGCTAACCTTTTTCCACTCCAAAGGATCATTCACTTGGAACTTTTTTATTCTTCATCTTGCCAGACTATTTAATTTCTTCTAAAACCACTTTGACACACTTTTTAGTTTGAAAACGTGATTGTGTTTGGACAAGTGATCATATAAAATTAATTTATACACACACACACACACACACACACATATACACAATGTCCTCTTAATCTTAGATCATTTTTTCCCAGTATCAAAACAGAACCTTTAATTTGCATGGTGGAGGGTAGAAGATAAATTCAGAAAGCTAAACCAAAAGTCTGAACAGAATAGTTTTATGTTTAGCACTATGGAGGGAAAAAAACGATGAAACTGTGTATACCTAATGACTTTGTGTGCAAAGGGCAAATCATTAAATTAATTTGCTGTACATTTGGTAGTTAAAATGTACCAAATGTATGGGCCCAATGGCTCATACCTGTAATCTCAGCGTTTTGGGAGGCTGACGCAGGCAGACTGCTTGAGCCAAGGGGTTCGAGAGCAGCCTAGACAACATGGTGAAACCCCGTCTCTACAAAAAATACAAAAATTAGCCGGGTATGGTGGCATATGCCTGTAGTCCCAGCTACTTGGGAGGCTGAGGTGGGAGAATCAGTTGAGCCCAGGAAGTTGAGGCTGTAGTGAGCTGTGATTGTCCCACTAGACTTCAACCTGGGCAACAGAGCAAGACCCTGTCTGAAAAAAAATTGTTTAATGTTATAATAGCAACAAAAATAAAAGTGAATTTTACAATAAAATAAGGGCATTTGCATACATGAATTTTTATTTGGAAACTTTCATAGCCCCTCTGATTATTCATTCATTATCCTAAAGTTCTTTCCACAGAGGTTATTATCAGACTGAGCCCAGAACAACTTGGCCACAGAATATTGGTAAGGGTCCATAAGTGTCTGCAGATAGAATTGCCCAGATCAGCTGTTTAACTGGTTGGTCTCTCTAGACAGAGGTTTAGTTACACACATGAGTTAGCCCAACCTTCACTCCCTATACTTCATTGACCACTTGGCAGTGTTAAATAGACACCAGAGAAGCCCATATGATTTATGCATGCCCTACTTTATTAATAATATTGGAATGTTGACAACCTCACTAGATTTTCCACATAATTTCCTAACGTGGAAATGATCTCCATACAGCCGTTCCAGTTAGTTGCCAGGATCACAAAGTTTCTGCCTTATCATTTATGGTTATTGTTACCTCGGGAACCTAATATTTATCAAACACGAGATCCATTTTGCATGCTCACCTTTTCCTCTTTTTCAAATAATCAGTGACCTTAAGCTTTAAGCATCTTATCGTTATTACAGACTACCAGCCTCTTATCTAATCCTGCATTAAACTCGATTTACTGCTTTATCTATACCACTTTAATCTTTTAGAAGCTTATCATAATATGGACTCTTTAATGAAATATTTTTATAATAAGAATAAACTAACCTTTCTCTATTTTCCCAGATCTCTCTACTTTTGCTCATTTACCTATATGCCTTTATCCTTCTTTAAATATTTATGTTTCCCAGTTTCATTCCTTATATACAATGAAATAAGCCCAAATGCTTATCTTGTTACCACAGAAATGGTTGTGTTCCCACAAAATATGGAATCTTCTCGTTTAGCTCCTACTGTCTTATATTTAGCTCTCCTGATCTCAGTAAAATACAAATGCTTGTGTTGGTAGAAGACTCCATCATCCTGAAATCCTAAAATAATTTTTTCCCATCAAGTTGCAAGGCCACCTAAAATTCTCAAAGCACTCCTTTGCATTTGAAGAGGAAATAGTGTGCGGTAGTTAAGAGAACAGACTCTGGACTTAACCAAGGATTCGAGTCCTGCTTCTAACACTAGCTTTGAGACTTTGATCATGTTTTTTTAACCTCTCTAGGCCCCAGGCTCCCCATCTGTAAAGTGGGGATAATAGGACTTAACTCGTTAAGTTTGGGTATTTTTAAGAGGTAAATGAGATAATTCTTGAAAAGTACGTGGCACACAGTCAACAAAAAATACCAACAGTGGCTGTGATTATTATCATTATCAATATTAGAACATTATATTCATGGTCCCCCACTTACCTCAGCCTGAATTCGTTTATTAGATTAAACTGTCCACAGAGGATCAGGATTCTGACCAAGGAGGAGAGGGATGCAAGGAGAAGGGAACAGTTCAGAGCACAGGCCAGCAGCTAGAAGGAAGTGTCCACGGGTATCCCGGGAAGCTCATGCACAGCATGGGTCATTAGGCACCTAAGATGATAAAGTGGAATGAAAAATAATCAGAGCTGACAGTAGAATAATGTTCATAAAACTAGTCATGACATAGTCAAAGCCATGAGAGATAAGATGTTTAAATACATGTAAGACTGTGAACCTGCCATATAGGAAAAATATTTTAAAAGGGAGAATTCTGATGAATTCAAAAGACTTAGACCTAGGTGGGAAGATCTTTTTAATGAATTGAGGTTTCCTGGCAGAGGTCAGAATCTAGTCGTTTTAGTTTATTTTCATGCTGCTAATAAAGACATACCAAGACTGGGTAATTTATACAGGAAAAGGTTTTATGGGCTCACAGTTCCACATGACTGGAGAGGCCTCACAATCATGGTGGAAGGCAAGAAGGAGCAAGTCACGTCCTACATGGATGGCAGCAGGCAACGAAGAGAGCGTGTGCAGGGAAACTCCCCCTTATAAAACCATCAGATCTCGTGAGACTTATTCACTATCAGGAGAACAGCATGGGAAAGACCCGCCCCCATGATTCAATTACCTCCCACTAGGTCCATCCCACTGTGGGAGCTACAAGTCAAGATAAGATTTGGGTGAGGACACAGCCAAACCATATCACTACTCTAGGGAGTTTAAGCAGAAGGAAATTTGTTATAGGATGATAAATGGCTTTCTGGCTTGTTTTTAGGGTTGAGGAAACCCTTGTAGGTTGAACTTTGAATATGACTGTCCAAACCACCGCATGGAACCAGATCAGGGCCTTTGTGTAACAGGAAACTGCCTGCCACATTATGAAGCTGCCACTACAATTTCTGGCTTGGGAGCCACACTGCCACAGTCATGATCAGAAACCCACCACCATTAGGAAACCACTACCATTAGGGAGGCCCTGTGATCCTACAGCTGCCAGCAGTAGAGTCACGGCACCCTCATGAAATCTACACCAGTGAAATGGATGCCCCGTGACCTCTTTGGATACTTGCAAGGCTAGTGACTGCACACTGGGACATTTGTTAACTCTATTGAAGAAACACTCAATGACTCCTCTACCAAGCTTGCCAGTAGAAATAGCAAAAGCAGCAGAAGTGAAGCTGGAACCAAGCTGGCGCATCGTGAGAACCTAAATTATATTCAGAACCTTGCTTCAAAGAAGTGTGAAAGGGAGTGTGTGGTGTTCCACCTCTGCAGTAGTGGAAGACACACCAAATATGTCAGAATGGCTGTTGAGCACTAATCCACCTTGTCCACTGCAGACCACATATTTGGCTAAGAGTTCATATACACTCTTTTTCCTAAATTTAAGCTTCCAGGTAACAGCAATAACAACAGATCCTCAGTAACATTCCAGTGCACTTGGCTTCTCCCCGCAGGGAGACCAATATCGTATCTATCTCTAGGTAATGTTTATTTGTTTTCTTTAACCCAGTCACAACCCAGTCTTGATGTCCCACAACCTATGGGCTAAATTCAAGTAAATCATGACCAAAAACCACTGTATAAAATATTAGGGGCCAGGGAAAAGGAATAAAAAGGAAAGTAGTTAATATATGTTTAAAAAAAAAAAAAAAAGGCACAGCCAGGCACAGTGGCTCAGGCCTGTAATCCCGGCACTTTGAGAGGCTGAGGCAGGCGGATCTCTTGAGCCTGGTAGTTTGAGACCAGCCTGGGCAATATAGCGAGACCCCGTCACTACAAAAAATACAAAAAAATTTGCCAGGCATGCTGGCATGTGCCTGTTTTCCCAGGTACTCAGGAGGCTAAGATAGGAGGATCACCTAAGCCTGGGGAAGTTGAGGCTGCAGTGAGCAGTGACCATTCCACTCCACTCCAGCCTGGGTGACAGAGCAAGACTCTGTCTCAAAAAAAAAAAAAAAAAAAAAAAAATATATATATATATACACACACACACACACACACACACACACACACACACAAAGATATATATACACACACACACAGAGAGCTACTCCTATGTATAGAGATACTTGATTGATAGGTAGATAGATACCCATATACCTATATAAATAGAGGTATATAAGTAGCTACCACAGTCCTCATTTTTGCTATTGGTCTCAACTCAAAGTTGGTTTTCATAACTTCCTTCCTCTACTACCCATTCCCTGTAGTCTTTGCTCCCAGCCAGTTGCTCAGTGGGCCAGACTTCTTTGCCTGGGGACATGGCCTCAACCTTCATTCCTGAGGTGTCTGTTTTCTAGGGATGATAGTCTTTTCTAACTTTGGCCACTGGATGTGGCAGTACCGAGAGGCACTCCAGAGAATCTACTAGCTTTTGCAGCAAAGCAGCAACTTTAATTCTCCCTGATATTCAGGAGTAACCATGAGAAGCCTAATGATCAGATGGCAGGCTCAGCCCCCACCCATGTGCTCCGTGATGGGAACACGCCTCCCTTGAGGCCACAAACCTGAAAATCAACCCAAACCCAAAGTTTGAGGTGATTTAAACTCAAGCACATAAACATTTAAGAAGATCAAACCTATATTATTTATATTTTATGTCAAGAAGGAATTTGTTTACATTTGTGACTTTTGTTAAAGAGAATTTCACATCTAGATTAAACAAGTCAGTCTTGTTATTCTAAATAAAAATCATAATTGATTTAGGCTGGTGATTTCTATATAGAAATCTTTCCACATTCATACAAAGTATTGGAACACTTAAGAGAAGTTAAGACAATGTAGTTATACATTTATAGTAACAAATTTTTTATTTTTTATTTTTTATTTTTTTGAGACAGAGTCTCAGTCTGTCGCCCAGGCTAGAGTGCAGTAGCACAATCTCGGCTCACTGCAACCTCCGTCTCCCGAGTTCAAGCAATTTTCTCTGCCTCAGCCTCCCAAGTAGCTGGGATTACAGGCGCCCACCACTATGCCCACCTAATTTTTTTGTATTTTTAGTAGAGATGGGCTTTCGCCATGTTAGCCAGGGTGGTCCCAAACATCTGACCTCAGGTGAATAGCCCGCCTCCGCCTCCCAAAGTGCTGGGATTATAGTCATGGGCCACCGCGCCTGGACTATAGTAACAAATTATTCATATTATATATGTGATTCAACATGTTTTATTAGATTTATGAGAATAATACAAATACCTGGGAAATTTTTGAAATTGTTGTTAAGATAGACACCTGAGCTATGTTAAAAGGAAATCTAATACATCAAATATATAAATGTAGTTAAAAATGTTTAAAGGAGTTTCAACTGATCTTACAAAAGCCTCCTTAAAAATGATTGTTGGCCAGGTATGGTGGCTCCCGCCTGTAATTCTAACACTTTTGGAGGGCGAAGTGGGTGGATCACTGGAGCTTAGGAGTTTGAGACCAGCCTGGGCAACATGGTAAAACCCTATCTCTACAAAAAATACAAAAACTAGCTAAGCCTGGAGATGTGCACGTGGGCCTGTAGTCCCAGCTACTCAGGAGGCTGAGGTGGGAGGATTGCTTGAGCCCAGGAGGTGGAGGTAGCAGTGAGCTGTGATTCCACCACAGCACTCCAACCTGGGCAACAGAGCAAGACCCTGTCTCAAAACCAAACCAAAACAAAACAAAAACATGTAACCACTGAATAATCTTAGCTGTGCACAGAAGCCACTTCCAAAGATATCTAAAAACTTGCTTTTAAATGAGGCTTATGGCCTTGGAAGCAATGTGATGTAGCAGAAACAGGAGGTGTTTTGGAGTTTGAGATCTAGTCTTCAGTCCTGGCTCTCCTACTCAAGTAACTACACTACTTGGGGAAAATAGTTTATTATTACAGAAATAGTGATCTTTGTAAATAAAAAAAATAAACCTACATTCATAGATTTGTTATGATATTCATATGAGACATTACATAAAAATATACATTGAAACTATAAAGTATCTTTCAAAACTAGAGTGTTATTATATAAACCAAGGTATAAAGGCATTTACGCAAATTGTTGGTCCACAAAATGAAACAAGAATTTTGAAGGCCAGGCATGGTAGCTCATGCCTGTGATCCCAGCACTTTGGGAGGCCAAGACTGGAGGATCGCTTGAGCTCAGGAGTTCGAGACCAGTCTGGGCCATACAGTAAGAAGATACTGTCTGTACAAAAAATTAAAAACTTAGCTGGGTATGATGGTGCGAACCTGTCGTCCCAGCTACTTGGGAGGCTGAGGTGGGAGGACTGCTTGAGCCCGGGAGGTCGAGGCTACAGTGAGCCATGACAGCACCCATCACTGCACTCCAGCCTGGGTGACAAAGCAAGGCCCTGTCTCAAAAAAAAAAAAAAAAAATTTTTAAACAATTTCCTAGCATACTTATCATTTGAATAATTTAAATCTTGATTGTAACTAATCTGTGGTGTTCTGGTAATCAGATTTAAAATTACTATAATACTCAGAAATGTGTTTCTTTAACATTGAAAATACTAACATAGACATTTTATAACTTCTACGGTTTCAACATGAATTCTTAATAAGGCCAACTTCTTTCCCAGGAGAAGCACAGTTTTTAAAATTTAATTTAATTTTGTGCCATAATTTGCTGTATAGTTTTAGAGTTAGAAGGAATCTTAAAAATCATTGTGTTCAATACTATATGTTTATAAATGAAGACACTGAGGATTTGATAAGTTAAGTGACTTGTCCAAGAGCATGTTATTAGGAACACATTTATAATTTAATTATATTATAAATTAAAGCACAAAAAATAAACAAAATTAGCCGGGCATGGTGGTGTGCACCTGTAGTCCCAGCTATTCAGGAGGCTGAGACAGGAGGATTGCTTGAGCTAGGGTGGTGGAGGCTGCAGTGAACCATGATTGTGCCACTGCACTCCAGCCAGGGTGACAGAGCAAGACCCTGTCTCCAAAATAAATAAATCAATAAATAAAAACCCCAAAACACAATAATGTTGGATTCTTTATATTTGTAAGACCTGTTTGACGTGTATGTTCGAAACCTTACACAAATAATATATAGCTAGAAAGAGTAGATATGTGATTTATAGCTGAGAATGCAAACTACTCTTTTCAAAGCCTATTAGAGTGAACTATTTGGAATCATATGGGTGAAAAAATGATCACTTATTCCTTTGTGTTCTTTATTTTTCTCATTTGTACAATAATTCCTCTGTAGGTTTCCTAAGACATATTGATGGAAGAAAATAGTAAAGAAATCAACTCTAACATTCTTTTTCAGTGTTTATCCACAGAGGTTTGCCTGTTTAGTTTGCTACATTATTTTATTTAGTCTAATCAGCTTCCCATAAGAAATACCACTGAGGACGATTGTCTAAGGTACATGTTTTCATGCTGGCATTGAAAAGCATTAATAGAAGTTAAATATAGAAGTCCCAATATGCTAAGATACATTTTCAATTGTAAAATATAATTTCCTTTCACATCTTTTCAAACCTGAAAGGTGGAGAATGGCTCGTTAAACTCAAATATTTATATAGTTTTGATAATATCAGTAAAAGGAACTGATTTTTATTCTTTTTTTAATCTTAATCTTTTTACAGAGTTTACAACACAATCCACTGAACTGGATTTTCCTCAATTCAGGGAACAGGGGTCTCCTATAGACATGCATTTGTATGACCAGCATGGATTTATGTCAAAGTTCTTTCCTTCCCACCAAGTTGCCTTTCACTCTTTTCTGTGTGTGTAGAATACATGCATGTATATATGTTTTATTATAAAATTGGCATTATGCTTATGTATTGCTGTATAACCTGCTTTTGTCACTTGATATGGATGTTTTCTCAGATGATTAAGTGTTCTTTTACAGCATGATATTTAATGGCTACATGGTATTCCATCAACCAGATGAACCATCATTTATTTACACACTCTATTGTTGGGCATTTGTGGTTACAGTTTTTCACTATTATAAATAATGTTGTGATGAATGTCCATGTATATAAATCTTTGTGCTCGGTTCTGATCATTTCTGTAAGATAAATTCCAAGATATGAAATTGCCAGGCCCACGAATGTGAGTATTTGTACAACTTTTTATATATAATGATCAGGAGGATACCATTTATTGGACTCTATATTTTAGGCACTGTGCTAAATGCTTTATAAAAATAATCTCATTTAGGCTGGGCGCGGTGGCTCACGCCTGTAATCCCAGCACTTTGGGAGGCTGAGGTGGGCGGATCAGCTGAGGTCAGGAGTTAGAGACCAGCCTGACCAACGTGGAGAAAAACCCCGTCTCTACTAAAAAACAAAATTAGCTGGGCATGGTGGTCCATGCCTGTAATCCCAGCTACTTGGGAGACTGAGACAGGAGAATCTCTTGAACCCGGGAAGTGGAGGTTGCAGTGAGCCGAGATCAAGCCATTGCACTCCAGCCTGGGCAACAAGAGCGAAACTCGGTCTCAAACAATAAAAAAATAAATAAATAAATAAAAATAATCTCAACCTTCACAACAAATTTATGAGGTAAGTGTTATTAATATATGCACTTTCCAGTGGAAACTGAGACTTGCGCCCAGAAAATGGTTAATAAGTGAGAGTGGGCCGGGCGCAGTGGCTCACTCCTGTAATCCCAGCACTTTGGGAGGCCGAGACGGGCGGATCACGAGGTCAGGAGATCGAGACCATCCTGGTTAACACAGTGGAACCCCCTCTCTACTAAAAATACAAAAAAATTAGCTGGGTGTGGTGGGGGCGCCTGTAGTCCCAGCTACTCTGGAGGCTGAGGCGGGAGAATGGCGTGAACCCGGGAGGTGGAGGTTGCAGTGAGCCAAGACAGCGCCACTGCACTCCAGCCTGGGCGATAGAGCGAGACTCTGTCTGAAAAAAAAAAGAAAAAAAAAAAAAGTGAGAGTGATTGGCAGACCTAGCTTTGAACCTGACTCACTTCAAGGCTGATATTGTTAATCACTATACTATATTGCCACTTCCATATTGCCAAAATATCTTCCACAAAAGATTATTCGATTTAGATTTCCCCCAGCAATACACAAGTGTGTTTGTTTCCCAATACTATTGTGGATTCTTTGATTATGAGTGAAGTTAAACAATTTTTTTCATGTTTTATTGGCCTTTCGCATTTCCTTTGTGGATTGTCTGTTCATGTCCTTTGCAAAAATATATGTCAGAAATGTTTCCTTTTGAGCTAGAGTCAGATTATCTGAATTCTAATCACAACTCTTAATCAGCTATGCAATGTTAGGAAAACCACCATAGAGTTCTGGATCTCCATTTCCTCTTGTGGAAAATTAGATGGTTAAATGAAATGATCCCACGGCCCATCTCTACAATTTTGTGATTCCATCCATCAGCCAGTTCACCCATGGTCAATCCTTTCACTGGGTGATGTGAGAGAAACAGATGGTGACCTATGCAGTGTATCTTTATGTAAGTCACTAAAAGATGCTCTAAAACATCTCTTCCGCACCTTGGGATTCATGTGCCCGACATCCCACCCTTCACTCCCTGGCAGCTTGAAGGTTTTCCTTCCTCAGTCTGCTAAGTCCGTCCTTCCTGCTTCCTCCTCTTTGCCCTTATATTCCTAAAATGTTGGGATTCTCGAGGCTTGCCCTTGATCTGTCACTCCTTTCATTAGATCGCTCTCAACCATATGATCTAGATGGGGTTCTTTGAACACGCCATGATTCTTGCCTCTGAACCCTCCAACATGCTGTTCCTTCCACCTGGAATGTGCTTCCCTTTCTTCACTGAACTGACTTTGAGTGTGTCTTCTGCTGGACGCAGGGAAACAGCCTGGCTAAAGCTTGACACGTGGATTTGGAGTCAGCCAGGTAAGGATTCAAGTCCATGTTCTAGCATGTACTAACCATGTGACCTTGGGCAACCTACGTATCCTCCCTAACCTTCATTTCCTCCTCTGTATAATGAGAGTAATGATACTATCTGCCTCTTAGGATTGTTGGGAGAAGGAAATGAGACAATACACACAAAACTTGGCACAAAATGCTTGATTGTGTTTTTTTAGCTTGCCTAGCATCTCACGCAATCTATCGTAGCGTTAACATACTGAGTTCTGAACATTCATTGTTTCATCTTCATTAATTAGCACCATGTCTGGCACGCCTTAGGCACTCAGCAGCCATTTGTGGAGGGAATGAATGAATCACATTGCAGATACCTTTAGGAGACTTTTTGTGGTGGTAGTTTTGATTTTTGTACTTACTGTGGTTTATTTGTTTGTTTTATTAACACCTTAGCAGGAATTGCTTTCCAACCAGATACGTTAGGAAACAAGATCAATTCTCTGAAATGGTTTAGATGTTTAGGATTGGGGAACAAGAATGCCTAACCCAGGCCAGGTGCAGTGACTCATGCCTGTAATCTCAGCACTTTGGGAGGCCGAGGCGGGTAGATCACTTGAGTTCAGGAGTTTGAGACCAGCCTGGTCAACGTGGTGAAACCTTGTCTCTACTAAAAATGCAAAAAATTAGCTGGGCATGGTGGTTCGTGCCTGTAATCCCAACTACTCAGGAAGCTGAGGCAGAAGAGCCTCTGGAACCTGGGAGGCGGAGGTTGCAGTGAGCCGAGATCATGCCACTGCACTCCAGCCTGGGTGATAGTGCCAGACTCCATCTTAAAAAAAAAAAGAAAAAAAGAGGCCGGGTGCGGTGGCTCATGCCTGTAATCCCAGCACTTTGGGAGGCTGAGGCGGGCAGATCATGAGGTCAGGAGATCAAGACCATCCTGGCTAACACAGTGAAACCCCGTCTCTACTAAAAATATAAAAAATTAGCTGGGCATGATGGTGGGTACCTGTAGTCCCAGTTACTTGGGAGGCTGAGGCAGGAGAATGGCATGAACCCGGGAGGCGGAGTTTGCAGTGAGCTGAGATCGTGCCACTGCACTCCAGCCTGGGTGACAGAGCAAGACTCCATCTCAAAAAAAAAACAAGAAAGAAAAAAGGAAAAAAAAAAAAAGAAATGCCTAATCCGGACAGACAAAATGACACCAAGTAGGGAGGGGAGAAGGTGTTGAAGACAAACTTTACCTCTTTGTGCTGTCAATGGGGACATTCTAAGAAGACACCCCAATTCCCCTGCTTTTCTTCCTAATTCTAGCAGAACCTTGGGCTACGTTAGTTAGTTATCGTGGGCAGGTTCGGGTCTATTCATATACAGAGATGGCTAATATTGCCTGTTTATCCCCAAATGTCTGCAATACAACCTCACAGAGGAACTGAGCAATAAAATATCTCAAACCAGTTATCGTCCTTAAAATAATATACATGTTTGGAAAATGGACTGTCTGGGAAGGTGGCCAGAGGGCAGAGATAGCAGAGGAAGCAAGGAGCAGATTGTATGGAAAGAGGGAGGCCTCAAGGCTTATTGAAAATTGAGATGTCTTTGGGGGAAGAAAAATCAATGTGGGCTATGAATCTTTTAGTATAGACTGATGGTGAAAAGCATCACAACTGTTTTTTTTTTAAAGCATTTTAAAATAATTATCCATGTATATCAGTTAGTGTTTCTTTAAAGAAAACAGCTCAGAAGTAGTGTATTTCAAAAAAAATTTTTAGATAGCAAAGTTGCCTCACATATGCAAATCGATGGCTGGTCACTCCCTAAAGTGCTGTGTGGTTTATCATCAGTTCTAAGAGCCTTAGACACAGGATTCTCATCAGGATCAATTCTGGAACTCAGTAACAGTAAATGCCTTGCCCGTTTTACAAAAATAACATCTACCTTCCCTCCACACCCCTCCACACCTTCCCTCAAACCCAGTTGATCTTTCTAATGGCTTTAGAGCATATGTATGTTGTTGAATTGTGCTGAGAAAAGCAGCGCCATTTTCTTTTTTTTTTTTTTGAGACGGAGTCTTGCTTTGTCGCCAGGCTGGAGTGCAGTGGCGCGATCTCGGCTCACTTCAACCTCTGCCTTGTGGGTTTAAGCAATTCTCTGCCACAGCATCCCGAGTAGCTGGGATTACAAGCGCCCACTACCACGCCCGGCTAATTTTTGTATTTTTAGTAGAGCCGGGGTTTCACCATCTTGGCCAGGCTGGTCTTGAACTCCTGACCTTGTGATCCACCAGCCTCGGCCTCTCAAAGTGCTGGGATTACAGGCGTGAGCCACTGAGCCTAGCCGGCAGCTCCATTTTCTTACCTGCGGCCTGCCCATTTCCCTTATGCTTTCCATTAGGTCTTCGCCATCACATGAACAATACCTTGAATGGTAAATCAAAGCATTCATGGAAGATGTGGGACAAAGAAGTTATGACTGCCGAGGCAGGTCATCGATTGGGCACACATACAAAAATTTCTGGATTGAGAAATGAAAACTCATGGCAGGTCCAGGAATTCCTCATGATACAGAAAGACAAGGCCCAACCTTCCACCCACATATAGTCTTTATAGGTGCACAGAGAATTATATACTCTCAGCATTTGACAAAAGCATGTTCAAAAATATTTTTCTTTTGCTATTTTCTAGTGTTTCCCCCCTCCATCTGTATCTACTTTGGGTGATTGACTTTTAAAAAGATAAATCGAATTTATGGATGGGGGGAGATAAGAGGCCGAAAGGGATGAGAGGAAATGTGTCTCCTTGCCTCTGCCTAGAATTCCCTCTTCCTCTTGACATCCAAAGCATCTACTCATCTTTAAGACCCAGCTCAATGCAACTTCCTCTGAAAATTGCCCCCCAACCTGATTCCTCTGAGCTTCGGCAGCCTGTCCATGGCTCCATCACATCCTCTTTCCCATGAGACGGCACAGCTCTTGATGACAGGTACTGGCCCTTCCCTACCTGATATGGTTTGGTTGTGTCCCCATCCAAATCTCATCTCAACTTGTAGCTCCCATTATTCCCATGTGTTGTGGGAGGGACCCAGTGGGAGATAATCAAATCATCGGGGCAGTTTCCCCCATACTGTTCTTGTAGTAGTGAATAAGTCTCATGAGATCTGATGGTTTTATAACGGGTTTCCCCTTCTGCTTGGTTCTCATTTCTCTCTCTTGCCTGCCATGTAAGACGTTCCTTTCACTTTCTGCCATGATTGTGAGACCTCCCCAGCCATGTAGAGCTGTGAGTCCATTAAACCTCTTTCCTTTATAAATTACCCCCAGTCTCAGGTATGTCTTTATCAGCAGCATGAAAACAGACTAATACACTACCTCTATCCTTAGGACAGTAACTGACGTATGGTATAACTCAATCAAAATTTGCTAAATGAACAACTGCATGAAAGAATGAAATAGATATTCAAAGAAGGAAAGGAAAAAAGGTAGCAGTGGTAAGCAGGTTTCACAAAGTAAGAAACAAGAAGAGCCAACACATCCAAACAATTTAAACAGGGAGAAGCCCTGAAATGAAATCTATTTTTCAGTCTTCACTGAGAGAGCTGCTGTACAGATTCTTGCCCAAAGTATATGTCAGTGCTGAGTGGTCACAGTCCCAGTTAAAACTGTGAAATGTGGAAGCGTTGAGAGCCACATCTAAGCATTCAGTTATAGCAACTTCATTTAAATACAGGAAAAGCCGTGTTTTCCAGAAACTTAACCCAGAAAAAGTTCTAGGAAAAAAAAAAATCTATTTTTGTTATTTTTAAATGGAAATTTTCAAGTGAACACACTGTCCCATACAGAAGCAAATCTATCTGAGGGATCTGTAGCCATGGAAAAGCATGTGGATGGCAAGAGCAAAGACTGACTTACTGGATGGTGGCTTTGGCAGCAAATGTTTTCTTTTCCCCAAAATGGTTTCTCCTCTTTCCCTTCTCCTAGAACTTGAAATACCCTCCATAAGAAAGCCAGTTTTGGGCCAGGTGTAGTGGCTCATACCTGTGATGCCAACACTTTGGGAGGTTGAGGTGGGAAGACCAGCTTGGATGACATAGTGAGACCCTGTCTCTACCAAGAAAAAAAAATTAGTCTGGTGTGGTGGCACATGCTGTAGTCCCAGTAACTCAGGAGGCTGGTACAAGAGGATCATTTGTGCCCAAGAGTTCAAGGCTACAGTGAGCTATGATCACACCACTGCACTCCAGCCTCAGCAACAGAACAAGACCCCATTTCCAAAATAAAGCCAGGGTTTTTTTTGGAGGTTGTCATTACATTTCTAGGAACTGTTCACATTCAACTAAAGTTCATTAAATTAACTTTTATTGGTGACTACATATACTTAGATAGCTATTATATTATAATACATATCACCCTTATACTAATTAAAGAAAAGAGGGTAAGTTTTGATGAAATAACATGTATGAATGGTCTAAACCTTCCTTCACATTGCTATTGAAATTCTCCTAGAATACAGAGCTGATTATATCACACCCCTGCTCAAATGCTTTTGATAACGTTTTATCTCCTATGGAATAAATATCAAATTCGTTAATGTAAGGGATATTTATTTGGCTTACCCAAACAGGAATGCTCTCTGCCCTATCTCGCCTCACTTCAACCATCTGGTTAGAAAGAAAATTCTCTCAAGCATTTTTACAGGACAAGAGGACAAAGACCATGCTGGTTTATTCGATGTCTTATTTAAAAATGTGAAAGAATTCATAGAATCATAGTGACCAAAAAAAGGGTCACTCTCATCGCCATCTTGGTTTTGGTGGGTTTTAGCAAGCTTCTTGACTGCAACCTGTTTTATCAGCAAGGTCTTTATGACCTGTGTCTTGTGCTGACCTATCTCATTCTGTGACTTAGAATGCCATAACCATCTGAGAATGGAGCCCAGTGGTCTCAGATTCATTTTACCCAGCTCCTATTCAAGTTGGAATTGCTTGGTTCAAACGCCTCTGACCTTTCCCTCCTCCCTTTTATAAAAGAATTCTTAATCCTAAGGGTTGCAGAAGGATGAAGATCCATCTTCTGTAACTTCTTCAGGCTGATAGGGGCAATGATATTCCTGCCTAACTATTGGGTCTTTTGTATTCAGGGTAGAGAGGAGCTCCGTCAGAAAGCATCAGTATGTTGAGGGCCATTCATAACTTTGAGTTCTGACCAAAGGTGATATCCGGAAGATTAATAAGTGTTCAGATTAATAAAACATTTGGTAAACTTATCCTGCATTCCTACACAGAAAGTACAACAGCAATATATTCCACAACAGTAAAACAAAATAAGTAATATTATCCCAAGCAAACTAAATAAGAAGGCCTTTCATGAACTGGGAAACTGTTGGAACCAAGCTGATATGGGGTTGCTAGCTGATTCCAATATGTGCCAAAATTAGAATATTGATCCTGTTTTTTGTTTTTTACATTACACAACCCCTTTGTTTCTTCTAAGCTGCAATCACAGATCACTGATTGGTTCACATGAGTAAGCAGGGTCAGTCTAAATCGCAGGAAAAAAATTCAAAAACAACTGACGAGACTAGAATCTAATAACAGGTGTACCTGTTCTTGAAACACAATTTTCTCTTTCCGGTTTCTCATTTTTACTAAAAGACAAATTGTGGTAAGACAGATTTGCTTTATTATACTTGGCCCAATTATTTGTATAAAGTGCAGCGAGAATAATTATTTTTCATATAGGCTTTTAAAATTGGCTTTGATGGAACTCTGTTCCATAAGGAATCTTAGATAAGACTTTTTTTTAAAGCTGAGCCCAGTCATAGGTTTATACCCTTAAATACCTATGAGCTGAATAAATTCCTCTCCTCTTGAGGTCTTAAAGTAACTTGAGGCTCCTGACCCTGTGGTAATTCTTTACTTACCACAGGTCAGGAACCCTGTACAGGGCCTGTGTAGTCAAGGTATGAGGCCAGTTTTCCCAAAGGGCTTTTATTGGCTCTGTAAGTCAAATTTGATTCCTTAAAGGAAAGCACACCATTCTAGTTTAAGCCTTGGTAAAATAGCCAGTTTCTCCAATTCTGTCCTATTGCAAAAGAAAACAGATTCTTATTGCACTTATGCGAATAACTATGTGCCATAAGTTAAGAATACTCACAAACAGTTTTCAATTCTGGAGAAATCAGGTAGACAGAAACAAATATGCTTCAAATTTTGACAGAATTATACATTACTCAATTGTTAAATGCTGTCAATATTTCAGAAGAAAAGTTTCCTTGACTCCAAAGTTGGCCAATCAGTGCTACAGTCTAGTTCTTTGGGTCGGGGGTCTCCTCAGTATCGTCCCTTCAGGGTTTGACAGAAAGATGTTACCGGAAAGGGGTCCCGATCCAGACCCCAAGAGAGGGTTCTTGGAAAGTGCACAAGAAAGAATTTCAGGTGAATCCATAGAGTAAAGTGAAAGCAAGTTTATTAAGAAAGTAAAGGAGGCCAAGTGTGGTGGCTCCTGCCTGTAATCTCAGTGCTTTGGAAGACTGAGGTGGGCAGATTACTTGAGGTCAGGAATTCAAGACCAGCCTGGCCAACATGGTGAAACCACATCTCTATTAAAAATACAGAAATTAGCCAGGGATGGTGGTGTGTACCTACAATCCCAGCTACTTGGGAGGCTGAGGCATGAGAATCACTTGAACCTGGGAGGCAGAGGTTGCAGTGAGCCGAGATGGCACTACTGCATTCCAGCCTGGGCAACAGAGCAAGACTCTGCCAAAAAAATAAAATAAAATAAATAAGTAAGTAAAGAAATACAGAATCCCTACTCATATTTCAAAGCCCAATTACAAAACCACCAAATATTTTCCTTGCCCCAAAACAAACCTGAGGCACCTCACGAAGCCTGTGTTCGTGTATATCCCAGTGTTTATTGGGCTTCACCTATATGCTGGGCACTGGGCCTTCCCAGGTCTCGAAAGTCAATTTCCCATGAGTTCCCACAGCTCTCTATTTATATATTTTGTAACCTAGGTTTTCCAGGGCATGCAGACGTGGAGTAATAACAGAGTCACAAAAGCCATCACAGGACTAGAGCTAGGACTAGGACAGGACTAGAGCATTTCTAATGCTTTTTAGAGCATCTCTAAAAAGAGAAATGCTCTAGTCCTGTCCATACCTGCGACTGTGAGAACATTTCCATCCAGTTCCCTTTGCCCAGGGAAGCATTTTATAACCCCTCAGACTACCTTAACACCCCTTTATGCTTTCTCGATCCTGTACTTTTCCTTTATAGGACTTAACCAATTAAGTCATCACTGATACAAGTATAAGTAACCTCTGTTTGCCCCAAGCAGACCAAAGACATTTGGGGCAGCGGCTAGTGTCTGACTGGTTGGTCATTGTATGTCCAGCATCTAGCCCAGTGCCCAGCACATAGGTAATGCTCAATAAACCTTGGGAGCATAAATGAACACAGGCTCCATGAAGCACCTCAGGCTCATTGATCCACATAAACCCTACCTTTAGTGTGTCTCATTTTCCTCCCTCATGTTCAGCGACCTGTGATGCCCCCATTGCTGTGAGGATGAGATTGCCAACATCTTCTGAAGAGAAGCCTTTCAAAGGAGCTTCTAACTTCTGAGGCCACCAAGATGCTGTTGATGGTCACAATGGCAGACATACATTGTCCCCTCGTATGTCTTCTTTGATCCGACTTCTGGTTGGACTGTCCAGCTGCTTAAAACACTATATTAGTGCCATGTCCATATGGACTCCAAAAATAACCCAAAGAGAGAAGGAAACCATTCTACCAGCAAGGGAACCATGAGACCTTGGGTACTGGATACCCAATGGACAGGCTACTGATGGAAAGATTTTGTCCATTTGGGCCTCTTCCCTTAAGACTCAGGGATGTGGCCAAAAGCCAGGTAGTCTCAATCTGTCTCATCTACTCTGACCTGAAGCACTGAATTGGCAATGATCTTATATGTCTCATTTCCCTCACAATTTCTGCTTCCCAAAAGTCACATCAACTTCTACCAGGCGTACCCCACAGAGACCTCCAGGCATTCTGAGACAAGGCCTCTCCTAAGGACATTTTTCAGGTTTCATGACACACTATCATAACACTTAATACACTCAGTGTATCAACCCTAGATTTTATTTTATTTTATTATTTATTAATTTTTGGAGACAGAGTCTCTGTTCCCCAGGCTGGAGTGCAGTGGCATGATCATAGCTCACTGCAGCCTCAAACTCCTGGACTCAAGTGATCTTCCTGCTCCAGCCTCCCAAGTAGCTGGGACTACAGATGTGCACCACCACGCCTGGCTAATTTTTAAAAACTTTATTTAAAGACAGAGTCTCACTATGTTGTACAGGCTGGTCTCAAACTCCTGGCTGGCCTCAAGCCATCCTCTCGCCTTGGCCTCCCAAAGTGCTGGGATTACAGGCGTGAGCCACCACGCCCAGCCTGTTTGCTAGATTTTAAATTCCTTTAAGAAAGTTCTCATGTCTTGTTTATCATTGTGTCTCTCTTTCTCACTTGCCGTGGTCTCCCATCCCCCAGTACCTAGCCCAGGCTTGCACATTCTAGTTGCTTAATAAATATTTGTTGTATGGATTGGCAAATCCACAGTTGAGAAGTTATTAAGGGAGAACAGGTTCAGCAGTGATCCAGAGTCCCCACAGAAACGCAAGAGGGAGAGTGGGAAAAGGGGAAGGCAGGGAGCAAAGGCCAGGGCTGAGGAGACGCCTCTTCTTCTACTTGACAGCTGTGTCTGTCTGAATGTTTTTCTCATTCTTCTTGTTCCTAGGGATGAAAAGGAAGGAAGGAAGTGGTAGATTTGTGCCTTACAGGGCTTCTGCAAAAATTGATACTTTCTGTTTCCAAATTATTTCCTTTCTATTTTTGTGTAGGTCTTACAAAGAGAAAAGGAAGTAAAGAGGAGAGAAATAACCTGAAACTTACAGCTGAGGAGAGGTCAGTGTGAATTAGCCTCATATGTTGGCCAGATTTTTGGACTACCTAATGTCATTCCACTTTCCCAATGTCAGGGAGCAAAGCTTTTACTCCACTCATAGAGCCACATATTTTTCCTTAGGCTGAATATTTAAAAAAAATAAATTTGTCTGGAATGGTAGCTATTTTTTGAGTTTTATGTTTGCATGCACAGTCATTCTGTTCTAGTAGACACAGTTTACCACCATTATGCAATAAGTCTTTCACTTCTTCAGAAACATATAGTCTATTTTTACAGTTCCCACTCTCTGCGGTGAATGCAAAAGTCCCAGAAGGAGCGTGCAGAGAAAGCAAGGATTTATGTACCAGCCACGCTCCCTCTCAGGGGTTCACAGTGTGCTTCCTACGTGGTGGTTTTGCAGGTGACGTGGGTGGTGGAAACTTCCTTAACTTATGCTCGATCTGAGTCTTCTCATCAGAACATGACCTTTGTCTCCTTAACCCAGAAGATGCCAATGAAGTGGGTATCCTCCAAGTGAAGGCTTGGAGGTTTGGAAGAAAAAATGAATTTCTTCCTCCCTTCACTTTTTTTTTTTTTTTTAATGTTGAAAACAAACCCTTTTTTTCCCACTGGCTGCAGCAGTTGCCCTCAATGAGATGCCTTGGTGACAGCTTCAGAAGCCAAGCCTACCTCTGAGAAATGGGCAAAAAAAAAAAAAAAAAATACATTTTCAACCTTGAGTGTATTTGAATTATTGTGTTGCTTTTTTTAAAGCTCCTTGAGAAACTGAAGACCAGAAATTAAAATAATGAAATCTGAGTCCTGTCCAGGCTTAGCCATCCTTCTGATTTACAGGGGCTGCTTATACCTTAATCTATGCCTTATGGCTCTCCATCTGAAAAAAGGTGCTGGATTTCAAGGTGGGTAGTGATCTGACATAAATTTTCAAGCACAATACTGTTCTTTTTCTGGCTGGGGCTGGAAGGAGGACATATATATTGGAAGCAGGACTAAAAATTTGACCCGTGTTTCTCACAGAATTCCAGAGCACCTTCTCAACACTGTCATAATCCTATCTACCCAAGGGAGAAGGTTTGAGGGAAATAGAGACTGTGCTTGAGATTCAGATTTACAGCTCATGGTTTCAAATATTTGGGTGTGTTGTCCTCTCTGCCTATACAACACGTTGGGCATTTGTTATGCATTTTCCTGGCATTCTAACCCTCAGTGTAGATGAAGAGATTGCATTATGAAATTTGTCTTATGAGCTGTGCAAAATTGAGCTGCGTTTGTAGCTTGCCCATCTCTTTTGATTCCCTATACTCTTCTGCCTTCTCCAGCACCTGATTCAGAATACAGTCCTCCCACCTCAACCTCCGAAGTAGCTGTGTGTTACCTTATGGCACATCTCAGTTCAGACTACCCACATTTCGAGGGTTAAATACCAGCATGTGTCCAGTGGCTACCTGGATGGACAGCATAAATATAGAACATTTTGATCACTATAGATAGAAAGTTCTATTGGACATGATCTAGCCCAGTGATACCTAATAAGAATATAGTGTGTGCCACACATGTAATTTTTTTTTTTCTTTTGAGACGAGGTGTCACTCTGTTGCCCAGGCTGGAGTGCAGTGGCACAGTCTCAACTCACTGCAGCCTTAACCTTCTGGGCTCAAGTGACCCTCCCACCTAACCTCCCAAGTAGCTGGGACTATAGGCGCATGCCACCGTGCCTGGCTAATTTTTGTATTTTTTTTTGTAGATATGGGGTTTTCCTATGTTGCCCAGAGCTGTGCACATGTAATTTAAAATTTTCTAGGAGCCACATTAAAAACTAGTGAAGAGAGGCCAGGCGAGGTGGCTCATGCCTGTAATCCCAGCACTTTGGGAGGCCAAGATGAGTGGGTCACTTGAGGTCAGGAGTTCGAGACCAGCCTGGCCAACATGGTGAAACCCCGTCTCTACTAAAAATACAAAAAATTAGCCAGATGTGGCGGCGTCCACCTGTAATCCCAGCTACTCAGGAGGCTGAAGTAGGAGGATCGCTTGAACCTGGGAGGCAGAAGTTGCAGTGAGCCGAGATTGTGCCACTGCACTCCAGCCTGGGCAACAGAGGAAGACTCCATCTCAAAAAAAAAAAAAAGTAGAGATAACAAGTGAAATTAATTTTCATAATGTATATTATTTAATAATTAATATATACAAAAGATGATCATTTCAACAGGTAATCAATACGAACATGTTAATATGATATTTTACATTCTTTTTTTTTTCTTAAGTCTTGGAAATCCAGTGTGTATTTTACCTTACAGCATATCTCAATTCAGACTACCTGCATTTCAAGGGTTACGTAGCAGCATGTGTCTAGCGGCATGAACAAAGAACATTTTGATTCCTGTTGGACAGCACATATCTATCCCATTCATGAGAATTTTTACATAGAAATTTGTCTTTCTGAAGAAGGCATCACCTGTCATCTTAACTTTCCAAAGAGCCTTAGGCAGTATCTTTCTAGTCAGCAGAATAACAAGAAAGCCCATTTCTAACTATTTGGAACTGTTTTTCCTTAAGGCTCAATCTGTACTAAAGTCCCTGGTAAGCAAAGAAAACAGAGCCAAATGCTTTCTGCATTCCGCAGCTTATCTGTTCGCTAGAGGCTCTGGGATGCCTCTCTGTACTCCCTTGGGAAGCTTTCTACTGGTATCAAAGTTAATTTGTATATCATTCCTTAAAGTTCCCAAACCTCATTTAAAAAGGGCTTACCTTCTCTCCACCCTCAAAACTGCTCAAAGAAGTGGTGCACTGGTAAAGTGTTTAGTAATCAGCTCTCTGGAGGAAGAAGCCCTGATTTGTATCATTTGCCTATTTCTGTGGTGTAAATACTCCTGCCACAGCCAGTGATTTCAAGTTACCAAGGTGAAGTCACTGAACAAGGCAGTGGGAAGAGCAGCTTGCAATCTGGTGGGAAATGGCTCCACCACATTACTGGAGCATATGTATATGTGGACTTTTGTTTTCTATTTCCAGGAATCTGTAGAACAAGCTTGTCCAACCCACTGCCCACACGCCATATGTGGCCCAGGATGGCTTTGAATTGACCCAACACAAATTTGTAAACTTTCTTAAAACTTTATGAGATTTTTTGTGAATTTTTTCGAGCTCATCAGCTCTCGTTAGTGTTGGTATATTTTATACGTGGCCTAAGACAATTCTTCTTCTTCCAATGTGGCTCAGCGTATTAGTCTATTCTCATGCTGCTAATAAAGACATACTAAAGACTGGGTAATTTATAAAGAAAAAGAGGTTTAATGGACTCACAGTTCCACATGGCTGGGGAGGCCTCGCAATCATGGTGGAAGGCAAAGGAGAAGCAAAGTCACGTCTTACATGGCGACAGGCCAGAGAGCCTGTGCAGAAGAACTGCCCTTTGTAAAACCATCAGATTTCATGAGACTTATTCACTATCATGAGAACAGCATGGGAAAAACTCGCCCTCATGATTCAATTACCTCCCATCTGGTCCCTCCCATGACATGTGGGGATTATGGGAGCTACTATTCAAGATGAGATTTGGGTGGGGATACAGCGAAAACATATCACCCAGGGTAGCCAAAAGATTGGACACCCCTGCTATAGAATATATCATAGAATATCTTTCACATAAAAGGCAAAAATGTCCGGCCAAGCGCAGTGGGTCACGCCTCTGATCCTAGCACTCTGGGAGGCCGAGGCAGGCGGATCACCTGAGGTCAGGAGTTGGAGACCAGCCTGACCAGCATGGAGAAACCCCATCTCTACTAAAAATACAAAATTAGCCAGGCGAGATGTTGCATGCCTGTAATCCCAGCTACTCAGGAGGCTGAGGCAGGAGAATTGCTTGAACCCAGGAGGCAGAGGTTGCAGTGAGTCGAGATTGCGCCATTGCACTCCAGCCTGGGCAACAAAAGTGAAACTCCATCTCAAGAAAAAAAAAAAATGTCCAAAGGCCTCAGTATATTGGATAAAAGTGTCACTTTAAGCATAGATGCATTTACTAAGAAGGTGCAAAAGTTAACAAAATATAAAGATGATTATAAACTTATCATTCTTCTATTTCACGTCTATACCTGTAATTAACAATACAGATCTAATCAATATTACTCTGTTTAAACACAGCTGAACATGAGATCAGCTGTCATTAGCACCTTTTTATTCTGGCCAAGTGACAACTATACCACCATTGTTCCCTAAAAAGAAACAACAACAAATACACAAATAGCTTGAGAATTTATCTGAACTTCTCATTGACCCATGTGTCTAGAAAAAAGCCCATATGCTTTGTGAGGCTCAGCTAGTCTAAATGCAATACATAGAGTGTGGAACAATCAGTTATGGGGTCTGTTCTACCTCTGACAAGCCATAGGATTTTGGGTAAACCTTTAAAACTACCCAGGGCCTGCCACGCATGGTGGCTCACGCCTGTAATCCCAGCACTTTGGAGGGCCAAGGCAGGTGGATCACCTGAGGTCAGGAGCTGGAGACCAGTCTGGCCAACATGGTGAAACCCCATCTCTGCTAAAAATACAAAAAATAGCCAGGCATTGTGGTGGGTGCCTGTAATCCCAGCTACTCGGGAGGCTGAGGCAGGAGAATCACTTGAGCCCAGGAGGCAGAGGTTACAGTGAGCTGAGATCGTGCCATTGCACCCCAGCCTGGGCAACAAGAGTTAAACTCCATCTCAAAACAAAAACAAAAACAAAAACAAAAACAAAAAACACTACTCAGGGCTTCATTTTCCTCACCTATAAAATTAGGGTCAGTGTCATCCAAATTTTAATCATCCTTATATACGACCATCACTATTTTCATCATTTGCATATGCTACCTGCCCTATTATTTTCTTAATATTTTTCTTTTCTTTTTTTTTTTTTTTTGAAACAGAATCTTGCTCTGTTGCCCAGGCTGGAGTGCAGTGGCGCAATCTTGGCTCGCTGCAACTTCTGCCTCCTGGGTTCAAGCGATTCTCCTGCCTCAGCCTCCCGAGTAGCTGGGACTACAGGCGCCCATCACCACGCCCAGCTAATTTTTTGTATTTTTAGTAGAGACAGGGTTTCACCATGTTAGCCAGGATGGTCTTGATCTCCTGACCTTGTGATCCACCTGCCTCGGCCTCCCAAAGTGCTGAGATTACAGGTGTGAGCCACCGCACCCAGCCAATATTTTTCTTTAATCAACTCACCTCTTTTTACTTAACTAGTGGTAACATCCATAAAATCCTAGGTGGTGGTGGTGGTGGTTGTTGTTGACTCTCTGTTGCCCAGGCTGGAGCGCAGTGACCTGATCATGGCTCACTGCAGCCTCAACCTCCCAGAATCAAGCAATCCTCCCACCTCACCCTCCTGAGTGGCTAAAACTACAGGTACAGACCACCAATGCCCAGTTAATTTTTTTTTTTTTTTGATAGATACGAGGTTTTGCCATGTTGCTCAGACTTCTGGGCCGAAGCGATCCATCTGCCTCGGCCACCAAAAGTGCTGCGATTACGGGCATGAACCACTGTACCCAGCCTCAATCATAGTTTCAATGTTTGTTGTTTGTTCTAATGCATGTTGATACACAAACAGAACTGTAAATGTAACCAATGTGTGTGCTTCCTAAAATTATCTTGCATACTACACGTGGCTAGCATCCTGCCTTTTCAGAAACATAGAGCAAGGTGATCCCTGTGGGTCCCACAGCACTGTTGGTCTGAGAGCTGTCATTATCTCAGCTACTTAGTACTTCCTGTGGAAATTTCAGGGTTGATTCACATTTCAGAGCTACTTGTCAGTCAAGATGAGTGAAACTAATGGATTATCTAGCCATACGTTGTCCAGGTCTCTCACTACATATAAACTTGGCTTGAGACTTCTATTCTGAAATGTATTTGCTCCTATACCAATATAACTTGCTCGCTCCATCAAGCAGCAGAAAGATCTGATCAAAAATTTAAATGAACGCATTTTGCATATAATATTTTGTCTCTTACTATTAAGCTCGGTAAATAGGTTGAAATCTGCATATAAATCACTTATATTTGCCTAGTTGTCTCTATGGGGTTGCAGCAATGGTGCTTTAAATATCATGTGAAATTTTTAAGAGATTGCTGGGCATGGGAGAGAATATGGAATTATTTTTCTAAAAAAAGAATTAGGAGTTAGAAAGCAGGACTTTCTTTAGAGTTGATGTGGCTTAAATAATTTCAACCAGATGAACTCTTGTCAACAATTTGCATTTAAAATATAATTAATTATGTTAGTCGGCTTGCTATTATACTAGGAAATTAAGATACCATACATGTTTATAATAGGAAATTTCTCAATTGTCTTTTTTAATCCACTATAAAGCTGCACATTTATTCCCACCAGAGGAAAGAAAAACATATTATGCTGCTAAAGTAATACCAGTCTTTTCTAGGATTAGGAATCAGTGGATGGTTTGTGGGATTTGTGATTTCTATTCTCAAATAAAAACCAGATGGGCTAAACCAACAGCATAAACAGTTGAGGGAAAAAAATTGGCAGAAAAAGTCACATTTGATAATTAAATTTGTTGTTACACCTTCTCTTATTTAATGAGACAGTCAGAAACTTTGTTTGCAAGATAATGTAACTCCCGAGCTCTGATTTAACCCAATAAAAGTTCAGACTTAATTTTGTTCAGGGCATAATTAGGTAACAATATGATAATCAAGTGGGTCTCTTTTATTTTCTATTTTTATTTTTTTGAGACAGGGTCTTGCTCTGTCACTCAGGCTGGAGTGCAGGGGCGTGATCACAGTTCACTGCAGCCTCCACCTTCTGGGTTCAAGCCATTCTCCCACCTTAGCCTCCCGAGTAGCTGGGACCACAGGTGTGCACCACCGTCCCTGGCTAATTTTTCTAATTTGTCTAGAAACAGGGTTGCACCATGTTGTCCAGACTGGTCTTGAACTCTTGGGCTCAAGGGATCCTCCTGCCTCAGCCTCCCAAAGTGCTGGGATTGTAGGTATGAGCCACCACACTTGACCAAGTCTTTTTATTATAATAGAAACAGAAAATTCTTGCCCACAGCAAACTTTCAGGAAATAGTCATACTGTTGTTCATTTAAATGTAGACATAATCAGTTTATGTACATATTTATACATAAAAATAAAATAAACAGATTTAGTACATGCCCTTTATTGTACATGCATTAGCAATATCAATGTAATTACTACGTGTACATTTTATTAATATTTGGTATTCTAGCACAAATGCAAGGAACTAATTTACATCTACTTTATAAACTAGAGAGTAGGAACAGTTATGTTAACCATTCAATATTTTAGAGAACATGATACCAAAGAAATAATGCACACTTTGCCATTTAATCTAGGCAATTTGTCTAGAATCCTAGATTCACTGGCTCATACATTCATGCACATTCCATGAGAGCTGACTGTGAGTCAGACCTTGTGCTCAGCTCTTTGCAAGCATTATCTTACAATCTCCACTTTTCGGAGGAGGAAACCGAGGCTTTGAGGGATTAAGGTAATTTCCAGGTTTGTACAGCCAACACGGTGCGTGGCTGGTTTGAATGTAGACAGCCCACAGCAGGGCTGTGCTCTTGAGTTCCTGCTGCACACAAGACCTGGGCTGGTTCTGGGGATGCAAAGATGAATAAGAAGTGGGTGCTTATGCAGCTTAACACATAGGGCCCCAGAAATAGAGTTGAAAGACACCATCCCCTGCCCACACTTTTTTTTTTTTTTTTTAAGAGACAAGTCTTGCTATGTTGCCTGGGCTGACCCTGAACTCCTGGGCCTCATGCAATTCTCCCACTTCAACCACTTCAACCTCCGGAGTAGCTGGGACTACAGGTGCATGCCACCACACCCAGCTCCAAACTCCCTTTTATTACAGATAAGAAGCTGGTGTTCTAAAGAGGTATGCACCTTATCCTTGGTGTATATGGTAGATAAGAATATAGGTGAAAGTGTAAAGATAAAAACGATGAATTGGTTATTTTACATAGTGATAATGTCATTTACTAAATACTGCAATATCTTTGTGCTGGAATACGTATAAATTATTACTTAGACCTCGACTTTGCTCAAATATGTGGTAAGAATATGTATGGATGTGAGTGAGTATTATAACTATGGCTGAAATAGAGATTAAGAAAATAAAGTAACAATTCTGGTTAATTCAGCTCAACAAATACTAATCATGTGCCCATGTGCTGGGCAAAGATAAAGCACTGGGTACGTAATGAAGCATACGACACGCAGGGTCCTTGTCCCCCTCACATAGACCACGGAGAGCATGTGGGCGTTATAGTCATAGTCCCGATGCCAGCTCGGGAGATCCCTGGGAAGGTCATGAGAAATGGTTAGATCCTGGATCTATTGTGAAGGTCCAACCAACAGGACACACCTTTAGATCAAATGTGGCGTTGGGTGCTGGGGATATAGCGACCTAAGGAACACATGATTGTTGACTTTGCGGAACTTTTATTACGGTCTGGGTGTCAGACCTTAGTCAAATAATCACTCACATAAATGCAAAGTTCAAACAGTTTAAGCTCTGAAGAAAAACATGCCCAGGGCGTAAGAGGGGATCTGATGTGGCCAGGGGGTGAAGTGTTGTCAAGGAAAACTTCTCCGTGGATTCAAAGGATCCATATGCCTGACGGAGTGGGGGTGAGTAGGGTGGAGAGGAAATAGCACAGGCAAGTGTTCTGGGGAAGTGGAGAATGTCTAGGAGGATCTGGCAGAGGGCCAGGGAGGTCAGGCAGAGGGAGCCTGGGGGAGATAAGCTGTGAGAAAGAGAGTAAAACTCCTGGGCAGGACGCCTGAGAAATGGAAGTTGAAATGGAAATCAGATGGCAGATCCTACTCTCCAAATCATTCATAGTTTCCCTAATGCAAGGACTGGCAGTGGGACATGGGGCAGGAGGGGTGAAACTCTGATTTTACTATTGATGAACTGTTGATACCATTGTATCAACTCTGTATCGAGACTTTTTATCAGTGAGCATGCTTTACTTGTTAAAAAAGAACATTTAGGACAGGCGCAGTGGCTCACGCCTGTAATCCCAGCACTTTGGGAGGCTGGGGCAGGTGGATCACCTGAGGTCAGGACTTCGAGACTAGCCTGACCAACATGGTGAAACCCCATCTCTACTAAAAAATGCAAAAATTAGCTGGATGTGGTGATGCATGCCTGTAATCCCAGCTACTCGGGAGGCTAAGACAGGAGAATCGCCTGAACCCAGGAGACAGAGGTTGCAGTGAGCCAAGATAGTGCCATTGCATTCCAGGCTGGGCCACAAGAGCAAAACTCCACCACGGAAAAAAAAAAAAATGGAACATTTAAAGAAAAACTGATGTAAAAGTGAATAAGTTAGCCAGGATGAGATGGCTCATACCTGTAATCCCAGCACTTTGGGAGGCGAAGGTGGGAGGATCACTTGAGCCCAGAAGTTCGAGACCAGCCTGAGCAACATAGCAAGATCCCATCTTTACCAAGAAAAAAAAAAAAAGAAAAAAATGAAGAAGTTTTGAGAGGGGTTTTTTTTGTTTGCCTGTTTGTTTTAGAGTCATCTCCAGAAGACATAGACTGGAGGGTACATGGGATTCACGTTAAGATCCTACTTTCTGCCCCTGGGTTGATGCTGTGAGCTGCCTTGACTTCTTGTTGCTCATGTCTCTATCCCTGAGCTCTTTTTTTTTTTTGCTTTAAAAAATTATTAATTATCATTATTATTATGGTAACCATTCACATTACATAAAATTAATCATTTTTGGCCGGGCGCGGTGGCTCACGCCTGTAATCCCAGCACTTTGGGAGGCCGAGGCGGGCGGATCATGAGGTCAGGAGATCGAGGCCATCCTAGCTAACACGGTGAAACGCTGTCTCTACTAAAAATGCAAAAAGTTAGCCGGGCGTGGTGGTGGGCACCTGTAGTCCCAGCTACTCAGGAGGCTGAGGCAGGAGAATGGCATGAACCTGGGAGGCGGAGCTTGCAGTGAGCTGAGATAGCGCCACTGCAGTCCAGACTGGGCAACAGAGCAAGACTCCATCTCAAAAAAAAAAAAATCATTTTTAAGTGAATGATTAATGATAGGTGTGAGCCACCACGCCCAGTCGAGTCTTTTTATTAGAAACAGAAAATTCTTGCCCACAACAAACTTTCAGGAAACATTCATACTGTGTTGTTCATTTACATGTAGACACAATCAATTTACGTATATGTTTATACATAAAAATAAGATAAACAGGTTTAGTATATACTTTTTATTGTACATGCATTAGCAATATTGATGCAATTACTAACTGTACATTTTATTAATATGTGGTATTTTGGTAGAAATGCAAGCAACTAATTTACATCAACTTTAGGAACTAGAGACATAGTGGCATTTAGTACATTCGCAATGCTGGGCAACCACTACCTCTATCTAGTTCCAAAACATTTACATCACCCAAAAGAAATCCCTGTACCCATTAAGCAGCTACCTACATTTCCTTCTCCACTGAGCCCCTGACAACCACTAATCTACTTTCTCTATATATAGATTTACCTATTCTGGATATTTCATATAAGTTGAATCATACAATATGTGGCCTTTTGTGCCTGGCTTCTTTCACTTAGCATCAAGTTTTGGAGGTTCGTTCACCCATATGGTAACAGATGTCAGTACTTGACTCTTTTGTTTTTTTTTTTTTTGAGACGGAGTTTGGCTCTTGTTGCCCTGGCTGGAGTGCAATGGTGCAATCTCGGCTCACCACAACCTCCGCCTTCCGGGTTCAAGTGATTCTCCTGCCTCAGCCTCCTGAGTAGCTGGTATTACAGGCATGCGCCACCACGTCCAGTTAATTTTGTATTTTTAGCAAAGACGGGGTTTCTCCATGTTGGTCAGGCTGGTCTCGACCTCAGGTGATCCGCCCACCTCGGCCTCCCAAAGTGCTGGGATTACAGGCGTGAGCCACCAGCTCAGCCACTTTACTCCTTTTTATGGCTGAATATTATTCCGTTGTGTGGATATATCACATTTGGTTTATACCTTCATCTGTCAATGGACACTTGGATTGTTCCATCTTTTGGCTGCTGTGAATAATGGTGCAATGAACATTTAAACATTGGTGAAAAGTATCTGTTTGAGTCCCTCTTTTAAATTATTTTGGGTATATAACTAGGAGTACAACTCCTGGGTCATATGATAATTCTTTTAAATTTCAACTTAATTTTTTTATTATTATTTTTTATTTTTAGAGACAGGGTCTTGCTGTGTCAGGCTGGAGCCCAGTGGTGCAATCATAGCTCACTGTAGCCTCGAACTTCTGGGCTCAAGCAACCCTCTGGCCTCAGCCTCCTGAGTAGCTGGACTACTGGTGCACACCACCATGTCCAGCTCTTCACATGATAATTCTGTGTTTAACTTTTTAAGGAGCCTATCTGAGCTTTCTTCTTCTTTTTCTTTCTTTTTTTTTTTTGAGATGGAGTCTCGCTGCGATGCCCAGTCTGGAGTGCAATGGGTACATGCCACCACACCCAGCTAATTTTTGTATTTTTAGTAGAGACAGAGTTTCACCATGTTGGCCAGGCTGGTCTCAAACTCCTGACCTCAAGTGATCCACCTGCCTCGGACTTCCAAAGTGCTGGGATTACAGGCGTGAGCCACCGCGCCTGGCCTGTCTGAGCTTTCTGATTGCTTCTTACTGCAGGTCAAGTTGAGGTTCTATAGGCCTGATTGCCGCACTCCAAAGAACACTTAACCCTGCAGTTGTGTCTGGTTATTGACTGGAATCCTGTGTGGTTCCTGGAAGGCCCCAGAATGTTCCTGAAGGTTCACATCCCTCTTCCATATATGACAATATTTCACACCACTGATAAGAGTTGGTTGAACTATTGCTGTCATCTTTTGTTCCCACATAACTTATTTAACGAATTACATATTGAAAAGGAGCCTTCCACCCCCAAGGATCCTACTGACCGTCAGCGTGTAGGATCTTGGGAGAGGCCTTGACACCAGAAGACATTGAGCTTCCTCTCTGTGAAGAGGTTACTCGGTGCACTTGGCGCTCTTGGTGTTCGACCACATTCTTCTTCCGGCCTGTGTACTCCCTTGCCCGAGGGCTTTCTTTGGCCACAAGAGCCCACTCTTGCTCAGGAGGCAGGCTGGAATGACTGGCGGCCCCGTGCGGATGTGGGTTTTCCACTGGGCCCCTCGTGTTCCCCAGCTGTCCTCAGTGGTAACTGCTTGGTGAAGTTCCCCTCATGGCTTCCTTCCCTTCCTGCACCACCTCCCACACCCCCACCTTGGCCTCCTGCAGTTCCATATCAACCACTTGCCCCTGAATCCTCATCTCAGCTTCTGCCCAAAGACAACGTTATGGTGAATTTCATGCGTCAACCTGTCTGGGCCACGGTGCTCAGATATTTGGTCAAAGATTATTCTGGGTGTTTTTTAAAGGTATTTTTTTTTAAGATGAGATTAGCATTCAAGTCAGTGAGTTTTGAATAATGCAGATGACCTTCCATAATGTGGATGGGCCTCATCCAATCAGTTGGAAGCCTTAATAGAATGAAGACTCACTTGCCCGCAGCAAGAAGGGATCCTGCCAGTAGACAGCCCCTGGATTTGAACTGTAACGCTCCCCTGGGTCTCCAGCCTGTCCGCCTACCCTGCAGATTTTGGACTTACCAAACCTTCACAATCACATAGCCAATTCCTTAAAATAAATCTCTTTCTCTAGGGGTGTGTGTGTGTGTGTGTGTGTGTATGTGTGATGTGTGTGTATGGGGTAGTGGAATGAATAGGGTAGGATGGCAAGTTTAAATTTGGGCCTGTGGAGTTTGCAGTGTTTATAGGAAATCTAAATGAATCTATACAAGGTAATTCCAAATTCAGATACAGGCTGGAAATAGAGATGCTAAGAAAAGCAGCTAACATTTCAATGTGTTACACCATGTGCCAGAAACTGTACTAAGCATGTTACATGTATGATTTCATTTAATCATTAAATAGCCAGCCTTGTGAGATCAGTCCTTTTATTATACTCTTTTCCAAGACTCCACAGCTAGAATGTGGCTAATTTGGGATTTCAACCCAAACAGTCTGACTGGAAGTTTTTGGCTTATAGGTAACAAATAAAGCAACAGGGATAAGTCAGTTTGCTTAGGCAGAGGATGTAGTTTAAGCAGAGGGCAGACAGTGAAACTCTAGAGAACAAGAACATTTACCTATAATTCATGAGCAGAGATTTCCTTAAAGATTAAAAAGGGGGAGTTCAGAGAGAGAAAAGGAAAGCTGTGCAGAAGTTGGGTTAGTCATTCCAAGGGAGGAGCGTGTTTCTAGAGGAAAGGCAGGAGAGGTCAAGTGCAGGAGGGATGATAAATGTCTGTTGGCTTCAGCATCGGGGTGGGGGTCGGCGGCACACAGACTGCTACAAGAGGAATGCTGCGGATGTGTAGCTGTGGAAGGGATTCGGGGCCAGGAGGAGTGATGGGCTTAAACCCAACCAGAGTCACCAGGACTCTCCCATGCTGAGGGCGGCTGATATCACACCATATCCACTGATATCTTTGATAAAGGATTTTTGCCACTAGTGCATTCTTTGTTGTGTTCCTGAGCAATTTGTCATTTGCTTAATTTGATTTTACCAGCTTCCCAGTTACTCTGCAACCTCTGCCTCCTGGGCTCAAGCGATCCTCCTGCCTCAGCCTCCCAAGTAGCTGGGACCACAGGTGTGTGCCACCACACCCAGCTAGTTTTGTATTTTTTGTAGAGACAGGGTTTCGTTATGTTGCCCAGACTCGTCTTGAGCTCCTAGACTCAAGCAATCCTCCCACCTCGGCCTCCCAAAGTGTGAGATTACAGGCATGAGCCACTGCCCAGCCACATCGTGTGCAACTTTCAAGATGTTTCTGCATTTTCTTTTTCCTACCGTTAGTAATTTTTATCTGATGCTAGAGAGAAGATATAATGCAGATAAACCGAAGAGTGGAAATTAGGAAATTGAGTCAGTTCTTACCCTGTTTCTCTTTGGAAATCATTATATAGAGGAAAACTTTTTCATTGTGGTTGCTGCATATACCCAAATATAATGCAGTCTCTCCCCAAACCCCCACCCCAAAATAGTCTTTCAGAAAAGTTGACTTCAGTTAAAATCTTTACAAAGTCATTCATATTACATGAAGCCCTCTTAGTTACTTTATTTTGAACAATAAATTCCCCTGGGAGAAGACATTTATATTCTTACAATAATAAGCTATGGCATCAGTTAAAAGAAAAACAAAGAATTTTAGGCAAGGTGCAGTGGCTCACACCTGTAATCCTAGCTTATTGGGAGGCTGACGCCAAAGGATTGCTTGAGGCCAGGAATTCAAGAACAACCTGGCTAACATAGCAAGACCCCGTCTCTATAAAAGAAAAGAAAAGAAATTTTAACAGAGATATAGTAATTATTAATGGGAAAATGACCTCTCAATTACAAGTGTTGGAAATTGTTGAGAACAAGTCTTCTAAAAACACTTTAAGGTGCAATAAAACAAGTGATTATAATGTGGCGTTCACAAGTAGCTTGGGATACAGTTTTCAAGGTCAGTATTCTTTTTATTTTTTCTTGTTGACTGAGAATCAGGGGTCATTATTATACAAAGATTCCAAAGGTACTATATCTTAGGCAACTTAGATGGAAATAAAGATGATGTGTTCTGAAAAACTCTAGAAAACTTATAAAGTGAGGCCAGGCACGGTAACTCATGCCTGTAATCCCAGCACTTTGGGAGGCTGAGGTGGGCGGATCACTTGAGATTGGGAGTTTGAGACCAGCCTGGCCAACAGGCTTTACTAAAAACACAAAAATTACCTGGGCGTGGTGGTGTGTGCCTGTAATCCCAGTTACTTGGGAGGCTGAGGCATTAGAATTGCTTGAACCCGGGAAGTGGAGGTTGCAGTGAGCCGAGGTTGTGCCACTGCACTCCAGCCTGGGTGACAGAGTAAGACTGTGTCTCAAAAAAAAAAAAAAAAAGAAAGCTTATAAAGTGACTTTAATAATGACATATGATAAAGCATATGAAAACAATAAAATTGTTGCATGAAATCTGAGTTTACAACATGAGGTTTTAAATATCATAACATTACATGACTAAGTAAATATTATAAGTAGACATATGGCTCTTTCATCTACATTCTCATATATATATATTGACCAGACATGGTAGCTCATGTGTGTAATCTCAGCACGTTGGGAGCCAGAGGCAGGAGGACTGCTTGAGCCCAGGAGTTCAAGACAATCTTGGGCAACATATCTAGACCCTGTGTCTACCAAAAAAAAAAAAAAAAATTAGCCAGATGTGGTAGTGTGTACCTGTGGTCCCCCCTACTCAGGAGGCTGAGGTGGGAAGATCACTTGAGTCCAGGAGGTTGAGGCTGCCGTGAGCCATGATCACACCACTGCACTCTAGCCTGGGCAGTAGAGTGAGACCCCATTTCTAAATACACACACACACACACACACACACACTTATACATATATGCTGTATTAGTCAATTTTCACGCTGCTGATAAAGACATACCTGAGACTGAGCAATTTACAAAAGAAAGAGGTTTAATGGACTTACAGTTCCACATGGCTGAGGAGGCCTCACGATCATGGTGGAAGGCAAGGAGGAGCAAGTCACATCCTACATGGATGGCAGCAGGCAAAGAGAGAGTTTGTGCAGGGAAACTCCTGTTTTTAAAACCATCAGATCTCATGAGACTCATTCACTATCAGGAGAACAGCATGGGAAAGACCTGCCCCCATGATTCAATTATCTCCACTGGGCCCCTCCCACAACACGTGGGAATTATGGGACTTACAAGATGAGATTTGGGCGGGGACACAGAGCCAAACCATATCATATGCATATATATTCAAATTGTCCAAAAGGCTTTTGTTTTGTATTTTTTCATGGAGCTACTGTCTTATGTACATAATTGTCTTATATTTGGGCAGATAAGGCACTCCATGAGCCCTGATGTAGACTGGCAAATATTTGCACTCAGTATTAATGGATCACTACCTATAATCATAACAAGGAAAAGGCTGGGCTAGTCAGATGAAAGTCTAAAGGCTGACCCAGCCCTGCTGTATCCACAGAGCACATCAGATGATGAACAATGTGCCTCCTGAGCCTGAGTGAGTGTCCGTTGTCGATGTTGGACTACATTGCCCAGATCCCCGGCTTTAAGAGATCTTTGCCCCATGTGCTGGGAAGGTTGTAGGCTGACAGCTCTCAGCTGTCAATCCTCTTTGGGAATAGCCTAGGCTGAAGAAAGCTTTCTTGTCCAAGGACATACCCCCTTTCCAGGATAGCCTGCAACCAATGACCAGTTGCCATTGTATGGAGGCTCAATCCCAGTGCCCCAGTTCAGACCAATACTGAAGGAGCTGCCTGTGGGACTGAGGCCTTGCAGTGACTACACTGCAGCTTAATTCTCCCTCTTCCCAACCTTCCTTCTTTCCCTTCCTCCTACAGATGTTAATCTCAAATGCACTCCCCAAATAAATCCCCTGCCTGCCAATTTCTGCCTCAACAGAACAAAGGAACTCATGCGGTTTCAATAATCTTTTAAAAGCCAATTTATCTACAATGGAAAATCCACATGTTCTAAATAGCCATAAAGTTGTTTGTGGATATCAAAATTCAGAGAAACACTGAAATAGATAGTTTAATAGGCAGAACAGTAAAGACAGTCAGAGACTGATTGGGAATGAACTTCAAGAATTTTAAGATTTTTGAGTGAGTATAGTGCTATAGATGACGTGGAACTTGGTACACTCATGAATTGAGGAGGCAACAGCCACTGGAATATAGGTGTGAAAAAAAGAGTGAGGCAAGGATTTAAACAAGTTCAAAGACCCTGGAAATGACTCAGGGACCTGTCAGAGAGGGGAAGGCTCAGCCATTTTTGATAAATACAGAAAATGAGCAGTAATTATATGCATTATTTCATTAATTCCTTGACTATTTTATTTTATTTTATTGATTTATTTTTGAGATGGAGTTTCACTCTTGTTACCCAGGCTGGAGTGCAGTGGCACGATCCCGGCTCACTGCAACCTCTGCCTCCTGGGTTCAAGCAATTCTCCTGCCTCAGCCTCCAGAGTAGTTGGGATTACAGGCGTGTGCTACCACGCCTGGCTAATTTTTGTATTTTTAGTAGAGACAGAGTTTCACCATGTTGGCCAGGCTGGTCTCGAACTCCTGACCTCATGATCTGCCTGCCTTGGCCTCCCAAAGTGCTGGGATTACAGGCATGATTCCTTGGCTATTTATGAAGTCCTTCTACCATGTTAGCCTCTGTCCCAGCAGATGACACCATGAGGACCTGTAAGATGCTGCGTAGTTGGATGATGTGAGGCTGAAGAGAAAGAGACGTTCACGTGAAGGTAAAAAATGATGGTTTGGCCGGGTGTGGTGGCTCACACCTGTAATCCCAGCACTTTGGGAGGCCGAGGCGGGTGGATCATGAGGTCAGGAGTTCAAGACCATCCTGACCAACATAGTGAAACTCTGTCTCCTCTAAAAATACAAAAAAATTAGCTGGGCACCGTGGCAGGCAACTGTAATCCCAGCTCCTTGGGAGGCTGAGGCAGAAGAATCACTTGAACCCAGGAGGCAGAGGTGGCAGTGAGCCGAGATCATGCCACTGCACTCCAGCCTGGGTGACAGAGCAAGACTCCATATCAGAAAAATAAATAAATAAATAAATAAAAAGATGGTTTGGCAGCCGCGCAATGAGAAGATAAGAGAATATGGAGCTCATCTTGCCCTCATCCCAGCTCCAGCTCCCTGCACGTCCTCAAGGGAGAGCAGGCTTCGGTTATAATCAGGAAGCAGGGGAAACATTTGGTAAAGGCTGGAATATGTTAGGAAATTTACTTAGCATTTTATAGGGATTCCAGAGGATGAAATGGGGGGTTTGGGAGAGAAAAGAGTGCCCGTAAAAACACTTCCATGCCATTTAAAGAGTGTGATGATGAAGTTAGGGCTGAGATATTCTAGCAATCAATATTGAGACCAGTGATGTTTATTCATGATGGTGTGAGGGTAAACCAGATAACTGAGAGCCAAAGATGGACCTAACCCAATTAGGAAAATGAATAACACAATAGCAGGCCTAGTTTTTATAAATTATGCACACCGATAGGAATAACTTAAGAGTACAATGATTTACTTATTCAACTTAAATTGCTATGAGAATAACCCCTTAAAGAAAAAGATGGCATTATAACATTTAGCATGATGCAACACTATGGTGTTATGTGGTGTAGTTACTGAAGGCAGTAACAGACCAATCTAAAAAGAGAGGCTGTGGTATGAAAATCATTCTGAACTCCATTAGACAAATGGCTGACTTTTCCATCTCCAGAAAGTAACAAATAGGAGAAACAAGGACAGACAAGACAATCAAGAGATTACAGCAATGTAGGGTCAAAGGAGAGCTTCCTCTTCGCCCTCTGAAGGTTTGCTTGAAAAATCAACTCACAAAAGGCAGTTTAATGGGACAAAAGGCAGACAATTTATTTAACACACACACACACACACAGAGCCACGCAGTGACCATCCAATGGGGTTTGGAAGCTTATATGCCATCCTGGCTGGACATTATGGGAAGGGAGCGAAGAGGAACTCTGTTGACGGGATTACTAGGAAGAATGAACGGATCAGGGAACAGAGATTAATTTGTTCATTTTCTTGTGAAAGGGTCTGTTCCAGTATGGTTACCTTCTTGGTCTTAGAGGGAGGAGAAGAAGGAACAATGGTTCCTTCTGGTGGGTCTGGATCTTAGGCAGATAAAGCTTTTGAGAGAGACAATGGGGTGGAGAAGGTCAGAGAGACCTTGAAGCTTCTTCAGTTCAGTATGTCAGACCACCATATTTTAGGGTATTGGGTTTCTGAGCCCCAACGGTAACATTAAGAGAAGGAAAAACGTCAAAAAAATAATTGTTGTAAAACAAACAAAAAATTAAAAAAAAAAAAAGACCGTTAAAAGAGAATGTAGCATAGAGCAAGAGGCATGTTTGGAAAAAGTGATCACCTTTTAGGAAGTTGCCAGTTGGTGGGATCCTACCTAAGCAAGCATTCCCGGGTGTGAGACCATCACTTTGCCTTTGAGATGCCAGGGGTTAAAATGGCATCTCAAAGAAAAATGTATCAAGTGTGATACATGAACGCAAAAAATGTAGAAAATGTAAGGCATTGTTCTTACATTTTCCCCCCTACCTTTGTACACCATCAGATTGGTACTTTTCATGGTAATAAATTCGTGGTTGAGAGTGGGCATGGAGTGGCCAGAGAAAGGCTGTCTCAGTCGCATTTTAGAACCAGCATGTTCTTTGATTTTTAAATTTTTTTTTATTTTTCAGGCTATGCTTCAAATTTTCTTCCTAGAATTTTTTTTTTCTCTGTGCAAGTTATCTTTAAATAATAAAATCTCTTTCCCTCCTAGTATGCAATGCTCGTAATGACTTCAATGAAACATTTAGGTCCTCTGGAGCCCAGGACTGTTTTGTGATTCACATCATTACAAAATATGTCCCATTAAGATGATGCACAAGCTGAACGGGAGTTAATGAACCTGCATTCTTGCAGGATAATTCAAACTTTAAGGGTGATATTAACTTAAATAAAATAAGAAAGGGAAGAAAAATCAGGTTCATTGTACACCAGAGATCATGATCTTTATCCTCTCAGTTCATAAAAGCTTATCCGTTGCTCAGTTACTCTCATACCATTATTAGCGTGGTTGTAGAGCACATATATGTATATAATTAAGTGCCCCTCTGTGGCCATTAAAGGGCTGCCTGCGTTTCCGCAGGGAGCACACGTGGAAGTTGATTCACAAGCTTATAAGAGTGTGTCAGTACCTTTCACCTTTATGACATGCTGCATGGAAATATGTGGCATCTGCCACTTATGATCCAAAGCAACAGTGGGGAAAGTATGGCCCATGGCCAAATCTGGCCCACCACCTGTTTTGTAAATAAAGTTTTATTGGAACACAGCCACACCCATGTATGTACATATTGTCTATGGCTATTTTAGTCCTGCCACAGCAGAACTGAATAATTGCAATGGAGATTGTAAATGGCCCACAAAGCCTGCAATATTTACTATCTGGCTTTTTAAAGAAAAGTTTTTGCTGGGTGTGATGGCTCATGCCTATAATCCCAGCACTTTGGGAGGCCAAGGTGGTGGGATCTCTTGGGTGCAAGGCCAGCCTGGACAACATAGTGAGACCTCATCTCTACTAAAAAATAAAAATAATTAGCCAGGCATGGTGGTGCCGGCCTGTGGTCTCAGCTGCTCAGGAGGCTGAGATGGGAGGATCCCTTGAGCCAGAGAGGTTGAGGCTGCAATGAGCTGTGATTGTGCCACTGCACTCTAGCATGGGCCGCAGAGTGAGACTCGTCTCAAACAAACAAACAAACAAAAAACAAAATGGCCAGGGATGGTGGCTCATGCCTATAACTCCACCACTTTGGGAGGCCAAGGCAGGAGGATCACTTGAGGTCAGGAGTTCAAGATCAGCCTGGCCAACATGGCAAAACCCTATCTCTACTAAAAATACAAAAATTAGCCAGGGATGGTGGTGCATGTCTGTAATCCCAGCTACTAGGGAGGCTGAGGTGCAAGAATTGCACCCGGGGGGCAGAGGTTGCAGTGAGACGAGATCACGCCACTGCACTCCAGCCTGGGTGAGAGAGAGAGACTTCGTCTCAAAAAAACAAACAAAAAAAAGACATGGTTTCACCATCTATTTGGTCTAAAGGCAAACCTTTGCTCTATACCTGTTGACCAAATACATGATTGTAAAATGAGTAAAAGCTGTATTAAATTAGGGAAATATGTAGTTCAGAACACAATATTTATATTGCCTATGATATCAAGGTTCTAGGAGTCACTTGACCTACTGAGGAATATTAGTCTTTTTTTAAAAGCCTACACTTGGTATTTTAAGCTCTTCTTTCGTTGTCAAGAAATTAAATAAATAAATAAAAACAATAGCCACGAGTTTTTGTGAACCCTCCTGAAACACAATGTCTCGTGTTCCCCTTCTGGCTCTGTGGCAGCTGTTAACTATCAAATACTATTTCTAGAACTGTGCTGACATCAGTCGATGATGATACACAAAGCTGTTTGGCATGACACACACTGTGCAAGTTGAGGCTGTTAAAATGAAACAGCTCTGTTAAAATTAACTCTATTCACATCGCAGGGAAAATATCTAAGTTTGCCAAATCAATTCCTTCCTATATCAGTGGGGAAGAACCATTTTCCAACCTCTAAAAAGGTGATTCAGACACAGGAGAGCAAAAAAACCTCCAAAATTAAAATGATAAAACAAAAATTTGCTTGACAGCAAAAGTACTTCCAAATGGATGAAATTGAATCCAAAATTGTGCCTGCAACAAATTTAACTGACAAGAAAGTCTGCATAATGGACTTGGTTTTATTATTAATGCTAATATGGGTACATTTTTGTTCTATTGTGCTGATAGCAAGAAGATAAATGCCCACCGAAGGCACTAAAATATCTCCACTCGGTTGAAATACTGATTATAGTTAGAATGCAAACACTTATTCTTCGCTTGTGAGAAAGAACCATTTTTTTTAAAAAAAAGAAAGTGTTACTATAGAGGCCATTTCAGAATCAGGTAGAGCTTTGAAATAGAATTTCTTAAAATAATGTCATGCAACACTTAATGAAGAGTTTCTTTGTAAAATTTTAAATTATGTAGATATAACTTTATCAAAATGATAAATATATTCATTGCATGATTTCTAATTAGCACTTCTTTAAAATTAATAATTAGCCTTACAGAGTCCTTATAATCAGGGGTTGAAGTTTACATTCAGGAAAACTAAGTCTAATGGTATAAATGATTTTTTTTTTACCAGCTCACCTCCCCCTGAAAATCGGTGCTTCAGACTCTCTCCTTCCCTGAACCCCAAGTCACAGGGGCAGCCAAACAGGGATTGAGAGTCATGAGGATTGTGCCCAGGAGTATCTGGCCAAGGGTGGAAGCTCCACAGTTGTTTGCAGTCAGGAGGGCCAAGGGTCTGGAAGCCAGGGAGTTCAGGCCAAAGCCACGGTGGTGTGTCAAGCCAGTAAATCAGTTAATCTGAGAAGCAGCAATTGGGTTTTGGAGATCAAGACTAGTATAAGGTCAGAAACTCCAGGAGGTTAGTAACAGCAAGGAAATAGAATGTAGGCATGTCAGCCCTGAAGGCAATTTCTATTTGTGCTTGCTTTTAGGGGACCTATTTATGTTCCCCGTGGCAGCATGCAGGGTACGGGTTACAGCTGCTTTAAGAGTGAAACTACTGTAGATAAACCTTGAGCCTAGCTGAAGCTAGCCTTCAATTACAAGAATGCTGTTGGACAGACCTCGGTCATGTAGAGATTATTTGAATGGCAATTACCCCTGTACTCTAAGCCTGTACTAATCATTCTAAATTCTCCCACTACTTGCCTTCCCCGTTGATTCATTTAGTTAACCTTTCTCTACTTTCTAGATCACTGATGCCTACGGTAGGCAGAATGTTAGATGGCCCCCAAGATTCCCTGCCCCACTGGTGGATATACCCCCTCCCCTTGAGTGTAGCAGGATCAGAGAATGTGGTGAGATGTCACTCCCTTGACTAGGCTACTCATCAGTTGACTTGGAGTTAATCAAAAAGGAGCTCTATCCTGGGTGGGCCTGATCGAATCAGGCAAGCCCTTTAAAAGAAACTGAAGGTCAGAGAATATATGCTGCTGGCCTCTGGAAGAAAGAAGCAAGCTTTGATGTTGTGAGAAGAGGAGGTCACATGGTAAGGACCTGAGCATGGTCTCTGGGAGCATTAAGCTGTCCCTTGGTCACAAAGATGCAAGGAAATGAATTCTGCCAACAACTACTGAGCTTGGAAGATGACCCCGAGCCTCAGAGGAGATCCCAGTTCACACCTTGATTTCAGCCTGGTGAGACCCTGAGTAGAGGGCCTCGCTAATCCGTACCCAGATTCCTGACCTATGGAAACTACGAGATAATACATTTATGTTGCTTTAAGCTGCTAACTTTGTAGTAATTCATGCTGCAGCAATAAGAAACGAATGCCCTCTCCAATAAAACTTTCTGTGATACTGAAAATGTTCTATATTTGCTTTGCCAATATAGTGGCCACTAGCCACATGGGGCTACTGAGCATTTGAAATGAGTCTAGTGTAAGTGAGGAACTGAATTTTTTATCTTATTTAATTTTAATTGCCGGGCACGGTGGCTCACACTTGTAATCCCAGCACTTTGGGAGGCCAAGGCGGGTGGATCACCTGAGGTCAGGAGTTCAAGACCAGCCTGGCCAATATGGTGAAACCCTATCTCTACTAAAAATACAAAAATTAGCCAGGCGTGGTGGTGGGTGCCTATAATCCCAGCTACGCAGGAGGCTGAGCCAGGAGAATCACTTGAACCTGGTAGGCGGAGGTTGCAGTGAGCTGAGATGATGCCACTACACTCCAGCCTGGGCAACAGAGTGAGACTCCGTCTCAAAAATAATAATAATAATAATTTTAGCTAATTTAAGCTTGGGTAGCCATAGCGCCTAGTGGCTAACCTACTGGACAGCACAGTTCTTTTTTTTTTTTTTTTTTTTTTTTTGAGACAAAGTCTTGCTCTGTCGCCCAGGCTGGAGTACAGTGGCGTGATCTTGGCTCACTGCAATCTCTGCCTCCCGGGTTTAAGCGATTCTCTTGCCTCAGCCTCCCGAGTAGCTGGGACTACAGGCACGTGCCACCACACCCAGCTAATTTTTTTTATTTTTAGTAGAGACGGGGTTTCACTATGTTAGCCAGGATGGTCTCGATCTCCTGACCTCATGATCTGCCCGCCTTAACCTCCCAAAGTGCTGGGATTACAGGCATGAGCCACCATGCCTGGCCAGACAGCACAGTTCTAGATTAATAATAATGAAGACAACAATCCTTTGATTTTATGTTTTTGATCATAAATAGCTCTCTTCTGAGTTCAATTTTTGAAACTTAATCTTAAAATCTCTAAGAAGACTATATGAGAAACCACACATGATCCAGCCCTGCTTCCTCTCTGGCGTCAGCTCATTCCCTTCTCCAAACCACAGTTTCTTCCAGTTATTTGAGTGCACCAAGCTCTTTCTCACCTGAAGTCTTTCATACATGCCTCTTCCTTCATCAAGACACTCTGCCCTGCATTCTTCATCTGATACCTATTTAACATTTAAGTCTCAGCCCAAATGTCACTTTCTTGTAGAACTCCTTGGTATCCTGTAACAGTTAGCTATTGCTGTGTAACAAACTATGCCAAAACTCAGTGGCTCAAAACATGCATTATTGGAGTTCTTGCATTTAAGCCTGTTTCACACATGTGCCTGTGAAATGGCTGGTTGCTCTGCTTTTTTTTTTTTTCTGAGACAGATCCCACTATATTGCACAAGCTAGACTTAAACTCCTGGGCTCAAGCGATCCTCCTACCTCAGCCTCTAGAGTAGATGGGACTACAGGCGCTTTAACCCAGGATTGGCTAGAGTACATTAGCAGGGATAGGTCAGTTCTATGTGTCTCTCATCCTCCCGCTAAGACCAGCAGGCTAATCTGGTGTATTAGGTCATTCCTGCATTGCTGTAAAGAAATACCTGAGACTGGGTAATTTATAAAGAAAAGAGGTTTAATTGGCTCACAGTTCTGCAGGCTGTACAAGAAGCATAGCACTGGTATCTCCTTGGCTACTAGGGAGGTCACAGGAAACTTCAATCATGGTGGAAGGTGAAGGGGGAGCCGGCATGTCACATGGCCTGAGCAGCAAGAGAGAGGGAAGAGGAAGGTGCCACACACTTTTAAATGACCAGATCTCACAAAAGTGTACTCATGATTGAGAGGACAGTACCAAGAGGATGGTGCTAAACCATTCATGAGAAATCCACCACCATGATCCAATCACCTCCCACCAGGCCCACCTCCAACACTGGAGATTATAATTCGACATGAGATTTGGTGGCGACACAGGTCCAAATCCTATCGCCTGGACATGTCCTTCTCATGGCAATGGCAGAAGTACAATAGCCAGGGATAAATACATTTGGACTGTTGAGACCTAGGCTCAAGACTGGCACAACATCACTTTTGCCTTCTCCTATTGGTCAAATCAAGTCAAAAGGCCAAAGCCAGAGTTAGAAGGTAAGGACACTACCCCTTTTGGGGGAGGGGCTGCAACATCACATGGCAAATGCCTTGGATACAGGGAAGGGTGAAGAATTGGGGTCAGTGATGAAATTTTCCATATTTCCTTCATTCAGATTAGATCCCACACTCAGTATCTCATAGGAAAGACTTTTCTTTCCAGGTACTGGTACTTGGTAATTATGTATTTACTTGTGAGATTACTTGTTTACTGTGTTAGTCTGTTTTCATGCTACTGATAAAGACATACCTGAGACTGGGAAGAAAAAAGAGGTTTAACTGGGCTTACAATTCCACATGGCTTGGGAGGCCTAAGAATCATGGTAGGAGGTGAAAGGCACTTCTCACATGGTGGCAGCAAGAGAAAGTGAGAGAGATGCAAAAGCAGAAACCCCTGATAAAACCATCAGATCTTGTGAGGCTTATTCACTACCACGAGAACAGTATGGGGGAAACCACGCCCATGATTCAAATTATCTCCCACCGGGTCCCTCCCACAACACATGGGAATTATGGGAGTACAATTCAAGATGAGATTTGGGTGGGGACACAGAGCCAAACCATATCATTTACCTACCGTTCTCCCCACAAGGCTATGAGGTCACGATTCATATTTATTTTGTTCACTGCTGTGTCACAGTACCTATGACACTTAATTACTGAATAAATGAATGAATAAAATGTCGGGAGAACATTTTTTAAAGTTGAATATGCTCTGATGAACAGGATCTGATGACAGATCGTTAAAAGTTAAGCAAGATTTGGTAGCTATTATCAGAGCATGAGGAAGTATCATTTAACAAACTAATTTATGAAAGTCATGAGACGTAATTGAAGAATGGAGGATGTGTGTGTATACATACATTTAAAAAATTACGTGAATATATGAAGGCAGAGGAGTCAGAAGGAAGAGAGAGAGAGAAGGGAGGAAAGGAGGGAGGAAGGAAGGGAGAGAGGGAATGAGAATTGACAGGTTATGGCAGTTAGAGATCAGGTATCCTAAGACTGATCCTTGGAACTATAATGCAATTTCTTCTACTAGTCAATGTGTGGTTAACCAGAATATGCCTCATGTAGGTGCCAGTAATAGAATAATAGACTCTGTATACATAACACAGCATTGTTTACCTTGGAAGGTGCTCCTTTCTAATTGTGCAGCTATCTCTCCAGAGGCAACTGTACAAATAGTCTTAAGACCCAGTACACATATCATCCACTTTGTATTTGCAGCCACATCGAATGTTCTTATAAGCTCTATTTTTTCTCTTTACCTCTTGGACCATGCACAATCTCAAACATTTAACCCCCTGCCACCATCTCTCATGGCCATCCTCCAGTTATTGTGTTGTCAGGAAGTCCTCAGCAGGATTTGCAAAAGGCCTGTGGAAAGGATCACTGAAATATTGTTGTTGCCCTTGCTTTAGTGCTGTGTTGCTGGGATGAAGGTGAAACTGTCTCTGATTTTCATTGAACCATAGAGAATATCAGAGACAAACACAAGTTTTTGGTCTGCTGCCAGTCTAGTCTTAGATTCCAATAAAGATTTCATATGTTTCTTAATTTTATTTGCATGCATGACATATATATGTACACATGTCCCCCCCCCCCTTTTTTTTTTTTGGAGACAGAATCTTGCTCTGTCACCCAGGCTGGAGTGCAATGGTGCGATCTCGGCTCACTGCAACGTCCGCTTCCCAGATTCAAGCGATTCTCGTGTCTCAGCCTCCTGAGTAGCTGGGATTACAGGCATGCACCACCACACCCAGCTAATTTTTTGTATTTTTAGTAGAGATGGAGTTTCACCATGTTGCCCAGGCTGATCTCGAACTCCTGAGCTCAGGCAATCCGTCTGCCTCTGCCTTCCAAAGTGCTGGGATTACAGGTGTGAGCCACCTCACCGGTCACATGTGTCCTTTTTAATCGGGATCACAAATAGCCGCAGGGTGTTAGCATATTACTTTCTTTGCTGTAAGCAGCATTTGACCTCTTGAGTCTTGAACTCTGCCAACAATCTAATCTACGGATGTGAGGCAACAGGGTACAGGGTTTCTAACTGCCCTAGAGAATGTGTCTTTAAAAAGTTTTGTATGTGCTATTCGTACTGGTTCAAAAGCATGCAGAAGTGCTTATTAAACACCTACTGTGTTCTAGTGCTGGGAAAGCTAAGATGGACGACTAGATCCTTGTCTTCATGGAGCCCTCAATCTAGTGGGTGAGGCAGACCTGTGTAAGCTAATGATTGCAAAGAGATATGATGCTGATGCATGCTACAAGATGAAGATGTGAACCAAGTCAATGGGAACATGAAAGATGAATCAATTAATTTTGCCTGGAGGGCCCTCTGAGAGGTAGATGATGCTTAAGCTTAAGAGGAGTAGAAATTGACAAGCAGATAAGGGGTAAAGAGCAAACCAGGCCGCAGACAAAATTTGAGAAATGTTAGGTTCCAGACCAGGAAGGACATACTTCGTTACACTAAGAAGTCTGGGTTTTATACCCTAGGGCAGTGGTTCTCAAATGGGGCCCCTGGATTAGCACCACCACCATCACCTGCAAACCTGTTGGAAAGGCAAATCGTTAGCCTCCACCCCACACTTACTGAGTCAGAAACTCTGGGAATGGAGCCCCATCACGTGCGTTTTAACAGTCTTCCAAAGGAGTCTGATGAGTGTTCAAATCCGAGAAGGCTGCTCTTGGTGATGAAGAGCCGTGAATAGGTTTGAGTGGGGAAATGGCGTGGGCCCATCTAGATGTTTAGAAAGGTGGCTCTGGCCATAATATGGAGGGTGAAGTAGAATTGGGAGAAGGAGTGGAGGTGAGCTGAGGCAATGAGACAGTTAGGAAGCTATGGTGTCAGTGGGGGCCATGATAAGTCATGATAAATCATGATAGAGTATGAGACATTGCCTAGCCATGGCAACCAGAGAGATGACCTTGCGTTTGCTCTAACTTGCAGGGTCCTTAAAGACATTTAGGTTGTTGAGAGGCTTCACACCCCATCATCTAAACCAGTGGCTAAAGAGCTCTGAGGCTGCCAAGGAATTATGCAAAGGACTTATGAATCCATGTACACACCTAGACTAAATAAATCATGGAGCTCATACACATGTGAACTACTATTCTCAACATATACAGTTTTTATGAGTAATATTTTACACATTCACTTAAACTAATAACTTCCAATTTTTTTTTTTTTTTTTTTTTTTTTGAGACAGGGTCTTGCTGTGTCACCCAGGCTGGAGTGCAGTGGCATGATCTCAGCTCACTGCAACCTCCACCTCCTGGGCTCAAGCGATTCTCATGCCTCAGCCTCCAGAATAGCTGGGGCTACAGGCGCCTGCCACCACGCCTGGCTAATTTTTGTATTTTTAGTAGAGACAGGGTTTTGCCATGTTGGCCAGGCTGGTCTCCAACTCCTGGCTTCAAGTGATCCACCCACCTCAGCCTCCCAAAGCGCTGGGATTACAGGTGTGAGCCACTGCGCCATAACTTCCACATTCTTAGTAATGCTTTCTCATTATTTTTGCATCAGATACTAAAATACAACTACCACTCTAAGGGGATACTGAAAGTTTTGAAAATACCGTAAGGGAGTTGTCATCTTGAAAAAGTTCAAAACCATTGAGTGGGTGCCTAGAATGCCACTCTGTTATAATTATTATTGATGTTTGACAGTGTCAGGAGACTCTGTACTGCATTTGAGGTTCACATGCATATGGAAATTTTAATACGTTTCGGTCCTCTGATTATTTTTTCTCTGTATTGGGGTTGAGTTTGTAAGCTCAGCACTCAAGAGCTTGTTTAGTTCCTCTTAGTATTTGCATATGATTAGGGTAGTGGCTACTAAGTGAGTGACGATTCTTACATTAGAGCTTTCCAGTCTAAAACACCCAGATCTCCCAAAGGTATGATTAGCTGAAAGATTAATTTAGTTTACAACCTAATTATAATTTCCTTTACAAAGGAGAGATCTCTTTATTAAAACAGATAACAAACATTAAAAAGCAAAGAAGACAGCCCCTCCGAGTAAATTACTAAAGAAAATATATGCCTAAGTACATTTGCTACATTTTCACCCATCCTTAAATCTTATCAGTCATTGTTTAATCTTTGTTTTTTCTTAAAGCTTTGTAGAAAAAATTGTTTTCAGCATTGGAATCATTATACTTCTAATCACAGCCCCTGACTGCTCTGCCTGGCTAGCGCTGTAACTTTCCCCAAAGCTCCTGGCTTTCAGAGACACTAGGATTAGATCTGCTTGTATGGCTGGTGGGATTCATTAAACAAATGGACTTTCCAGGACAGATGGCTCCTCTGCTCTCACCTACCCACTGCAAGGCTGAGACTAACAGGCTCATCTCCCTTTGCTTAAAAATCAAAGACCCATCCTGAATTTTCTTCAGTAGGGGGTTGGAATGTTCATACCAGGAGAGCCTCACCTCCTGCTATTTACTGGTGCATTCACCAGGAACCTCGCTTGTCTTCCAGCTTTGTATCACACCATCTATCTTTCTATGTAACAGCAATCATTACAGAAAGCACTTTTTTTTTTTGAGACAGAGTCTTGCTCTGTCACCAGGCTGGAGTGCGGTGGCGTGATCTCGGCTCACTGCAACCTCTACCTCCTGGGTTCAAGCAATTCTCTTGCATCAGCCTCCTGAGTAGCTGGGACTACAGGCGCATGCCACCACATCTGGCTAATTTTTTATATTTTTAGTAGAGACGGGGTTTCACCATGTTGGCCAGGATGGTCTCCATCTCTTGACCTTGTGATCCGCCTGCCTCGGCCTCCCAAAGTGCTGGGATTACAGGTGTGAGCCACCGCGCCCTGCCACAGAAAGCACTTATAGACATATATGATGAGTTTATATCAGCACCACAATGTGACTTTATATTATGCTTGTTTTACGGTTCTCCAGAGAAAGAGAACTACAGCATGTGTGTGTCTATACGTATATATGTACAGACATGCACACACACACACACACGAGAGAGAGAGAGAGAGGGAGAGAAGAGATTGAGATTTTAGGGAATTGGATCAAGTGATTGTGAAGGCTGTCAGATTCAGAATCTGCTGGGCATACCTGCATGCTACAGACCCAGGGAAGAGTCCATGTTGCAGCTTGAGTCCAAAAGCAGTCTGGAGGCACAATTCCCTCTTCCTTGGAAGATCTCGGTCTTTTTTAGAATTTAATTTTTTATTTTTGAGATAGTATCACTCTGTCACCCAGACTGGAGTGCAGTGATGCGATCACAGCTCACTGCAACCTCAAATTCCTGGACTCAAGTGATCCTCCCAACTCCAGCCTCCCAAGTAGCTGGGACTACAGGGTGCTAGCTGTGACCACTTTGTTCATGAGTCCACTGGGCAGTGACAGAGGTGGCTGGGGAAAGAGGCTGACTGGTATTCACAACATGGGTCCTATTGGTTGGTCCGAAGATAGTGAGTTATCTCAATGGATTGTGCACTGTCAGTTACAGGTAGAACTCCTTGTTCCACTTTTTCCCCTTCTCACTACTGCATTTGACTAGTTTTTAAAAAATTAAAAACAAAACTAAAATGGGTCATCTTATCCACTTGATTACCTAAGTTCTCCTCTGCTGAGGTCACCCTTTAGTGATAAGTCACATGGGACACAAATATCTTCACATATTACATCCATTCAGATCTATTTCATATTCACATATTTCATCCATTCAGGTCTATCCACACATCTCTTCCCCAGACTTCCTTGTCATCGATTTTCCAAACATGCTCCTTCCAAGTCCTTGACCGTCCAACCAAAACATTGGCTACATACAGCTCATGAGTTGGTATATAATTGCATATGTGGCCATTTCTCCTTCTAAGCAAAATGAACAACCAGGTGCACTGCCCAAAGTTCTGCCCACAGTGGGGGATTTCCCTTCACCACTGTCCTTCAGGGATGCCCCCAAAAGGGGCTGTCATGCTGAAGCTGTCTACTTTCAGTGGTGCCTGCATATCTCACAGAACAATTATAATCCAGGTTTGAGTTTTCTCTTCCTTGGACTAGTCATAGGGAATGCCCCATGAGGCCAAAGGTCAGGCTGGAGAGAGAAGGTTGTGTAGTCGGAATGAGGGCCTAGGAAAGAGTTGTTGCTGCAGTGAGACCTCAAAGGCAGTCTGCTTGCAGAATTCCCTCTTCTTAAGTCTACTGATTTAAATGTTAATTTTATCTTTAAAAATACTACCTTCACAGAAACATCTAGAATAATTTTTGGCCAAATACCTGGGTACCATGGTCTAGTCAAGTTAATACATAAAATTAACCATCGCAGTGTTGTTTTCTAATAGGAGAAAGCCTGTCCTCCCTCCCTTCCTCTCATTCTTCCTTTTTTCTTTCTCTCTTTCTTTTTCTTTCTACAAATATTTCCTGAGAGCCCACTAGATTCCCAATCCTAGAAGCCTACTGATGAAGTTGAGCGGTCTCCTTGGTAACCATCTCTAACCCAGAATGGAATACAAACGGCTTTCTGAAGCAGACTATCTTCTTTAAAGGAACCATATATCCCTTTCCAATTTTAAACCCTAACTTACAAGCACAATTTTAATATCTCTTTTTGAACAGAAAAATAAGTGTACAAAGAGATTAATGACAGATGCTGCTGTTTAGCTGGTGGGTGCTCTAATTTAGATGCTACCGATTTAGAACTTGTCATGATGTGGTCAGAGATCGGCTCAGAGATTACTTTTGTATTACAGGGTTTGTCATGGAAATTAACGGTTTAAAAATATTTTGGAGGAAAATATTAAACCTACTTTAGAAAATAAACTGTTTTCAAGATATTTACATGGTTGAATATATAATGAATGAAACATGTACGTTACATTTTAAAATAGACTTATTAAAGCAGGTCCAAAGATATCCTATTTATCAAAACAAACTGGAAAAAATTTAGTTTGAATTATTATACTGCACATAAACTTATTTATTGGGGGACATGCACTTCCAGAAATGGGACCATTACTCAAACCAGTACTGTAGGAACCTATTAAAGCCCCGTCCCTGTGGGGTTGTGTGCCCAGCATCCCACATTGCTGTATTACCAATCTTATGTCTATTTCCAAATCCCCAGAAAGGGCAGACACTTCCCACTGTGGTTTCTCCCCATGCCGGGCTGCAGAGGTGCTCATGATGCCCTTCCCAACGTCCAACAATTCCTACCAATCCCAAGCATTTGCTGACTTTCACTCTTGTTTCTCAACTATGTCCATGCTGTCCATGAGGGTGCCTCAAGCGATCATAAAACTTTTTGTTCTTTTATGTGTGTGTGTATTTTAATAGAGAGAGGGTCTCACCATGTTGCCCAGGCTAGTCTCAAACTCCTGGGCTCAAGTGATCCTCTTGCCTCGGCCTCCTAAAGTGCCAGGATTATGGGCTCCAGCCACCACACCTAGCCATTAAAACTTACTTTTAAAATCTCTCATGATACTCTTCCTTTGAAATCACGTCTAGTCTTATCACATGTGTACTTTTGTTAGTCATTAATGGATCAAAACTATTAACCAGAGCACAAGATAAGCGTCTAAAAGAGAGGTCACCACCACAAACCAAACAACATGTTACAAAATCAATTTAAGTAACACAGCAAAGAGCTGATTGGTGGTTGAGAGTGTATGCCGTATAGTACAGTAATACTCACTGGATAGGAGGATACAGCATAGTCTGTCATATTCTCTCTCATTGGCTGAGAGCTCATGATCTCCTCAGACCATGGGGAAAACAGACATTAGGATAGATTGCAATGGATTGTGTATGGACATATTTGTTTTTCCTTTAAAATTACAAATATTAAATCATTTTAGAGACACATAGCTTTATAATGAATTAGTATATGGGGCAGTACACTAAATGCAGTATGCATAAACTTTAAAAATTATTTTGTTTTAAAGCCATCTTTAATGCAGACTTTCATGATTTTAGGCTGTGTCCCCCTTATGCCAAATTAGTCCTATAATTGGTAAATATGACAATGTGTGTTTTTTAACAGGATTTGACCACTTGTGTCAAATCCTCTTATCTTTTGATGTATTTCTGTCATGCCAGTATAATTATTTACTGAGAAATTCCTAGTGAGTAATTGCAAGGCTGCCTGATTTTATAAATAAAGTTTGATTGGGACACAGCCACACTCTTAGGTGTTGTCAGTGGCTGCTTTCACACTATATGAACAGAGTTGAATATTTGCAACAGAGGCCATTTAATCCTCAAAACCTAAGATACTTACTATCTGTCCCTATAGAGGAAAAGTTTGTGACCTGCCTGCTATAGACACTCATGACGTTTTTGTCCTTTCAGATAGATAGAGGAATAATTTTCCAGACTCAAAGAATAAATTAACGTATTTACCTGTCTCTGAATCTTCACAAATAAACCACACCACCATCCATCTTGAAAGTTTTAAGGAAAGAATTGCCTGTAGCAGCACTATTTTATAGAAACATAGTACAAGCCACTTAGGAAATTTTACTTTTTTATTAAAAAAATCTTTTTAGACCCAGGGTCTCACTTTCACTCCAGCTGGTGTGCAGTGGCCTGATCACAGATCACTGTAATCTCGAATTCCTGGGCTCAAGCGATCCTCCTGCCTCAGCCTCCCAAGTAGCTGGGACTACAGGTATGTGCCACCATCCCCAGCTAATTTTTAAATTTTTTTTGGTAGAGGTGAGGTCTAGCTATGTTGCCCAGGCTGGTCTCGAACTCTTGGCCTCAAGCAATCCTTCTACCTCAGCCTCCCAGAGTGCTTGGATTACAGGCACGAGCCACCACACCTGGCCAAGAAAATTGAGGGCACATGATTTTAAATTTTCTAGAAGCCACACTAAAAAAGTAAAAAGAAACAGGTGAACTTAATTTTAGTAAGATCTCTTATTTAATACAAGGTATCAAAAATATTATCATTTCAACATGGAATCAATAGACAAAATTAGTAATGGTATATTTTACTTTTTTTATTCTAAGTCTTCAAAATCCAGGGTGCATTTTATAGTTGCAGCACACCTTGATTCAGACTAGCCACATTTCAAGCATTTAATAGACACAAGTAGCTAGTGGCTATTGTACAGTGCAGGCCAAAAGTCAAGGGAAAGGTGATGGTTTTCTACATTCTTTTTAATTTATTTTCATTTCCTCATTCAACTATCATTACACTTTAGTCATTGTGTAGGTTGTACAAAGGTAAGAGAGACTCTTCTGAAGAAATTAATTTGCTTACTTATACACTTATGTAGTTATCTTGTACTTTTTTTTTATTTTCAAAGATACAATGATAGTAGACATTAAGAATAGCCTGCTAGGCTTCTGGAGGAACTTCTACTTACGAGAGCATAGATGAGATCATGGTATATGCCTGACTTATTTTCTTACCAGGAAAAGTCAGCATCCACTAGCTGGTAGTTCTCCAAACACATGGCCTAAACACATGGCCTAGGTACATGTATGCACCAACCTAAATTAGACTGCAAGCTCCTTGAGGGCAGGAGCCCAACATTCCTTGAATGACTGGATATCTGAATGTAACATTTCTTCGTTCTTTTATTCCTCTTCTGATTTCTTCTAAAGAGCTGCCCTCCTTCCATTTACTTCTCAGTCAAAAGTATATTCAAGTTTATAGAATTATATAAATAATTTGCTGCTATGACATAAATCATAGCATCTCCTGTTGATCAATGTTGTTAATCATTTTCATTCTATAATCTGGTTAAAAACTTGCTCTCTTTATCATTACTTTTTTTTTTTTTTTTAGATGGAGTCTCGCTCTGTCGCCAGGCTGGAGTGCAGTGGCATGATCTCAGCTCACTGCAACCTCCAGCTCCCAGGTTCAAGCGATTCTTCTGCCTCAGCCTCCCAAGTAGCTGGGATTATAGGTGCATGCCACTATGCCGGGCTAATTTTTGTATTTTTAGTAGAGATGGGGCTTCATCACCTGGGCCAGGCTGGTCTCAAACTCCTGACTCAGGTGATCCACCCGCCTCGGCCTCCCAAAGTACTGGGATTACAGGTGTGAGCCACTGCGCCCAGCTGCTCTCTTTAATTTTTAAAAAACGTTCACACGAAAGGGATTCTGACTCTGTCAGGAGCTAGGTTAAGAAATTGAGAAAACCTTTATTGGGACATAATTTTTTGTTCTCTCATAGTGTGTGTTTGTGTTGGTCATATTGAAAGCATATGTCTGTTAAATCCTCTTCAACCACCTTAAATTATTTCCATAATTTATATAATCTACCCACCACATAGCCAACAAATAAATCCATATATACTTTATACTCTTTCAATGCAGAAACAAAATGCTTGGATATTCCACAAGTAGGAATTGGATAAAAGGAACTGAGCCAGTGCCAAAGAAAGAAATTCAACAGGAACCAGGTGTCTCTCAACTCACTGTAGGCAGGATCTAGGACAGGGATGGTAATTTTTTGGCATACATATTGTCATCACCTCTATCTTGCCAGTGGCAGACATCGTCAATCAACCACTACATTTCTTCCTGTTGAGCACAAATGTGAGTTCAGAAACTTTCTCAACATAACACTCTGGAAGGCACAATCAAATGATAGGAGCTGGCACACAAGAAAAAGCCGACTTAGAATCTCTGGCACACAAACTAGGGTTAGAGTCCAAGATAGTGGTTAAAATATCAAAGGTGTTTATATTCATCAATAAAATATTCTTTATCCTTCATGGCTGCCTGAAGATAGTCTTAAGAAGCTCTGCGCCGGGCGCGGTGGCTCACGCCTGTAATCCCAGCACTTTGGGAGGCCAAGGCGGGTGGATCACAAGGTCAGGAGATTGAGACCATCCTGGCTAACACGGTGAAACCCCGTCTCTACTAAAAATGCAAAAAATTATCCGGGCGTGGTGGCGGGCACCTATAGTCCCAGCTACTCGGGAGGCTGAGGCAGGAGAATGGCGTGAACCCGGGAGGCGGAGCTTGCAGTGAGCCGAGATCGCGCCACTGCACTCCAGTCTGGGCAACAGAGCGAGACTCCGTCTCAAAAAAAAAAAAAAAAAAAAAAAAAGACAAGGGTAAAGGAGATATGTTTGTCATGAGATGAGGCAGGTGAAGAACGGGCAGTGTTACAACCAGATAAAGGCCATTAAATCTTTATTGAACAATTATCAAGAGTATAAAGATCTGAGGCTTTAAAGGCGTTTTTGTTTTTGTGTTTTTGCCATGTTGGTGTTCTAAATATTTTTACCAGCAGTTTCCATTTCAAATTCCGTACTATAATTTAAACTGCAGACCCACTCTGAATAAAGGAACTCCTCCCCTATTCTCTTCATTAATAAGCTATTGATGTCTCATGAATACGTTTTACAAATGTATTTGTACACCAATTTGCTCACCTGGAGATGGGACCCTGGTAGGCATTGTGTTTACTGCCCTTGCTTTGTTTTGTTTGGGCGTTGTTTTTTAATTACAAAGGGCATCTAAATGAATATCGGCCCGGCTGCTCCAAAGTTCATTTGCTGCTTATTGACTTTTCAGTGTTATAAGCAAAACAACATTTATTTTCCTATCAACTTAGCTATTTATATAATGTGACTCACTTTAGGTCTTGTTTCCTAGAGTATATTGCTCTACCTTTTTTTATTGTTAGTTTTTTGTTACCTTATTTTTAACAGAGAATTCATTCTACAAAGAAAACAGAATACAGTATTAGCTGTCATTCTTATTCATTTGAAAGGAAACAATGCCTTTTTGCAGTAATAACTCACCTACCCAGAGGTCACTTTTCCAATAATGTCAGCCATAGAGAACACATTTCAAAGAAAAAGGCCTCTGAGAAGTTAGAATAAATGCCATAGAGCTCATGCACTAAGCTCTTTATTCATGTACTTTATTTCCATCTTCTTACTTTGTCATTCAGCAACCATCTTTTCCCATTTTAGACATAATCCTAATAAATCTGGTTAGCTGGTTTCTTAGCCCACAGATTAGAAATAACTAATTCAAAGGAGATCAAGAACTTTCTAGAAATTGACAAGATGGCTGGCAATGAAGGAGATAATCGAAAAAGAAAAAGAGCCAGACACAAAGATTCAAAAATTATAGCATCTAGGTATCATTTTGTGTTTGGTCAACTAGTCCTACGTACTGTAGTCATCTCCATTACCCTGGAAATCATGTTTCTCATTATGTCTTTGAGTCTTCAAGGTTGTACCATGTTCAGTATCTGAGAAGAGGTGAGGATGTAATTTACTTTAGGGGGCTTCTGGATAATTGAGGTGATAAGGTGAAATGGACAGAAGACAGGCTTTGGAGCAAAACTGATCTTTTGGCTTTCTACTCTTTTATTTTAATTTATTTACTTACTTAGAGACAGGCTTTGTCACCCAGCTTTGACACCCAGGCTGGAGTTCAGTGGTGTGATCCTAGCTGGGCTCAAGCAATCCTCCAGCCTCAGCCTCTACCTCCTTAATAGCTGGGACTACAGGCATGTACCACTGTGCCTGGCTAATTTTGTTTTGTTTTGTTTTGCTATAGAGACAGGGCCTAGCTATATTTTCCAGGCTGGTCTTGAACTCAAGAGATACTCCCACCTTGGCCTCCCAAAGTGCTAAGATTACAGGCATGAGCCACTGCACAGCCATTTCCTACTCGTTTCTACTTCCTGTGGGACATCTCATAGTCTAATTTTATTTACTTATGAAATGGAGAAAATAATTAATGAGATAATGTTCATAAAATACCTGCTTGGATGAAGGTGGGCTCTGGAATGTCCCAAACAGTTTGAAGTACCAAGTCTAAAGCTGTGAGTAGAGAGAAAAGAGCAGAGTCAAAAGAAGGACTGTGACAAAGAAAAGGGAAGATAAAGTGGTAGCTTTGGAGGGCCAACTATGAGAAGATTTTTTTTTTTTTTTGAGACGTAGTTTCGCTCTTGTTGCCCAGGCTGGTTGCAATGGCATGATCTCAGCTCACCACAACCTCCACATCCCGGGTTCAAGCGATTCTCCTGCCTCAGCCTTCCATGCAGCTGGGATTACAGGTGTGCACCACCACGCCCTTCTAATTTTGTATTTTTAGTAGAGATAGGGTTTTTCCATATTGGTCAGGCGGGTCTCAAACTCCCGACCTCATGTGATCCGCCCATCTCGGCCTCCCAAAGTGCTGGGATTACAGGCCTGAGCCACCGCACCTGGCCAAGAAGATTTTTTAAATCCCCAAAACATAGGAGAAAGAAGGAGAGTTCCTGGAACCTACCTTGTGGATGGGGAGGGAATTATTTTAATAATAAGAGCACTAACCAGTGGGGAAATTTTTAAGTGAACTATAAATGTAGTTCTGCTCTCCACCTTCAAGTCACATAATGTTTCTCACCAGACTATAAGGAGGTCTGTTCATTCATTCATTTGCTCAGCTTTCAACAAAGACTGTATGCTTACTACCTATCAGGCACTGTGCTAGGTACTGGGGGTACAATAACAAAGTAACTATAGTTGTTAAAAGAAAAACTAATAATAATATGAGGACTGTTTTCTGTTCTACCACCAAATTCCTAAAATCCTGGAAAATACAGAAGCTCCTTACCATAACATGTGTCAAACTTGAGTTGACTTTAAATGGGGTCAACATTTATTGGCAAAAGAGGGAATCAAAGATTGATGTTGAGGTGATTTATTTTTCCCCAAATGTAGAGAATTTGCTGAACGAAGGAAGATGCAGGAAGAGAGGCCTTGGTCTTGAGTGGGGCAATCAGCAAGCTGAAGACTTCTTCTACTCATCTATTGACATTCATTGGTGTGGCATCGGCTCCTGCAAAGACCTCATAAACTGGTTTTAGGCCAACAGGAGACAAAGTTCCCCGTACTAAAAGGGTACAACCCTTGGTTTTCACAGGTGGTCTTTTGTCTACTGACCTTACACTAGATCAAGTCTTTGCATTAGGCTAGTTATCTACCATCTCTTAATAATACATTGAAAAAAGTCATTTCCATTTGCATTGAAGAATTCATCTGAAATCGTGTCTGAAAGATATATTTGTATTTTGTAGTTACCAGATGAGACAACTTTATTTACAAAATGGTGTTTACTATTGACTACTTTAAAGATTCAGTGAAATACCAAAGAAAAGGTACTTTAATTTGGGGCAGAAAGAAAGGGAGTCAGAATCCAATATGATGTTCCAGGTGGCTGGTCACAGCTCTGCCCAAGCACAGAAAAAAATAAAGCTAGTCTCGCGTTATCTTAGAACCTATTTTCTTCTTTTTATTGATTTTGGCTTTGACAAAGCTTAGAATTATGATTTCAAAGACTCCAGGGGATTCCCAAGTGATCACCTGCTTCATTTTACTGATCAGGAAATGGAGGCTCAAAGAGGTTAAATAGTGCTAGTGGTTGTCTATCATGTTGTTGCCAAGAGTTTACCGGACACAGGCAATGGAGAAAGGTACAGTTCTTTTTCTGCTTCTTTTTCTGAAAAGACAGGTGGAACAATATCTGGGATATGATATTTGGAGTATCTTTTAAAGCTACTGAGGGTTTCACAAACAACTCAGTGGTACTTTCATAAAAGGAATGATCGATCAGTTATTGGAGTATTATTTTATCTGCAGTACCTAGAAGAGCTCTTTTCTGCGAAATCTGATAGTAGTCTTAGTATCGGTTTCAACCTTTGACTCTTTCACTTTACTCTAACTGTGTCAACACAACGTGGACAGGGTTTTCCCTTGACTCTCTCAGCTTCCTTTTGTACTGCGTTGGTAGAAGCAAGACTCACACTTGCTGTCTGTGCAATACAATTGTAAATGTGTGTGCATATGTGTGTGTGTGTAAACCCAGATCTGTGGAATTTTACTATCCTATCCAACAACTCAGTAAATAGGATTTTACATTACAAGTTTCTTCCCCCTCTAGATGATGAAGAAATGATTGGTCTTTTAATTTAAAACACTCTTTTAAAAAGAAGGTTGCATCAGCTACAATAATTTGGATAAAAATATTTCTGCTCATTCATTTTTCACTGAGCCAACTAGTCTGCCAACGAAGCTGCTTCTTTATTTGAATTCAGATTGATAGTGAAATATTTTTAAGCAATGAATTTGTGGTTTTTTTAATTTTTTGATCATTTAAAATCCAATATTGCACAGAGTATAATTATTTCTTTCAACAAATATTTACCATAACTTTGAAGCTAAGTTGTACTCTCTCAACTCTTTCAGAGGCCGAAGGTAATGAAAATGCACTGAAATAAGTAAGGAAATCCTAGATTCTGATGAACTATATGACTATGAAGAAAGCACTTAACCTGACTAGGCCTCAGTTTCCCTACTTATAAAACAATGGGATTGGCCTAAACAATCTTTTTTTTTCGGATGGAGTGTCTCACTCTGTCGCCCAGGCTGGAGTGCAGTGGTGAGATCTTGGCTCACCGCAACCTCCGCCTCCCGGGTTCAAGCAATTATCCTGCCTCAGCCTCCTGAGTAGCTGGGATTACAGGTGAACGCTACCATACCCGGCTAATTTTTGTATTTTTGGTAGAGAAAGGGTTTCACCATATTGGTCCAGCTGGTCTTGAACTCCTGACCTCATGATCCACCTGCCTCAGCCTCCCAAAGTGCTGGCATTACAGGTGTGAGCCATGGGGCCCGGCTGGCCTAAAGGATCTTTAATGTCTCTTCTAGTCCCAGGATATCATGTTTCTATATACTTGACTTGGCTAAGAAATACAGGAGTCTCATTTAGTCCTGAGGCATCTACAAATAGCATCTACATGCCAATGATTTCCAAATCTAGGTGTTCATCTCCACTGCTTGGATGAGGATAACCTCATCTAAGCCCTCACCATTATTCGCCTGGACCAGTACAATTAGCACCTAACTTGTTTCTCAGCTTCCAATCTTGCTCTTCTGAAAACTACTTTTTTCAAAATAGAAAGCAGATCCTGTTCCCCTCCTCCTTAAATTCCTTCCGTGGCTTCTTATCAGAGTTAAGGAGAAATCTGAACTCCTTACTCTGACATATGAAGCCCTACATGATAGGATTCCTGTCTATTGACTCAGTTCTTTGACTCTGAACTTCTTCACTTCTGTAACTCTGACCTTCTTTCCTTTCCTTTCCTTGAATGTGCCAAACTCATTCCTCTCTTAGGATCTTGCACTAGTTCTTTCTTCTGCCTTAAATGCTTTTTCAATAATAACTTGGTTCCTTCTTGTCATTAAATTATCATCTTTGGAGTCACTTTCCCCGAAATAATCCTTCCCTAACCACTCAATGTGAAGGAGTCACCACATTACTCTTTATCATGTCATTCTATTTTAATTATCAGCACAGCACTCATGATTATCTGCTCATTTTCTTGCTATTTATTAATTTTTTGTGTCTTTCCTCAATGACATGCAAATTCCAGTGGACAGAGACCTTACCTTGATCACCAAAAATCCCCAGCACTAGAACGGTGCTGACACAAAATAGGATCTCAAGTACTTGTTGAATGAATATTGAATACTGGAAATCCCTGAGTCTCAAGAACCCCAAATGGTGTAAACCAGATAGTGATGTTTGTCTCTTTACATATTTGTTTATAAATAGATATCTTTGTGATTTGGGGAAGAAGCATCTGCCTTATGAACCTATTATAAATATCTGGAGCTCTCTTAAGGATTTATCTAATAGGATTGGTCTCATAAAATGACATGGCTATTACAAGCCCCATATGAAGTACCATATGATTGAAAACTAAGAGGAAAAAATAGGCAATAGAAACAGACCTACAGGTAATCCAGACATGGGGCATAAAAGACAAGGGCTTTAAAATAACTATGATTAATATGTACAAGAAAATAGAAAAAAAAAAGATGAGTATTTTTACCAGAGACATGGAACCTATACAAGAGAATAATATGAAAATTTTTGAGTGGAAAAATCTGCTCTTACCCATTAAATGAGTTTAATAGCAGTTTAGAAGAAGAAGACGACAAGTTTGTGATTGAAAGACAAGTTAATTGAAAATGAACAGGTAAAAGAAGAATAGGGAAAAAATAGACAAGAAAATAAAAGATATAAGAGACAGTGAAACGGTCTAACATATAGGCAATGAGATACTTGGAAAGGAGAGATAATAGGATAGAAGTAATATTTGAGGGGCAATGGCCGGTGTTTTCCAAAACTGATGAACAACATCAACCCACAGATTCATGAAGTTCAGGGAACCCCGAATGGTAAATACAGAAAAATCACATGTAGGAACATCATATTACACTGCTGAAAACTGAAAATGAAAGACAACAGGAAATAATACTAGAATCAGAGTTGTGGAGCTGGAGATAAAGCTATAAAAAACCCAGATAACCCAGAAACGGGGGAGTTTGTCCTTGAATAACCTAGAACACAATATGAATGCATTTGAGTTATAGCTATAGCTATAATTTGATTTTTTAAATAAAAATGTTTTTACATTAGGGTTCACTCTTAGTGTTGTACATTCTGTGGGTTTGGAAAAATGTACAATGACATATATTCACCATTATAGTAGCTTACAGAATAGTGTCACTTTCCTGAAAATCCTCTGTGCTCTGCCCTGCCTATTTGTCCCTCTCTTTTGCCTAACCCCTAGTGGCTCACTTAACTTTTTTTTTTTTTGGAGACAGAGTCTCGCTCTATCCCCTAGACTGGCAAGCAGAGGCACAATCTCGGCTCACTGCAACCTCCATCTCCCGGGTTCAAGAGATTCTCATGCTTCAGCCTCCTGAGTAGCTGGGACTACAGGCGCTTGCCACCACGCCCAGCTAATTTTTGTGCTTTTCGTAGAGACAGGGTTTCACCATGTTGGCCAGGCTGGTCTTGAACTCCTGACCTCAGGCAATCTGCCCGCCTTGGCCTCCCAAAGTGCTGGGATTACAGGCATGAGGCGCTGCGCCTGGCTGCCACTGAACTTTTAATATCTCCATAGTTTTGCCTCTTCCAGAATGTCGTATAGTTGGAATCATACAGCATGTAGTCTTTTTAGATTGGCTTCTTTCACTTAGTAATAGGCATTTAAGTTTCCTCCATGTGTTTTCATGGCCTAATGGCTCATTTCTTTTTAGCAATGAGTAATATTGCATTGTCTAGATGCACAAAATATTTTCTCCTGGTCTATAGCTTATCTTTTCATTCTGTTGATATAATTTGCTTTTATAACAATATATCTGAACAAAGAAATTATATATTGCCACACATCATTCCATTGTACAATAGTTTATCCATTCACCTACTGAATGACATCTTAAGTTACTTCTAAAGTTTTGGCAATTATGTATAAAGTTGCTATAAGCACTTGTGTGCAGGTTTTTGTGTGGACATAAGTTTTCAACTCCTTTGGATAAATACTAAGGAACATGATTACTGGATTATACGGTAAGAGCATGTTTAGTTTTGTAAAAAAAAAAATCTGCCAAACTATTTTCCAAAATAACTACACCATTTGCATTCCCACCAGCAATAAATGATGGTTTCTGTTGCTCCACATCCTCACCAGCATTTGCTGTTGTCAGTGTTCTGGATTTTGGCCATTCTGACAGCTGTGTAGTGGTATCTTATTGTTATTTTAATTTGTGTTTCCCTGATGACATATGATGTGGAACATCTTTTCATATGCTTATTTTCCGTTTGTGTATCTTCTTTGATGAGGTGTATGGTAAAGTCTTTGCCCCATTCTTTAACTGGTTGTTTTCTTCTGATTGAGTTTTCAGAGATCTCTGTGTATTTTGGACAACAGTCCCTTAACAGATATGTGTTTTGTGATTATTGTCTCCTGGTCCATGGCTTATCTTTTTACTCTCTTGATAGAATTTGATTTTATCACAATATATTTTAAAGAAGAAATTACATATTGCCATACATCAGATTCATCATTATTGCTTATTCCTCAACATATTTTTTATTCATTGATTCACTGATTCATTCACTCATTCATTCAACCCCTCTTGCAGATATTTGTCAAGCACCTTCTATGTGTCAGCCCCTGGGTAATGCTCTTGGATTGCGTTTGCAAACAAGAGAGACGTTTTTGCCTTCATGGCACTGTCTGAGGTACTTTTACAGAATTATTTAATTGATTACTCCCATCCATTCTTTAAAAATGCCCATTTTACAGATGAAGAATCTAAAATTCAGGGATATTAAATAACTTTAGCACAGTTATAGAGCCTAAAAGGGACAGAGTGGTGATTCAAACCTAGATTTACCACATGTCAAAACCCGTATTCTCTCTCCTGAGCTATATTGTCTCCATGGAATGTTACCACATCCCCCTCTGTTTAAGCCCCAGAGATTCTTTCAAGTACAAATCAAATCCTTTTATGAAATTTTCTTTGACTAAACTATTAACCCCCCTCTCCTGAGAGCCTGTAGCACTCTTCATCCATACCACACAATTTAGCACTGAACTCTATACTGTCTTGTTTAAAGATACCCCATGTGAGTTTGTACAGTCTTCCCAAAGCCCTGGAAGGCAGGGATGAGCTCTTACAATGTTTCTGGGTTCTTTCCTACCTAGCACAACACTAAGCATAATTAACTTGACCCTTGAAGAATGCGGAGGTTAGGAGTACGGGCCCCCATGTAATCAAAAATTTCCATATAACTTTTGATTCCTCCAAAACTTAACTACTAATAGCTTTCTGTGGGTTGAAATTATTGATAATATAAACAGTTGATTAACATACATTTTGTAAGTTATATTTTGTAATCATAAAGAAGGGAAAAGATATTTACTATTCGTTAAATGGAAGTGGATCCCCATAAATGTTTTCATCCTTGTCGTCTTCACCTTGAGTAGCCTGAGGAGGAGGAGGAAGAGGCAAGATTGGTCTCGTTGTCTCAGGGGTGGCAAAGATGGAAGAAAATCCATGTAAAAGTGGACCCATGCAGTTCAAACCCATGTTGTTTAACAGTCAACTGTGTATATTTATTGCTTGATTGGAAACTAAATTTCATCCATTTATTCTAACTTCTGGATTAAAGTTGAACCCAAAGGATAGAGAAAACATTTTGAGGACCTACAAGGATTTTCTTTAATCTGAGGGCCATGGAGTCCACAATTCCCTTGAAATCACTGCCATGTTGTGTATGTCTTTGCGCATATATGTGTTTGCCTCAAGTTTTCAACAGAGTATGAGACCTACCAGAAGTTGAAAAACATTCGAAGCAGATCTGGTGGTCCACTCATTAATACTCCATCTCACTTTGTGCTACATCTTCCTTTCTATCTAGAAAAATAGAGTTTATGTTTTATAAGATATCACAGGTCATTTCCCCTTCGACATCCATCCTTGTGACCCGGCAGAGAAAACTGGCCCGTTTTTTCCCTCTGGAACAACAACAACAAAGTTCGATCCTAATAATTCCCACTCAATTATGAGAAGTAAGACATGCACCACAACATTTAAACAGGATTTTATAGTCTAGTTTTATTATTCAGCTCTTACTAAAATGCTAATCCCCTGAGACAGAGAGAGAAAAAAAATCCCTGTATGAGTTCTTCAGCATAAACAAACATCTCAAAGAAAATGGAATGTAAAAACCGCATTGATAGAATTTTAAAGATACAGTAGGAAAAGGAATGACCAGACACTCTCTATGGCCATTGAGTAGGGAAGGGGTGAAGGGAATAAGCAGCTTCTATAAAGTAGAGTGAGCAGCCAGGCGCGGTGGCTCACACCTGTAATCCCAGAGGGCGGATTATGAGATCAAGAGATCGAGGCGGGCGGATCATGAGGTCAAGAGATTGAGACCATCCTGGCCAACATGGTGAAACCCCCTCTCTACTAAAAATACAAAAATTAGCTGGGCGTGGTGGCGGGCGCCTGTAGTCCCAGCTACTCGGAGTCTGAGGCAGGAGAATGGCTTGAACCCAGGAGGTGGAGGTTGCATTGAGTCGCGATCACGCCACTGCACTCCAGCCTGGGCAACAGAGCAAGACTCTGTCTATAAAAAAAAAAAAAAAATAGAGTGAGCAAAAATGGACAGTGGGAAAGTAGGTAGGTGTGCCTTTCTGCATCTGTGAGCCCCATGACCACAGAGTCAGCCACCAAGGACAGTGAGGCTGGGCTTTTCTGGTGACAGAGATCCTAGTATGATCCCAGTATGCCCAGCAATAATTTTTAGAGCAATGTTAGAACACATCCATCCAAACAAATTAGCTAGCATTCCTCCCTTGATGTTAACAAAAGCAAATTCCACCACATGATCTAGCCTATATGACCTCTTGCCAATAAAAAATATAAAGTATATCATGAGGTTTTCACAAATATCTACCAAGAAGTGATAAGCGTTTCATTTTTAAAATTTTCCTTGGCAATATCAATAGATCTGCCCCTGGGATTCTTTTCTAGAAATTAAAATCATGGACTTTACAGAGTCCCAGCTTATATCAGTAGGTTAAACTAGATGGAACGTCTGAAGATTCTCGCTTCCACTAAGTTCCCATAAAAAGGAAAGATACTAACTTGGTTTCTAATCCTGTTTCCCCACTTTGCTTAGCAGATATTCTGAAGAGGCACACATGGTGATCAAATCTGATTTTATTTATTTATTTATTTATTGAGACAGAGTCTCGCTCTGTTGCCTAGGCTGGAGTGCAGTGGTGCGATCTCGGCTCACTGCAACCTCTGCCTCCTGGGTTCAAGCGATTCTCCTGCCTCAGCCTCCCGAGTAGCTGAGATTACAGGCACCCACCACCACGCCTGGCTAATTTTTTGTATTTTTAGTAGAGACGGGGGTTTCACCATATTGGCCAGGCTGGTCTCGAACTCCTGACCTTGTGATCCACCCACCTCAGCCTCCCAAAGTGCTGGGATTGCAGGCGTGAGCCACCACACCTGGCCTATTTATTTATTTGAGATGGGGGTCTCACTCTGTTGCACAAGCTGGAGTGTGGGGCCATGATCATGATTCACTGCAGCCCTGACTTCCTGGGCTCAAGGGATCCTCCCACCTCAGCCTCCCCAGTAGCTGGGACTACAGGTCAATTCTAATTTTTAGATAGCATAAACCATGACATGTGAGTATGAAGGATACCACTTGTATAGTAAAGAAATGTTGCAGTGTTGAAGGCCAAGGTTGGCCTTTGGACCCAGGCGAGTACCTGGGGCTGCCTGGGTTACCCTCTCTGCATTCTATGTCAGTCCTGGGTGGGGCATTGTTTATTCCTCTGAATTCTATAAGGAGAATCACAGGCAGGCAGAATTCCTGAAGAGTATCTCCAAGCCTCAGCCTTCTTCCCTCTAGTTTTGTTCAAATATCAAAACTAGTTTTGCTCAGAAGTCATAGTATGTTCCTTGACCCACAGATCTGGTAGCTGGATTCTTGCATTGCTTCCCTATTCTGCTAAATTACCTGGCAGTGCAGTTCCCGCTAAGAAAAGGTCCTCAAACTCAGCCCAGGGGCTAGGAACCCTTTATCCACCAATGGACTAGCTTAATTCTATTTGACTGTATCTCTAGGTCCCAGTTGCTTTGCTCCATTTGTCCCTGAGCATGGACTAAGGCATGTGAGTATGCCCAATGATGGCACTACCGCAGTAGATGCCATAACAGCACCTGGGACTAGTTGGGCTCCATCCTGGTCTAGTTCTGGGTCCAATTCTAACCAATCTTTCCTGTTTTGCTACAGCTACGAGGCTACATCCTACTGGGTCCTGAGCTCCAAAATATGCCTTATTCAATATCTGTATTCGTTCTGGACTCCAGAACAAGAACTTTCTAGAAAGATTGGAGTAGGGCTAATGCTATATGATGGGGGGCAGAGGGGGTTGGTAGTTTCAGTTGTGAAGAGAGGCCAGCTGGAGAGGCTGGGGAAGAAGAGCTCTCAGGGAGTGGTAAATAAGAAAGAAGAGTAATCCCAGCTTAATCCTCTTTTATTTCTCTTCCAGTGATTTCCAGGCCCAATTAGGGCTCTGGTTCACTGTCTGGGATGCTGCTGAGCGGGTGGTCCAGGAAACACAACTGTGGGGTTTGCAACAAGCCCTGGCCCAGCGCACGTGGCATCACAGGGGAAGTTAGGTTTGCATCTAGAAAGAGATCTAGTCCGAGCGTGGAGAAGGCAGAACCAAACCCACATGGTTGAGACCCACATCTCAGTTCAGCAGTTCCAGAGATCCTGCAAGCCCTAGAGCCTTTGCAGGCAGGTATGGTCAGGCACGGTGCCCTGATGGAGGTTACAAGCAAAGGCAGGCAGCCTCCAGCTGGGCGGGAGTCTTGGGCTTCATGGGCTTCCCTCTGCATTTTCTTGAAAATGCCACTGGAAACATCGTTTGAGAGAACGGCTTGTCACAATTGTGGGATGTGGTAGGAGATCAGATTTGACTATTTCATTTCATTCACTCTTGTCACCCAGGCTGGAGTGCAGTGGTGCAATCTTGGCTCACTGCAACCTCTGCCTCCTGGCTTCAAGAGATTCTCGTGCCTCAGCCTCCCAAGTTGCTGGGATTACAGGTGTGCGCCACCACGCCCAGCTAATTTTTGCATTTTTAGTAGAGACAGGGTCTTGCCATGATGGCCAGGCTGGTCTTCTGGCCTCAAGTTAGCCACCCGCCTCGGCCTCCAAAACTGCTGGGATTACAGGTGCAAGCCACCATGCCCAGCCTCAGATTTGACTTTAAAGAACACGGCCTCTGGGTTGGGCGTGGTGACTCACACCTGTAATCCCAGTGCTTTGGGAGGCCGAGGCAGGAGGATGGCTACAGCCCAGGAGTTCAAGACCAGCCTGGGCAACATAGTGAGACCCTGTCGCTACAAAAATTAATAAAAGTAAAAAGAACACCACCTGTGAAGGCCCAATGGCACCTTTCTAAGACATTCTCTCAGCATCATGTTAGTGCATCCTGAACCTCCCTGAGCTGGTCTGTGCAGCAGGCGCCCTGTTTGCATTGCCCCCACCTGAGAGTGTGGGCCCCTGGGGTGCAGCAGCACCTCCCATCCCCACCTTGTCACTAGCACCTCTCAGCCTTTCAGCAGCAACATGTCCTCACATCAATCTTTTAAAAAAATATTTCAAATTATGAAATAAATATATAGTTATAAAAAGTTAAATACAAAATATGACTATACTAAAATTGTTAAAGACTTATGAAGCACCAAAGATATACAATTACTCATGTACTATTCTTATGACCTGAAGGAGTATAAAGATGTATAAGAAGGCTTGGCGCAGTGGCTCACATCTGTAACCCCCACACTTTGGGAGGCTAAGGCGAGAGGATCACCTGAGCCCAGGAGTTCAAGATAAGCCTGGGCAACATAGTGAGATCTTGTCTCTACTAAAAAAAAAAAAAAAAATTAGCCAGGTGTGGTGGCACATGCCTGTAGTCCCAGCTACTTGGGAGGCTATGGTGGGAAGATTGCTTGGGCCCAGGAGTTCAAGACTGCAGTGAGCCACAATCATGCCACGAAACTCTAGCTTGGACAACAGAGCAAGACCCTGTCTCAAAACAAAACAAAATGAAAAAAAGATGTATAAGTAAAATATTCTGCTTTTAAAGATCTATTATTTAGCAAACTAGATAAGCCATTCATGTAAGTGTGTAGACTACAAGAAAGTATCTGGTATGGTATGTGAGTTGCAAAAACAATAAACGCATTAGCAATGTTATTCTAAGTGTGACCTGTGGCCTCACCTATATTAAAATCACTGAGGGGTTTATTAAAAATGTTTATTCCTAGGCCGAATCTCAGGTCTACTGACTCAGAATTTCTGAAAGTGAGACTTTGGAAAATGTGTATTAAAAAAAAGCTCCCCAGATGAATCTTTTTTTTTTTTTCCAGACGGAGTCTCGCTCTGTCGCCCAGGCTGGAGCGCAGTGGTGCGATCTCGGCTCACTGCAAGCTCTGCCTCCTGGGTTCATGCCATTCTCCTGCCTCAGCCTCCTGAGTAGCTGGGACTACAGGCCCCAGATGAATCTTTGTACAACAAAGTTGAGAATCATAGCCCTGGCGTTCAGAAGACAGGAAATGGTTTCTCTGTAAGTTAATGTGAACATCTCTATGGTGATGAGATTTGAGAGATTCCCAGAAAGGTTTTCCCAGGACATCATATGGCAACATCACTGTGGAATTTATCACATTGTAATGCAAATTCCTTTTCCTTGTCCACCTTTCCCAGTGGACTAAGTGCTCTTTGAGGGGAGAGCTCTAGTCTTTTTTGCTGGAATTGGCGTGGCCCCTAGTTGGTTCTAAATATGTGTTGGCTTAACAAGTGAAAAACCACATAAGACCTAAACAAATAGGTTTGAGGACTTATAGGACAGGGTTCTAGGAGGAGAAAAGCCATAGGCAAATTCCAGAGGTTGGAAAATCACAGTCAATAGTTAAGTGTGAGAGGGGGAATGACTAATTTAGGTGAGTAATTGACACACTCAACAGCAAAGCTACGTGAGCAATTATGGGGTCCTGGAGCACTCGGCGGGAAATGGAAAGTGTACTCTGGATTCTGTGGATGATGGGGAGTCACCAAAGACTGGGGACTGGGAAGCGATGGAATTGAGGTGGTATTTTAGGGTAATGAGTTCTATGGCCATGGGCAGCTTCCTTCCTACCCTGGGAGTAGGAAGGAGTGGAGGTAGGCAGCCACGTGCAAATCCTCAGAGGAGTTAGGGATCAGCTTGGTCACTGCTGGAGGCAGGACTTGCTGCAATTGCAAAACTATAGCTTCCATTCAAGCCTCAGGATCCCCCAGGGTCCTGACCCCATGGATAACCTTTGTTCCTTTGCTGGCTTCCATCTGCTTGGTCTCCTAGGTCTGCTTGAGCTCTCCTCCCTTGGCTGCCCAAGCACTCTGTGTCATCTGGTGCAAGACAACTGGGAAGCAGTGTGGGGATGTGTGGGGGACCGTGGCCATAGAGAGGGGAAGGGGGCTTCACCGAGGCAAAGGCCAGAGGGATGGAGAGGAGGGCCAAGTTTATGATTAATTTCTAAGGCAGAATCTGTAGAATTTGGTGAATGAGGGTGGAACAGGAGGGAGGGGCGTGTTGAGGATAATTTTGAGCTTTCTGGGCAGTAAATATAGGAATGTAAGAAGTGAATGTCTGGTTGGATGCAGTGACTCACGTCTGTAATCCCAGCGCTTTGGGAGGCCAAGGAGGGCAGATCACTTGAGACCAGGTGTTCCAGGCCAGGCTGGGCAATGTGGAGAAATCCCATCTCTACAAAAATTACAAAAAAATTAGCTGAGCATCGTGGTGTGTGCCTGTACATACCCAGCTACTCAGGAGGCTGAGGTAGGAGGATCACCTGAGCCCAGGAGGTAAAGGCTGCGGTGAGCCATGATCATGCCACTGCAGTCCAGCCTGGGGAACAGAGCAAGACCCTGTCTAAGAAAAAAAAAAAAAACAAAAAAAAAGTGGAGGTTTGGAGCAAAATGATAATAATCCAGATTGAGACATTGAATTTGAATTTGAGGTGACAGCAAAATATTCAGGTGGAGGGCTCCAGGAGCTTATTAGAGACAGGGATTTGAAATTCAGGAAATATGTGCGTGCTGGTCATTGGTTACTGGTGATTGTCAAAAGGCATGAAAATGGACGTGATCACCAAGAAAAAGCATGTGGAATGGAAGAGAAAAGAACCCATGAGAGAACTGCGGCCTTAGTTGCGGGGGTGGTGCGGGGGAGGAGGACGAGCCAGTGGGAGAGATGGAGAAGGACTGGTCAGAAAGGGAGAAGGAAAACAGGAAGAATGTAGAGCTCAGTAAAGGCAAGAGTTGCAAGAAAATGAAAGTAGCAGTGTGACACAGCCTAGATAGGTAGATTAAGCCGTTGGGGATTTATTAGTGCATTAGTGAAAGTGATTTCAGTGGAAGCCAGATTGACAGAGACGTGGGAGGAAAAGAGGTGGAAATCACGGCCCCTACCCTTTGCAGCTGTGCAGGGATGACCACCCTCCCTCATGGAGTCACAGTCGCTGGACAACTGACTACACAAAAAATTCAAAATGAAAGGCAAAGGGCCTTTCATTGTGCCCTCCGCTCCAATTCTCTTAAATCTACTCTGCTTTCATTTAAGACCCTGAGTATTTGTTGCTGGGCTTATTTTTACGGCTGCTAAAAGTAATGCAATTGAAAGGATTAACAATATCTTTGTCTCCTTGTTTTGGAAGAAATTATTCTACTTCCACATTTAACTTGCTGGGAGAATATGAAAAACCTGTATTCCTGGTTTTTATCAATGGAAGCTCACCTTCTCTCAATCTTTTCAGGGATCAGTTCTTTGCTCTTTGAAACGAGATGATCCATCTCACACTGAAAGTTTCCTATCGTGAGGTTCAGTGTCATCTAGAGTCAACGGATGAAGTATAAGTGTTCACTGTGGAATTTCTACAACACAAAAAGAAGAGGCTGGATAAAGAAGATAAACTGAATATTGAAACTGTTCCTTTTCCATTAAAAAATAGCAAAAAAAGTTTTCCCTGTAACTACGGAGGGTTTTGTTGTTATTATTGTTGTCATTGTCGTCTCTTTCTTTTGGCCCAAACTCTAGTGTATTACGTTCTCTGTATTACACTTTCATAGGAAAGACTCCTACCAGTGTTACCAGAAATAAGTATCAACACGTGCCCCATCTTGCCCATGCAGAAAAGTACTTGAGATTAAATTTGCTTACATTTCTGGTTGATTCACTTAGCACCAACAACCCAGGTAACTAGTGAAATCTCATTCCATGGCTGCAGATGCCCCATCCCTAAGTGTATGTTGTCATGACAGGAGGAGTCTGACCAGTCAGGGATCAGCAGGAACACCATGCCACCACTGGAAGAATAATGGCTTGTTGGTGCAACTGGTATCCATGATAGAGACTCTGAGAGGAGACTCCTGCGTCAGTCAACAGAAGCTGAGCATGGCTGATCTGGGCAGGAAGGGCATTTATTTACAGGATGGTCGGTGGCTCACAAGGGTCCTTAAGAGAGCTAGAGGATCAGCTCCAAGAGGATGCAGCCTGGATCAAGGCCTAAATTAAATTCGTGCAGCAGATAGGGCAGGTGATGGCCCTGCTATGGACACCAATGCTGTTGTGCTCTGCCACAGAGGCTGTTGCCACTCCTACAGCTGCTGGATGAAGCACTACCCCACTCCCTCCTATCCCCAGCTGCTGGGGGAACCTAGGTTATGCCCCTTGTACTCTCAACTGCAAGAAAGGGTGGGCATGTGGTCTGTGCCATTTCCAGTTTTAGCGGGGGTGGCTTTGCCTCCAGAGATTGGGGATTCCGCGGGCACAGGAAGGGGTCACATCCTGGGCAACTAAAAAGAGTGACAAATGTCATTCTCATACTTCAGAACTGGGGCTATGCCCTAACCTAGATCCATTAATGCCCTGCGGGTAGCAGATGCGAACCCAACTTTTGATTATGAACGCTCTGCCAACAGGCACAATCAAATGTCCAGGTGTAGCTCCTCTACATTCAGGAGTCACACCTCACAGATTGCCAATCACCTGGAGAGCTGAGCAACTTGACAAGACAGACGGTTTGCTTTTTAAAGCTGTGACTCTCACAGAATCCACTTAATGTAGCCATATTCTATTCACATGCTTTGATGGGAGGGATGTCGAGGCTCTTCATAAAACTCACCATTCACTCAATGAAAATCTCCTTCTGGGCTGGGTGTGGTGGTTCATGCTTGTAATCCCAGCACTTTGAGAGGCTGAGGCCGGAGGATTGTTTAAGTCCAGGAAACCAGTGTGTGCAATATAGCAAGACCCCGTGTCTACAAAAAATGAGAAAAATTAGCACACACCAGCAGTCCTAGCTACTCTGGAGGCTTAGGCAGGAGAACTGCTTGAGCCTGGGGAATTCGAGGTGGCAGTGAGCTATGACCAAGCCACTGTTCTCCAGCCTCAGAGCAACAGGGCAAGACCCTGTCGAAAGAAAGAAAGGAAGAAAGGAAGAAAGATCTCCTTCTGACCCCCTGCGAGTACAATTTGCATGGTATTAAAAAATGAGAACATAAAAGGATTTAAATTATCTGCTCCTTATTAAGTTAGGGAAAGAAAAGATATCCTCAGCATTTTAAGATGAACCTCTCAAAAACTACTCAGAGTGGCAAGCGGATATAATCTACAGTGTTATTTGACAAGATTGCTCTTCCTAGTCACCACCCACCAAAAGGGAAAGCTTGGAGCTGATTGACTGGCAAGCCATTCATTTTCTGTGAAATAAGGGAAGCACTGGGGGCTTATACGGTAAGGTTATCAAGTATCTTACATCCAAACCTACTTTAAAATGACTGCCACATAGGTAGTGGTTTTACCGGATAGTAACATTTGCTATTTTAAGGTTCAATACGGTACCTTGTAGGCACTGAAAACCCAAGGGATTTTTCTTGGTGGTGATAACAGCTAGAGATAACATAAATTGCCTCTTATTTTGGTAACGAAGACTTGGCATGTTTTTGGTCACTATGGAGGTATCTTAATATAGTACACTAAAAATATAGGTAATCTATTAGTCCATTTTCATACTGCTATAAAGAATTGCCTGAAAGTGGGTAATTTATAAAGGAAAGAGGTTTGACTGACTCACAGTTCAGCATGGTTAGGGAGGCCTACAGGAAACTTACAGTCATGGCAGAAGGCAAAGAGGAAGCAAGGCACCTTTTTTTACAAGGTGGCAGGAAGGAGAAGTGTCGAGTAAAAGCGGAAGAACCCCTTATAAAACCATCAAATCTTGTGAGAACTCACTCACTAGGACGAGAACAGCATGGGGTAAACTGCCCTCATGATTCAATTACCTTGAATCTTGAGGTCTCTCCCTTCACACGTGGGGATTGTGGGGATTATGGGGATTACAATTCAAGATGAGATTTGGGTGGGGACACAAAACCTAACCATATCAGGTGAAGTATGACACCCGCTGTGTAGCCATTACGAATTTTGATGTATTTTCATAAGATTATTGTTATCATTAGATGAGCATTTGTTGCAAAAACAGAAGAGTTCACACCACTCACCCAACTTCCTGTAATGTTAGTACTCAAATAACCATGACACATTTACCAAAACTAAAAAATTACCACTGATACAGATGATTAACTAAACTACAGACTTCATCTGGAGTTCCCCACCATTTCTTGTGAATGAGAGACTTTAGCACCAATTTGAGCTAGAGGGTCCAAGCAGCCATAGCAGAACTACATTAATTCAGACTGGCTGGGACTAAACATAAAGATGGCTCAAACAAGCTCTAACATCTACCACTTGGCGTGCCAATACTTTGCATGCATGATCTAATTTCATCCTCCACAAAAATCCAGGTTGGGGGAGGGTAGTGGATACTATCACATGCACTTTGCAGATAAGACCGTGGGGCCTGGGATATCAGGCAATATGTGGAAGACAGCTGAGCTGGGAGACAACAGAGCCCAGATGTGAACTAAGACATCTCTGATTCAAAAACCCACGATCACGACCACAATGGCACAGACTGAAGTGCACCTAATCCAGGTGTGATGCAGAGACCGCCTCTTTCCACCAGCAGTCTTGCCCAGGACCCACCTTCCAAAGGTCATCTGGATCAACTGTAGCGGGTGACCATATGTGGGAGGTTGTCCCGTAACAATGACATGCGCCTCTCAATGACACGGGGTGTTCTGTGATGTGTGGAGTCAGTTTCCACCCTCGACACCCCTACCCTGCGTGTCGCAGGAGAAGCCCTCCCGGTCTCCAGCAGCCTCTGCGGCTCTCCTTCCTCCCGGGCTGGGAGTGGGGCGGCTCGCGGCTGGCCTGCTCCGGGGCCAGAGCAGCTGGGAGGGGCGCAGTGCAAACATCCCCACGCGCCTTTTGCTTTTCTTTCCTGAGTGGTTTAAGGCTTAATTAACGTGTGTAAAGTGATCTGAAATGCGGGAATAAAAAGAGCTGGGGAAGTGCAGAGTGTGGATGATTACCTGAGGCGAGACAGCTGAGAAAGGGAGGCCGAGGGAGACAAAGGGGGGTCTGGAGAGGCTGGGAGAGGCCTTCCCGCAGCAGCCAGCTGGTTGGCTGAGAGCCAGATTGGGCTGTTTTTTTGGCAGCGTTCTGCCCCACGCTTTCCTCTCAAGGCCTTCTTCGCAGCCCTGCTTGGTAGTCAGGCCCCAGGATAAATGATTCCTAAAGGGCCTGAGCCAGAACTGAGAAGGGGGTCTGAGAAACACAAGCTGTGGGCCATTCCATGACTGGCTCTGTAGGAGCCGGGGATGAGATGCCGCCCATTAGCCATTATTGCCAAAGCAAGCCCGGGTTTGGTCAACGAAGGAATAAATGTGATAGATATCAGAGAGACAAAGGAATCAAAGTGAGTTTTGTCCATTCCTCTTGACAAGCATAGATTCATAGGACTGATTTAGTGCTGTCACCGCTGAGGCAATAAATCCCTTATAAAATGGTGGGTAAAAGTAATGACATCCAAGTCACGTGTGATTTCACCATCTCCTAAGCCTGCGTTAGTGAAAGGGTGAGGCTATCGGTTTCATGGGGAATGTTAAGGCTTGTGACTTCATAGGGTGAAGACGGGTGGCATTTTATTGCAATTGGAAGCATACAAAGAAGCAAGTGGAAAATCTTTCTTTCAGTATAACCTGATACCACCTATATCTAGAAAGCTGGAGAGTGTTCCGGGGATCTTCCCAGTACAGTGAGGATTTCGGTGCATCCCTGTGTGTATATAAACGGTGGCGATATATACAGCCTATTCTAAACTGTTTATGATGATAGAGGGGAAAAAAGTTTGTTTGGATAATCCAAAGTTTATACTGGGCTTTCATCGTGTTTTAACGTTGTGCTTGGGCTGATAGTTGCGTAGTTATCCATCTTCTGAGCCTGCAAACCGAGGATGGGGCTACTGGTGGCACCCAAGCTTGGCAATCCAAGTGAAGAGAAGGATCCTCGCTTCCCCTGGCTTCAGTTAGGGAACTTCAGAGGACCCTAATTGTCCTGGCATGGGGTCAAGTGTCCAGCATGCTGTCAAGTGCCCACCCTGGGCTCAATCCTGCTGTTCCCACTCAACACCAGGACCATGGCGTGGAATGAGAAATCCCCCCAAAAGGAGCCAGGTTGCCACCCCGCTTTGTGTCTACTGCAACTGGGTAGTTAAAGTGGCCAGAAGACACTGTTGTCCTCAGCCTGTTGCAGGGGCAGCCAGGACCCCCCCGTAGTTATCCACTGTGTTCTTTTCTAGGCATTGCACTTCTGATGGATTCCTCCGAGAGTTGTGTCTGTGTGGTGCCTTTGGTGTGTGTAACATCACACATCACCCATGGATCACTGAAGGGTCATCTGAAGCCACCAACGATGAATTCCTTCAGGTCTGCATCTGAACTAGGATAATAATTACCTCCTAATAAGTCACCCTGCCTTCTGATATCTACAACATTTTGGATCGAAATCATCCTCCATACACTTTCTAGAATTATCCTGGTAAAACACAGTCTTTTACAATGTGATGGTTAATTTTATGTGTCAGCTTGACTGGGCCATGGGGTGTCCACATATTTGGGTAACCATTATTCTGGGTGTGTCTGTGAGGGTGTTTTTCAGATAAGAGTAACATTTGAGGCCAGGTGCAGTGGCTCAGGTCTATAATCCCAGCACTTCAGGAGGCCGAAGTGGCCAGGAGTTTGAGACCAGCCTAGCCAACATGGCGTAACCCCATCTCCACTAAAAATACAAAAATAAGCCGGGCATGAGGGCACACATCTGTAATCCCAGCTACTTGGGAGGCTGAGGCAAGAGAATCGCTTAAACCTGGGAGGCAGAGGTTGCAGTGAGCCAAGATCACGCCACTGCACTCCAGCCTGGGTGACAGAGCAAGGCTGTCTCAAAAAAAAAAAAATAATAATAAATTAACATTTGAATAGGTAGACGAAGAAAGCAGACACCCACCCTAATGTGGGTGGGCCTCATTCAATCAGCTGAAGGCCCAACTAGAACAAAAGGCTGGCCCTCCCTCTAGTAAGAGGGACCACCTCCTCCTGCCTGACTGCCTCGAGCTGGGACATTGCTTTTTTTCCTGCCTTCAAACTCAACTGAAATATCAGCTCTTCCTGGGTTTGGAGCTTGCTGGCCTTCAGACTGGAACTACACCATTGGTTCTCCTTGGCCTACAGCTTGCTGGGTGCAAATCTGGGGACTTGTCAGCCTCCTTAATCACATGACCCAAATCCTTATAATCAATCCCCTTTTTTTTTCTCTCTCTCTATAATAAATACAGCCTACTGGTTCTGTTTTTCTGGAGAACTCTGACTACTACAAATAACTTTTTATTTATTAACTTTATTCATTCATTAAAAAAATTTATTGAGCACCTACTATGTACCAGTCACTGTTTTATGTTCTTGTAAATTATCATTGAATAGAGCAAAGATTCCTGGCCCTGTAGAACTTTATTCAGTGTGTGTGTATGTGTGTGTGTGTGTGTGTGTGTGTGTGTGTGTGTGTGTGTGGTGGAACAGATAATGAATAACAAAAATGATAAGTAAATAGTAATGTATTAGAAAGGGGAAAGGGAAGAAGGGAAAAAGCAGGATGAGGAGGAGTAAGAGACATTGGGAAGGGAACATTTAAGCAAAGGCTAATGGGAGATAAAGGGGTTTCCCAAGTAGAAATCACAATCAAGTTCAAACCCCAGTGGACTCTGGATCCTGCTGGCATCTCCAGCAGGATCTGCAGACGCCCCCTCAACCGAAGCCTTCACTTTAGCCTCGTTGCTCCCCAGGCAGTGCACTGGCCCGCCTCGCATTTTCATCCCCCGACACCTTTGCCCAGTGCCTAGGATGTCCTCTCCAGTGGGGACTTTCTTCTCCCCACTCTCATGTGCATCTCAGTGAAGTCACCCAGAAACTAACCCCAGCAGAGAGCCAAGAACGTCCTCACGCTGGACAGTTAACAGGAAGTGGCAGTGTTACCTGAGCCCAGGGCCTACAGTCACCTGAGAGAAGCCTCAGCCAGATGCAGCCACTGCTAGAGATGCCATCAGAGGCAGGAGAGACATGATGACGTTCTCTGGCTTCTATCTTCTTTTCATCCTCCACTCCTCCAGTGACCCTCATTGGCCACATCTAGCCACCAACTAACTGACCCAAGCGTCTGTGAAACTCAGCCTGCCAGAGACAGCTCCTAGCAATACAGAGCAAAGGGCAGGCCTGGAATGGCTTAGAAGACAACTGGCCCATTATCAGGGCAGTTGGTGTTTGAATATAGAGCACCAGTGATCTGAGCACTTGTTTGGAGGTTCTAGCAGGGGAGCGCAGCTATTCATACACCCTTGACCAAAGACCAGTCCTCCTCTATCAGGGACAGTCGTCCTCTTCGATGGAGTGCGCAGCTTCAGGAGGGACGCAGATGGAGCGGTGAAGGAGAAAGGGGACACCTGCCTAGCCAGCCAGATCAGCTGAATCAACCCTGGAGATCAATGGGATGACAGATGTCGCAGCCAGATTGCCCTCATATCCCCAGTGTCATGATTTTACTGCTCCACTGATACCACTGCACTGCAATTGTTTGCCTGTCTGTGGGCTCCATACGATAGGAGTGCTTGAAAACTTTATTTTTTCTACCCAGAGCCTAGAACAGTACCTTGCTCGACATTTGCTACATACACAATTGGACGAATGGATGAATGAATGAATGAACGACAGTTTCTCCTGACCAGTACCTTTCTGGTGTGCTCTAACTTTGAGCTAGAGGTGAACTGAGCTCACCACCAGCATTTCTTCCCAGCTTCTCATCATTTGCTACTGGGGCTAAGATTGTTTTGAGCCTAGCATTTGCAACATTTGCCAGGCACATGGATGGTGTGACTATGAAGTAATTAGACCAGTTTTCAACAAAGGGATCAAATGAATTTATCAAGTAAGTTTTGCATTAATCCTTCCAGGAAGGTCATACGCATTTTCCAATGATACGACCGTGCCTAGCCCCGTCCTTGTGAACAGCACAAGAAAAGGAATGAATCACTTTTCAGAATGAAATGTTTCTGTTTTTTTTTTTTTTTTCAGTTAAATGTCACCCAGCCCGTCACCTGGCTGATATTTAAGGACACGTCATCAGAGAAGTTACATTTCCTTTTGGCAGAGAGGAGGAGGAAGGGGACCGCCACACACAGAACTGGGTGGTGACTTTACCATAGGTGCAGGAGGGCTGAGAAGGGACCTATCAAAGTTCCAGGGGTCACCAGGTCTGGACAGAGACACCCTGGATGCCACTAATAGGCCACCTTGTATATGAATTTACAGAGTTTTTGAGGCCTTTCGGTGCCGGGACTGCTCATAGAAACCCAGGTTCAATTTGACAAAACACTACTCCTCCATGTGTCAAGTGGAGTCAGTTCTTAATTTCTGATAAAGAGCAAAAAGACATATGGGGGATGAGGCATTGCTCAGCCTCAGAGTTTGAAGTCTTCTGCCGGCCAGGTTGCCCTGGGCAGCTCCAGGACAGAAATCTGACCAGTGTGGGTGGGTCTTCCTAGCCATGTTTCTCATTTTAGCAGAGACTAACATATTTCCAACAAGCCTCATATTTGCTTGCTGGTAAATTGCTGCTCTGAGACAGGTAAGAAATGATGACTAAAAAAACCTACCTGCGTTTTTGTTTCGGATGCTTCATTTTCCGCAGTACTTACAGAGAGATAGTTGGGAGGCCAGGTGATGTACTCAAAAAACAGGGCTTGTTGAAAGCGGAGACAGGATGGGATTCCAGCTGCTCTGCTCACCAGCCATGTGATTTTTGAACAAGTCACTTTACCTTTTGGGACCTCCAATTTCTCATCTGAAAATTGCAGATTATTGTATCTGCTTTCTCACAGAGGTGTGGTAAAGATCGCATGAGATGTATGTGCAAGTAATTTAAGATTGACAAGTGTAACATATGACAACTAGTTCTTGGCGTGGATATAAGGCATCAGAGAAGGTGCCTTTGATGTTTAATTAATACTAAAAATCTTCCATTACACTTGTTTAGCTAAAATTGGAAAGGGGGAGGGCAAGAATACTTTTCAAAGGGACTTTTTTCTGCTTCAAAAATAGAAATCAGAAAGCACATATTTGATTTTCCTTATGGTGTAAACCACAGTGCCATTGTTATTAGCAGTTTTACAGAATTGCGACCTTCAAACTTGGTGATATCAAAGACTGAAAAAAAGCTCCCAGTCTTGAAGCCTTTCAAACAGGCTTTTCTAACTAAAGCACTTTTATTTTGAATTAAGGGCTAATAGAATTGTCCTCTTAAATGAGCACTTGCAAGATTAAAAGTTGCTTTCCAGGTGGGCTGCAGTAAATGAATGTGCCAAGAGGTTGCTGAAAGCCCTTTTGGGGGCAAACGAGGGGAATCTGATATGAGTTCATGTAACAAACACCCTTTTCCCTTTGTGAAAGAGAAACCTGGAATTTACAGTCTTTCTAATTGTACATGAGCTGATTTGTGTATACATCTAGGATCATAATTTACTTTCAGTTTACTGAATTTGTGAATTTTCGCATTTGTTTTAATTTGTAATTAAGTTCTCTCTATGAGGCACGCCATATGCCTCCATTAATTCTTTCTCGTTGATTTCTTAGGAGATACATGAGTGCATATTTTCATGCAATTTTTGAGGTCTTTTGAAAATCAAATGACTACATGTTTAGCCATATGGGGCTTTGTTATTTAAAAGAGCATATTATAAAGTAAAAGAAGGCGAAATGCAAAAGGGCCTGTTGTCAACAGGGGGAAAATATTGGGAAAAACAGTTTAAAACATTGTTTTAAACACACACATTTTCAACCTTTTTTCTTTTTAGCGTTATATTTTTGAAATCTATCTTTATCGATCCCGTACCGCGTCTCACCGTCTGTGAACGGCCAATGTCACCAGTGCACCCGGCAAACCTCTGTCTGCCAGGTACTGCCCCTACGCTTACCCTCGGGCTGCAGATCCTAGCATCTGCCTTCTAAGAGTTCAGTTGGAGCCAATGTCTTTCTTTTGAACATCTTGTGCCAGGATTTGACATTAAGCTCCAGTTCATCCGCACACCCCGCGGCCGCTTTCGCAAGGGACCGAGAGGGTGGCGGCCTCGCCCGGAGACTCGCGGCGCTGGGAGCTGCCTGCCCTCGGTGCGGGCTGCAGACCGGGCCGCGAGGCGGGCGCGCGGCGCGCACTAGGACCCAGCAGGGCTCCAGGCCGGGGTGGGAGCCGCGCCGCCGACCCCGGGCGGGCGCCGGGCGCAGGAGCCGGGGTTCCGGCCGCGATCTGCTGCAGCTCGGCCGGGAGACGGCGCGACCCGGCGGCGGGGCCACCCGCGAGTCCAGCGTCGCCGCAGCCCCCCAATGCGGCCGCGAGAAGCAGCGGGGGGGCAGGCGATCGAAGGTAACGAAAATGGGGCTCATTTCCTGCCTCCTAATCTGCTCGGGTTTAGCATTGTCACGAGAAGCCCTCCGTGTTCAGGCTGCTGCATTTTGGGGCACTCTTTGATTTTTTTTAAAGGTGTCCGCCCCCCTATTTCCACCTGGTTTCAGATTGATTTATAGCTTGCAGCCCAAATGGGAAAGATCCAGCCATGGCAAGTTGCTTATTTTCATTAGTTTTGTCTCAAAAGTAAGTTCATTAAAAAAAAAAAAAGTTTCTTAGGAATGTGTGGATAGTCGCTTTTTAAAATTTTTTTTAAAAAATTGCAGACAAATGGATATTTATAAAAATAATCAAATAATTGATGCAATTCTGTTAATTACTTTTAGGGAAGCACACTTCTGTGGGCTCCCCGGGCGTTACTTTTATTTTCAAGGAAGGAACGTGTTAAATGTGGAGTTTGTTTGGCTGGGCAGAGTTTACAGCATTGCTGTCGCAACTGTTTGGCTATCAATTATAAACAGTGTCAAATCTATGGGCAGTTTCAGCCTCTTTTCAAATACTGTAACGGGTTATCCTGATATGACATCTACAGATGAGTTTCCACTGAGGGTAATAAGAAGATTTCTCTTTTTGGAGAAACATTGTTTTGAGGGGAAAACCATGATTGCCGGCTGGGAAGGCTGAAGAGACTATTTTTCATGCTTTGTTTATACTCCCGGGATGACATTTGGGGAAGGGAAATGCAATCTTTCTCCGGAGGTTTTAATTGTGGGATTATTAATTTATTTAATTTATTAGTTTCAATTGGTTGGGCTCGGGGAGCCCTCCGTCACAGGCTGTGCTTAAGGTGACACATTTGCTAGCAGTTGGGACACATGATTGCAAATGTAAAATGTGCCTCACCCGAAAGGACTGGTCTGCTGGAAGCTCCCGTGTGGAGCTGTCGTAGGCAGGGTGCGACTGGCTCATTGAGGAAAAAGGGAATCGTTTTCCTTAGCTAAGGAAGACATCCTGTTATATTCCTTTTGTTCCCTGTTTTTCATTGATCGCCGACTCTGCCTTGGAGAGGAGAGCAGCTCGGAGGGTGCAGAGCTCTGAAGGCTGCACGAATGACTGGAGCCCACTTTAACTCTCACACTGATTGGTCAGTTAGATTGAGACTTATGAAAACAGTCACCCAAAACCTTCTTTTAAAATCGTGCTGTAGTTTCAGATAGCCCTCTTGTGCACAGATTTCTGCAGGGTCGGTTTTTCATTTGGGTGCAGTTTGCTCGAGATACCTTTATGTTTAATTTTTTGTTGTTGTTTCTATCCACATAAAGTAGGCCATTTTGGTGACAAATTTCTTTGCAGACGTCAGCTACTAGCTTACACGTATACACAGCACTTTACAATACATTCTCAATGATTTCTGCTCATAAGTTGTAGAATGCAAAGTTGTTCAACTTAGAATAATGATTCCTAACCGGGTTTTGATCTGAGTCTTTTAAAAAAAGGACCATCAGTAGATGGATGCTTAACTGTATCATTACTTTGATAATTTAAGTGCCTTGTGCATTAGCACGTTTCATGCACTAAGTCTAAAACTGTGACAGTGAAAGGAAAAGACAATGAAAAGCAAACAATCAAAATCAGCCTGCACACTATTCTGAGAGATTGTGGCATCTGCTTTGAGGCGAATGCATTTCACATCCAAGAGGAAGGGCATTCTGCACCATATAAGAATATGAATTAGTAAACACTGTGAAATGTTATATCTGTAAGACAAACTGTAAAGCCCATGAACATCTTCATTTGAGCCTTTAAAGCGATTTCATTAAAGAAGCACTGTCCCAGAAGTTGTTAAATGTATAAACACTTTTCTGATTGGCTTAAAAATTTAGACACAGGAAGTGGATTGTATCTAATAACCGATGAGTGGAGACATGGTTGTTATGGAAACCGAGAGGAGTAACCCCACCCCACCCCCACTACACATACATACTCTACCATGACCACCACTTAAAAAGAAACAAAAACAAAAACAAAAACAAAACCTGCATGTCATCACAGATGCCTGGAGAACTTGTTGGCTTCTGTAAGCTTTCCCACAGCATCTGTTGAAACCTGAGATCGCGCCTGTCAAATCAAGGTCATTTTACAACAACAACCAAAAATGTGGTCTCCTAGATTTCATAACTGTATTTTTGTTGGAAATATTTGAGGAAAGAGCCTTAAACTAAGGATGAGCCCCCAGGCTTACTTTGCATTTTGCTACCTCTGAGCTGTGCAAGGGAAGGCTAAGAACAATGTATTTGAACACTTAATTGTGGGATCAAACTGACTTGTATGTCTACAGTTAGAACAAAACTCTTTTGAGAGCCAGAAAGGTTAGAATGTTACCTGTGGATGAGGATTCATCGGGGGAAGTTATAATGAGGTGTTTGTGTTTACAAGAGGGTTCAAAGTTGAACTCAAGCAATGGAACTTACAGACTGGTGGCATTTTGAAGGCTGCGTTTGTGTGTGGGGTGGTGGGGGTGGGGTTGGGGAGTGAAAGGGAGGGATGAAGATTGCCTGGTACTTTGGGAAATATAAGAGAGGGTGTTCTCAGAGGCTAACCAGGGAAAGGAAAATCTAAATGAAAATAAGAACTGTTTCAAAAATCCCATTATTATTACCCAGTTGACTTAAATAGAAAAGTTTCCTCTTTTGTGGATGGGGAAGAGTGCTTTTGTTTTTAGGATAATTGAGACGTTCCCAGTATCAAAATTGCAAATATTTCCAGTATCTTGGTAATGATTTCCATGAGGACTATAAAGAAAAAAGTTTGGAGACCTCCCCTCCCCCTAGCCTCCACCCCCAACCCCGTTCATTTTGCTAAGCAAAAAATAACCAGAGGCCCTGTACTAAATTTTGACTTTGAGGATCAACATCGAACCTTGTAAAATATAAAGCAAATACATTTCTTATATTTTTCTAATCTTGTTAATGGCAGTCTTCAGATTTTATGTTCTTGATATTCATTTAGAAACGTCTTCCTTTAAGTCATGGCAATTTGAAGCATTGAATAGCTTTATCTTAATTGATAATGGTCAGTTTTAAAACTTGTTCAATTAACAATTTGGTCTTTTTAAAAAGCAGCAAATTTCCCTTATTTTCATCAACTAATTGCATGGGGAGTGGGGAGGAGGAGAGTCCTAACTCTATTTTAATGTTTAATATTCTGCATGTATGTCGTAGAAATATATACTGTAGAAGTTAAATATTTGACAACATGGGATTATGAAATATATGCTAAATCACCCAGATATTTAACTGATTAGGACTTGGTAAAGAAGATTAAGTTTAATGGGACAACTGGTCTCTTTTAGCAAGGATTTCCTGTAGGGAGCTTTCTTATCTGCAAGTGTGTTCATTGGCAGGAAACATGTCAGTTGCTTGTTTTTACAAACTGAAGGAAATGAATGGGATTTGTTGGTTTCTAGAATCTACCTTCATTCTCTATTGTCTTGCAAATAGTTGGCTCAGAACACTTCGTTTCGAAAGGGGCTTTGGAGTGGTACAATTCATTCTCTGCAAACCTGTGGCATTTAGGTTTATTTCTTTCTGATTTTGGAATTAGGAAAATTGATCGTGGTACAACCATGTGCAACTTATTTTCCTAATACAAATGAACAAGATGTTCAATACAATTCCAATTCATTTTCAGTTGTCAGCTAGTTACTCACACACTCACTGAAGCTGCTGTTTTTGGATGGCTATGCCAAATTTCTAATAATTATTCCAGAATACCAACCAAATGCCAGTGTCGATTTTGGATTAGTGTAGAGAGGTAAAGAGAAAGAGGCAGCTTCATTCTTCTCATTGCTTATAACAAAAGGTCCATAAAGAATACACGTTAGGTATATGCCAACCTTGCTGATAGCAAAAAAAAAAAAAAAAAAAAAATCGAAATTGGGGATGGGTTGGCTAAATCCAGTTTATAGTACACATGAGAAAAACAAATTTTAACTTTGAAAGGATTTGCTGTGCAGAAGTCTGGATTAGTTTCTGAATGTTGAAAATGAGTATATTTAATTGCTTCAATTCCTAGATGTTTCAAATTCGGGAAGAGGAGAAAAGGGTAAGCTTCTTTAAAGGAAAATAAATGCATCCGCCTCCATTTGCAGAGAGCAGCCTGGTGAGGGAGGTTAAGAGTGCCTGAGGGAGACGGAACCATTTCTTGCAATGGTTTGCACACATTTTCATAGACATCATTTTTGTTTTCTACTTAGCAACAAATAGAATCTTATGCAAGACCCTAATATATGAGTCAAATAAAAACAGAGCTGCTCTGAGGGAACTAGGAGCCCAGAGCCTGCTATTGTCACCTGGGCTGTGCCCAGGGCACACTCTGGAACCCAGTACCACTGTGTACACAGTTTGCAAATCACTGCTTCTAAAATGTTCTCTAGAGAAGACCTTGGGGAATTGCTTGCAGAGCCCTGGAACCTCTTAGCGAAAGAGAGAACTTTTGCCTTGACAATTTAAGAGGCTGCTTGTGCTCATAGTGAGCAGGAAAAAGGTGGCAATTAGTGACGTAATACAGTGTACCCTAGGAAGCCTACGTACATACAGAAAAAGATGACTGACCACAAGCATGAAAGAGCCCTGGCCCAGTCTATAATGAGAGGGAAGGCATATTTTTAGGGGTTACTTATAAACCAGGGCCCCTTTTATTTATAAATTATAGGAACATCATATGGAGGTGTTTGAGATTAGTTGGTTATAATTTTGCTGGAAATGCATGGCTTTATTCTATTTCCACCTCAAGATCTGTTCTATCACTGTTATTCTATTAGTCAGTGAAAATAATTTCATATGAAGTGTCATTCATGAAATGAAAATTTGCCAAGCTATATAAATCTGCTTGGCAGACTCAGTAGTGTTTTGAGTGTTGAGTAAAATGATAACACACAGATGATATTTGCATATCATCAAATATATTCACATTATCTCCTCAATGATGAGATTGTTCTGAAATGGCAGTATTGAGATCGGGCTCAGTTTTCCCCCTTACATCCCAGAAGCTGTCAGTATTGAGGATTTCTAGGGGTGGCAGGCAGAGGAATCCCCTTCAGTTCCACTCTTGATTTTCACAATCACTAGATTCACCTCTGCCTGGTATGGAGATGAGAAATCAGGAGACTCTTCATTCAGGCAAACCGCAGTAGAACTGTGCTGCTCATGGCCACAGCCAACCTCCCTGCATTGTTTCTCAGAGGGAGTTCAGTTGAGGAGTCTATAGAAGTAGAAAGGACAGACCCCTCTGTACATTCTCCTGTTACTTTCATTGTGCTTGCCATGTTTCTACTACCTGCATGGGGTTAGAGATGACAATTAAAATAATAAGTTTTCCAGGAAGCCAAAGATCTTCCAACAATTTGTGCTGGGAAAAAAAAATTACATATGAAATATTTCCTTTACAAAGATGAAACTAGCATAAGGACCAAATAGTTGGCTGTGGTAACGATGAAATGATCGAAATGATGGTGGTTAACTATTGAATTGTGTTGACTGACGCTTTTCATGTTGAGGCTGTTTAAAGCTATCTCCTTCCTCCTCCCACCTGCATTTCAAAGAAGAATGAGTGTGTAACCAACAGAACCGTCCCAGGGTGTACTCATGATAATGGAGCAGTGCTTCTTTGGGAGTGAGCATTAAGCTCCCATGGTTTGGGGGACTTTCTTTTTGAACTGAAGGATACATGCCAGTTACCAGGACCTTGCTGAAGTTGCTAACAGGTGGCTTCTCCAAATGTGTGCCTAGTACCTTCGCAGTGCCTTTGCAGATGCCACTTTCTTAAGGTTCAGAGAGTAGCAGGTCCCACTTGGAGAGGGATTTTAGTATATTATACAAGTTTAGATTTTAGATAATGTAAGAGTTTTTTTTTTTTTTTTTTTTTTTTTGAGACAGAGTCTTGCTCTGTCGCCCAGGCAGGACTGCAATGGCGCGATCTCGGCTGACTGCAACCTCCGCCTCCTGGGTTCAAGCAATTCTCCTGCCTCAGCCTCCTGAGTAGCTGGGATTACAGGTGCGTGCCACCACGCCTGGCTAATTTTGTATTTTTAGTAGAGATGGGGTTTCACCATGCTGGCCAGGCTCGTCTGAAACTGCTGACCTCATGATCTGCCCACCTCGGCCTCCCAAAGTGCTGGGAGCACAAGCGTGAGCCACCGTGTCCGGACTTTTTTTTTTTTAAGCAGGGTCTCACTCTGTCACTCTGTCACCCAGGCTGGAGTGCAGTGGCACAGTCAGGGCTCACTGCAGCCTCGAACTCTTGGGCTCAATGCAGCCTCGAACTCTTGGGCTCAAGCAGTCTTTCCACCTCAACCTCCCGAGTGGCTGGGACCACAGGTGTGTACCACTATGCCCTGCTAATTTTTTATTTTTGTAGAGATGGGGTCTCCCTGTGCTCCCCAGGCTGGTCTCAAACTCCTGAGCTCAAGCAATCCTCCTACCTCAGCCTCCCAAAGTGCTGGGATTACAGGTGTGAGCCACCACACCCAGCCAGTTTAAGAGCTCTTGTTGCACTCTGAAATTTCCTAATTCAGCAAACTGAATACTTTTGCAGCTTTTAAAATAAAACAGTGACTCTATAAGGACTACTTAATAAATATCTCTAAATTAAGACCATCATGTTTTTTCTTGTGACTAGATTCAGCATTTAGAATGGCCTCTTGACACTTCTGGGGAAGTGTGGCAGTATTGGGTGATACAGAAAAATCACATCACACTAGCGAGGGGCCTTCCTTTGTCAGATGCTGCTCTCTGCATTATTTTAATTGGTTCTCATATTAGCTTAATAATACTGCTACTAATACCTAATGATAATATGCATTAATGTCCCATTCTACAGATGAAGAAACCAAGGCAACTGTGTTCCCAGAGTCACCCATTCTTTGGTACCCGACTATTAATAGTTCTCACTGTCAAGTCCCCTGACTCCAAATCCCAGGCTTTCCTCCGAGACTGACCACCTCACAACTGCTCCTCTGACTGTTTCTATCCCAGGGTTGAAGACTTCCCCTTCCACACAGAAAATGGAGTTCCCTTCGGGGGGAAGAAAAAGCAGGATGGGTTGGGGAATATTTGCTGTAATTCCCACCGGAAATAGGATTTTGCTTCTTCACATTCTGTGTTCTCACATCTGACCATTAGTGATGGAAGGGGCTTTTTAGGTCCCTTGTCAGTGATTTTTTTTTTTTTTTTTTTTTTTTGAGACGGAGTCTCACTCTGTCGCCCAGGCTGGAGTGCAGTGGCACGATCTCGGCTCACTGCAAGCTCCGCCTCCCAGGTTCACGCCGTTCTC